>NC_000001.11:23099163-24349163 GCF_000001405.40 Homo sapiens
AAGCTTTTCCCTTTTAAAAACTCTTGCATTTGGCCTTCTGCCCAGTGGTACAATTAAAATCTTGTCAATGTATACACAGGGTTGGTTTGGGAGGACTTAATTAAGTTTAGACCACACACCAATTTTAAATGAGTGTATGATACAAAGGGTCTGTGTTGCCATCGTAGTCATTGGAAGACAAATGATATATGATTCATCTATAAAGTGCTTTAAAACAGCATATCCTCATAAATATGCTTAAACCATTAAATTGTGTATTTTAAAGAGATAAACTTCATGATAAATAAAGCATATCTCAATAAAGCTGTTAAAGAAAACCCAGCTTATCCTCAAACTGTAGCATTCTCTCAGCACATCTTATTTGTACTAGCTTATACTATAGTTTTCACAATCTCTTTTTCAAAAGAAGGAAACGTTAAACCTTAGTATAGCCCCATCTATAAATTATCATAATTCTGAATTCAGAGAGTCTGGGAATTATACCACCGTTTTATTTATTTGGCTTTTAGTGCCAATTTTATATGTTTTATCAAGACTCTGGATGATATGAATCAACTAGTACAGGCAATGAAAAAGCTAAACCCAGTAAATATGTAGCAAATACTTACTGGAAACATACAGAGAAAGCAGGTATTACACACCACTGCTTAAAACTCTCTAAAGGTCCTGGCTACTATTAGGATAAAGTCCAAATTCCCCATGATGGCACCCAAAGCCCTTCATGATGTGGCCCCGCCAGCCTCTTCATCTACATCCTCGCCCTCCCTCTTCCCTCTGGTCCCTCACTAGTTTGATTCCTTCTCATTTCTTCAGATCCCACTTTAGACAATACATCCTTCTGGAAAATTCTGGAGTGCCTTCTTCAAACCCCAGGCCAGATCTGGGCCTCTCTTTTTTGCTTTCACAGTCTGCTACATATTTCCCATCACAGAACCTATCACACTCTATTGCAGCTTTATTTACTCAATTCTTCTCTCCAACTTGTGTCACCACTATATTCTCAGTACCCAGCAGGGAGCCTAGCACACAGGGAATGCTGAAAATTCGATGAATTTGACTGATGAGTGAGCCTCCTAATTATCAAATAGCTTGTCGGCCCTTTGGCAATGACCATTAACAGAAAATAATAAGAATGTCCATGACCTAATCATGGATTACAAAGGAGAAAACAGATGGCAAGAGTGAACAGACAGCACAGAATCTCAGGCCCTGTGGTAATGCTCTGAATGATCTCATCCCTAGCCCTGTGCCACTTGCACAATGTCTCAACCACAATTCTCTCCCCCTGACCTGCTGGGAAGCCCTTTCTTGCAGGTCTATGCCACACAAACAGGACATAGACATCAAAAAACCACAACACTCACAGGATGTTCAGCTCTAGTTATCGGACCAAATGTTGGAGAAGTAGTAGAAAACATTTCTGGATCTTCCTCCACTCCTCAGAATGAGATTTCAGAGCCAGAAGGTAGCTAAAGATCATTTAGTCAACTGGTTTTCAAACTAGACTCAGCAAATCCCCTTGGGGTCATTTAGGGGAAAGACAACAGGGGAGATATTTTGAGCAGGCTGAACTCCAGGCTCCTTTCACTTACTCAACCAAAGCAACTGATTTTTAGCTTCTTACAATATTGGGCTTCTCCTATATGACTTTATTAAAGAATTCTACATAGCTTTTATTTAAAATAAAATCACTTACTTCATTCAAACCCCTTATTTTAGAAACAAGGAAACGGACTCAGAAGTAAATACTGTGCTTTTTCCAGCAGTTTAGCAAAAGTCAAGGACTTCAGTCTCCTGACTCTATGTTCAGGATTCTTCCCATTATGCAAAATCACCTCCTTATAAACTCTTAAGCATTTTTACAAAATGAGGAGTTCTAAGCACTACTCTATAAACAAACTAACAATGACAAAAGAGTATAAAGGAACAAATAAGTACAACCACAAATAGGGCAGTACTATACTACAGGCAATACTAAGTACCTTATATACATGATTTCTGCAGGTATCAGGAATCTCAGATCATTTACTTTACATGTTCCTACGTTACTCCACGGAGGTTTTCCCTCAATGTCCACACAAAAACAATATGGTAATCCCTGGACATGTAAAATGCTTAGCAGAATACCTTGCACATAAGTCACAACAAACAGTAAGCTACTACTATTATTCTATTCAGCTTTCACAATAACCTTATGGGGCAAGGACTCTCAAATTTTCCCAAAGTACGCAGCTAGCAAGGACAGTCAGAGTGAATCTAGGTCCAATTCCAAAGTTTATATTCTTTTAAGAATACCATACTGTTTGGCCAAGTCACTGATTTTCTCTATGCTTTAGTTCCTCTGAAAAAATAAAAGAATATCAACTACCTTACAGCAACACTATGCAATAAAGTTAGCAAAAGCACTTTGAAAAGTCCTATGCATACCTAAAGTAAGTTTCATCAGGGAAAATCCTCCTAAAAATAGTGATTCACTAAGATCATCCCTTCTCCCCAGAGTAAACAAGGAACTAGACTGAAAATGGGGTTAGGAGGTCACTTATCTCTGACCTTTTGGCCCTAAGTAGCCAGGATAAGAAATGCTTTGCTACCTCCTGGATCATCCAAAAGCAAAGTAGACACCTCTCTTTCTACTGCCTCCCTTACTCTGTGTTAAGTATGTTTATCCAGGCAAAATTCATTTATTTAGCAGACATTTATAGAACACCTATGATGCACCCAGCATTTTGCCAAGATAAGTAGAAAATCTTACCCTTGCCTTTAAGGAATCATACAGATATAACCAATCATAAAACTATGATAAAGAAGCCTTCCCTGACCATCTTACATAAGATAGCACCCACCCTTTTGCATCCTGTCTTCTATCCTGCTTTTTTTTTTCCTTAGCATATTGTATCATCATACATATAACCGGAAGCTCAGAAGAAGTGATTAAATGTGCCTAAGGGTGGGGTCTGGGAAGGAAACTGTTTATATTAAACCTTGGGAAACCATAAGAAGGTTTTTACAAAGGGAAGGACAGTCTCACTTTTCATGCCACCCCTACATTAGTACCTGGCTCAGTTCTAATTCACGCTAGCAACATACAGTGCCAACTGTCTCTCATTCAGGGCTCTTTCTATCAAAGTTCCTGAACCCAGTTCCAAGTGGCCCCATCCAGCATTTTGGAGGGTGGCTCTTCTTCCTGTCCTGGCAGATCAGGAAGGTCTGAAATAGAACATAATCAGGCCTGCCCTGCCCCTTCTCCCAACACAGCTGCCATGATTCACTTCCTGTTCCCAATAGTCATTTAAAGAGGGGTCGGCAAACTTTTTTTTAAAAAGTTTGATAGTATACACATAAGTATGCAAACTTAGTTTGAGAGTAAATATTTTAGGCTTTATAGGATCTAAGGTTTCTATTCCAGCTACTGAACTCTGACAATGTAGTGATGAAGCAACCACATATATACTGTACAGAAGTGAATGAACATAACTATGTTTCAATTAAACTTGATTTAAAAAAACAGGCAGTGGGCAGGGCATGGTAGCTCATGCCTGTAATCCCAGCACTTTGGTAAGATGAGCGGGGAGGATTGCTTGAGGCCAGGAGTTCAAGGCCAGTCTTGGCAATACTGCAAGACCCTGTCTCTACTTAAATAAACCATTAAAAATTTAAAAAGCAAAAGACAGTGGGCCTGTCTGCCAGAATTTGCCAATCTCTGATCTAAAGGATAATAGGAGCTTTTATTTTATTTTATATTTCATTTCATTTCATTTTTCATTTCATTTCATTTGATTTCATTTCTTTTTTTATTGAGACAGGGTCTACCAGGCTGTCATGCAGTGGAGCAATCACAGCTCACTGCAGCTTCTACCTTCTAGCCTCAAGCAATCCTCCCACCTTAAGTCTCCCAAGCAGCTGGGACTCAGACACATGCCACCATGCCTGGCTAATTTTTCTCATTTTTTTTTTTTGTAGAGAAGGGGTCTCTATGCTGACCAGGCTGGTCCCAAACTCCTGGACTCAAGCCATCCTCCCACTTCGCCCTTCGAGCCTTCTAAAGTACTGGGATTACAGACGCGAGCCACCGCCCCTGGCCAAGAGCTATTTTCAAGCAGCTTCCTCCTGACCACTTGTAGTTACCTGTTTTAAAATCTTAGGCTGTCTAAGCCTCACCATCAACTCTTGCACATTTCTATCTAATTACAGGGCTTACATTATTTTTCCCAGAATCACAAATTCATGTATTTTGGATACGCAAACTCAAGAGTGAGGGACCCAGCTAGCATACAGAGATTCTTCATGTTGGAAAGGATTTAGAGATCATCTAGTCCAACCTCCCACTCAATGCGGACGTTATCTAGCAAGTAGTTACTCAGCTTCCGTTCAAACACTTCTAATGACAAGAATGACAGTCACTTCCTCCCAAGACAACTCACTCCATCTTTGGACAGCTCTAAGGTAAGATACCCTACTTATTTTTCTTCTTGGCACATTTAACCACCTGATTACTTGTAAATTTATTTACATTGATTCTTCTTACCAGAAAGTAGGATGCATGAGGTCAGAAGTGTAGTTTTTTGTGTTTGTAATTTTTTTATTGCTGTATTCCCCGCCCCTTGAACAGTGCCTAGTACATAAAGAGTATAATATAGTTGTTTATTGGGAAGGAGGGAGGGAGGAAGAGAGGGAGAGAGGGAGGGAGGGAGGGAGGGAGGGAGGGAGGGAGGGAGGGAGAGAGGGAGAGAGGGAGGGAGGGGGGAAGGAGGGAGGGAGGGGGGGAAGGAGGGAGGGAGTGAACAAGCTAACAAAACAATGCTGTATTCGGGGAATTTAATTCAGCATGGCTGACACCAGAGACACAAGGGGAAGAGCAATTAACTGGTAAGGTCTCTGTGGTAGGTTTGAGGCCCCTGAAATGTCACAGTAAGTTCAGAGGCTGAGGGTGTACTGTTTGAGGAACATTCCCTTATCTCCTTTCCTTCCAAGCCCCCACAACCCACAGCCATTCCGATGGTAAACATCTTTTTTTCTTTTTCTTTTTTTTTTTTTGAGACGGAATCTCGTTCCATCGTCCAGGTTGGAGTGAAGAGGCACGATCTCAGCTCACTGCAACCTTCGTTTGCTGGGTTCAAGGGATTCTCGAGAACTGCCTCAGCCTCCCGAGTAGCTGGGATTACAGGTGTGCGCCACCACGCCCAGCTAATTTTTCTATTTTTAGTAGAGACAGGTTTCACTATGTTGCCAACACTGGTCTTGAACTCCTGACCTCAAGTGATCCACAAGCCTCGGCCTCCCAAAGTGCTGGGATTACAGGTGTGAGCCACCACGCCTGGCCCAATGGTAAACATCTTTTAATGCATCTGTTCTCTGAGGCCTTTTCAAACCATCCTTCCCCGCAAGAGAAATGCACCATCCTAAATTCTGTAGATGCTTCTATCACTATATCCATGATACTTAAAATATCTGTCATCCTCTGCTGGGCTCTGAGAGCAGGGACTGTGTTATCTTCATTTTTCAGTCCTGGGCACTGAATACAGTGACAGGGGCAAGGTAGGAACCTTATAAATGTTTTGTAAATAAATTAATGTAATAGTTTTATTGTATTCTGTACTGGCCAAATTTACATAAAGGGGACTATTTTCAGATCTAGGCACTACATTCTAGGAAAGATGCTTAGCCTTTATGCCAGAGGCTGAAATGCAGGTGCCAAAGAGATCAGGCCAATGATTTAAATGAGTTAAAGGGCCTAGAAGGACTATGGCTAAGAGGGGCTATGCCCTACTTTTATATATAATCTCTTAAATGTAGCCAATGAATTCAGATTTCAAAAAAGAGGAAATAAAAAGAATACCACTGTATAGTCCCTCCAAAACATACATGCCTGCAAGTGGATATGGGAAGCAAATTTGCAACCTGTATTGGACAAAGGGATTAAGTAAGAGAGTAACACAATCAGAACTGCAGTTTTTGAAAGGCCATTCTAGCAGGATAAACTAGGGTGCTATTGTAATAGTCAAGGCAAGAGATGGGATAAGGGCCTGAACCAGGACAGTAGCAATGGGGTAAAAGGGTGGGATGGATGAAAGATGACCTGGTCTGCCCAGTTCTAATAATGAAGTCCAAGATTGCATGAACGAATCTGATAGCCACAGTACCAATTTGTAGGTTCATACTGGCTTTGTTTCCAAATAAACTGTTAAATCTCATTTTTAATAATTGAAATATGGGGCTTAATTCTTTTGCAGGCAACGTGATACAATGATTAAAGTTTACGAACTCTGAAGCCAGGCAGCCTAAGTTCAAACCCTGACTTTATTAGCTACTAGCTGTGTGACCTTGGATAAGTCATTTGAATTCTCTATGCTTCAATACCTATAAGGTTATGGTATGTGTAAATAAGTTAATGCAAGAATTGCTTAGACTAGTACCTGGTCTATAGTAAGTGTCATGTAAGTTTCAGCTTAAATTATTATTTATTATTTTTGGATTTCAACTTCTTAGTTTCAATCCCTTGACTAAATATTCTCTACACTGTCTAGCCTGCAAACATTCGCTATTTAAGTCTCATAGGCATGTCTTTTCTATATCTTCATCCAAATTGATGTTCAAAAACAAAATATAACCAAAATCATTAAAAACACCTCCTATAGATTAACACTGATCTATTACAATTCCTGAGTGCAACTATTCAAGAAGCTCCAAAGCCAGGTAAAATTTTTTTTTTTGTCTTGGGATCACATGAGAAAACATTAAATACCTAATGTTAGCACTTAAGACACATTACCTTTGTAGCACATTCCAATCCTCCAGCGACCTAGGAATCTTTCCAAAAATGAAATGCTCTGATATATATATCAAACTGCTATATGGTAATTATCTCTGGATAATGTGCTTTTTTTCTGTTTTTGCTTATGTCTATTCTCTAATATTTTTATACTGAACTTGTACCGATCGTTTAAATAAAATCATGGCAAGGCTTAAAGAAAAAAAAGAATTGTTATCAGCTAGCATGATTTATTCTTAGTGAACACAAGCTGGCTTCTAGGGATCACTGTTCTCATTCTTTGATCAATCAATTTTAGAATTTTACCAGAGATCACTGTCAAGTTTCCAATGACATCCTCAAACCCCTGTGACCCAGACGTTAACTCCAAATAAATCAAACACCTCTCAAATGGGCACAGTGGCTCATGCCTATAATCCTAGCGCACTTTGGGAGGCTGAGGCAGGCAGACAGCTTGAGCCCAGGAGTTCAAGACCAGCCTCGGCAACATGGTGAAACCCTTTCTCTACAAAAAATACAAAATTTAGCTGGGAGTGGTGGCATGCACCTGTAGTCCCAGCTTCTCAGGAGGCTAAGGTGGGAGGATCAACTGAGCCTGGGAGGTCGAAGCTACAATGAGCTGAGATCACACCACTATACTCCAGCCTGTGTGACAGAGTGAGACCCTGTCTCAAAAAACAAAACCAAAAATTTAAATTAAAAAAAAATCAAACAGGTCTATGGGGAGAATTAGAATTTGAGAGCCTTCAAAGTATGTCTAGAAGCCATTGCTTTCTGGTTAGCCACCACTACCACCCAGGTCCAACCTACCATCATCCCTGCCCTGGACTACTGATTACTGCAAAAGCTTCCTAACTTGTCTCCCTGCTCCCATCAGTGTCCATCCTTCCCCACCCTCCACAGTCTGTTCTCCCACAACAACCAGAGTAGGCCTTTTAAAACATCAGTCAGATCAAGTCACTCCTCTGCTCTAAGCTCTTTAGTGCACCTCACTTAGAATACAATGCACTCCAAAGGTGTCACATGGCTGTAAGGCCCTACATGATCTAGGTCCCATCACTCATCTGCTGCTCCTTCCCTACTACTCCAATCCAGCCACACGGCCTCCTTATGGGTCCTTATACATGACCAGTTACACTCATCCCTCAGAGATTTTATACCTGCTGTTCCCTCTGCCTAGGATGCTTTTCCCCCAGATATCTCCCTAGCTGGACTCCTCACTTCTTTTAGATCTTAGCTTAAAATATCACCTCATCAGAGGCCTTCCTTGATTGCTGTACATAAAGGAGCAATCCCTCAGCTCCCCACCACTATCACCTTACGCTGCTTTTTTGTCTTCTTAGCATGTACTATCTAGTGGATGTTATTTGTCTACTCACCTGTTTATTTATTTATATCTAATTATTCATTTTTATCTGTTTCCACCCATTAGAATATAATCCTTGAGAGAAAGGACTTTTTCTATTTTGTTTAATGCAGTATACTTAGTTCCGATAACTAAAGCGTGTAGTAAGTGGCCATTTTTTGTCATCAGAACATTAGCCCCAGTATATAGCAAAATATTTTATGTGTAATAGGTATGTGTAGGCTGGGTGCAGTGGCTCACACTTATAATCCCAGCACTCTGGGAGGCCAAGGTGGGCAAATCACCTGAGGTCAGGAGTTCAAGACCAGCCTGGCCAACATGGTGAAACCCTGTCTCTACAAAAAATACAAAAATTAGCCCAGGCGTGGTGGCACACACCTGTAATCCCAGCTACTCGGGAGGCTGAGACAGGAGAATCGCTTGAGCCCAGGAGGAGGAGGTTTGCAGAGGCAGTGAGCCAAGATCGCACCAGTGCACTCCAGCCTCGGCAACAGAGCAAGACTACGCCTTGCAAAAAATAAAAAAATACAGGGCAAGAGTTTGCCTTGAATTTTTCCACTCCTTCGAGAAGAGTTCTGTATTATCCCTAACTACACCTATTTCCTCAGAGGGGTTGACATGAGAGCAAGAGGCTTTGTTAAGATTCCTTTCCTATGCCCAGTCACTGCTATGACGAGAACCCATTTCCCACTCATTCTGAGCTACCCTATTGCTCTACTTTCCTAGGGAAGCTTTCTCTAACTATCATCCAGCTATCAGGAGCAACCAAGACCACCAGGTCTCTTGGCCACTGACCGTTCAAGTTCTCACTTCTATCTCTTCTATTTCATTAGTGCTCTCCTCTGCCTTAGCCAACACCAACCAATAAAATATTGGCACATAAAATCCATAAATGGCTAGGAAAAGAACCTAATTGTTGATCAAAAGGTTTTGTATTTTGCTTTGCTTTTCCAAGGTTAAATCAGTCACAGCCTCAACCAAAAAGTAACTTTCTTAAAAGGGAAACATTATAGTGTAATGAAAATAACCCACTAGGGTGGTGGCTCATGCCTGTAATCCCAGCACTTTGGGAGACTAAGGCAGGAGGACTGCTTTAGCCCAGCAGTTTGAGACCAGCCTGGACAATACAGAGACCCAGTCTCTACAAAAAAATTAGCTGGGCATGGTGGTGCACACCTGTAGTCCCAGTTACTAGGGAGGCTGAGGTGGGAGGATCACCTGAGCCCAGGAAGTCAAGGCTGCAGTGAGCCATGATCACGCCACCGCCCTCCAGCCTGGGCAATGGGAGCGAAACCCAGTCTCAGAAAAAAAGGAAAGAAAATAATGCAGGTTTGAAACCTAGTTCTACTACTTGTGTGAACTTGGAAGAGTTATTTAACCTCTTTAAGCTTGTTTCCTTGTGGTGATGACAACAGTACTTACCTCACAGGGTTGGTAGGGCGATAACATGTCCAACAGGACTGCGCCCGACATAGAGTAAATATTCAATAAATGGTAGCTACTTCTTAAGGGTGGCCTAATTCTTACGGTTGCTAACTTCATGCAAGGATTTTTCACCCTCATCAGGTTGGTTGGTTAAGTACTCAGCATAGTATTTGGTTCATAATAGGCCATCACAAATACTGACTTTCCTCCCCACTTCCAGTAGTGGCAAAATTATAGTGGCTTCAGAAACCACCCAATTCTATTGGTACACCCAGGTTTCACTGTACAACATACTTACCATGTAGGTAATTCAAGCTTTCCGTCAATACTTCCGGCGGCTCTCCCTATGCTTGCTGTTTTGGAAACAGTCACTCACTCTCTTTCAAAGGCAGTTGTCTCTTGACCTGGATAGAATATAAACAGAATGGAAGAGATAGGTAATGCATGAATCATACCAAGACTGAGGTGACCCAGAGGGCTGTCCCAAAGACTTTCACATACAATTCACTGTCAGCAAGGGGCCAAGGTAAGATCTGCATCTAGATCCTGACACTAAAGGAACCTGGCTAAGCTGGCTATGTCTCTCTCAGGAAAGTCAAGAAAGAATTTGGCTGTAGGAGACTTCCCCTTTCCTATAAGATGATATGGTCCTAGGGTAGAACCCACTGTCTTTGCTTAAATTAAAACACCCGAACATTCCTCAACAGTCTAAAAATGTACATGACATCTTACAGCTAGGAAGCATCTCAGAAATCAGCTACAGGTTGAGCATCCCTGATCTGAAAATCCCAAATTCAAAATGCTCCAAAATCTGAAATGTTTTGAGTGCCCACATGACTCCACAAGTGGAAAATTCCATACCTGATCTCATCTGATAGGTCGCAGTCAAAATACAGGCACACAATACTCAGGTTTATTCAATGTCCCCTGGGGAAAAATAAAATTACCTTCAGGCTATATGTATAAGGTGTATAGGAAACATAAACGAATTTCATGTTTAGACTTGGGTCTTATCCCAAGACATGTCACTGTATACATGCAAATATTTTTTTTAAAAATCTGAAATCTAAAACACTTCTGGTCCCAGGGATTTCGGATAAGGGGATACTCAACCTTCAGTTAAATGTCCTTGTTTTACAGAAGGAAACTAAAACTTAGAAAGGGTGAGTCACACAATTATTTAGCAGAAAAGCAAGGATTCTACTAAAAATAAGATGTTCTAGAAGATAGGAAAAAAACATCTGCGGAGTATTTACCAACCCTGAGCACTATGCTTTATGTTTTATATAAGACAATAAGAAGATAATGTTACCTCTACTTTACAGATAAAGAATTTAAGTTTCAAGAAGTGACTTGTCCAAGGTCTTACAGCTTGTTATTAAATGACAGAGTTTAAACTCAAGTCTGTCTGACTTTGAAAGTCCCTTCACCATGCTGGCTCTCATTTTGTTGCCCTCTAGACTCGGTCCTCAAAAGAGCCCTGAACCACCCAATATCAATTAAAACTAAAAATAGAGCTTTTCTTTCTGCAAACTTACCCTCCAGTTTTGAAACAAGCAGGCTTCTACAGGAGAGTTGAAAAGCCTACCATCCCATTGAATCTTACCCCTAAAATTAGAGAAGAGCTACTACAGATGGAAGATCTGGGTCAAACTTCTTGTGTTATCTTACTCTTGAGGAAAATGGAAAGGTAGCTTCTAAGCTAGTGGTAAACCTAAAGCTTTTGTACATGATCTTACAAACTATCCTCCCTTCTTTCATCACAACTGCCTCCCTTACACATCCCTGCAAGCCACCTTGTGACTGCCTTCCAAGACTATTGGTCCCTTTAATCCAACTTCCACACCTCCACCAAAACATGCACACATGCACACATACCTGCACCTGCGCGCATGCATGAACGCGCACACATACACACACACACACACACACACACACACACCCATCCCTGCCTCTATCTTCCCAGAGAGCAAGGCGGCTAGAATTACAATGGACAAATAATGAGAGTTTTTTAAAAACAGCTTAAAAGATGAGGGGAACAGTAGTAACTCAAGCCTCAAGAGAATAAAATTTGAAAAGAATTTTTTTTTGTAGTGATGGGGTCACACTATGTCACCCAGGCTGGTCTGAAACTCGTGACCTCAAGCAATCTTCACACCTTGGCCTCCCAAAGAGAAGAGTTACTGATAGTATCGGCCAGGCACGGTGACTCACGCCTGTAATCCCAGCACTTTGGGCGGCCAAGGCGGGCAGATCACCTGAGGTCAGGAGTTCAAGACAACCCTGGCCAATATGGTGAAACCCCATCTCTACTAAAAATACAAAAATTAGCTGGGCATGGTGACATGTGCCTATAATCCCAGCTACTCAGGAGGCTGAGGCAAGAGAACCTCTTCAAACCAAGAGGCGGAGTTTGTGGTGAGCCCAGATCGCGCCACTGCACTCCAGCCTGGGCGACACAGTGAGACGCTGTCTCAAAAAAAAAAAAAAAAAAAAAGTTACTGATAATAAAAACAGCTAGAAAATAAGTATAAAAAAGGATCTAGGCCAGGCACAGTGGCTCATGCCTATAATCCCAGCACTTTGGGAGGCCAAGGCAGGAGGATTGCTTGAACCCAGGAGTTCAAGAACAGCCTGGACAACAACAAAGCAAGGCCCCCATCTCTACAAAAAAAAAAAAATTTTAATTAGCTGGGCATGGTGATGCACACCTATAGTCCTAGCTACTTGGGAGACTGAGACGGGAGGATCACCTGGAGCCCAGAAGTTTGAGGCTGCTGTGAGCCACAGTTGTCCTACTGCACTCCAGCTTAGATGACAGAGTGACGCTCTATATTTAAAAATAATTTTAAAAACGATCTATACCAAGGCGGCACCCAAGAGATAGCTTAGGTGGATGTGGGGGAAGCTTTAGCTCTCCACCCTCTGCTTTTAAAAAATAATCAATGGAAGTTAAAGTAAGTGTGATTGGTATTCAAATAGTTTTAGGACAGTTCCACAGACTTTCCGTCCTACCCCATCACCACCTGTCTCTTTCCCCCTCCCCACCCACCTTACACACACAACACCCACACACAAACACCGCCCCCCCACACACACACTCATCTTCTTCTGCATAGCCTAAAACCTCTCCTACATAAAAATTCTGAACTCTAAGAAATGGTCACATAAATCTGGTCTATCTCCCCTAAGGTCTCTGCAGCCCTAACAGTGATAGCAGCGCCCCTGCTAAAATCTACTGTCCCAGCACCTACCACCTACTGCCAAATTTGCTGACATGTTACTAAGGCCCAGGGGCTTTTCTCTTCAAAACAAGACAGAATGCACTGCCAAAGGGAAAGAGGAACTCCAGCTAATCCTGATTTGTTTTCAACTGTCTACGTTCTCTCATATTTCTAAGGGGTAGAAGTAAGCAGTAACTGATTTCTTTCTTCTGAATGCCATTTACTTCTTGCTTCCTCAGCGTACTTGCCCTCTGTCCCCAAAACAAGAGGATGACTGTAAACATCCTCAAATTCCTTAGTGATGCTGCTTCAGAGAGCTTTCCACCATGACAGATCCATCCTCATCACTTCCCTCAAGCATCTCTTCTGGCACTTATTGTTTCTGTTACTGTTGGTGGTGATAGTGGTGGTAGTATGTGTGTACGTGTCTGTCTGCCTAGAAGCAGAGACTGAAGGATCCTTACAGATCACAGAGTCCAACCACCTCCTTTCCCAGAGGAGCAAGTGGGTCCCAGAGAGGAAAGGAGACTTGCCCAAGCTTACAAAACAAGCTCAAGTGAACATTTTTGTCCCCCAAACACTTTGATAATAGATAAAAATGTCAGTAAGAAATTCTGCTTTCAGTATGACCCTCCCACAGACAACAACTATACTCTGGATAAAACACAAAAACTATCTGAAGTGAACAAGGGCTGGCAGATTTTGAAAATAAGTTGAAAGTTGGAAGAAAGGGCTGACATGGAATGAACTCCTCATTTTTGGATCTCTAGCCTGAGGCTGGTCTAGCTGAAGTTCCAATCAAAAAACAAACCCTAGGCTTTCTGTCCTGAAGAAATAGCCCAGAGCAGCCACAGATCATGGAAGTAAGAAAAAAAAGAGCTAGAAAAGGAGAGTCTCAGGTTCTGTGTGTAAATTCTACCCAGTCTCTGGCTGAACCCTGAGCCATGCAAGCATAGGGCAGAATCCAAAGACCTCAGTTAAAGAGAAAAGAACTGAACTGAAATTTGAACTGCGACCCACTGCAGGTGTGACAGAGTTTGCAGTTTTGAGTCTGAGTTATTGTCTACTAAATTAAAAACATCAACAGAAACCAAAGTCTCCACAATACAACATTCACAGTGTGAAGAATACAATTCCAAATTACATAAAGAACTAGAAAAAGCATCTGGACACGGTGGCTCATGCCTGTAATCCTGGCACTTTGGGAGGCCAAGACAGGAGGATCATCTGAGCCCAAAGTGTTTTTGAGACCAGCCTGGGCAACACAGTGAGACACTGTCTCTACAAAAAATGAAAATAAATTTAAAAAAATTAGCCAGGTGTGGTGATACATGCCTGTGGTCCCAGCTACCTGAGAGGCTGAGGCAGGAGGATCACTTCAGCCCAGTAGTCAAGGCTGCAGTGAGCCATGTCCACACCACTGCACTCCAGCCTGGGCGACTGAGTGAAACCCTGTCTCAAAACAAAACAAAACAAAAACAAACAAACAAACAAAAAACACCTAGAAAAATTAAACCCATTTGCAATTTGCAAAGGAAAAGACAATCAGCAGAGGGCAACTCCAAGACAACCCAGATGCTGAAATTCTCAGACAAAGATATTAACAGAGCTATTATAACTAAGATCAATGAGGTAAAAGAAAATATGCTCAAGGCCGGACACGGTGGCTCATGCCTGTAATCTCAGCACTTTGGGTGGCCGAGGCAGGCGGATCACGAGATCAGGAGATCGGGACCATTCTGACCAACATGGTGAAACCCCGTCTCTACTAAAAATACAAAAATTAGCCGGGTGTTGTGGCGCGCGCCTGTAGTCCCAGCTACTTGAGAGGCTGAGGCAGGAGAATCGCCTGAATCCGGGAGGCAGAGCTTGCAGTGAGCCGAGATTCAGCTACTGCACTCCAGCCTGGCGACAGAACGAGACTCCGTCTCAAAAAAAGAAAAAAAAAAAAGAAAATATGCTCAAAATGAAGGGGAAAACAGTAAATCTCAGAAGAGAAACTGAAAAAAAAAATTTAAGTGGAAATTTTTGAACAGAAATACAGTATCTGAATTTTTTTAATTCACTGAATGGGCTTAAGGACAAAATGGAGATGACAGAGGAAAGAGTCAGTGAAATGTGGAAGCAGAACAATAGAAATGATTCAAACTGAAACAACTCTGGGTCATTCTCAGTCTCTAGAAAAACCACCCTCAGACCCTTTACTAAAGTATACACAGGGATAATTTTCTGTTATCAGAAAAATTGGTATCAGAGAGAAACAGAATAACTTGGGATCACAGAGTTTTCTAGTGGTCCTAAATTATATAGGAAGCAAGGGGAAAATAATTTTATTTTTCCTCCTATAATTGCTGAAGTAGCATTCAGGATTGTTCAGGAAAAAAGCCAGGAAGGATTTTAATAATTTTTCTGCCCTGTGCAGTCTCTTCACCAAAAAGCCAACATGGTAAACAGGCCGATGGCAGGATGGGGTGGGGACCAATCAGGGGGTATGGGGCTAAGGAAGTGCCAGCAGCTTGCTATGTATGAACCAACCTAGGTGGTTTTAAAAGCAGCTTCCCTGAATGCCATCACTGACTGAGTCGCTTCTCACATTCAAGTCACTTCATGTTGGAGTTCAGAACACTCCAGATAAAAGTGGAAGAAAAAACATAAGCTGCAGAAGACATGTCAATTTCTTTAAGGCCTGCCTTTTGCTCACTTCCCTCCTCCCAACCCCACTTGCCAACAAGAAGGAATGAAGAGAATCCAGAGCCAGTGATCTTTTCTGACTAAAGCGGGAAACTGAGAGTAAGACAACGCACCCTCTAAGTGTAGAGAAACTTGGATGGGGAGTGAGAAACCCGGGTGGCGGCCTCTAGTTCTACCACAGACATTGTTGGACCTCAGATGTGTCTTTTACACTTTCTGGGTCTCAGCTTCATCAGTCAAACAAAAAGGCCAGACTAAATGATATTTAACAATGATATACTATTGTCCTTTCCAATAACACTATGAATGACATCCTTAACCATGCTATCTCCATTTGCCCTTGTAGAAACTATAAACAGGTCCGAAAAGATCTAAGTAGAGGCATACCATTTGATTAATTGGAGTACCTCATGTTATATAAATTATTCAAACTTTTTTAATAATTTTCTATAAGTCTTGCCATTAATACTTAAATCGCATCAATAATAGATATTTCAGTACCTATCTATGATAGAGGACTGCTGTAAAATAATGTCTTTCAACTGAAAGTGCTTCTAATTCTCCCAGAATAACTTTTTAAATCTACGTAACCTTTAGGATGAGAAGGCAAATACTCTTATCTCATATGACAGATGAGCAAACAAAGGGACTTCTGAGACCTTTTTAGGAAGCTAGTAACAGACAAACAAAACTAGAATCCAGCAATCCCATCTCTATGTGTCAGGTTATTTTTCACCTTGCCAAAGAAACCTTACCAAAGAAGAGTATAAACAAGATCAGAATTAGAAAGAACTTAAGAACTTTTGTGCACTTTGGGAGTGCTTATTAATAAATAATTGATAAAACTAGGTTGAGATTAATGTATCTATTTGAAAGCTGGCACTCAAAGAACCGGCTCTGCTACTTCCTCTTTTTTTTTGGAGACAAAGTCTCGCTCTGTTGCCCAGGCTGGAGTGCAGTGGCACGATCTCGGCTCACTGCAACCTCCGCCTCCCGGGTTCAAGCGATTCTCCTGTCTCAGCCTCCCGAGTAGCTGGGATTACCGGTGCATGCCACCACGCCCAGCTAATTTTTGTATTTTTAGTAGAGATGGGGTTTCACCATGTTGGCCAGGCTGGTTCTCAAACTCCTGACCTCAAGTAATCCACCCACCTCAGCCTCCCAAAGTGCTGGGATTACAGGCGTGAACCACCACGCCCGGCCCTGCTGTTTCCTTTTCTAACCAGTGGTCTACAATTGAGACTAGGCTTCCTTGCCCATGTTTGTGAAGTTTAGCAACAGAATCACATCTAAAATTGTTATTCACCTACGGAGAGAAAGTTGGCCAAGGCCAAGCACAGTGCCTAAAGCCTGTAATTCCAACATTTTGGGAAGCTGAGGCAGGAGGATCACTCGAGCCCAGGAGTTTGAGACCAGCCTGGGCAACATAGCAAGACCCCATCTCTCCAAAAATAAAACCAGGCCAGGTGCAGTGACTCACGCCTACAATCCCAGCACTTTGGGAGGCTGAGATGGGAGGATCACTTGAGCTCAGGAGATCGAGACCAGCCTGGGCAACATAGTGAGACCTTGTCTCTTAAAACAATTTAAAAATTAGCCAGGTGTGGTGGCGTATGCCTGTAGTCCCAGCTACTCGGGTGGCTGAAGTGGGAGGATCACTTGATCTAGGAGACTGAGGCTGCAGTGAGTGGAGCCACTATACTCCAGCCTGGACAGAGTGAGACACTGTTTCATTGGCCAGGCATGGTGGTATATGCCTGTAGTCCTAGCTACTCAGTAAGCTGAGACGGGAGAATTGCTTGAGCCCACGTGTTCAAGGTTACAGTAAACTATGGTTTCATCACTGCTGGGTGACAGAGCAAGACCCTGCCTCCAAATAAATAAATGAATGAAAGAAAGTTGGCCAAATCAGAAGGTGTAAAAAAGTAAAAGACCACTGGACTGTTAAAAAAAAAAAAGGCAAAGAGAAGAAAAAAGAGAAAAGAAAAGGAAAAGAAAAGAAAAGAAAGAAAAGTTTGCCTGTGTGAAAGTGATAAGGAAAATGTAGAGTTGAGGATCAGTTTTGTTGTTATTTTTGTTTAATGAGGGTACTATCCTAGCACTGTCTGTCACATGTACGAGCTGCAAGTCTTAGGAGGTGCAAGTCACCCAAAGGTTTCGAATCTTTTTACCTTCACACTCAACTCAGAGAATGTGACTTCCCTTGTACTGACTGTTAAGTGCCCAGAGCATCAATCTAGAAGTTTTTTGTTTTACATGCATCTCATCTCCCTTAGGAGAAGTGTATCTCATCTCTTAAAATGGAAGATTAAAATGCCCTTCTATATACTTGGTGGTATCAGAAGAAGAATACTAAGCTGTACCTATTAGAGAGCCTGAGTGAAAAAGGTTTTCTGCTGCTATTTTAATTTGAAGGCATATTTTACAGGGTCACTATTATTTCTACCCCCTGTAACAAGTTTATTTCCATTTTATTGCTTCTAGGGAATTTCCCTTTGTCTCTATTCCACACTCTCTCTCCATCCTGCCTGCTGCCCTGGCAACATGCTATAAGGGAAAACCACACATGGGATTGAAAGTCAGATTATCTGGGTTCTATTCTAATTCAGTCACATATTACTTTAAGTGATTAAACTTCACAACCTCAGTTTCCACAACTGTATATAGAGATTACATCTAAACTTCATGGGACTGTTGTAAGGATTATATAAAAATATACATTAAATGCCTAAGCACATAATGCCTGAACGAAAATATACCCTACACATATTAATTCAATTTTCTTTTCATCACTGTACACATTCTTTTTTTTTTTCCTCTCTCTCTCTCTCTCTCTCTCCCCCCCCCCCCCCCACAATCAGGAAGCCCTGGGGGGGGGGGCGGGGGGGGGGAACACCTTGAGAAAGTAACTTGCCCAGTTACAGCAGAAATAATTTTAAATAAGTACTAAGAGAGGTGGATGGGTGGGGCCAGAGGTATAATAAGGCAGCATCCAAAAGGGCAAGGAAGATGCCCAAGTCAGAATAATCAGGCTCTGTGCCAGTTCTGCCTCCCACCCCTAAGCCCTAAGTTCCTTCTTGTAGCTATAACTATGTCTATCTCCTTCTTTTACTAAGTCACACTTGCCAACATGTCTCACGTCAAAGTCTACATTATTAAAAACAAACAGGAGGCTGGGCACAGTGGCTCACGGCTGTAATCCCAGCGCTTTGGGAGGCCGAGGCGGGCAGATCACGAAGTCAGGAGTTCGAGACCAACCTGGCAAACATGGTGAAACCCTGTCTCTACTAAAAATACAAAAATTAGCCAGGCGTGGTGGCGTACGCCTGTAGTCCCAGCTAATCAGGAGGCTGAGGCAGGAGACTTGCTTGAACCCGGGAGGTGGAGGCTGCAACGAGCTGAGATTGCGCCACTGCACTCCACCCTGGGCGACAGAGCGAGACTCCATCTCAAAAAATAATAATAAATAATAAATAAAAACAAACAGTCATGGTGGCTTGCGCCTGTAATCCCAGCACTGTGGGAGGCCAAAGTGGGTGGATCACTTGAGGTCAGGAGTTCGAGACCAGCCTGATCAACATGGTGCAACCCCATCTCTAAACACAAAAATTAGCTAGGCATGGTGGCACACATCTGTAGTCCCAGCTACTCAGGAGGCTGAGGCAACGAGAATTGCTTGAACCCGGGAGGCGGAGGTTTCAGTGAACTGAGATCACACCACTGCACTTCAGCCTGGGCAAGAGAGCAAGACTCCATCTCAAAAAAAAATTAAAATTAAAATTAAAACTCACTCACATTCACACACCAGGTAGTACAATGGGCAGTAGAATCCTGAGTTCTACTCTTGTCTCTCCAACTTACTAGAATAGTTTCCTCATTTGTAACACAGAAATGACAATGTGTCTTGACTACAAGATTATAAGGACCAAACAGAAGAATGTATGTGAAAGTACTTTGTACACAATAAAACATGGTTATTGTCATAGGTACAGTGGGTCTACCTTTGGCCAGTTTAGGTGTTAGGTTTTACTTTAAAAAGGCCTCAGTTCTACAATACTCTATTTCTGTGATCCAAGGCTGCCTATTTCCAGTTCAAGTCCTCTTCTTCCTGGCAGCTGAAAATTTTATATTGTCATCCTAATTTCACTTGATTCCCTGATTTTTGCAAGGTTCCTCAAATTTCTCTAACCAAATGGGCTCCATGTCTCCAAAATGGTAACTAAAGACCACTAGAACTGATCACCTCTACCTGTCCTTTTGGTTCTAATATTCTAAGATTCTTGGGCCTATGTTCCCAATGCACTTTGTCTGTATCTCTACTTGAGCAATTTTCTTAGTCTACTTTGCATTACAGGTTTATCTGACACCATCTCCTAAAGAAAAAGCCACAGGTAGGTTGTCCTATGTTGTTTTATATTCCCCGTAGCAATTAACGTGGAGCTTCACAAAAGTATTAGTTGAATTGACTTGATGCTAATTTCTCATTTTTTTATACTTACTATCCCTACTACACCATAATTATAGACCACCTTATTCTTTTGTACTGCCATTGGCCTGGTACAGTGTGAAATAAACAGTCAACATTTTTTTTAACGACCTGATGTGACTAGCTCTTTTTTTTTTTTTTTTTTTTTTTTTGAGACAGGGTATCACTCTGTTGCCCAGGCTACGGTGAAGTGGCACAATCACAGCTCACTATAACCTCGAACTCCTGGGCTCGAGCAATCCTCCTGCCTCAGCCTCCTGATTAGCTAGGACATAACTGAAAGTGAAAGCAAGTATGACAACTCAGATCTTAGTTTTAGCTTTAAAAATAACAAGCTATGGGTGTGACCTTAGGCAAACTGCTTCATTTCTCCAGGCCTCATTAAGATATCTCTTACAACTTTTAAACAAAGTCTGGAGAGGATGTTGAGAGGAATCAAGTAAGAATAAGCCCTTCTGAAAAACCCTAGGTTTATCTCTAGTATAGCACTTATCATTCTGTATTATAATTGTCTACTTGTTACTCTCCTGTACCAAACCCCGAGCTCCTGAAAGGCCAGAATTATGTATTTCATCTCTGAATCCAAGCATGTGCATAGAACGTGGCACACAGTAACAGTTCAGTAAATGTTCAATGGCCAAACTACTGAAAATTATAAGTGCCTATACTTACGAAGACTCTTATGTATAAATGGACTTATATAAACTTATAAGAAAGAATAATTCATCTCCCTCATGTACAACCCTTTCAAATAACATTAAATAAAAGTATTTTTCTTATTATCACCAGCTCAAGTCCAGGTTTTGTTTTTTGTTGGTAGTTTTTTTTTTTTTTAAAGACAGAGTCGTGCTCTGTCACCGAAGCTGGAGTGCGGTGGAGCAATCGTGGCTTCCTGCAGTCTCAACCCCCTGGACTCAAGCAAATCCTCCCCGCTCAGCTCCCAGAGTAGCTGGGACTACAGGGATGTGTCACCACAACAAGCTAAGTTTTGTAAGTTTTGTAGAGATGGGGTTTCACCATGTTGCCCAGGCTGGTCTCAAACTCCAGAGCTCGAGCAATTCACCCACCTCAGCCTCCCAAAATGCTGGAATTATAGACATGAGACACGGCACCAGCCTAGGAAGTCCAATTATTGAATGCCCAGAATCATCTGAAATTCAGGATCCCTAGAAGATATCCTGACAAGGGCCTCAGAAGTGCATGCCTCCTACGCTCTAAATAATATACCTCCTAATAAATAAATAAACATATATATATGGAGACAGGTCTCTCTGTCACCCAGGCAGGAGTGCAATGGTGCAATCATGGCTTAATGCAGCCTTAAGCTCCTGGGCTCAAGAGACCCTCCCACCTCAGCCTCCCAAGTATCTGTGCACCAAAATGCCCAGCTAATTTTTTTTATTTTTATTTTTTTGTAGAGACAGGGTCTTGCTATGTTGCCCAGGCTGGTCTTGAACTCCTGGCCTCAAACGATCCTCTTCTCTCGACCTCCCAAAGTGCTAGGATTACAGGCATGAGCCACTACGCCTGACAATAATACCTAATGCTTATACATTATTTCATAGTTCAAAGCACTTTCACATCCATACTCTCAATCCTTAATAATGACCCCATAAGGATATTATCAAATTCATTTTATATGTTGAAGAAATTGAGGCTCATATTTTAAATACTTTGCTAACCTAAGGCAAGCTGATATCAACTAAAGGAGGGCTTTCATATTTAGCCTCTCTTGCTTCAGTGCCCAAAAGAGGCAGAAACAAGAACACCACCATCTCCACTCCCCTGGCCTCTACAAACGAGGTGGATCAGACCACTATCTGCTATTGCTTTACTGAGCTGACTACCTCTTAAGTTTTTCTCGTCTCCATAAAAATCAGTTACCCAGAGTATTTTATTATGTCTTAAGCAAAAAATAAGACCAGCCCAGGGAGAAAAATCCCCAAGATTACAAACAACCACATTTATAAGCTGCTGGCTTATATCTTTATAAACAAAGCTAAAAAAATAAGGGGAAAACCTGCTCCAATGGGGAGCTGTAAACCCTACTGACCAAACAGCCCCTTGGCACTTAGGTAGGTAGTTATATACAGCTAATTTAGTCTGTAATAGTTTTTGTACTTCTTCAATAATTTGTACTGCCTATTGTTTTCTCCATACCATTCTAAATGCCTCAAGAGCAGAGATCACATCTTCTAGTTAATTTACATCTGTTCCTGTACAATGACCATATAGTACCCAAACCAAAATTGGTTTTTCTGGCCTAGAAATTTATATAAAGTCTTATCCAAATTTAAAAATTAAAATACATAGGCTAGGCACAGTGGTTCATGCCTGTAATCCCAGCACTTGGGAGACCAAGACAGAAGGATCACTTGAGGCCAGGAGTTCAAGACTAGCCTGGGCAACATAGTAAGACCTTGTCTCTATAAAAAATAAAACAAAATTAGTCAGGCGTAGTGGCACACACCTGTGGTCCCAGCTACTTGGGAGGCTGAAGTGGGAGGATAGCTTAAGCCCCAGAGGTCAAGGCTGCAGTGAGCCGAGATCAAGTCACTGCACTCCAGATGACAGAGCAAGACCCTGCCTCAAACATTAAAAAGTAGTCTGGGCATGGTGGCTCACGCCTGTAATCTCAGCACTTTGGGAGGCCAAGGCAGGTGGATCACCTGAGGTCAGGAGTTTGAGACCAGCCTGGCCAACATGGTGAAACCCCCCCTCTACTAAAAATACAAAAATTAACTGGGTGTGGTGGCGCACGCCTGTAATCTCAGTTACTCAGGAGGCTGAGGCAGGAGAATTGCTTGAACCCAGGAGGCAAAGGTTGCAGTGAGCTGAGATCATACCACTGCACTCCAGCCTGGGTGACAGAGCAAGAGTCTGTCTTAAAAATAAATAAATTAATTAATTAATTAATTAATTTTAAAAAGACTTTAAGTAATTGACATTCTTCAACTGAGTAACATTTATAAAATCAACAGTTTCTAATAAAGAAACACCAAAAGACACTTAACACCTACAATGGTGCCAGGCATACATTTGAGTGGGCACTCAATAAAGTTGTGCTGAATGAATGATAACTGAGAGCTTAAAATCCATTAAAAACCACTTAAGGCAGAATAAAATATCCAGGACAAGAGCCAAAAGAAATGACTAGAGACTGTCAAGTTAATTGGAAAAATAAGATTCTAAGGTAGTTCCACTCAAAGTCATACTTAGGGTACCACAAGTGAACACTCTGGATTCAAGCACCACATTATATGTACAGCCAGAGTGAATGCATTAGGGCAGTGACTTAGCACGAGGGTTCTCTCTGCTCAGACCAGCAGCATGCAACCAGCAGCAGCTTGCCCCTTCCCCCAGTTAGTCCCCATTACCAACGCCCTGAAGCCTAGTCACAGAACTACAGCAGTTAAGCCAGGCAGTACTAAAAGTTAGAAGGAAATGAGCATGCCACCTGACACTTTTCTGGCACAGGCTAAGCCGATTAGTTTAGGTTACAAACACAACTACAAGATTCCAGGACACTGAAGAAACTACTCTTTTTCTGCAAACTAAAAATAACTTATTAAAACGGGAGTGTTCTTCAAGTATTTCTGCCCTGCCAGCAACCCAAAGTTCCATTTCCTCAAATCCTTCTTAGTCTTATTGGATCCAAGTCTCCACACCTCCCCCATCTTCCCAACTCTTCATCCTAATGCTATGAACACAGTAAAAGACCTAAACTCCTTTCCTAACTCATGCTTTTAACGTTTCTTTTCTAATAAGCAATCGTGCAGAACTTCTATGGCTCCTGCCTTGTGTAGAACCACAACTGGAAGACATGCTGAGCTTCAGCAAAGAATAATGAAAAACAAAGAAAAACTGAAGGACAAGATGCAGCATGCTCGGGAAGTCAGCTAAATGCTTTTCATTCAGGCAGGAATAGAAGGAGCCTCACCTACCTAGAAGAATACAGCATAAGGACAAATGGTGTCTAGTATAGAGCTAGACTATACTTTATCACTTTAGAACAAAGCCATCAAGCGTGTTCTAGAGACAGACTCATGTCCAAATAGCTTTAGTATCCTATAAGAATCATTAGGCTGGCCGGGCGCGGTGGCTCACCCCTGTAATCCCAGCACTTTGGGAGGCCGAGGCGGGGGGATCCCGAGGTCAGGAGTTCGAGATCAGCCTGACCAACACAGTGAAACCCCGTCTCTACTAAAAATACAAAAATTAACCAGGCGTGGTGGTGCATGCCTGTAGTCCCAGCTACTCAGGAGGCTGAGGCAGAAGAATCACTTGAACCCGGGAGGCGGAGGTTGCAGTGGGCCAAGATCACACCACTGCACTCCAGCCTGGGCAACAGAGTGAGACTTTGTCTCCAAAAAAAAAAAAAAAAAAGCATCATTAGGCTATCTCAAGGTTGAAGTGACATTTTTCAGGGTTAAACAAACTCCCATCATTTAAGCCAAATAAATCAAGATTGAATTGCAGACTTTCTGGTCATACAGAGCTGAGAGAAGGACTCAAATCCTACTACTAGGAAGTGGAAATTCCAAGGAAGCTAGAAAACCCTGTCCTCAGTAGCTCTCCCTGCTCTCAGGCCCTGAGGTAAGCCAGCATTTCCTTTCCAAGGTCAAAAATTAACCATAGACTTTGAACATCTCTGTGCTTTGCAACAGCACCAGGAAAATGCCACAATGCTAAGCCACCCTATATAGACCTAAGACATTTGCTATTCTTGATTATTCCCAAGAGTAGTCACTTGGGATACTCATTAATGTACTTTCTAAAGATCCAACTTTCAAAGTAGTCTTTTCTCATTCTTATTTTTAACCTTTCACCATCTCTCTTTAAAAAAACAAAAACATTCAGATGTCTTAGAGCACTGAAGAAAAAGAAAACAAAAATTGGCTTATCTATATAATCTACACTCTCAGAAAAATTCCTCCTGAAAAAAAAAATTTTTGCCCTAAGACCACCCAAGGTACACACCATGGTAAAGTTTCAATGCAGAATCATGCTGTGAGCAAGAGCAAATGGAAAGCTGCAGCCCTTCATCAAACAGCATTAGAACCTTCCAAGATTCGTGAAATCAAAGAATATCAGAGCTGGAAAGATACTTAGGGTGCAATAATCTAGTCTAGCCTTTCATTTTAAAGATGGGGAAAATAAAGCCCAAAGAGAGGAAACGGAGTCTTGAAGCAAAGCTGGACCTAGGACCTAAGTGGCCAGACTCCCAACTCTGGTATCTTCTGCCACACCATACCTCTTCACAAGACTGACTTTAAGGGAGTCAAGTGGCTAAGGACAGGGTAGGCAAAAGAAAGTAAACATATGGTACCAAGCAAAGAAACCAACTCTCTGTGAATTCTCCTCTGTTGCTTTGTGGTGTGACTCAGGGAGAGTTATTCCTCCTCCATATGCCTTAATTTCAAGAGTTTTTCTCTTAAATATTTCATAATTTTACTAAGAAGCAAGATACAATTATCACTCATGCCTTAATGGTGCCTCCCAACCACTACACAGGTGAAGTCAAAAACAATCGACTACTAGAATGGAAAGACTACAAGAACCCTTAAACAGAAAGATTAACATCATTTTGGGGCAAGGAGGTACATTTTTTTAAAAGATTACTCAACTAGATGGCTCCACTGAAGGAATCCACATCACCTGACTTCATATTCTAGTATCTAGACTTCAAGGAAAATAAGTTCACTTTTCTGACTCTTGGTTTCTTTAACAGTAAAATGAAACCTACAGACTTTCGTTCATTCTAATGCCCTTTCAAACTCTAAATGACCTAACCTTGACAGGAGCCATGACAGTAAAAAAAAGGCAAGGTACGAAAGTGTTGAGCTTGCCCAGGTTTGGAGGTTTGCCCCATCATTTAAGCCAAATAAATCAAGCTTGAATTGCAGATTTTCCCATCATACAGAGCTGAGAGAGGGACTCAAATCATACTACTAGGAAGTGGAAATTCCAAGGAAGTTAGAAAACCCTGTCCTCAATAGCCCTCCCTGGAAGCTGGCAGATATGCTTGGGTATCTGCTGGCCTAGTCCTACGCATGAGTCCTAGCAGATATGCTTACAACCCGACAGTATCAGTGGCATCGTTAAAATTAAAATGGAGAAAACAGTGCATACTTTCTTCAAAAGTATGCCCACTAAAATGATGGCTGCGACCCCTGTAAGGATCTAGCTGGACCATCTGCAGATGGTTTAAATTTGCCATTGCTGATTTTTTTTCTATCCCCTACCTTGATATCAAGTATTTAGTGTCTTACTATGAAGTAAATCATATACTTTCTCAATATCCTATTCTCTTTGTTTTTCTCTTTCATTTTAAGTGCATGTTAGACATTTAAAGATCTATGAAAAATAAACTCTTAGTAACAGGTAAATAACTAGAATTTTCAATAAACACGGAAAAAAGTGTTGAGTGTGAGCAAGCTTTTTACTAAAGCACATCAGTCTATACAGCCAATTCAGCATTCTCCATTCAGAGGCTGCCTCTTCCCAGGGATGTGGCTAATAGTGAAAACACAAAATAATGTAAGGAAAGAGGACAAAGGTTTCATTTTCTGCTGTCTCATCGACACATCTTAACATGGAGGACACAGTATATCAGAGATTAAAGCCAGAAGTTAAATCAATGCAAAAGGAAATGCAAGCTCCAATGTCAATTATGAAAAGTAACGAATCTTAAATAAGCAAGTACTTGCCTGCCTGCCTGCCTGCCTGCCTACTAAGACTGGGTTGAAGATTATTTCTATCGACAAGGTTACAAACAGTAATTTTCAACACTTCATATGGATATACAATTACCTGGGTACTTGTTAAAATTACAGATTCCTCGGTACCATTTTCAAATCTTCTGATTAAGTGGATCTGTTACAGAGCCCACAGACTGTGCATTCTGATACAGATAGTCCACAGACTATACTTTTTAAAATACTGTGAAGTGTGTATGGGAGGGCGATCATTAGGTCTCCTGGACACATAAATATACGTCTTCTGGAATGGTATAACCCACAGTAAAATATGTGTTCCAAGGATGGCATGCAGGCCAATTTTTAACTGTACCAGACCCACTCCCCTCCCTTCTACCTCCTAAAGCAACTTCTGAAGTCAGTGCTCTCTCAACTCATATAAAGGGCCCTTCTAAATAGTGACTAAAACACACTATGTTGGCTCCTATTTTAGATCCTATTTTAAAACAAGCAAGGCCGGGTGCAGAGGTCATGCTTGTAATCCCAGTACATTGGGAGGATAAGGCAGGAGGATCAGCTGAGCCCAGGAGTTTGGGGCCAGCCTGAGCAACATAGTGAGACCCAACATACTTGCTTCTCCTGTTTTACTTCTCTTCATGGTTCTCAGTATTTCCTGAGATTCATTATATTTTATATTTACTTACACTCTCTCTCACTGAATGTAAGCTCTATTAGAAAAGGGGCTTCCCCACCACTACCACTATATTCCTAGAACCCAGAACAGTACCTGGCATATGACAGATGCTCCACAGAAGTTTAAATACGAAGAAGGCACCATTTTAGAAAACAAAATAAGTTCTTAGTCTTACACCCTGTTCAGTTTATTGACCATACTGTCAGCTGTACCTTTCATCCTGGATGGCCATTCTTGCTTTTGATGTTTACAGAATTCAGGAAAGTGAATATAGGTACCAGCCCAGAGAGGCTCTCTGCTACCTGACTTTCACTACTCTATGGTAATGTGCAATTTCTCCCGCAACTGAACTACAACAGAAGTTTAAATGTCTAGCCTACAGATAGATGTTTCCACATGCCTTAAACTCCACAGGAATGAGTTGTCTTTTACTATGTGAGAAGTCAAATGTAATGTTGGCAAATACCAGTGTGAGAGCTACAAGTTTCAACAAAAGCAGCACACTGTATATTGGCAGTCAAAATCACTTCGCTCTATTCTGCATTAGGTCAGCCAAACGCTTCCTGTCAAGACTCAGTAACTCTCACCATACATTTTTGTCTATTCATTGGTCTATGGGCAGTAATGTCTTATAAAGCACACATTACTAAGTGCTTTATATACATCACCCTATTCCTCAAAATAATTCTATAAGAGTTATTATTCTCATTTTAGAGATTACAAAATTGAAGCTCCAAGGCACTTAGCAATTTGCAACTAATAACTAATTAGCAGGGCTGGGATTTGAATTCAGGTCTACCTGACTTTAAATTCTTGGTTTTTTTCACTGTATTAGTTTAATTCTTAAGGCTTCTCCCACCACCTTCCACCCTCTGCACTAAGCCTGGCACACAGAAAACATTTGATATTTACTGAATCCATGAGAGTTAAAAAGGATAATTTAATTCAAACTCAAGGATCTGTCTAGGATCAAATTCTTCAGCTCCAATTTTAGTTTTGTTTTTTGTTTTGTTTTGTTTTGTTTTGAGACGGAGTCTCGCTCTGTGGCCCAGGCTGGAGTGCAGTGGCACAATCTCAGTTCACTGCAAGCTCCGACTCCCGGGTTCACGCCATTCTCCTGCCTCAGCCTCCCAAGTAGCTGGGACTACAAGCGCCCGCCTCCAAGCCCAGCTAATTTTTTGCATTTTTAGTAGAGACGGGGTTTCTCCATGTTAGCCAGGATGGTCTTGATCTCCTGACCTCGTAATCCGCCCACCTCGGCCTCCCAAAATGCTGGAATTACAGGCGTGAGCCACCGCACCAGGCCCAATTTTAGTTTTAAAAAGAAAAAAAGTGGCCGGGCGTGGTGGCTCATGCTTGTAATCCCAGTACTTTGGGAGGCCGAGGCAGGTGGACCAAGAGGTCAGGAGTTCGAGACCAGCCTGACCAACATGGTGAAACCCTGTCTCAACTAAAAATACGAAAATTAGCTGGGTGTGGTGGCACGTGCCTGTAATCCCAGCTACTCGGGAGGCTGAGGCAGGAGAATCGCTTGAACCTGGGAGGCGGAGGTTGCAGTGGGCCGAGATCACGCCGCTGCACTCCAGCCTGGTGACAGAGCGAGACTCTGTCCCAAAAAGAAAAAAAGAAAAAAGAAAAAACTTAAGTTCATTCAACTCCCTTTTAATTTTTAAAAAAGTGGAAAATACAAGTTTCTCAGTTAAAAAAAAAACAAACTGGGTTTATTCCAAAATGGAATCCATCATAACATAATTCATTACTATGGGAATTTGGATATAAAGCAAGTGAAATCATAAAAAGCAGCATAGCTTAGTGTACTAAGACATGGATGTGAAGTAAAATCTGAATTTATTAATAAGTTTCAGCTAAAAGAGATAAATGTACTTGCCTCCCCATCTAACAATCATGCTCTAAAGTTCAAATGTGTTAATGCTTATAAAAACACTTCATAAATGTAAAGTGTTATACAATATTAATTATTAGTGTTAATTGAGCCTTGAAGACAGAATAAAAGCCTCTAAGGCCAGCATTATTAAAACCCCATTATATTTGGAGCATTATAAGGTAAACATCTTAAACTCAAATTAGTTTATCCTTAAGAAAGAAAGGATGTGGCTTACCCATTACTAACCTTTTTATATGTCTAAGTGCTATGTCTCCAATTGGCACTATTAAGTCTCCAATAGCAGAGAACTGGGATACAGACCTCAATATATTGTTTCACTTTTAGAAGGATTATAACCCTGGCCTCATTGTGGGGGAGGGACACTGGGTTCTATAACTAGATAATAATTCCCTCCTTTCATGCTAAGGCACTTATCTATTCAGAACATTAGATGTCAGATCTGTAATACTGATAAAAAATATTCCAGATTATTTCTTCCAGCTATAAAAGCTGTGCTTCTTAGGCGGAGCCAATAAACATTAACAGCATAAGCCTATATATTGATTAGTCTTTCCTAAGCTAAAGAGAAAATAAACAGAAAATATGCAACAATCTTTAAAGGCTATAGCATCACTCCTAATGAATGTCACAAAGTGCATTTATCGATGACATTGCTGAGACTGATATGAAATGATAAAATATTTTTAAAGCCAGTGGATCTGGGTAGATAAGAGACTGTTTAGAAGCTACTGGGATTGTGTGTATGTGGTGGGGCATATTTTAAATAATGATCAAGATAGGACAATCTCATCATTAGACTCACCATTCTCTTATTTTCAGCCCTCAAAAATTAATGACCATTGCCTTATCAAAACCCAGATTATAAAGATGGCAATGAGGCCAGGCGCGGTGGCTCACACCTGTAATCCCAGCACTTTGGGAGGCCAAGGCAGGCAGATCACCTGAGGTCAGGAGTTCGAGACCAGCCTGACCAACATGGAGAAACACTGTCTCTACTAAAAATACAAAATTACCCAGGCGTGGAGGCGCATGCCTGTAATCCCAGCTACTTGGGAGGCTGAGGCAGGAGAATTGCTTGAACCGGGGAGGCGGAGGTTGCGGTGAACCAAGATCATGCCACTGCACTCCACCTTGAGCAATAAGAACAAAAACTCCGTCTCAAAATAAATAAATAAATAAGACAATGAACTTCAGAATCTTGCAACACATTTTAACATGCACATAGCCTTCTTATAATTCAACATTTCCTCCAATCCATCTCGCAACAAAATCCTCCAACTATTCCACTCCTACTAGAGAAACAAATTCCATCCCATCAAATTTTCCTAAGGAAATAAGATCACTTAAAAGATTTTCCTCCCCAGTTCATTCATTTTCTGCATCTGTATCTATATTTATATACGTACCATGTGCCAGAATCACAATGGCATTGTATATCTGCCAGGGCTGAGTTTCAAAGAATACATGTGCACTTAGCAGACAATATTATAAATATTATAAATAAATAAGCAGATTTAGAATACAGGTGACTAACACATAAGTAAGATGTATAAAGGGTTATCCACAATAACTACAGATTAGTCTAAATTCCTTAATGCATCACTCAAAGCCCTGGCAAGCTGGAGGTTATCTTTTTTCCTTCTATGGACAGACTGATCCACTCATTTCCTGAAGACAAATTACTTCATGTTATAACTTTGCCCAGACATTTTCCCTGCCTGGAATACCCTTTCCATCTCATCAAATCTATTCAAGAAATTCAATGCTAATCTCTCTTCAGTGGAACCTTTCCACATTCACTATTTTTTAACTCTACCTTTGTTGATAACCTACTGACATTCGGTATATAAGCATATATTACTATGATAGATGTACTGTTCTTTTATACAGGACATGCATAAACATTTGTGTATGTGTTTATGTCATAATACTCCAAGTAAAACACAAAACTCCTTGAAGGTGCAGAACTGTCATTTCTTTGTATTTTTACCTGTACAATATTATGAATATAATGGTTATTCAATAGAGATCTGTTTAAGAAAAAAATAAAAGAGGGAAAGAGAGGCGGGGTTATCCTTAGGATCCACCAAGTTAACAGTTATCTTTTTTTTTTTTTTTTTTTTTAGAGATGGGGTCTCACTATATAGCCCAGTATGGTCTTGAATTCCTAGGCTCAAGCAATCCTCCCACCTCAGCCTGGCAAAGTGCTGGGATTTCAGGCGTGAACCACCATGCTCAGTCCCCAAATTAATAGTTTCTTGAAATTAAGCCCTTATCAATGGTCTGAATCCTTCCATTGTTTTATGGAGTACTATTTGTATTCATCAATGGTTTCCTATCACTTAAAATAAAACTCTACAGAATCTGGTTATTGCCACCCCTCCTACTTCATCTCCTATCATATTCTACCATTCTCTCTGAGACCTCTCACTCAATGTTCCATATACATACATTGGCCTCCTGGGTCCTCACGTCAGCCAGCTCATTTCCACCTTAAGGTCTTTCTACCTGGGGGTTGGGCACAGTGGCTCACACCTGTAATCCCAGCACTTTGGGAGGCAGAGGTGGGCAGATCACCTGAGGTCAGGAGTTTGAGGCCAGCCTGGGCCAACATGGTGAAACTCCGTCTCTACTAAAAATACAAAAATTAGCCAGGCGTGGTGGCGGGCACCTGTAATCCCAGCTACTTGGGAGGCTGAGACAGGAGAATCGCTTGAACCCGGGAGATGGAGGTTGTAGTGAGCTGAGATCAACCCCACTGCAATCCAGCCCGGGCAACAGAGTGAGACTCCATCTCAAAAAAAAAAAAAAAAAAAAAAAAAAAAGATCTTTCTACTTGGAGCTTCCTCTGCCTTCCCTCAGATCTTCCCATGGCAGCTACTGCCTCCTAATTCAAGTCACAGTTCAAATATCATTCCTCAGAAATGCCTTAGCTGACAATCCTAGCTAAAGCTGCACTCCTCTCACATTACTTCCTAGTATATGAAACTTCTCTTTTTCTCCATCTCAATCTGAAATTATTCTGTTGATATGTTTACTACTTGTCTCTCCCAACTAGTATGTAAACTCCATGAAGAGAAGAATTTTGAGTTCTGTTCACCACTGTACCCCAGTGCCTAGCCTGGAATACTAGCTGGTATGCAGAAGGCAGTCAATAAATATTAATCCAAAAAAAACGAGTTTGTTTCCTCTCACCTAATACTGTAGTTCTCCTCAGGAGCAAGAACATTGTTTCCTGCTCCTATTTATTCATTTATTTATTTTATTTTATTTTATTTTTTGAGATGGAGTCTCACCCTCTCACCCAGGCTGGAGTACAGTGGCGTGATCTCGGCTCACCGCAACCTCCACCTCCTGGGTTCAAGTGATTCTCTTGCCTCAGCCTCCCAAGTAGCTGGGATTACAGGCGCATGCCATCACACCCAGCTAATTTTTGTATTTTTAGTAGAGACGAGGTTTCGCCATGTTGGCCAGGCTAGTCTCGAACTCCTGACCTCAGGTGATTCACCTACCTCGGCCTCCCAAAGTGCTGGGATTACAAGCATGAGCCACTGCGCCCGGCCCACACCTGGCTTATTTTTAATTTTATTTTCATGGAGACAGAGTCCCACTATGTTGCCCAAGCTGGTGTTTCCTACCTTTAATCTCCCACAGCATCTAACAGACTAAATGCACTGAAATCACCAAATAACTGCTCAACAAATGAGGACAGAAATATGGTATTTCCTTTTCTGACACCCCCTCCAGTTACATCTTTAAGTCAACAAATACTCATTAAGTACCTACCATGAGTCAGGCAGTGAGCTAGGCATCATTCTAATTTCTTACTTTTTCAATTTGTCATACTCATCAATGATATTCTGAAAGGTCAAACACCTGGTCATAAGCTAAAGAATCCTTGACACTGCCATCCCCAGTCAATCTCATTTTATTGAACAAAGAAATGCAACTAATTACAGCTACCTGCAGGGCACCATATAAACGTACTAGTTACTGTTTATGTCAGGAGACCACACAGAAAACTTTACTGTCCAATTCTTAATATGCGTCTCTTATCTACTATTGTTCTTCAAGAGAACACTTCTTGTTTAAAAAAAAAAAAAAAACTATAAAAGACATTCCTGAGAAATCTGGAGACATCTGAATATGGGCTGATAAAGAAAAACAATTTTTTAGGTGTGATAATGGTATGGTGGTTACATAGCAGATTATCCTTATTATTTAGGGTGACACATCTGCAGCTTGTCAAATTGTTCAGAAAAAAATTTGTTGTGATATATATAGAGACACAGATACTAACAGCAACTTAAGTATAATAAGGCAAACAGTTGACAATTACTGAATTCCAATGAATAGTCTAATAAGTATTCTATCAACTTTTCTATGTTTTAAATTTTTCATAAGAAGTTGCTGAGAAGAAAATGTTTATTTTAAGAAGATTATTAGGTGCAATTTTCTAGCTATAACTACTTGATGGTCTTTAATACAAGCTTTTACATATAATTAGACCAAAACTGATCCAGAAAATACTACAGGACTCAGAAACTGAACCACTAAAACGCAAGAAATACTGACATAAGAAGTAAGGAACCCAAGGCAAAAACCTGGGCAAAAGCCTAGACTAGGTCCCTTCTTCTTAACCAGCCTTGGGCTCAGAAAAGAAAGACACTCTATTTTGGAAGCCTGCTTCTAGAAAGCACAACACATGAAGACCCAATCTTTCAGCCTTATCCTCCCAAGGAGATAAGTCTATGATGGGAAACTAAACTACAAAATCACAGTGACGATATATACGAACAGATCTTTCTAAGCTCACAAGCATTTTTAAAAATATTATTTAATTATTATTGCTATTATTACTTAGGCAGATATTAAGAACTATAATCACAACCGCCAGTGTAATAATTGATTCAAGCTAAGATTATCAGTGGATGCTAAAACCATTTGGTTGGAAAATAGGATATTTATACTCTCTCAAAGTCACCGTACAGATTTCTCACAAAGGGAAGTAGGGATCCCTACAACGGAAAGATAAAACTTACCATCAACAATGAGACAGACTGGGCGCAGTGGCTCATGCCTGTAATCCCAGCACTCTGGAAGGCCGAGGCGAGTGGATGACTTGAAGTCAGGAGTTTGAGAACAGCCTGGCCAAAATGGTGAAACCCTGTTTCTACTAAAAATACAAAAATTAGCCAGGCATGGTGGCACACACTTGTCATCCCAGCTTCTTGGGAGGCTGAGGCGGGAGGATCACTTGAACCTAGGAGGGGGAGGCTGCAGTGAGCCGAGATCGTGCCACTGCACTTCAGCCTAAGCAACAGAACGAGACTCCATCTCAAAAATAAATAAATAAATAAATAAATAAATAAATAAATAAAGAGATAGACTGACATTATATGACTCCCAGTACAACACAAGGGGAAGTACACAGCAGCATCTATGTAATATTTCTTCCCAAAAATGTCTACCCTGAATCTAAGTACAAGAAAACAATCAGACAAATCCGATTTATGGGACATTATAACTGGCCTGGACTCTTCCAAAGGAGAATGTTATTAAAGATATACACACAAACAAGTTAGAAAGGACTGCTCTAGATCAGGGGTCTGCAAACTGAAGTTTTATAGGAACACAGCAACGCCCATTTGTTTATGAATAATTTATGGCTGTTTTTCCCTCACAAGAGACAAGATGGCCCACAAACCTGAAAATAGTATCTAGCTCTTTACAGAAAAAGTCTGCTGACTCCTACTCTAGATTAAAACAGACACAAGGCCAGGCACCGTGGCTCACACCTGTAGTCCCAACACTCTGGTAGCCCAAGTCAGGAGGATCACTTGAGCCCAGGAGTCTGAGACCAGCCTGGGCAACACAGCAAGACCCCATTTCTATAAAAAATTTTAAAAATTAGCCGGGTGTGGTGGTGCACGTCTGCAGACCCAGCTACTCAGGAGGCTAAAACAGGAGGATCACTTCAGCCCAGGAGATGGAGGCTACAGTGAAGTATGAACACACCACTGCACTCCAGCTTTGGTGAAAAAGTGAGACCCAGTCTCTTAAAAAATAAACAAGGCCAGGTGTGGTGACTTACCCCTGAAATCCCAGCACTTTGGGAGATCGAGGCAGGAGGACTGCTTGAGCCCAGGAGTTTGAGACCAGCCTGGGCAACATGGTGAGACCCTGTCTCTACAAAAAAATTTTTAAAATTAGCCTGGCATGGTGGCGCACGCCTCTGGTCCCAGCTACTTGGGAGAGGCTGAGGTAAGAGAATTGCTTGAGCCCAGGAAGTTAAGGCTGCACTGAGCCATGATCAGGCCACTATACTCCAGCCTGGGGGACGGTGTGAGACCCTGTCTGAAACAAACAAAAATAGCAGTGGAAATTAGTTGCCATGCTTTTTTTTTTCCCAACTTTTAAGTTCAGGGGTACATATGCAGAATGCGCAGGTTGGTTACACAGGTAAATTGTGTGCCACAGCGGTTTGCTGCACAGATCATCCCATCACCCAGGTACTAAGCCCAGCATGCAGTAGCTATTCTTCCTCATGCTCTCCCTCCTCCCACCCCTGCCATGCTTTATTAACCAATGAAAGCTCAATACAAAAACTCAATCCCCTGGAGTATGTTTCAAGAAGAATCTGTGTGACAAGGAACTATCACCAACAAAACAAATACCAATCCACAATTCTTTGTTTGGGGCTAAATGTGTTTTGAAATTCAAAATTTTTCAAACTTTGGAAACTTAAGGACTGGGGCAGCACCCAATAGGCAAACACATTAATATTTCTACAGTTAAATATGTGAATAATCATAATAAAAAGTGAAATAAAGATTATAAATAGCCTGCTTCAATTCAGGTCAGGTTTTGCCAGGAAGCAAATTACTTTATTCATTTTAAATGCATTTTGGCTTTTAGAATTACATACAAAGAACTATGGATTCCTTAGGAATATTCTACACTTGTATTCAAACCATTTAATCAGCCTACACTAGTACCTACTTATGGGGTGGAGTTGGGTAGACTTCAGAGATTTTCCAAGAGAATTGTATTTGTGATTCCAACATAGTTGCATATTCTATTGAAGATTCAGAAAAACCACATTAATATGAACAAGTGGTTAGGAACAGGCATGGTACTGGAATACATCATTTTAATCAGGATTCAAAGCAACCAGAGAGAACACGGGTTGGGATAGTGTAAAAGCACTCACATTGGACCGGAGTTGCTGTACATATATCATAGGTAGCCAATTCAAGAGCTTAGAGATACATGTAACTGTTTAAGGCTGCAAATAGGTCTTTAAAGGAAGAGAATATTATTAAAATTTTAAATTATGCATCAACTTATACCTAAAATATGTAACAAATATATGTTGGTTTTACTTGATGCTATAAATTATTAGGGATCAGAATTTGGAGACAAATTACTATAACCCTTAGTTGAGAAGCTGGTAAATTCTTGATATAACTCCTTAACCAGACTAACTTAGTAACCCATGACAAAGTAGTATACTGGAAATAGTGGTGAACTGAAAGTCCAGGAGACCTCAATTCTCATCTCAATTCTGCTAGTACTTAATTATACAACCTGACCCAGAAACATAGTAGACACCCAGCAAATAGGTTGCTAAATCAATGAGCTTTTTTGTGCCTCTAATTCATCATTTGTGTCACAGAACACTAGATTAAAGAAATTTAAAGGTTTGGTTTAGCTATAAATTCTTAAATAAAAATGCAGGTTTATTCAAATGATTAGAGTTAGTCAGAATTAATAACGACTAATTTTAAAGAAACAGACAGGGCCAGGCGCAGTGGCTCACACCTGTAATCCCAGCACTTTGGGAGGCTGAGGCGGGCAGATTCCGTCTTAAACACACACACACACACACACACACACACACACACACACACACACACAGAGGGTCCTTCATTAAAGAGGAAAAAACAAAAACAATTTTCCAACAAACGTAAAACAGCATTACATAGGTCCTGTAGTAAGAACAAATGAGAGGGAGTATAATCTGATCTATAACATGTGCCCCCCAGGACCTTATCAACTCAAACTTTAGTATTGTGTGACCTTAAAGATTAGTCCAAATCATTCACTTTACAGATGAGAAAACTGACTCTGAAAAAATTACATAATATGCCCAAGGTCATACTCTCTGGCCGCGACAATGACAGGACTAAAACCCAAAGTTCCGACGGGCACGGTGGCTCACGCCTGTAATCCCAGCACTTTGGGAGGCCGAGGCGGGTGGATCACGAGATCAGGAGATCGAGACCATCCTGGCTAACACAGTGAAACCCTGTCTCTACTAAAAATACTAAAAATACAAAAAAGTAGCCGGGCGTGGTGGTGGGTGCCTGTAGTCCCAGCTACTCAGGGAGGCTGAGACGGGAGAATGGCATGAACCCGGGAGGCGGAGCTTGCAGTGAGCCGAGATCGTGCCACTGCACTCCAGCCTGGGCGACAGAGCAAGACTCCATCTCAAAAAAATAAAATAAAAGTTCCCCAGTTCCCAGTTAAATGCTTACTTCCTTTCTTGTAATCAAAGGCTTCTAGAACTGCATAACAACAATGGTGCTATCTGTCATATGGCAATCACTTCAGTCAACATATGCTCTGTCAGAACCTCTAGTTCCACTATATCATCTTTATACATGGCATGGGCAATGAACTCTAGGCAATTAAATAAAAAAACCCACATAGAAAGTATTTCCAAATCCTATATCCAGTAAGAGACGAGTATCCAGAATATACAGAGAGATACAGAGATCTTACGACTCAATAATAAAAAATATCCAACTAAAAATGGGCAAAGGATTTGCACAGGCATTTCTTCAAAGAAGATATACGAATGGCCAATAAGCATATGAAAAGATGCTCAACATCATTAACTGTTAGGAAACTGCAAATCAAAACCAAAGTGAGGCGAGGCATGGTGGCTCACACCTGTAATCCCGGCACTTTGGGAGGCTGAGGCAGGTGGATTACCTGAGGTCAGGAGTTCAAAACCAGCCTGGCCAACATGTCGAAACCCCACCTCCACTAAAAATACAAAAATTAGCCGGGTGTGGTGGTAGGCACCTGTAATCTCTGCTACTCAGGAGGCTGAGGCAGGAGAACTGCTTGAACTCGGAAGGCAGAGGTTGCAATGAGCCAAGATTGCGCCACTGCACTCCAGCCTGGGCGACAAGAGTGAAACTCCATCTCAAAAAAAAAAATGAGATGACACTTCATCCCCACTGGTATGGCTGTAATAAAAAAAAGACAGACAATAACAAGTGTAAGAGAATGCAGAGAAACTGGAACCCTCATAGATTGCTATTGAGAATGTAACATGATACACTGTGAAAAATGTCTGACAGTTTGTCAAAAAGTTAAACATACAGGTACTATATGACCCAGCAATTCTACTCTAGGAATTACATCCCCAAAAATGAAAACTTATGTCCATACCAAAACTTGTAGAAGTATTCATGACAGCCAAAAATTGAAAAATGTCCATCAACTAATAAACAGATAAACAAAATGTATTACTGTTACTATTAATTTATCTTGAGATGGAGTCTTGCTCTGTTGCCCAGGTTGGAGTGCAATGGCACGATCTCAGCTCACTGCAACCTCTACCTCCCAGGTTCAAGCAATTCTCCTGTCTTAGCCTCCCAAGTAGCTGGGATTACAGGTGCATGACATCACGACTGGCTAATTTTTTTTTGTATTTTAGTAGAGATGGGGTTTTACCGTGTTGCCCAGGCTGGTCTCGAACTCCTGAGCTCAGGCAATCCACCCGCCTCAGCTTCCCAAAGAGCTAGGATTACAGGCGTGAGCCACCGCACCCGACCACAAAATGTAGTATTATTATACAATGGGTTATTAGCCTTAAAAAAATAAAACAAAGTACTGATAGATACTACAAAATGTGGATGAACCTGGAAAACACTATAGCAAATGAAAGAAGTCAGATACAAAAGTCTACATATGGTATGATTCCATTTATACAAAATGTCCAGAATAGGCAAATCCATGGAGATAGAAAGTAGATTATGATTGCCAGGGGCTAGAATAGCAGAGAACGGAGAGTGACTGCTAATGAGTATGGGTTTCTTTTGGGGGTGATAAAAATGTTCTGAAATTAAATAATGATGATGGTTGCACAACCCTGTGAATGTATTTTTTTTAAAGCACCGAATTATACACATAAAATGATTTTTATGGTATATGGATTATGTGTTTGTGTGTGTGTGTGTGTGTGTGTGTGTGTGTGTGTATATATATATATATATAAATGAGGCCAGGCACAGTGGCTCACGCCTGTAATCCCAGCACTTTGGGAGACTGAGTTCAGACTGCCTAAGCTCAGGAGTTCGACACCACCCTGGGCAACGGTGAAACCTCGTCTCTGCTAAAAATACAAAAATTAGCCAGGGATGGTGGCACGTGCCTATAGTCCCAGCTACTCGGGAGGCTGAGGCAGGAGAATCGCTTGAACCCGGGAGGTGGAGGTTGCAGTGAGTCAAGATGGCACCACTGTACTTCAGCCTGGGTGACAGAGCAAGACTCCATCTCAAAAAAAAAAAAAAAAAAAAAAATATATATATATATATATATATATATACACACATCATATGTATATTTTGTATATATAATGTGTGTGTATATATATAGATTATATATAGATATAGATTTTTTTTTTCCACACACACACAGACACCAAAGCGTACTTCCCACTCATTTCCCATTCATGCCCTCTCTGGTTGGAAAAAGTAAAATGCCAACACAAGGTGAAAGCATCAAGGTCTCAATTCAGTATCTATTGAGCAAGGCATGTACTATAAAGTGGGAATACAGAGATAGTCTGATCTTATGATATTCAGTTTATTATAAATAAAGTACGCAAATAATTACAACACAATGTGTTAAGTGCAACAACAGATGTACAAAGGGCAGAAGGAGGTATAGGTGACCCTTGAACAACATGGGTTTGAACTGCACAGGTCCATTTACAGATGGATTTTCTTCTACCTTCACTACCCCAAGACAGCAAGACCAAGCCTTCCTCTCCCTCCTCAGCCTACTCAATGTGAAGATGACAAGGAAGACCTTTATGATGATCCTCTTCCACTTAATGGATAGTAAATATATTTTCTCCTGCTTATGATTTTTGTAACAATTTCTTTAGCTTAATTTATTATAAGAGTACAAGTATATAATACATACAACACAGAAAATATGTGGGTCTAATATAGTGGTTCACACCTGGAATTCCAACACTTTGAGAGGCTGAAGCAAGAGGATTGCTTGAGGCCAGGAGTTCGAGACCAGCCCTGGCAACATAGCAAGACCTCGTCTCTACAGTGAAATTTTAAAAATTAGCTGGGCTTGGTGGCACGTACCTATAGACCCAACTACTTAGGAGGCTGAGGTGGGAGGATCACTTGAGCCTGGGAGGCTGAGACTGCTGTAAGCTGTGCTCATGCCACTGTATACCAGTCTGGAGGGCAGAGCAAAATTCTGTCTCAAGAAAAAAAAAAAAAATGTGTTAACTGTTTATGTTATTGGTCAACAGGAGGCCATTAAGTTTTGGAGAAGTCAAAGGTTACACTCAGGCCTTGGAGAGAGTAAGGGCTGGGTGTATTTTCAAGTTGAGGGACCACCCTACTACTACCCCCACATCATGGTGTTTCCTCCAGGAGTCCAAGAGCCTTGCCATTCCTCTTGGTGCTTCCTTCAGGAGTTGAAGGGCCTGGCTATTCTTCTCACTCCTGTAGTAGCACCTATCCAGACTCTCTGCTGTTTTCTGACTTAGGGCAACTACAACCATGGCTGACAAATGGTAGCTACTCACATGGGTGGAAGAAAGGGTACTACACATATTACACATATGTAATACACATATTACACTTACACCAAGCTCCTGGCCATCTCTTGTGGCTTCAAGCAGAACCCCAAGCAGTTCATGATCACCTGGATCTTGCAGATGCACAACCAGTGGGCCACGCCCTGTCCTTGAACTCCTGGGAGCTGGTGGTGCTAATGGGCAACTTGACTCACAATGCCATCTTCAACTACCACTGCAATGCCTTGTGGGAAAGTGGCATGGCACTGCTTGCCTGGCTGCTCAGAGCCTGGTGCCAGCGCTAAAAGTCCTTCCTGCCCTTTGAGGCCACCGAGCTGCCTTTCTAGCCCTGGACCACCAAGGAGGAGGGCATCCAGCTGGTGTGCAAGACAGGCATGCTCGACTGGATCTACTGTGAGCCCCTCTCGGCCTCCTTGGACCCCTTGTCCCCCTCACATGAGCCAGTGGCACCCAAGGACATGCCCTTCACTCAGGGCCTACAGCAGTGTCTGCTGCTGGCAACACCTGCTGCTGGCAGCACCCTCAGAGCTACATCTCTCCCTGGTCACTCTGCTAGAGGCCATGATGGAGCTCAGACCATCTCCAACGTTGGCCTGCTCTGGCATCAGAGCCAGTCACGCCACACCAGGCTCATGCTGGAGCCCAATCCAATGCTCAAGCACCTCACAGGCTGGCTCCTTAGCCACAGTGTGCCCAGGGAGAAGGTGGATAAAGAGCTCACCAAGGTCCTCCTGGAGCTGTACGGCAAAGAGGCCAAGTACAACCACAGCTACCTGGTCTGTGGGCTGGGAGACGAACAGTCCCTACCACCCCTCTACTCTGACCAGGCCAGCAGGTTGGAGCCACCCATGCGTGACAACTAGCCCTCAGCCTGGCTCTTGGAGAACGGGACACGGCCTGGCCCCACATTCCTGGAAGGTGGGGGAAAGGAGGAAGGCTAGATTTCAGGAAACCTGCTTTCTGCTTTGAGTTCAGGGGAGCCAGGCAAGGGAGCCTGGGACCTTGTAGGGGAGACAAAAAGCCTTGGGCAGTGCCCTCCCAGTGTATCCCTTGAGCCTCCTGTGGGCAAGCCACACCCTCATGCCATGTTCAAGGGACCCAAGAAGACAGGTGTGTCCTTGCCCTCAACCACTCACATGGGTATCACTGGTCAGAGCTGATGAGGGGAGCAAGCCACATCAGTGGCCAATTGCAATGAGTCTCTGGTGTCCCTGGAGGGAGTGAGAGCACCCAAGGACATAGTATTCAGTGTGTTACATTTTGGCCTGGGCAGCAAGGTGGGTGGGCACAGCGGTGCAGCCACCCCTCTGCCACATGGGCCACCAAAGCACTACAGGCCAAGCAGGGAGATCTCATGGTCCATAACATAAAATCATCTTGAAGTTTTTACTCTAATTTTTGTGTTTTTTTGGAAACAGGGTCCCAATGTCCCCCAGGCTAGAGAGCAGGGGCAAGATCATAGTTCACTGGAGCCTTGACCTCCTGGGCTCAAGCGATCCTCTCACCTCAGCCTCCCAGGCAGCTGGGACCACAGGCATACACCACAATGCCCAGCTAATTTTTTTTTTTTTTTTGAGACAGTTTTGCTTTTGTTGCCCAGGCTGGAGTGCAATGGCGCCATCTCCGGCTCACTGCAACCTCCGCCTCCCGGGTTCAAGCAATTCTCCTGCCTCAGCCTCCCATGTAGCTGGGATTACAGGCATGTGCCACCACACCTGGCTAATTTTGTATTTTTTTAGTAGAGACAGGGTTTCTCCATGTTGGTCAGAGTGGTCTTGAACTCCCAACCTCAGGTGACCCACCCGCCTCAGCCTCCCAAAGTGCTGGGATTACAGGCATGAGCCACCGCATCCGGCAAAAGCCCAGCTAATTTTTAAAAATACTTTGTAGAAACAGGATCTTGCTACATTGCCCAGGCTGGTCTCGTACTCCTGGACTCAAGTAATCCTCCTGCCTTAGACTCCCAAAGTGCTGGGATTACAGGCATAAACCACCACACCTAGCCTACTCTAAATTTTCAAAGGTCTTTTTAATGCATTATTTTTAGTTAATATTTTATTTTGTGGATACATGACACTTTAATTTTGGTGACAGTCATTTCTCTTTTTGTAATGGTTCTTCTCTTAAGGCAATGTTTTTCTTTTTGGCATTGCCTCCCACTTTGAAAGCACATTTTTGCTGTTTGATCACTGAGGAAGGAGCTGCCAGTCCCTTCTGATGAGTCTGGTTTCTCCAGGGGCATATGTGGCCTCGGGATAATCTGAGTTCTGAATCGGACTTTAGGGTATGATGGGGCCAGAATTACACATTACAGCTTGCGAGAACAGAGCCCTGGTGGTCTGGCTTCATACCTGAGGTGCTGGGCACACAGGCATCCAATAAATGGTGGGTGCATAAAATATATATATATATACACACACACACACACACACACACACACACACACACACACACACACACACAGATTTTTGACAGCACCAGAGGGTTGGCACCCCTAACTCCCACATTGTTCAAGAGTCAACTGCAACTTACTATGGATCAGGGAAGGTCTCACAGAAGAGAAGATACCTAAAGGTAGATTTTAAAGAATGAATAGGCCAGGCACGGTGGCTCATACCTATAATCCTGGCACTTTGGGAGGCTGAGGCAGCAGGAGGATCGCTTGAGCTCAGGAGTTTGAAACCAGCCTGGGCTACATGGTAAGACTTCGTCTCTATTTTTTTTTTCTTTTTTGTTTTTTGATAGAGTCTTACTCTCTTGTCCGGGGTGGAGTGCAGTGGCATGATCTCCACTCAGTGCAACCTCCATCTCCTGGGTTCGAGCAATTCCCCTGCCTCAGCCTCCAGGGTAGCTGGGATTTCAGGTACCTGCCACCAAGCCCAGCTAATTTTTGTATTTTTAGTAGAGACGGGGTTTCACCACATTGGCCAGGCTGGTCTCTAACTCCTTACCTCGTGATCCACCTGCCTAAGCCTCCCAAAGTGCTGGGATTACAGGCATGAGCCACCGTACCTGGTCGATGGTAAAATTTAAGCTGACTCTTTTAAAATGAGTAGAATCTATGTATAAAAAAGAAAAATGACTAGATTTTCAGATATACTAAGGAAATAATAAATAGTGGGCAAAATACAACTGGAAATGCACATACTTAGTTTGGCACAGCCAGAGTAACCCAGATTGCTGAAGCGGCACTGACTAGTTACTGGTGATGGTATGACTTTAGTAGAAACACTGTCTATAGTGTTTTAGTTGCTTCAGTTGTTTTTTGCACATATTCTTACCATAAACATCCCTCTAGGATTGTTATGCTGGATAAAACCTTTGCGCCAGGCTAACTGTTTACCATCCTTATTTCATTTTTACAACAAATCTGAGATAAGTATTAATATCCCAATTTTAACTAGAAACTCAACTTCAGAAAGGTTCATAACAGTTCACAGTAATACATCCCAGCATTCTGTTAGGTGTTACAAATTTATTATCTCATTTAACTCTTCAAACAACCCTAAGAACTAGGTATTGCTGGTACTTCTGTTTTACAGATGAGAAAACTGAGGTTCAGGGAGGTTATGCAATTTGCTCAGGGTCACAGTGGTCTTAAGAGGCAGAACTGAGAATTAAAATTCAGGACTGCCTTATCCTAAAGCTCTCTTCCATTACAGTATAATGCTTTATCTACCTTCAATCATAACTCAGTCTAATCCAATATGCTTTGATTGTTATACTCTCTGCATTTCCAGTAACTAATATGGTAGTAGCCTCTTGCAAGGACAGGTACAATACACATTTGCTGAAGACAGTGCTTTTACGTATTAAATATAAGGGAAGGCTACAGCCAGAGAAATGCTAGCCAAGAGAAGCCCCAACACAAGGTGACTTCTCAAAGACTCTTCTTTTCAGGTTTTTCCAAAGGATATGGAAGAGTCTCCAATGCTATATCTTTTCATCGAAGAGATGGAAAGAGTACATCTGACCAAGATCTGGTTACAGCAATGCAGAGATCTTGCAGTACATACTGCAGCAAAATCAGGTGCTGACAGCTGAGAGATATCAAGTGGCATAAGGCTGTAAGAAGGGAAAAAAGCCCTAGAAATACTTAGATTCCAAAAATGTCTCTAAACGACTGCAAGAAACTGACACACAACAAAAGAGTGGGATTCTATTAAATCCATTTAAGAGTTAAATTGGTGAAACAACTCACATAACACCAACAGATCATACTGGTAGCTCAGGTCTCCTCTCATTTTACCTTTTTTCACATAAAAAGGTAAGCTGTCTTCCCAGTTCCTGGCAGATGTGATATCCTTCAAATATGGTTTCTCAGCTTCCCAGATGGCTAGGCTAGACTAGGACATAAGAAATATGCAGTAACATGCTCCCCACCTCCCATCTAACAGCAGGAAGAGAATAAAAAACCAAAAGAAGAAAGGAGTAGCCAGCAATGATCTCTTCTCTCATTCCAAATACCACAGGTTAGTCCTGCTTATATAAGAGAGGTAACTATTAGAACACATCCCAAGCCTTTTTATTTTTCTCTTTCAGGTTGGGGTTAAGGAATGTTTTAAATTGTATTTCTTTTCATTTTGGTGGGGGTTTTGGGGGGATTTTTTGGTTGTTTTTTCTTTGCTCTGTCTTGCTCTGTTGCCCAGGCTGCAATGCAGTGGTGGCATGATCACAGCTCACTGCAGCCTCAACCTCCCAGACTCAAGTGATCTTCCCACCTCAGCCTCCCAAGTAACTGCGACCACAGGCACATGTCACCACGCCCAGCTAATTTTTTGTATTTTGTGTGTTTGTAAAGACAGGGTTTCACCATGTTGCCCAGGCTGGTCTCAAATTTCTGGGCTCAAGGGATCCTCCTGCCTCAGCCTCCCAAAGTGCTGGGCTTACAGGTGAGCCACTATGCCCAGCCTATTTCTTTTAATTTTGTTCTGGTGTGCTTAAATAAGTTTCTTCATGGATTTCTTTGTAAAACAAGACTTACTATAACAGACTCTAGACCCTACCTCTCTCATAGGAACGCTATTTGAAGGAAATGTTAAAGTACTTGAAAAACTTAAAAGCATAACACAATAATAATAGGTAATATTTATTGTGTTTGTTTTGTGTCATTTAAAGCCCTTTGCGTGAACTAACGTATTATCTCACAACAACCCTATGAGGCAGATACTATTAATCTCTTTTTTTTTTTTTTTTTTGAGACGGAGTCTTACTCTTGTTGCCCAGGCTGGAGTGCAATGGCGCAATCTCAGCTCACTGCAACCTCCGCCTCCTGAGTTCAAGTGTTTCTCCTGTCTCAGCCTCCTGAGTAGGTGGGATTACACGTGCATGCCACCACGCCTGGCTAATTTTTGTATTTTTAGTAGAGACAGGGTTTCATCGTTATTGGTCAGGCTGGTCTCGAACTCCTGACCTCAGATGATCCACCCGCCTCAGCCTCCCAAAGTGCTGGGGGATTACCGGCGTGAGCCACTGCAGCTGGCCAACCTCATTTTTAAGATGAGTAAACTGAGGCCCAGAAAAACAGAGTTCCTTTCCCTAGTTTACACAAATATTATATGGTAGAGCTGGAATTCAAACTCAATTCATTTGAGTCAATAAATTTGAGTATATATTACTCAAATATACTTATGTAATGAAAATTATGTTAGAATATTACTACACATGGATTAAGGAAGCAAACACAATAACCTAGTAAAACATTCAACAAATAATTTGAATTCTTTGTCCTCACCATCGTAACACCACCATCTTTTTTTTCAAGACAGAGTCTCCCTCTGTCACCAGGCTGGAGTGCAGTGGTGCGATCTCGGCTCACTGCAACCTCCACCTCCTGGGTTCAAGCGATTCTGCTGCCTCAGCTTCTCGAGTAGCTGGGACTACAGGCACATGCTAATTTTTGTATTTTTAGTAGAGACGGGGTTTCACCATGTTGGCCAGGATGGTCTCGATCTCTTGACCTCATGATCTGCCTGCCTCAGACACCCAAAATGCTGGGATTACAGGCGTGAGCCACCACGCCCAGCCCATGCACCATTATCTTTATGCATTCTGAGATTAACATGTAACAGATAAATTTATGCGGAACATAGGCTCTGGAGTCACACAAACCTAGTCACATGACGTCACTTAATAGCCGTATGGACAAGTTACTTAACTGCGTCTCAGTGTCCTCATGTGTAAAATAGGGATAATACCTATCACACAGAATTTAAGAACTAAATGGGACCCCCATGCGGTGCCTCACACCTGCAATGCCAGCACTTTGGGAGGCCAAGGTGGGAGGATCACTTGAACCCAGGAGTTTGAGATCAGCCTGGGCAACATGGCAAAACCCCATCTCTATCAAAACAATACAAAAATTAGGTGTAGTGGTGTGCGCCTACAGTCCCAGCTACTTGGGCGGTAGAGGTGGCAGGATCACCTGAGCCCGGGAAGATCAAGGCTGCAGTGAGCAGTGATCACACCACTGTACTCCAGCCTTGGTGACAGAATGAGACTCTGTCTCCAAAAAAATAATAATAATAGGCTGGGCGCGATGGCTCACGCCTGTAATCCCAGCACTTTGGGAGGCCGAGGCAGGCGGATCACGAGGTCAGGAGCTCAAGACCATCCTGGCTAACATGGTGAAACCCCATCTCTACTAAAAATACAAAAAATTAGCCAGGTGTGGTGGCGGGCAGCTGTAGTCCCAACTACTCGGGAGGCTGAGGCAGGAGAATGGCGTGAGCCCGGGAGGCGGAGGTTGCAGTGAGCCGAGATCGCGCCACCGCACTCCAGCCTGGGTGACAGAGTGAGACTCCGTCTCAAAAATAATAATAATAATAATAATAATAATAACTACATGGGCTTTAAGAAATGCTTAATGCTGGCCTGGCACGGTGGCTCATGCCTGTAATCCCAGCACTTTGGGAGGCCGAGACGGGTGGATCACTTTAGGTCAGGGGTTCCAGAGCAGCCTAACCAACATAGTGAAACCCCATCTCTACTAAAAATACAAAAATTAGCAAGGCATGGTGGTGGGAGCCTGTAATCCCAGCTACTCGGGAGGCTGAGGTAGGAGAATCACTTGAACTCAGGAGGCAGAAGTTGCAGTGAGCCGAGATCGCACCACTGCACTTCAGCCTGGGGTGACAGAGCAAGACTCTATCTCAAAAAAAAAAAAAAGAAAAAGAAATGCTTAATGCTTTAAGAAAGTTGGCCAAAGCCAGGTGCTCACACCTGTAAACCAAGCAAGCACTTTGGAAGACTGAGGTGGAAGGATCACTTGAGGCCAGGAGTTTGAAACCAGCCTGGGCAACATAGTAAGACCCAGTCTCTACCCAAAAAAAAAAAAAAAAAAAAAAAAATTAAATGGATTATATACTCATCCCAGAATAGTTGTTGGCACATAGTAAGTGCTAAGCAAACACCATTAGCTACTACTGTTAATATTTTTATTTCATTTTTCTTTGCCATTTTCCATGTAAACAAGTATCTAAAAAATGTTTGTCTCAAAGCTATCAAGTAATCTTGAAATGGGCATATGTTTTACATTTCACATTTCAGTGTCTCCATACTTTGGTAATATTTTCCAGTAAATTTATAATCCATGTAACTAATATTGCTGCCTATGCAAGCATCTCTTCTACCATTTTGAACTTAAGAAATACAAGAATACAATAGCTACATTGTGTTTCTTATGTGTAGTGATAATACTGCAAACCCTTATCTCTTAATATAAACTGCCACATTTCTAATTACATGAGAGTCACTCTGTATGGCTTTTCATCAAATGCCCCAAATTAAAATAGGTAGTGTCTTCTTAAAATTACTTACTTTTTCATTTGACAAATCTCAGACCCAAAAGGTAAAGGGACTTGTGACTTGCTCAAGTTCATATAGGTAGATAATGATAAAGACCGACCCGGAACCTTCAGACTGAGTTCAAAGCTCTTTTTCATCTCTCTGGGCTGAATAATTCCATTTCTTGTCAGGGGAGGTGATAAACATCTGAAAATAGTGAATGACTCAAATCTCCCAAGGTTAAAAAAAAATTTCAAGAAGACAATCTTCAAAGGTCATTTAATGTAGCACAACAAAACAACAACGACCAAAGTGGCATAACTCAGTACTGTTTCCTTCTCAAAAAATCAGGTCATCTCGAAAATTTGCTTTACTAAATTTGTATTAGCCTAACACAAATCTCATGCTACTTCTTCCCAGCTATCTCTGCAACTTTCTGAAACTGGGCAACTTCAGCTCAAAATTCAATGACAAACTCCAGGGAACTGTCACAGTGCAATGTTATAGGAAATATTCCTGAAAATAAGTGGTGCTTGTGAATTCTATTCTACTGAGATTCTCAGTGTAATTATTTTTCTGTGACAGAATCTGATTTGTTTCATGAAACCATGCTAAAATAAAAAAGAACACAAAAATGTTCTCATTTAGGACACTAATTGATATAAAATTTCCCAAAAATTTTGGAGCAGTTCAAATCTAACAAGCATTTACCAAAGGATTTAATCCATATCATTCTTTCAAAAAGTCTGGCCTATAATCCCAATGCTTTGGGAAGCCACGGTGAGAAGACCACTTGATCCCAGGAGTTCAAGACCAGCCTAGGAAACACAGACCAATCTCTACCAAAAATGTTTAAAATTAGCCAGGTGTGGTGGCACATGCGTATGGTCCTAGCTACTCAAGAGGCAGAGGTTGGAGGATCACTTGAGCCTGGGAGGTCGAGGCTGCAGTGAGCCATGATGGCAACACTGTATTCCAGCCCAGGTGACAGAGTGACACCTTGCCTAAAAAAAAAAAAAAAAAAAAAAAAAAATTAAATTAAAAAATAAAAATTAAGAAAGTCCACTCTGAAAACAACATAAGACTTTTTACTTGTTATAGATTTAACCAGAGTCAAGACCAGAAGTGACCAATCCATTTTACACACGAGCCACAGCAGGACTGAGGAGAGAGGAAGAGAAAACAGGAAGACTAGCAAGTCAAATCAATTATTTACTTAAAAGTCCACAGAGTACAGAGCACTATAAGATGTACAGTGCCAACATGCTCCACCCTTTCTCTGCTAGTCAGTACAGGCCACAAGATGAACACCAGAGTCCAACAACCAGCCAAATGCCAGGCAAAATGGCCTTATCAGGCTAGATGGGGTCAAACACATATATTTTTAACTTATAGTCAAAGAGGCTCAAGGAAGATGATCAACAACTTAAATATTGCAGCGATATTAAGGAAAACAAGGCTAGGAAAATGTCTGAATATACAGACATTGGGTCTTTTGAATGTGCATTTACAGTAGTGTTGGGGACAGAAACAAGACAGGAAAAGTCTTAAAAAGTGAGTGAGTGTAAAAGCAAAAGCTGCATACAAAATGCCATTTTAAAAATGTTTAGAAGTAAAAGGGCCGGGCGTGGTGGTTCACGCCTATAATCCCAGCACTTTGGGAGCGGATCACGAGGTCACGAGATCGAGATCAGCCTGACCAACATGGTGAAACCCCGTCTCTACTGAAAATACAAAAATTAGCTGGGTGTGGTGGCACGCGCCTGTAATCCCAGCTACTCGGGAGGCTGAGGCAGGAGAATTGCTTGAACCCGGGAAGCGGAGGTTGCAGTGAGCCAAGATTGCGCCACTGCACTCCAGCCTGGTGACGGAGCCAGACTCCGTCTCAAAAAAAAAAAAAAAAAAAAAAAAGTTTAGAAGTAAAAGAAGAAAAAGATGGCAATAATTCAAAAAGCTGAAAAGGCAGAAAATTTTTATTTGTTTTAGGATAGACAAGACCTCTGTATTTGTAGTCTGAAAAGAAAGACTCAATAGCGAAGGTGAAGATGGAAGAGAGAAAGATAACTGATGAGAGTGAGGTACTGGATACTAGAGAATGCAATGAAGAAGAAAACTGATCCATGTGGATCCTGGAAGTCATCAGACAAAAGCAAATAAAGCAATGGGACAAAAGACAAAAAGCAATAAAAATGGGGAGAGAACAGATGGTAAGGACTTTTTGAAAAATCAGAAGCTGTGCAAAAATGGCAAAACAATGGTCTAGAGGGACAGTGAATGACTAGAACTACAATGATTGCTCCCCTCGTCCAAGGAGTTGCAGAGTATTCAACCAATGAAAACAGAAATAATAGCATTCATTACAGAAAAAGCCGTGTTTTCACTTATGGGTTAGGAGATGGAAGAAATATTGGAAGAAAAAAAATTAAGAACTTAGGACTTTGCTCACATTTGTGCACAGGTTCTACCAGACCCAGCAGAAACAGGTAGTAAAGGGACATCAAGAATGAGGTAGAAAAGAATGGGACTGAGCTTTTAAAATACTGAGGCAATAAGGCAGACGGAACTTTGAGATAACTTTTTACCAACAGTGAAGATGAAGAAGAGTAATCTAAAGAACTTTATGGCTGCAGAGGATGAGGGGAATGAAGACAAACATATCAAAAAACTGCTGGATACCACAGACAACAAGTCTTCAGCACTAACTAGCCCTAATTTTCAAGTGGAATCATCTCCAAAACCCACTTTCCCAGAAGCTGGACCTGAAATATCCTTTAATTTCATTTGCCAAGACTAGCAAGTTGCTGAACTGTGTCAACAGTTTGTTTGTGTTTGTTTTTCGAATTGGACATTTGTTTTTAATAACGATTTGTTGTGTTCTACAAAGGCATAGGAGGGACATTCCCCAAAAGATAAATGAATGCCACATGACTAGAACTGGGTCTTCTATTTTTATGATTTAGAACTGGGTTTTTTGTTTGTTTATTTTTTTAGGCAGAGTCTCGCTCTGTCGCCCAGGCTGGAGTGCAATGGTGCAATCTCGGCTCACTGCAATCCCCTGCCTCCCAGGTTCAAGCGATTCTCCCACCTCAACCTCCCAAGTAGCTGGGATTAAAGGCACCCGCCATCATGCCTGGTTAATTTTTGTATTTTTGTAGAAATGTGGTTCCACCATGTTGGCCAGGCTGGTCTTGAACTCCTGATCTCAGGTGATCCGCCTGCCTCGGCCTCCCAAAGTGCTGGGATTACAGACATGAGCCACCGCACCCAGCCATAACTGGGTCTTCTAAGCCCCCTTTGCATGCTCAGACAGGATGGAAAAGGATAGATAACACCAGTTAATATTTAGTTAGCACTTCACTGATTCAAATTACTATCTAATCAATTAGCTCAACTGACCCACTCTTTATTCCTGTTCTTATGGTGCGTAATCCAAGGATAGAGGAGCAGAAAGAACATGGACTTTAAAGTCACTGACCTAGAATTCTAACTCTCCCGGTTCCCCCAGGGATATTTCTTAAACCTCTATGAGCTTCCATTTCCTCACCTGTAAAGTAGGAATAACAGTACCTATTTCATGAGGCAGTTGTAAAGATTAAAGTGTAAGTCAAGTACCTACTACACAGTAGATGCTTAAGAAATGGTAGATAATGGCCAGGTGCAGTGGCTCACGCCTGTAATCCCTGCACTTGGGAGGCCAGGGCGGGTGGATCACAAGGTCAGGAGTTCAAGACCAGCCTGGCCAATATGGTGAAACCCCATCTCTAATAAAGATATAAAAATTAGCTGGGCATGGTAGCACATACCTGTAGTCCCAGCTGCTCGGGAGGCTGAGGCAGGAGAATCGCTTGAACCCAGGAGGCGGAGGTTGCAGTGAGCCAAGATCACGCCACTGCACTCCAACCTGGGCAAAAAAGCAAGACTCAGTCTCCAAAAAAAAAAAAAAAGAAAAGAAATGGTAGATAATATACTCCACATGTTGCAATGAAAAGAAATGGAAGACCATTTTAACTAATGTCATTATAAACTAAACCATCCAAGCTGAACCACAATTTATTGGTTACTGTTGTTAATACACACAGGGCAAATTATGTTAAAAAAATCATAAAATAACAAATGTTTTCCAAAAAGTCCTCTCTATCTAACAGTTAACCTAACTAAGGATGACAGTGTTTATTAAGGTACGATTTTCATAACTAGGAACTTATACAATGTTTCATGGTTTGAAACGTACTGTATTTTTTTCCAAATGATTACTTCCAAAATAAACTAAACTTTTAACTTCCAGCTTAATCCTGGGGCAATTTTAGAGAATCTCAACATCTCACAAATAAATGGAATTGAAAAAGCATATGGATATAATGCAGTCCACAGAGAATTTGAGGGCAAAAGAGAGGCTATGTCTTGTACCCTTTCCAACTTCAGTTAACTAATACCACAAATGTTCCTCAATTCTACCAATTTCTTTCTTTATTTTTTTGAGACACAGTTTCACTCTTGCCCAGGCTGGAGTGGAGTGACACAATCTGGGCTCACTGCAACCTCTGCCCCCTGGGTTCAAGCGATTCTCCTGCTTCAGCCTACCGAGTAGCTGGGATTACAGGCGCCCACCACCATGCCCGGCTACTTTTTGTATTTTTAGTAGAGACAGGGTTTTGCCACGTTGGCCAGGCTGGTCTCGAACTCCTAGCCTCAGGTGATCCACCAGCCTCGACCTCCCAAAGTGCTAGGATTACAAGTGTGGGCCACCGTTCCCGGCCAATTCTACCAGTTTCATAAGCTTAAGAGCTATCTTCACTTTCTTTTCTTCTTTCTCTACGTTATTAAGTCCCATCTCTTCCTTCTCCAAAATCTCTCCAATATATTCCTTTTTCTTCCCATTCCACTTGCTAAATTCATGCCTGCAGCATAATTTTATTTCTTTAAAAAAATTCCTTAACTGGCTTCCTTTCAGATAATCTATACAACACTTCTTGATTAATGTCATAATTCCAAGTTCATCAAGTCACTGCTCAACTTGTAAACCTTCAATGATTCCCAAATGTTAGCAAGATCAGGTCCAAATTCCTCAGTATGACTGTTAAGACTGTTCATAATCTCAATGAGCATTACTTCACTATCTTATCTCCTTCCTAGTCCATAATCTAAACTCTATTACTAGACCAGACAAGTATTCCCAGTTCCCATCAATAATACGTCTAATCTCTATCTTTGCCCTTGATTTGCTCTTGCCTAGAAAACCATTCCCTCATCCTTAACTTTCTCAAATACAAAAGAAAAAAATTTAAAAAGTAAAAGAAAAACAAAACCTTCTCTTTCCTTTCTGCCTCTTCAACCTCTATCCATCCACCACTGAAAAACTCTAGTCTAACTGCCTGCATGAAGCCCTCACAGACCACTTCAGCCTAAACTAATCCCAGTAAACTGTAACCTGTCATTTCAACATACACTATTAGCATAACAACAGACCTCCTAGGGCAGTCATTTTAGTCAATGGTATTTTCACCCAAGAATAGTAAATTTTTCATAAGGCTAAATTATTCAACATGAAAAACCCCTTTAATCTGAGATGATGCCCTTTCTCTTACCTGTTTTTGTTTTGTTTTGTTTTGTTTTGTTTTTAAGACAGAGTCGCAGCCAGTCATGGCACTTTGGGAGTTCGAGACCAGCCTGAGTGACATAGTGAGACCTCGACTCTACTAGAAATCAAAAATATTACCCACAAACGGTGGTGCACACCTGTAGTCATCTCAGCTACTCAGGAGGCTGAGGTAGGAGAATCATTGAGCCTGGGAGGTTGAGGCTGCAGCCCCCGCCTGGGCAACAGAGTGAGACTCTATCACACACACACACAACCCAAATGCTCCTCAACTGGTCAATAAACAAACTATAATACATCTATACAATAGAATACTACTCAGCAATGTAAAGGAATGAGCTGCTGATACATGCAATAATGTGGATGAACCTCAAAAATACGATGCTAAGTGAAATAAGCCAGACTAAAAGGCTACAGACTACAGACTACCACTTACAGAACATTCTGGAAAAGGCAAAACGATAGGAATAGAAAACAACGCAGTGGTTGCCTGAGGGTAAGAATTGGGGTAGACTACAAAAGAGCAGAAGGGACTTTGCAGAGGTGATGGAACTGTGCAAAATCTTGATTGTGGTGGTGGTTGTTGGACAGTATACATTTGTCAAAACTCACAGAACTTTGGGAGGCCACAGTGGGAGGATCATTTGAGGCCAAGAGTTCAACACCAGCCTGGGCAACATAGCCAGACCCCCATCTCTACAAAAAAAAAATTTTTTTTTAATTACCAGGCATGGTGGTTTGTGCCTGTAGTCCCAGCTACTTGGGGAGGCTGAGGTGGAAGGACTGCTTGAGCCTGGGAGATCAAGGCTGCAGTGAGTCATGATCACATACTGCATTCCAGCCTAGGGAACAGAGTAAGACCCTGTCTTCTTTTTCTTTTCTTTTTTTTTTGAGACGGAGTCTTGCTCTGTCGCCCAGGCTGGAGTGCAGTGGCATGATCTCGGCTCACTGCAAGCTCTGCCTCCTGGGTTCACGCCATTCTCCTGCCTCAGCCTCCTGAGTAGCTGGGATTACAGGCGCCTGCCACCACACCTGGCTAATTTTTTTTTTTTTTTTTTGTATTTTTAGTAGAGACGGGGTTTCACTGTGTTAGCCAGGGTGGTCTCGATCTCCTGGCCTCGTGATCCGCCCGCCTCAGCCTCCCAAAGTGCTGGGATTCTTTCCTTTATTTTCCTTTTCTCTCCCTCTAAGTTACCTTATTATTTCCGTATTAATTCTCCCTGCTCCATTAACTGTCCTCCCATCTATTTTTCCATCACATGTCTTTAAGATTCTGGTAGTCACTTTAAAACTGCCCTAGGATCTAGTCTCAAAACAAAATTCTAACATAATGATAAGTCCTCAAGTTCCTACAGAAAATATTTTCGCATATGTTGGAAAATGTCTAATTTTATCAAATTACACTAAGAATATATCATATTATACTCCATTACAGCTGTGGCAAGAAGCATAAAAACTGGTATTCCTGATTTAAATCTACCAGGGACCATTACTTTGTTTACACACCCTAACTACATTTTCTAAATATCTCTATAAGAATCTTCTATATTTAACTAGTTTCTGTATACTTCTGTAAAGTCTTCCATTTAATGAATCTTTAAGTCCATCAAGATCTAAAAATGGCTTTCTTTCAATCCTAGGAAACATAAGACAATGTTGACCTCATTTACTTACAGGGCAGTACACAGTTCATAAAATCATTATGTGTTAAAACAATGTAATGTTCAAGAGTAAACTCAAGGTCAAATCCTAGCTTGGCACTGACCTTGGGTCAAACCGATCTCACATCTTAGGGACTTAGTTTTTTCCTCTGCAAAATGAGGATAATAATAGTTATCCTCATTAATATCTACCCTAATGGGTTGCTGAAAAGAGATTAAATAAACACATAAAAGGTACTTAAGTACTGTAGCTGTCATATAGAAGTCAGCAACTGGTTTCATCATTAGTCCTCAATGACTAAGAATTCTTCAAAATATCTGAATTATAAACTTAAATGGGCCAGGCGTGGTGGCGGGTGCCTGTAATCCCAGCTACTCGGAAGGCTGAGATGAGGGAATCACTTGAACCCGAGAGCCAAGATCGTGCCATTGCACTCACTCCAGCCTGGGCAACAAGAGTGAAACTCCATCTAAAAAAAAATTAACACTTAAATGAGCTGCTCATTCACTGGTGAATCACTAAAATGGCCTAAATCAGATAAATACCCGCAGATAATTGGGAAAACAGCACATTTTTGATAAAGCTGTTCCAGGACTTAACCAAAAATTAACTTTATCTCAACAGTTAACGTTACCAGTTAACTTGAAACTAGATAAAAACAGAGATTTATGTTTAGAAACAGAAAAATGCTGTCAGACCAAGGTAAATGATACCATTTTTCTATTTGAGTTCTTCAGCATCTGTAGAAAGCCTATGCAAATAAAGCCGGCCAGGCACGGTAGCTCACACCTGTAATCCCAGCACTTTGGGAGGCCAAGGCAGGTGAATCACTTGAGGTCGTAGTTCGAGACCAGCCTGGCCAACATGGTGAAACCCTGTCTCTACTAAAAATACAAAAATTAGCCAGGCATGGTGGCATGAGCCTGTAATCCCAGCTACTGGGGAGGCTGAGGCAGGAGAATCGCTTGAACCCAGGAGGCAGAAGTTGCAGTGAGCCGAGATCATGCCACTGCACTCCAGCCTGGGCAACAGAGCGAGACTGTCTCAAAAAATAAAAACAAAAAATAAAGCATTGGAAAGTGGGCCAGAAAAATACATTTCACCCTTTAATTATACTTCAGTTCGAATCTGTTCCTACACAGATTTGCCTGTCAGCAGACTAAACATGTTCCTTTCTTAGACAAAATTTAACAATATTAATTTATTAACGTTATAAATAAAATCACAGTGACATTAATACAACCTAATGTTTTCATTAAGAGAATTCCAATTTAATTGTAATATGGGTCATATTCATACCATGATTTGTTTTATAGAGGTTTCAGCACTGAAAACAAGTGCTGTTATTCAATGGCGCCATCTTGGGAGGTAAGACCTTCCAAGGATTGGGATGACTGGGCGCATCTTCCAATCATGTGGCCAAGACTCAAAACTTTTTTGACGTGCCATTTATAGGATTCTCAAAGACAAACCTCACACACACACAAAATGCTAGTCTCCACCTTTTAGAATAACATTTCATTTGTGGCCAAAAACAATGCTGACCACTCACTTCCTTCACCAGACTTTCCTATCTCCAAAAGTTAAATATAAGCACCTGCACAATGATGACTTACCAGAATTAAGAACACGTAATATGCTCTAAAGACAAATTCAAAAGAAATATACCAAATATTTCAGAATTTGGAAATGTCACTAAAATAAATACATAACTTTCCAAGGCAGGGAGCAGTGGCTCACGCCTGTAATCCCAACATTTTGGAAGGCCAAGGTATGAGGATCACTGAGCCCAGGAGTTGCAGACCAGCCTGGCAACATGCCAAAATCCCATTTCTAACAAAAGATACAAGAATTAGTAGATGTGGTAGTGCGTGCCTATAGTCCTAGCTACTAGGGAGGCTAAAGTGAGAGGACTGCTAGGGCCCGGGAGTTCAAGGCTGCAGTGAGCTGTGATCATGCCACTGGAGTCCAGCCTGGGTAACAGAGTGAGACCCTGTCTCAATAAAAAAAAAATAACTTCCCATTTGGAGAGTTCTGATGTTTGTTTTTAAAAAGCCGTCCTAGGCCAGGCACAGTGGTGCCTACCTATAATCCCAGCACCTTGGAAGGCTGAGGCAGGAGGATCGTTTGAGGCCAGGAATTCAAGATCAGCCTGGGTAACATATCAAGACCTGTCTCGCCAGGCACGGTGGCTCATGCCTATAATACCAGCACTTTGGGAAGCCAAGGCAGGCAGATCACCTGAGGTCAGGAGTTCAAGACCAGCCTGGACAACACAGTGAAACCTCATCTCTACTAAAAATACAAAAATTAGCCCAGCGTGGTGGTGGGTGCCTGTAATCCCAGATACTCAGGAGGCTGAGGCAGAAGAATAGCTTGAACCCAGGAGGCGGAGGTTGCAGTGAGCCAAGATCGCGCCACTGCACTCCAGCATGAGCCATAGAGGGAGACTCCATCTCAAAACAAAACAAAACAAAACAAAACAAAAATAATACATAAATCTTGCCCCTACCAAAAAAAAAAAAATTTAATTAGCCAGGCATGGTGGCATGCACTAGTAGCCCTAGCTACTCAGGAGGCTGAGGCAGGAGGATCGCTTGAGCCCAGGAGTTCAAAGTTGTAGTGAGCTATTATTGAGCCACCGCACTCCAGCCTGGGCAACAGAATGAGAACCTGTCTCTTTAAAAAAAAAGGCAGTCATAATACCTTACAGTTGCCCCAGAGATGACTATGAAACTACATAGTAACAAAATTGGAAATGTGAAATATCATACCAGATCTGTGTAAAAGCAGTCAAATGATACTGAAAAGTAATGAAAAACAACTGAAATTGTCTAATTTAAACATTTAAACTCATACTTCCATTATATTTGCTTCCAGAGTGCCCCTGAAGGCACAGTATTTAATATGGTTATTTATATCCACTCATCTTTTTATACTCGGTTCACCTTGGTTTGAATAAACTGCGATTTTCCAAAATAAAGACTTTCCATATTGTTTGTTGTTCTGTGAAATTTTTCTTGTAAAAGATGGGTTAGGCTAGGCGCAGTGGCTCACGCCTGTAATCCCAGCACTTTGGAAGGCCAAGGCAGGCAGATCACGCGGTCAGGAGTTCGAGACCAGCCTGGCCAACATGGCAAAACCCTGCCTACTAAAAATACAAAAATTAGCCAGGCATGGTGGCAGGCGCCTGTAATCCCAGCCACTTGAGAGGCTGAGGCAGGAGAATCACTTGAACCTGGGAGATGGAGGTTGCAGTGAGCCGAGATCGTGCCATTGCACCCTGACCTGAGTGGCAAGAGCAAGACTCTGTCTCAAAAAAAAAAAAAAAAAAAAAAAAAAAAAAGGGTTGGGTCCAGGCATGGTGGCTCATGCGTTTAATCCCAGCACTTTGGGAGGCGGAGGTGGGCAGATTACCTGAGGCCAGGAGTTCAAGACTAGCCTGGCCAACATGGTGAAACACCGTCTCTACTAAAAATACAAAAATTCACCAGCTGTGGTGGCAGGTGCCTGTAATCCCAGCTATTCAGGGGGCTGAGGCAGGAGAAGCCCTTGAACCCGGGAGACAGAGGTTGCAGTGAGCTGACAGAGCAAGACTCCATCTCAAAAAAAAAAAAAAAAAGAGATGGGTTGGGGGTAAGAGAAGAAGTAATCTCAGTTTAGCTTATCACATTCTGTTCTAATCATTTTGACTACAGTTTACCAGAGACTTCAAAATTTGATTACTGGCCAGGCACGGTGGCTCAGGTCTGTAACCCCAGCACTTTGGGAGGCTGAGGAGGGCGGATCACGAGGTCAGGAGATTGAGACCATCCTGGCTAACATGGTGAAACCCCATCTCTACTAAAAATACAAAAAAATTAGCCAGGCGTGGTGGCGGGCACCTGTAGTCCCAGCTACTCGGGAGGCTGAGGCAGGAGAATGGCGTGAACCCGGGAGGCAGAGCTTGCAGTGAGCCGAGATCACACCACTGCACTCCAGCCTGGGCTACAGAGCGAGACTCTGTCTCAAAAAAAAAAATTTGATTACTGCTCCCCTCCCAAAGATAAAAATCTAGCATAGAATTAATTCATGCCAAAGATGTCACTAACTGGCATTCTTTTAAAAAACCTCAGTATCTGACCCTCAACAGCTTGTGACACTGGATATCTAGCTTCTGTGTGTACCAGTTCCTCATCTGTAAAATGGGGTTAAAATAATAAACTATATACTTACTTCATGGGTGTGGTGAAGAATACATGAGATTATGAGCTTGAAACATGATAGGTACTCAATAAATATTTGTTGAGTGAATGAGTAAATAAACTAATGTATGAAAAATGCTTAGGATAGTGCCTGTCACATAGCCAATGGCTAATAATATCAGTATCACGCCAGACGCGGTGGCTCATGCCTGTAATCCCAACACTTTGGGAAGCCAAGGCAGGCGGATTACTTGAGGTCAGGAGTTCGAGACCAGCCTGGCCAACATGGTGAAACCCCTGTCTCTACTAAAAATACAAAAATGAGCTGGGCATGGTGGCATGCGCCTGTAGTTCCAGCTACTCGGGAGGCTGAGACAGAAGAATCGCTTGAACCCAAGAGGTGGAGGTTGCAGTGAGCCAAGATCACGCCACTGCACTCCAGCATGGGCAACAAGGGTAAAATTCCGTCTCAAAAAACAAAAACAAAAACAAACCAATTACTACATTACCCTGTAATATTCTGATGTAGTTTCATCAGAAAAGCCAAAATAATCACTGATTTAAAATACACAGTAGGTACCTCCTAAAAACTAATTTAAATTTACCACTTAATTTGAAATATGTACTGAGTTAAATCAACTAAGTTGCTACTAATTTAAATTTGCATTTAAATTGGCTTATAGAACATTCTTCTGCCTTTAACACAAGAGGAAGAGTAACTACTGAGAGAGCTTACCCATCAGACAAAGCAGCTTTAAGCAGATTTAATTGGCTCAAGATTTGCTTTGTTGACATCAAAATAAAATGTTAGTCAACAGAAAATTCAAATAAAGTACTACCTAGTGTCTTGTTTCTGTTAGTAATTCCAATCTGAGAACATTAAACAAGCACTGATAAAGCATTTTTTCTAAGAAGGAACTCTGCATAGTTAATTCTACACCAGTGACAAGTTCCAAAGGAGAATCTGCTTTGTGGCATTAGGACTGGACTCCTGTACTTTCACACCCTAATAGTCTCTATATCGCCGGAAGCAGTTGGTGCACTCCCGGCCTTTAGATTAGAGAAAATACTAAGCAGGATTCTAATAAAAAGAATCCAAGTTAATAAGCTTAAGAAATTAAAATTGCTACCTATACATAAATATCATTGGTCATCAAAAACTCTACTAAAGACCTACTATGTGCCAGTGAAAATAACTGAGGAGGGCATTAGCTAAAACAGCTTCTGATCGAGAAGCTTCCAGTCAAATTAGCTAATTAAGATATTAATAGAAGCTGGTCAAGTTAACCAAAAATATGAGGGGTACTGGCATAACAAGCTACAAGATTTCTGAGAAAATAAGAAGCTTTTGATACAACTAGGTAAAATAAGATATGTGATAGTGTGATTTTCCATGAACACAAGGTGGTACTGGCAATAAATGCTATAAAATTTTAGAGAAGAAAGATTAACTGTTGCAAAACCATGATAGACTTCAAAGAGGGAGAACTGAGCTCAGTCTTGAGGGGTGGAAAAGATTTAAATAGTTAAACAGCATAAGAGGAAAGGACAAAAGATAATGGGACCAAAGGTGCTGAATTGGGAATATGGCCATTAAATATTTATTAAATACCTACTCTATGTCAGTCACTGTGTTAGGCACTAGAGATACACTGGAGAACAAAACAGATGAGTTCTCTGCTTTCATGGAATCTAGCAGGGAAGACATAATAATCATGCACGCAGATATATAATCATAAATTGCAATAGGTGCTATGAAAGGAGGCAACAGAAGCCAGTAATAGGGAATAATGGGAAAGGACTAGCAAGACACGATGATGAGAAAAAGTATCCCTGATATTTATACATAAGCTCAGGCATGAAGGCAGCCATGCAAAGAGCAGGGAAAAGAAGTGTTCGAGGAAGACAGAGCCATGCATACAAAGGCCCTGAGGTAGGAAACAGCTCACTGAGTTTAAAAATAAATAAGGCCAGTGGCTCATGCCTGTAATCTCAGCTACTCTGGAGGCCAAAGGACAGCTTGAGGCCAGGAGTTTGAGACCAGCCTGAGCAATATTGTAAGACCCCATCTCTAAAAATTAAATAAAATAAGAATAAAAATAAGAAGTTAGCGTAACAGAGGCATAATGGGCAATGAGATTGGCATAAAATGCCAATTGCCTACCCGAAAAGTAGCCAGGAGACGGGCTATACAGGGCATTATAGGTCAAAATAAAGAACTGAAATGGCCAGGCACAGTGGCTCACGCCTGTAATCCCAGCACCTTGGGAGGCTGAGGTGAGTGGATCAAGAGGTCAGGAGTTCATGGCCAGCCTGGCCAACATAACATGGTGAAACTCCGTCTCTACTAAAAACACGAAAATTAGCCAGGCGTGGTGGTAGGCACCTTTAATCCCAGCTACTTGGGAGGCTGAGGCGGAGAACGGCTTGAACCCAGGAGGTGGAGGTTGCAGTGAGCTGAGATCGCGCCACTGCACTCCAGCCTGGGCGACAGAACGAGACTGTCTCAAAAAAAAAAAAAAAAAAAAAAAAAAGCTGAAATTTGAATTTTATTCCAAATCTAAAAACCACTAAAAATTTTTGCACGGTCACATTAGTGTTAAATAAAAGGAGCCAGACCACAAACAATATATACTATATGATTCAATTTTTACAAAAGTACAAAAAAAGAGCAAAATAATCTATGCTGTCAGAAGTCAGGATGGTGATTACCCTGGGTGGTAGAGGGGAGACAGGAACTGAAAGGGAACTGGATAGGGGCTTCTAGGTACTGGTAACGCTGTTTCTTGATCTAGATCTAGGTGCTGCTTACATGGGTATATTCAGTTTGTGGGAAAAAAACATCAAATTCCACTTTTACATGCATTTTTCTGTATATGTATTATATACTTCAATCATAAAGTTTTTAATAACGTAATATACTTTTATTTTTTTTTTTTTTGAGACGGAGTCTCGCTCTGTTGCCCAGGCTGGAGTGCAGTGGCGTGATCTCGGCTCACTGCAAGCTCTGCCTCCTGGGTTCTCGCCATTCTCCTGCCTCAGCCTCCCGAGTAGCTGGGACTACAGGTGCCTGCCACCATGCCTGGCTAATTTTTTGTATTTTTAGTAGCCACGGGGTTTCACCATGTTAGCCCAGCCCATAATACATTTTTAAAATACTATTTTGTCCAGATAAAAACAGGAATAGAGTGCTCACTTCCACAACACAAATACTAAAATTGGAATGGTACAGGGAAGATTAGTATGTGCCCTGCACAAGGATGACATGCTAATTCATAAAGCAGTCCATATTTTTAAATTTTTTTGTAAAAATAAAGAAACAAACGGTATAAAGGGGCACATGCAAATACGGCAGGTCTTGAATGAAAGATTACCCGGGTAGAAGCTTTCAGAGGAGTAATTCAAACAGCCAGTGATACAAAGTACCATGTTAATAAAGAATAAGGCTGGGTGCGGTGGCTCACACCTGTAATCCCAGCACTTTTGGAGGCCGAGGCAGGCGGATCACGAGGTCAGCAGCTCGAGACCAGCCTGGCCAACATGGTAAAACCCTGTCTCTACTAAAAATACAAAAATTAGCTGGGTGTAGTGGCAGGCACCTGTACTCCCAGCTACTTGGGAGGCTGAGGGAGAAGAATCGTTTGAACCCGGGAGGTGGAAGTTGCAATGAGCCGAGATCACACCACTTCACTCCAGCCTGGGTGACAGGGTGAGACTCTCTCAAAAAAAAAAAAAAAAAAAAAGCATGTTGGGGCCAGGTGCCACTCATGCTTGTAATCCCAACACTCTGGGAGGCCAAGGTGGGAGAATCGCTTGAGCCCAGGAGTTCAAGACCAGCCTGGGCAACAAAGCAAAACCCTATCTCTACAAAAAAAAAAAAAATGTTTCTTAATTAGCTGGGCATGGTGGTGCACACTTGTAGTCCCAGCTAATCGGAGGCTGAGGAAGGAGAACTGCCTAAGCCCAGGAGTTCAAGGCTGCTGTGAGCTATGACTGCCACTATACTCCAGATCGAGAGAAAGAGTGAGATCCCGTCTCTTAAAAAAAAAAAAAAAAAAAATGCTGAGTCTGGGAAGGAAGTTGTGCAATACTAAAGGATTAACTATCAATTCCTTAGAACATAAGGAGGAATCTCCAGAAATTAAGAAAGTCATAGATGACAACAGCAATGCCTAAAAAGGTTAGCAATGCTTGTCATGTTGTGGCTCATATTTTAATATGGTATTTTCAAGCTCTTCCCTTGACCCTCCACTCCCATACAACTGAGAGTGTAATGACATAGACCCCAAACCTGAGCATCAATCATACCTGAGCTCGAATCAATGGTCTGCCCCTCACTTGCTCTGGCAGTTAACTGCTCTGAGCTCAGTTCCCTCATTTATAAAATAAGGATAATGACTACCTCATAGAGTTATTATTTTTTCAAAGGTGAACAGAGTAGTCACTTCTGCAGCACAAATACTAAAACTGGAATAATACAGAGAAGATTAGCATGTCCCCCGCTCAAGGAGGGAACACTATTATAGTCACCCCTTTGAGTAGATCTAAAGGGTTATTTTAATTATTATTTCCTAATGGTATACGGAGGACCAATGGTGGATTTAACAAGAATTCCTTTGCTTCGGGCAGAGCAAAAAAAAAAAGTTTCCATTCTCAGACAAATCCATGGGTGAGAGAAGGGCTTATAAAATAGTCACCGGCTGGGCGCGGTGGCTCACGCCTCTAATCCCAGCACTTTGGGAGGCCGAAGCGGGCGGATCACGAGGTCAGGAGATCGAGACCATCCTGGCTAACGCGGTGAAATGCCATCTCTACTAAAAATACAAAAAATTAGCCGGGCATGGTGGCGGGTGCCTGTAGTCCCAGCTACTCGGGAGGCTGAGGCAGAATGGCGTGAACCCGGGAGGCGGAGCTTGCAGTGAGCCAAGATCACACCACTGCACTTCAGCCTGGGTGACACAGTGAGACACCGTCTCAAAAAAAAAAAACACAGTCACCATACAGAAACAGAATGAATAAAGATAAAATCAAAAAATAAAGAGAAGGTAGAAATGGGGCTTCTTCTAGAAGCTCACTAGCACAGGTTCCAGGCATTTTCTAAGAGACAGAGACTTGAGCTAAAGCATACTGGGAGAAGTTCAGTGACTTGAGAAATTATGAAAAGGAAGAAACAATCTTCCCCGCAAGCCACAATTGCTACCTAATGTATTCTTCCCTTTGTGGAATATTACTTAAAACAAGTTAGAGATCAACACTAAGGATATTCTGTCATAGGTGGAAGGGCAAGGCCTTCAACCACTTTACACCATCCCCACCCTTAAGTATTATTTGAACAACCATAATTTGTTAAGCGCTTCTTAAGCACAGCCAAAGATGTTAAGTTTTATATTTCAGGAGCTACCATTTCAAAAGAAAAAAAATAAAAAGTTCAACTCCTTAAATCTTTTGGTAACTTTTTCCCCAAAATGTATCCTCTGTCTTAAAAGTAACTAAAATCTACTTCCTCCTGAATTTATTTATCTTTCCCCTAATCCAATAAATGTCTCTCCTTATTCTTCCTATTTACCTCACCATTAAATACCGAAGGTTTTCCTATTTCCTCCCAAGTTGGCACATTAACACTCTAATATTCATTCTGATCTCACAGTATTGAATCTGAGCATAGAAACCTCATAACATTCCCAGGGATAAATCTGCTACCCAATTCCTAAAAGATAACACACAGTTTAAAAAAATAAACACAGTGGTGGTAATTATACAACTGTATACATGTGTCAAAATTTGTCAAACTGTACACTTAAAATTGGTGAATTTTATTGTATGTAAATTATACCTCAATAAAGCTTTTTTTTTTTTTTTAAAGAATGCATTCCGGGCAGGGCATGATGGCTCATGCCTGTAATCTCAACACTTTGGGAGGCTGACATGGGAGGATCCCCTGAACCCAGGAGTTCCAGGAGACCAGCCTGGGAAACACAGGGAAACCTCATCTCTATAAATAAAAAAAAAAGTTAGCCAGGCATGGTGGCACACACCTGTGGTCCCAGCTTCTCAGAAGGCTGACGTGGGAAAATCACTTGAGCCCAGGCAGTAGAGGATGCAGTGAGACATCATCACAGCACTGCACTCCAAAAAAAAAGGGAATACATTCATTACATTCATTCATTCACTCATCAAATATTTGCTATGCATCTATTATATGCATCAAAGTTTATACCACATCTTTCAGCCTGGACTATCCGGGTCCTACCTGTAACAGCATGCTTTACTCATAAGTTGACACTGTCCCTAAAAGCTGTATTACATGAAAAATGATTCTGTTTCTGATAATGTTACCTTAATGATGGCCGCTTTACACTGGAAGGGCCATTAGCTATCCATCAACTTCCATTACATAAATGAAATATATGATCACTTAGGTACTCCCCATTTTAACAGAAATGCTTTCATCATAAGAAATAAGTAAGCACCTAGAGGCATATAGTACATACCACTACTACACTACTACAGCCTTATATGTTTGTCTTTTTACCAAAAAAAAAAAAAAAAAGAAAAGAAAAACAGCACACTTCAAGTGCATATTTACAACACTGCTGAAAGAAAAGGCAATACTATTGGAGAATAGACTTAAATGACTTATTCTAGGGCCCACAGTCACCCAGTGGCTGAGTCAAAGGCCAAAAAACTAGGTCTCATGATTCCCAAGGCAGTGGGCAAAGTAGAGAGACAACCACAGACCTGAGAAACAGACCTGGGTATGAATTCCAGTGCCACTTCTTACTAGTTGTGTGTGTGAACTTGGGACAGCCACTTTACTTTCTGACCTTTGGCTTGCTCATCTATAAAACAGGGATGCTGACTGGGAGCGGTGGCTCACACCTGTAATCCCAGCACTTTGGGAGGCCGAGGCGGGCAGATCACTTGAGGTCAGGAGTTCGAAACCAACCCGGCCAACATGGTGAAACCCCATCTCCACTAAAAATACAAAAATTAACCGGGCAAGGTGGCACACACCTGTAATCCCAGCTACTCGGGAGGCTGAGGCAGGAGAATAGCTTAAACATGAGAGGCGGAGGTTGCAGTGAGCCGAGATCGCACCACTGCACTACAGCCTGGGTGACACAGAGCACTCCGTCTCAAAAAAAAAAAAAAAAAAAAAAAAGGGATGCTAACTACCACCTCACAAAATTCTTGGGAAGACTGCCTAAGATCTATACCACCTAGCATAATTACTGGGTACAGAATAGGCAACTCAACAACATTAGTTCCTTTTCTTGGTCTTAAATTATTTAAGATTAAGAAAACACCTCATAATCAACGAAGGCTAATTAACAATCCGCATTATTAATCACTGGTCAACAATGAACCTGTGTTTGCTGCCTTCTTCATACTCCAACCCATTCCCTTCCCAGCTCACTATTTCCAGCTTTTCAAACTTTAGTTACTATGTTTAGAAAAGTGATTTAATTTTAGAAACCTGGAAAATTCTTCTAGGAGTAAATTCTTCTAGGAGTAAATTGAGCAAAACCTTAATCTGCCCCCAGGGGAATTCTGAGCAAAACAATTATTTCTGACAAAAGAAGAATTTTCTATGGGGGTAATTCAATTTAACCACATGAATACTACCAAAGTTGCAAACAAGGTGACAGAAGGCAATCTGGAACACACCTTCCAGATTCCCCAAAAAGAAATGTCCTCCTAAAATCCAAACCCCTCCCTCCCTAATTTGAGGTAGTCAAATCTTATTAGGTGATCTGAATTCTCCCGGCTCTGACACCAGTCCAGCTCCTTAGGCCAGAACTGCAGCCGTCTGTAAAAGAAATACCCTGAGCAAACCCCACCCCTCAAAACATCCCCAAAAGGCAGGGAGGTCCAGAGAGTATTTTCTCCTCCAACGACAGATAAGGCACCAAGGGCTCAGCAGCGCAATCCTTCTCCCAAGGTCATTCAAGTCAGTGAAGGTGCGACGGTGGAGCTGCAGGCAGTCTGGCCTTCTGGAAATCACACTACAGGGGTTTTGGGGGTGCCTACTCTCTTCCCCTCTCCCACCCGCAAGGGTGAGCACTGGCCTCGGCATTCCCGAAACAAGCCACAACAAGCTCTGCAGTGTTAGGAAAGGGGTTGACGCGATGAAGAAACAGATGCTCCAAAGCAAGATGGTCTTTCTCGGCTCACAGAGGCTCCTCCAAGGTTATGCACAGAAACCGCAGCCACCTCCAAGAGCTCTAAACCGGGCTCCGAAGCCCCAGCGCGGCCGCTGCGGGTCGCCAGGTTCCCTGCAGGCAGGCTCCGCAGCCAGAGGCCACCAGCCCCAGAAACCGCACTTCATTCCTGCGCTCCGGGAAGCCATGGCTCCTTCCCTGCCCGGGCGGCTGGGCGGGGGCCGGGGGTGCGCCGGGAGGCGGGCCCCGCGCTGCGGAAAGTTCACCGCGGCGGGCGGGGGGAGGCCCCGGCCCCGCTCGCCGGCGTCCCCCTGCAGATTCCACCATTAATTAGTCCTAAGGACTGTCTACTGGCAACTTAAACAAAGCGAATGCCTCGAATTCCTTCCCGGCCCAGCGGTCTGGCTGCGAGACCAGCAGAGCGCCCGGGACGCGGGCCGGCGCGGCCGACAGCTGCGGCGGCCGCGGGACCCCTCCCCGCCCGGCCCGCGGCCCGCGCCCCGCGCCCGCAGCTGGCCCCGCACGCCGGCCCGACGCGCTCCCAAACCGCCCTCCTCCTCCTGCTGCTGCAGCTCCCGGGCCCTTCCTGTCTGATCACTTCCTTCCTCCGGTGCCCGCCGGGCCCCGCGCAGCCCCCTCCACGGCCGCCTCGTCGCCCCCCGCCCCTGTCGGCCCGCGCCCCCTCCCCCAACCCCAAACTCTACCCCCGAAACTCTTCGCCGCCCCCTCGAAAATGTCTCCTCCGCGTCTCTGCCCCAAACATTTCTCCTCAGAGTCTCGCTCCCACCAAGAAGTCTCCTCAGAACCTTCCCTCCCCCTCCCGAGGAAAAATCTCCTCAGAGTCTCTTCCTCCAACTCCACAAACATGTGCTGGGTCTCGCCCCAAAAGGTCTCCTCCTGAGCCCTTCCTCCAAAATCCATTCCAACTCTCCCCCAACTCCACACCCCATCTCTCCTCGGCTGCGCCCGCGGTTTCTTCTGCCCCGTGGCCGCGGGTGCCCCGACCTCACCCGGGACCGGCCTCCCAACCCCGCCGCCCTCCCCTCCCCGCGCCGCGCTCCCGCCGCCGCCGCCTCACGGACCCTCACCTCTGCGGCCCCGAACCGCGCTCCCGCCAGCGAAGGGTTCCGCCGCTCAGCTGCCAGCGACCGGCGCCTCCTCTGGCTCCGCGGGACTGACAATGAGGGGCGGGGCCAAATTGTGACGTCAGCGTTCTGGAAGGCGGGGTCTTTGTGATGGGCGGGGTTGTCTGTAGGCCCCGCCCCCTCCGTCCTTTTTTTCCCTTCCCAGGACTTAGACTCCACCAAGTTTTTATTGCCTCCGTAGCTGGGTCCTGTGCTAGGCGCCCTGGGAAATCGAAATGGAAGACAAGACTTCTCGATTTCAGGAGGGACACTTTCGGCCCGCGTGGTGGCTCAAGTCTGTAATCCCAGAACTTTGGGAGGCTGAGGCGGACGGATCGCTTAAACTCAGAAGTTCGAGACCAGCCTGGGCAACATGGCGAAACCCCATCTCTATAAAAAATACAAAAATTAGCCGGGAGTGGTGGCGCCCGCCGGTAAGCTAAAGTAGGAGGATCGCTTGAGCCGAGGGAGGTCGAGGCTGCAGTGAGCCGTGATCGTGCCACTGCACTCCGGCGTGGGTGACAGAGTGAGACCCTGTCTCAAAAGAAAAAGAAAAAAGCGGGACACTCTCAGTAGGGTTGTGAGGATTAAATGAGATAATCAATGGAAAGGTGCTTAGCCTAGAACCTGATATGGAATAATCACTCAACAAATCCTATTTCTATTACTCTGCAAATGCAGAGAAGGAACTCAGCTCAGACTCGGGAGGCATGGGTTCCCGTCCCCCACTGTGCTATTAATTCTTTGTGTGATGCTAGACAAGTACTTTCCCATCTATGTTCCCGATTTTCATCTTCTTTAAAATGGGAAGGGGGAATAACCAGATGATCTCAAAATCCCCTCCCATACTTCTATGACATACTTCCTTTAAGTCTACTATCTAAAAGGCACCTAGTGCCCTGAGAAGCCAGGAGGAAGGCTTCAAAGACAGCCCAAGACCCACACCCAGCATAGTACAGGACACAGCCAGAGACTGCTCTCGCTGCGGATGCCCTCCCACACGCTGGCACGCAGCAGCATTCACAAGCCAGGACACAGATGGGCTGAGGGCTGCTTCCTCTCTGACTACAGCAGCATGGTTGGTCTCTTGAGACATCTCTTGTGTAAGCTCTTTATTGCCTATGGAATAAAGGCCAAAGCCCTGGCCTGGTATGATCACTTCCTACCTTTACACACACACACACACACACACACACACAAAGTTTATCCAAACTTCTCTTAGCACACCCACTGCTTTCCCACATTTGACCCTTTGCTGAAGCTCTTCCCCTGCTGTCTCACCTCCCAGCTTCTCCCAGCCAGAAAGCAATCCTCCCTGTTCTGAATAACCAATAACATTGTGTTTAACCCTCACGTGGGCATGAACACTACAACTTATAAAGAACTGACCTCCCATTTGTTTCTTAGCACTTCCTGGAGGTCAGAACCCACACATGTTTGTGGAGCTCAAGCTCTGATGCCAGAAAACCCTGGGATCATATGTTCTGGGGTCATAATAGCCATCTCTGAGCCTGTCTTCTCATCTATAAAATGGGGATAATAATATAGTCTTGTGGTGTTTGTTTTAAAATTACCTAAGATACTGTATGGAAAACATCAGGCACAGTGTTCCACAAACAATATGAACAATATGATTGTCATTCTTATTTTCTTTTTCTTTCTTTTTTTTTTTTTTTTTTTTTGAGACGAATTTTCTCTCTTGTCGCCCAGGCTGGAGTGCAGTGGCACGATCTCAGTTCACTGCAACCTCTGCCTTCCAGGTTCAAGAGATTCTCCTGCCTCAGCCTCCCAAGTAGCTGGGATTACCGGCACTTGCCACCACACCTGGCTAATTTTTGTATTTTTAGTAGAGACGGTGTTTCACCATGTTGGCCACGCTGGTCTCGAACTCCTGACCTCAGGTGATCCACTCACCTTGGCCTCCGTAAGTGCTAGGATTACAGACGTGAGCCACCACATCAGGCCCCTGTCATTCTTATTTTCAGTAGTATTATATTGACCAGGCGCGGTTGCTCATGCCTGCAATCCCACCACTTTGGGAGGATCACTTGAGTCCAGGGGGATGGATCACTTGAGTCCAGGAGTTTGAGACCAGCCTGGGCAACATGGCAAAACCCCGTCTTTACAAAAAATACTAAAAATTAGCCAGGCCTGGTGGTGCCCGTGCAGTCTCAGCTACTCAGGAGGCTGTGGTGGGAGGATCCCTTGAACCTGGGAGGTGGAGGCTGCAATAAGCCATGATAATGCCACCGCACTACAGCCTGGTGACAGATCGAGACCCTGTCTCAAAAAAAAAAAATATATATATATATATATAATTACTGTATGATTTATATATGTATTTTTATATATAACTACTATAATCAGTATTATTTCTAGTTATTAACACCACACAGCACCTCATAACAATCCACCTAATCATTTCATATGGAAGACTTTAGGGTCTTGAGAAAGGAAGAGGCTTGCTGAAAGTGGCCCTGCAAAGCATTCCCATTGGAATGGAAACCAGCACTCCAGTCTGCAGACCCCAGATGGATTCAGCAGAGTCACATCTGATGATGCCCCAGGGCATCTCTGCCATTCAGCATGCCTCCAAGCTGGGGTCAGCGTGTAGTTCTCTCTGAGAGTTCTTTGCAGCACAGCTGACCCATTTCTGCTTCATGCCTTTCTCCTCTCACCTTCTTTACAGAGACGTGGATCTGTGTTAAACCGCCCTTGGCATCTCTGCAATCCTCTAGGAGAACTGCAATGAGGCACTGGGCATTTCTAGAGCACTGGCCTGTGGAAGGAGGGGAGGAACTTTGGGGTTCTGATTAATTTCCTATGCTGCAGGCAGGCACATGGGTGTCCTGAAATGCCTGGCCCGGTCTTCAAAGGCCTCTAATAAATTATAGCTTATTTTTAGAAAAAATATTCAAAAACACCACTTCCTGTGAAAAGTAATCATGGCTGTAAGATTGCTGGAGGCAAAGGAAGGGCCTTTACTGAGTTGCTCCTAAGGGCTAATGCTGATTCCAAGTACCACAAACCCTTGGAAGGAAGAACCCAGGACATATAAGGGAGGTTCTGAAGAAAGAACTTTCTCCCCAGGACCCATGATCCCAGCAACCACTTATTGATTTATTCATAGCAAAAGCTTTGGCACAGGAAAGATCGGGATTCAAAACCCAGCTCTGCCACTTACTAGTTATGTAATCTTGGGCTTTTAGGTCTCTGCACCTCAGTTTCTCATCTGCAAAATGGAAATAATAATACTACCTTTCTCACACAGTGCCTGTGAGGGTTAAACATGTGAAAGAGCTGAGTTCAGAGCCTGGCACCTAGTTCATGCCAGGATATAGTGGTTGCTGTTACTATTTGAACATGTCCTCATCCTCCCAGCAAGACCTCCATTAGTAAAAGGAAAGGAATAGATTTGTATGATTGGACAATAAAGGTCTCTATTGGGCATTGTTAAGTGAAAAGAGTAAGAGTAAGTTGCCGAATTACAAGTGTAGTAGGATCCTGTAGTTATAGTTTGTAATATATGCTTAGTATATGCATAGAAAAATATGGAGACTATAAAGAACTAAATAGGCCAGGCGCAGTGGCTCACACCTGTAATCCCAGTGCTTTGGGTGGCCAAGGTGGGAAGATTACTTGAGACCAGGAGTTTGAGACCAACCTGGGCAACATAGTGAGACCCCTGTCTTTACAAAAAAAAATTTTTATTTTTTTATTTTTTTTTTTTTAGACAGAGGTCACCCTCTGTCGCTCAGGCTGGAGTGCAGTGGCACGATCTGGGCTCACTGCAATCTTTGCCTCCCAGGTTCAAGCGATTCTCCTGCTTCAGCCTCCCGAGTAGCCGGGATTACAGGAATGATCCACCACACCCGGGTAATTTTTGTATTTTTAGTAGAGATGGGGTTTCACCATGTTGCCCAGGCTGGTCTCGAATGCCTGGGCTCAAGCGATCCTTTAGCTTTGTCCTCCCAAAGTGCTGGGATTGCAGGCGTGAGCCACCATGCCCAGCCAAAATTTTATTTATTTATTTTTATTTTTATTTTTTTTGAGACAGAGTCTCGCTCTGTTGCTCAGGCTAGAGTGCAGTGGTGCGATCTCGGCTCCGCCTCCCGTATTCAAGCAATTCTCCTTCCCCAGCCTGCTGAGTAGCTGGGATTACAGGCCTGCGACACCATGCCCGGCTAATTTTTGTATTTTTAGTAGAGACGGGGTTTCACCATGTTGGTCAGGCTGGTCTCGAACTCCTGACCTCATGATCCGCCCACCTCAGCCTCCCAAAGTGCTAGGATTACAGGTGTGAGCCACCGCCAGGCATGGTGGCTCACACCTGTGGTCCTAGTTACTCAGGAGGCTGAGGAGGGAGGATTGCTTGAGCCCAGGAGTTGGAGGCTACAGTGAGCTATGATCTCTGCACTGCACTCCAGCCTGAGTGACAGAGAAAGACACTGTCTCTAAAAAAATAAATAAATAAAAAAGAGCTAGAGAACCTTCAGTTTTTTTTCTTTTTTTTTTGCTTTGCTGAGTTTCATTTTGTTTTTGTTTTTTCTTTTTTTTTTTTTTTTTTTTTTCAGATAGAGTCTCACTTTGTCACCCAGGCTAAAGTGCAGTGGCATGATCTTGGGTCACTACAACTCCTCTTCCCAGGCTCGAGTAATCCTCCAACCTCAGCCTCCCAAGTAGCTGGGATAACAGGTGCCTGCCAACAAGCCCAGCTAATTTTTTTTGTATTTTTGGTAGAGATGGGGTTTCACCATGCTGCCCAGGCTGGTCTCCATCTTCTGAGCTCAAGCCATCCACCTGCCTTGGCCTCCCAAAGTGCTGGGATTACAGGTGTGAGACACTGTGCCCAGCCTGTTTTGCTGTTCTGTGTGTGCATATAGTGAGAACTTCCAAAAAAGACTTTGCTATGGAGGGGAAAGAGGGTAAAAACACAGCTACAAGGTATACCAGCAGTGGGCATCTGAGCCACCTGTGCATACTGCAATAGAAAGTTCCACAGATCCCATCTCCTCCTTCGTGGGGTTCCAAGAAAGCCCATGCCGAGATGATTTTCACTTTCTCCCCTGACCCTAGCCCTTGGTTGCATTTGAACTTTCAATGCTAGAAGCCAAAAGTAAGACACCTAATAGAAGTCTCAGGAACCATGACAAGGCCAGGACAAAAAGAATTTTAAGCAGGGAGAATTTTTTTTTGTCCCTGTCTGTATTAGTCAGAGTTCCCCAGAGAAACAGAACCAATAGGAGTATATATATATATAATTTACTTATTATGAGAATTGGCTCACAAGATTATGGAAGCAGAGAAGTCCCACAATCTGCCTTTTGCAAGCTGGAGAACCAGAAAAGATGGTGGTACTAAGAATGGGGGTTTGTGGGCAGGGAAGTGCTGGTATAAGTCTCAGAGTCCAAGGATTGAGAACCAGGAGCTCCAATGTCCAAGGGCAGGAGAAGATGGATGTTCCAGCTCAATGAGAGAGAGCAAATTTTCCTTCCTCCTCTTTTTTGTTCTGTTGGGCCCTCAGTGAATTGGACAAGGGCCCTTGTTCTTTGGGCCCTCAGTGAATTGGATCATGCCCACCCACATTGGTGGAGGCAATTTTCTCTACTCAATCTACCAATTCAAATATTAATATCTCCTGGAAATACTCAGAGATAATGTTTTACCAGCTATCTGGGCATCCCTTAGCCCAGTCAAATTGACACATAAAATTCACCATCACACTGTCCTATGCCCCCTCCACACCTTCCAAAGAATCACAATATGTCAGCACCTTGTGTCTACCATGTCTAAACTTGCACTTTCACTTTCACTCATTATATCTTTCTGCAATTTAATTTTTTACATGTAGAAGTATTACTGTGTCATCAGAAAAAAAGGCAATAAAGATATACATAAAAAGAAAGCTAACCAAGCTGGAGTTGGCTCACTTTTGCTGGTTTGCAAACAACAAATGATTACCCAGTATGATTGAGGCCAGTGCAAAGTCTGCCAAGAATCATAGAAAGTCAGAATAGGAAGGAATAAAATAGCCCTCAATTCTCCTATCATCCCCAAAATGGCATGATTTTAAGTTCCCTCTATTCCTTTCCTCCCTCATGTTTCAGGGCAACCGTTACTACATGCATTTCATTCATTCATTCATTCATTCATTCATTCCACAAACATTTATAGATCCTTTATTCTGAACCAAGAATCATGCTGGGTACTTTACATATACTACCTCTTAAAGGTTATAGGGGTCATTATTGCTAGTATATTGCATATACTATCTCTTAAAGGTTATAGGGGGTCATTATTGCTATCTTGCAGACTGGGAAAACAAGGCTCAGACAGGGAAAGTCACTTACTGGTCACACATCTAGTAGGATCTAAACCAAGACATGTGCAACATCAAAGCCCAAGTCCAGGAGGAAATGGACTGTATTCCAAAGCAAATAAGCTATGCACTCAGGCAGCCATTATTGGCTGGGTGGCTTTGGGCAAGTCATTGAACTCTTCTCAGCAGCAGTTTTCCCACCTCTGCAGAGTAAGTGTATACCCACCTATTTCATGTAAGCTAAGTGCTTTGTAAATCGTAACACATAATACAAAGGAAAGGCATCTCAGCTCTTCAGGGACTAGGTCTCACTCGTCTTTGGACCTTTTGGTGCTTTCCCCCCTAGTGTTTGCCTCCATTAGTGTTCATCCCCCATTAGCGCAATTAGGACAGTCTTCCTCTCATGCATCTTATTTCTCCCTCCAGCCTGGGACTTCCTCGACGACAGGAATGATGCTTATTAATTTCTGATCCCTTTCTGTCCCTAGTACAGTGTCTGGCCTGCATCCCTCCATTCCTTTACATTTTTATGCATTTCATAAGAAATGGCTGAGTGCCTAACATGTGCCAGGCACTACACAGACTGTAATACAGCAAAAGTCCCAAGTTTCCTGGACTGGAGGAGTGGAGAAACAGGACAACATTAAACACAATTACTTAATAACAATTCCATTAAGTGCTGCAAAGAATCAGGTGATATGCCAGGAGGGATTGGGGGAATGCAGGGTGGGGACCTAACTGAATTGAGGAGCCAGAGAAGGCTTCCTAGAAGAGGTGGCATGGAGCCTCAGAGAGGGTAAGGAACATGCTCAAGGTCACACAGCTGGTAAGTGGCAAAATTGGGATTTTAACCCAGGAATGCCTGAGTACAAAGCCCATACTCTACTAGAAAACACTGTCTCTTATCTGTCTTTTATTTCCTCCACCTTTTACTTCCTTGACTTTTTTTTTTTTTTTTTTAGATGGAGTCTTGCTCTGTCGCCCAGGCTGGAGTGCAGTGGTATGATCTGGGCTCACTGCAACCACCACCTCCTGGGTTCAAGTGATTTTCCTGCCTCAGCCTCCCGAGTAGCTGGGATTATAGGCGTGCGCCACCACACCCAGTTAATTTTTGTATTTTTAGTAGAGACGGGGTTTCACCATGTTGGCCAGGCTGGTATTGAACTCTTGACCTCAAATGATCTGCCCACCTCAGCCTCCCCAAAAGTGCTGGGATTACAGGTGTGACCCACCATAGCCCAGCCCCCTACTTCCTTGACTTTTATTGACGAGAAAGGAGTAAGACCTGTCCAAATGAATGCTCTAAAGCAATATTTTTTCCCAGCTTTTGGGGGATCACAGATTCTTTTAAGAATCTAGTGAAATCCATGAAACCTGTCTCCAGAATTCCATGTATACAGACAGACCCACAAAATCTTGCATACAATTTCAGGGAGTTCATAGGCATTCTGAGGCCCAGGTTTAGAATTCATTCCATGGAGGACCATCCGACCTTATAGTGAGATGTCAGAACCTCAGAAAGAGACACCAGGACCCCATAAACAGCTCAAATCCCCAGAGAGATCTCAAGACCCTATAGAAAGAGTCTCAAGATCCAGTAGAAAGATCTGGGATCCTGTAGAGGCCCCCAAGTTGCTACAGAGTAACAGCTGGGGCTTTGCAGAAATATTCTCAAGAGGCTATAGACATAGAGGAACCTCAACCTCTCATGAAGCTGGGGTCCTCAAAGCAGACTTGGAGAGCTATAATTTTGGGGGGTTTTTTGTTTTTTGTTTTTTGAGACAGGGTCTGGCCTCTGTCACCCAGGCTGCAGTGCAGTGACACAATCACCCCTCACCACAGTCTCAAACTCCTGGGCTCAAGCAATCCTCCTGTCTCAGCCTCCACAGTAGCTGGGACTAGAAGCGTGTGCCACCACGTCCAGTTAATTTTTAAATTTTCTGTAAGGATGATGGGGGGGGGGTCTCACTATGTTTCCCAGGCTGGTCTCAAACTCCTGGAATCAAGCGATCCTCCCACCTCGGCCTCCCAAAGTGGTGGGATTACAGGCATGAGCCACCATGCCCTGCAGAGGGCTATAATTCTTAACCCTTGTTGGATCACTGACGCCTTTGAAACTTCGAAGAAAAATGCAACACACACAACATGTTACACAATTACAAGGGGTTCACAGACCTCTGAGAGGACATCGGTAGCCCCAGGGTACAGAACTCTGGTTCTTGAGGTGCGGCAAGAACGTAACCCCCGCCCCCCAAACACCCCAAAAACCTGGAGCAGAACCACAGACCCGAGGCACAAACTTTAGGATGAAACAGACCCCGAGTTGCATCCTGGCCCTGCCGTTTACTAGCCATGACCTTGAACACTCACCTAGAAACCCTCAGGCCTCAGCATCTCACCACCCAAAAGAGAGGGCTGGACACCCTTCCCTCCCCAGCCTGGCCCCCGCGGCGTGCGCTCCGTGACGGGTGGGGCGCTGGCGCTTGACAGGACTCAGCCTCTCTCCCCTCCTGCGCCAGTGAGCCATGAATCCGGCTGCGGCACTTCATGAAATACTCATGGGCCGACTGCACCAGGCTTGCGGGCGGCGGGGGAGGGGGCCGGCGCGTTCGCCGTTTGCCGCAGTGACAGCTCCGCGCCGCCAGCCGGCCGCGGGCCTGGGAAGCCGCCGGTGCCGGGCGCGCTCTCGGCCTTTCCCACCCACCAGGCAGGGCGTTCCCGCCAGCCGGCTTCCTGCAGCCGAGGGCCGGGGAGGAGGGACGGCGCTGAGGGGCCGCAGGGCCTGGCAGGCCTGGTTCCTGGCTTTCTCTCCGCGTTTCCTGAGCAGGACCGGCCGGGGGATGGGACCCAGCGCAAACCTCCTACCCCGGGAGCGCAGCCAGGAAATCGCGTCCTTGTTAATTCAGGTTCCTCCTTTGCGCTGAACGGGGCTGCTTTCCGTCCGCGATCAAGTGGGCATGATGCGACCCACTTATCCCAGGAGGAAGCGGAGAGACGAAATGGCAGCTCCCGACCCCACGACACAGCAAGATTCCAACCCCATGATGTCAGTGTTAACTCCATCCTATGGATGAGAAAGCTGAGGCTTTGAAAAATGAAGTGACTTATCCAAGGTCATCATAAAAATATTACTACTAATAAAATAACATGCTTACTACATACCAGGCACTGTGCTACAAATACTCCAGGTGTTTTTTGTCATTGGGTTCCTGTAATCTATGAAGATAACTGTTGTTCCTAGTTCATAAATGAGGAAACAGAACCAGAGGCCAAGTGGCATCTCCAGTGATGCACAGCTACGAAATAACAGAGCTAGGAATTAAACTCCAGCCTCCTGTTTCCAGAGCTCAGCCTTTCTCTATCCTGCTTCAGCACTTCAGTTGAGTAACCATGACCTTGTCTCATTTGTTTCTGGGTCCTCAGAGCCTTACCGAGAACTTGACACAAAGTAAGTGCTCAGAGGTGACTAAGGGAACCTTACATGGAAGTTCACACTTAGAAGGACTGATAGGAGGCATCTGTCACGTCACCCTTTCTAGAGCCTTCAGCCAAGTGAAAACTTAGCCTCTGCCTGAATACTCACTATCATGATAAACTCTCCCCCTCTCCACACCCCCATCCCATTCCCTTGTTGGACAAATAGATTTGGTTTAAACGTAAATGCTCCTTTTTTTTTTTGAGACGGAGTTTCGCCTTATAGCCCTGGCTGGAGTGCAATGGCATGATCTTGGCTCATTGCAAACTCCGCCTCCCGGGTTCAAGTGATTCTCCTGCCTCAGCCTCCCAAGTAACTGGGATTACAGGCGTGTGCCACTACACCCGACTAATTTTGTATTTTTAGTAGAGACAGGGTTTCATTGGTTGATCAGGCTGGTCTCAAACTCCTGACCTCAGGTGATCCACCCACCTTGGCCTCCAAAAGTGCTGGGATTACAGGCACGAGCTACTGTGCCCAGCCTTAAATGCTCCTTTTTTTGTCCGTGGTTTCTTGTAAACAAGGCCAGGCCATTTTCCTCCCTGTGGCCACATTACATATTGCATGGTATTCTTAGCCATTCTATAAGGGTAGACGGTTCAATAATTTTAAGTTCCTCGTAAACTGGGACAAGGTCAGCTGTTCATCAAAGCTGTTCCCCTTCCACGTGTAGAGTTGTTTCTGAGAAAAGCAGCCAGACTACATTTTCCAGCACTCCTTGCTAATTAGGTACATAACTCGTGTTCACCAGTGGGATATGGGCAGAGAACATGAATGCCATGTCCTGGCCAAAGTGGTGAAGAAGGATGTATGCTTGCTCAAAGCTCTTTTCTCTCATCTGCCAATCAGATGTCAACACCAGGGGGCCCTTGGAAGCTACAAGTTGAACGGGGCAGAGCCTTAGTCAACCTGGGTCTCACTCATCACTTGACTGAGGGGGGCACACATTGAACTAATTTCTATTGTATTTAGGCGTTGCGATTTCAGGATTTATCTATCATAGCAGTTGGCATAACTAGTATGGGACTACCTTGGGCTCACTGTTGTATCCTCCACATGACAGAGCACAGTGCTGGTTACACGAAAGATGCTCAAAAGACATCTTCAACTGTGTCCAACTGCCTCAGCTGGTCAGAAGCCATCTCTGTTCATCTGATGTCTTATGTAATGTGTTTTCCAAAAAGGGTTTCAAGGTAGTTTCATTGCAGCCTCGAGACCATTTGACTGATAATTAAAGAACAAGAATTCGGGAGCGATAAAAGCCTGGCTCAAAGGCCAGTGGGGAAAAAGGAAAGAAAGATGAAATACGGACTAATTAGGGTAGAAATGGTGGGCTGAGTTTTCTAAGGATAGTAACTGTGAAGAACAAACAAATCATGGTTCTGAGTTTCCTGGCAGTCAAAGCAAAGAGGGAACCAGGATGAGTTACAAACTGTGTAGGAAGTAGTAAACATGTGATTGAATACACAGACCCTGGAGGCAAATTACATTGTTTTGAAACCCAACTCTACCACTTACTAGTCACACGACCTTAAGTAGTTGTTTAATTTCTCTGTGCTTCTGTTGCTTCTTCTGAAAAACAGGATAATATAATAATAAACCCCTTTCTTAGGGTCCCTGGAAGGATTAAATGACTTCAGACATATTTAGTTCTTTTTTTCATTTTGTTTTGTTTTTTGAGGTGGAGTCTCGCTCTGTCGCCCAGGCTGGAGTGCAGTGGTGCAATCTCAGCTCACTGCAACCTCTGCCTCCCAGGTTCAAGTAATTCTCCTGCCTCAGCCTCCTGAGTAGCTGGGATTACAGGCACCTGCTGCCACGCCTGGCTAATTTTTGTATTTTTAGTAGAGACAGGGTTTCACCATGTTGGCCAGGCTGGTCTCGAAATCCTGATTCGAGTGATTCACCTGCCTCAGCCTCCCAAAGTGCTGCGATTATAGGCATGAGCCACCGCGCCCAGCTGCATATTTCATTCTCATAACAGGCCTGTTACATGGTAAATCGTATAGAAGAATTAGCTATTGCTGTGATATGGTTGGAAGAATCAGGCCAGTGATTTGGGAGAGACAAATTTTTCCCTGCATTAAACTCTCAGGGAATGTATTACACATGTGACCCTAATACAATGGATGGTTCCTCAATCAGACAGAGTTGTGCCCCGTGTCACATGGTTGTTTCTTTTTTTTTTTTTTTTTTTTTTTTTTGAGACAGAGTCTTGCTCTGTAGCCCAGGCTGGAGTGCAGTGGCACGATCTCAGCTCACTGCAACCTCTGCCTCCTGGGTCCCAGTTCAAGCAATTCCTCTGCCTCAGTCTCCCGAGTAGCTGGGATTACAGGCACGTGCCACCATGCCTAGCTAATTTTTGTATTTTTGGTAGAGACAGGGTTTCACCATGTTGGCCAGGATGGTCTTGAACTCCTAACCTCGTGATCTGCCTGCCTCGGCCTCCCAAAGGTTGTTTCTCTTATTTTTGGTCCAGACAAACCTTGGTATTCTACTCACTGGGTAATTCTGGGGCAGGATACTAGGGTAACCTAAGGCCCTAGGGACCTTTCTGCTGACAGGCCAGGTAAGTGTAGTAATGAAGGGCAAAGGGGTTAGTGTCAGACAGACCCAGGAACGTTTGTTAACTTCTTCAAGCCTCAGTTTCTTCATCCACACAGTGAGAACAATAACACAAAAACACCATGAAAGGGTTGCTATAAAGATTACATGAAAGAATGTACATAAGGCCAGGCACGGTGGCTCATGCCTGTAATCCCAGCACTTTGGGAGACCGAGGCGGGTGGATCACCTGAGATTGGGAGTTCAAGACCAGCCTGACCAACATGGAGAAACTCTGTCTCTATTAAATATATAAAATTAGCCAGGCGTGGTGGCATATGCCTGTAATCCCAGCTACTGGGGAGGCTGAGGCAGGAGAATCGCTTGAACCTGGGAGGTGGAGGTTGTGGTGAGCCGAGATCACACCATTGCACTTCAGCCTGGGCAACAAAAGCAAAACTCCGTCTCAAAAAAAAAAAGAAAAAGAAAAAAAAAGAATGTACATAAAACGTTTATCACAATAACTAGTATTATAGGAAGACTTCAGTATACAACCACCCACAAAATAAAAAGGAAACTAGCAAAATAAAACAGAGAATATCACGTAGAACCCCTGGAAGAAGCAGAATAATTTTTAATGTTTCAAAAATTGGAACAGAGGCCAGGTGCAGTGGTTAATGCTTGTAATCCAACACTTTGGGAGGATAAGGTGGGAGGATTGCTTGAGCTCAGGAGTTTGAGACCAGCCTGGGCAACAAAGTGAGACCTTGTCTCTACAAAAAATAAAAAAATCAGCCGGGCACAGAAGGCTGAGGTGAGAGGATCGCTTCAGCCTAGAAGGGCGAGGCTGCACTGAGCTACAATTGCGCCACTGTACTCCAGCCTGGCGACAGAGCTAAATTCCGTCTCAAAAAAAAAAAAAAAATGCCAGGCGCAAGTGGCTCATGTCTGTAATCCCAGCACTTCGGGAGGCCAAGGCGGGTGGATCACGGGGTCAGGAGATCGAGACTATCCTGGCTAACACAGCAAAACTCCGTCTCCACTAAAAAAAACACAAAAAATCAGCCAGGCGTGGTGGTGGGTGCCTGTAGTCCCAGCTACTTGGGAGGCTGAGGCAGGAGAATGGCGTGAATCCGGGAGGCGGAGCTTGCAGTAAGTCGAGATCGAGCCACTGCACTCCAGCCTGGGCGACAGAGCAAGACTCTGTCTCAAAAAAAAAAAAAAAAAAAAAAAAAGTGGAACAGAAATGGCACATTTCCCCCAGAATGTGGTCCTGGGCTGTCCAAAGCATCATTTCTTTGCTTCTGGCTGGAATTCTCTTGGCGTAACTTAGTGTGGTATCAGCTCAGACTGGCCAGTTTTTGAAGCCACCCTGGCCTGGAGACGTGCTGCAAAGCCAGAATGACCACCCTGCCCCAACAACAGACTGTCTTTGATGGGGGCTGAGAACCTGAAGCTTCCCTTATTGAGTGCTTCCTAGGCACCCAGTGCTGTGCTGAGTTTTACACACATTCCCTCGTCCAGCCCCCACAGTAGTCTCAAGGCACGAGCCCTATTCATAATCACATTTTACAGATGAGGAAACTGAGGCTCAGAAAGGCAACATGGGCCAGGCACAGTGGCTCACGCCTGTAATCCCAGCATTTTGGGAGGCCAAAGCAGGTGGATCACTTAAGGTCAGGAGTTCGAGACAAGCCTGGCCAACATAGCGAAACCTCGTATCTACTGAAAAACACGTACAAAAATTAGCTGGGAGTGGTGGCATGCACCTTTAGTCCCAGCTACTCGGGAGGCTGAGGCACAAGAATTGCTTGAACCCAGGAGGCGGGTGTTGCAGTGAGCCAAGATCTCACCACTGCACTCCAGCCTGGGCGAAAGAGTGAGGCTCTGTCTGAAAAAAAAAAAAAGAAAGAAAGAAAGAAAAAAGAAAGCAAGCCAAAGTGACCTGGCCACAACCACACAGCCAAGAGGAGACAGAGCTGGGACCTGAACAAGATGTGTCTGGTGCCATTATGTGTTCCTAACCATTAGATCGCACACTGCCTCTGCCCTCCAACCTGACCCAGAATCTAGCTTCTTTCATTAGCCACCTGTCTCTTCCCAGGCCGTCTGATTATATCGAAGATCTCCCTGGACACACCTGCTGCTGGGACCAACCACTCTTCCTCTCTGGCCCCAGGGCAGCCCCTTACCCTGTGGGAGCTGTCTCCTGGGCAAGCCAGACAAATTTCACTCGAGTGCCCCTTCACCGATGAGAAGCTCTGAGTGGATGAAAAATCAGCTATCAGTGTAATCACCCCATTCCAGCCTGCAGCTCTTCTAGTTGGACTCTGCCTCCAGGCTCCCCCACCTCCATTCCTTGTTTTTGTTTTTGTTTTTTGAGATGAAGTCTCGCTCTATCACCCTGGCTGGAGTGCAGTGGCATGATCTTGGCTCACTGCAAGTTCTGCCTCCCTGATTCAAGCGATTGTCCTGCCTCAGCCTCCTGAGTAGCTGCAATTACAGGTGCATGCCACCACACCTAGGTAATTTTTATATTTTTAGTAGAGATGGGGTTTCGAAATGTTGGCCAGGCTGGTCTCAAACTCCTGACCCCAAGTGATCTGCCCGCCTCAGCCTCCCAAAGTGCTGGGATTACAGGCGTGAGCCACCACGCCCGGCCCATTTCTTCTTTTACACCCAGCTTGAGTGATTGGTTTCAACACTGGTCTAACTGTATCATTCCTTTGCTAAATAATCTTCAATAGCTCCCTGTTGCTCCCAGGATAAAGTTCAAAGTAGATAGCTTGGTCAAGTCCCCAAGGCCCAGCTTATTTCTCCAACCCTCTCTTTCTTCTCAGGCACTCTAGACTCTCAGCACCCCCGAACTCTAGACTCTCAGCACCCCTGAATCATTCACCATTTTCAGCCTCAGACCCTTTGCACATCTGTGTGTCATGAAATGAACAGAAGTATGGATGAGCTTTCACACATATCCTGGGCTGTGAAGCTGTTGGATTCCATCAGCCTTACCTTCTCTGGGTGGCAGCAAAGACTTCCTGCCTTCTTGCAGAAACTTCTCTGCTGGACTGGAGTTGACCATCAACTGTCTGGAAAAGGGACCTGTCAGGAAGAGGGCACCAGCAGTTCCAACTCTGTGTAGAGCCCCAGTAAATGAGGACCTTATCTTGTACCCAAATCTAAGTGTCAGAGGCTACCTCGTGAGCTAGGTGTCAGGGAGTTCCCCCTGCAGCAAAAGGAAGCTAGGTTTCCCACCCGGTCTGTGTGATGCCTGCATCCAGGCTCTTAGCCACTACTCCATACTACCTCCTTGACTGAGGCAGAATTCACCTCTGTATATGTATAATGTATATGTATATATGTATAATGTATACAGTACAATGCTGTCCTAGCCTTGACCTCCCAGGCTTAAGGCATTCTCCCACCTCAGCCTCCTGAATAGCTGGGACTACAGGCATGCACCACCACACCCAGCTAGTTTTTGTGTTTTTTGTAGAGACGGAGTTTCACCGTGTTGCCCAGGCTGGTCTCAAACTCCTGAGCTCAAGAGATCCACCTGCCTCGGCCTCCAAAGGTGCTGCAATTACAGGTACAAGCCACCGCGCCAGGCTGGCTTTGCTATTCCCCGCTCACCATTCCCCCTTGCAAAGGAAAATTGATCGGAAGAGGAAGGAGCCCACCCACCTTTGATTTCTGCACTTTTTCCTGGTGCCTCTGCGCCACCTGGTGGCCATATCTAAAATAAATTAGGATTTCTGAAGAAAGCTTTAAGGAGGTGTAGGGTGGGTCCACTTAACAACAAAATTCTCAACAGCAAACTTTTCATCCCAGTCCACATTTCTCTATAAGGCCCCAGGTCTCACCAGTGCCTGAGGTTATGAGAAAGGCAGAAGTGAATTTTGTCCCACTGAAGAATCTTGGGTCTGTCACTGCCCCTTCTGGGATCAGTTTCCTCATCTGTTAATAAAAAAGGCAGGAGGCCGAGTGCGGTGGCTCACACCTGTAATCCCAGCACTTTGGGAGGCTGAGGCAAGTGGATCACCTGAGGTCAGGAGTTTGAGACCAGCCTGGCCAACATGGTGAAACCCCATCTCTACTAAAAATACAAAAATTAGCCGGGCGTGGTGGCAGCCACCTGTAGTCCCAGCTACCCGGCAGGCTGAGGCAGGAGAATCACTTGAATCTGGGAGGTGGAGGTTTGGTGAGCTGAGATCACACCACTGCACTTCACCCTGGGTGGCAGAGCGAGACTCCCTCTCAAAAAAAGAAAGAGGCAGGAGGGGACTGGGCGCTACCAGCTCTGACATTCTAGGATTCATGTCTAAAGTGACTCTGCCTCCTCCCTTAGCTCAGTGAGCAAAATGTAAGCTCCCGGAGGGCAGGGAAGTTGCTGGCTTGTTCAATCTCTATCCCAAGTGCATGGGCAGTGCTTTGTACATAGGAGATACTTTATTGGGTTTGGGGCTATATTAATAGAAGCACTGTGTGTACAGTGAGGGAGATGATAGTCCTTCTGTCCGTGTCTAGAGAACTGTGTTCCATTTTGGGATCAGAACTTTGACTGGAACATGGAAAAAGTATAACTTATCCATAGGATGATGAACAAGATGATGGCTGGGGGGACCTCAAAATCACATTTTATGGGGAAGAGTTGAAGGAGCCACTCTCTGACTGTGGTATATAAAATACTGAAGGGGTGCAATGTGTCCACTTCAAACATCTGAAGAGAGCACGTGGGCTTTGAGAACTAGGAACCAGGGGCTGCCACTTCTGGGAGACAGATTTTTCTTTCCCCAAAACCAAGGGAAGCTTTCAGTCAGAGCTCAATAAAGAACAAATATGCATTTGATCTCAGTCTGTCCCTAATGTGCTTTTAAGCTTGGCAAGTTCCCTCATGACTTTGAACCTCAGTTTTCTCACATATAAAATGGGCATAATATGGAACATGCAGGAACATGCAGGCCTCCCAAAGTGCTGGGATTACAGGCATGAGCCACCACGCCTGGCCAAGTTCTAAGTTTATCTTCAATTTGACTTTTTTTTTTTATGTTATGAGGGAATCATAGAAAGCATGTTTAAAGTGCCGAGTGGGCCAGGCACAGTGGCTCATGCCTGTAATCCCAGCACTTTGGGAGGCTGAGGTGGGCGGATCACGAGGTCAGGAGTTTGAGACCAGCCTGGCCAGTATGGTGAAACGCCCATCCCTACTAAAAATACAAAAATTAGCTGGGCATGGCGGCAGGTGCCTGTAATCCCAGTTACTCAGGAGGCTGAGGCAGGAGAATCGCTTGAACCCGGGAGGTGGAGGTTGCAGTGAGTTGAGATTGCGCCATTGCCCTCCACCCTGGCAACAAGAGTGGAACTCTGTCTCAAAAATAAATAATAAAAATAAATAAAGTGCCAAGTGCAAGGCCTGGCACCTGACTAGTTTTGGGTTAGTGTAGCTATGGTTAAAAAAATACAGAAAGGGTAGGGAGCGGTGGCTCATGCCTGTAATCCCAGCACTTTGGGAGGCCGAGGCGGTCGGATCACGAGGTCAAGAGATCAAGACCATCCTGGCCAACATGGTGAAACCCCGTCTCTACTAAAAATACAAAAAAAAAAAAATTATCTGGGTGTGGTGGCGCATGCCTGTGGTCCCAGCTATTCAGGAGGCTGAGGCAGAATAATCGCTTGAACCCAGGAGGCGGAGTTTGCAGTGAGCCGGGATCGTGCCACGGCACTGCAGCCTCGCGATAGAGCGAAACTCTGTCTTAAAAAAAAAATAGAGAAAGGTGATGAGCACCCTCTCAAACAACTGGTACAAGTGTTGCCAAGGAGGTGGTAGAGGCTGATGGCTAGCCATGCTGGCTCTCAGGTCATACTGCTAGATGTAATTCTGACTTTGCTATTTATTTATTTTTGTTTTATTTTTTGAGATAGGGTATTGCTCTGTCACCCAGGCTACAGTGCAGTGGCATGAACATGGCTCACTACAGCTTCAACCTCTCAGGTTCAAGGGATTCTCCCACCTCAGCCTCCTGAGTAGCTGGGACTACAGGTGCATGCCACCAAACCTGTCTAGTTTTTGTGTTTTTTTGTAGAGATGGGGTTTCACCATGTTGCCCAGGCTGGTATCAAACTCCTGAGCTCAAGGAATCCGCCCACCTAGGCCTCAGAAAGTACTGGGATTACAGGCTTGAACTATCATGCCCGCTGTCTTTGCTATTTAGTTGCAGCAATACCTTGAGTGAATTACTTAACCATTCTGAGTCTCAGTTTACCCATCTGCAAAATGGGGATAATAGTAGTTCCCACTTCACCAATTATAATGCATAAGCTGCTGCTCTGATGTTAGAGATCTGATTGGGATTGTCCTGGATGACCTTGAAGGCCCTCTCCCATCTGATACCCTCTAGGTCTAGAATTCCTACTCCTTCCCTTGGGAGCAAAATAGACGGGGGCCAGGGAAGCAGGTAAATGCACTATCTTAAGACCCTCAGATGCAGAGGACTACTCACATCTATCCTTGCCAGTGACCGTGTAAAAAGGGCACTTCTGCCTTCCTCCCCTCAGTCCACCTCTTCCTGTGACAGGTGGCTGGAATGCACCTGAGGGAGCTGAGGGCGTGGGGTGCGGCACAGGCTTGGTGGAGGACCGGCTGTCTGGCTTTGTAATCTGTTTCATGCACTTTGGTCCCCAGAGGAACTGTGAGCTCCATGAGGGACCCAGCTGCTGTATGGAGAACAGAAATTAGTCAACAGCATGGGGAGGATCAATGGGGAGGATCAGAGGTTGCCAACTGGTGGCCCAGAGGCCAAACCTTGTTCACAGGCTTGTTTGGTGATCTACATAGTTGCACCGTGTTTTCTGTGTGTGTGTGTGTGTGTGTGTGTGTGTGTGTATGTGTTTAGTTAATTCCTTATAAGCTAACTGTGGCCTAGTCTCATTCAATAACCTCCCCCAGTTTTGAACGCTCCAGAGTTGAGCATAGGCCCCAACCACCCTGAGGTTAACATTATTATTACCCACATTGTACAGAACAAACTGAGGCAGAGAGACATGAAGCAAGACTGTGGAAAAACTGGGACAGGTTCATTGGTTCTCAGATCAGTGCTTTCTTCACTGCTTTATGCTGCTCCTCAAAGCCACATGCCATTTTGACCCTGGCCATATCCCCTGGGGGTTAAGAGTGAGGATTCTGGGCTGCAGCTGTGTCTTGAATTCTGGTCCCACCACTTATCAGCAGGTGAAAATGGGCAAAGTATTTAATTTCTTGGGGCTTCCAGTTCCTCATCTGGAGGATAGTAATAGGACCAACTTCATGCAGGTTAAATGAGTTAATGCTCATAAAATGCTTAGGGCAGTACCTAGGTACACAGTAAGTGCTCAATAGACACTTGCTATTATCGTTACTTGAGTACTGGCTGTGTGCCAGGTACTAAGAGTACAAAGATCAATGAAATACCCTGCGGGGCTCCTAGTCTGATGAGAGATCATGGGACAGTGACATGCACCCTAAGGATGCTGACTGAGAAAGCAGAGGTGGGCCACGGTGCCCAAATATTTACTCAAACGTCAGGATTCACCTCCTGCGGGCTGCAGCCTGTTGCCATTTAAGCTGACCTGAGGCCTGGTGTGATGGTGCATGCCTGTAGTCCCAGCTACTTGGGAGGCAGGGGCAGGAGGATCGCCTGAGACCAGGAGTTCCAGGCTGTAGTATGCCATGATCATACCTGTGAATAGCCACTGTACTCCAGCCTAGGCAACATAGTGAGACCTCACCTCTAAAAAAAAACAAAAACAAAAAAATGGACTTAGGGTCCTGTGACCAGGGAACAGGATTGGCTGCAGGGTGGGCACTCTGCAGTGTCTGCCCACTTACATACACCATAAATTAGCAGAGTCCTGTGTTAGACAGGAACCTGCATCGTCACCATCACGCTGTGTGTGTGTCTGTGACTAAGCGTGAAGGAATTAGGGGCATGACAGGGATGGGTGGGAAGAAGAGGAGAAAGGCTCTAAACACAGGCTTCCCCTATGGTCATGAGAAACAAGTTTCTCTTTTTTTTTTTTCAGATGGAGTTTCGCTCTTGTTGTCCAGGCTGGAGTGCAATGGCGCAATCTCGGCTTGCTGCAACCTCCGCCTCCCAGTTCAAGCAATTCTGCCTCAGCCTCCCAAGTAGCTGGGATTACAGGCGCGTGCCGCCATGCCTGGCTAATTTTGTATTTTTAGTAGTGATGGGGTTTCTCCAGGTTGGTCAGACTGGTCTCAAACTCCCGACCTCAGGTGATCCACCCGCCCCGGCCTCCCAAAGTGCTGTGATTATAGGCATGAGCCACCGCGCCCGGCCTAAGTTCTAAGTTTACCTTCAATTTGACTTTTTTTTTTTTTGAGACAGGGTCTTGCTCTGTCACCCAGGCTGAAGTGCAGTGACACGATCATAGCTCACTGCAGTCTCAACCTCCCCGGCTCAAGCAATCCTCCCACCTTAGCCTCCCCAGTAGCTGAGACTACAGGTGTGTACCACCATACCCGCCTAATTTTTGCATTTTTAGTAGAGATGGGGTTTCACCATGTTGCCCAGGCTGGTCTCGAACTCTTGGGCTCAAGTGATCCTCCAGCTTTGCCCTCCCAAAGTGCTGGGATTACAGGAGTGTGCCACTGTGCCCAGCCCTGCCTGGGTGATTCTAATGCAGGTGGTACAGGGCTGCGCTGGATGATGTCTAGCATAAGCTTCAAATCAGCATGAGATTCCTCTGGATAACCAACCATCCCCTAAATCTTCGCCTCCCGCCTTTCCCTTTCCTTCCTGACACCCCATATTCCTGCCCCTCATTCTTCTTTCTGTGCCCAGAGACCCCACCAAATATTACAGGTCTCTGGGGCTCTGTTACTGCTCTTTTCTCCACCTGGTGTGGCCCTCCCTACCTTCCTCTGCTCTGTCCCATCTCCCCCAAGAGGTCTTGTCATACCTCCCCTCTCTTGGGCTCCTATCTATTCCACATGGGCTCAGCTTTTGGCAGTCTGCTGAAGTGTTCTCTCTTTATGAAACCTTCTCTAATATCACCTAACCATAAGCAGGTTTCTTTTATTTTTCTTTTTTCTTTTCTTTTTTTATTTTGAGACAGGGTCTCATTCTGTCTCTTAGGCTGGAGTGCAGTGGCATGATCAGGGCTCACTGTAGCCACAGCCTCTCGAGTAGCTGGGACTACTGGTGCGCTCCACCATGTCCGGTAATTTCTGTTGTTGTCGTTAGAGACGGGGTCTCCCTATGTTGCCCAGGCTGGTCTCAAACTCCTGAGCTCAAGTAGTCCTCCTCTTCAGCTTCCCAAAGTGCTGGGATCACAGGCATGAGCCACCATGCCCAGCCCATAAGCAGGTTTCTTTACCTCATCTATAAAATCAAGATGACAAGTAAATGAGAAAGTGTAAGCAAGGAGCATTATAGGCACTTAATAAATCATAGGTACTATTTTTATATTGCTGTTTGACGTTGAGTAGGTCAGTTTAAGAGCTCTTGTGCCAAGCACTGTAGTAACTTATACAGTAACTTATCTATTATTATCCCCGTTGTATATTTGAAAATGAGACAAAGAGAGATAAAGAAACTTTTCTAGGCCATGTGTGGTGGCTCATGCCTGTATTCCCAGCATTTTGGGAGGCCGAGGTGGGAGAATTGCTTGAGCCCAGAAGTTTGAAACCAGCCTGGGCAACATAGTGAGATCCCCATCTCTACCGAAAATTTTAAAAATTAGCCAGTCATAGTGGTGTGAGCCTGTGGTTCCAGCTACTCAGAAGGCTGAGCCTGGGAGGTCGAGGCTGCAGTGAGTCCCGATTGTGCCACTGTACTCCAGCCTGGGCAACAGAGCGAGACCTTGTCTTAAAAAGAAAAGAAAAGGGCCGGGCTTGGTGGCTCACACCTGTAATCCCAGCACTTTGGGAGGCTGAGGAGGGTGGATCACCTGAGGTCAGGAGTTCGAGACCAGCCTGGCCAACATGGTGAAACCCCATCTCTACTAAAAATACAAAAATTAGCCAGGTATGGTGGTGCATGCCTGTAATCCAAGCTACTCGGGAGGCTGAGGCAGAAGAATCGCTTGAACCCAGGGGGTGGAGATTGCAGAGAGCCGAGATCAGGCCATTGCACTCCAGCCTGGGCAACAAGAGCAAAACTCTGTCTGAAAAAAAAAAAAAGAAGAAAGAAAGAAAGAAAAAGAAAGAAACCTATCCAGGTTCATCCAGGAGAAACTGGCTGCAGTCGGATTTGAGCTGAGGCATCAGGTCCTGAGCCTTTTTTTTTTTTTTTCTTTTTGAGATAGGATCTTGCTCTGTCACCCAGGCCAGAGTGCAGTGACATGATCATGGCACACTGCAGCCTCAACCTCCCATGCTCAAGCAATCCTCCCACCTCAGCCTCCCAAGCAGCTGGTACTACAGGTGCACACCACCATGTCTGGATAATTTTTGTATTTTTTTGTAGAGGCAGGGTTTTGACATGTTTCCCATGCTGGTCTTGAACTCCTGGGCTCAAGCAATCCTCCCACCTTAGCCTCCCAAAGTGCTGGGATTATAGGTATGAGCCACTGAGGGTGGCCACTGAGCTCTTAATCATCATGCTATCCTTACTTTCTCACATCCTGATAGGAGATAACAAGTGCCAAGGCTGGAGCGTGGGACCTGGCCTGTGGTAGGTGCTCAACAAATGCTAGAGACTGAATTGAGTTGAATGGTTTCTACATCCAGGGAGAGGGGGAAAAATCACCCAAAGACATTACTGGCCATGATGTCTCATGCTTTTTATTTGATAAGACTCAACATCTCTAATGAGTTTTCAGATCTCTAATGAGAAAGAGATGTTAAAAAAAAATTCAGAAAAAAAATTCAGAATGGTGTCCCACTCAAAGCTTGCGGTGGGTGGGGGGTGGGCGTCTAAAGCCGGTCAATCTACCTCAAAGGGGTGATCATGGGTTTCAACTTCAGAATGTGAAGATGGCGCAGGCATATTGGGGAAGAAGGAAGGGTACAGGGTAGTCAATCTGGTCCCAACCATCCTACCCCCGCTACCCCTAACTTCTGAATCTCTCTCCAAGTCACTCTATATCATCGGCACTGCAAATACTGTCTTTCTCTTCACGGACAACTGGGAGAGATTTAATCTAAGAAAGACTCAGTGGAAGAAACGCATGGATATTATTTTCCAATCAAGGTGCCACACAGAATGGAGACCCATCCTGGCTCCAAATTCTCTTTCAATTCAGGTCATTAATCTTATTCACCCTCCTTTAAGCTCCATATAGATCTCAGGTAGACCAGAGAGCCTTCCCTCTGAGTCTGGGGTCTTTTCTATAATCAAACAGTTTCTCACCTGAACTGTATCAACCAGGAATCTTGTAGGTCACACACTTCTTCCAACAAAGAGGAACTGTGAAAACATTATGTTGGCCAGGCACAGTGGCTCATGCCTGTAATCCCAGCACTTTGGGATGCTGAGGCGGGCGGATCACGAGGTCAAGAGATCGAGACCACCCTGGCCAACATGATGAAACCCCGTCTTTATTAAAAATACAAAAATTAGCTGGGCCTGGTGACACACGTTTGTAGTCCCAGCTACTCTGGAGGCTGAGGCAGAATCTCTTGAACCCGGGATGCGGAGGTTGCAGTGAGCTGAGATTGTGCCACTACACTCCAGCCTGGCGAGAGGGCAAGACTCCGTCTCAAAAAAAAAAAAAAAGAAAGAAAATATTATGCTAAGTAGTGAAATCTTCAGTCCTGCCCCCCGCCCCCCACCACCCACAGCTCTTTCAGAAGTTAAGAAAACAACAGGAAAAAGAACAATTCTGTTGATTGAACCAAGACTCAAGATACCATGAATTAATCCAAGTCTCAGAAAATAATTAAAAAAAAAAAAGACAATCCCGATGAGGTTACAGGACACAAAAGATAACAAGAGTCATCACCGAATAAGACTAGGAGGCCTTCCGGAAAGGGACAATTTTCTGAAAAGCTTGCCGAAACTCTTCATTAAACACAGTGTAGATTATTGGATTGATGAGGGAGTTTAAATAGCCTAGCCAGGTGAAGAAGTCAAAGAGCGCCGGGTGGATCCAGCAGGAGTCCCGGCAGATGGGGAGGACCAGAGACACCACGAAGAAGGGCAGCCAGCAGATGATAAAGGCCCCCAGAATGATGCCCAGGATTTTAGTGGCTTTCCTTTCTCGAGCAGCAGAAATCCTCTTGCGTTCCAGGGCACTGTCAGCAAGCTTGATTTTCACGTGGTTGAAAAAGAGAGGGGAGCCAGCCGAGTGCGAGTGCCCCTCATGGAGGCTGGAGTTGAGCGAGCAGAGCGAGGACCCGGCAGAGCCTGTGATGAGGTGGGCCGTGGTGAAGCGCTTCCCATAGAGTGAGGGTGGATTCAGGATGCGGTTCCGGGCAGCCCGGTAGATCCGGCCATATAGGATGATGAGCAACACCGAGGGAATGTAGAAGGCCCCACAGGTGGAGTAGATGGTGTAGGAGATCTGAGAGGTGTTCACCAGACAGTCCGACATCTCCTCCTGGGCCTTGGCCTGCCGCCAGAAGAGCGGGGGGATGGAGATGCAGATGGAGATGGCCCAGACAATGGCGATCATGGTGGCCGCGTGGCCAGCCGTCCTGCGTTTACTGTATTCCAGGGCATCTGTGATTGCCCAGTACCTGTCCAGAGCAATGACACAGAGATGCAGGATGGAGGCTGTGCAGCACGTGATGTCAGAGGACAGCCAGATGTCACACAAGATTTGGCCAAAGTTCCAGGTGTGGGTGATGGTATAGGCGATGCTGATGGGCATTACCAAGATGGAAACCAAGAGGTCGGTGGTGGCCAGGGAGCCAATCAGGTAGTTGGCAGGGGTGTGGAGCTTCCTGGTGAGTAAGATGGTGGTGAGTACAAAGGCATTGGAGAGGACTGTGGCCAGTGTGATGACGGAAAGGACCACGGCAAGGGAGATCTTGAGCGCCTGGAGGGTCCTGGGATCCCAAGCCTCTGAGGTTTCTGTGGCATTCAGGGATCTGTTGGAGGCCTCCTGGGGAAGGCCTTCTGCTGACTGGTTCAGTGGGGACATGCTAGGTGGCTCTCTCTTCCCACAGACCTCCACACATTTGGCTCCTTCCTTCAAGGTTGTCCTGACAACAGAGCAAAGTCATCCTTCTGCTTCACACTGGTGGGAGCCGTACACCAGAACAGACCACAGTGAAAAGGTCTCAAGACCAGACTATTCTCTAAGTACAGTTGCAATAAAATAAAATTAAATAACAATAATAATAATAATATTAAACAAGACCGGACTATTTGAAGAATGCTGAGACAACTACCAGCTGGTAGTTAAAGGTCTTTCCTAAACCACAGGAATCCCAAGATGTCTCAGGGTCCTGGAACTTTTCCCAGCAGATGGTCATGCCCAGGGGACACATGCTGAATTTGTTAGACAATTATCAGGGGATCACACCCAGGTGGGCAATGCCCTGGGATTCTTGCCTTTGGCATCTGGCTCTTTTCAAAGCTTGAGACATTCGTGTGTTTAATGAGAACTTCAGAATTCCCCTCACAGTAATTGAAACGATTCTGGATTTAGGGTTGCTTCTGAGGAGCTTTTAAAACTAGACACAAAAAGAAGTTCCAGCCGATTCAGAGAAGCAGTCCAGTCAGCACAGCAGCTCGCGGTTTTCCCAGGTTCATCTTGACGCATCCTGAGCTACTTAACTTCGGTTCCTATCCCACTGATCGTTTTAGAGCCTGAACAGACAAAACATCCTGGTTACCAAGACTCGAAGAATGCATAAGCTGGGACCAGGCAAAACAAACAGATCACTGTGGGCTCACAGAGCAGGGACACATTCAGAAGATCTGGGATTTAAAAAAGAAAAAAAATAGAGTTAGGTTCTAGAAGGACAATGTGGAAGCCTGAAATGAACTATATGATTAAAAAGATACTACTTAAAGCTGGCCATGGTGCTGTGAAACTGGCATTCTAAAAAGTATCAGAATACAGGGAGGGTGATGTGCCCCACCCATGCAATTCCCAGAGGGGACAAAGAGTCGTAGCTTTTGGAATCATCACAAGCTTGTTAGAAGTACATGAAATCAGCTCTGTAAGTTGTGAATCAGAAAGCATCATTTTATTTATTTAGCAACAATGGAAACAAAATAAAACTGTACACAGGGAACGATAAAGGCCATCAGGAAAGAAACCAAATTGTTACAATGTATTTCTCTACAAAGTATGGGGGGGGGTGGCCCTTTTTCTACTCATTTGAATTTTCCAAATGTCCTATAGTGAGCATGAATAATTTTTTTTTTTTTGAGACAGAGTCTCGCTCTGTTGCCAGGCTAGAGTGCAGTGACGCAATCTCGGCTCACTGCAACCTCTGCCTCCTGGGTTCAAGCGATTGTCCTGCCTCAGTCTCCCAAGTAGCTGGGACTACAGGCACATGCCATCACGCCCAACTAATTTTTGTATTTTTAGTAGAGATGGGGTTTCACCATGTTGGCCAGTCTGGTCTCAAACTCCTGACCTCATGATCCGCTGCCTCGGCCGCCCAAAGTGCTGGGATTACAGGCATGAACTACTGTGGCTGGCCCCTTGAAGCTTTTTCAGACCTTGTCCTATGTACCTTTTCTTCTGGTTGTTCATTTGAATCCTATATAATAAACCAGTAATTTTAAAAATCATTTGTTTATTTATTCATTTTGAGATAGGATCTAGCTCTGTCCCCCAGGCTAGAGTGCGGTGGCATGACCACAGCTCACTGCAGCCTCGACCTCCTGGATCAAGTGACCCTCCAACCTTAGCCTCCCAAGTAGCTGGAATTACAGGTGCACACCACCGTGCCCAGCTAATTGTTTTTTATTTGTTTGTTTGTTTTCACAGAGGCAGGGTCTTGCTATGTTGCCACGGCTGGTCTCAAACTCCTGGACTTAAGCGATCCTCCAGCCTTGACCTCCCAAAGTGCTGGGATTACAGGTGTGAGCGGCTTTAGCTTCTTAACGTTTTAAAAATCAATCACCAGCTGGGTGCGGTGGCTCTTGACTGTAATCCCAGCACTTTGGGAGGCCGAGGTGGGTGGATCACCTGAGGTCGGGAGTTCGAGACCAGCCTGACCAACATGGAGATACCCCGTCTCTACTAAAAAAACAAAATTAGCCATGCGTGGTGGTGCATGCCTGTAATCCCAGCTACTCGGGAGGCTGAGGCAGGGGAATTGCTTGAACCCAGGAGGTGGAGGTTGCAGTGAGTCAAGATCGTGCCATTATACTCTAGCCTGGGCAACCAGAGTGAAACTCTGCCAAAAAAAAAAAAAAAGAAGGAGCAGCAGCTAAACCTGCAATGCAGTATTTTCCCTCCCACTCCCCAAATTTGTGGGTGCTTCATTAAAAAAAAATCTGCCTGGAGGAGAGGGGAAAGCCTCAGTTTAAGAAAACCAATCCTAAGCCACCAACTCCAAAACATATATTACAGTTTAAAGGATATTATAACAATATCTTTTGAAGAGCTCTTGCTATATTTCAGGCACTGAGCTAGCTTTGGGGCTAAGAGTCATCCAACCTGTAAAGTGGGCAACGTGGCTCCCAACTTATAATGACCCGACCAATGCTCAGAGAGGTGATGTCACCTGCCCAAGGCCACCTGGCTGGAAGTGGAAAAACCAGGTCCAGAGCTCTCAAGAAATTTCTACCCTTGCCTACATTGCCTCAGTTGAGGATGAAAAGCCTTAAGGCACGCGTGTATAGCTGGTGTGATGACCCCCTCCTGCCCCCACTCGCCCCAGGCTCCACCCCAAAAGCCTCCGGCTGAAGTTTTGCTCCCATTTTGGTTCATATGGAAAATGTGAACTCTGGTTGGCTCGTTTGAAACTTTCTTCCCTGCAGACAGTCTGGGTGACTGAGGTGCGTCATTTCCCAAGGAAGCCTGGTGTGCCTGCCCCACAAACTCATGCGGTCACTCCTTGAGTTCCAAGCATTCCAGTGACCTAATTTCAGTGAAAGGCGTGGGTTCAGAAAGGCTCAAGGGGCTGGTGTGTGTGTAAGCCCTCCAGCCCTCAGCAACATCTTGGGAAAAGGGACAGGGACACAGGGACAGGAGCAGACAGACTTGGTTAGGAAGGCTAGGCTGTAGCTTTGCAAGAAGTAACACAATTGAGAGGCTATCTCCCCTCCTGCCTGCTATCCTTCCCCATTGTGAACAAAGGTAGGAGAATTTCTCATAATCTAGCTACCTTTGGAGACATGGACTGTAGCTCTATAAGCAACTGTCTCTTTCCCGTCACACTTCAAATAATAAAATAAAAAATACAGGCCAGGCGTGGTGGCTCACACCTGTAATCCCAGCACTTTGGGAGGCTGAGGCGTGTGGATCACCTGAGGTCAGGAGGTCGAGACCAGCCTGGCCAACATGGTGAAACCCCATCTCTACTAAAATGCAAAAATTAGCTGGGCATGGTGGTGGGCACCCAGCTACTCGGGAGGCTGAGGCAGGAGAATCACTCGAATCCGTGAGGCAGAGGTTGCAGTGAGCCAAGATTGCACCATTGCACTCCAGCCTGGGCGACAGAGCAAGACTCTACCTAAAAAAAAAAAAAAAAAATTAAAATGACAATGAAGGCTGGGTGTGGTGGCGTATGCCAGTAATCCCAACACTTTGGGAGGCCCAGGTGGGAGGATCACTTGGGCCCAGGAGTTCAAGACCAGCCTGGGCAACATAGCAAGACTATCTATTTTAAACAAAAGAAAAAAGAAAGAAAAATTAAAATGACAAGAAGATACCATTTTCACCTAGTAGAAAAGTACAACATTTTAAATCTGATCATGTCATGTCAGTTAATAAGAGTGTGGAGCTTGGGAGACTGAGGCAGGAGGACTGCTTGAGCCCAGGAGTTCAAGATCAGCCTGGGCAGCACAGTGAGATCCTGTCTCTTAAAAAAAAAAAAAAAGTGTGGGCCGGGCGCAATGGCTCACGCCTGTAATCCCAGCACTTTGGGAGGCCAAGGCAGGAGGATCATGAGGTCAGGAGATCAAGACCACGGTGAAACCCCGTCTCTACTAAAAATACAAAAAAAAAAAAATTAGCCGGGCACAGTGGTGGGCGCCTGTAGTCCCAGCTACTCGGGAGGCTGAGGCAGGAGAATGGCGTGAACCCAGGAGGCGGAGCTTGCAGTGAGCCGAGATCGCGCCACTGCACTCCAGCCTGGGTGATGGAGCGAGACTCCGTCTCAAAAAAAAAAAAAAAAAAAAAAGTGTAGAGCAATTTTCTACCACTAGTAGAGTAAAAATTGGAGAAACTTCATAAGCAAACAATGTGGTATTATTTCATAAAACTAAAGATGTGATGACTACCTCATGATTCAGCAATTCCGCTGCTGGGTATGCATGGCAGAGAAACTCTTCTGTGTTCACTAGAAGACAGCAACAAGAATGGTCCTAGTAGCATGAAATAGCAAACAACTAAAAACAACCAAACGTCCATCAACAGCAGAATGGTAGCATATGGCGTATTCCTATGATGGAGGGCTACAGAGAAGCAAAACAGAGTAAACCACAGCTACACATACCAAAATGGTGATTGTCACAAACAAGGCAGAGTGCCAAAGTCAAAAACACGCAAGAAGAAACAAACTGTTAGGGAGATAAATATATGTGGCAAAACCATAAGGAAAAGCAAAGAAATTATAAATATAAAATTCAGGATAGTGGTTACTCCTGGAGGGAAAAGGAAGAAGGAATATAATCATAAAGGGTTTTAAAAGTTTCAATTATGTTCTTTTCACGATCTCGGCTCACTGCAACCTCCACCTCCCAGGTTTAAGCGATTCTCCTGCCTCAGCATCCCAAGTAGCTGGGATTACAGGTGTGTACCACCATGCCCGGCTAATTTTTGTATTTTTTTTTAGTAGAGATGGGGTTTCGCCATGTTGGCCAGCCTGCCTTGGCCTCCCAAAGTGCTGGGATTATAGGCGTGAGCCACCATGCCGGGCCTTTTTGAGAAAGGGTCTCACTCTGTCACCTAGGCTGGAGTGCAGGGGCATGATCACAGCTCACTGCAGTCTTGACCTCCTGGGCTTAAGTGATCCTCCCACCTCAGCCTCCTGAGTAGCTGGGACCACAGATACACACTACCACTCCCAAGTGATTTTTAAATTTTTTTGTAGAGGTGGGGTCTCCCTATGTTGTCCAGGCTTGTCTTCAAACTCCTGGACTCAAGCAATTCTCCCACCTTGGCCTTCTAAAGTGCTGGGATTACAGGTGTGAGCCGCCATGTGTGGTCTTTTTTTTTTTTTTTTTTTTTTTTTTTTTTTTTTTTTTAGAGAGAGGGTCTTGCTCTGTCACCCAGATATAGTGGCACAGTCATAGCTCACTGCAGCCTTGAACTTCTGGGCTCAAGTGATCCTCCCAACTTGGCCTCCCAAAGTTGGGATTATAGGCATCAGCCACCATGCCCAGCCTGATGTTGTATTTTTTAAGTAGGTGGTGAGTACATTAATATTAATTGTTATTCGTGTGTGTGTGTTTGTACTGCTTTGTAGGGAATGATGTATTTGTGATTTTTCTTTCTTTCTTTCTTTTTCTTGGCGGGGAAGGAGTCTTCCTCTGTCACCCAGCCTGGAATGCAGTGATGCAAATCTTCGCTCACTGCAGCCTCCGCCTTCCGGGTTCAAGTGATCCTCCCACCTCAGCCTCCTGAGTAGCTGGGACTACAAGCACGTACCACCATGCCTGGCTAATCTTTGTATTTTTAGTAAAGATGGGGTTTCACCATGTTGGCCAGGCTGGTGTTGAGTTCCTGACCTCAGGTGATCTGCCCACCTCAGCCTCCCAAAGTGCTGGGATTACAGGCATGAGCCACCGTGCTCGGTAGTATATGTAATTTTTCTCAATCTATTTTGTATATTATGAAAAAGAACCCTATCACCAGCAATAATATATTGATACATTAATACCTATTGATAATTTTTAGTGCAGAAGATCTGCACTCTGGTCCCAGCTCTGCCACTGACCAGCTGGGTAACCATGGGCAAAGCACAGTCTCTTTGACCCTTAGTTACTTCCTTGGTGAAATGGGAACAAAAGCCTGGCTCTGCTGTCCGAAAGGAGTATTGAGTAGCGCCAGCAAGATCATGTATGTGTTGTGTTGTAAACAGTGGAGTCCTGAACAATTGTCATGATGCTAACAAAGAAGGAATACAGTGGCTAAGAGCAGGCATTCTCAGCTCCCAATTCCTACTGCTTCGCTTTCTTGCTGTGGCCACTGGGCAAATCACTTCACCTCTCTGAGCCTGCACAGCCTCAGTGATGGAGATGATAATCCAAATCTCACAGGAGTTTGGGGAGAACTGTCAATATCATGGAAACCAAACGCTCAATATAGTCAATGGTTTCTTTTTGTTTGTTTATTTATTTATTTATTTATGGATAGGGTCTCCCTGTGTCGCCCAGGCTGGTCTCAAATTCCTGGCCTCAAGTGATCCTTTCACCTTGGCCTCCCAAACTGTTGGGATTATAGACCTGAGCCACCGTGCCTGGCCTTGTAATAAAATGGTGACCACAAATGTGACTTCTCTGGTTCTCTATGGTGCATCCAACCAAATTCAGGTCTCCAGGCAACAACATCACTTCCCTCACCAGAAACAAAGTATCACTGCCCGTTTTGGTGAGAGATGTCTGCCATTGTCAGAAACCCAGACATACCAAGGAGCTTCCTCCCTGCCCACCCATTTTCCCAGGGGCCATGACAGCAGCAGCAGAAGCAAGGACCTTTCTCGGCCCCCACCTCCACCTCCAGGCCACAGCATCTCCCCTGAAGTCCAGATCACATGGACTCCAGCCACACCATGCCTCTCCCAGCTCTGGCATCTCTGAAGAGGGGTGGAAAGAGAAAAGCAGACAGACAGACTTATGACCCAATCCCAGCCTGTTCCAGAGACCACTTTTGATCACAGCTGATTGGACCAGGGTGGACATGTGACCCAAAATGAGCCAATCAGATTCTCTCTTGGGAATTTAGAATGGAGACCATGGGGAGCTGGGCTGGATAGAAGATGGGGGAAGATAAATCTGCAGGCCAAGGGTCCTGAGGCTGGAGTCAGGCTGCAGCCTTTACCAAAGCCAAGGAAGGTTTTGGGGGAATAGAAAAGCCAAAGGTAAACAAAAAGCAGGTCTGTAGAGAGGGGCAGGAGAATGGAGCAGAGAAAGAAGCTGAGGGAGAGGAACCACCTGTCCTGGGAGAGGAGAATGAAGGAGGCTTCCAGGCCAGGGAATACTCCTTCCCATCCCTGTATGTCCATGAGCGACCTTCTATCCAGGAAACCTCATTTGTACCAACTCATGTTTTCCCAGCTGAGCCAGTTTACACGGACACAGCAGCCTCTGAGAAATGGTAGTAAGACAAGGAACTTTCTTCTTCTTCTTTTTCATTTTAAGAGGCAGGGACTTCCTCTGTTGTCCAGGTTGGAGTGCAGTGGCATGATCATGGCTCTCACTGCAGCCTCGATCTCCCAGGTTCAAGTGATCCTTCCACCTCAGCCCTCCAAGTAGCTGGGACTACAGACACAAGCCACCATGCCCAGCAAATTTTCAATATTTTTTTGTAGAGATGGGGTCTTCCTGTGTTGCCCAGGCTGGTATGGAACTCCTGGGCTCAAGTGATCCTCCTGCCTCAGCCTCCCAAAGTGCTGGGATTAGAGGCTGAGCCACTGTGCCCAGCCAAGACAGGGGACTTTTGGTTCCTTCCCACCAACCAATCCCTACTGTGGGGTCCAAGTCCTTTCACCTCCTGGGCCCTTCTTCCTCATCTGTAAATTGGGATAATGACATCTTTCACCCAGAATTGTGATGCGGCTTCAATGAAGTAGGGAGAACATGCCTAGCACAGTGGCTGGCACACAGCAGGTGTTTTTTTAATTTTTGTTTTATTTTTCGTGGTTTTTTGTTGTTGTTGTTGTTGTTTTGTTTGTTTGTTTGTTTTTTGAGACAGAGTCTCACTCTGTTGCCCAGGCTGGAGTGTAGTGACCCAATCTCAGCTCACTGCAACCTTTGCCTCCCAGGTTCAACCTATTCTCCTGCCTCAGCCTCCTGTGTAGCTGAGATTACAGGCATGCACCACCACAACCGACTAATTTTTCTATTTTTAGTAGGGGGTTTCACCATGTTGGCCAGGCTGGTTTCGTACTCCTGGCCTCAAGGGATCTGCCCGTCTGAGCCTCCCAAAGTGCTGGGGTTACATGCATGAGCCACCGCACCTGGCCAGCAAAAGCTGGCCTCTTACAAAAGCAAAAGCTGGCCTCTTACAAAAGCTTCCTATCCAGGGCTCATTCAGCCTGCAGGAAGATCTGTTGCCTCCACTTTCTGAGGGCTCTTTAACTAAGTGAGTCATAAAACCTTGCCAGGAACAAAAAGGATGTATGGGTTTAATGTGTCCTTAGAAGCCAGTCTCATCTTTTTGGAAGAAAAAAATAAGGCTCTGTGATAAAAAGATTTGTTGCAGTAGAATACATCCCCCACACAGTAATTTGTGGCTGTTCTTTCTGTAGAAGCTGTGTACACAGATGAGTGAGCTCTGGATGGAGAAATCACTCTGCACAAATCAGGACAGGGCTTTATATTTTACAAAATGCACCCACAGGTGTTATTTCATCTCATTCTCTCTCCTGCATGGGACCTCCTACAGCCTCAGTTTTCTCCTCTGCAAAAATCAGGGTATCAAGTCTACCTCCCAGAGATATAATGAGGATTGGATAGAATACATGTGGGAAGAATCTGGAAAGTTTCTTTCTTCTTTTTTTTTTGAGACAGAGTCTCACTCTGTCACCAAGGCTGGTGTGCAGTGGGGCAATCTCGGCTCAATGCTACCTCCGCCTCCCAGGTTCAGGCGATTCTCCTGTCTCAGCCTCCGGAGTAGCCGGCCACCACGCCTGGCTAATTTTTTTATTTTTAGTAGGGATGGGGTTTCACAATGTTGGCCAGGCTGGTCTCGAACTACTGACCTCAGGTGATCCCCCACCTCGGCTTCCCAAAGTGCTGGGATTACAGGCATCAGCCACCGCGCCCGGCCAAATCTGGAAAGTTTTAACATGGGTATGGGTGTGTGTGTACGTGTATGCATCTCCCCCATCTCATGCTCTCTCTTTCTACCTGTATCTGAGTGCCAGTTTTAAAATCTAATCACTGTCTTGAGGTGTAAGCAAATCAGTCTTGCACCTCAGTTTCTCTAATCATAAAATCTGGAAAATGAGCAGGGCATGGTGGCTCACGCCTGTAATCCCAGTGCTTTGGGAGGATGAAGTGAGATCACTTGAGGCCAGGAGTTTGAGACCAGCATGAGCAACATAGCGAGACCTCATCTCTCCAAAATATTTAACAATTAGCCAGGCATGGTGGCATGCATCTGTAGTCTTAGCTACTTGGGAGGCTGAGGTGGGAGAACTGCTTGAGCCCAAGAGTTTGAGGTTACAGTGAGCTATGATGGTACCACTGCACTCTAGCCTGGGCAACAGAGTGAGCCCCTGTCTTAAAACAAACAAACAAAAACCTCTGTGAAACATAGAAAATAAAAAGTCACCAAACTTCCAGCCCAGTACTTCCATTCCTAGCTGTACATCCAAGAAAAACATGTGTGTACGTCCACCAAAAGATACATGCAAGAATTGTTCACAGCAGCACTATTCATAACAACCCCAAATTGCAAACTACCTAAACAAACATCTACAGTAGAACGGGGCCAGGCACAGTGGCTCATACCTATAATCCCAGCACTTTGGGAGGCCAAGGCAGAAGGACTGCTTGAGGTTAGGAGTTTGAGATCAGCCTGGGCAATACAGGGAGACCGTCTCTAGAAAAAAATGTTAAAAAAAATTAGCGCTTGCCTACTGCCATGTAAGACATGACTTTGCTCCTCCTTCGCCTTTCACCATGATTGTGAGGCCTCCGCAGCCATGTGGAACTGTGAGTCAATTCAGCCTCTTTCTTTATAAGTTACCCAGTCTCTTTTTTTTTTTTTGAGACGGAGTCTCACTCTGTCACCCAGGCTGGAGTGCAGTGGCACAATCTCGGCTCACTGCAAGCTCCGCCTCCCAGGTTCACGCCATTCTCCTGCCTCAGCCTCCCGAGTAGCTGGGACTACAGGCACTGGCCACCACGCCTGGATAATTTTTGTATTTTTTAGTAGAGACGGGGTTTCACCGTGTTAGCCAGGATGGTCTCGATCTCCTGACCTCGTGATCCACCCGCCTCGGCCTCCCAAAGTGCTGGGATTACAGGCATGAGCCACCATGCCCGGCCACACTCATTTTTTTCATGTGGAAAATGCGAACAATAACAGCACCAATGTCACATGACTGTCACATGAGTGACAGGTAGGTGACTTGCCCAAGATCACATGGCAGTTTAGTGTCCCTCTCAGCTCAGCTCAATGCTTCTACTGCCCTGTGCCACCTCTCCCTGCCCCCATCAAAAGGAGTATTTTTTTTGTCCCTTGATTCTGGGTTCAGCATGGACTCGCTATGGCCAACAGAATGAGGCAGAAGTGACAGTAAGCCAGTGCCAAATGTAGTCCTCTAGAGGCTGTGCATGTTTCTGCTTGCACTCTGTCATTGCCATCCCTGGGCTATGCGCACTGGTCCCTGCAGGGAGAGACAAGGACGTGGAGCAGAGCTGTTCCAGCCAAACCCGGCCTAGAACAGAGCCTCTCACACAACCAGCAGACACATGTGCGAGCCCAGCTAAGATCAGCAGAAATGCCCAGCCAAGGGTATCTATCCAGAGGAAAAGAAGTCATTATACAAAAAAGATACTTGCACATGCATGTTTATAGCAGCACAATTCGCAACTGCAAAATCATAGAACCAACCCAAATGCCCATCAATCAACAAGTAGATAAAGAAACTGTGATTTATATGATGGAATACTATCCAGTCATAAAAAGGACTGAATTAACAGCATTTGCAACTACCTGGATGAAACTGGAGACTATTATATTCTAAGTGAAGTAACTCAGGAATGGAAAACCAAACATTGTATGTTCTCACTGATATGTGGGAACTAAACAATGAGGATGCAAAGGCATAAGAATGATACAATGGACTTCGGGGACTTGGGGGGAAGGGTGGGAGGGGGAAAGGGATAAAAGACTACGAATAGGGTGCAGTGTGTGCTGCTTAGGTGATGGGTGCACCAAAATCTGACGAATCACCTCTAAAGAACTTATTCATGTAACCAAATACCACCTGTACCCCAATAACCTATGGGAAAAAAAAGTACTCAGCCAAGTTCAGATTAAATCAGCCAACCTCCAAATACATGATTTGTAGTAATAAATGCTGTTGTTTTAATTCACTGAGTTTGAGGGTAGCTTGTTACACAGCAATGCCAATTGATAAAGTCCCTTCATTCATTAAGTGTGTGTTTTTGTTTTGTTTTTGAGACAGTTTCACTCTTGTTGCCCAGGCTGGAGTGCAATGGCGCTATCTTAGCTCATTGCAACTTCCGCCTCCCGGGTTCAAGTGATTCTCCTGCCTCAGCCTCCCGAGTAGCTGGGATTACAGGCATGCGCCACCAGGTCCAGCTAGTTTTGTATTTTTAGTAGAGATGGGGTTTCATCAGTTGGTCAGGCTGGTCTCGAACTCCTGACCTCAGGTGACCCACCCTCCTCAGCCTCCCAAAGTGTTGGGATTACAGGCGTGTGCCACTGCACCTGGCCTCTCCATTCATTGAATGACTTGATTCTGTCCATTCTACTGCCCACACCTAACTGTGCCTTGACTCTTCTCTCCCCCTCCACTCCCACTGCCACTGTTCTGTTTCAGGAGAGTGAAACCATCCTTCTTGGCTTCAATGGTCTCCCAGCCTCTACCCCTGGCTCCTCTCCATTCTCTAACCATATCCCACCCAGAATCTTCCTTCCTTTCTTTTTTTTTTGAGATGGAGTCTCGTTCCGTCACCCAGGCTGCAGTGCAGTGGTGCGATCTCGGCTCACTGCAAGCTCCGCCTCCTGGGTTCACGCCATTCTCCTGCCTCAGCCTCCCGAGTAGCTGGGACTACAGATGCCCACCACCATACCCAGCTAATTTTTTTGTATTTTTAGTAGAGACGGGGTTTCACCGTGGTTTCGATCTCCTGACCTCGTGATCCACCCACCTCGGCCTCCCAAAGTGCTGGGATTACGGGCGTGAGCCAACGCGCCGGGCCCAGAATCTTCCTTTCAACTAACAGTCTGACCAGGTCACTCCCTTAAAATCCTCCAGTGGCTCCCACTGCACCTGGGATTAAGCCCAGGCTTCACAGCTTGGTTTAAGAGACTCTTCATGAACTGGTGTTTCCTTCCATCTCCAGCCCCATCTCCCAGCATAGCTGGCTGTGAACTGCATACTCCAGCAGCACAGACCTGCCTGTTCTTCTGCCAGTACCCTCCTGCCATACCCCAGGCTCCGGTGCTGTTTCCTGCTGATCCTTTGTCCCTGCTGTGTCCTCTGACTGGAAAATGTCCTTTCTTCAGTCCCCTGGCTACCTAATTCCAAGTCACCCTTCAGAGCTAGGCTCTGGTGTCTCCCCAGGAAGCCTTCCCTAACCTCCCCCCAAGCCCGGCTTGGCTCAGGTACCCCTTTCCTGAGAGCCTGCCACCCTAGCTCTCACCATATTAGACTGACTCTGACACAGTAACAGGAGCTCCTTGAGTGTCTCATTCACCCCTATAGCCCTGACGCCTGGCCCAGAGCAAGGGATCCATACCTGTCTATGAAAGGCTCCAGGAACTGGTGGGGAATGGGCCCTGAGAACAGAGCACACGCCTGAGAGGCAGAGGCCCTGGGCTTTAGCTTGGCTTTGCTGCGAACTTTCTGTGTGACCTAAGATAAGTCAGTTCCTCCTCCGAGCCTCAGTTTCTCCAACTTGAAAATGAGGTAGTTGGACCAGATCAGAGATTCTCTTGGTGAGCATCAGAATCACCTACCTTGAAGAGCTTTAAAAATACAAGTCAGGCCGGGCACAGTGGCTCACATCTGTAATCTCAGGACATTGGGAGGCCAAGGCAGGCAGATCACTTGAGGTCAGGAGTTCGAGACCAGCTGGCCAACATGGAGAAACCCCGTCTCTACTAAAAAAAAATACAAAAATTATCTGGGTGTGGTGTGTGGTGGTACGTGCCTGTAGTCCCTGCTAGTCAGGAGGCTGAGGCAGGAGAATCGCTTGAACCCAGGAGGCAGAGGTTGCAGTGAGCTGAGATCGTGCTACTGCACTCCAGCCTCGGTAACAGAATGAGACTCCATCTCAAGAAAAAAAAAAAATCTGTTAAAAACAACAACAGATATCTAGGCCTCACCCTCCAGGGGGCAGAGCCCAGGCACTGATTTTTGAAAACTTCTCAAGTGCTTCTAAGGTAAAACCAAGAAGAAAAACCACTGGCCTGGATGATACCTAGTTATCTTCATCACTGACAATTTGGCTACCTTAAAAAAGTCAAAGACAGGTGAAACCTGTTTTCAAGGCCTTTGCAATGCTTAGGGAAATAAGAGGCCCCCAGTGCCTTCCTGCTTTCAGCCTTGCACTGGATCTCTACAAGTCTTCAACAGGCAAGAGACCACCTCAAACAACCAAACACACTGTTAAAAGGCAAGAGCCTCTTTTTTTTTTTTTTTTTTTTGAGGCGGAGTCTTGCTCTGTCACCAAGACTGGAGTACAGTGGTGCGATCTCAGCTCACTGCAACCTCCGCCCACCAGGGTCAAGCAATTCTCCTGCCTTAGCCTCCTGAGTAACTGGGATTACACCATGCACCACCACACCTTGCTAAATTTTGTATGTTTTTAGTAGAGACAGGGTTTCACCATGTTGGTCAGGCTGGTCTCGAACTCTTGACCTCAGGTGATCCGCCCACCTTGGCCTCCCAAAGTGCTGGGATTATAGGCGTGAGCCACTGCACCCGGCCTGCAAGAGCCTTTGAAGTTAACAACTCACTATATTCGCCCATGCTGTGGGAAAGTGGGTAAAGAGGTTTTAAATTCTTACCATCTGGCCAGGCACGGTGGCTCATGCCTGAATCCCAGCACTTTCGGAGATGGAGGTGGGCAGATTGCTTGAGCCCAGGAGTTCAAGACCAGCCTGGGCAACATGGCAAAAGCCCATCTCTACAAAAAATACAAAAATTAGCCAGGTGGCTGGGCATGATGGCTCACGCCTGTAATCCCATCACTTTGGGAGGTCGAGGCGGGTGGAACACCTGAGATCAGGAGTTTGAGACCAGCCTGACCAACATGGTGAAACCCTGTCTCTAATAAAAATACAAAAGTAGCTGGGCATGGAGGCACATGCCTGTAATCCCAGCTACTTGGGAGGCTGGGGCAGGAAAATCGCTTGAACCCAGGAGGCGGAGGTTGCAGTGAGCCGAGATCATGCCATTGCACTCTAGCCTGGGCAACAAGAGCGAAACCCCATCTCAAAAGAAAAAAAAAAGAAAGAAAGAAAAAAAAAATTAGCCAGGCATGGTGTCTCAAAAGAAAAGAAAAGAAAAGAAAAATCACCAACTGCTCCTATCATTACTAACTGGGGGTGGGGGAAATGAATTAGTGCACCCATTTTACAGACGAAGAAACTGAGGTCCAGAGAGGTAAAATGACTGGCTCCCAGCCACACAGGTAATATATGGCACAGCTGGGATTGAGAGCCAAAGTTCAGAAATAAAATAGCCACTATTGGCCATGTGTGGCCATTGGGCACTTGAAATGTAGCCCCTGAGATGTACCTGGTTCAAAAAAAGAATGTAAAAAAAGAATATAAAATATCTCACTAATAAATGTATTAGTTACATGTTGAAATGGTAATATTTTGGGTGTAGTAGGTTAATAGAATATATAAAATTTTCACTTTTTTTTTTTTTTTTTTGAGACAGTCTTGCTCTGTCACCCAGGCTGGAGTGAAGTGGCACAATCTCAGCTGACTGCAACCTCTTCCTCTCTGGTTCAAGCAATTCTCCTGCCTCAGCCTCCTGGGTAGCTGAAATTACAGGTGCGCACCACCAGCATGCCTGGCTAATTTTTGTATTTTTAGTAGAGACAGGGTTTCACCATGTTGGCTAGGCTGGTCTCCAAATCCTGACCTCAGGTGATCCGTCCGCCTCGGCCTCCCAAAGTGCCTGGGATTACAGGCGTGAGCTACCGCACTCAGCCTAGTTTCACTTTTTAAAAATGTGGCTACTTTGAAATTTCCTAAATTGAAAAATCACATTTGTCACTCTTGTTATATTTCTATTGGTCAGTCCTGCTCTAGCAGTGGCTCTCAGTACAGGTGATATTACTCCCTAGGGCTCACATCAGGAGTCTGTCCTCAGGGAACTGCATTTCCAGGGAGGGGGTTGGGACAGTAGGGGGGGAGGGCGCTATGTGGGCATGGGGATGAGGAGGGGTCATAATGGCCCCAGTAGTAAAGTAGTGGCCAACATTTATTGAGAGTTTACTATCTGCCAGGCACTGTTCTAAGCTTCTCATGTATTAACTCATTTAAGTCTGACCGCAACCCTCTGTAGTCAATCCTATTATTATTATCAATTATTCCCACTTCCCAGGGGAGGAAAGTGAGGCTCAGAGAAATGGCTTGCCTAAGACCCCAGAGATAGGGCACTGTGGATCTAGGATTGGAATCTGGGCTTGCCCGACTCCATGCTCCACCATCCATAAAAGGTGCCAGGTAAAGTCAATTCCACTTCTTTCTTTCCACAAATACCTACCCCACACATTCAAGAAATCTGTACTGGGTACCTGTGATGTGCCAGGCTCCATCACTATCACCTGAGCAGGCCCTCTCTCTGACAGGCCTGGTGACGGCAGCTTGGCACAACCCAAAGGAAGGGGAAGGAAGTGGTGACTGGGCGCTTCTCACACTTGAATGTGTACATGCATTACCTAGGGATCTTATTAAAAATGAGGATTCTGATTCTGTGGGTCTGCAGGGTTTTGTTTGCTTGTTTGTTTTGGGACAGGGTCTCACTCTGTCACCTAGGCTGGAGTGCAATGATGTGATCTCGGCTCACTGCAATCTCCCAGGTTCAAGTGATCCTCCTGCCTCTGTTTCTTTAGTAGCTGGGACTACAGGTATGTGCCACCATGCCCGGCTAATTTTTGTAGTTTTAATAGAGACAGGGTTTCACCATGTTGGCCAGGCTGGTCTCGAACTCTTGGCCTCAAGTGATTCACTCGCCTCAACCTCCCAAAATGCTGGGATTATAGGCGTGAGCCACCACGCCCAGCCAGGTCTGCAGTTCTGACAAGCTCTCAGGTGATGCCTGCCACACGGTGGTTGTGTGAGGGGTAGCAGTAGTGTCAGCCCTGGGATTTCAGAAGGGTATCAGGGTGTCAGATGGGAAGGACTCTTAGGAATCATCTAGTCCGACTCCCTCATGATGCTGACAGGAATTGGGCTCAGAGAGGGCAAGACACTTGCTCAAGGTAACACAGTGTGTTACAGGCTGAGACCAAGTCTTCAGACTCCCACCAGCGCTCCTTCTACTGGCTCCTGCTTGCAACAGGAATTTGAGATGAAAGAGAGAAGGCTCTCAGGCCCATTTCACACTATATGCTTCTGGCATTTTCAAGTCTCCCCCCCAGCTCTCATCTGAGTTTCCACACCAGGTGAGTAATCCTGGGAGCCGACTGGCAGGGCTGACCATACTTTGCAAGAAGCCTTTAGAACTGCATCCCCCCTATACTGGAGCCCAACCTCTCTCTTCTCTTCTCCCCCAGATGCTGCACACCTGGGTCCGCAGAGAACACTTTGAGCTGATGGAGTGAATATTTCCAGGACAGAGGAGAAGCTATCTTCTCTAGACTGGATAAACAAGGTACTAACAACAGGAATTCATTTTCTTGAAACCAAACACCAAATTTGTTAGTGTTTACAGGATACAAACTTGCTATTCATCATCTGCTTTTTCTTTTGGGAGCCACAATACAGGTGTGATTCAGAGCACAAGCTTTGGAGCTAGATACAGCTATGGAGTCAGGTAGACTGAACTCACGTGTCAGCTCAGCCGTTTTTCTAGCTTTGTGACCTTAGGCAAGTTACTCAACCTCTCTGTTTCCTCATCTATTCAACTACAATATACTTAAAGCCTACCACATGTTGGCATGAGCAATGCAGATGTGGACTCTCCTCTTAGGAGGACTTACAATGGCCCTGGGGAAATGATCCTGCAATGAGGACCACAGATATGATGAGGATAACAGTGGGGCATGCAGGGAGCTATGGGAAGGAAAGTAGGGGGACAGGTAGCCTGCTGCAACCCTGAGGTTTCACTGTGAAAGTGGCTTTGAAGCTGAGCGTGGGAGGACAAATAAAATTAACAAGTGAAACTGAAATTTCATACCATGTCCCGAGTTAAAAACAAGGAATTAGCAAGTGAAGAGAAGCTGGGTCCAATGATACCTATTCCACAGGATTGAACCTTGGAGAACTCTTCCCTGCAATACACTCCAAATCCTTTTTATGTATGTATGTATGTATGTATGTATGTATGTATGTATGTATGTATGTATTTTTATTTATTTATTTTTAGGCAGGCTCACTCTCTCTGTTGCCTAGGCTGGAGTACAGTGGCATGATCATGGCTCACTGCAGCCTCAACCTCCTGAGCTCAAGCCTTCCTCCTGCCTCAGCCTCCCAAGTTGCTAGAACTGCAGGTGCACCATCATGCCTGGCAAATTTTAAAAAAATTTTTTTATAGAGATGGGGTCTCCCTATGTTGCCCAGGCTGATCTTGAACTCCTAAGTTCAAGTGATCTTCCTGCCTCAGCCTCCCAAAGTACCAGATTACAGTTGTGAATCATCATGCCCAGCCCCAAATCCTTTTCTACATTTCCTATTGTTTACCTATCCAGACATCACACAGCCCGGTCATTTCCTCTCATCCTCCTATTCACCTGGACTGAACAAAAGACCCCACCTCCAGCCCACCTCTTGGCTGAGACCTTTGGCTGCAAAAACACTGCAGTTCTGTCACTTCCTTGAGTCTCTGCGCAGGCTATTCCCTCTATCTGCTCATCTCCCCCACCCTCTCGGGAAGTTTCCTGGTAACTAGGGAGGGACCTGATCACTTCCCTTCTCTCCACGCCACTGGTCTTCTAATGTATACATCACACTGGACTCCCCTGGACTGGAATCTCTTGCTTACCCCACCCCTGTCTCCTTGCTGGACTTGAATTCTGGAAGGAAGGGGCAACTCATGCCATGAAGCCCAGTGCCCTGTGTGTGGGTGCCCATCCCTCTCACTTACCATCCAGCTCCAACTTCACTCTCAAGACCAAGTTTAACTCTCCCCTCTTTACTGAAACTTGTCCTCCTCCTTCTGCCCAAGTGGAGCCAGCCTCTCTCTGTGCCAACACAGTGCCTCGCGTTTAGGATTTGTAATACACATCTCATTATCCTGCAGTCCAATGCCTGTGGTCTGTCTCCCCATAAGATGGTGCATTCCCAAGGCAGGGATACGGCTTTGTTCATAGCTATATATTTTAGGCTTAATACTTACAGATGCTGAGATTTACTCAAAGAATGAATAAAAAAAGAATACTGACAGTTTCACCTTTCTTTGACCCCTCTCTCTGTACCTCTGGCCCCAAATATCCTTTGGTCATCCCTCCTTTATGTCCCACAGGGGCTCCAAACTCAAGCCACCTCACTCACAGCAAGCCCTCCTGAGTGCCTCTTTTTTTTTTTTTTCTTAAGACGGGAGTCTCACTCTGTTGTCTAGGCTGGAGCACAGCGGCTCAATCTCCACTCACTGCAACCTCTGCCTCCCGGGTTCAAGCGATTCTCCTGCCTCAGCCTCCCAAGCAGCTGGGATTACAGGTGCATGCCACCACATCCAGCTAATTTCTGTATTTTTGTAGAGACAGGGTTTCACCATGTTGGCCAGGCTGGTCTCGAACTCCTGACCTCAAGTAATCCACCTGCCTCAGCTTCCCAAAGTGCTGGGATTACAGGAGTGAACCACCATATCTGGCCAGCGCCTCCTTTGTAGCAGACCTTATCCTGTTCTTCCACACCTAGCCCAAGCTTTGAATTCTTCCTTACTCTCTTCCCCAGCACTTAACCAGTTATTTCATAAAAACAATAAGGGTTGGGAGGTCGAGGCTGGCGGATCATGAGGTCAGATCAAGACCATCCTGGCCAACATGGTGAAACCCCGTCTCTACTAAAAACACAAAAATTAGCTGTGCGTGGTGGTGTGCGCCTATAGTCCCAGCTACTTGGGAGGCTGAGGCAGGAGAATCGCTTGAGCCTGTGAGACAGAGGTTGCAGTGAGCTGAAATCGCACCATTGCACTCCAGCCTGGGCGACAGAGACAGACTCCGTCTAAAAACAAAACAAAACAAAAACAATAAGGAAGCAGAGGCTCACATATCAATGGCAAAGTCTAGGGTCTTTCTCTTAATAGGCCAGACCTTTCACTCCCCTACACATTCTGTATTCTCTCCCTTGTCTTCACTAAACATGTTTGGGGCATTCATGTCTTAGTTCAGGCTGTTCCATCTGCCTAGAAGAGCAATCTTTCCCATTCCCTTTCATACATATCTGTTGTACTCCTGTCTGCTTTCTAAATTTTTTTTGTTTGTTTTTTAGAGATGGGGTCTCATCATGTTGCACAGGCTAATCTCAAACTCCTGGGCTCCAGCAGTTTGCCCACCTGGGCTTCCCAAAGTGGTGGGATACAGGTGTGAGCCACGCTACCCAGCCCCTCTCTCTGCTTTCTGAGGTCCTTTTCAAAAGCTACCTCCTCCAGGAAGTCTTCCCTGGACAACTGAGTGCAAAATCTCTCTCCTTTAAGCCCTCTCCCGACTCCAGGTTTGTTTGTGTCTCTCATTGCCTACTGCTGGAAGTTCCTTGAAGATTTACCTATTTTCTTCCCACTCCAGTGTTCAGAGCACAGTAGACTGGCAAATAATAGGAAATAACTTCTCTTGTAAGGCTCAAGTAGGCCCTGGAGAAAGATCAGTATTTCCTCTTCTCCATTTAAAGTTTTTGGCTGGGTGCAATGGCTCACGCCTGTAATTCCAACACTTCGGGAGGCTGAGGTAGGAGGATCACTTGAGCTCAGGAGTTCAAGACCAGCCAGGGCAACATGGCGAAACCCCATCTCTACAAAAAATACAAAAATTAGCTGGGCATGATGGTGCGTGCCTGTAGTCCCAGCTACTCTGGAGGCTGAGGTGGAAGGATGTCTTGAGCCCAAAAGGTGGAAGTTGCAGTGAGCCCAGAGTGCACTGCTGCACTCTAGCCTGGGTGACAAAGCCAGACTCTGTCATCATTCATTCATTCATTCATTCATAAATAAATACATTTCTCCAACAGCTCCCACTTCACTCTGAATAAAATTCAAAACTCCCATGGCTTACAAGGCCCTACGTGATCTGCTGCCACCCCGGCCGTCTCTCTGACCTCATCTCCTACCAGCTGCCCGTCTTAAATATCACCCCTTTGGCAACACCTTGACCAGCCAACATAAAGCAGCTCCCCTCCTCCACCACATCACCCTGGTTTATGCTAATTTTAGCACTTAACCTGATCTGATATTTTCTGCCTGTTTGTTTATTGCGTATCTTTCCCCACACACCCTCCACCTGCCCCATGCCCTGCTAACATACACCTCCTGTCTAGCTCATCCCTATATCCCCAGAGCCTAGAACAGTGCCTGGCTGAAAATAAATAGGTGGGTCAACAGCCTGAGGAGCGATCTGGGCTAGAGGCATACATGTATGAGTCATGTGCATAGAGGTGATAACTAAAGCCAATGGGGTGGGTGAGATCACCCAGAGAGAGTGTCTACTAGGAGAGGAGCAGAGGGCCTGGGGGAGCAGAGCATCTAAGGGCTGTAGAAAGGAGAATGAAGCCGCAAAAAGATGAGGGAACAACGTAACAGTGTCAAGTCACAGGGGCCCAGAGAAGAGAGTGTTTTGGGGAGAAGAAACAGTCAGCAGTGTCAACTGCTGCTGAGAGCAGTGAAAGACTGAGCAGGCCAGGCTCCATGGCTCATACCTGTAGTCCCAGCATTTTGGGAGGCCAAGGAGGGTGGATTCTTTGAGCCCAAGAGTTCGAGGCCAGCCTGGGCAACATGGCGACACCCTGTCTCTACAAAAAATGCAAAAATTAGCCAGGCATGGAGTCGCATGCCTGTAGTCCCAGCTACTGGGGAGGCTGAGGCAGGAGGATCACTTGAACTCAGGAAGTTGAGGTTGCAGTGAGCCATGATCACACCACTACACTCCAGCCTGGGTGACAGAGCACCACCCTGTCTCAAAAACAAAAACAAATAAGCAAAAAGACTGAGTGGTGTCTGCTGAATTCAGCTTCCTGGAAGACATGGCTGACCCCTGCCCCTCTGTGGGCCTTAGACGGGAAACATCTGTGCAATGAAAGAGACCTCTCAGGTCTGGGAACTCCATACTCTGAGAATCTGTATTTCTGCTCACATTCACATTACTCTCACCAAAAAGAATAGTCATCCATCCGTGGCCTAGGAGAGAAGGGATGAGCCAGTGGTCCCGCCCTCATTATTGATCCATCAGGTAACTGACAAACTCTAAGGAAGCATCTCTGTTTTTCTGGCCCTGTACTAGGTTCTGGAAGGCGGTGAGCCAGCAGGCAGGCCTGGGACTGGGAAGCCAGCACTAGGGCTCAGGGCTTCTGTGGCTGCAGAGACATGATCTCCATCCCCCACCCACGGGCTGCACTGGGACTTACTTGTTCATGAGATCAAAGCCTTGGTCTGACAGCAGGGCCCTGAAGTGCTTGTAGAGGTTGTTGTAGGGGTAGAGGCCCTAGCCCCTGCCAGTCAAGTCCAGCTGGCCTGGTCCCTCCCTCCTAGCCACCCTCTAGGTCCCAGCTTCCTGGATGTCTCAATGACAAAGGCTGCCTACTTCTCCCCACCAGTGGAGCAGGACTAAAGACTGAAAAAGGCTGGCTACCCCAATGGCCTCACTTGCTGCTGATAAAGTGTCCCCAAATGTCCTTGTGAGGAGGGCTGAGACCCCAGCCAGTGGCTGTGTGATCCAGAGGACAGCGCAGACCCACACCACGGGCTCAACTGGAAAACACTGGAAGCTGGTTGCAAGGAAGAGTGGAGGGGTTGCTGCTGCTGCTACTCAGAGAAATGATGGCCACTAGTGGCTGAGCTCTGGTTTGGAGCCAGGGGCTGTGCTGAGTGACAATCCCATTAGATTTGTACAGTAAGCCTGTGGGGTGAGAATTGTTGTCCCCACTTCATATGGGAGGAAACCACACCTCAAAGAAGGTAAGGGCTTTCCTGAGATCACACAGCTAGTAGGTGGCCAAGGCCAGTTTGCTAATGCAACCGGGACCCTGACTGAGAGCCCTGCTCTTAATCCCGAACTTTCCCAGACCTGGGGACTTTAGTCTTAGATTCTTCTACTGGTAGTGTGACCTTGGGCAAGACGGATTCCCCACTCTCCCCATTTGTAATAAAGCAGATTTCTCAGTGCCCTTCCAGTTCCGGCATTATGTGATTAGCTAGGATTTATACAGAACTTTACAGTTTCTAAAAAAAGCATCTAGCGGGGATCTCACTTATTTCCAGGGACCCTGCAAAGTGAGAGAATGCCCCTCTATTTGACAGACGTGCAAACTGAGGCTTGGAGAGATGCAGTGACCTGCCCAAGGTCACAGAGCCGGTCAGCCCCAGCCCGGAGCCAGCCGGGGCTCCACACCGGACCCCCTTCAACTCTCTCCAGAGAGGGGAGGCCCCTCCGCGGCGCCGCGCCCGAACCTGGCCAGCAGGGGGCAGCGCCCGGCTTCCCTTGGCGCCCGGGGCCCCTCGGGGGGCGTCGCGGTCCCCGGCCCGGGGGTGCTTCCTGCCCCTCCAGTTCTCGCCTGGGCGCTGGGCACCCCCAACGCGCGCGTGGGATCCCGCAGCCTCCCTGGGCGCTGCCTCAGTCCTCCCTTTTCTCCCGGGGCTCTGGACGGCCACCCCCGGTGGCCTCCCTCCGGCCGGGCAGGTCCTCCGGGACCCTCTCCCTGGCGCGCGCCCGTCCGAGGGCACAGAGAGGCGGGACGCCCCGGGCCCCCGAGGCCCCAGGAGGGGCGCCGCTCCCGGCCTCAGTTCCCCGCGGACGGCCGCTGGGGCCAGGCTGCAGACGCGGCCCCGAGAGCTTACCCGCTGCCCGGCGGGCAGGTGCGCACACCCGGCGTACCCGCCCGATCCACTTCCTCGCGCGGCGTCTCCCCGTCGCGGCCGCCTTGTCTCCGCCGCGACCCCCGCCGAACTCGGGGGCCGCCCGCCCCGCCGCCCCGGGGCCCTTTCCGGCTCGCGCCCTCGCGATCCCGCACCTGCCTCCGCCTCTCCCAGAGCCCTGCGGCTCCTTCTCCGCGCTCCCCTTCCCGCGCCCGCCGCTCCTCCTTGCTCCCTCCTCCAGCTCCTCCCTCGCCGGGCTCCCTCCCTACTCGGCCCCCCGCCCGCCCGGAGGAAGGCTTGGCCCCCGGCCTCCCCGCTCGGGATGGTCCGGAGCTCCGAGCCCCGGCCTGCGACTCGTAGCAGCCCCCGCCCAGCACCCGGGGTGGGTACGCGCAGCGGAAGGGAGGTGGAAAAGGCCCCGGGCCAGCGCTCTCCGGCCCCCACCTGTAGGAGGGCAGGTGGGCTGGCTCTGGGGTAGGGGTCTGCAGGGAGGTGGGCCATGCCCAGAGACACTTGGTGAAAGTCCAGCCTCCCCTATCCGTCCGGGTCCCCGGTGTTCATTCCTAGTTGGATTTTTGTTTTCTTCGTCTAACAAATATTGATTGATCTACTGTGTCAGGCATGTTCTAGGCACTGGGGATACAGCAGTGAACAAAACAGAGGTAGACCTAAGGGAGCTTCCGTTCTGTTGCGGGGAGACAACACATTTAATACGCAAAATGCATAAAATATTTATAGAGGTAAAGGGTAGGGAGGATAAGAAAGCAGAGAAAGAAGGTAGGGAGTGGAAGTGAGGGCTCAGGGGCACCTCCCTGCAAAAGTAGCATTTGAGCAAAGTTAGGAGGTGAAGGAGTGGGTCTTGGGAAAGACCCTGAGCCGGATGGTGTCCAAGCTGGATGAATGGAAGGGGGCGGGGGGGGGGGGCGGTCAGAGAGGTAGGGGAGGGACAGCTCCCAGCATCCTTCAAAGGACAGATTCCGAGTGCCAGCCCCCAGCCCCCAGCAGGTGTTTGGGATGCTGAGATGAACCAGCCTGGTTGCAGAGAACCAGGGGAGAGAGAAGACTTGAGCACAAAGACAGGACCAGCAAGAGGCTTCCACTGAAGACAGTGAAGAGGCACGAACACCGGCCATGGCTTGTGTCCAGGTTTCTCGCAGCTCATGAGGAACTGGCCTTGCCTTCTGTGTCCTTACCGGTTTTTTGGTTGGTTGGTTGGTTGGTTGGTTGGTTGGTTTGGAGACGGAGTCTTGCTCTGTCGCCCAGGCTGGAGCGCAGTGGCGCGATCTCGGCTCACTGCCACCTCCGCCTCCCGGGTTCAAGCGATTCTCCTGCCTCAGCCTCCTGAGTAGCTGGGACTACAGAAGCGTGCCACCTGCCCGGCTAATTTTTTGTATTTTTAATAGAGACGGGGTTTCACCGTATTAGCCAGGATGGTCTGCATCTTCTGACCTCGTGATCCGCCCGCCTCGGCCTCCCATAGTGCTGGGATTACAGGCATGAGCCACTGCGCTCAGCTCCTTACTGGGTCTTTATCTGCTTGTTCTTCATGTGTTTTGAAGCCTGTTATTAGTTAGGGGCATTAAGATTGTTATGTTATGTTTGTTTGTTTTTTGTTTTTGTTTGTTTGTTTGTTTTTTAGAGACGGGGTCTTGCTATGTTGTTCAGGCTGGTTTCAAACTCCTGGGCTCAAGTGATCCTCCCGCCTTGGCCTCCCAAAGTGCTGAGATTACAGGTGTAAGCCACTGTGGCCAACCCTGTTATTTCTTCTTGATGAATTGACCCTTTTATCATTACGAAATGACCCTCTGTCCCTGGTAACATTCTTTGTCTTGAAGTCTCCTTCACTGGGTGTAGGGAGAGGCCAGCAGCACCTGCCGGCATTGGTTTATTCGCAGCCCACACAGCTGTTGGACATCTGGCACACCCAAAACTCAGCAGCTCATCTAGACTTTCTATTCTGTGTCCTTCTGTGTCCTTCTGTCTCCACATAACTCTCTACAAACCTAGCCCTCCCCTCCTTTCTTCATGCCCCACCCTCTTGGTTTACCATTTGATGATTGGCCTGGAGCCTACATCTCTCTCAATCTCTCTCTTTTTTGGAAGCCTGTGATCAATGATCATTAATAATGCAAACATTCTTTTCGTCTTAGCACAAATCCCAGGCAAATAAATCACTGGCAAATAGGAGTTATCGGCAACCACACCTCGGCCTCCACTCTACTCAGGCCCTAGGTTCTTTTCCCAAATAGGAAATAGGAAGGTTGAGCAATGAAAAATGTAGGCATTTCCCAAAATAGGCACTGCGGCTCATGCCCCAGGTTGAAGTCAGGAAGGAGGAAAGGGTCCTGTCTACACAGCCGAAGCACTTGCAGCTGCTGTTGGGGTCCTAGCCTAAGATCCTGCAGTTGAAAAATCCAAATGGCAGAGTAAATACAGACACATCCTGGGTGTGTGTCCTCAATGAAAAGACCCTGACAGCCCCAGAAGCTGCCCTGGTCAGGGCGAACCTTGGGCAAAACTTGTATGGCGGCCGGGCGCGGTGGCTCACGCCTGTAATCCCAGCACTTTGGGAGGCCGAGGCGGGCAGATCATGAGGTTAGGAGATCGAGACCATCCCGGCTAAAACGGTGAAACCCCGTCTCTACTAAAAATACAAAAAATAGCCGGGCGTAGTGGCGGGCACCTGTAGTCCTAGCTACTTGGGAGGCTGAGGCAGGAGAATGGCGTGAACCCAGGAGGCGGAGCTTGCAGTGAGCCGAGATCGTGCCACTGCACTCCAGCCTGGGCGACAGAGCGAGACTCCGTCTCAAAAAACAAAAACAAAAACAAAAACAAAAAAAAAACTTGTATGGCATCTCAGCACCTTCTAACAAAACATCTGCTAACAATGTTGAACAATACAAGCCACTGAAGATGGTAAATGACACTGGAAAGCTGGCTGAAGGAAAAGGCTGGGTCTGCTGGAGAGGGTTCACTTCAGCGTCTGAGCCCTTACCCTGGGCCCGTGGATGTGTTAAGCACAGTCCCTGCCCTCAAGAAGCTCACAATCCCCAAGGGAAAACCCACACACAGTTAAGCATAGCACAGTGGGGAAGACCAGGAGAGAGGTAGCAGGGGGCCCACGGGGCTCAGAGTGGAGCACCTGGGAGGTGGGCAAGCAGTCAGGAAGCAGCTGGGAAGGGTACCCCTGTGCTGAGTCTTGAAGGATGAGTGGGAGGCATCTAAGCAAAGAAAGAGCAAGGGACGTGGAGAAATTCCCTGGCAGAAGGAATATTTGTGCAAAGGCATGGAGGCTAAAGAGAATTCAGTTAGGGCCACTGCAAGTCTTTTGGTATTACTAGAGTTGTGGAGAGTGGTTGACACGAGGCTGGAGGAGTAGGAAGGGGCCAGCACGTGAAGAGCCTTGAATGCTAGGAAAAGAAGCTGGGCTTTATCCTTAGAGTGATGGGAGCCAGGGAAGGGCTTTGAGCAAGGGAATGACATGATTAGACAGGACAGATTGCTAATCCCTGATGCCCTGAAACTTAATACTCAATTTTTCCTATCAATTGCCCAAGATCCCTCTTAAATTATAACCAATATATTTATTTGAAAGCTTGGTTTTTCTCAGTTTCTTACCCTATATATGCATCTCAAAAATGTGTAAAGTACTCCAGCATCAGGGGAAAAGCACAAAACTCTAGGAACTTGTATGTGTGAAACAAAGTGGCTCATTAAAAGCTCAGAATTATTTTGAAATCTCATTTTTATTTTTAAAATCTACAAAATTTTTTGTTTTACTATATCAATGTTTAATAGAAATAAAATATTTCAAGTTACTCACCATTGAATAAACTTGACACTATTGGGGAAAAAAAACTATAAGTCCAGTGATCAGACTGGGTCTGAATCTCAATTTTGCTGTTTAATAGCTGTGCAATCCTGGACAAGTTATCTAAATTCTGCGAGCCTCATTCTGCCCATCTGTAAAATGGTCACAATTAAGCATACCTATCTCATGGGGTTAGTTATGATGAGGGCCACGTTGAAATCATGCATCTGAAGTACACAACACAGGACCTTGCACACAGGAAGCTCTTCAGGAGTATTCCCCATGACTCTACTTATAGTTGGGATGCCACACTTTTCACAATGATTTTGTGTTTACCTCCCCCAATATTATGAGTTTCTAGAGGCCAGCTTGTGTCTTACTCACCTAGGTATCCCCAGTGCCTAGCACTGAATCTGGTACATTGTAAGCATTCAACCAAGGATGGATGGATGGATGGATGAATGGATGGATGGATGGATAAATTAATGAAAAAAGAAGACACCCCGCCACTCCTATGCCCATAGAGTGCCCCTCTGCTTCAGAGGTGGGAGTCAGGCTTATTCTTTTTTAAAGAGGGTTAAATGAATCGTGTGTCTGGGGACAGGTGTCTGGGGCAAGCTTTGTCATTAGACAGTCTGTGGTTTGCAGTTTCTTCAGGAGAGAGCTGTCTAGACAGAAGGGAGGAACAAGGACTGCATGGGAATCAGGATCCTGGGGAGGGCTTCTCAGGGAATGGGAAGCCCGGGCTTCTCGCTCTTTTTTTCTTTCTCATCACTCAGGATCTGGCTGAGAAAATATGCTACCTGCCCCTAGCAGTGGAAATAGGTTCATAGCTTTTACCTGAGGATGACAAAGAGGGGTACAGCAAACCCCTCACTAGCTAGCAACAGGGTAAAGTTTTTTGTTTGTTTTTGTTTTTGTTTTGAGACAGAGTCTCATTGTGTTGTCCAGGCTGGAGTGCAGTGGTGCGATCTCAGCCCACTGCAACCTCTGCCTCCCAGGTTCAAGTGATTCTCATGCCTCAGCCTCCCGAGTAGCTGGGATTACAGACACGTGCCATCACGTCTGGATAAATTTTTGTATGTTAGTAGAGATGGGGTTTCACCAGGTTGCCCAGGCTGGTCTTGAACTCCTGAGCTCATGTAATTCACCCGCCTAGGCCTCCCAAAATCCTGGGATTACAGGTGTGAGCCACCATGCCTGGCCTTTGTGTGTGTGTGTGCATGTGTGTGTATGTGTGTATGTGTGCGCCAAGCACTGCACTAAGGGCCTAACATGCATTCTCCTCTCCATTGCCCTCTGGGGAAAGTACTATTGTGTATTTCCACTCTATAGATGAAGGAACAGACTCAGAGATTAAGTAACTTTCTCTTGCAAGGGTAGTAACAGGACAAGGTCCTCAGTTACATCAGACTCCCCATGAATCAGGTATCTGTCTAGTCAACAAATAATTTGAGCATCTTCTCTTTACACATTGCTGTGGCAAGTGGGGTGGGCCAGTAAGGATAAGTAAGATGTGATTTCTACTTTGAAGAAGTTTCTAACTTGAAGACGGAGATGAAGGCTTCCTTATCTTTGTATTCCCAGTTCAGGGCCTGGCAATACAGTGACTGTTGAATAAAGCACAGGTCGTTAGAGCTAGAAGGGTCTTTGGAGTTTGAGTGTGTTAATCCTGTTAATTTACAGTTGGGAAAACTGAGACCTAGAAGGAGGAATTACCTGGAAAACACAGTTAGGAGAGGAGCTTGGGCTCTGCAGCCAGCCTACTTAGTTTGAATCTCAGCTCTACCACTTATTAGCTGTGTGACTTTGAGTTGGTCACTTAACCTCTCTGATTCTCAGTTTTCTTGTCCAAGAAAGAGGGAATAAAGTTGTGAGAATTAAGTGAGATCATCCATGCTTAGGGTTTAGTATCATCCTCATTATTATTATTGTTATTTGAGATGGGGTCTTATTCTGTCACCCAGGCTGGGGTGCAGTGGCACGTTCTCAGCTCACTACAACCTCCGCTTCCTGGGCTCAAGTGATTCTCCTGCCTCAGCCTCCTGACTAACTGGAACTACAGGCACACGCCAGCATGCCTAGCTAATTTTTTATATTTTTGGTAGAGATGGGGTTTTGCCATGTTGCCCAGGCTGGTCTGGAACTCCTGAGCTCAAGTGATCTGCCCACCTTGGCCTCTGAAAGTGCTGGGATTACAGACGTGAACCACTATGCCTGGCCCATTATTATTATCATTATTTTATTTTATTTTTTTGAGAAGGGGTATTGGGGGAACCTGCCCCCAATATTTCAGCATAGGTTCTTTCTATTTTCCCTAAGTGTTGGCTGGCCTGAGAAATAAAGAGGAAGAGTACAAAGAGAAGAGTTTTACAGCTGGGCCACTGGGGGTGACATCACTTATCAGTAGGTCTCTGATGCTCACCTGAGCTGCAAAACCAACAAGTTTGTATTAGGGATTTCAAAAGGGGAGAGGGTGTACGAACAGGGAGTAGGTCACAAAGATCACATGCTTCAAAGGGCAAAAAGAGAACAAAGATCACATGCTTCTGAGGAAACAGGGCAAGGACAAAAGCAAAGATGACAAGGCAAAGGGCAAAATTAGAATTACTGATGAGGGTCTATGTTCAGCTGTGCACATATTGTCTTGATAAACATCTTAAACAACAGAAAACAGGGTTTCAGAGCAGAGAACCAGTCTGACCTCAAATTCACCAGGGTGGGGTTTTTTTCCTACCCTAATAAGCCTGAGAGTACTGCAGGGGACCAGGGCATATTTCAGTCCATAGGACAGACACTCTCAGAGTGGGCATTTATAGACCTCCTCCCAGGAACGCAATTCTTTTCCCAGAGTATTAATTATCAATATTCCTTGCTGGGAAAAGAATTTAGCAATAGCTCTCCTACTTGCACATCCGTTTATAGGCTCTCTGCAAGAAGAAAAATATGGCTCTTTTTGCCCGACCCCGCAGGCAGGCAGACCTTATGGTTGTCTTCCCTTGTTCCCTAAAAATTGCTATTATTCTGTTCTTTTTCAAGGTGCACTGATTTCATATTGTTCAAACATACATGTTTTACCATCAATTTGTACAGTTAGATACAATTATCACAGTGGTCCCGAGGTGACATACATCCTCAGCTTACGAAGATAACAGGATTAAGAGATTAAAATAAGACAGGCGTAAGAAATTATAAGAGTATTATTTGGGAAGTGATAAATGTCCACATTAAAATGAAATCTTCACAATTTATGTTCAGAGATTGAAGTAAAGACAGGCATAAGAAATTATAAAACTCTTAATTTTGGGAACTGATATATGTCAATATTAAAATGAAATCTTCACAATTTATGTTCTTCTGCCATGGCTCCAGTCGGTCCCTCTGTTTGGGGTCCCTGACTTCCCGCAACAAAGGGGTTTTACTCTGTCATCCAAGCTGGAATGCAGTGGCTCAATCATAGCTCACTGCAGGCTCAAACTCCTAGGCTCAAACAATCCTCCTGCCTCAACCTCCCAAGCAGCTGGGACTACAGGCACATGCCACCACAACTGGCTAAATTTTAAATTTTATGTAGAAATAGGATCTCCCTATGCCCAAGCTGGTCTCAAACTCCTGGACTCAAGAGATCCTCCCATCTCAGCTTCCCAAAGTGTAGGATTACAGGCATGAGCCACCACACCCAGCATGTGTGGGGTTTAGCATAACGCTTAGCACACAATCCCGCAATACATTTTGCTCTGATTACTATTAAACAATTGCATAGTGAGTTAGTAACTCAGGGCTTCCTGACTCCCAGTCCAGTGCTCTTTCCAGTTCCCCATGGTTCCTGCATCTACTGGAGTATAATCAGGGGAGGTGTGGGGGTGGTATGTGTGTGATCACATGTCCGCTGTCCTTGGGGACAAGTGCCTTGTGTCCCCCAGCCCATATCTCAGTGCCTCTCGCCATGCCTCTTCTCTGTCTTTGAAGCCTTCCCCGTTCTCCCCCCTTGACCAGAGTCCAGAGACTCAACCCTAAATGAAACACGCAATGAAATGCCTGATAACATCCTTTCACCTCCCATTGCAATTTCCTCTGGGCCAGATGGGGTGAGGCTGAGCCTGGGAAGGAGCCAACAGGAAATTCCCGGGGAGCAGCAAGGGATGGGTGTCCAAGGGCAGTCAGTGATACCATCTCCAGCATCGAGCCTCTGAGCCAGGAAGAGACAAGTCTCGCAGGAGAGGTTTTGCTGTTTGTTTTCCTCGGGCTTGACTTCTAACGAGAGAATTTAATTAAGAGCTCGATTGCCTCGCCTGGGGAATAGGAATCCGAGGGGATGGCAGAGCTGAGGCCGGTGGCCGAGGGGAAGGGAGGGAGGGGCCTCTTTGGACTCAGATTGAACTGTGATGGGCTTAAACTGCCCCAGAGAAGTTCGGCTCACAGGGTCTTTTGGTCTAATCCCAAAACAAGATTCTTCTCCTACAGGAACTTGTAAGTTTTAGATTCTGTGGTGCAAATTAAAAGACATTTAAACCAGTCAAGGAAACAGGCAAAGTTTGATATTCCCAATTGTTCCCACTCACACTGTTAAAGAAAAAATTATTCTTATTAATAATAAGGCAATGGTGGGCTGGGCATGGTGGCTCACACCTGTAATCCCAGCACTTTGGGAGGCCGAGGCAGGTGGATCACTTGAGGTCACGAGTTTGAGACCAGCCTGGCCAACATGGTGAAACTCTCTCACCTGGGCCTCCCAAAGTGCTGAGATTGCAGGCATGCACCACACCATACCCGGTTCCCCCGGACCTAGAAGGAGGCCTGCACACATTAGACCCACAGTAAGTATTATTTCCTGAATGAATAAAATAATATAAAGCAGGCTTATTAGTTTCCTCACAGGACTGTGTGAGGTTTCCAGTTTGTTCACAACCCAACTCCTCCCTCCCCTGCTCATCTGCGAAATGAGCATAGTAAAAGTATTTACCTGTGTTGGCAGGCGCATGTGAAACCATGCCGGTCAAGTGTTTAGCATGGGCCAGGTGCATAGTAAGTGCCCCAGAAAAATCAGGGGGTTGAATAGACAGTAAAGGTTTACTCCACACTTGTGTGTGATATGGAGAAAACTCCAGAACTCAGGTATAGGATGCAGGAAGACAAGGGTCTGCAATGGGGGAGTCCAGGCAGGAGGCTGTCGCGAGAGGTGTGGGTCCTGACTCCAGGCAGTGGTGTGGGGAAAAAGATGAGGAGACAAAAATTAGGACTATTTCTGAGAAGTTCACTAGTTTTTTGTTTGTTTGTTTTGTTTTGTTTTGTTTTTTGAGACAGAGTCTTGCTCTGTCACCCCGGCTAGAGTGGGTGATCTCGGCTCACTGCAACCTCCGTCTCCCGGATTCAAGCGATTCTCCTGCCTCAGCCTCCCAGATTCAAGCGATTCTCCTGCTTCAGCCTCCCAAGTCGCTGGGACTACAGGTGTGCATTACAATGCCCAGCTAATTTTTGTATTTTTAGTAGAGACCGGGTTTCACCATGTTGGCCAGGCTGGTCTCAAACTACTGACCTCAAGTGATCCCCCCACCTCGGCCTCCCAAAGTGCTGGGGTTACAGGCATGAGCTACCATGCCTGGCTGAAGTCCGCTAGGTTCTAACTGGACTGATCCCAGACTTAGGGAGAGACACAGAGAGCATCCTCAGATAACCCCACCACCTTCCAGTCTTGTAAGTCACCCCCCATGTATTGGGCTAACAGAGTATTCCAGGACAACACTCCTCTGAACATTTCAATCAATAAGAGAAGGCACTGAGGTCACTCAGGGAAACAGAGGAAGCTAGGAAGTTGCAAGCACTGCTTCCCTCTCTGCTATGTTCTTCCGCACCAGGCACAGCACTTAAGTAATTCCTTAATTAATCTATATAACAGCCTTTGGGGAGGGGATTATCATGCCCCATGCCCATTTTATGGATGAACAATCTGAGGCTCAGAGGACTGAAAAAGCTCTCCCCAGGTTATCTCGGGGAGCTGCAAAACAACAACAACAACAACAACAACAACAAGAGCCACCTGTTAACAGGGGATTACTGGATACCAGGTGCTGTCTTCAGAAGTACTTTGCATATGAAGTCTCCCAGTCCACCCGTGAGGTCTGTGTACTTTGTTATCCCCATTTTATAGGTGAGGAAATAGCACAAGAAGGGTGGACACTTGCCCAAGGTCTCACGGCAAATAAGTGACATTGCCAGGATTCTAGTGTAGGGGGCTGGCTCTGGGGCCCACATCGCTTGGTCTGAGTCTATTTCTCCAGCTATGAAATAGGAATCGTAGGCTGGGTGCAGTGGCTCATGCCTGTAATTTCAGCACTTTGGGAGGCCAAAGCAGGTGGATCGCTTGAGCCCAGGAGTTTGAGACCAGCCTGGGCAACAGGGTAAAACCCCATCTCTACAAAAAAAATCAAAATTATCCAGGTGTGGTGGTGTGCACCTGTAGTCCTAGCTATTTGGGATGCTGAGGTGGGAAGATTGTTTGAGCCCAGGAGGTCGAGGCTGCAGTGAGCCATGATCACACCACTGTACTCCAGCCTGGGCGACAGAGTGAGACCTTGTTTTAAAAAAAAAAGCAATAATAACATCTACCTTTATAAGATTGAGGTTAAAGGAGCTTAGGGAGAGTAGCCAGCAGTGTGCCTGGCGCCACTGACAGCTCTGAAAAGTTACTTCCCTGCCTTTCTCTTCATTATACCCCTGAAGTGCACAAGGGCCTTGTTCTTGAAGGGTTTTCCTGCTGAGTGCATGCGTGTTACATTCTCATTATAGAGAGGAATCTGGTAATCTGGTAAGGAGTGGGTTCTTTCTCTATGTTGAGTTGAGCAGAGAGAAAAAGGGCTGATGTGGTAAACCCACACACATACCAGTCTCATCACCTTGCAGTCTCATCATACCACTCCCACAGGGATCCAGCTAAGCTGAAAAGCAGGACTGAATTCTAAAAAGTGGCTTGGAAAAAAATAATAATAATACATGAATGCCGCTTCTAAATTTAACCTTCAGATATTGTGGAAAGAGCAACTCTCATCTCTCCAATGACAAGACAGTTTGACAGTCTCTGAAATTCAAGGGAACTTTCTGGAATGGATAATTAACAGACACATTTGAGATTCCTGAGCATCCTTTCAAAATCTCAGGTATTCTTTTCAAAACATAAAGAACCTCCAAATTCCATGTAGAAATAAACATCCAGGCCAGGCGCAGTGGCTCACACCTGTAATACCAACACTTTGGGAGGCAGAGCGGGGAGGATTGCCTGAGGCCAGGGGTTCAAGACCAGCTTGGACAACATGGGGAGACCTCATCTCTACAAAAAATAAAAAATTAGCTGGGTGTGGTGGCATGCACCTATATAGTTTTAACTACTCAGGAGGCAGAAGCAGGAGGATCGCTTGAGCCCAGGAGTTAGAGGCTGCAGTGAGCTATGCAGTGAGCTGCAGTTCAAGACCAGCCTGTGTGACAGAGTGAGACCCTATCTCTAAAAAAAAAAAAAAAAAAAAAAAAAAAAAAAAAAAAAAAAAAAAAAAAAAAAAATTCAAAAGATAATTTCGGTCCAGACCCAGTGGCTCATGCCTGTAATCCCAGCACTTTGAGGCCAAGGCAAGTGGATCACCTGAGGTCAGAAGTTCGAGACCAGCCTGGCCAACATGGCGAAACCCTGTCTCTACTAAAAATACAAAAATTAGCCGGGTGTGGCGGTGCACTCCTGTAGTCCCAGCTACCTGAGAGGCTGAGACAGGAGAATCGCTTGAACCCAGGAGGCAGAGGTTGAAGTGAGGTAAGATCAAGCCACCGCACTCCAGCCTGGGCAACAGAGTGATACTCCTCAAAAACAAACAAACAAAAAAGATAATTTTGAATTAGAGTTGATTTTCACCCATCAGACTGGAGAATTTAAGAAAGATTGATAATATTGAGTATTGGCTAGGGTGTGAGGAAATGCCCCAGGATTAACTACTGGGAGAAATGCATATTCAGGCAGTCTTTTTTTGGAGAACAATTTGGCAGCATCTATCAAAATTGTAAGTAAGCATGCCTTTTGATAATTTTATTGCTAAATACCATCTTACAAAAATACCCTCCTAAATACACACAGTTGAATGTTTATCATAGTGAAAAAAACGAAAATGCCCTAAATGCCTTTGACTTGCCTTTGGTTAAATAGATGATACTGTATCTACATTATGAACAACCATAAAGAAATTAAAAATAACTCAGTAGATTTCTATATATCGATATGATAATTTTCTGTGCTAAGTATGGTAAGTTTCTAGCATTTAGCTAGAAAAGTAATCCTGAAAAGAATCATAGCAAATTGCTAACAGTGGCCAGCTGCAGGGAGAAGGGGATGGGGCCAGTGCAAGGAACTTTCCCTTTTATTCTCCTATGTACAGCATTGTTGGCATTTTTTTACAGCCCTGTAATTTGTATGATTTAAATAAAAGAAACATATTTGAGGGACTGAGGCAGGAGGATCACCTGAGCCCAGGAGTTTGAGACCAGCCTGGGCAACTTGGGGAGACTCTGTCTCTACAAAAAAAAATTTTTTTTTTGAGATGAAGTTTCACTCTTGTTGCCCAGATTGGAGTGCAATGGCGCCATCTTGTCTCACTGCAACCTCCGCCTCCCAAGTTCAAGCAATTCTCCTGCCTCAGCCTCTCGAGTAGCTGTGATTACATTTGCTCGCCACCACATCCAACTAATTTTTGTATTTTTAGTAGAGAACGGGGTTTCACCACATTGGCCAGGCAGGTCTTGAACTTCTGACCTCAGGTGATCACCCGCCTCAGCCTCCCAAAGTGTTGGGATTACAGTTGTGAACCACTGTGCCCGGCCCAAAAAATTTTTTTAAATTAGCCAGGTGCAATGGTGTACACCTTTAGTCCCAGCTATTTGGGAGGCCGAGGTGAGAGGATGGGTTGGATCCAGGAGTTGGAGGTTACCGTAAGGTATGATTGCACCACTGCCCTCCAACCTGGGTGACAGAGCAAGACCCTGTCTCTAAAAAAATAAATTAAATAAAGAAACAAAGGAGAAAACAGTAATCCTGAAGCTTGTGAGCAAGCTGCTTTATATCAGCAAGGTTCATGCTTTACCTTATGTAAGAAAAGTTACTAAAGTTATTTCTGGCTCTACTATTCTACATTACTTCTTCTTTTTTAAAAAGCATTTTCTTTTCTTTGTTTCTTTTTCTTTTTGAGGCAGGGTCATGCTCTGTCACCTAGGCTGGAGTGCAGTGGCACTATCTCAGCTCACTGCGGCCTGGACCTCCCAGACTCAGGTGGACCTCCCAGACTCAGGTGGTCCTCCCACTTCAGCCTCCCGAGTAGCTGGGACTGTAGGCACATGCCACCACATCAGCATTTTCAGTGAAGCAAAAAAAAAAAAAATTTCTTTTTTTTTTTTTTTTTGAGACAGAGTCTCACTCAGTCACCCAGGCTGGAGTGCAGTGTCCCGATCTCCACTCACTGCAACCTCTGCCTCCGGGGTTTGAGCAATTCTGGTGCCCCAGCCTCCTGAGTAGCTGGGACCACAGGCCTGCGCCACCACGCCCAGCTAATTTTTATATTTTTAGTAGAGATGAGATTTTACCATGTTGGCCAAGCTGGTCTCGAACTCCTGGCCTCAAGTAATCCACATGCCTTGGACTCCCAAAGTGCTGGAATATACAGGCATGAGCCACCCCACCCGGCCCAAAAAATGCTTTTAAACTAAAGGTTTTCCAGCCTGGCTTGAGTCAGGATCACCTGTGAAGCTTGTTCAGCATCTCCGAGGATTCTGAATCTATAGGGCTGATCTCAAAACTATTGCTGAGTTGTTTTATTTTCATGTATTATTATTTTTGTTTCAATAAATGTGATAACTGAGGCTCAAAATGGGGGAGACCTTCTCAAAACCACAAAGCAAGTCATCCCTTGAGTTAGTGGCTCCTCCCCTCCTGCCCCAGGACTTAGTCAAAAAAAAAAAAAAAAAAAAAAAAAAGCTTCCCCCTTTTTACCCCTCAGCCTCCTCCAGATTGGACCAGCTGTGAGCATCACAGAATTAAACTTCAAATATTCTAAAGCAGCTCCGAAAACATTTCCTCCCGTGTGCAGGAAGAGCATCCTTTGAGAAAGATGCTAAATTGCCTTAATTATATTTCTTTCGAAGGCAAGACGTGCCCATCTGCTTTCGTGGTAGGGGGTGTGGATGCATGCTGGGCACAAATATACATCAACCCCAATACAAACACAATTATCAGGTCTATGCCTGCCTCATAATCTTGAAAAAGAAGGAGCACGGTGCCCATGGAGTGGGTGGCAGGTCAGCTCCAGGGCTCCTCTTGAACGTGGGTTCTCATTGGAGCATGCTGGGGCCGCGGCGGACACCGACTTTTAACAATGGGGCCTGGGGAGTGGAGAGCACAGTGCTATACTGAGGAGAGGCTGCAGGAATGGGGGCCCCAGCTAGGACAGTGCTGGCCCCATGCAACAGCAAGGCTGTAAAAGTCACAGCAGGCTGGGCGCGGTGGCTCACGCCTGTAATCCCAGCACTTTGGGAGGCCGAGGCGGGCGGATCACGAGGTCAGGAGACCGAGACCATCCTGGCTTACACGGTGAAAGTCCATCTCTACTAAAAACACAAAAAATTAGCCCGGCGTGGTGGCGGGCGCCTGTAGTCCCAGCTACTCGGGAGGCTGAGACAGGAGAATGGCGTGAACCCCAGGGGGCTGAGCCTGCAGTGAGCCGAGATGGCGCCACTGCACTCCAGCCTGGGCGACAGAGCGAGACTCCGTCTCAAAAAAAAAAAAAGTCACAGCAGCACTGGAACCCAATGGAACCCACTGGAACTTTCCAATGAAAGTTTTGGGTTTTCATAGAGGAAAGAGTATACGTGCTAAATCAGACAGCTCTAGATTCAGACCGTGGCCCTGGCAAGCTATGTGACTTTGGGTAAGATATGTTACCTTCTCTGGGATTTCCTCTTCCGTAAGATGGGGATAGTCATACCTACTTCATTCAGGGGCGGAGAGGTGATATGTGTACAGCTCTTGAGGCCAGGCATAATCAAATGCTTAATATTTGGCTCTTGTTATTGTTATTTTAAAATTATTATTATCTTTTTTGAAACAAAGTCTCACTCTGTCACCCAGGCTGGAGTGCAGTGGCACGATCTCGGCTCACTGCAACCTCCGCCTCCCAGGTTCAAGTGATTCTCCTGCCTCAGGCACCTACCACTGCACCCTTTTTGTATTTTTAATAGAGACGGGGTTTCACCATGTTGGCCAGGCTGGTCTCGAACTCCTGACCTCAGGTGATCCACCTGCCTCGGCCTCCCAAAGTGCTGGGATTACAGGCGTGAGCCACCGTGCCTGTCCTGGCTCTTATTATTTTCTGTTTGTATTCACCCATGCATTCCTGAAAAGCCTAGAGTTGACCCTGCATGGTCTTTCTGTCTCCTTTCTTGCTTCTTAGGCAGGAAGAATGCAGAGAAGAGATGAGGCAATTTGTACAAAGGACAGCAACTGTATCCATGTCCCAGAAGGAAATCTATACAACCTTGAGTAAGTGCCTTCACTCTCTTGGGACTCAGTTTCCCCATTTATAACACAAGGTCTAGAGGACATTTCAGCTCTGGTGGGCCTGGTGGGCCTTTTGGTTTTGTTTTAAGAGACAGGTCTCTTTCTGTCACCCAGGCTGGAGTGCAGTGGCACGATCACGGCTCACTCGAACTCCTGGACTCAAGAGATCCTCTTGCCTTAGCCTCCTAAGTAGCTGGGATTGCAGGCGTGAGCCACTGTGCCTGGCTCACCTGGTGTTTTATGCATAATGACAGCACCAAGTTTGTCCTGCTGGGCTGCCTCCAGAGCTCATGTTGAGGGGGTGACAGGGGGACAGCAGATCAGGGAGGAGAGACCCCCTAAACACTTGCTTATCACTTAGGAGAGGGTGACTGGGACCATTCAGGGATGGGCTGAGGATGAGAGTGATTCTCTAGCAAAGAAAAAGACTTGGTGTGTGCTAGGCAGTGTCCAGGAACTGATGGGACCATCGATGATGATGGCAGCTTCTATTTTTTGAAACCCACTCGGTGCCAGGCTATGTAGGGCATTTTACATATTTAAGATCTTCATCCTTGTAACACTGCTAGAAAGAAGTGACCCCTTTTAAAAGATGAGGAAACAGATTTAGAGAGGTTAAGTCCCTCAGCTAAAATGGCAGAAATGGGATTTGAACCCAGGAAGATCTGGCATCAAATTCTTGTGGTTTCCAAGGCACCACTAGTTGGGAATTGCCAGAGATGGAGGAAGAGAAGTCAGCATGTACACATTTCTTCCCATATGTTAAGCAGGCAGACACTATGCATATTTCATCTAAACATTGTAGCAATTTTATGAGATAGGTATTGATGTTCCCATTTTTGTAGATGGGCAGGCTGAGGTTCACTGAGGCTAAGAATTAGAATCGTGGAATAACAGCAGGGCTAGTTAGGGATTCCTAACCTGCTTTTATGCTGTGGACCCCTTTGGCAATCTGGTAAAACCTATGGACTCCTCCCCAGAACATGCTTTTAGTTTTTTATTTTATTTATTATTATTATTATTATTTTCAGACAGGGTCTTGCTCTGTCACCCAGGCTGGAGTGCAGTGGCAGCATCTTGGCTCACTGCAACCTCTGCCACCCGGGCTCAAGTGATCCTCTCACCTCAGCCTCCTGAGTAGCTGGGATCACAAGCGTGTGCCACCATGCCCGACTAACTTTGTATTTTTAGTAGAGATGGGGTCTCACCATGTTATTCAGGCTGGTCTCGAACTCCTGAGCACAAGTGATCTGCCTGCCTTGGCCTCCCAAAGTGCTAGGATTATAGGCATGTGCCGCCGCGCCTGGCCTATTTATTTTTATTTTTTGAGACAGGTTATTGCTCTGTCACCCTGGCTGTAGTGTCGTGTCATGAACATAGCTCACTGCAGCTTCAACCTCCCAGGCTCAAGGGATTCTCCTGCCTCAGCCTCCTAAGTAGCTGGGACTACAGGCATGTACCACCGCACCTAGCTAGTTTTTGTGTTTTTTTGTAGAGACAGAGTTTCCCATGTTGGCCAGGCTGGTCTCAAACTCCTAAGGTCAAGGGATCCTCCTGCCTCTGCCTCCAAAAGTGCTGGGATTACAGGTGTGAGCCACCATGCCCAGCCTTTATTTTATTTTTAAAATTTCAACTTTTATTTTAGATTCAAGGGGTACAATGTGTTGGTTTGTTACATGTGTATATTGGGTGATGCTGAGATTTAGGATATGAGTGATCCCATCACCCAGGTACTGAGCATAGTACCCAATAGGCAGTTTTTCAACCCTTGCCCCCTCCTTTCCTCCCTGCTCTAGGAGTCCCCAGTCTCTATTGTTCCCATCTTTATGTCCATGTTTACCCAGTGCTTAGCTGCCATTTATAAGTGAGAACATTTCACATTTGGTTTTCTGCTTCTGTGTTAATCACTTGGGATAATGGCCTCCAGCTGCATTCATGTTGCTACAAAAGTAATGATTTTGTTCTTTTTTTTTTTAGATAGAGTCTCCCTCTGTCACCCAGGCTGAAGTGCAGTGACACGATCTTGGCTCACTGCAACCTCTGCCTCCTGGGTTCAAGCGATTCTCCTCCCTCAGCCTCCTCAAGTAGCTGGGACTACAGGAGCGTGTCACCACCCCAACTAATTTTTTTTGTATTTTTAGTAGAGACGAGGTTTCACCATGTTGGCCAGGCTGGTCTTGAACTCTTGACCTCAGGTAATCCACCTGCCTCGTCCTCCCAAGGCGTTGGGATTACAGGCGTGAGCCACCATGCCCCGCCATGTTTTCTTTATCCAGTCCATTGAAGGGCATCTAGGTTGATTCCATGTCTTTGCTATTATAAATAGTACTGTGATGAACACACAAGTGCATGTGTCTCTTTGGTAGAATAATTTATTATCCTGTGGGTACATACCCAGTAATGGGATTGCTATGTTGAATGGAACACCTCCCAGGTTCAAGCAATTCTCCTGTCTCAGCCTCCTGAGTAGCTGGGACTATAGGTGTGCACCACCATGCCTGGCTAATTTTTGTATTTTTTTGTAGAGATGGAGTTTCACCATGTTGGCTAGGCTGGTCTGGAACTCCGGACCTCAAGTGATCCACCCACCTTGGCCTCCCAAAGTGCTGGGATTACAGGCATGAGACACCATGCCCAGTGGTAGTGTTATTTTTAAGAACATGTTTTAAAATGCATAAAATAAAATACATAGAATTGCTAAGGAAACCAATTATAAGGAAATACAGTTGTCAAAATATATATATTTTTAAACCCTGACAAATCCATGACATAATAATAAAAGTGCTGCTTTATTAACACATTACATAACAAGATCTAACGGCTGGTCTAATAACCACTCTAATTTCAAAGTAGTGATGAGCATAAAATATATTTTCTGTGATAACCATAAAGTGATACAAAAATATCTGTGATTTTTCATGGGTATGAAAGCCACAGAAATTACTAATAATAAGTGGTTTATAACCTCCATTCATAATTGAAGTGATGCTAACTTTCAAATACATAATGATGAGAACACAGATGTAATTTTTCCCTATCCTGGCTCCACCGGAATTCTCTCCATGGAGCTATTGTGGGGGTTCATGGGCCCAGCTTAACACCTCTTCCCAGACTGTAACTGTGGTCACTAGATTGAACTATTTTATTTATTTATTTAAATTATTATTATTTTTATTTTATTTTATTTTATTTTATTTATTTTTTCTTAGACGAAGTCTTGCTCTTGTCCCCCCAGGCTAGAGTGTGATGGCACGATCTCGGCTCACTGCAACCTCCGCCTCCCGGGTTCAAGCAATTCTCCTGCCTTGGTCCCCCCAAGTAGCTGGGATTACGGGCGCCTGCCACCATGCCTGGCTAATTTTTCTATTTTTAGCAGAGATGGGGTTTCACCATGTTGGCCAGGCTGGTCTAGAACTCCTGACCTCAGGTGATCCACCCGCTTCGGCCTCCCAAAGTGCTTGGATTACAGGCATGAGCCACCGAGCCCGGCCTATTATTATTATTTTTTTTTAGTTTTTGAGACTGGGTTTTGCTCTGTTGCCCAGGCTGGAGTGCAGTGGCGCAATCTCAGCTCGCTGCAACCTCTGCCTCCTGAGTTCAAGCAAGCAATTCTCTCACCTCAGCCTCTGAAGTAGCTGGGACTACAGGCGTGTCCCACCATGCCCAGCTAATTTTTTTTTTTTTTTTTTTTTTTTTGAGAGAGATCCTCACGCTGTCACCCAGGCTGGAGTGCAGTGGCACGATCTCAGCTCACTACAACCTTTGCCTCCCAGGTTCAAGGGATTCTCGTGCCTCAGCCTCCCAAGTGGCTGGGATTACAGGTGCCCGCCACCCTGCCCGGCTAATTTTTGTATTTTTAGCAGAGACGGGGTTTCGCCATGTTGATCAGGCTGGTCTTGAACTCCTGACCTCAGGTGATCCACCCACTTCAGCCTCCCAAAGTGCTGGGATTACAAGCGTGAGCCACTGCGCCAGGCCTATTTTTGTATTTTTAGTAGAGACAGGGTTTCACCATGTGGGCCAGGCTGGTCTAGAACTCCTGGGCTCAGGCAATCCGCCCACCTCAGCTTCTCAAAGTGCTGGGATTACAGGTGTGAGCCACTGCACCTGGCCTGAACTATTTTAGAAATGAGACTTTGTTGTGCTTTGGTAACCTCCCGATGGCTTGTTTCATTGAAGACTGAATGACCAAACGTGTGATGCTCTCCAGCTCCACTGTACACACCTGGGGAAGGAAGCCTTGTGCTTGGATGACCCATACTAGGGGACAGGACCAGCAAGAGACTGTGATACCGATACAGGGAGGGTCCGCCTGGGCAGACCAATTCTTTCTGGTTCTTAGTGGCTTCCTTGGGGATCTTGAGTACGTGACAATGTGCTGCCCAAAGTTTTCTTTCTTTTAATAGGCAAGATCTCATTCTGTCACCCAGGCTGCAATGCAGTAGCACGATCATAGCTCACTGCAGCCTTAAACTCCTGGGCTCAACCCCACCCTCCTGAGGAGCTAGTACTACAGGTGTGCACCACTACACCTGGCTAATTATTTAATTTTAATTTTAATTTTTTTTGAGATGGAGTCTTTTTCTATCACCCAGTCTGGAGTGCAGTGGCACAATCTCGGCTCACTGCAACCTCTGCCTCCTGGGTTCAAGTGATTCTCCTGCCTCAGCCTCCCAAGGAGCTGGAATTACAGGCATGTGCCATCATGCCCAGCTAAATTTTGTATTTTTAGTAGAGACGGGGTTTCGCCATGTTGGCCAGGCTGATCTCGAACTCTTGACCTTAAGTGATCCGCTCACCTCTGCCTCCCAAAGTGCTGGGATTATAGGATTTTTTTTTTAAGAGATAGGTCTCTCTATATTGCCCCAAATGATCTCATATTGCTGGCCTCAAATGATCCTCCTGTCTTAGCCTCCCAGTGTGTTAGAATTACAGGCGTGAGCCACTGTGCCTAGCCCCAAGTTTTTTCACACTCTCTTAGATCAACTTTTTTCATATTAACTTAGACTTCTTATCTTAGACCTGGCTCTGTTTCCAACAGATAAGTTTTCTTCTCTCCTAAATGAAGGCCTTCATTAGATTAAGACCTACCATGTGCCAAGAAGCATAGCAGCAACTGGGAATGCATTTATTCATTCAATCTGCGTTTTTTTGAGTGTATTGTTAGTCAAGACTCTTTTGCACTAAGATTCCAAAAAAGTGGGAGGGGAAGAGAATACTTATTGGCTCACATAACTGAAAATGTCTAGGAATAGCACCAACTCAAATATAGCTGGATTCATTCTCTATTTTTTCTACCTGAACCACAAGGCCTGAGTGGGAGAAGGAGAGGGAGAGAGGGACTCCCTACAGGAAAATCAAGTTGCTGACCCCATGAGAAAAGGGAACGGATGCTGAGAAAGGGAAGCAGATGCCCTCTGATCTAGTTACCTCCTATGCAGCCCATTGGTGACAGAAAGACATCACCCCGAATAGCACAAAATGGCAGAACACACGACAACTAAAATTAAGCAGAAGAAACCAATGAGCAGGCTGGGCATGGTGGCTCACTCCCGTAATCCCAGCAGTTTGGTAGGCCAAGGTGGGAGGATTGCTTGAGCCCAGGAGTTCAAGGCTACAGTGAGCTATGATTGTGCCACTGCACTCCAGCCTGGGTGACAGAGCAAGACCCTGTCTCAGAAAAAGATAAAAGAAAAATTTTTAAAAAAAAAAGAAAGAAAGAAAAAAGAAAAGAAAACACCAAAAAAGAAAACAAACAGAAGCGGATTGCAGGGCCACAGAAGGGTTGCACTCAGGGACAGAACAAACAGGGGCCATGGGAGGTGGGCCTGGCAGTAAACAAGAGGGTGTGGTGACTCCCAGTTTCCAAGAGAGGATGTGATTGGCTTGTTTGAATGATTCCCTGGGCTGGCAGGAAGGTGAAACTGGGTATGTTGAGGACCAGGTGGGTGAAGCTCTTCTGGCTGATGGGGGAACTAGCAGGGTGGGAACTGGCCTTTGGGGCCCCATGAGGCTCAAAGATGCCAGGGCAGCAAATGAATGTCAGACCTTACAACACATCACCTAAAGGGCCTACTGTGTGCCCGGTGTGCTCTTAAACAAGGGGGTTGCTGAGCTGGGTGGTGCCACACACATCTGGTGCTCCTAACTTTGAACTGGAGTCCCTGGCTCCAATAGGTCTGTTCTGAATCCAACTCTTTAAGACCGTCTCTGCTGCCTGCCCTCAGCTTGACTACTTCCCATGGAATCCTGACCCACTTTCAGATATTTAGGAACTTAGAAATCACTTCCTCATATGGAGTTGTCTTTGTTTTGCCCTAAATTCGATTAAAAAAAAAAAAAAAAACCCTAACTATTGAATGACCCATAAAGCCTAAAATATTTACTATCTGGCCTTTTTCAGAATAGCGTACTAGTTCCTGGTCTAGAACAATGAATCTCACTGAGAAGGATGACACCCCACGCCATGGGGCTTAGGCTCAAACCCAGACCTGGCTGTGGGGTCTTGGCCAGTTTACTTTGCCTCTCTGAGCCTCAGTTTCCTCATCTGTAAAATGGTGATGAAAACTACCTACCACAGGATTTGTTTCTGGGATGATGAACATGTTCTGGGTTTAAATAATGGTGATGATTGCACAACTTTGTGAATATACTAAAAAAAATCACTGAATGGTACACTTTATTTTTTAAATCTTTTTCTTTTTCTTTGAGACAGAGTCTCACTCTGTCACCCAGGCTGGAGTGCAATGGCACGATCTCAGCTCACTGCAACCTCCACCTCTAAAACGTTCAAGCAATTCTCCTGCCTTAGCCTCCCAAATAGCTGAGATTACAGGCATGCACCACCACACCCAGCTAATTTTGTATTTTTAGTAGAGACAGGGTTTCTCCATGTTGGTCAGGCTGGTCTCGAACTCCTGACCTCAGGTGATCTGCCCGCCTCGGCCTCCCAAAGTGCTAGGATTACAGGCATGAGCCACTGCACCCGGCCTGAATGGTACACTTTAAAAGGATAAGCTTATGATCTGTGAATTGTATTTCGATTTAAAAAATGATCCTGGACAACACAGTGAGACCCCTCTGTCTCAAAAAAAAAAAAAAAATTAGTGGGGCATGGTGGAGTACGCCTGTAGTCCCAGTCACTCAGGAGGTTGAGGTGGGAGGCTGACTTGAGCCCAGGAATTCAAGGTTACAGTGAGCTATGATTGTGCCACTGCACTCCAGCCTGGACAACAGAGCCAGATGCTGTCTCTAAATAAATAAATAAAAAGGTACAAAAAACCAAACCAAACCAAAACAAAAAAACCCTACCTCCAAAGGCTGCTGTAAGGATGAAGTGAGATAATGTGTGTGAAGAGTTTAGCACAGCACCTGGTACAGGGTAGGTGTTTTCATCATCACCATCATCATCATCGTCTGGAGGCAGGAGAGTCATTTGAAACAAAGGAATGTAAACAAGCTTGATGTTATCAACTGATTGTTATTTTCTATTTTCCACTTTACCTAGAATAGTAAAGCATATGGCTAGCAAGCAAAATCAACATTCATAGAAATCACACTATTAAAAATGTGTATTTTTACAGATAAAAATAAATTTATTTTTCTTAAAATATTATGCTTGACAGATTTGACTATGCAAAAAATAAATTTTTCTTTATGGCAACGACACTGTTAACAAAGCCAAAATAATAGATTAGGGACAAATTTTTCCACATAAAACAAAGGGTTCGCCGGGCGCGGTGGCTCACGCCTGTAATCCCAGCACTCTGGGAGGCCGAGGCGGGCGGATCACGAGGTCAGGAGATCAAGACCATCCTGGCTAACATGGTGAAACCCCGTCTCTACTAAAAATACAAAAAAAAATTTAGCCGGGCGTGGCGGCGGGCGCTTGTAGTCCCAGCTACTCGGGAGGCTGAGGCAGGAGAATGGCGTGAACCCGGGAGGCGGAGCTTGCAGTGAGCGAAGATCGCACCACTGCACTCCAGCCTGGGGGACAGAGCGAGACTCCGTCTCAAAAAACAAAACAAAACAAAAACAAAACAAAAACAAAGGGTTCATACAAAGAATTATCCTAAGAAGTGCATAGGAGCTGGGCGAGGTGGCTCACGCCTGTAATCCCAGCACTTTGGGAGGCCGAGGCAGGCGGATCACCTGAGGTCAGGAGTTTGAGACCAGCCTGGCCAACGTGGTGAAACCCTGTCTCTACTAAAAATACAAAAATTAGCCAGGCGTGATGGTGGGTGCCTGTAATCTCAGCTACTTGGGAAGCTGAGGCAGGAGAATCACTTGAACCTGGGAGGTGGAGGTTGCCGTGAGCGGAGATTGCGCCACTGCACTCCAGCCTGGGTGACAGAGCGAGACTCCGTCTCAAAAAACAAACAAGCAAAAAAACCCCACAAAAATTAGCTGGGCATGGTGGCACATGCCTGTAATCCCAACTACTTGGGAGGCTGAGGCACGAGAATCGCTTGAATCCCGGGGGGGCAGAGGGTGCAGTAAGCTGAGATCATGCCACTGCACTCTAGCCTGGGAGACAGAGGGAGATTCCATCTCAAAAAAAAAAAAAAAAAAAAAAACAGTTCATAGGAAGAAGACAAAGAACCCACTAGAAAAATGGGCAAATGCCCGGGTGCGGTGGCTCACGGATCACGAGGTCAGGAGATCGAGACCACGGTGAAACCCCGTTTCTACTAAAAATACAAAAAAAAAAAAAATTAGCTGGGCGCGGTGGAGGGCGCCTGTAGTCCCAGTTGCTCGGGAGGCTGAGGCAGGAAAATGGCGTGATCCCGGAAGGCGGAGCTTGCAGTGAGCCGAGATCACACCACTGCACTCCAGCCTGGGCGACATATCGAGACTCCGTCTCAAAAAAAAAAAAAAAGAAAAGAAAAAGAAAAATGGGCAAAGGACACAGAGAATTCATAGCAGTTGACTGCAAGTGGCCAAAACACTTAGGAGATCGTGCTCACCCTCACAGGGAGGTCAGGGAATACACATTTACAACCAGAAGATACTATTTTTCTCTTACAATATTGACAACAATTTAAACAATTAGTAATATATGGGGAAGTGTTAATGAGCCACAAATCGCTACCCTTTTTTTTTTTTAGAGACGGGGCCTCCCTATGTTGCCCAGCATAAAATACAGTGGCTACTCACAGGCACCATCAAAGTGCACTGCAGCCTCAAACCCCTGGGCTCCCACCTCAGCCTCTTGAGTAGCTGGGACTACGGGCATGCACTACACACCCAGCTAATATTTTTTAAAAATCGCTCTTTTTTAAAAACTGAAATACAATTCAGATCATAAACTCATGCTTTAAAGCTTGCTACAACCTTTGAGAAAATCATCTGACATTATTTATTAAAATTTAAAACATGCATACATAACTAAATTATTAAAAATTAAAATGCATACTTTTTGACACAGCAATTCCACTTCTAGGAAATAAAACTATGAGTGCTTTTATTAACGATATGTGTGCAAGGAGATTCACTGAAGCACTCATAACCGCAACAAGCAAAAAAACTGGACCCAAGCTACAAGGCCACCAGTGAGAGAAAGCTGCATGAATGAGTCTACATATCTCACATAGGATGTTACTAGCTACTAAAAAGAATGAAATATTGCATATGAATATGAATGACCGCTAGGACATGGTATTATAGTGAAAAAAGCAAGGTGCAGGCTGGGTGCGGTGGCTCATGCCTGTAATCCCAGCAATTTGGGTGTGCAAAGTGGTCGAATCCTTTGAGCCTAGGGGTTTGAGACCAGCCTGGGCAACATGGCGAAATCCCATCTCTCCAAAAAACTTACAAAAAGTAGCTGAGTGTGATGGCACACGCCTGTGGTCCCAACTACTTGGGAGGCTGAGGCGGGAGAACTGCTTGAACCCAGGAAGTCGAGGCTGCAGTGAGTCATGATTGTGTCACTGCACTCTAAGTCTGGGCCTAGAGTGCAGTGGCACAATCATGAGCCTTTAAGAGCCTGTCCCGAAAAAAAAAAAAAAAAAAAAAAAAAAGCAAGGCGCAGAACAGTATTATATGTACAAGATATACAGTATATCCTGTTATGTAAAACTGGGGATGGGGGGCAATGCATATACATAATTGCTTATCCATGCTTAATGCAGCCCTGGAAGGATGCACAAGAAAGGTAACACTGGAAGCTTTTGGGGAGATAACCGGGTACCTGGGGTAGGGGTGAGAGGGAGGCTCATTTTTGAATATTCTTGTGTACCTCTGGAGTTTTGAATCATGTGAATTACTTAATATAATTGTAGATTAATTAATATATCTAAATATATTGGAAAGCTGTCTGCTATGTATTGTTAAATGAAAAAAGTATATTCCAGAACAGTATAGAATGATTCTTTTTGTAGAAAAAGGAAAGAAAGCAAAAGAAAGGAACAAACATCCTAACACTATACACACATACACGCACATATCTTTGTTTAGGCATTAAAAAAAAAAGAAGAATGGGCAGGTGCAGCGGCCCACACCTGTAACCCCAGCACTTTGGGAGGCCAAGGTGGGAGGATGCTTGAGGCCAGGAGTTCAAGACAAGCCTGGGCAACATAGTGAGATCTCATCTCTACAAAAAACTTCAAAAATTAGCCAGGAACGGTGGCTCAAGGCTGTAGTCCCAGCTACTCAATAGTCTGAGGCAGGGGGATCGCTTGAGCCCAGCAGTTCGGGGCTACAGTGAGTTATAATTGTGCCAATGCACTCCAGGCTAGGTGACAAATGCAAAACCCCATCTCAAACTAAACAACTAAACTAAACTAAACTAAAAACAACAGCAACAAAAAAAAGAAAAATGTTCTTTACACATGACCATGCATAACTTCCATAATTTAAAAAAGAGTATTAAAAATAAATTGCCTTTGTTTTTATTTGTTGTCACAATGCTTAATAGTTTTGAGCTGATGACTCTGGTCTGGAAGATTTTCATGCAAATTCTCAGTATCTCAGACACAGCAGGAAGAGCTTCTCTTGTCACCCTGAGACCTACTCTGCAGGTTGGACGTTGCTTTCCCTGTCCTCAGAAATTTCAAGTTCTGTATTTTTAACCCAACAGCCTTGGCTCTCCAAGCACCTTCCTGCAGAGGTGAGAAAGATGCAGACTTCCCAGGATGTTAAAGAGATCAGAGGAGATGTTTTGGGAAACAGAATGAGAGAGACAGGAGCAGGGGGAGGCACGGGAGGCTCCTGGAACCCAGTGCCAGCCTCTGCCCTCAAGGAGCTGGGTAGAAGCCCTTCCAGCTCCCCACGGCTGCCTGGGTGTCAGTTCTGTTCCGGCCCCTAAGAGTCGCATTTTTGTTATTTTGGCAGGGGTAGACAGTTATAGGGCTTCATTCCTCAGTGACATCCCTGTGATGCTTCATTCCCACATATCATGAAGGGCTGGGCTGAGTCTTACATGGTTAGTCGCAGTGGAATCTCCAGCCAGCTTGGTTTCCACTAACCTGCTGGCTTTCTTGGATTGATTTACCGGTTATGTGCATCAGAGTCCCAGAGACTTGGTCTTCAACCCTATCTCTGCCACATACTATGTATGGGATTCCGGCCAGGTGACTTAACTTCTCTAAGCCTCAGTCTCCTCATCTGGAAATTGGGGGTGAGGGCGAATAAGCTCCTTTTCATGAAGATTTTGTGAGAGGCATGATGCTTCTAGTGAGCCTGGCACAGGGTGGATGCCACATCTGAAGCCACTGGCCTTAGGCTCAGTGGAGTCACAGCAAGTGGGAGGTGGCAGTGTGAGGTCACAGCAGTTCCTCTGTCCTGAATGAGCTGTAACCCTGGGAGTAACCTCATGATGTGAGCTGGATGGGCACTGCATGCATGTGCATTTGTGTGGGAATGCGTGGGCCTGAGTAGGAGGGAAAGCATGTCTAGAGTTGTCTCTTCCAGGTAATAACATAACTAGCTGGTTCAGTGAGAACTGCGGGCCAACTGTCTGCCATCTTGAAGCCCGAAAAGCAAGAATCAAGGGGCTGTCTCAGCCAAGGCTCTAAGGCCCAGTTTATCAACATAGGCCTTTAGGGGAGCCGCGGCTTAAGGTGCAGATATGGCCAAGTCCAAGAACCACACCACACACAACCAGTCCCGAAAATGGCAAAGAAATGGTCTCAAGAAACCCCGATCACAAAGATACGAATCCCTTAAGGGGGTGGACCCCAAGTTCCTGAGGAACACGTGTTTGCCAAGAAGCACAACAAGAAGGTCCTAAAGAAGATGCAGGCCAACAGTGCCAAGGCCGTGAGTGCACGTGCCGAGGCTATCGAGGCCCTCGTAAACCCCAAGGAGGTTAAGCCCAAGATCCCAAAGGGTGTTAGCCGCAAGCTTGATCGACTTGCCTACATTGCCCACCCCAAGCTTGGGAAGCGTGCTCATGCCCGCATTGTCAAGGGGCTCAGGCTGTGCCGGCCAAAGGCCAAGGCCAAGGATCAAATGAAGGCCCAGGCTACAGCTGCAGCTTCAGTTCCAGTTCGGGCTCCCAGAGGTGCCCAGGCCCCTACAAAGGCTTCAGAGTAGAGATCTCTGTCTGCCAGTGTGAGGACAGAAGGACTGCTGCGATCCCTCTGGGCTGCCGTCTGCATGGGGCTGGGGTCCTACTGTGCTATTTATACAAATAAACCTGAGGCAGGATGAAAAAAAAAAGATCGCCCTCTAAGTCCCTCGTGGGGCATAGTCAGCAACTCTCCCCCTTGTTCTTCTGCTCCTCACACCTCAAGTGAGATTGGACAAGCACTGTCATTAATTATTTCAGAGGTAACCGAAGCAGTGCTCGCCACCCCAACAGCTGAGGCTGCAAATGCCAGGTTGGTTTTATTTTTCAGGGAAATAGTTGCATCCACCAATCACAAGCCCATCCTGTTGAGTGCCCAGCGGTGGGTTGGGCTGGGTGAGGGGATGGTACCTAGTTCTGGCCCTGATGGGGCTTTTGGGGTGGCCTAGAGGGGTAGGGAGAAAGGTCACCTGAGAACAAGCTAGTCCCCTGCTCTGGGAGGCTGGCTCAGTGCGAGAGCTGGGCCTTTGAGAGTGGGAAGGACTGGGATAGGTGGGGATGAGAACCTGGGTTTGTGTCCAGGCTCCTCACTTCTTAGCCGTGTGACCTTGAGCAAGGTCAAACACCTTGCCTCCATTTCCTCATTCTAGGCAATTGGTCAGGCATTTGGAAACATCACGCTGGGCACGGTGGCTCACACCTGTAATCCATGCACTTTGGGAGGCCGAGGCAGGCAGATCATTTGAGGCCAGGAGTTTGAGACCCTGGCCAACATGGTGAAACCCCGTCTCTACTAAAAATACACAAAAATTAGCCGGGCATGGTGGTGGCACGCGCCTGTAGTCCCAGATACTCAGGAGGCTGAGGCGGGAGAATTGCTTGAACCCAGGAGCCGGAGATCACAGTGAGCTGAGATCACGCCACTGCACTCCAGCCTGGGCGACAGAATGAGACTCCGTCTCAAAAACAAACAAATAAACAAAAAAGCATTTGGGTGGGAAGGGGGTGAGGGATAAAAGACTACAAATTGGGTGCAGTGTATACTGCTCAGGTGATGGGTGCACCAAAATCTCAGAAATCACCACTAAAGGACTTACTCATGCAACCAAATACCACCTGTTCCCCAATAACCTATAGAAATAAACAATTAAAAAACAAAACAACCCATTGTACTGTGGAAGCAGTGGGAATAGCCAGAAGAGGAAACCGAGGTTCAGGCAAGCACAGTGACTGCCCGAAGCCACACAGTGAGTCACTTCCAAGCAGGACCCACAAGAGTCCCAGCCCAGGGTTGTAGCCTCTGTAACCTCTTTCCCATGGCCTCCTATGGTTCTCTCCTGTTCCCAGGCCCATCCCCATGGGCCCCATGTGCTTGGTGGCTGCTCTCTTCCTGTGATCCTGGAAACAGGCCTGGCACTGCCCAACTAATCTGGGTGCCCCATAACTGTCCTTCCCCTCCAGTGCATGAAGTTTGTTAAATGCTTCCTCTGAGTTCTCAGAGTAGGTCCAAATGGTGGCTCATCTGAAAAATGATGGGGTAAGATATGCTAAACTCCAACACTGGGGAATGGAAGGGATTTTCTTTTTGCCCAGGAACCCCTCCGAACCTTGGGGATTTCTGTCCTGAATTCAAGCTATTCCCACCACTTCTGTAGTATGATGCTTCCAAATTTCTGACCAAGAGCCTAAGAAGTTTCAAACAGCGGCTCACACAGCCGGATTGGCAGCACACAGCCTGGCAGCGAGGCCCTGAAACCTCACTGTCTGGATTTAAATCTCCAATCCACCACTAACTAGTTGTGTGACCTTGAGCAAGTTGCTTCACTAATCTGTGACTCCATTTCCCATATGAAAAATCGGCTGGTGGCCGGGCACGGTGGCTCACGCCTATAATCCCAGTACTTAGGGAGGCCAAGGTGGGTGGATCACCTGAGGTCAGGAGCTCGAGACCAGCCTGGCCAACATGGTGAAACCCCGTCTCTACTAAAAATACAAAAATTAGCTGGGTGTGGTGACAAGCACCTGTAATCCCAGCTACTCGGGAGGCTGAGGTAGGAGAATCGGTTGAACCTGGAAGACGGAGATTGCAGTGAGCCGAGATAGCACCATTGCACTCCAGCCTGGATGACAAAGTGAGACTCCGTCAAAAAAATTAAAAAAAGAAAAAAGAAAAATGGGCTGGCTTCTTTGGTTTCCTTGTTAAAAAAAAATTTTTTTTTAAAAAAGACAAATGGGGATAATAATAGTACCTATCTGATAAAGTTAGTGTGAAGTTTAAATGAGATAATACACGTAAGTGCTTCACCTGGTGCCAGGCCCATAATAAGGGCTCAATATCTGTCTCCCCACTTAGAGTGCAAGCTTGTTGAGGACAAGGATCATGTCTGTTTCGGACCTCGCACATAATGGACACTAAAATAAACAAACAAACAATTTAAATTTAAATTTGCTAGACCAGGCAGGGTGGCTCACATCTATAATCCCAACACTTTGTGAGGCTGAGGCAGGCAGACAGCTTGAGCCTAGGAGTTTAAGACCAGCCTGGGCAACATGGCAAAACCCCATCTCTACAAAAAAAATGCAGAAATTAGCTGGGCATGGTGGTGTGCATACCTGTAGTCCCAGCTACTCGGGGGGCTAAGGTGGGAGGATTACCAGAGCCCAAGAGGTCAAGTCTGCAGTGAGACATGATCGTGCCATTGCACTCCAGCCTGGGTGACAAAATGAGACCCTGTCTGAAAAAAAAAAAGCCAGGCATGGTGGCTCACGCCTGTAATCCCAGCACTTTAGGAGACCGAGGCCAGTGGATCACTTTGAGATCAGGAGTTTGAGACCAGCCTGGGCAACAGGGTGAAACCCAATCTTTACAAAAAACACAAAAATTAGCTGGGCACGCCTGTGGTCCCAGCTACTCGGGAGGCTGAGGCACGAAAATCGCTTGAACCTGGGAGGTGGAGGTTGGAGTGAGCCAAGAGCGCGCCACTGCACTCCAGCCTGGGTGACAGAGTGAGACCCTGTCTCAAAAATAAATAAATAAAAATAAATAAATAAATGTGCAGAATCGGAAAGCATGTGCACAGGATTCCAGTTCTTAGTTCTGAGACTCACGTTTGGAATGAATGATGTTTCATACTTGCTTTTAGACTCATACTTCTCACATTCTGCTCGCACAAGATTGCGCATCATTAGATTTGTGCTTTTTGGCCTTTACCACAACTGTAATACAATTATGTAATTTTTCATCGACGATTTGCCTTCCTTTCTAGACTATAAAATCCATTCAGGAAAGGCCCCTGCCTACTTTGATTACCCCCTACTATACCCATAGGCTTAGCACTGGCTCTGGCAAACATTAAACACTCAACAAATATTTTTCAACTGACTGATGGCTCAAAAGCTTAGCAGAAGATTAGTTAGTGAATGGAGTGGTTAATGAATAGAGAAAACTTGCTTTTTAAAAAGACTAATGAGGCCGGGCGTGGTGGCTAACACCTGCTGAGGCAGGAGAATGGCGTGAACCCGGGAGGCGGAGCTTGCAGTGAGCCGAGATAGAGCCACTGCACTCCAGCCTGGGCGACAGAGCGAGACTCTGTCTCAAAAAAAAAAAAGACTAATGAGCTGGGTGTGGTCACGTGTGCCTGCAGTCCCAGCTACTTGGGAGGCTAAGGAGACTGGATCCCTTGAGTCCAGGAGTTTGAGGCTAGCCTGGGTAACACAGACAGACCTCATCTCTAAAACATAAATAAATAAAAAGCAAAAGACTAGCCAGGTACAGTGGCTCACACCTGTAATCCCAACACTTTGGGAGGCCAAGGTGGGAAGATACTTGAGCTCAGGAGTTCAAGACCAGCCTGGGCAACAAACACAGCAAAACCCTGTCTTTACAAAAAATTTTAAAAATTAGCCAGACATAATGGTGCACACCTGTAGTTCCAGCTACTCAGGAGGCCGAGGTGAGAGGATTGCTTGAGCCCAGGAATTTTAGGCGGCAGTGAGCTTTGATCAACCGTGCCACTGCGCTCCAGCCTGGGTAACAAAATGAGACCCTGTCTCTAAAAAAAAAAAAATAAAATAAATAAAGAATAAAGAATTTTAAAAGACCAATAAAACACTAGTAAAATGTTAATACTCTATATAATAATATATTAAGATATATGCAGTTAGTGCAAGAATTCATTTAATATAAATAGCCAGGTATCACTAATTCTTACGTATTATTTGTTACTGCTAGGCTTAACCTTGACTTAGAGCTCTGGCTAGAAGAGAATATATCTTTTAATCAATTTTTCAACTCTTAACAGTCTAAAACTTCCCGGGATGTATATCTAAATATCTCCGTGGGGCTTAAAAACACCTTAGCAATAAAAGCCCTTATACATGGCTTTCCTTAGGAGCCAATGCTGTCCTATTCATAGCCATAAAGACTACATCCTTTCAACTGGGAGTACTAATCAGCTTTGCTGTTTCCTCTTCTTTCTCTACTCCTATTTTCCCCCCTGTATTTCAATCCACAGAAAGAAGAAAAAAACAAGAAAGGAAAGAAAGTGCCAAATCATGCAGTTTCTGCCCTTACCAGAAGCGTGAACCTTTTAATTGCCGTTCCCTGAGTGGAAAAAGATTTCTCTTCATCTGCTAGCTTTTCTCTAGTGATTTTTTTTTTCCTCTTCTTTTTTTGGAGGAAATTGCTTGTAGCTTCTCCCCTTCCCTTCTGACCAATTACTTAGCTGGGCATGCTGTAAAATAAAGTTTACATTAAATCGTCTCCATGGCAACCTCACACACCAGATCTCTAGTTTTAAAGCAATCATATCCCTTTTCCCATTCAAGCTTGCCAAAAAGTAACTTTTCTTGAAAGTACACAGACAGAACCTAATAAGGTTTGTAAAGAGAGATAAATTGGTTGCACAAGATAGGGGTCCCTTGATGGAGAACATGAGATGAATTCCTGAAAAAATATCTCCTGTAAACCATGGTTATTTACAGTGTGCTCAAACCATTTTAAGTCTCCATAAGAAAGCTTGTTGAATTGTAAATATCAGGGGGAGCTCTCATTTTTGGAGCACCACCCAGTCCGTGCTAGACACTGGTCTGAGCACTTTCTATCCATGAATTACCTCATTTGATTTAATCCTAGATGTATCCTGCAGAGATTTTTTTTTTTGCCCACAGATTGTCATTAGCGCCACTGGGCATCTGCTCATGTCGAAAATGTTTCAGTCTCCAAATTAACTACTTAGAGACGAAGTGTTCTTACACATACCTCCTAATAACAATAACAGCTGCCATTTACTGTGCTATGTCCACTGCCTGGAGATGTGCCTACCTCATCTCAGTTAATCATGAGAACAAGCTTAGGAGATCCTATTATCCCCTATTACAGATGAAGTAATTGAGGTTCACGGAGGGAAGGCAACTTGCTTACACAGCTAGGAAGTTGCAAAGTTGGGATTTGAACCAAGGTGGGTTTGGTCCCTGTCTTAGTTTGTTCTGGCTGCTATAACAAAAGACCATAGACTGGGTAGTTTGTAAACAACAGAAGTTGGCCAGGCGCGGTGGCTCACACCTGTAATCCCAGCACTTTGGGAGGCCGAGGCAGGTGGATCCTTACCTGAGGTAAGGAGTTTGAGACCAGCCTGACCAACATGGTGAAACACCGTCTCCAAATACAAAAATTAGCCGGGCGTGGTGGCAAGAGCCTGTAATTCCAGCTACTTGGGAGGCTGAGGCAGGAGAATCACTTGAACCCGGGAGGCAGAGGTTGCAATGAGCCGAGATTGTGCCATTGCACTCCAGCCTAGGTGACAAGAGTGAAACTTTGTCTCAAAACAAACAAACAAACAAACAAACAGCCAGAAATTTATTTCTCTCGCTTCTGGACACCGGGAAGTCCAAGACCAAAGCACTGGCAGATTCAGTGTCTGGTGAGGGCCCAGATGGGAACACAGCAAGGAGGCCCTGATCGTGCCTTCTTTATATCTTCAGATTAGACTTTATGGCTATGAGGACACCATTGGCTCCTTAGGAAAGCCACGTATAAGGAGTTTCACTGCTAAGGTGCTTTTAATCCCCACAGAGATATTTAGAGATACATCTCAGGAAGTTTTAGACTGTTAAGAGGTGAAAAATGGGTTAAAAAATATTTTCTCTCCTAGCCAGAGCCCTAAGTCAAGGTTAAGCCTAGAAGTAATAAGTAATAATAATTATGATACCTGGCTATTAACATTAAACTAGTTCTTGCTCTAACTGCACGTATCTTAATATATTATTAAATAGAGCATTAACATGCTCACACATGGTAGGAGTGAGGGGTCTCTCTTGGGTCTCTTTCATCAGGGCACTAATCCCAGCCATGAGGGCTCCATCCCCAAACCTAATCAGCTCCAAAAGGCCACACCTCCTAATAGCATCATATAGGGAGTGAGGATTTCAACATAGGAATCGAGGGGGTGGGACATAAACATTCAGACCATGGCTGTCCCAGAACAGGTACTCTTGTCACTCTGCCTCCCAGAAATTCTCCCAGCTAGGGAAACAAGGAAGAGAACATCCCTCTGCAGATGACATGGGTTTCCAGGTGTGGGTGTGAATGCCCTGGGCAGGCTCTGGACCAGGGGTGAGCAACTCTGGACCATGGGAGGTGAAGAAAAGAAGGAGTAGTCGCTCTCCCCTACTCCTTAAAGTTGCTGAGTTTTCATTGGTTCTCACCAACTGTAGTACTCATCTTTCTCTCTCCTCTCCCTCAACTTTTTGATCTGGCCACCTCCTACTCAACCTCCAAGTCTCAATTTAAAAGCTACCTCCTCTATGAAGCTTCCCTGTCTTTTCAGACAGAGTTCAGCCTGACAGATCTGGCTTAGTCACTTATGAGCTGTAGGACTTGTGCCAGATTTCTGTAGTTCTCAGAGCCCCAATTTGCTCATGTGTAAAATGGGGGCTTCACAGGGTCATCATGAGGTTTCAATGTGTTCATGGATGATAAAAGTACATAGCAGAGCTCCCAGCCAAGGGAGTTCAGCAAATGTCAGTTCCTGTTATTGGCCTTCTGTGGCATTTTATTCCCTTTTCTATTATCATAATTATCTTATTTGTAGCTTGCACATCTCCCCAATAATTGGTGAGGCTTTGAGGGCAGGATCCTTATTTTCTCTTTTGTATCTCCAGCCCTGGCACCAGCAAACATTTGTTGATTGAATGTATGAAAGATTATCTGGTACCATCTCCCAGAGCATTGGGCTCCTGGGAACTGTGGCCTGGAAGGAGTGGGGTGCTGGGGCTTCCCATGCTTCTCAAATGCAAATAGTTCTGAGAAAGATCACTAGACCAGCCAACCCTCAGCTGGGCTTGGTTGGTGTGCAGCTGAGAGAGACCACCATCTAGGGACCTGGGTTAGGAAGATGTATGCCCTGGGGGCAGGAAGATGGAAAACAACTTTGACCACTGCCAGCCTAGGCTAGGTCACTCTGAATAACCTTATGGTGTTTTGAATCAATTTTTTTTTTAAAAAGCAGAGCATATACAAATAAATAAAATAACAACAATCATCTTTTAGGCCTCCCAAATCTTGTGTGTTTCTGGTTCTCCATCCATTGATGCCAGAGGTTCCTAAGACTGGTCCATGAAGGCAAAAATAAAAATAAAAAAGGTTGCAACCTGTGGGCAAATGTGTGTGGGGAGGGACATGGGAGGGAGGGAACTGCCCACTCACAGCAGACTCCAGGTCTCCCTGCAAGGCTGCGGGCATTTTGTTTGGCCCAGCCTCTCTCCTCCTGTGTCTAACACTGTGGCCACCCGAGGAAACTGAAGAAAGGGCTTCCTCTGGGCTGGTCAGCTGCTGACCTGCTCAGGCTCATGACAGCTTTCAGACAGTGGATCCTCAGCAAACCCCTAAAGGGGATGGCTGAGGCTGAAAAGAGAGGAGGCAGGATGGTTTCTGCAAAGAACCAGGATCGCAGATGCGGCGCTTGGCCACGCTCCCCACCAGTCCGAGCTTGCGTGTGCTCAAATCACTGTCTACGCCGCTGTAGCTGCTGCCTGGCTTTCCCTGTTCCATCTCACCACTGGCACAACCTTGGGGCATGGGCAGAACTGGAAAGAACTTAGGCCGGGTGCAGTGGCTCATGCCTGTAATCCCAGCCCTATGGGAGGCCGAGGCAGGTGGATCACCTGAGGTCGGGAGTTCTAGACCAGCCTGGCCAACATGGTGAAACCCCGTCTCTACTAAAAATATAAAAATTAGTTGGACGTGGTGGAGGATGCCTGTAATCTCAGCTACTCGGGAGGCTGAGGCAGGAGAATCACTTGAACCTGGGAGGCAGAGGTTGCAGTGAGCCAAGATCAAGCCACTGCACTCCAGCCTGGGTGACAGAGCAAAACTCTGTCTCAAAAAAAAAAAAAAAAAAAGCATGTGCAGAACTGGAAAGAACTTAGGCCAGGCGCAGTGGCTCACGCCTGTAATCCCCAACACTTTGGGAGGCTGAAGTGGGCGGATCACCTGAGGTCAGGAGTTCAAGGCCAGCCTGACCAACATGGAGAAACCTCATCTCTACTAAAAATAAAAAATAGCCAGTTGTGGTGGCGCACGCCTGGAATCCCAGCTACTCAGGAGGCTGAGGCAAGAGAATCACTTGAACCCGGGAGGCAGAGGTTGCAGTGAGCCGAGATTGAGCCATTGCACTCCAGGCTGGGCAACAAGTGTGAAACTCTGTCTCAAAAAAAAAGAACTGGAAATCACCTGATTTCCATCAACACTTTCACAAGTGCCTGTTGTGTGCCTGACCCTGAGGATACAAATAATGATGCTGATAATTAGTATTAAATATGTGCTTACCTCATGCCAGGCCCAGCCTAAGCACTTTACAGATAACAGCTCATTTAGTTATAACGCTGGACGACAGATGTTATTCTTGTTACTTTCATTTTACAGATGAGGAAACTGAAGCACAAAAAGGGTAAGTAACTGTCCCAAAGCCACATAGACAGTAAGTGGCAGAGCCTTGATTTGAACCCAAGCAGTCAGACTCCAGGCTCTTGGCCACTTGAGGTGCTCATGGGTTGGTGGGTTTCTGTGGATGACAGACAAAGAAACAGGCCATTTCAGGGATATTATAGATTTAGTTTCTCTAAGCCACTTAAAACAAAATGCATTTGCCTGTCGTCAGGGTGTCAGCTACTAGCCCCACCCTGGGAGTTAGGTAAAGGATCTCTGGAAGACATAGGTAAGCTGAGATTGGAGAAGGGAGAGAGGGTGGAAAGGAGACCCAAGACAAGAGAGCAGCATGGGCAACGGTGTGTGGACAGGAGTGAGGTGCAGAGAAGAGCAGTGTCTGGCTCCGGGGCCGACAGAGAGCTGGTGGTACAGCCAGACCCAGAACCCAGGTCTCCAAACCCCTATACCTATCCCACATTGTCTGTTAGGATTCCCGCTGCAGCAAGCCCAGCCAGTGTTGTAAAACTGCTGCTAAGTACTGGGAGACTCAGAAGAGCAGAATATGGACCTTCTAGCTGGGAGCATCCTACAGATTTGTACGGATTGATTGAGGAACAAGACCAAGTAGTAGAGGGCAATTACTCAGCATTTTGGCAGAGATGAGCAGCTCCTAAATCAGTGCTTGTGGTGCCCTTCCCCATCTTTCAACTTCATTTCTCTCTCTGTCTTTCCCCTCTGTAGTAGGTTGAAAAATTGTCCCTCAAAATACGTCCAGGCCAGAGACAGTGGCTTACGCTTGTAATCCTAGCACTTTGGGAAGCTGAGACAGAAGGATCGCTTGAAGCCAGGAGGATCGCTTGAAGCCAGGAGTTCCAGACCAGCTTGGGCAACATAGCGAGACCTCATTTCTACAAAATTTAAAAATTAGCCAGGCATGTTAGTGCATGCCTGTAGTCCTAGCTATTCAGGAGGCTGAGGCAGGAAGATGGCTTGAGCCTAGGAGTTCAAGGGTGCAGTAAGCTCCGATCACTCCACTGCACTCCAGCCTGAGATCCTGTATCAAAAAAAAAAAAACTATATCCTAATTCTGAAAACCTGTGAATATTACCTTATTTTGTAAAAGGGTCTTTGCAGATTTAATTAAGTTTAGGGTTTGAGATTGGGAAGATTATCTTTGATTATCCCGGTGGGCCCTAAATCCAATCACAAGTAACCTTATAAGAGAAAGGCAAGGGATGTTGGCCAGACAGAGGAGAAAGCCATGTGAAGACAGAGAAGAGACAAAGCAGCCACAAGCCAAGGAAGGCCACCAGCTACCAAAAGCTGAAGAGGCAAGGAATAGACTCACCCCTTGAGACTCCTTAGGGAGTACTGCCTTGATTTAGGACTTCTGGCCTCTAGAATTGTGAGAAAATAAACTTCTGTGGCTGTTGCTGTTGTTGAGACAGTCTCATTCTGTCGCCCAGGATGGAGTGCAGTGGTGCGATCATGGCTCACTGCAACCTTTACCTCCTGGGTTCAAGCAATTCTTGTGCCTCAGCCTCCAGAGTAGGTGAGATTACAGACATGTACCACCACACCCAGCTAATTTTCATATTTTTAGTAGAGACAGGGTTTTGCCGTGTTGGCCAGGCTGGTCTTGAACTCCTGGCCTCATGTGATCCACCCACCTCGGCCTCCCAAAGTGCTGGGATTACAGGCATGAACCACCACACCCAGCCATTGTTTTTTGAGACAGAGTCTTGCTCTGTCACCTGGGCTGGAGTGCAGTGGCATGATCATGGCCCACTGCAGCCTCAACCTTCTGGGCTCAAGCGATCTTCCTGCCTTAGCCTCCCATGTAGCTGGGACCACAGGCACATACTGCAACATGGGCTAATTTTTTGATTTTTTTTTTTTTTTTTTTTTTTTTTTTTTGTAGAGCAAGTCTCATTATATTGCCCAGGCTGGTCTTGAACTCCTGGGCTCAAACAATCCTCCTGCCTCGACCTCCCAACTTGCTGGGATTACTGGCGTGAGCCACTGCACCTGGCAACTTCTCTTGTTTTAAGTCATCAAGTTTGTGGAGATGTGTTACAGTGGTCACAGGAAACTTAATAGGCCTTCCCCCAGCCCTTTTTTCTCACCTCCTTTTCTGATCTTTCTCCTCTGGGAAGAAGTGAGGAAACAGTGATGGAGAAAGGGGGTTTTTCTGATTTAAGCTTCAGGTCATTTCCACCCTGAAGGTCTTCTGTCCTCCTTGGGAGTCTGATCATTTAAAGCCTCCTCTTCTGCTCTTTGCCAAGCCCTATATCCTTATCCTATGTCACCAGACATGTCCTGGCCACAGTCTGGGACATCGCTCAGCCTCTCACTTACACATGGGACTTGGGACCCAGAGAGAGGCTCTGACTTGCCTCAGGTCACACAGTGAATTAGTGGCAGCTCCAGGGCAAAGACAGGTGCATCCTTCTCCAACATCTCTCCTACTTTGTTTCCCAGCTGCTGCTAGCACAGAGCGGGGCTCACAGTAGCCATTTGGTAACTGACCAAGAGAGGCAATATGGGACAATGGTGAACAGCATGGGCTTTGAAAACACATGAACCGGTGCATTGGACTCTCTCTCTCTCTCTCTCTCTCTCTCTCCCTCTCCCTCTCCCTCTCCCTCTCCCTCTCTCCCTCTCCGTCTCCCTCTCCCCTTTCCATGGTCTCCCCTCTCCCTCTCTTTCCACGGTCTCCCTCTCATGCCAAGCCGAAGCTGGACTGTACTGCCACCATCTCGGCTCACTGCAGCCTCCCTGGTTGATTCTCCTGCCTCAGCCTGCCCAGTGCCTGCGATTGCAGGCACGCGCCGCCACGCCTGACTGGTTTTCGTATGTTTTTGGTGGAGACGGGGTTTCGCTGTGTTGGCCGGGCTGGTCTCCAGCTCCTAACCGCGAGTGATCCGCCAGCCTCAGCCTCCTGAGGTGCCAGGATTGCAGACGGAGTCTGGTTCACTCAGTGCTCAATGGTGCCCAGGCTGGAGTGCAGTGGCGTGATCTCGGCTCACTACAACCTCCACCTCCCAGCCGCCTGCCTTGGCCTCCCAAAGTGCCGAGATTGCAGCCTCTGCCCGGCCGCCACCCCGTCTGGGAAGTGAGGAGCATCTCTGCCTGGCTGCCCATCGTCTGGGATGTGAGGAGCCCCTCTGCCTGGCTGCCCAGTCTGGAAAGTGAGGAGCCTCTCTGCCCGGCCACCATCCCACCTAGGAAGTGAGGAGCGCCTCTTCCCGGCCGCCATCACATCTAGGAAGTGAGGAGCGTCTCTGCCTGGCCGCCCATCGTCTGAGATGTGGGAAGCGCCTCAGCCCCGCCGCCCCGTCTGGGATGTGAGAAGCGCCTCTGCCCTGCCGCGACCCCATCTGGGAGGTGAGGAGCGTCTCTGCCCGGCCGCCCCGTCTGAGAAGTGAGGAGACCCTCCGCCTGGCAACCGCCCCGTCTGAGAAGTGAGGAGCCCCTCCGCCCCGCAGCCGCCCCGTCTGAGAAGTGAGGAGCGTCTCCGCCCGGCAGCCACCCCGTCCAGGAGGGAGGTGGGGGTCAGCCCCGCCAGGCCAGCCGCCCCGTCTGGGAGGTGAGGGGCGCCTCTGCCCGGCCGCCCCTACTGGGAAGTGAGGAGCCCCTCTGCCCGACCAGCCGCCCCGTCCAGGAGGGAGGTGGGGGAGTCAGCCCCCCGCCTGGCCAGCCACCCCGTCCGGGAGGTGAGGGGTGCCTCTGCCCGGCCGCCCCTACTGGGAAGTGAGGAGCCCCTCTGCCCGGCCGCCACCCCGTCTGGGAGGTGTGCCCAGCAGCTCATTGAGAACGGGCCATGATGGCAATGGCGGTTTTGTGGAATAGAAAAGGGGGAAAGGTGGGGAAAAGATTGAGAAATCGGATGGTTGCTGTGTCTGTGTAGAAAGAAGTAGACATGGGAGACTTTTCATTTTGTTCTGTACTAAGAAAAATTCTTCTGCCTTGGGATCCTGTTGATCTATGACCTTACCCCCAACCCTGTGCTCTCTGAAACATGTGCTGTGTCCACTCAGGGTTAAATGGATTAAGGGCAGTGCAAGATGTGCTTTGTTTAACAGATGCTTGAAGGCAGCATGCTCGTTAAGAGTCATCACCACTCCCTAATCTCAAGTACCCAGGGACACAAACACTCTGCCTAGGAAAACCAGAGACCTTTGTTCACTTGTTTATCTGCTGACCTTCCCTCTACTATTGTCCTATGACCCTGCCAAATTCCCCTCTGCGAGAAACACCCAAGAATGATCAATTAAAAAAAGAAAACACATGAACCAGAAATTGAGGCCTGGCTCTGCCATTTACACACTATGCAGCCTTAGGGAAGTCACTTCATCAATCTGAGCCTCAGTTTCCTCATCCATAAACTGGAAATAATAATAGCACTCCTTCAGAGCTATCCTGGAAGACAGTAGAGTATGGATGTTAACAGCATGGGGTCTGGCTGGGTGCAGTGGCTTAAGCCTGTAATCCCACCACTTTGGGAGGCTGAGGCAGGCGAGTCACCTAAGTTCAGAAGTTTGAGACCAGCCTGGCCAACATAGTGAAACCCCATCTCTACTAAAAATACAAAAATTAGCCAGGCGTGATGCCGTGCACCTGTAGTCCCACCTACTTGGGAAGCTAAGGCAGGAGAGTGCTTAAACCTGGGAGGCGGAGGTTGCAGTGAGCCGAGATCTTGCCACTGCACTCCAGCCTGGGCAACAGAGTGAGACTCCATCTTAAAAAGAAAAAAAAAAAAAAGAGCATGGACTCTGGAGCCAGAATGCTTGGTTCAGGTCTCAGCTCCATCATACATTAGTTATTTGATGTGGGGCCAGGCATGTTGACTCACACTTGTAATCCCAGCACTTTGGGAGGCTGAGGCGGGAGGATCACTTGAGCCCAGGAGTTCCAGACCAGCCCGGGCAACATGGTGAAACCCCACCTCTACAAAAAATACAAAAGTTACCCAGGCATGGTGGCACATGCCTATAGTCCCAGCTGCTGGGAGGGTTGAGGTGGGAGGATCACTTGAGCCAGGGAGGTGGAGACTGCAGTGAGCCATGATCACACCACTGCATTCAAGCCTAGGCTGCAACCTCGAGATTTTTTTTTTTTTTGAGATCCTGTCTCAAAAAAAATTTTTTTTGGCCAGGTGCGGTGGCTCACGCCTGTAATCCCAGCACTTTGGGAGGCTGAGGCGGGCGGATCACAAGGTCAGGAGATTGAAACCATCCTGGCTAACACGGTGAAACCCTGTCTCTGATAAAAAAAAAATACAAAAAATTAGCCTGGCGTGGTGGCAGGAGCCTGTAGTCCCAGCTACTCGGGAGACTGAGGCAGGAGAATGGCGTGAGCCTGGGAGGCGGAGCTTGCAGTGAGCCGAGATCACGCCACTGCACTCCAGCCTGGATGACAGAGCAAGACTCCGTCGCAAAAAAAAAAAAAAAAAAAATTAGCTGGGCGTGGTGGCGCATGCATGTAGTCCCAGCTACTCAGGAGGCTGAGGCAGGGGAATTGCTTGAACCCAGGAGGCGGAGGTACATTTTTTTAATAAATAAATAAAAATAAATACTTTTTTTTATTTGGGCAACTGTGCCTCAGTTTCTCCACCTGTGATTTGGTGATAATAAGAGTCCCTACCTCATAGACTAAATGAGATATTTTATGTGTAAGATAGAGCCTGGCAATACTAACTTCTGGATAAATGATACTTCTCATTAAATAGTACCAGAGGGTTGTCAGAAGCACTACATGACCATGAAAGCAACTAGCTCAGCGATAGGGGATCATAAATGTCTTATAAATGGCACCTGTTGTCTTTGCTGTCACTTCTTACTGAAGGACTGTGGGGAACAGGGCTGCAATTCCCGGGCCCCACAGGTTTCCTGGCCAGGCTGAGGGTCCTCCCATCACCTGTAGGCCCCTTACTTCATTCCCTGAAGCCCAACTTTCTAGAGCATCTTCTGATGTTCCGATGTACGTTATAGATTTAGTTTCTCTAAATCCACCCAAAATGCATTTACCAGTTGTCAACCACTTATCAGCAATTAAGCTTCCATTTTAGATGTCAAGACAGAAATACATTTTGCTGCAGAGTGGGGAGGTGTTCAGACAGGTTGTCAGACTCAAGTTCTTATTGTTCTGTTCGGTTTAGCAAATAATTCATAGACTTATACACTTATATACACTTCCATAGACTTAAAGCCAGAAGAGACCCTAGAGAGGTCCATTTTACAAAAGTGGAAATGGAGGCCCTGGAGATTACAGTGAATCAGGGACAGAGATAAGGGAGGACCATACTGCACGCTTTTATTGTTGCTGTTTGAGACAGAGTCTCTCTCTGTCACTCATACTGAAGTGCAGTTGTGTGATTGCAGCTCACTAGAGCCTTGACCTCCCTTTTTTTTTTTTTTTCCCCCAAGAAATGAGGTCTCACTGCTGGGCGCGGTGGCTCACACCTGTAATCCCAGCACTTTGGGAGTCCGAGGAGGGCGGATCTCGAGGTCAGGAGATCCAGACCATCCTGGCTAACACAGTGAAACCCCATCTCTACTTAAAATACAAAAAAATTAGCCAGGCGTGGTGGTGGACGCCTGTAGTCCCAGCTACTTGGGAGGCTGAGGCAGGAGAATGGCGTGAACCCAGGAGGCGGAGCTTGCAGTGAGCCGAGATTGCGCCACTGCACTCCAGCCTGGGCGACAGAGCTAGACTCTGTCTCAATTAAAAAAATAAAAAGAAAAAGAAATGAGGTCTCACTATGTTGCAGAGGCTGGTCTCAAACTCCTGGCTCAAGTGATCCTCCTGCCTTGGCCTCCCAAGTGCTGAGATTACAGGTGTGAGCCACTGCACCTGGCCTGCAGTTATTTTTTTAAGCTTAAACAAATTTGCAAAAATACCACACACATAAAGAAAGTTTACATAATATATCTTACTGTTTAGAAAACAATACTGTAATCCCCGAACCTGCCATCCAGTGCAAGAAATAGAATTGATACCAACACCTGTAAGGCCTCTAATGCTGTATCTGTTTAAATAAGGGGTCTGTACAGCCTGGGCAACATAGCAAAGCCCTGTCTCTACTAAAAATACAAAAAATTAGCCAGGTGTGGTGGCACACTCCTGTAATCCTAGCTACTCAGGAGGCAGAGGTTGCAGTGAGCTGAGATCATACCATTGCACTCTGGCCTGGGTGACAGAGTGAAACCCTATCTCAAAAATTAAAATAAATAAATAAGTAAATAAATAAATAAATGGGTCTGCAGAGGGGTCAGCTGCCCATAGAACACAGAAAGAATCCATTAAAAGAGATTCTTCTAGAAAGAAACCCATGAAGGTAGTTCTGGGTTCTCTGTTCTTCATTTTTCCTCTATGGTGGAGCCTAGACTGTAAGCTTGAATATTCCATCATCATTTGCTTTTTCTTTTTTTTTTTCTTGAGACAGGGTCTTGCTCTGTCATCCAGGCTAGAGTGCAGTGGCATGATCACTGCTCACTGCAGCCTTGACCTCCTGGGCTCAAGCAATCTTCCCACCTCAGACTCCCAAGTAGCTGGGACTACAGGCACATGCCACCACACTCAGCTAATTTTTGTATTTTTTGTAGAGATGAGGTCTCACTATGTTGCAATGCTAGAGACAGGGTTTTGCCATGTTGCCCAGGCAGGTCTTGAACTCCTGGGCTGAAGCAATATGCTTGCCTTGGCCTCCCAAAGCGCTGGGATTACAGATGTGAGCCACCGTGCCTGGCATCATTTTCAAAACCAGACTTTTTCCTTGGTGATGGTTCTAGCCAAATGTTTTAGCTCCTCAGTGTCATCGTGGTTTCCCGCCATCAGGAAGCTGGTAGTCCTTCTCCCAACTGAAGCGGTCACCACATTTGATTTCCACTATCAGGAAATGAATATATCACTATTTTCATAACAGCTACCATGTATTGAGTGTGTGGTTGTTCTAGGCAGTAGGCTAAGCAGTTTCCATTTTATCACTTAGTTTTCACAAGAATCTTAGGAAATCACCATTAATAAACCAATTTTTCAAATGAAACTGATGCCTAAAGAGGTTTAAAAACTTTGAGTATGTGAGGATGGGGTAGAAGCAAGGATTGTCTTACTCTAGGGTCAGATCTGGGTTTTGTGGGGCCTGAAGCTTAGGCTACTGGGGGGGACCATCTTTAAGAAAATGATAAAAAAGGCCGGGCGCGGTGGCTCACGCCTGTAATCCCAGCACTTTGGGAGGCCGAGGCGGGTGGATCATGAGGTCAGGAGATCGAGACCATCCTGGCTAACATGGTAAAACCCCGTTTCTACTAAAAATACAACAAATTAGCCGAGCGTGGTGGCGGGCGCCTGTAGTCCCAGCTACTCGGGAGGCTGAGGCAGGAGAGTGCGGTGAACCCGGTAGGCGGAGCTTGCAGTGAGCTGAGATCGCGCCACTGCACTCCAGCCTGGGCGACAGAGCGAGACTCTGTATGAATTAAAAAAAAAAAAAAAGAAAAATGATTAAAAATTACAAATACAAATTTTGGCTGTGTGTGGTGACTCATGCCTGTAATCTCAGCACTTTGGCAGGTTCACTTGAGGCTAGGAATTCAAGACCAGTCCGGGCAACACAGTGAGCCCCGACTCTACTTTGGGAGGCCAAGGCAGGCAGATCACGTGGTCAAGAAAGCGAGACTATCCTGGCCAACACGGCGAAACCCCGTCTCTACTAAAAATACAAAAATTAGCTGGGTGTGGTGGCGTGCGCCTGTAGTCCCAGCTACTCGCTTGAACTCAGCAACCAAGGAGAATCGCTTGAACTCAGGAGGCAGAGGTTGCAGTGAGCCGAGATCGCACCATTGCACTCCAGCCTGGTGACAGAGCGAGACTCCGTCTCAAAAAAAAAAAAAAAAAAAATTATCAGACATAGTAGTGGCTCCCGTCTGCAGTCCCAGCTACTTGGGAAGCTTAGGTGGAAGGATCCCTTGAGCCCAGGAATTGGAGGTTGCAATGAGCCATGGTTGAGCCACTGCACTCCAGCCTTGGGGTGACAGAGCAAGACCCCCTCTCTAAAAAAAAAAAAGCCACAAAAATACAAATTTTTATAAGAAAGTGCTGGAGTAAAAGGAGATAATGTGTGACTGAGTGATCTTAACCAATTGCAGTTAAAAAATGTTTTTAACAAATTTTACAAAAAACGTTCACTCTGTGAACACATCATTCATTAGGACCTCCCTCAGCTCTTTGGAAGGAGCTAATAGTGTAAATGAAGGGTTTTGAGGCCACGACTTCATTAGCAACTCAATAAATCCACCTGTGCCTCTGCTGGAGCCGTGGTTTTCCACAAAGAATTGACAGGCCTAAAAGGTCAATAGTGCCTTGGCTGAGAAAGCTTGTGCTCCAGGGAGGAAACCTGAAGAAAGAGGTTGCCAAACTCTTCTTGGGTGGTCATTGATTGCACCCAAATTGCATTTTATGAGACTCTCAGATCCATTATCTCTCTTGGTCTTGGGAAGACAGTAGAGGGAGTTGGGATGGATTGTTCAGCTCTTTGCATTACAAATGTATCCTGGGTGACAGAGAGGGTGTCCTGCAGTTGCTCCCATGCTCCCTGACTCTCTTCTCTCTTCTCATTGTTGTCTCTCTTTAGGCCAGCCCTGTCCAATGCAAAGGCGAGCCCTGGTTCCATGGGTGAGGAAGGGATCTCTGGGTGCTTCCAGGCTGAACCTCTAGTCTGGTAAACATCTGAAAGCAAACACTCCTCTCCCATGAGAATTGGTCTCCTGGAGAGCATGCCTTTCTGAGTGACAAGTTAGTATTCTTCTGTTACCCTGATTTGTATCCTATTTGCTGTTAGATAGCTCTGGTCTTATTATGCAAAAGGTGCCTTTCCCCCGTCTTGCCCTGAATTGTATTACAAAGCTTCCTCAAATTAGGAAACATTAAAAGGTGCCCAGCTCAGCCCAAGCTTCTCCCCTCATCTTGGAGGAGGAAAGGGGAGCTGTTTCAGTTTATGCTGCCATATAAAGGGCTGTTGTTTGTTTAAGTTGCTGTATTCCATCCCTGGCACTGTCTCCAAGCATGATACTATGACGAAGCTTGTTTTTGTTTTGTTTTGTTTTGTTTTTTACAGCTCTTTTCTCTTTTCCTTCCTTCCTTCCTTTTTTTTTTTTTTTTTAACGAGGTCTTGCTTCATTGCTCAGGCTGGAGTGCAGTGGCATGATTATGGCAGCCTCAACCTCCAGGATCAAGTGGTCCTCCTACCTCAGCCTCCCAAGTAGCTGGGACCACAGACATAGGCTACCACGCCCAATTAATTGAAAAAATTTTTTTCAGCCTGGCCAACATGGTGAAACCCCATCTCTACCAAAAAGCACAAAAATTAGCCAGGCATGGTGGCAAGTGCCTGTAGTCCAAGTTACTCAGGAGGCTGAGGCAGGAGAATCGCTTGAACCTGGGAGGCAAAAGTTGCAGTGAGCTGAGATCACGCCACTGCCCTCCAGCCTAGGCGACAGACTGAGACCCTGTCTCAAAAAAATAAATAAAAATTTTATTTATTTATTTATTTATTTATTTTTTGTAGAGATTGGATCTCACTATGTTGTTCAGGCTGGTCTCGAATTCCTGGGCTCAAGCTATCCTCCTGCTTTGGCTTCTCAAAGTGTTAGGATTATAGGCGTGAGCCTCCGGGCCTGGCCTGATGAAGCTTCTTATTTAATTTTTGCTGCACTTAGGATGAATGAAGTGTGGAACCCTGAAAGACTGATTTAGGGAAAATCTATACACCCTGCCCCTAGCAGGTGTCTCTCTGCAGGTGATGGCTGAGGAATGCCGAAAACATGAAAGCCATGCCCTCCTTCCCCTCAAGGGGAGCTTGCAGATGAATTAGGGAAGGAGAGCTTGTGACAGATTTGGTAACACCTCTCTGACTTCTACCAACAGGTGCAAATTAACCTAATTCCCAAGCCACTATCAAAGTAACATCAAGGTGAAAATAATATACTTGGCCTAGGTGGTGAAGTGGTAGCAGTGATACTTCCTTGATCTGCACGTTTGGACTTGCCCATGTGGGGAGTTATCCAAATTATCCAAAAAAACTGAATCTTAACCCATCTTAACCCATTCTTTAAGACAATTTTCTTGATTTTTAATTAATTTTTTTTTAGATGGGGTCTTGCTCTGTTGCCCAAGCTGGGGTGCAGTGGCACAATCTCCGCTCACTGCAGGCTCCGCCTCCTGGGTTCAAGTGATTCTCCTGCCTCAGCCTCCTGAGTAGCTGGGATTACAGGTGCACATCACCACGCCTGGCTAATTTTTGTATTTTTAGTAGAGATGGGGTTTCACCATGTTAGCCAGGCTGGTCTCGAACTCTTGACTTCAAGTGATCCACCTGCTTTGGCCTCTCAAATGCTGGGATTACAAAGCATGAGCCACCACACCCAGCCCAATTTTTATTTTAGATGGAAGTCTTTCTTAAAAGGTTCATGTGCCGCAGCTCTACTGGAAAAGGAAGACGCTGAGTATGCAGTGAAAATCTCTAGACTTTCATCCTGTAAGCTAAGAATCAAAAGTCCCAAATTAAAATCCTAATTTTGCTCTCAAGACAATGCAATTGTTGAGTCCAGGAGTTCTGAGCTGTAGCATACTATGCCAGAATCCTCAGATGGGTTTCGCTATGTTGGCCAGGTTGGTCTCAAACTCCTGGCCTCAAGCAATCTGCCTGCCTCGGTCTCCCAAAGTGCTGGGATTATAGGCATGAGCCACCGCACCCGGCCTGTTGTTTTTGAGACAGGGTCTTGTTCTGTTGCCCAGGCTGGCGTGCAGTGGCACTATCATGGCTCACTGTAGCCTCAGCCCCCTGGGCTCAAGTGATTCTCCTGCCTCAGCCTCTTCAGTAGAAATTTTTTTTTAATTTTAATTTTTTTTGGTCTTGCTCTGTTGCTCAGGCTGGAGTGCAGTGGCGCAATCTCAGCTCACTGCGAGCTCCGCCTCCCGGGTTCACGCCATTCTCCTGCCTCAGCCTCCTGAGCAGCTGGGACTACAGCCGCCCACAACCACACCTGGCTAATTTTTTGTATTTTTAGTAGAGATGGGGTTTCACCATGTTAGCCAGGAGGGTCTCGATCTCCTGACCTCGTGATCTGCCCGCCTCGGCCTCCCAAAGTGCTGGGATTACAGGCATGAGCCACTGCACCCAGCCGAGTAGAAATTTTTTGTCTTGGCCTAAGCAGCAATGAGAAACCATGAGTCTATGATGGCAGAGGTACAGGGTCTTAGACTATGAGATTCAGAAGGCATCGTCAGGACTGTCTAAAACATTCTCTTCTCCCCATCTTTCACATCTTTTGAAATGAAGGCCCAGAAAGGGGCCCAGATGGATTGGGATTCATGAATCTTCAAGCATACACATTTTGGACTGCCCTCTTTAAAGAATGCAAAGTTACCAATACAGAATTAGGTACAGGGCCTTAAGCAGCCCATGCAAATGAGGGCTTGGGTTACAAGCTCACCCTTCTGATGGGGGAATGAATGGGATCTATTTTGGAAAAGAGTGAGCATGGGGCCTGGGGAACGTGTGAAAGGGGATGCCCATCCTCCAATTTGTACCTACTATAAGACAGAACAAACAGAGGAACATAAAGCCGGGGTGCTTTTTAGAGACCACAGAGATTAGAAGGGCTTCTGAGTGGCAAAGAATGATTGAGGTTATAGGACAGTGTAAGGATTTAGGGGATCAGTGACAAAGCTCCCATTTTTGATCCCCTTTCCAGCAAAAGTGATCCAGAATCTGAATGGAAAGGAATCTGGAGATCATCTAGTCCCAACTCCTATATAACACAGTTCGTCTTCAGTATTACCCAAAATGTGTATAGTCTGTGCTTGAACACCGTGTGTCACAGAGAATTCACTGACTCACATCACTCCTCGCCATTGTGCATCAGCTTCAGATATTAAAACGCCTTCCCTTGAACCAAACTGATCTTCTGGCAACTTCCACCAGCTGGGGTAAGTTTGGACTTTTGGGGCCATGGTTAAGTCAATTCCCTTTTCCCCATGGCAATACTTCATCAATAAACTATGGGTTTTTTGCTTTTTTGTTCTTGTTGTTTTTGAGACAGGGTCTCACTCTGCCGCCCAGGCTGGAGTGCAGTGGCACAATCTCGGCTTACTGCAGCCTCTGCCTCCCAGGCTCAGGTGATCCTCCCACCTCAGCCTCAGTCCCAGTAGCTGGGACTACAGGCGTGCACCACCATGCCTGTTAGTTTTTGAATTTTTGGTGGAGATGAGGTTTCACCATGTTGCCCATGGCTGGTCTTGAACTCCTGGACTCAAGCAATCTGCTTGCCTCGGCCTTCCAAAGTGCTGGGATTACAGGTGTTAGCCACTGCGCCTGGCCTAATAAAATAAACTATGTTCTATTAGTGCCTGCTTCCTGGGGATACTGTGAGGACTAAATGAGGACCTGCCCATAGTGAGGACTCAGGAAATGTTCGCAATGATTACATAATTTGAATAGCATTCATGGGCTCCATCAACCCTGGCTAGTTGCTACCCCCTGGTAATAATAACAGCGAATATTTATTGAAGGCTTACTGAGAGGCCTTGTACCAACTCTCCTCTATGTAGTCCTCAAAACAACTCTGTAATTTGGATTATGCCCACAGAGAAGATACATCACTTGTCCAAGATGACATTATGGCAAAACTAAGGCAGGAACTGGGCTGTTTGATTCCAAGCCCATGTACTTTGCCTCATCTTTTTTTTTTTTTTTTTTGTAAGCGATAGGGGTCTCACTCTGTGGTCCAGCCTGGGGTCTAGTGTTGCAATCACAGTTCATTGTATCCTCGAACTCCTGGGTTCAAGGGATCCTCCTTCCTTAGCCTCGCAAGTAGCTGGGAATGCAGACGTGCATCACCATGCCAGGCTAATTCTTTTTTTTTTTTTTTTGGTAGCGATGGGGTCTCCTTATGTTGCCCAGACTCGTCTTGAACTCCTGGCCTCAAGCAATCCACCTGCCTTGGCCTCCCAAAGTGCTGGGATTACAGGTGTGAGCCACTGTGCCTGACCTGCCTCATCTTTAAAAAAAGTTTTAAAATTAATTTTAAATTTAAAAAAATTGCCTCATATTTTGTGCACTCAAGTCTCAGACTATTGCCACTCACCTCTGGGCAGGTTCCAATGGGAAGCGCTCTTCTGTGCGACTCCTCGTGCAGGTCCTTGGGTCCTGGTGTTGGCCACCATAACAGGCCATAGCAGAATGATTTCTGTGGTATCCCTGGGAGCTTTGGCAATTTCAGAGCCAAAGGAGATGCCAGACTGCCTGGCTCCAAAGGGGCCGAGACTGGGTCTCAACTGTCTTTCCTCATTGGATAGCCTACATTAAAGGATCATTTTCAAAAAAGAGTAAAATCACGATTCTCATTGGGATATTAAAAAAACACATGTTAAAGATTTTATTTATTCTTTTTTTAAATTATTTATTTATTTTTTTGAGATGGAGTTTTGCTCTTGTTGCCCAGGCTGGAGTACAGTGGCCCAGTCTCAGCTCACTGCAACCTCTGCCTCCTGGGTTCAAGCGATTCTCATGCCTCAGCCTCCCGAGTAGCTGGGATTACAGGCATGCGCCACCATGCCTGGCTAATTTTTTGTATTTTTAGTAGAGACAGGGTTTCCCCATGTTGGCCAGGCTGATCCGCCCACCTTGGCCTCCCAAAGTGCTGGAATTACAGGCTTGAGCCACCGAGCCCAACCCCTAATTCATTATTAATGAGGGAGCCAGTAAGCTGTTACAACCAGTTCACAGGAGAATTCAAAGAACAGACACATTTTTTGATCAAAAATATTCACATAAATGTGCAAATGGAAGCAAAATTGGCTTCTTCCGCAGTCAGGGAGAGAAGTTAATGTAACCTCTGCTAGACAGAATTTGCACGTCAATAGACAGGAATTATTTTACCTTGCTATGAGGTTTTTTACAATTTATAGAGTTGTGAAATAGCTCAAAAGCAATGAGAGGCTAGAATCAGATAACCTGGAAGGGTGTGTGCTAGACCAGGGATCAGCAAACTTTTACTGTAAAGGGCCAGATAGTAGATATTTTGTGGACCATATAATTTTTGTTTGAACTATTTAATTCTGTCCTTGTACTATAAAACAACCACAGATAATACATAAACACATGAGCATGGCTGTATTCCAATAAAACTTTATTTGTCGACACTGAAATTTGAATTTTATACCTTTTTTTTTTTTTTTTTTGAGACAGAGTCTCACTCTGTCGCCCAGGCTGGAGTGCAGTGGTGCCATCTTGGCTCACTGCAAGCTCTGCCTCCTGGGTACACGCCATTCTCCTGCCTCAGCCTCCCAAGTAGCTCGGACTACACGCGCCCGCCACCACGCCCAGCTAATTTCTTTTTTTGTATTTTTAGTAGAGATGGGGTTTCACCATGTTAGCCAGGATGGTCTCGATCTCCTGACCTCGTGATCTGCCTGCCTCAGCCTCCCAAAGTGCTGGGATTACAGGCGTGAGCCACCGCGCCCAGCCTGAATTTTATACAATTTTTACATCACACAATATTGTTGTTCTAATTTTCTTAAGCATTTAAAAATGTAAAATCCATTCATAGGATGAATACAAAAACACGTGGCTGCTGGATTTACCCCATAGGAAGCAGTTTGCCAACTACTGCTCTAGACAATGCAATTTTCCCTTAAAGCACAAATTTTCCCTAGACTCTATGGTAGGCAGAATAATGATTCCCTAAAGATGCCTATATCTTTTTTTTTTTTTTAAGCAAAGTCTCGCTTTGTCGCCCAGGCTGGAGTGCAGTGGCGCAATCTTGGCTCACTGCAACCTCCGCCTCCTGGGTTCAAGTGATTCTCCTCCTTAGCCTCTGGAGTAGCTGGGATTACAGGCACACGCCACCAAGCCTGGCTAATTTTTGTTTCACCATGTTGGCCAGGCTGGTCGGAAACTCCTGACCTGAAGTGATCCGCCCGCCTTGGCCTCCCAAAGTGCTGGGATTACAGCCGTGAGCCACCGCACCTGGCCAAAGATGCCTGTATCTTAACCCTGGAATCTGTGAATATGTTATTAGGTTGGTGCAAAAGTAATTGCAATTTCTGCAATTAAAAATAAAGGGGGAGGGGCAAAAACCGAAATTACTTTTGCACCAACCTAGTACGTTACATGGCAGGAGATAATTCAAGTTGTTCACCAGATGACCTTGAGATGAGGTGTTACCCTGGGTGGAATGAGCCAAATGTAATCCAAAGGGTGCTTAAATGGGAAAGAGGGAGGCTTAGCAGTCAGAACAGAGAGATGGATAGAATCATGAGAAAGACTTGACTATCTATTGCTGGCTTGGAAGTTGGAAGGGGACCATGAGCCAAGGAATGCAGGACACCTCTAGAAGCTGGAAACGACAAGGAAATGGCCTCTCCCCTGGAGCCTCTGGAAGGAAAATCCTTCTGACACCTTGATTTTAGCCCAGGGAGAGCCATTTTGGGCTTTTTAATTTTTTATTTATTATTTTTTTGAGACGGAGCCTCACTCTGTCACCCAGGCTGCAGTGCAGTGGCACAATCTGGATTCACTGCAACCTCCGCCTCCCAGGTTTAAGCAATTCTCTCCTCAGCCTCCCCAACAGGTGGGATTACAGGCACGTGTCACCACGCCCGGCTAATTTTTTGTATTTTTAGTAGAGATGGGGTTTCATTATCTTGGCCAGGCTGGTCTTGAACTCCTGACCTTGTGATCCACCAGCCTCGACCTCCCAAAGTGCTGGGATTACAGGTGTAAGCCACCATGCCCGGCCCCCCCTTTTTTTTTTGAACTTAAAAAATTTTTTGTGGGTACCTAGTAGGTATATATATTTACAGTGTACATGAAATATTTCAATACAGACATATGGAGCATAATAATGACATCAGGGTGGGCCAGGCATGGTGGTTCACACCTGTAATCTCAGCACTTTGGGAAGCTGCGGTGGGTGAATCATCTGAGATCAGGAGTTCAAGACCAGCCTGACAAACATGGTGACACCCCAACTCTACTAAAAATACAAAAATTAGCCGGGTGTGGTGGTGTGCGCCTGTAGTCCCAGCTACTTGGGAGGCTGAGGCAGGAGAATCACTTGAACCCGGGAGGCAGAGGTTGCAGTGAGCCGAGATCGGCCCATTGCACCCCAGTCTGGGCAAGAAGAGCAAAATTCCGCCTCAATAATAATAATAATAACACCAGGGTAAATGGGGTATCCAATATCTCAAGCATTTGTCCTTTCTTTGTATTACAAACAATCCAATTATTATCTTTCAATTATTATTTTTTCTTTCTTTCTTGTTATATCCACCTGAATTTAAATCTTTCAGTTATTTTTAAATGTACAATAAATTATTGTTGGCTGTAGTCACCCTGTTGTGTTGTCAAATACTAGATCTTATTCATTCTAACTACATTTTTATACCCATTTACCATCCCCATTTATCATCCTCCCCATTACCCTTCCCAGCCTCTGGGAGTTCAATTAATTTTTTTTAGCTCCCAGAAATAAATAATAACATGTGAAGTTTGTTTTTCTGTGCCTGGCTTCTATCACTTAACATAATGACCTCCAGTTCCATCCCTGTTGTTGTAAATGACAGGATCTCATTCTTTTTATGGACAAATAGTACTTCATTGTGTGTATGTACCATACTTTATTTATCCATTCATCTGTTGATGGACACTTAGGTTGCTTCTAAATCTTGGCTACTGTGGATAGTGCTAACATGGAAGTATAGCTACCTCTTTGATATATTGATTTCCTTTCTTTTCTTTTCTTTTTCTTTTTCTTTTTTTTTTTTGAGACAGAGTCGCGCTGTGTCTCCAGGCTGGAGTGCAGTGGCTCGATCTCAGCTCACTGCAACCTCCGCCTCCCAGGTTCAACTGATTCTCCTGCCTCAGCCTCCCAAGTAGCTGGGACTACAGGCGTATGCCACCACGCCTGGCTAATTTTTTGTATTTTTAGTAGAGACGGGGTTTCACCGTGTTAGCCAGGATGGTCTCGCTCTCCGGACCTCGTGATCCGCCCCTCTCAGCCTCCCAAAGTGCTGGGATTACAGGCATGAGCCACTGCGCCCAGTCTTGATTTCCTTTCTTTTGGGCATATACCTAGCAGTGAGACTGCTGGATCATATGGTAGCTGTATTTTTAGTTTTTTGAAGAACCTCCAAACTGTTCTTCATAGTGGTCGTACTAATTTATATTTCCACCAAGAGTGCGTGAGGTTTCCCTTTCTCCACATCCTCACCAGCACAAGTTATTCCCTGTCTTTTGGATAAAAGCCATTTTAACTGGGGTGAGATGATATCTCCTAGTAGTTTTGATTTGCATTTCTCTGATGGTCAGTGATGTTGAGCACCTTTTCGTGTATCTGTTGGCCATTTGTACAACTTCTTTTCAGAAATGTCTACTCAGATCTTTTGTCCATTTTTAAATTGGATTATTAGATTTTTTTCCTATTGAGTTGTCTGAGCTTCTTAATATATTCTGGTTATTAATTCCTTGCTATTTTGGACATCTGATCTCCAGAACTATAGGATAATAAATTTGTGTTAAGTCACTGAGTTTGTGATAATTTATGACAGCAGCAATAGGAAATTAATACACCCCTTGTGATAAAAAAAATCTTGAAAAATGATGTTTCTGATCACAAAATAAGGCTGGTCTTATTAGGTCTGACCTGATTATATACATAGGTGCAACAAGAACATTAATTTATCACACAGACCTTAAAAATTTGCTGGAAATGGGCCAGGCACGGTGGCTCACGCCTGTAATCCCAGCATTTTCGGAGGCTGAGGCAGGTGAATCACCTGACGTCAGAAGACCAACCTGGCCAACGTGGCAAAACCCTGTCTCTATATAAATACAAAAATTAGCCAGGCGTGGTGGCAGGTGCCTGTAATCCCAGCTACTTGGGAGGCTGAGGCAGGAGAATTTCTTGGACCTGGGAGGCGGAGGTTGCAGTGAGCCGAGATCGCACCACCACACTCCAGCATGGGCGACACAGTCAGACCCCATCTCAAAAAAAAAAAAAAAAAAAGATGGTGGCCAGACGCTGTGGCTCAAGCCTGTAATCCCAACACTTTGGAAGGCCGAGGCAGGTGTATCACGAGGTCAGGAGTTTGAGACCAGCCTGGCCAATATGGTGAAACCCCATCTCTACTAAAAATACAAAAATTAGCCGGGTGTGGTGGCTCATGCCTGTAATCTCAGCTACTCGGGAGGCTGAGGCAGGAGAAGAGCTTGAACCCAGGAGGCGGAGGTTGCAGCAAGTTGAGATCACACCACTGCACTCCGGCCTGGGCAACAGAGCAAGACTCTGTCTTAAAAAAAAAAAAAAATTGCTGGAAATTTTCAGAAGGAATCTCAGACTGGACTTTACGTTTTGCTGAATTCCTGTTTACTTGAGCAAATATCTAAGATTTGGGCGCCTGCCAAGAAGTGGCCTTCCTTACTCATCTGTAAGCTGTGCCCCAGGACCATTTTTCTGAGAGGGCTTTGAAAGTGCTGGCTCCATGAAAGCCAAATGTGTTTCCTCAGAAAGACTGGTCATACTTGATTAAATAAGCAACATTTTCAAATATGACAAGGCAAGGCCTTGGTTGCAAAGCCAATTTTTCCAATTATAGTCTGGTGAAAAGGACATTTATAACAAACCTATGCAAATAACTATACTGCCATTCAGCAAAGACCCAGTAAGAGTTTCTGGAAGAGGAGGAGGAGATGGGCCTATGAGAATGAGATATTTTTATTTTTACTTACATATTCATTTTTTAGACACAGAGTGTTGATTCTGTCATCCAGGCTGGAGTGCAGTGGCGTAATCATAGCTCACTATAACCTCGAACTGGGCTCAGGCAATCCTCCTGCCTCAGCCTCCCGAGTAGCTAGGACTACAGGCACATACCATTACATCCATCTAATTTTCAAAAAATTTTTGTAGAGACGAAGTTTTGCTATGTTGCCGGGTGGTCTCAAACTCCTGGACTCAAGCAACCCTCCTGCTTCAGCCTCCCAAAGTGCTGGGATTACAGGCTTGAGCCACCGCGCCCAGCCTGGAATGAAATATTTTAAAATGGTATCTTAGGCTGACATTTTGATTTTATGATTAGCCATCATTTCTCCCACTACCTTCATGCATTGCCCCGCCCTCAGCTCCAGGGCTGAAACAACTCAGCAGCTCAAGCAGCATTTTTCCTTCTTTTTTCTAATAAGGATACGCCTATCCTCATTCCTTACACTGAAATTCACTGCTGAGTGGCTGTGCTATTTTTCTTGTTATTTTAACACATTTCAGTATATAGGGTGTTTTTGTTATTGAAAATTGCCCAAAGTGATTTTCCTACTAGTTATTTCTACCTTCCAGTAACCTAAATTCTACCTTTTCAATTTGGACCCATTACCTCTTTGAAAACCCAACTTGGAGACTATATGGTTCATGTAAACTTGTTTTTGAGGCAAAGGGATGACCAGAAATCTAGGACAATTGGCATCAAAATAATTAACAATAGCAATGGATTACAAACCACAGAATAAAATACAAGTCCATGAGTCCATACTGACATAAGTGAATGGGGAGAAGGGAAAGCTCTTCCTTACAGTAGATTGACAGCTAATAAATACAAAAGGAATGATGTTAAAACCAGTAGGTGCAAGTTTAATGAGGAACATAGTCTCAAAGAATATCCTCACTAATTGGCCGGGTGTGGTGACTCACGCCTGGAATCCCAGCACTTTGGAAGGCCGAGTCGGACAGATCACTTGAGGCCAAGAGTTCGAGACCAGCCTGGGCAGCATAGCAAAACCCCATCTCTACTGAGGCGGCAGGATTGCTTGAACCTTCGAGGCAGAGGTTGCAGTGAGCTGAGATGGGGCCTCTGCACTCCAGCCTGGAGGACAGAGCCAGACTCCATCTCAAAACAAAGAAACAAACAAAAACACAAAGAAAGGCTGAAAGATGATTTCAGATTAAAGGAGACTAAGAGCAGTGTATGATCCTGACTTCGATGCAAGATTGGGAAAAAATTGCTATAAATGACATTACTGGGACAGTGGATGAAATTTGAAAATGGGCAATGAGCTGGATGTGGTGGCTCACACCTGTAATCCCAACACTTTCAGAGGCTAAGGTGGGCAGATCGCTTGAGGCCAGGAGATCAAAACCAGCCTGGGCAACAAAGTGAGATGGCATCTCTACATAAAATTAAAAATTTGCTGGGCGTGGAGGCGCGTGCCTGAGGTCCCAGCTACTTGGGGGGCTGAGGTGGGAGGATCGTTTGAGCCCAAGAGGTGGAGGCTGCAGTGATCTATGATCACCCCACTGCACTCCAGCCTGGGCAATAGAGCAAGACCAGGAAAGAAAATGGGCTATGGGAGGTTGTGCCATTGCACTCCAGCTTGGGCAACAAGAGTGAAACTGTCTCAAAAAAAAACAAAAAACAAAAAGGTGGGGGGGCTATGGATTAGATAATTCTATTGTATCAATGTTCGATTTTCTGATATTGACAACTGTAAGATAACGTCCTCACTTTTAAAAGACACACTTGAAATATTTATGGGTACAGGTACACAATGTTTCCAATTTACTCAGAAGTTTTAGGAACACACAAGCACATGCACACACACACACACACACACACACAGAGGAAATGATAAATAATGTAGACAATTGGTGAATCTGGGTAGAGGGTATAGGAAGTTCCTTGTATCATTCTTGCAACTTTTCCATAAGTTTGAAATTATATAAAAATAAATTATAACAAAAATGGTTGACCAGAAACTTTTTTTTTTTTTTAGACAGAGTCTTGCTCTGTCACCCAGGCTGGAGTGCAGTGGCACGATCTCTGCTCACTGCAAGCTCTGCCTCCCGGGTTCATGCCATTCTCCTGCCTCAGCCTCCCGAGTAGCTGGGACCACAGGCACCTGCCACCACGCCCGGCTAATTTTTTGTATTTTTAGTAGAGACGGGGTTTCACCGTGTTAGCCAGGATGGTCTGGATCTCCTGACCTCGTGATCCGCCCTCCTCAGCCTCCCAAAGTGCTGGGATTACAAGCTTGAGCCACTGTGCCCGGCCAACCAGAAACTTTTAATTTCACCCCACAGTGCTAAAAATATTCCTAAACTATGAGTCTACTTTCTTGGTTTGGTAAACACTCTCTAAGAAACATAACCGTAGCTCTCTGAAATAATTAAGAAATTCTTCAAGATCCTAAATCTTCAATAACCATTTATGCATGATGAGAAAAAGTTAGTAAATTTAATTTTCCATATAACCAAAACTTATTCCTTTAAGTCATTCTTTTAGCAAGTGTGTGGGAAACTTCTATGTACCAGATACACTCTAGGTGTTGATCCCTGCACTTGTGGAGTTTATATCTAGCAGAGAGAGAGAGACAACAATAAATGTAATTAATAAGTAAATTATATACTGTAGGATAAAAAATGATAAGTGCTGGAGAAGCAGCAGAGCAGATGATGATAAGTGCAAGGGCAAGGGAGGTCGGGCTGGGCTGCAATCTCAAATAGGGCCTTCTTGTGGAGAAGGCCTTTGAGTATAGGCTTGGAGGTGAGGGAGTGAGCTGTGCAGATACTCTGCCTAAAGGCTCTCCAGGCAGAGGGAACAGCCAGTGCAGAGACCCTGGGGTAGAAGTTGCCCAGAGTTTCAAGGAGCAGTAAGGAAGCCACTGTGGCTACAGTGAAGTGAAAAAGTAATATTTTAGCTCAAAATCCTCCACTGCCTTCCCATTTGTCTCAAAAATCCTCGCAGCAGGTTTTAAGGTCCTACAGACCTGATTTCACTACCTTTCTGATTTCACCTCTTACTTCTCTTTTAAGTTCATAAACATTTTTATTTATTAATATTGGAACAAAAATATCTTTTAAAAAATGCATTATTGGCTGGGTACGGTGGCTCACGCCTGTAATCCAGCACTTTGGGAGGCCGAGGTGGGCAGATCACCTGAGGTCAGGAGTTTGAGACCAGCCTGGCCAACATGGTGAAACCCTGTCTCTACTAAAAATACAAAAATTAGCTGGTCGTGGTGGTGCATGCCTGTGGTCCCAGCTACTCAGGAGGCTGAGGCATGAGAATTGCTTGAACCTGGGAGACGGAGGTTGCAGTGAGCCAAGATCGCGCCACTGCACTCCAGCCTGGACAACAAAGCGAGACTCCATCTCAAAAAAAAAAAAAAAACAGTCTCACTATGTTGCTCAGGCTGAAGGGCAATGGCTATTCAGAGGCATGAACATTGCACACTACAGCCTCAAGCTCCCAGGCTCAAGCAATCCTTCTGCCTCAGCTTCCAAGTGCCACTGGTGTGCATGACCACACCTGGCTTTAGTTGAGCAAGTACTGAGCACCTTACATATGTTAAAACATACTACAATTCATCCTGGTGTAGATATTAAACTCCCTTTTAGAAAAATGTATGCATAGTGAATGATATATTTACATTTAGGTCAAAATGCTTCTGAAGAAATCACTATAGAGTATTAAAGTGTATCAGGAATCATAAATAGGTATTACTAAGTTTGCATGTCAAAGGTCAGCTTTATACACTTAATAGGAAAGTAGCCTCAAATTCATCCTAAGTTTTGGCAGCCAGCCTCCAAGGTGGCCCTGATGATTCTCACTTCATGGTATTCTAGCCCTGGGTAGTCTCCTCCCATACTGAAGAGGGTTGACCTGTGTGGTCAATGAGATACTGTGGAAATGGAGTCTTCCTATTCACTTTGTGGGGGAAGCCAGCTACATGAGAATATTCAGTATATGCAGAAGTCCACTTGCCTAGGAAGTGAGGTGTAGTCATGCACGTGAGCCACCTTGAAAGCAAATCCTGCAACCCTAGTCAAGCCTTCAGATTACTTTTTAAAAAAAAAAAAAAAAAGACATGGTCTTCCTCTGTCACCCAGGCTGGAATGCAGTGGCACAACCACAGCTCACTGAAGCCTCAACCTGTCGATCTGCTGGGCTCAAGCAGTCCTCCCACCTCAGCCTCCCGAGCAGCTGGGACTACAAGTGTGTGCCACCATGCCTGGCTAATTTTTAAATTTTTTTGTAGAGACGAGGTCTCACTATTGTTGCCCAGGCTGGTCTTGAACTCCTGAGCTCAAGCGATTCTCCTACCTTGGCCTCCCAAAGTGCTGGGATTACAGGTGTTAGCCACCGCACCCAGCCTGCAACCTCTTAAGAGTCAGAATCACTCAGCTAAGTGACTCTTGGATTCTTCACCCAGAGTAATTGTAGAGGATAATAAATGTTTGTTTTAAGCTGCTAAGTTTTAGGGGGGTAATTTGTTATGCAACAACAGGTAATGCATAGAAACCTGTCCAATATAACTCATGGAAATTTTGTCTTGCCATTTCATCTATTGGGATGGGAAAAGATTGAAGGACTCTTAATTGTGAACAGTCAAAAGGTTGAAAATGTTATAAGAAGTTGCTTTAAAGAGCAGCTCATAAATCAATCTTTGTAGGAAAGCTGACAATTTCCAACTATGGGGTACAGAAGTTGGGCCTTGGAGTATACTAGGTAATTCATTTTCTTAAAACTGAGGACCAGACCAGGTACTCTGTACCTCCAGTAAAGATCAATGATCACAAGGGAGAGTCACACAGGAACTAATGGAAGAAAAGGAACCCAAACTCAGACTCCTGCTGCTCCCCTCTCATTACTCGTCACATGCTTAGTTTTTTAGACCATTTCTGCCAAAGTAAACAACAGTAAATAACAGCCCAACTTACCTTTACATCTGTATTTCCTACTCCTTTTATTTCAGGCACCCATGAGTCAAACCAAACAGAACCAACCACCAGTCAAGAAAATTACGCCTTCTTAAAAACTAATCTATACCTCCTACCACACACACAATGTGATTTTTCATACAAATCACATTGTATTACACTTCAAACATCTCACTTGAGTTCTAATTATGAAGGCAGGGTCATGTTTTATGTTTTTGTGTACCTGAGGCTTAACACAGCACCTCTAGGCATATTTCAGTAAATACAGCTGGTATACGTCGTGCCATTTGACTTCTGTATTTTAGTTCCTTCTGCTTTATCATCTTAGAACACACCCTTCTCATATACCTCTGTATCTAAAATCCTGGCTTACTTCAAGTATCATCCCAAAGAAATATTCTAATTTCTACTACCACCTACCCCCATTGTCATCCTACCTCATATAAAACAGAAGTAATCCCTACCTCATCTGAACCCCCACAGAATCTAGATCTCCTACATTAAATCTTAGTTGAATGAATTAAGAGATTGAGTTCAGGACTCGTCTCCTGGAAGTCTTCCTTGAATCTGCCCTCCTTTGCTCTATCCCAACATGCACTACAATGTATTAAATCATTTGTGTGCATGCTCCACCAGCATACCCTTCCTTCTCTGATGGCACCTAGAAAGGATCAACATGCTTTCAGGACACTATCAAAAACAGTGTTACCACACTGACAGTATGGCCATTCTCATCTTAGAAATGCCTCTTTCAACTAAAAATGAATATTCTTTCTTTTTTAGATAGCAGATATATCAATTTACATGAAGAGTTCGAAGGCTAGAACAATAAGCCCAGGTACATTAAGACTAATGGTAGAAAATCGGAGGTACCAAGGCCCTATGAAAACCAAAACCACCCCACCTTCTTTGCTGCTGGCCAGATTTTGGCAGCTGAACTCAGTTAAAGTTCATGTTCCTGTTTTCTTGATAGATGTCAAAATGTAATCTAGAGCCTGCTATTCAGTATCACCTGGATGCTTGTCAGGAATGCACTCTCAAATGGTCCAGCCACCTTAGAAAATAGTTTCCCGGTTCTTTAAAATGTTAGTTACCATATGACCCAATAATTCCACTCCTAGGTATATTCCCAACAGAAATGAAAACATACTTTCACACAAAATCTTGTACATAAATGTTCATAGCTGTATTATTCATAATAGCCAAAAAATGGAAACTGATGCAGGGACACAGAAAACGTGCTATAGCCATACAATGGAGTATTATTCAGCCACAAAAAGGAATGAAGTACTGATACATGCTACAACATCGATGAACCTTGAACACTAAGTGAAAGACGCCAGGTACAGAAGTCTATAAAACGTTATGAAATGTCCAGAAGATATAAATTAAGGCAGAAAGTGGATTAACAGTTGCCAGATGCTGGTGGAGGGGAAAAGGGTGGAAGGGAGAGGGGGATGGGGAGTGATAGGTACAAGGTTTCTTTTTCAGCACGGTGAAAATGTCCTGAAATTAGAATGGTGATAGTGGAACAACTCTACATGCTAAAAAACAGTTAATTGGACAGTTTTAAAGAGTGAATTTTATGGTATGTGAAATATATTTCAAACTACTTTTAAAAAAAGAGAAAATAAATTCAAATTCTCCAGGTTGACCCCAGACCTACTAAATCAAAATCTGCATTTTAACAAGATCCCTGGTGATTCCCATACACACTGAAGTTTGAGAAACAGTGATTTAAAAGATACATGGTCAAAATTGTTCCTCTGGTTAATCTCATTCACAGAATAGTTAACTTGATTTCACTAGGGTGAATTTTTTCTGCCACAATTGCTTGCTATACAATTAAATGCTCATATTGATTCTACAACTTCTGGTTTTTCCCTCAAAAATTTGCAAAGTTTTAGTACTGGTTGGAACCTGCACCGAACTAGGAGCAAAGCCTTGGCACTTTTTCTTTTTTCTATTGAGACAGGGTCTCGCTTTGTCGCCCAGGCTGGAGTGCAGTGGCTTGTTCTCAGCTCACTGCAGCGTTGACCTCCCAGGATCAAGTGACCCTCCCACCTCTCAGCCTCCCAAGTAGCTGGGGTGAGAGGTGCACAACATCAGGCCCAGTTAACTTTCTGTCTTTTTAGTAGAGATGGGGTTTTGCCACGTTGACCAGGCTGGTCTCGAACTCCTTAGCTCAAGCAATCCTCCTGCCTGAGGCCTCCCAAAGTGCTAGGATTATAGGTGTGTGCCACCACATCCGGCACACATGTATTTTTTAATCCTCAACAGTACTGGGTATATAGAAGATGCTGTCACTTTAATTAAACCACCAGTTTTGAAGGGAGTGGCAATAACATACGTAAAGTGAACAAAGAAGGTAGAGAATCTAATGGGAAATAAGACAAAAAAAACTCACTCACTTCAGAAAAGTTTATTAAAGGTAAAATCAGATTTACAGAGTATAAAACAATAAGGGATAGAGGTGAAGAGGTTTCAAACAAACTATGAGTACAATAGAAAGTAAATTACCTACCTGGGGTTCTCACAGCACTTTTTCTTTACTTCTGCACAAAGCCTAATGTGTTTTTTAAAAAATCCTTGGAAAAGTCTCAGCAGTCATATATTCTCATGATTTAGCAGTTAAACAAAATGTCCACAATCCACAAAGAAAGAGGGGTGGACCTAAGTGACAGGGTACTAAACATATATACTATGATAAGCTCTGCTTCCTCTGTTCCAGTTCTTTAAATTTTGTGTCTGTGTTTTTTGGGGAAACGGTTATCATGCAAAATGACTGTCTTGGAAGCAGGAGTTGAGGAAAGGAAATTCTGGGCTCTCTAAAAAGCCTTCTTGCCTCCTTGGTGCAGTAAGCAGCATGTCTTGTAAAAAGCCTAACTTCTACCAGACTTATAACCATATTATGCAATTGGTACTTTTTTAACTAAGCAAATTTTATAAAGAATTTGAAACGTTTTGTGGGTACTTATAGCCAGGTACTGCACATAAATATCACACTCAAATTAAGAGTGCAGGCTCTGCAATCAGCCTGTATGGGTTCAAATATTGATCCCAGATCACAGTTATGCAAACTTAGGCCAAGTTACTTAATTTTTCTGCCTTCCTTTAACAATAAGCTTTAGTATTAGTACATACCTCAGAGAACAGTTATGAGAATTAAAAAAATATACGTAGTTTAAAACAGTACCTGGCACACACGAGTATTTAGTGTAGATGCACACAGAGCTTCTTTCATATAGAATGTGTCATATTCAGATTTACACACTAGTTATTAGTGTTAATGGGAAAATGGAATTAGCCTCATTTTATTAGATTTTGATTCCCTAAACTACAATTCTATCTGTATCATGTCAATAAAAATGAACTCCTTGAGCACATGAACTATATGCTAGTCTACCTTTGTATACTCCAGGATGGCGGAATGTGTCTTTTTACCACATGAGGTGATGCCATTAGTATATTCCAGGGCCTGGCACGACATCTATTACATGGGTGTGTAATAAATGTGGAATAATTTATTTCTGGTAATTTATGGATTATCTACAAAACCAATATAAGTGGATGTTATTAGAGACCTTTAAAAACCTATAATTTTACTCATATTTGCTGCAAATAAGAGTAATGCAAATGTAATGCTGAATGGAACTTTTGAGGCATTAAAGATTTTTTTCCTATATAGTGAGGAATAAAACTAAGACTTGATTGAAATAACTTTTTTAAAAAAAAGGATTTGAGCACAACAGGACAACAAAAATTGGCCCTTTGTACACTTCGGTGCAATTTCTGTCTTAGCTGCTGAGAAGCAGAGGAAAAGCACCACCTTGCTCAGAAACTACCTTCTCCACAATACTGAGAAACACACCAAACAGGGGCAAGGCTTTTTGAAGCTAGGAATAAAGAAGCTGCCCATCTTTACTAATAGGAAACAACGGGTTTTAAGGTACCCAGTAAGAGTCTTTCTTCAAAACAGACATCTCACTTACCTTTTCAGTATACTTCCTAAAAACATTAAAGACAGATGTAAGGCTTAGCTGGTAATTTCCATGAACTCAGTCTTTTCCTCTGACTGTGGTGGAGCAGACACGATTAAGCAGGTTTGGAAATGCTAGAAATGAATTCCTACTTCCCCTTGTATTCTTCAGATCTCATTTTCCCCCAAATTTCTGCAGTGGTTGGCTTCCATTTCAGCATCAGTCACGAAATCTTGAAGGTCAGACACAGTAAACAGGGAAGGACATAAAATTAAGTGATTTGGGCGTAGTTTTGAGTCTCACAACTTTAACAGGGATGAGTCATACATTAAAGTATGTCGAAATAAATTACAAGTTCTGTTCCTTAACGAAAATCAACTCTTAGTCAAGCTAAAGGTATTAGTTTGCTATAGTCTGAAATTCTGTATGTTCCTTTAATAAATGTTGAGGGGAAAAAAGATGTAATTCCCATGAAGACCAAACACAAGTTGATCAATTCAGTGTGAGTCTTTGTCCTTGATTTATTTTGCAGTACAAATGTGTAAAGGAAAAAACAAAGGGAATAAAAAATACTAGCAGATTGTTCTAAGTGATTTTCCAATTTGCCAATCAAATTTGAAGTATTTTATTTACCTACCAATTAAGTCAGAAAAAAGGAAGTGAATGTTAAATGATTATTAGTAGTATAAGCTTTAAGTTTAAAAGATAAGGGTTATTTAATTCAACTGTTTTCTTGGTTATAGGAAATTAGCATTCAAATTAACTTCATTAAGATAGGAGAAAAAATACTGAATAATTCATCTGGATGGAGTTAGCCAGGAAATGTCTTTATATTTTGCAAAATTATAAATTGAAACCAAAATCTGATATACTTCTAGGTTAGCAAACAAAATTCTTTTTATTTGCTTCCTATAAATCATTAAACAGGTTTGCTGTACTCACTCAGTGACACTTCAACTCCCTTTGAAACCCAAGTGACAGAACTAGGTCACTACTTTGGGAATGGAATTGTGAGTAGCTAGATCAGAGAAACACTGAGACTGACAAAACTTGCTTTTTTGGAAAATGGAAGAAAAAGTCATCAGTATGCCATAAGAGTTAGAGCATTCTGACCATAAAATCAGGCAGTTATCCTTGCTGACTGGTCCTGGATTCCAAATGACACATTCCTTCTCAATGTATTCAATCCATCAGCAGCTCAGAAGCAATCCACACTGGAGACCATTTAAAAACGTGCATTTTGCAATAACCATTATCTATCTTAGCAGCTAGAAAGGCAAAACAAAAGTTAGCATATCAAACTATCTTTAGGGGCTAGAGCAGAATATGAATTCATTAACGATAAATATAATTACTAGAAACAATGAAAACTGATCCAGAGGAATTTTAAGAAAACAAAAAAACCCTCAAAATGTCTATTATGCCAAGTACGGTCAAAGTATTCAAGCATCCTCCTCCCTCTCCACAACTTCTATTTTTTTCTCTCTTCTTTTTTCTTAAGGGGTGGGAGTCTTGCTATGTTGCCCAGGCTGGAGTGCAGTGGCTATTCACAAGTACAGTCATTGTGCACTACAGCCTTGAAGGCCTGGGCTCAAGCCTCAGCCTCCCAACTAGCTGAGACTAGAGGCACATACCACCGTCCCTGACTTACAACTTCTATTTTCAGGTTAGATTCCAGAAGTGTAAGAAGTATAAAATATCATGGATGATATTTAGTATTCACTAAACTGGAAGGAGAGCCAATGAATTTACTTATACTGCCCAATTAAATAATCAACATTGAACTCATCTTCAATCCCAGAAAAATCCATGAATGAAAACTGGACATAGCAACAATTGCTACTGATGCCAGACTGAAATAGCAAAGGGCAAGAGGAATTCATGCTACCTACTCTTCACTTTATAAAGAAAAATAAAGAAAAAATAAATTTAAAAAAGAAAAGGAATTTCATTTTTTCTGAGGAAAAAAACTGAGAAATTAAGTAAGACAGAGTTTGCAAATATATGAATGCTGGGCTCAATGTTTCTTAGTTTGCAGTTAAAAAGAAACATTCACAAGGAAAACAAATGTACATGTAAGTCACTTTCAAAGCAAAAAGATACTGCTTGGCCGGGGATGGTGGCTCACGCCTGTAGACTCAGCTACTTGGGAGGCTGAGGCAGGAGACTCGCTTGAACCCGGGAGGCAGAGGTTGCAGTGAGCCAAAGTCACACCACTGCACTCCAGCCTGGAGGACTGAGACTCAGTCTCAAAACAAACCAAACAAATAAAAAAACCAAAGCAAAAAGACACTGCTCAAAGCTAATCCATGGGCAGTACCTGCATTAAAACTGTTATCTGCAAATAAGGCAAAAATAAATACTGTTTGTTGCAGAGTGGAAATGCATCCTAGATTGGATTAAGCTAAGAGGCTTGAGAGGTGGCAACCACGGACTTCTGCTCTTAGACATCCTGGTTTGTAATATTTTGTTGTTCTGACAGCCAACTTGATCATTCTTCCTTGCATTATAAATTTTCACAGTAAATCTTACCTTCGGGGTCAGTGGTAACACCTATAATACTTGTTTGTATTTAAAATCCTCTAATATCCAATACATTTAATCACAGCCTCACTGACATCTCAATTGCCCTTGAGACTCAAAACAGAGGGGGAACTTCTGAGAAATGTAATTATTATACCTCTGTGCTTAGGTTGAAGACAACTTCATGATCTGGAGAATTAATTACTTTTTGTTTCTCTTCATGCCTGGTTTATAAGAAACTGAACATTGGACATGAGAAAAAGTAGAGGTCCTATCACTTTACAGGTGTTTTTATCATTCATTTGAAGTCTATTCCAAAGACATCAGTTATCCCACATATAAAGGTGCATATAAACTCTCACTTCAAAGTTAAACTACTCTGAGCTATTCATATTTGCATTCTTCTCTAATGGTGTAAATAATCAAGAACCAGAGAAGTTACGCCTTCATCGTAACAGCCATATTTCTCTGGCCTATATAGCAAATCCAGTTACATTTTAAAGTGTGTGCGTGGTTCTTTAAAACATTAATTTCAAACACATGAATAACATTATTGTTTTATTTAACCCAATATTCAGTGATCCCTGACTGGGTTGGGCTCAGTAACATGTCTTTCAAAAACAAAAAAAATACTAGACTCATATATATTTTTTGAGTAAAGCTGCTGGCTTTGTCTCCATACTTCCACTCTGTTCTCTTGACTCAGTTCTCAATTCAGGGCCAAAGTCAAGAGCAAAACTGAACCTGTAGGCTAGTCCTTGGTAAAAGTAAGGCAAAATGGCAACTGACTTGGCAATCTCTCCCAATTTGGGGATGCCCTGGACACAGTAAGCAGAGTCAAATGTAAACTACGTCCTAAGAAAATGGCAATTTCTGTAGTCTCAGGTCATGAAAATACATTTTTAAAAACTAATTGTCTGTTAAAATTATTTTAGTTGTGAAATGTTAACAATATCAGGATAAGGAGTTAGACAAAAAATCTTGGACATAATTTCCAGTTTTTTCCTATATATACTTTCTCAACAATCTAAAGCCACCAAAATTCTCTTCATGAAGTCTTATCCTATCTGTTGCCTAATGATGATGAAGGAGATCAGATTTGGGATTTACAGATGTCCTCCTCTGGAGACGCTTTTGCTCTGGGACTGATGGATACCAGTGCTGTTAGTCATTTCTGCTACCTGGATACAGAGCATCTGGTGTAAATTTGTGCATCCAGCCTGGCTCCCATTTTCCCCCAACAGCATGCTTAAGGAATGAAATGCTCATTTCATGTTAGTTGTAAGCAATCTACATACAAAGCATATCAGGGTACAAATTACTTAATATGTATTTTTATCATCTCCTACCTCCCTAATGCTGAACCCCACTCCATTCCCTGCAAACTTTTGTTTTAAATTTTAATTTGAGAAAATATTTTTCCTACATAATTGTCTTCTCCTAACATCTGTGGACATTCTTCCCACTTTCTTTGAAAAAGATATTATATCATGCTTCTGGAAATTAAGGGGAAAAAATCAGTGCTAAAACTAGAGGTTGAAACTAGAGGCAGATCTATAGTAGAAGTATATATTACTTTTCATAAAAATTCTCACCCAAAAAGTCCTATCAAAGGGGTTGCAAAGTTTATCTGGTTACCACCCTCCTCCCTTTCTTCTTGCCTTTGGTCCCATGAGTGAGCCTTAGAAATCATGGTCACCAGCAGACTGCCAGGGACAAAGTGAATGGAAGTTACTTTTGAGAAGGGGGATTCAGGCTGGGCATGGTGGCTCACGCCTGTACTCCCAGAACTTTGGGAGGCTGAGACGGGTGGATGACCTGAGGTCAAAAGTTCGAGACCAGCGTGACCAACGCAGTGAAACCCCATCTCTACCAAAAAGACAAAAATCAGCCAGGTGTGGTGGCAGGCACCTGTAGTCCCAGCTACTCAGGAAGCTGAGGCAGGAGAACTGCTTGAACCTGAAAGGTGGAAGTTGCAGTGAGCCAAGATTATGCCACTGCACTCTAGCCCGGGCGACAGAGTGAGATTCAGTCTCAGAAAAAAAAAAAAAAAAAAAAAAGAGAAGGCGGATTCCATCTTCCCTTTAGGTAGAGATGTGGCATGGAAGCAGTGACTGAAGCTACTGTAGTTTCATTGGCCAAAGGTTATAAATTTCTAGCCCAAACTTTCAAAGGAAAATGTCACCACTATCTTTTAATCATAGGTAAATCAGTTATTACCCTCTTCCTCTTTCATGAAAATACTAACATATGTACTCTAATACCATGATACAGCGCTATTAATCAGGCCCTTATTTTTCAATCTAAACTGAACTTTCAAGTAACTTTTAAAAAAATGCCAAAGCAAGGAAGAAAAGTGAGAAAATTTGTATTCGATTCTACAGTTATATAATCTGTGGGGGTAGTCACTTTCAAAATAAATGGACATTTTCATATGTCAATAGCCACACTTGTATTATTTACACCATTTCTCCTTGCTTTATGAAACAAATTTATATATATATATATCAGATGAAATTTCCTACTGACAACAATTTCAAAGATGCCTTACCATCTTTGTATTTTTTTTTTACAAAATTGACGAAACTTGTATATATTTACCATATGATGCTTACCATCTTTATTTCTGATTACTCTTAAGCAGCATCTTCTCCTTTCCTCCACTAACTTTTTTAAAAAGTAAATTCTTCAGTGGACTAATGGTTCCATCTGATTGATACCTTGGGTGAAATTCCTAATTTTATCTTGCTAAATAACTTAGTTTACTATAATATAAACAGAATGTACAAAGTGGAATATTTTTAATATATTCTTAATCTCAACCTTTCCTAGAATTCCATCAAAGGTTTGTTCTGAAAGATATGATAAAGACAAATCAAAGCAGGAAGAGATCTAGGTTTGTAAAAATACAGTTTAAAAAAAAAAGGAAGAGAATTTATATTATGCATTTGCAGAAGCTCTTGTTCTCATAGATTTTGCAGAACTAGTCCTTTTCAATCATTTAACTAGGAAGTTCTACTCCAAGTGAATAAAGTTTAAGCAAACTTCAAGTAACTCCAAGTAAAAGACATTGAAGACAACTAGTTTCCAAAGAACACTTGTTTGACAGAATTAATGACTAAATTAACCTTAAAATTTAAAAATGTGTGACATACCTTGTTAATAATTAAAATAAAGGCTGTTTTAAAGCAACTTTATGAAGCAAAAGAGTAAGTCACTTCCAAGGTTCCTTGGTCTTCTGCAACTTCTAGGCACGGAAAAGAACTTACAAGGACATGCAGGGTTCACTGTGGTATGTCTGTCTCAGGTATGTGAGATATGATATGGGGCTTAAATCCAATAAGGGCTCTGGGGAAATAAGAAAGCATTTAGGGACAAAGCAGGCCTGATTCTGAAAAACTGAAACCATGTTTTAGATTCACGTTTGCTATTCACTTTACGATTAAGTAATTCAAGTCTTCTGGATAAAATTTCACACAGAAGGGAAATACTACGAAGTCCTAAGTATGTCCTAATGTAACATGAGATAACCTTTCTTGACCTTTGTGATTAAGGGAATTGATGCTCTATTTATAAAAATAAAAGAGAAATGAAATATAAGTAACTGTTTTGGCTTAAACAATATCATTTAAATTGTTTCATAAACAATTTTTTTTCAGATTGAACATGCCAAGTATGCAACTAAACAATAAGAAAATTTTCACAACCCTAATGTTAGAAAATGTTCCATTTTATACTTTTTACCTATGTCCTTCTTCAAGCCTGAGTGCTCCAATACATGCTAGTGGAAAAAAAAATCAAAATTAGCATTAACATAAAGATTTTCAATTAATACTATAAATAGAATCCCCAGAGGGGAAAAAGGCCAGAATAAAATAAACTCAAATATGTGACTGAATGAGTAACCCTTGAGACATACAAAATCAAACTGTATTACTTACCAAACCTCTACACCATCTCCTGACAGATATCCAGAAAAAAACTGGGAAATCTAAAATGTATCATAAATTGGCAGAGAACACTTTAATAGCCCTCCCCCTAAACAATATAATTCAAAATGGAAATTTCTAAAATAATTAAGTATTATCATTCTGAAGTGTCTTATATAATTTCTAAACTTATGAATACATTTCCAGAGTTTTCTGCGCCCAAGGATGCTAAAACCATTCAAAAAGAAAGGGGGAGAAAAAAAGAAGAAAAGCAAAAGTTAAAGCTTATATATAACGAGAAAAATCCAAAACAGACCATAGGGTAGAGAGAAGATGAGGGGAGAAGAAAGAAAGGAAAAGAGACAACACCAAAGTTAAAAAGCAAAGCAAAATGAAAACCTTTTATCTATAGCACTTTGGGGCTCTATTTTGTAAAGACTAGTTATTATGATTTGAATGATAGCTCAATGACTAAATACTTGCTGTAAACTTGAAAAAAAAAAAAAAGGTGAATTAAACCTCCCTGCACCTCAGTGTCTTCATCTGTAAAGTGGAATTATTATTTTAAAGAACACCTAAAAAGTACTTTAAAAAAAAAATTTCAAGATGGCAGTCCTCTCACCTTGGCCTCAGAAAGTGCTGGGATTATACAGGTGTGAGCCTAAAAAGCAATTTGAACAGCACTTGGCACTTACTAAGCACTTAACAAATACTAGCTATTAGAATTAGATAAGAGTATATATTTAAATAGTATTTTATACACTATTTTTATTTTTGCAAGGGAAAAGCAGTGATCTCCCTGAGGGGCTCCCTGAATGGCTGGAATTTCAGCTTCAGGGTTTGACAATGTATCTAATGATATTTAACTTTCAGAATAGCTTCAGGTACATTCTGCAAAATACTCTTGACGAAGTAGCTGACCCAAATATGGCAGCACTCCTCTTGCCTGGCATCAATTAATACTATTGATATTAGAAAAGAGATGGAAGGCAGAACGCCCTTAAATATAGTATCAGCACCCTTAATCATGGGTAAACTGAATGCTCAAGTTTGCTGTGGGGATAACCAAATCCACCAAGACATACTTAATTCAACCAACTTAATTTATTTTATTCCTTTCCTCTAAAAAACTCAAGCTCAAGCTTTTGTACATACAAAGAATCACACATATATCAATCACAAAATATGGAAAAGAAAGTATCCTGCAATGCTAACTAAGGTCAGGGGTAACAGAAGCACACAACAGCAGATTAAATTTTAAAAATTTAAACCTTTAGAATAAACCTTCTGGTGTTTTTTTTTTTTAGTTTTTAAATTCAAAACTCCCCACACAGTAAGTCTAACATAAAAAATATATTGTAACTAGCTCTAAAGAGCTAAATATGTATTGCTAGAGAAAGGTAAGAATGAAAAAAAAGAACCAGAAAGGTAAATTTTTAGTTGTAGTATCTATAGTTATCACAAACTAGCCATACAATTATCACTTAACCTTTCTGGGCCTCAGTTTTCTCACAGTAAAACAGGGATACTACTACCTAAATCAAGGTTATTGTGGATATAAAGATAATACAAACCACCTAGCGTCGTGTGTCTGGCATATAATAGTACTCAATGAATGAGTACTATTCCTATAAATGGGGGAGGAAGGGTGTTGCATTAGATATCAAGTCTAAGGTCAAAATATCAAGAAGCCTTTCTTATTCATACATTTCCTCAGGAAGAGACAGCTAAGGCATAAACACCATAAGAAGGCACGTCTAACAGACTCCGTCTAAGGCAGTTTATCACCACAATTAAATAATTCTTTTCAACAGTTTTACCTATAGCATGGATAACTACAGCGATATGCACATAGACCACAATAACATGACAGTACCTTTGCTTTCAGAAAACACAACAGAATACGATATGTACCCACCTATGCAATTTTTAGGAATAGAAACAACTGGGAAAACAACTGGGTTGTTTTCTGCCATTTGGTCTGTGATCGTTCATGAAGTGGGATTTTGACAACTGTGAAGCAAGAGACTGCTCTATAATAGTCAAGAGCAGGAAATCGTCAGTTTTGCCCTCCAAACCTCTGAACGCAAACTCTCATATGGACTAATCCTAACCATTTTATTATTTTCTATTTACAGATTTTGTTACCCACAGAATCTAGATATTAAGATTCAGTCCAAATTTGTTGTCTGTCACTTAAATAATTCCAAATACCCCCTGAAGAGGGCCACTGGTTGGGGCCTGTAAGTTATTTTGTACATGACTCAACCATATATTTCTATTATTTCATCAGTGACAACACATTCCAATCTTTGTCTTAGGAAAATGAAATAACTGCCAAAATAATTGCTAGAAAGTAATGGGTTAAAGAAAGGTGGACCAAAGTATGGGGAAAAAAATCAGCATCACCTTCCTAAGGATGACAGAAAAGTCTTAGGCAGAATTGCAGACAGATTGGGAAATTAATAAAAGGTTTAAAGGAAACATAAGATGCCAAGGAAGTATATGAAAGTTCTCAAACTTCAAGAATTTAAACTTGACACCATGACATAGTAGGCATGTGGGTGTCTGTGTGATGATTATGACAACTGCGTAGGACAAATAGGGTAGTATGAGGGATTGGGCAGGATGACGAGGAAGAGGAATAATAATCTAGCAACCAACTTTTAAGGCCCACAGCAGTGCTTCCTACCCTATTAAGTCTTGGATTTTGGAATATATTAGACTAAATATGAATTAATTTTGTCTCCTTTAACAGAACATTAGCTCCATAGGAGAGAGCCTGTCTTACTCACTGTCGTATTTTCAGTACCTAGAATATCTAACATAAAAATGACCTTCTAACATTCAAAATAGTCTGAATCTGATATAAAAGCTGTTGTAATTAATAAAAGATAATTCACTTACAAAATATTGCTGAATTCCTAGAATCTTTTTAATGTAAGTTTTCTAATCAACTGATTACAACTCCAATCAAGTACTAAACTATAGCTGTTATTTCTTATGGCTGGTCTGGTATTTTTTTCTACATTGGTTCCAAGTCATTATCCTAAAAGAAAGGTTAAAAAACACCACCTTAGGATATTGGATTAATGACTAGAGATATTAAGAAAAAGACATCATAGAGAAGAATCACCACGACTTAACAGAAAATTCAACAAAAAGAACTATTAAGATTTCAATTGGTGGGATCAAAAGGTGTTTCTCAAACTCACAATTTTCATGGCTAAGCCTATAAGGTTTTCTTTCCTTTGCCAAATGTTCCCCCTGTATACCCGTGACTGCACAGTGCCAGTGCCTGGAACACTGATATTCACTACATGTTTCTAAGTGAACAAATGCTTGTAACTGTCTTTTAACATTATCAAGTTTCATGTGATCTGGAGGCACATACGAGATTGTAGACTGAAAGACTGGGGTTAGAGATATGACTTGAGAGTATATTAAAATCCAGTAGAGCCCCAACCAATGGATGAAGCCCCTAATGAGGGATAAAAAGACATGGGAAGAGGTGTTATAGGGCCAACAAAATACACGGAATTATGGATCAAACAGAACCAGCAAAAGCTAGAACAGTTTGGAAGTTTATCCAACTGTGTCAAAAATAAAGGATCAAGAATAACAACCGGGAGGAAAAAGGCAGCTGAAATGACCTGAAGATTACTGCTGCTATCACCCACTGGCTTTGACTGAACAGCAACTAAATTCTGTAACTAATCCCAGGCAGAACACAGCTAGATAGAACCCCAAAGCAACTGAGGGCACCTTGTAAGTCAGATAGATACCCATTTGAAATTCTGAAGTTGGTCTTGGTGCTAAATATAACTACAGCCAGTCTGGCTTTCATTAATACCTTCCAGGTCATTAAGTAAGTCCCAGTTCTGATATTGCTGGCTATTTATTCAATCAACAAGATATACATATGACCTGTTACTATTAGAGAACAAATTTTCTTGGCTGGATGAGGTGGCTCATGCCTGGAATCCCAGCACTTTGGGAGGCCAAGGTGGGCGGATCACTTGAAGTCAGCAGTTCTGAGACCCGCCTGGTCAACATGGTGAAACTCCATCTCTATTAAAAACGCAAAAATTAGCCGTGTGTGGTGGTGCACACCTATAGTCCCAGCTTCTCGGGAGGCTGAGGTGGGAGAACTGCTTGAACCCAGGAGGCGGACGCTGCAGTGAGCTGAGATCAAGCCACTGCACTCCAGCCTTGGCGACAGAGCAAGATTCTGTCTCAAAAAAAAAAAAAGAAAAGAAAAAAAAAAGCCAATAGGTTTTCTCAAAGTTAACAGGAGATCAGGATGCCATTTAGCTTTGCTTATGAATTCCACTACAGCCTTTCTCCAGGAATCAAAGTTAGTGAAAAACTACCAGGAAATAAATTCTGGTTCTTTTTTTTTTTTTGGGACAGTCTTGCTCTGTCGCCCAGGCTGGAGTGCAGTGGCATGATCTCGGCTCACTGCAACCTCTGCCTCCCAGGTTCAAGTGATTCTCTTGCCTCAGCCTCCCGAGTAGCTGGGATTCGAGGCATGCACCATCATGCCCGGCTAATTTTTTGTATTTTTAGTAGAGATGGAGTTTCACTATGTTGTCCAGGCTGGTCTTGAACTCCTGACCTCATAATCCACCCACCTCGGCCTCCCAAAGTGCTGGGATTATAGGCGTGAGCCACCGCATCTGGCCCTGTTTTATCTTTCTTCTATGATGCATGCCTAGGCAAATCATGAAGTGAAATGGGAATAATGCCCCATTTCTTTTTTTTTTTTTTTGGAGATGGAGTCTTGCTCTGTCGCCCAGGTTGGAGTGCAATGGTGTGATCTCGGCTCACTGCAACCTCCACCTCCCAGGCTCAAGCAATTCTCCTGCCTCAGCCTCCCGAGTAGCTGGGATTACAGGTGTCTGCCACCACGCCCAGCTATTTTTTTGTATTTTTAGTAGAGACGGGGTTTCACCATGTTGGCCAGGCTGGTCTTGAACTCCTGACCTCAGGTAATCCACCCACTTCAGCCTCCAAAAATGCTGGGATTATAGGCATGAGCCACCGCACCCAGCCTAATGCCTCACTTCTAAAACACACACACACACAAACAGAAAGATAACAACTGGGGATAATTTGGAAGGATTTTTTTTTTTAAGGATGATTAACACGACACAAAACCATGGTTAATACATATGCATCCAGCATACTTCATTACCTTCCAGTAGCCACTTCAAAGACGTAATAGAAAGCCAGGGAAGGTACAAAACAGTGAAAAGGAAGTATTCACAGAAATAAAGTGGCTTTTGACTTCAAAGAATAAGAACTCCAATCTGGAGAGAAGAAGTTAAGGATAAAATTGAATTACACGTAAAATTGTAGTAAGTTGCAGATAAAATACCACAGCCTGGCTCAATCTTATTAAAAACAATTTGAAACAAATTCTGAAACACTCTAACTAGGAGATAATTGGAAACTGGCGAAAGTGTTGAATCACAAAATGTTTAGTAAATGTGTGACAAAAGTCACAAGCACGAAAAAAGCAGTTTGAGAAATTAGTAAAGTCTCAAAAAGGGCATTGTTCAATTAGTGAAGGCTTACTGACAGCACACAATTTACAAAACGGAAGTTTCTGAGCTATTGAGAGGCTATCATTAATCTTAATATCACAACAGAAAATAATTTTTGTTCTTTTTTCTGGAATACCAGTTGTTGGCCCCACCTATAGTCCCGGGCTGGAGAAACTATTAGCATAACCAGCTAGTGAGTAGTATCCCAGTTTTTCAAAGAAGCCTAATGACATTTACCTAACATGACTGCACAGAACAAGTAAAATCCAGAAGGCAGTACACAGTGGTGTTATATATGAGTTCTGGGCCAGGTGCAGTGGCTCAAATCTATAATCCCAGCACTTTGGGAGGCTGAGGCAGGAGGATCGCTTTGAGCCCAGGAATTCGTGCCACTGCACTCCAGCCTGGGCGACGAAGTAAGACCCCATCTCGTAAAACAAACAAAAAATGAGTTCTGGTATCAGATCTACCTGGGTTCAATACTAGATGGGCGACTTCTAGTTGGCACGCCTTAGACTAAAATATGTGTGTCTAGTATCCACATTTATACTTACTTTACAGGGTTAGTATGAAGTTCAGTAAGTTAACATAAGGTATTTAAGACAATGGCAGCATGCTGGAAATACTCAGTATTAGTTTGCTTTTGAATGAAATTATAACCATTTCAATGTGTTAACCTCAGTTCTCTCATGCTAGAAGTTCCAGATGGCAGTTTATGGGTCTTAGAACTCTTTTTGTTAAAGATAGGGTCTCGTTCTGTCATCCAGGCTGGAGTGCAGCAGCAAGTGGCACCATTATGGCTCACTGGAGCCTCAACCTCCCCAGCTCAAGTGATCCTCCCACCTCAGCTGGGACTATAGGCATGATCTACCACACCCAGCTAATTTTTGTATTTTTTGTAGAGATGGGGTTTCGCCACGTCGCCTAGGCTAGTCTCGAACTCCTGGGCTCAAGCAATCTGCCTGCATTGGCCTCACAAAGTGTGGGGATTACAGGTACGAGCCATTGCGCCTGGCTGGTCTTAGAACTCCTTAAAAAAGAAAATGTTTATGGGTGAAAAATAATAAATAGAGAATGAAGAGCTGAAAAGGCTGGTTTAGCCACTAGGCTAAACTATGTATTCTTAGGAGACATGTAGTCCTGAGTTTTTTGTTTTGTTTTTAAATAGGAGCTATTATCATCTATGTTTTCTTTCTAAAGAAATCACCTCAGCAGTCACTTCTGTCAAATGTACTAATGTTCTATAATATAAAAAATGTATATCAGACACTAGATTAACCAGTTTCATAAGTCATAGTGAGGAATGGAAAAGCTTGATTTCATCGGGAACCTTATGAGTTACAGGAAATGGATTAAACTGTTATTTTTGGTAAATCTATTCCATTTTAACCAAGCAACATCTGTATGTCTGTTTTTCTTCAGGGAGGGAGAAATGGTTCAGAAAAGTGATCATTACTTCAGTTCTGACCAAGGATTTCTCACATGAAGCTTTAAGTTTTCAGCAATGGAAAAATATTAGGAAACCTACCTTCACCTTTGTTCCTTCAGATTCACACAATCACTCCACCTTTACATTTTAATATTTTCTTTAAATAAAATTTGAACTAGATAGGTGAAAATTCTTAAAAATCAAGTTACTTGATCATATCCAGTGAACATTAAGCTTAATTTTTTTTAGTCAGCTAAAAAAAAATCAGAATATACATTTTACAAACTCTTCTGCTGTCCTAATCTAAATTATATACATTATTCATGTATTGCAATTACAATCTGAATATTTTATTAGGAGCACAGGACACCTTTCAAACTTCCAGTGGTGTTTCTGGAACATTTGGTTTGATGATTATCACTACTATTTATAAACCTTTTATTATCTCCTACAATCTTCTCTAAATTATTTGAAGACAATGACCATAACTTACTAATTTTGTATTCCTAACTCCTGAAACAAATACCCAATGGCCATGAAATTTAGAATGAATATCATATCAATTATCAATGTTAGGTATAAACTAGACTTAACATTTTCAATATATGGCTGACTTTGAACTAGTTATCTACATTTGATTGATGATGTTTAAGATCAATCCATTTAATGATATCCCTTCCTAAGCATTAACAGGTTGCTCGAGATGTTACTGCACTTTCTGAAAAGAAAAGTTAAATACTTTTATAATACTTCTTAAGGACAAAAGCCAGGAGGGGAATTTCTGGAAATTCCTATTATCGTATCACACTATGAAGAAATAAACTAGCAATTGTCATATAGGTCTTGCAATCCTCATTTTCAAGACAAAAAACCCCATGTTACATCAATAAAAACAAGATTAGAATTAAGAATTTCCAACAATATTGCAAGCCATGATAAAGGTTTCAACAGAACTCAATTTGGGTTCTGTTATCTTATTAGAATTAAACATTTTTCTCAAATGTTTATTGGTAGGCAAGATCACATAAGTTATATACTGAGAATAACATGTTGAGTGTTCAGCTAGTGGAGTACTCACACTTCTTTATTCAAGGCTACATATATTTATATACACTTAAGCAATCTGCCACAGCCAGAATCTTTTTTTTTTTTTTTTTTGAAACAGGGTCTCACTCTGTCATCCAGGCTGGAGGGCAATGGCATAATCTCAGCTCACTGCAGCCTCTGCCTCCCAGATTCAAGTGATTCTCCCACCTCAGCCTCCTGAGTAGCTGGTGCTACAGGTGCACTCCACCACACTCGGCTAACTTTTGTGTTTTTTGGTAGAGATGGGGTTTCACCATGTTGGCCAGGCTGGTCTTAAACTCCTGACCTCAAGTGACCTGCCTGCCTCAGCCTCTCAAAGTGCTGGGATTACAGGCATGAGCCACCATGCCTGGCCCAATTACAATCTTTTGAAAAAATTTTATGAAACATTTATCCTTGTTTTGACTTACTTTCCAGATTAAAAGATAAGCAGGCACAGTGGCTCACACCTGTATAATCCCAGCACTTTGGGAGGCTAAGGCGGGCAGATCACTTGAGACCAGGAGTTCGTGACCAGCCTAGCCAACATGGTGAAACCCCATCTCTACTAAAAACACAAAAATTAGCTGGGCATGGTGGTGCGCACCTGTAATCCCAGCTACTCGGGAGGCCAGGCAGGAGAATCGCTTGAACCACGGAGGCAGAGGTTGCAGTGAGCCGAGATCATGCCACTGCACTCCAGCCTGGCGAAAGAGCAAGACTCCGTCTTAAAAAAAAAAAAAAAAAAAAAGAGTTTTTAAAACCATCTTTCTTTCTGTATCAGAGAAGATAACATTTCCTGTAAGAATACATATGGAAAGCAGGTTCTCTACACCCACCAATTTTACGGCCCAGCATAGTGGCTTCCGTTATGTGTAATTCTGTATCTTGCATACAAATGCACACACACACTCAGGTCTGATAAGTAAACCTTTTAACAAACTCTTCTATAATGGCCTTGAAAAATATAGGACTAAGTCCCAGCGCGCTGGCTCACGCCTGTAATCCCAGTACTTTGGGAGGTCGAGGCAGGCGGATCACCTGAGGTAAGGAGTTCAAGACCAGCCTGCCTGAAGTGGGGAAACCTGTCTCTACTATAAATTAAAAAATTAGCCAGGTGTGGTGGTACGCGCCTGGAATCCCAGCTACTCAGGAGGCTGAGGCAAGATAATCGATTGAACCTGGAAGGCAGAGGTTGCAGTGGGCTGAGATCATGCCACTGCACTCCAGCCTGGGCAACAGAGTGAGACCCTGTCTCAAAAAAAAAAAAAATGTATAGGACTGAAACTAAAAATTAGGCGATGGGATAGCTTAAAATATTTGCTTTTTGTTTTTGTTTTTTGAGATGATGTCTCACTGTATTGCCAAGGCTGGTCTCCAGGGATCCTCCTGCAATCTTTTCCAAACAAGTATTAAGTTTACCTAGGTTAAAAACTTTTTTTTTTTTTGAGACAGGGTCTCACTCTGTCACCCAAGTTGGAGTACAGGGGCCTGATCGCAGCTCACTACAACCTCGACTTCCCGGCCTCAAGTGATCCTCCTACCTCAGCCTCCCAGGTCTGGGTCTACAGAGGTGTGTCACCATGCCCAGCTAGTTTTTTAAATTTTTTGTAGAGATGGGGTTTCGCCATGTTGCCCAGGACAGTCTTGAACTTCTAGGCTCAAGCAATCCTCCCACCTTGGCCTCCCAAAGTGCTGGGATTACAGGCGTGAGCTACCATGCCCAGCCCAAAAGTGGCTTCCTAAAGACCAAAATCCAGTACGTTTTGGCTTAAATTTTTATAAATGATGAAAAAAGAGCAAAACAAATGACAACTATCAACATAAAACAAACAAAAAAGCCTAAGTAATCCTTAATTTCAGACAAAACTATATTAAATTCTAATTAGGTTAGCTTTATTTTAGACATAAAGAGCTTTTAAGTACACATAAACTTTACCACTTAGTTCTAACCTCACATTAGGTCTTTCTAATCTAGCAGTAAAGAATGTACACTTTAAGTCAGGCAGAAGAGGGTTTGAATCCTGGCCTTGCCACTTCATAGACAGGTGGTCAATAGCCACAAATATGAAATTACCTAATCTCAATCTTTGAGTTCCTTATATGTAAAGTAGGTAGGAAAAATACCACCTACCTTGCAGGGTTGTAAACTACATGATATACACAGAATATAAAATGCCTCCTTAGTACAGAGCATGGTACATAGCACTTACACCATAGTAGGTGTTATTAATCTATCATTTTAAAAAAAGCTCACCATGAAAAAAGAAACAGCAGAATGTTTTCCACCCATACTTCATCTACACTATTTTTATTTTTCAAGATAAAATTCTAGAGTGAAAATCAGACTTTAAAAAAAAATCACTGTTTTCAGGGATCACCGTCTAGCTCCTAACTTTATATAAAGATGGATACATTTGTCGTCTCTATTCTTCATGAGAATTTCCCAGCTGTTGATCTATGAAAATTGTTTTTATTTTATTTTTTGAGACAGGGTCTCACTCTGTAGCCCAAGCTGTAGTACAGTGGCGTGATCTCAGCTCACTGCAACCGCCGCCTCCAAGGCTCAAGCGATTCTCAAGCCTCAGCCTCCTGAGCAGCTGGGACTACAGGCGTGCACCACCATGCCTGGCTAAATTTTTGTATTTTAGTAGAGATGGAGTTTCACCATGTTGCCCAGGGTGGTCCAGAACTCCTGAGCTCAGGCGATCCGCCAGCCTCGGCTTCCCAAAGTGCTGAGATTACAGGTGTGAGTGACAGTGCCCGGCTGAAAGTTGTTTTTAAAAAGTCACCTTTAGGGCTGGGCATGGTGGCTCATGCCTGTAATCCCAGCACTTTGGGAGGCCGAGATTACTTGAGGTCAGGAGTTTCAGAGCAGCCTGGCCAACATGGTGAAACCCTATCTCTACTAAAAATACAAAAATTGTTGGGGCGTGGTGGCAGGTGCCTGTAATCCCAGCTACTCGGGAGGCTGAGGCAGGGAGAGAATCGCTTGAACCCAGGAGGCAGAAGTTGCAGTTAGCTGAGATCGCGCCACCACACTCCAGCCTGGGCGACAGAGCTAGGCTCTGTCTCAAAAAAAAAAAAAAAAAAAAAAAGTTAGGCCTGGCACAGTGGCTCATGCCTGTAATCCCAGCACTTTGGAAGGCCGAGGTGAGGGGTTCACGAGGTCAGGAGCTCAAGATCAGTCTGACCAACATGGCAAAACCCCATCTCTTACTAAAAATACAAAAATTAGCCGGGCATGGTGGCATGTGCCTGTAATCCCAGCTACTCAGGAGGCTGAGGCAGTAGAATCACTTGAACCCGGGAAGCGGACGTTGTAGTGAGCCAAGATCGCACCATCGCACTCCAGCCTCGGTGACAGAGCGAGACTCCATCTCAAAAAAAAAAAAAAAGTCACCTTTAACAATTTTCTTCATTAGTCTGCTTTCACTTACTACCCAAGATTTACTTTGATTTTTTTTTTTTTGGTGGCGGGGGTGTTGGTTAGTTGGTTGTTTTTTTGAGACAGAGACTCACTCTCTCGCCCAGGCTGGAGGGCAGTGGTGCGATCTCGCCTCAGTGCAACCTCTGCCTCCCGGTTTTAAGTGATTCTCCTGTCTCAGCCTCCCAAGTAGCTAGGTACAGGTGCACGCCCGCCTGACCTCAAGTGATCCACCTGCCCTGGCCTCCAAAAGTGCTGGGATTACAGGAATGAGCCACCACACTTGGCCCAAGATTTACTTTGAACTAGTTAGTGAAAACCTTCCTGGGGAGACAAAGTTACAGATTCCAAAAATAAAACCACATAGGCATTTTTAGTAACCTATCAATCCTTCCTTTCTGAGCTTTATTTTTTCTATAACTCATGTAACTGTTTTCAGATCTAATTCCTAAATAAACATGCCATGACATTTTCTCAGCATCCTGATCTTTTCTGCATATGCCTTCCCATTATTTTCTAGCAATTCCTTGAAACTATTAAAGCCTGTTTTTCTAAATTCATTTCATTTTTTTGCAGACAATGTTCCTAATCTTTCCTTGGGGTCCCAAACACTATTAAACATTTGTGGCAACATTTATCATAGTTTTAAATCTCAGACCAACTACATCCAGGCAAATCACTGCAAACATCTGTTGTTATCTTTTCTACTAAGATCATTCTCCAAAATCCCCCAAAATGTGGGATAATCTGTAACTCTGCTACTGAAAGTGTAGTCAGGAACACTGGCATCACCTATGAGCTTGTCAGAAATGCAGACTCTTGCCCATCTCAGATTTAATGAGTCAGAATCTGCATCTTAATCAAAATCCCCAGAAATTCCTACCCACTTCAAGTTTGAGCAGCATTTTTGAATGATGAATTCTGACCTAGACAGCTTAACTAGAAAATTTAAATAATCACCAGAAATTCCTTAAAAATCATTTGATATGTCCAAGAAATGGTCTTTCATCTTTTCTTTCACATTTAGGAAAGTAAAATAGAAATGACATTACAACTAATGAAGACATCCATATTACTACTCATCAATTAAAAGGAAGTTTCAATAAAAATATTTATTGTTGGTTGTATTTAGATCAAATCGTTTTCCATACCAACTCTATACAGATTATATTTAAATATGACTAATTTGGTAAGGTTCTATTTCTTAACAGGAAGCATGGAAAAATTTCAAAATGACAAGCCAATGCTAAACATGTACCACTTAACCAAAAATATTTAGTTATACGACAGCTAGCTAGAACACCCAAGTCCTTCTGACCAAGCCAATTCAGGTACTTGAACAACAGCCAAATAAATAAGCACCATTCTAATCAATAGGTTCAAATGAAAACAGAATGTTTTGATAATATTTTGAGTATAACACATAACACACAAAATTTTCAAAAGTGATTTAGCTGATAAAAATAGTGGCCTTTTAAAACGTATTAATGGCTGGGTGTGGCGGCTCACGCCTGTAATCCCAGCACTTTGGGAGGCTGAGGCAGGCAGATCACGAGGTCAGGAGATCAAGACCATCCTGGCTAACACAGTGAAACCCTGTCTCTACTAAAAATACAAAAACAAAATTAGCCAGGTGTGGTGGCGGGCGCCTGTAGTCCCAGCTACTCGGGAGGCTGAGGCAGGAGAATGGCGTGAACCCGGGAGGCGGAGCTTGCACTGAGCCAAGATCGCGCCACTGCACTCCAGCCTGGGCGACACAGGGAGACTCTGTCTCAAAAAGAAAAGAAAAGAAAAGAAAAGTATTAACTTTGCTTAATCTACTTAAAAACCTAGGCTGAAACTGAAGTTTACAGACTTAAAGGATTCCTAACTGAAGTACAGAATAATCTCCCAAGAACACGCGTACAGGAATGTTTCCAAATTCTATTAAACAGTATTGAGATCTGCAATAACGCAGTATTTTTGTAACTAAGGAAATATTACCCCTTAACATACTTAAAAACTGAGCTCCTTTTCTCACCACCGTTACCATACTTGACAATACTGATTCTCACCTTTACCCCATGGGAAAGAATCTTAAAATGATCAAACTCCTTGTTATTTTAAAAGGCATGACTAAACTGTGTCTAATTTAATCTCTTGCCTCTTTTTTTTTTGGAGACAGCGTCTCACTCTGTCACCCAGGCTAGAGTGCAGTGGCAGGATCACAGCTCACTACAGCATCTACCTCCCAGGCCCAAACAATACTCCCACCTCAGCCTCCACGGTGGCTGGGACTACAGGTGTGTGCCACCATGCTCAGCTAAGTTTCTGATTTTTTGTAGAGATGGGGTCTCCCTATGTTGCCCAGGCTGATCTTGAACTCCGGGGCTCAAGCAATCCTCCCACCTGGGCCTCCCAAAGTGCTAGGATTACCAGCAAGAACCACCACCACACAGAGCCCCTCCTGCCTCTTAACAAATAGACATCTAGGCCTAAAAGTCACCATTTGGAATTTTAAGTAAACAGCTGAATAAAACACTACTCTTGCTTATGAGCTAGAGGAAATGTCTACACATGGTCTTGATTTTGGTCACAACTTTCAATTACAAGGAAATAGAAATTTAATTTCTTTTCATAGCTATAGACAGAAGATATCTCCCTAGGTGAATATAATATACTCCACAGGAAAATACCTAACAAAATCTTGTTATTTCTAAAACTAAACTAAATAAATTCGGGGCTTTTGGTACAGCTAAAGCTTAAGCAACCCTTTATTTTTGGAAGAAATACATCGCAAATCAGTGAGCTGCCCCACCTTTCATTCCACCTCCCATTCTGCAAACATCTAAAGATGCCCAAGTTTAGATATTTCTGCTGTTAGAACATTCCTTCCTGTTTCAGTGAGTGATCTTTTGATCTTGGAACAAAAAGAACATAACACAACAAGAACAGTAAATTCTGGAAAACACTAACCAAAAGGAAGTATACTGTTTACTCTTTATTACCTTGAAACAATAGGGTATTCACTTTTTCTTCCCCGTAACTCAGTTTAACAGTCTTCATTTGAAAGAAACAAGGCAGAATACATTACTAGTCCTTCTTAATGCTTTCTTACTCAATTTGTTTATAGACTATTAGGTCCCAATCATCTTCCTTTTAAATATTTTTTGCTATTAATGGCACTGATTACAGAGGAATCACACATTACTTCAAGTGAATTTCCATTCTGAGTTGCAGAACTTCTATGTTTTTGACTGGTGAGAAACGAAGTACACCCTCAAGAAAAATAAGTCATAAGAAAAACCACTGTATTAGGGCTACCTGCAAGAGAAGAGGAAATCTTATAAAATTAAGACACAAAGAGAGAACTCTTTATACAGTACTTCCTGTAAATTGGCAGTATCTCCCGATGATGCATCCAAACTGTCCAACAAAGCTTTCCTCAAATAATCCCCTCACCACTTCTCCTTCACTTGTGGCATGTCACATCGAGGGCACAAGGGCACTGGGGCAATAAAAAGCCTACTGAAAGCACTGTACAAGTGTTTACGTTTGCCCACCTCTGTAGATTCTCTAGGATCATTTCCAAAATGCCACAATTTCCTCACAAAAACGCTATTGGCAGCCTGTTATGCCACAGCCAATATTCCTATCTGCCACCTGTAGATCTAGTTCTAACCTCAGTCAAGCTTCCTGGCAATTTAATAAATCTCTGGGGAGTTCAGCCTTTTCATTTTTACTATCCTACTCCTTCACTACCTTCCTTAGAACAGGTACAGTATCTAGTACTAAATTTGAAGACAGAAACTCCATTTAACTACAAAAGCCTAAATCACATAACTACTAAATCTGTTTTGCACAATCAAACCCATCACACCCCACCCAAAATCACCAACACAACATTTTGAACATGTTAAATTTTATTAAAAATATTTAACATCGTACAAATATTCCAATACAGTTATGGTACATGAACACTGTACCAAAAGCATGATTTTTATTAAACTGATGATTAAATGGAAAAGGTCTTGCAAATGTCCCTATTTTGGTATTTCTTATGTTACTATATCCATATCAGCAATTTATGTTTGCAGGAGCCTTCAGTCCAATTATAGAAATAGTCTTAGAACATAGTACCTAACATTATAATGGGATTCACTAAGTACAAGTCTACCTACATTATCGAAGAGGCTAGAGAAGTCCCTTTTGCCCAACCCTCATATGTGAGAAATCAAGAAAAGCAATGTTCATGGGATCCTGACAAATCTACTATATAAAGTGAGAGCCCTTATTTAAATTTGAGCAATTTAAGTTTTTCCCCAGAATGTCTCCTTTGTTGGTTCCACAAAATGTATTTTGTTTTTAGTGTTTAAAGTCAACAAACTGGCATTGCATTTTCCTTAACTTACATAAACTCATCAGAATTACATGAATATTCCTACTGCTTACCTTAAAACTTCCTAAGGAGCATGCTATTTAGTGCTAAGTTTTATACCCTGATCCTTTCTGTCACTGACACATGCATAAAATGTTACCTTAACACAACCCTGCAATCACTACAATTCTTAAAAGTATTACATAATTTCATTCTAGTGTTGTACAACTAGTCTATAGCAAACTTACAAGTAAGGGTTTATATTCATGACACTGACTAGCACATTTAACATCTAGGAAAGTCTTTCTAGACTGATATTCTCAACCAATAAAGAAGATACAGTGCTGTAAGAATACTGAGAAGGTTCTTCAGGCATGAAAATCCATAATTACTTTTAATCAGTGTTTATACCATATTACAATTATTTTTTATATGGTATGGTCAGAAATGCCTAGTTACTAAATTTAATTTCAATCTATACCTTACCATCATGGAATCCCCTACAAACTATAAGATGAGGGATTTTAATCTTTAGCAATAATTTAAATATTGACTCTTAATTCTACCAATATCTGCTAATCCTATCAGCTACCCTAGCTTTCACACAAAACACAAGTTGTTCATAGGTTTATGTTTCTGCTATGTTCAAGGTCTTAATATTTCAGCTATGTAATTTCCTCTTGACCCAAAGTCATTGTCTCAACATATCTCTAAATTGAGGCCATTATTGTCAAACTGCTAAAACTTTTTAAAGTTTCATTTTACAGTGTTAAGATTACTTTGGAAGATTTTTAAAAATAGTATCTTTGGTGTTTAAGCCCTCCATTCTATCAATGTCTTCTTGTTTTCACTAAAATTAGTGTGCAATAAATATCTCTTTAAGATGCATTATATGTTAATCTATCCAACAAAATATAGAAAATATAATACTAGACTGAAATGACAGTTAAAGCAAATTTATTGTCTCTCCAAGAGACTTTTTAAGATTATAAGGTGTCTATTTTGCTCACTTAAAATATACCCTGAGTATTTCATTACTTCATACTTGCAGGCCTTTCCTGCTGATCTGCTACCAATTTAAAAGTAAGTGAAGTGTTATTATATGTTCCTATTAAGAACAAAATAATTTAATATTAAAGTCCTATTTTTCTACAAGGCTGACATAATTGCCCACTTATAGGATATGGGCATTCTCCCACACTTAATGCCCCACTACTGATAAAAAAAAAAATAGGAAAAAAAAGTTCTTACCAACAATTCCACTGGTTATCGTCCCCAGCGAACCCCACCTAGCAAGTCGACATCATGACATGTCAGGTCAGGGCAGCCTCAACCTCGCTTCCCTGATAGTCAGGTGATAAAAGGAAGGAGTTAAAACAGGAAAAGTACACTTGCAGATTTCTGGATAACATCTGAAAATGATTAAAAAAACAAAAAAACAAAACAAAACAAAACAAAACCAGAGCTTCTGGTAACCTCTAAATAAAAAAGTATATATATGTACTTTTATTTAAAGAAAAAAAACTTTTCTAGAAGGATTAACAATAATTAACTTCAAATTAAATATTATTAAATTGCTGACCAATACATTGTATATGCAATATTTTTAAAGCTTGGTGTTTGCGTTTGAAAATTAAGACCTAATCAACAAACTTCTAATATAAAAGTAAACATGTCTGGCTAATGGATTTGTTATTCTGGATTCTCCAGTCAGTCATCCAATCTACTGGTTTCCTCAGAACAACTCCACCCCTAAGTTAACAGAAGCTCCCATTCTTAGAGAAACATAAACACACTTATAAATCCAGTGTAGTCTTTCTATAAGGCTTTTTCTTAGTTGCTCACTTAAGAGATTCCACATAATAATTGTCCACATAATAATGGACTACACTAATATTAACTTTGGTTAGTTTTCTTTAAGAATATTGGTAGCTCAGTATAATAAAATTATCTTTGAAAAATCAAAATGACAAGTTTTAACATATTTAGAAGCCTTGATAATTGACAAGCAATAGCCTTATAGCAAGTATTTACTGGAAGGGTTTGGTTTTACAAATGCACAATTAATAAAACGTAGGTATGATTATATTCAAATGGGCAGGAGGCAAATGATGTAATGAGTTTCAAGAATAATATTATATGGCTTTATGCTAGGAGTGAAATTTTATGTCCCTTCTCTTTTAGAATTTAAAATATATAATTTATTTTTTTGCATGCTGACCTTTTTAAAAAGAATTCATCTCCTAAGTCAGATTTCAAAGTCAAAAGAGAGAAAAATTATCTCCTACTATCAGAAAGCATTGGGCTTTCTTATGCAGAATAACCCCAGTAACTAAAAAAACCTGAAAAACAATTATGCTGAACTCATTTTAAAAAAACTACAGAATCATAACTCATTTTCCTTATCTTTTCACCAAATAAACCTGCATTTATTAGAAATCTGGCAACTTATTAGAACTTTTTTGCTCTTAAAAATTAAAATACCTTCATATAAATACATACATTTAAGCAACTGCTATAAATGAGTGATCAAATAAAAATTAGTATTCCATTATGGGGAGGGGCATATTTGTATCGGTCTCACCAGGGTACCTACAAAGAATAGCTCTATACCTCAATATATTTCCCAACACACACTTTACTGTAACAGGCTCATAAATAAAGCCAAATCAATTAGCTTGGGGAACAAAAAAGATGGAAAGACAGGAGAGCAGGAAACCAAATTCCTTACACTCATAATTTGTACCTAATTTAAAAAAAAAAAAATGCCAATCTAGAATAAAGACCTCCCTCAACTGACATTTTTCAGGTTTATATATTACACTGTTAGATTTATTTATGTGAAAAGTTGAGCTCTGAATCTATTTTCTCTGAATGCTGCTACAGTGTTAATTTACAAGACATGAAAGAAGAAAAGCTCTTGAGTTTTAATGTTTATAGGATTATGCTTTACAATTTAAAATAGCCACAAAACCTATAAACCAAATATTAGAGGGTACCTCTGCAAATATATTTTTAATTAGTGAAAAGGACAGAGGAGGAGGTGGCCACTTTAAAATTCAAAATATAATTTGCAATTAAAGGAAAGGATTTTGACATGGAACCCAAGTTTTAATCTTATGTTTTTGCGAGGGTTTGTTTTCTCAGAATCATTTCTATCCCCATTCTTAGCATTCTTTATGACAACTTTGTAGCTTGTAACACCTAATTAAGAAATACAAACAACTCAAATTTTATTTGTAGATTTTGTTCTTTCCAGGAAAAAAATCAGGGTTTTACTTAAGTCTAATTAGATGTATAGTTACAACTTCAAATTGTACTTTCAAAGTTTAAAAGCAGCATTTAAAGAATGTTTGGTGTCTTTACTTGCATACATGGGCATAAGAAAAACAACTGGATCTGTCTTACCAAAGAAATACCCATGTTAACTCAAAACTATCATACAACAGACCATAATTCCTTTATCAGTTTCCAAAAAACTAAAATATCAATAAGGTCTGTTAAATGACTATACTGTGTAATGAGTGTACTTTGAAAAAGAAATGAAATATATTGACTTTCATCAGTAAATAGTAATCTTAAATTGAAATGAAAAGAAGCCATGAAACCCAATATGATCTAGCCAAGATTACACGGAATTAAGTGGCTTATGATTTTGAAATCTAATATTCCTATCACAAAGACACCAAACAGGAACAAAACACAGAATAATGGTGTATCCATTTTAATTATTCCCCAATGGCTTCTGATATTTTTATCATTATAAAAACATTTGAGAACCACGTAAGAATAAGATGGAGGGGAAAACTTAATAGTAATTTGAAAGTGATTCACTTTTCTGTACCGTAAAGCTTAGATTCTTTTGTTCCTCTCATTCTCAAGCAAAAAAGTCATTAGAATAAATCAGAATTTCTAAAGGAAATAGGGAAATAGATGTTATGTCTTGGCCAACAAAAAATTTGGGCATCAGGGATAGCAGATAAATAAAAATAAACGAAGTGTTAACAGAAAGTCAAAGGTATTACTACTGGATATTTTTAAGCCTCTCTTACAAGGCATGAATGTTTCTCAAAGCAAATTTACATAGTAATAGGAAATTATATTCCTAAACCAGTAACTGAAATGGTAGTCACGATCATTTTCACTAAAACTAAAGTCCGCAGTGCAATTGACGCCACAGTACTAACAATTTTCCCTGTATGTACATTCACTTATCCAGCAAATAAGGTCTTCAGTCACAAATTATCCCTTATAAAGAATGTGGGTCAAAATAAATTGCAGTCTGCTTTCCCAGCCACATTTTATTTGTTTTAATGCAAATTATCCAATGCCTGCAAGAATGCTCAAAAGTCTATGAACCTGTTTTTTTTTTTTTAATAAAAGATAAAATTTCAAAATTAGAAGAGACTATGAGAGAACACCAATCAATGAAAGTGCTAATTGGAATAAATACTTGAATTTAGACTAATCCTCAGTCTAATATCCACAACACATGTTGGAATAAACAAGAAATTTTGCATGAATTTGATCACTCACATAGGCAGTTATACTTTGAAAACAATATTCCTTGCAAGGATTACGAATAAAATAATGTTTTAGGACACAATTGAATTTGAAATAGGTAATGTTTTGAATAGATTTTTTAGTTTTATTGAAATCTTACATGAACAAGAAATTGGAAATACAATCACATCAAAGAACAAATTGTCACGGCTTTTGACGTTTAAGCCAAACAAATTTTGTAGGGCAGATTTCAAAAAGGTGTGAAGTTATAACAATTTAAAAACACAGTTAACCTACTTCTAGGAATGCAAAACATACAATCATAGGTTATTTTCAATACAAGAAAACTTAAATTTGTTTGCTTTAATTTCTTAAAACTACTAAGACAAAGCACTAGCTTGTATTTTTATTTACAGCATACTCCATACTCCTATGTAATCTATCCCAAATCCAAAAAAATGAAACTGTCCAAAACCAAAGGTTCTGCAAAATCATGATTTAACAGTGTGCCCAGCTTGTTTTGAAGCTAAAATGAAGCCTGAAACGATAAAAGCATTGTAATCCCCAGAATAAGGGAACTCTGCAAGCCCAATAATGTCCAAGAGCATTTATGAAAAGAGGAAAAATAAAAAGACTTGAGTATATACACAATAGTGATTTCTTCAGCCCAATACAAATGGCAGCAAAATGCTACTTAAAGATGAAACAGTTAAGCCAATTTTTTTTTTTGAAGAATGTAGATCTAGAGCCAATCGTATCTTGCCAGTATCATTTTCAAGCCCTTACTTGTCTACTTCCACTGTTGCCCATAAGTATCCTGATAAAATTCCTGGTTGTCATTATTGTAACCATAGTTACCAGAATAGTCACCACCTTGCTGAAGCGGCTGCTGAGCGATGGGTTGGGAACCCCAGTTCTGTTGGTTGTTGGTCTGACGACGCTTGGAATCAGGCTGGTTGTACCCATCTGCCTTTCTCTTGCCTCCTACATTGCCCCCACGATTGCCCCGAGATCCACGGGAACCACGGCCTCTCTGCTGTTGAGCAGGACCCCCTCTGCCACCCCTAGAGCCTCTTGGTGGTCCCAAAGGTGCCCCCCTCTGTGAATAGCCAGCTCTACCTCTTGGAGGTGGTGCTCCCCTCCCCCTTGGTGGTGGTGGAGCACCTCGCCCTCCCCTTCCTCCTCCTCTTCCTCTTACTGCATAGCCATCATCATAGCCGTAGTAGGGATCTTCATAGCCTCCACGATAGTCGTGATAATCATAACCATAGTAATCATCATAGTAATCTTCATAGCCGTAGTAATCTGGAGGGTAGCCATATCCACCTCTCCCCCCACCACGACCCCGACCTCTAATTGGAGGTGGCATGCGAGGAGGAGGGTGGTAGTAATAATCTTCATACCTAGCAAAGTAGAGAAGGGAGAAAAGAAAAAACAAATCAGTTTGCTTCAAGACTCTGATTTTGTTTTATTAATCTGATCTCCATTATCACGTTATTCCTTGTCCAAAGATATATCTACTAAAATGTAGACTCACGCAGTGCTTCTGGAGGCCTGTCTAGCAGCTTGGCGCTCTTTCCTTTTCTTGTCTGGTGGCTTGGCTAAGACTATTTCAATTTCTTCCCCTTCTATTTCTTTGCCATTCATTTCATCCATAGCCTATAAAAAATTAGAAAAATTATTTTACAACGATATAAAACTGTATTTTGTTTTATATAGTATGTAAGCTATTATACTTGTGTAATTTAATACACTTAACAATTTACTTCACAATTATTTTAAATGGCAAAAGGTGAATCTAGCCAGAAAGTTAAACACAAACACACAAAGAAAATACGTTTCCCTTGACCTTATCTTTTTATACATAAATTACATTTAGAACAAAACCGACCACCTGATATTATATTTTAAAAGGTAAAAGGGCTGCCACCTATTGCTGCTCCTTAATTCCAAATAACTCCTTAAAAGATAAGCCATACCAAAGAAGCAAATCCATACCGGGGAAAAATGCCAGTATTAATACGAGCCAGACAAAGATTAACTTCTCAGGATTAGAATTTTAAAATAAACATGTAGCATACAACATACAGGTCTTCCACTGTTCTTATACGACAATTTCAAGGATTTGAAGCACAAATGAGGTTACTGAGTGAGATTATCTGTAAAATTCAAGAAGATACTAACACAAAAAAGCCTAGGTTTCCCTCACAATGCTTAACCCAAAATGTACTTTGCTTGAACAGTTAAAAGTACAGAGCCAGAAAAGGCCTGGACTAATGAAGACTCAAGCAATTATGTAGAAAGCAGTAATCAAACATTCCATGTTCTAGCCCTTTGTTCACGTTGTTCCACCTAACAACCTCTGCCATACATCAAAAGGTTCAGGTACTCAGTAACAAAATGTCACCTCCTCATGATATTTTATTTTTTGTTTCCCTATACCTTTCCCCACTCTGGGCACACATAAAAAAATGTTCTATTGGAGCTATCAGTGATTTATAAGTATCTAGACAAAAACGAAACTAGTCCTCAAGACTGCAATTTTCCCTTTTACCACCTCAGCTTTGCGTTGCTTCAGTTAAAGCAACTAAACAAGTTTACAAAAGCTTCCTGGCATAAATTAAAAAATGAAACATCTACCCTCTGCCCTGACCATCCTGGTGACTCCCAGTTCCTGGACTAGATATTTTATAATTTCATAGGCTTCTTTGGCAAACCATCCTATAAATATTTTCAATCAGGACAACCAGTTATTTGAAACCAGTCGAGTCAGGAGGAATATTTAGACAGCATAAAATTATTAGTTATCTGCATTCTATACCAGTGAAATTTCAGAAGCCACAAATGAACGGATAAGAGTATAACAGCATAACAGATAAGACTCCATACTTCAAAGCCAGATTATTACTGAGTTTGTGATCTTGGACAAGTTATGAATTTTATGAACAATACTGCCTCATTAATTAGCTACCATCAATGAGCAAGCCAATTAATTATAAACCAATCAGGGATTCTATAAAGCCTGTTTTAAAAGCAGTAGCCTGGGCAAAAAACAAAACCAAAAAATGCTCAGATTAGAGATGGCAGTATCCCACCGACCAAACATGCAGAAAAAGAACCATGCCTGTGTCACTAAGCATTCTGGATCTATCTTCCTAATAACATAAATAAGATTTTAGTAGTGTTTTGTCTTGCTCCCACCCCCCCAAGGAAGGAGAGATGAATAAAAAAAAGAAACTGAAAATTTCACCCATTAAAGATAGTCCTAAACCATTGTCGATAGAAAGCAGGTTTTGTGTTCCAGATACCATATGAAAATACTTTCTTCAAACTTTTCATTATCATCAAAGACTAAATCAACTATTATACACAAGTGATATCTCTAACAATTACCGAAATCAGTAAAACATAGTGAATGCTATTTTAACTCTAAAATGATTAAATAAAGGTAAAACTAATCATACCCTCAAAATCTATCTACTCAATTAAACATGGTATACTGTATGAGTCATGTACACCACTCAGTTTCCTTCATAGGTACACAAACTGAGGTCAACTAAGTAGTTATAATGCATTCATTACCTATTCAGTGTTTACAGCAGCTAATTTTTATACCTTGTAATACTTCCAAGGCATCATGCTATCGAATCTTACAAAACAATACAGAGATTAAAAATAACTTGCCTAAGATCACAAACTCAGTAATAACCTGGCTTTGAAATATGGAGTCTTATCTGTTACATACTATTACCACTTTACAGAGATTAAATAGAAAGAGTTCAGCAAAAGCTGACAACCAATATTGTTTCAGTTTTTAAAGTTACTTTGTGTTTGGCAAGTTTCAAAAACAAAATTCAAATATCAAGAACCAAAATTTCAAAATTCCTACCTTAACAGCTGCTCCTCTGTCTTCAAAATGAACAAATGCATAATCTTTCAACTTCTTTACTCTTTCGAGTTTTCCAAATTCAGAAAATGACTTTTCCAATATTTCTTCTGTCACCGTAGTAGCCAAGTTTCTCACAAACAAAACTTTTACCTAGTAAGCAACAAATAAACAAAACCGTCATTGGCTACTTAATTTTACCTGAAAAGTGTTTCTTCCTGTCTTCATAGCATAGCTTTTCTCCTCTAAAACATTAAGTGCTAAAAGTGTTGTTACAGGTAGTAAGAGAAATTGCTAGGAAAATGACACTGATATCAGTCACCAATTTACAAAAATTATTGGTTCCTGCCTTCTCCTATGTTGTCATTAAAGCACCTAACACTGAGTAGAACCTTCAAGGAACCAACACATAATTATTATTACCAAGTTAATCAACAAAAAGTCCCTTTCAAAACAAGTTTTTCTGTTTCTTTCCTCTAAAACTGAGTAACTTTCAAAAGTTCATATGAAAAAATAAATAAGCAAGAATAACCAGGAAAAAAAAGAGTGAAATTTAGAGGCTGGCCCTACCAAATATAAACAAACTATAATGCTTAAATCATTAAATCAGGTAGTGTTAAATTAGAAAAAAAGGAGAAAAGCTGGTCCATGCCTTACACTATACACAAGGATAAACTCCAAATAGATTGAAAATTTAAATAATAAAAGGGTGGAGGGAGGACTGTGAAATTTTAGAACAAGAATGATTCCTTTATATAACACTGGAGTGGGGATGACCTTATGACTTAAAATCTAGGAGCCATAAGAATGTTATACTCAACTACTAAAAATAAATGACTTCTATATGGCAAAAAAATACTATAAGCAAAGACAATAAATATGGATGAAAAATTTGCAACATGTATCACAAACAGCTAATCTCTCTTTTATATCAGAGCACCAGAAAATAACAAAAAGCTCAACAACTGAATAGAAAAATAGGCAAAATTCCTGAATACATGGTTCATACACAGAAACACATATGGCTCTTAAAATATATTTAAAGTTCAAACCATTCATAGTAAGAGAAGCAAATCATTAATCATTAATGGCACTGAGACATTTGTTATCAGGCTGGCAAAATTCAAAAGTTTGATTATACACTATTTTGTCAAGAATGAGGAAAATAATTCTCTTGTATTTTGCTGGTAGGAATGTAAAATAGTGTATCTCCTACAGAAAGGAATATGGCAGTATCTTAACAATTACAGATATATCTACCCTTTGGCCCACAATTCTACCCCTAAGAATCTATCCTACAGATATATCTCCACTTGTATCAACTAACATAAGCTTATTCCTTCCAGCACTGTAAGAGCAAAAGATTAGAAACAATATCCAGCTGGTTAAATACACTATAGTACCTCCACAGAATAGACTACTATGTAGTCATAAAAAATGAAGAAGAGGGCTGGGCGCGGTGGCTCACGCCTGTAATCCCAGCACTTTGGGAGGCCGAGGTGGGCAGATCACCTGAGGTTGGGAGTTCAAGACCAGCCTGGCCAGCATGGTGAAACCCTGTCTCTACTAAAAATACAAAAATTAGCCGGGCGTGGTAGGAGGCACCTATAACCCCAGCTACTCGGGAAGCTGAGGCAGGAGAATCACTTGAACCCGGGAGGCAGAGGCTGCAGTGAGCCAAGATTACACCACTGCACTCCAGCCTGGGTGACAGAGCAAGGCTCCGTCTCAAAAAAAAAAAAAAAAAAAAAAAAAACAAAAACCCAAAAAATGAAGAGGAGCTCTATGAGTTGTAGGATAGGACAACTTACAGTCAATGTGATAAGCAAGTACTGTGCCATAGTTTAGTTGGCAGTGTTTTTTAACTATTTAGTAGTACATATAGTAATGATGTATTTCCTCAGAGCTGATGAAACAGGATGGTGAATAAACAAAAGGTAGATCAGTGGATATGGTAGGCTACCAACATTACTACCACTCATCTAAGAATTAAGGAAGTATATCCATATTTGCCGAAGGAAATACTAAAAGGAAACCAGCAACTATTAAAACTGGATGCCTTATAGGAGACAAAGGGGATTTGGTAGACACAGGGATAGGGGTAGAAAGGAAATTTCTTTGTCTATACTTTTCTATATAACTTTTGAACTAAGAAAACATAGTACCTATCCAAATAAAAAACTAACATATTGAACAAATTGTTGCTTCAGATAAAGGGCTATCTAATAAGAAGATACTAATTTAAGGAGGAAAAAAACTAACATTTTCCACAAACGCTCCATCCCCTTTATTATTCTCAATTTGTCATACTAAGGTCCAGCCTCTATGTTACACAGACTCCCACTGGTTTAGTTGCTTTTTAAAAAAAATTCAACATGGACTTTTCTATGATGAAACGATAACATACTATGTGAAAATTACTTACTGAAATTGTGTTTAAAATGTTCAACAGGAAAAAGGGTCCCTTTAAGAGACATATATTTAGGCTTTTAGGTTATGGTACATTGTAAAACTGACCCAACTTGGCAAAAAAAATCTTCAGTGAATTGTAAATTGATAGTGTGAATAACAGAAGCTTTACTCAAATGGATAAACTTTTCTTTTCAATTAGGAAACAATAAAGGAGCTGGATGGGGTTGCAAGCACCCGGGAGGCTGAAGCAGGAGGGACGCTTAAGCCCAGGAGTTCAAGGCTGCAGTGTGCTATGACTGCACATGTGGGCAGCTACTGCACTCCAGCCTGGGCAACATGAGACCCCATCTTTTAAAAAAAAGAAACAATAAAGGGCTCCATAATATTTAATCCTAAGTTTATAGAGACCTCCTTTTCATTCTGAAACCTGTTTTAGATCTAGGAAAAAGGAGTTACCAGAATGAAATCTTGAAGTTTTCTAACCCTAAAAAAAGATTAGGATGAACTTCCATCTGAGCAGTTACTAAAGGTTATGTGAGAAGTGGCTGGTAAGCAAATTACAAGCTATACTTTTGGTTTTCATGGGATTTTATTCCTCTTTTATAATATTTTATTCCTCTATTATAATACATCTATAATACTATTTTAAAATATTTTTACAGAAAAAGTAATACAGGCTATACTTAGTTACTACAGGTAGATTCAAAGTTGTGGTGGATCTTAGAGATTGATCCAGGCTCAATAAAATAGATGACATTCATGTTCAGTAGTTTACCCAAAGTCATAGTTGTATTAGGAGAAGAAACAATAGGAATTAAAATCAAGCTAGTAAAAAATCAAAATAAAAACTCAGAGCTATTTAAATTCTCTATCCCTTTCCTAGACACCCATCTACTCAAGGAATATGAGATAAAAGATACTGAGTAGCACTTCTGAGAGCCTCTCTGGTTCATTCTGAATAGAACTTATCTGATTAACCCAAAGATGTCACTGCCAACCCAGACTTTATACAAGTATAAACCAGAGTTCTCCTCCAAACTACTTAGAACGAGGGTTTGCCTCCTCAAATTCTGGAATAAAAACCTTGACTTCTGACTTATCAAGAAGAATCCAACCATTAACTCATGGCCATTCAGAGTTGCTGCCTCCCTGTGAAGGGAAGAGACAACTAAAATGCTCAAGAGCTCATTGCAAGCAGCAGAAATGCAACTCTGAGGCCGGGCGCAGTGGCTCACACCTGTAACCCCAGCACTTTGGGAGGCCGAGGCGGGCGGTTCACAGGGTCAGGAGATGGACACCACCCTGGCTAACATGGTGAAACCCCGTCTCTACTAAAAATACAAAAAATTAGCCAGCTGTGGTGGCGGGCACCTGTAGTCCCAGCTACTTGGGAGGCTGAGGCAGGAGAATGGCGTGAACCCAGGAGGCAGAGCTTGCCGTGAGTGGAGATCGCGCCACTGCACTCCAGCCTGGGACAAAGCAAGACTCCATCTCAAAAAAAAAGAAATGCAACTCTGATGTGTCCCAGGAGTCGCCCAAAGGAAAACTTAAGAACCAGTACTCAAGGCACCACTATTAAGATCCTGGCAACGCAAGTACAGGAATCAGGAGGGAATTGAGGGCCCTTTACAGGACTTGCCATGCATATTTTGCCACTAACAAATAAGAGCAAACATGACAATCTTTTGCCTTTCTTCATGGGGACAATACACTAAGGGAATCTGATCATTTAAAAACAAGAGGCGGGGCACGGTGGCTCATGCCTTAATCCCAGCACTTTGGGAGGCCAAGGCGGGTAGATCATGAGCTTAGGAGTTCGAGACCAGCCTGCAATATGGTGAAATGCTGTCTCTACTAAAAATACAAAATTTAGCCGGGCATGGTGGCAGGCGCCTGTAGTCCCAGCTACTTGGGAGGCTGAGGAAGGAGAATCGCTTGAACCTGGGAGGTGGAGGTTGCAGTGAGCCGAGATCGTACCACTGCACTCCAGCCTGGGCAACACAGCAAGACTCTGTCTCAAAAAATAATAATAATAAATAAAATATTTTTAAAAATAAAAACTACAAAAAAAGCTTAAAAAAAGAAAAATTAGCTATAAATCTAAATAAAACATAATTCATGGCCAAGTAATAAAGTCATAATATAGTCAATGAAGATTATAACTTATAATCTCCAAAACATTACTTCTCTCTTTACTCAGGACTTTTAAAAAAAAAAAAAACCTCTATCCCTCACAGTGCCTAGCACTAAACAAACACCCAGTGTGTATGGGACTACTTAATTGAAGGAATTTCATTTCAGTTCCTTTTGCACATTTAATCTGCAGGAAAAGGGATTGTTAATGGAAATTCCTGGATACCAAGACAGGCTGTTAACTTTAGTGTTAAAGCCGCTCCTTGCCAAACAGTTGAAGTCTAAAGCTACAATTTCTATTTATCATAAAACTCAAAATATTTGAGCTTTATTCTGAGTACAAAATTTAAATGATGACCCTATGCCCATTCCAAGCAACTGTATTTACCTTAGCCATGACTTCTGGATCTGGTTCTTCCACAGGGTCAGCCCATTCAACTGTAACTACATTTCCCCACACTTTTACTTTTCCACTCATCAGCCGGCGTCTGGCTTGTGCTGCTGACTTGTGATCCTCATATTCAAGGAAGCAGAACCCCCGATTCTTCTTTTTGTCATCGGGTTGATGATAGAGAATAACGTCCACCAAACCCTCTGTTAAACCAACAGCCAGATATATAAGCCAAAAGCATCCACCACACATCTAGCGATTAGGCAGACCTAAATCCACTTGACGATGAGCAAAATATAAGTGAAGCAGCCTCAACATGAGTCACTAATTTTGTAGACAATTAGATCAACATAATTAGATATGGGGTTTGGGACAGTATTTGATGTTCCTTTTTAATTTTAGGGGTTCTGAAGGTACAGCCATATACAACAAATCTACTATATTCTGACATTTAACATGCTACAATGTTTTAGAGCGTTTGATATAACATGACTTTATTAAAGCACTAACAAGGATCTTAAAAACAAAATTAGTAATATAAACCCAAGAGAACTAACTTTTGACAACTAATCATGGCCAAAAATCTTCCTTGAAGCTAACTTAAAAGTTACTATTTTTACCAAGAATGGAAGTGATCACTAAATATTAGTGTTCCTCTGGTCTTAGTCCTTTGCCCTTATCTCTCCGTATGTGTTCTTTCTAAATAATGTCAGCTAGCCCTACTTTTAAATGTTACCTATACCCTTATAAATACTTAGATTTTTTTCCTACCCCAGACTTCTCTAAGCTCTAGATGTGCCTACGTTCTTACCCGATGTATCCTCTTTGATGTCTTAGACATTGCAAATTTAACTTTTCCAAAACTGAACCACCATGGCCAAAATCTGCCTTCCCTAGACTTCCTATCTAATAAACAGTGCCATCCACCTGGTTCTGAAGCCAGAAATTGGTTAGCCATTCTTGATTTCTTCCTTCATCTCTCCTATCCAATTCCAAACTCATTTACTTCTTTCTATCTCCACTGCTATTACCCTAGTCTAATCCTGTATCTGTACTAGTATGACAGCTTCAACTAATTTATCAGCTTCCACTCACACCCCTTCTCTCCAAGCCCCTATCCACAGAGCGCTAGGAATAATATCCCATAAACAAGAAATAGGTGTTATTTCCTGCTTAAAACCTTTAAATACCTTCTCATTATATATACAATAAAAACCCAACTCCTTACATGGCCTACAGAAGCCCTGCCTACTTCATTTCATACAACTCTACTCCTAATTCTACCTTTTAATAATACTGGCCTCCTCAGTTACTGTAATATACTGACTTCTTTCTTGCCTTGGAACCTTGGCACGTGTTGCTGTCTTGGAATGCACTTCCTTTTGCTCTTTGTATGCTACAACCTCTTCATCCTTCAGGTGCTGGTTGACATGTCATCTTATCAGAAAAGTCTTCCAAAACCATGGAAACAGGGATAGTAGCTATTCTCTAGCTAAATATCCTGTATTTCCTGCTTCAGTGTCTTATCACAATGTCTAAATATTCCTTTAATTTTTATTTTTTATATTCTTGGTCTTATCTCCTTTCTCAGGATATAGGATCTATGAAAGCAGAGAATATGTCTCTTAGCCATCAGTGTATCCCAGGCACATAGCACAATGCCAGCACTTAACAGGAACTTTAATAAACACCTGCTGAAAGAATGAATAAATGATCATGAAGCCAGAAGGAGCTATAGATAATAAAGTGATGAGGTCAAAGAACTGTGCCAGCAGTTGACAACACAATACTTGACAACACAATATAGCGGGTGGTAGCAGTGGTTACAAAGTGGGACGCTAGAAATCAAGAGTTCAGAGTGCATAGAATTTCTGGTGACTAGATCCAGAATGTAATCTGGATATGGTGGAGCTGAAGTAAAGGACTAAAGATGAGGTAGACATAGAAGTAGGTAGGAGTCTAAAGCCCTGGATGGTTCACCAATGTAGATGTTAAAGGTATTAGAAAGAAGCCAATTTAGGGCAGAAGAGGAAGACAGTGAGCCAGAAGCAATCTTTAGATTAATGAAAGGCTGAAACCACAAGAGCAACGAATGACAGCTTCAACAAAAGGGAAAGGATATGTCTGGATGATAAAAATGTAAAGAAACAGTGGTTTTTACAAGGGGAGGCAGCGGTCTAACGCAGTGTTTTTAAATCATAGGTAGTATTAGATCACAATTGGCATTTTAAAAAATGAAATAGAATAAGAAATATCAAAATAAATCATGTATAATAAATAAAAGTACAGTTTTGTTAAATTGTTTCAGTTATATATAAATGTGTATAGAACTGTGATATAAAATCTACTTCTCAATCAATTCCATGGATTTAGAATTGGATATTTAAAAAAATCTGATCAGCCAGGCACTGTGGCTCACGCCTGTAATCCCAGCACTTTGGGAGGCCGAGGCGGGAGGATCACCAGAGGTCGGGAGTTCTAGACTAGCCTGACCAACATAGAGAAACCCCGTCTCTACTAAAAATACAAAATTAGCCAGGCGTGGTGGCACATGCTAGTCCCAGCTACTCGGGAGGCTGAGGCAGGAGAATTGCTTGAACCAAGGAGGCGGAGGTTGCAGTGAGCCGAGATCGTACCATTGCACTCCAGCCTAGGCAACAAGAGCGAAACTCCGTCTCAAAAAAAAAAAAAATCTGATCTAGACAAGGCAGCAGGGAGAGAGTAAAAACTTTCATCCTCTTGGTCCTAAAATACACTAATTGTCAAGGGGAAAAAAAGCATTCACTTGAGGGCTATAGAGCAAAAGCTCCAGCAAAAGCCAAGGTTCAATTAAGACAAAGAAGTGAAGGGGACATTCCAAGAAATGAAGGATATAAGGGAACTTGCTTAAACCCAAACCACTATAAAGCAGAAAGGAAGCAATTTAGATACTTCAGACCTGAATTCTTAATTTAATACATACAACCCCTCAGTTTTTTTGAGCACTTGTAAGTAGTACAACATATTTCGCAAAAGTAATTTCTAAATACATTTTTGTTTTACCTGTGACTTTACTGAATTCTTCCAAAATGTTTTCTTTAGTCTTATTCTTCGGAATGGATCCAACAAAAAGTCTGTTGTTTGCCACAGAAATGCACACTCCAAGGTGTTTACCAGGGCGAATTTCATAGCTGTCACACTGCAATAAGAAAAGAACCAGAGACCCCAAAACCACCCCAAACTCAGGACAATTGATCTTAATCTAAAAAATTCAACAATTTAAGGCCAAACGCTCCCTGCTTCATCAACTCACCAAGTTCCCTCATGCTTTCCATAATATGAATGTATATTTTAAACTTCATTGTTACAGTCTCTTGTTTTAGTTTGGTTTTGTTAACCTTCACTACTCTTCCATATAAAAAGGACTCACTTTATTGTTTAAAATATCTTATTTCATATTTTAATTTTATCTATCTGAAAATGTTTTTCCACAGATTTTTCAGAAAAAAATACCTGAGACTGATCATTCAGGGTCCTTGGAAATGTAATTGCATATAGGTAAGCCATACTCAAAATAACAATATGTAAAGGGTAACAACTATGTTTAATCAATGCAAAGATATTAGAAAAATTTCAAATTCTACAGAAGTCACAGAATTCTAAATATATAGTTTTAAATTGTCTACCAAACACAATACTTTCAAAATTTTATAAAATTTTGAAAAATGTTTTATTTAAATCACTATAGTGGATTTTCTTGATAAATTGTAGCCCTTTTTTTTTTTTCTTAAGATGGAGTCTCGCTCTGTCATCCAAGCTGGAGGGCAGTAGCATGATCTTTGCTCACTGCAACCTCCACCTCCTGGGTTGAAGTGATTCTCCTGCCTCAGCCTCCCAAGTAGCTGGGACTACAGGCGTGCGCCACCACGCCCAGCTAATTTTTGTATTTTTAGTAAAGACAGGGTTTCACCACGTTGGCCAGGCTGATCTTGAACTCCTGACCTCAGGTGATCTGCCTGCCTCAGCCTCCCAAAGTGCTGGGATTACAGGCGTGAGCCACCACACCTGGCCAATTTTAGCTTCTTATACTTTAATATTATTTAACCATTAGTTTACTAAGAGATATGATTATTAAAAATAAAATCATCCATATGCTGCCAAAAATGAAAACTTAATATTAAATAAACAAGTTTGAAGAAAAAATCCATAATAAAAACTAAAATCTGGGTCAAGCTAGGAGTGGAACTAATTCAGACACCAGTAATGAAACCAAAGCCTTGATGAAAGAAGTTGACCATTCTACAAAGGCTAGAACTAGACTTAGTGAGGTCCTCAGAAGTCAGGCAAGGGTATGCCAAAAAATAATTACATTGTTATTTTAAGATACTGAGATAGCTGTGTCTTAAATACAGCAGGAGTGAAGATACATTTGATTTGCAGAACTTTGTTGCTACTACTACTGGTCTGAAATGAGCACCAAGTGGTTAAAGGCCCTAGAGAAAGGAAATTAATATGAGACTGGCTATAAATAGTAGGAGAGGAGAGAAAGATTAAAGACAGAGAAGACTCAAGGGCCAAGAAACATACAGGAAGAACAAAAATACACTTAGAAAATATGAAATAAATCGTATGAGTAGGCTGTAACCAAAATAAAACAGATTCACAACTATTTTCTGAATTGAATCCTAAGTCACTGTCATCCACTATTATGTTCCCCACAGCCCATTCCAGTCTTCATTATACTTTAAGAATCCTAAAGTTTAACATCAAGAATTGACATCCTTTTGCCTAAAACCAAAAGACAGAAATGCATAAGCCAAATACTCATATGAAACTTCTGATATCAATCTAATAGATAACTTCTTAAATCAATGGGAGACTTTCTATAAAACATTACTTTTTGGGTATTTTCAGTTCTTTTTTACTTTTATAGTCAGAGAAAAATAAACGTCACATACCAACTTGGTCAGTATAAAAACATTCCAAGCAACAACTGAAGAAATCAAAATAATGTTAACTACAAACATTTTTGAATTAAAGTTTATTTCCTCAAATAGTGACTTGCTAAGACAGTGGATAATTATCACATACCAGTTTCACGGCTTCCTGTGCAGCTTCCTTTCCACAGAAGGTGATAAATGCATACCCTCTATTCTGACCGGACAGTGGATCCATCATAAGACGTAGATCCCAAATGGGTCCGGCCTTCTCAAAAAGGGGCACCAACTCATCCTCATATAAATCCCTTGGTATTTTGCCTACAAATACCTGAAATAAAACCCCCTTATTAGAATCCAACATAAGCATTTGATTTTAGAGCCATAAAGCCTACTGCCTTTTTTTTTTAAAGATGGGGGCAGAAGAAGATGGTTAAGAAAGAATGGAAACAATCTGAAACTTACAGTTGACTTGCAGAGCTAATCCTAATTTTTATTATAATGACCTTAGGGTTATCAAAGAACAAGTCTCTTGAAAAATGGAAACTAATAAGAGTGTAAAATTTGTATTTACTCTAAATTTTAAATTTTTATAACTTGACTTTTTCTCATAAAAACAGAATAAAGGAGGCTGGACGCAGCAGCTCACGCCTGTAATCCTAGCACTTTGAGAGGCCAAGGAAGGCGGATCACTTGAGTCTAGGAGTTCAAAACTAGCCTAGGCAACATGGCAAAACCCCATTTCTATTATTTAAAATTAAAAAATTAATTTATAAATTAAAAATAAAAATGAATAAAAATAAAATAATTGAATAAAAGATTGACATAGCTCTCCTCAAGTTATCTCCTCAACTCTAAAATCTTTACTACTTAAAAAGCAACCTCGGCCGGGCGCGGCAGCTCACGCCTGTAATCCCAGCACTTTGGGAGGCCGAGGTGGGTGGATCACAAGGTCAGGAGATCGAGACTATCCTGGCTAACATGGTGAAACCCCGTCTCCACTAAAAATACAAAAAATTCTCCGGGCATGGTGGCAGGCGCCTGTACTCCCAGCTACTTGGGAGGCTGAGGCAGGAGAATGGCGTGAGCCCGGGAGGTGGAGCTTGCAGCGAGCCGAGATCGTGCCACTGCACTCCAGCCTGGGCAACAGAGCAAGACTCCATCTCTAAATAAATAAATAAATAAATAAAAAGCAATCTCAATATTTTTCAGAAACTCCAGTGCTTCAATCTATTCCTCTCTCTATCCAGATATTAAATATTAAATTTTAAGGTATGAAAAAAAACCTCTTCACCATTTGAAGAATTTGTGATCTTTAATTACAAAATTATATACGATTAAATTATAATATACAATGATAAATTAAAAATTATACAGTCAAAAACCCTCATTTGATACCAGATTACAATTTTCTTCAAGTTTTTCCAATGTAAGCAACATTAAAAATGTTTTATGTTGGCCGGGCGCGGTGGCTCACGCCTGTAATCCCAGCACTTTGGGAGGCTGAGGCGGGCGGATCACGAAGTCAGGAGACCGAGACCATCCTGGCTAACATGGTGAAACCCTGTCTCTACTAAAAATACAAAAAATTAGCCGGGCGTGGTGGCCGGCGCCTGTAGCCCCAGCTACTCAGGAGGCTGAGGCAGGAGAATGGCATGAACCCGGGAGGCGGAGCTTGCAGGGAGCCGAGATCGCGCCACTACACTCCAGCCTGGGCAACAGAGGGAGACTCCATCTCAAAAAAAAAACAAAAAATTTTATATTAAAACATTTGTAATCCACAAAGTCTGAATGAGTAAAATTAGTATTTGCATGACAAATTTTCTAGTGAAACTCATCTACATCACCATTTCACAGTCTGAAAAATAGCTGGAATAATAGGTAAATATAGAAGTAATAATAGCAATCCAATCCAAAATATGCCGACATTATTATGGACATTAAGTTTCTGAAGTTAAGCTCTACAACAGATGTACTATCTAGAGATAATCCTTTCCAAAATAATCAAGACTCACTTTCACTGCTATCTGGTAAAACTTGAGGTATTCTTTTGACTCCTTGGCATGATTCTCACACAATAGTTATTGCAATTCTTCTACCTCCTTAAGGTCCCCAATCCTCATTCACTAAACCTCATTCTAAGGATATCACCTGAGAAAGTCATTGGTTTCTTCATATTCTTACCTCTCACAATGTCTACTTTCACTTCTATCGCACCTCAGAGAAAGAGATCTACCTCCTTTCTAAGGTTAACTCCTTAGCCACAATAAATAAGCCCATTTCTTCTTACCACTTTCTGGAAATAACTGCAAATCGTTATTCCTTCAACTCTCATATTTTGCTCAGTACCATCCTTCCCTTCCCACTGGCTCCTTCCTGTCTCCAAACAATCCAAAAACAAAACACAACAAAACACCCCTTACTTTAGATTGTATTATATTTATTTCCTTTCACTGATAAATGTTTGGTTTGTTTTTGAGACAGGGTCTCACCTTGTCGCCCAGGCTGCAGCGCAGTGGCATGATCATGGCTCACTATATCCTCACACTCCCAGACTCAAGTAATCCTCCCACCTCAGCCTCTCAAGTAGCTGGGACCAGAGGCTCTTGCCACTATGCCCAGCTAATATCTGGGGGTGGCGGTTGGGGGAAGAGAGAGGCTCTCACTATGATGCTCAGGGTGGTCTCAAACTCCTGGACTCAAGTGATCTTCCTGTTCCTTTCTTGGCCCTCCAAAGTACTGGGATTACAGGTGTGAGCCACTGCGCCCGGCCTGTTTTGAACACGCCATCCGTACGTTTTTTTTTTTACTCACACAGTTATTATTTTCAACACATCTACTACATGCTTAATACCGTGAAGCCAAAGAGAAGTAGAAACAAGACATCTATGGCATCATCACAACTAGGGATACAAGATACTGTTATATGTGATTTAAGTGATGTCCCTGCAGAACAATCTTTGTAACAAAAACATACTGAGAAAAGCACACAGCATCTATGTTCTCTTTAACCCTCTATAATTGGCTTCTTCCTCTAACTCGAGCTGTATACCCAGATGTCACTAATAAACTTCTAATAACCAAATTCAAGTCTTTTTCCAGGCCGGGCACAGTGACTTATGCCTGTAATCCCAGCACTTTGGGAGGCTGAGACGGGCGGAATACTTGAGGTCAGGAGTTCAAGACCAGCCTGGCCAACATGGTGAAACCCCATCTCTACTAAAAATACAAAAATTGGCCAGGCATGGTGGCAGGCACCTGTAATTCCAGCCACTCGGGAGGCTGAGGCAGGATAATTGCTTGAACCTGAGAGGCGGAGGTTGCAGCGAGCTGAGATCGCGCCATTGCACCCCAGCCTGGGTGACAAGAGTGAAACTGTCTCAGGAAGAAAAATAAAAGTATTTTTCCCCCTCAGTTCTCATCATCCTTGCCTTCTCTACAAGTATTAACACTGGTGATGCAACTACCACCGTCAAAACCTTTTCTTACCTGAAGTATTCAGAATACCAATCTCATCTTTATACCTTGAAATCTATGATGAAGACATGTTTGTAACAAATGATTTTTTCTAAAAATCAAAATGATTAAAACCCAGCCTTGTCAACTGGCTCCTCTGATTGCCCCCGTCTACCTTTAGAAGAATATAATTTCTGTTTCTCTCCCCTCCTAGCCCCCACCTCCAGGTGACTGAGGAACTACTTCCATAAACAGACATCTCAGATGTTTTCAATTCCTCCCATTACCACCCATATCCAATTAATCTTTAAAGTATCTGCTTGAAGTTGCTCCACGTAAATGCCTAGCCTATACAAACACATGGCTCCCACCCTACTCAGAACTTGTATAATACAAATCTTTCAAGAGACAAGTAATTAGATATACCTTGGACTCATGTGCCATATATTTTTCTAGATTCTAGAAATATAGTGACTACCACAGACAAGGTCTAGGCATTCATGAAGTTTATATTCTACTGAGAGAGACAGACAAAAGTAAACAATATGGGTCATGCGCAGTGGCTCATGTGTGCAATCCTAGCACTTTGGGAGGCCAAGGTGGGCAGATCACTTTAAGTCAGGAGTTTGAGACCAGCCTGGCCAATATGGTGAAACCCTGTCTGTAACTAAAAATACAAAAAATTAGTCAGGCATGGTGGCACAAGCCTGTAATCCCAGCTACTCTGGAGGCTTAGGCAGAAGAATCACTTGAACCAGGAAGGTGGAGGTTGCAGTGAGCGGAGATCACGCCACTGCACTCCAGCCTATGCAACAGAGTGAGACTCTGTCTTAAATAAATAAATAAATAAATAAATAAATAGTGATTATATGATTTTAAGAGGTATTAAATGTTAAGAAGAAGGAAAAAACAGAAAAAGGGGCTAAATGATGGGGCTGAGTTTTCACTAGGAGGGCTTCCCTACAGGGGTAAATTTGAGCTGAGATCTAAGAGAAAATTAAGTAAAAACCTGAGGAAGGTGAGGGGGCAGTGTCTCATGCCTATAATCCCAGCATTTTGGGAGGCCAAGGCAGAAGTATCACTTGAGGCCAGCCAGGAGTTCTAGACCAGCCTGAGAAACACAGCAAGACTCTGTCTCAAAAAAAAAAAAAAAAAAGAAAAGAAAAAAGAAGTCTGAAGAAAGAGCATTCCAAGTTGATGGAACAGGTACAAAAGGCCATGAGATGTGAGATGGGAGTACACTCAACATATCTGAAGAACAGCACACAGGCCAATGGCTAGAATGAAAGTGACAGTGGTGGGAAAACAGAGAACGGGGCCAGAGTAAGTTAAACCATGGTTAGGCATTTCTGCTCCCAGATGTGTTGGGAAGCCATCAGAGAGTTTAGAGCAGAAAAATGACTGGGTATGACTTATGTTCTAAAAGGTACATTTCAGCGATTGGGTAGAAAATGGATTGTATGGAGAAATAGGCTGACTGGTCAGGTGAACAGGGCAATCTGGGAAAGAGATGAAAAGTGGCTTGGTATAGTAGGGTGATAGCTATGAAGGTGGTAAGAATGTGAGCAACAGTGAGTTTTCGGTTATACTGGATTCAAATCTACATTTTAGTTACCTTGAGCAAGTTTCGTTTTTTGTTGTTGTTGTTGTTGCTGTTTTTGAGATGGAGTCTTGCTCTGTCGCCCAGGCCGGAGTGCAGTGGCGCCATCTCGGCTTACTGCAACCTCCACCTCCCAGATTCAAGCAATTCTCCTGTGTTGGCTTCCTGAGTAGCTGGGACTACAGGCATGTGCCACCACGCCTGACTAATTTTTGTATTTTTAGGAGAGATGGGGTTTCAACATGTTGGCCAGGCTGGTCTCGAACTCCTGACCTCAAGTGATCTGCCAGCCTCAGCCTTCCAAAGTTTTGGGATTACAGGCGTGAGCCACCGCACCCGGCCAAGTTTCTTAAGCAATGAGTCTCAACTTCCTAGTGTGGGTTGGGCATGGTGACTCACACTTGTAAACCCAACTCTCGAGGAGGCCAAGGCAGGAGGATTGCTTGAGCCCAGGAGTTTGAGACCAGGCTGAGCAACAAAGCGAGACCCTGCCTCTATAAAAAAATTTAAAAAATTGGCTCAGTGTGGTGCCATGTACCTGTAATCCCAGTTACTTGGGAAGCTAAGGCAGGAGGTTCCCCTAAACCCAGGAGTTTGAGGTTGCAGTGAGCTACGATTGTGCCACTGTACTCCAGCCTGGGCAAGAGTGAGATCTTGTTTTTATAAATAAATAAATATAGAAGAAACATCAACAAATCTGTGGCCAATAAAGTCCCCAATACTATAGTCACGTGAGTCCATGAAGAAACAGACCACGAATCGAAAACACTGGTTTATCTAAGAAACAGGAAATATCTTCATTTCAAGATCAATTTAACTTAGGACCTAAAAAGAATTTAAAAGGCTAAAGTTTTCAAAAACTAATTCAGCACTGTTCCTTTTAAAGTTTTTAAGCTCAATTTTTAATTAACTAAAATGAAATAGGAATACTTTCCTTTTATTAACTTTTTAGTCTCTGAGTCATTCTGGATCCATGTGAGCCCTTTCAGAGCAAGCACTCAGTCATCTTCAGGTAACCCTCCTCCCTTTTCAGAACCAACAGAATCTACTGAATACCACAGTAACATTTCTTTCTTCACTCACTGGCCATGAAGACCCAGAAAAAGTTTTAGCTGTCTACAATTTATCCATCAAGTACTTCAACAGTAATAAAGGAAGTAACCAAGTCATTCAACAGTCTTTTCTTTTTTTGAGACAAGGTACTTGCTCCGTCACCCAGGCTGGAATACAGTGGCACAATAACAGCTCACTGTAGTGACCTCCAGACTCAACTGATCTTTCCACCTCAGCCTCCCAAGTAGCTAGGGCCATAGCTGTGCGCATGCCACCATGCCTGGCTAATTTTTTATTTTTTATAGAGACAGGGTCTCCTTATGTTAGCCAGGTTGGTCTCAAACACCTGGGTTCAAATGATTCTCCTGCCTCAGCCTCCTGAAATGCTAGGATTACAAGCATGAGCCACCACACCCAGCCAACAGAGTCTTTTGGGTATCTATTAGGATTCTTATATTATCTAGCTCCTATTTACATTTGCTATCTTGCAAATATATCAGTTTCTCATACATAATACAATTCAGGTGCCACAAAGTCATATACTTTAGGGCTCTGTTAAATACACTGGGGTTCTGTGACACCACCATGAATAAACCAAAGAATGAGATCTCAATCTACCATTTCTTTTCATTACTCTGCAAAACATCAGTGGTAGGCTCTGCAAACAGATAAGAATTTATTATACACAGTCATGACCTCCAAGAATACTGCTTACATTAATGGAAACGAGTACAAACAGAACTTGGCCAGGCGAGGTTGCTCACTCCTGTAATCCCAGCACTTTGGGAGGCCGAGGCGGGTGGATCATGAGGTCAAGAGTTTGAGACCAGCCTGGCCAACATGGTGAAACCCCGTCTCTCCTAAAAATACAAAAATTAGCTGAGCATGGTGGTGCATGCTTGCAGTCCCAGCTACTTGGGAGGCTCAGGCAGGAGGATCGCTTGAACCTGGGAGGCGGAGGTTGCAGTGAGCCGAGATCGTGCCATTACACTCCAGCCTGGGCGACAGAGTGAGACTCCATCTCAAAAAAACAAAAACAAAAACAGAACTTGCTTCCCAAAGCAGCTTAACAATACTAGCTGAAGAATACAAAAATACTACAACTAGAGTAGGTCTGAGAGCTCAGACACACTAAAAAATATATTTCAAAATTACTACCTATCATCCTTGCATATTTCTCATCTCAGAACAATACTTAGCAACAATGTCTGTTAATGAGTGCTCATCTAATGGGTTAATTTACAGATTTTACCCAAAAATGAGATATCATAGTCCTCTCATAATTTTAATACTGCACAGTCTCAGGCACTGACTCTAACTTCAACCTCCTCAATCAAGACCTAAAAATGTTTAATGATGACTGAAAGAACATATAAAAGAACAAAATCCAAACCTCACAACATCAAAAATCACAATTAAAACCAATTTATTATATCTACTAGCAACACATTAAAAACCTACTTTTCCTGAGTTTTCAAAACTTTGTCAACAAGTACTTGCACAATCTCATGAACTTTAACTTTATGAGAGAAATCTGAAACTTTCCATTAGGACTTTGCTGAAAGTGATTGCTTGACAGGAGTGGTTTTAGGCTAGTGATCACATATAGGGATTTTGCTGGAATCATATTTGCTGTATACAACAACATTTAACATACAGAAGAATGCATCTTTCTCCTAAAGGAACAATGCAATCTAAGAGAATGCGTATGTGTTTTACAATTAACATATCAACTATTTGTTTCGAATTGGTTATCTCCGAGTTTATTAGGCCAGACATGGTGACTCACGCCTGTAATCCCAGCATTTTGGGAGACCAAAGTGGGAAGATCACTTCAGCCCATGAGTTGGAGACCAGTTGGGCAACACAGGGAGACTCCATCTCCACAAAAAATTAAAAAAAAAAAAAAAAATAGCTGGGCTTCACTTTGGGAGGCCGAGGCAGGCAGATCACCTGATGTCAGGAGTTCGAGACCAGCCTGACCAACATGGAGAAACCCCTCCTCTACTAAAAATACCAAAACTACAAAATTAGCCAGGTGTGGCGGCGGATGCCTGTAATCCCAGCTACTGAGGCTGAGGTAGGAGAATCGCTTGAACCCGGGAGGCAGAGGTTGCAGTGAGACGAAATTGCACCATTACACTCCAGCCTGGGCAACAAGAGCAAAACACAAAATAGCTGGGTTTGGTGGCATGAGTCCATAGTCCCAGCTACTGGGGAGGCTGAGGCAGGAGGGCTGCTTGAGCCAGGAGGAGTCTGAGGCTGCAGTGTGCTATGATCACACCACTAAACTCCAGTCTGGGTGACAGTGAGACTGTTTCTTTAAAAAAAAAAAAAAAAAAAAAAAAAAAAGGTCCCTGGTGTAACAGGTTACTTTTCAGCACACAGTTTTCTCCATTTGAAGGATGAGCAGGAGTTCATGACCCGCCTGGCCAACTTGGCGCAACCCCGTCTCCACTACAAATAGAAAAATTAGCCAGGCGTGGTGGCAGGCATCTGTAGTCCCAGCTACTCGGGAGGTTAAGGCAGGAGAATCGCTTGAACCTGCGAGGCAGAGGTTGCAGTGGGCTGAGATCCCACCACTGCACTCCAGCCTGGGCGACAGAGCGAGACTGAATGGAGAGAGGGGAGAGGGGAGAGGGGAGGAGAAGAGAAGGAAGGAATAGAACAGGCTAGCAATAAGGCAAATGGAAAAAGCTTTAAGAAGACAGATGGGGAAAGAATTGCTTCTTTGTTCAAGTATGGACTAACATACTCAATCTTTTATCTGATTCCACATCCTTCCCTTGTGCAATCCACGCCCATCAATAATATCTCTCCATAAATACTAAGTCCCTTCTGAGTGATAGGTGAGGCAAGGGAGAGGACAAGCACAGTTCTAAATTATTGATATTAAAAAAAAAAAAACTTGGCCAGGCGCGGTGGCTCACGCCTGTAATCCCAGCACTTTGGGAAGTCAAGGCAGGTGGATCACCTGAGGTCATGAGTTCAAGACCAGCCTGACCAACATGGTGAAATCCTCTTTAGTAAATACAAAAAATTAGCCAGGTGTGGTGGTGCATGCCAGTAATCCCAGTTACTTGGGAGGCTGAGGCAGGAGAATCGCTTGAACTTAGGAGGTGGAGGTTGCAGTGAGCCGAGATTGCACCATTGCACTCCAGCCTAGGCAACAAGAGCAAAAATTCCATCTCAAAAAAAAAAAAACAAAACCAAACCAAAAAAAAAACAAAACAAAAACAAAAAAACTTGGTTGGGCACTGTGGCTCATGCCTGTAATCCCAGCACTTTGGGAAGCCAAGGCCAGCAGTTCAAGACCAGCCTGGGCAACACAGTGAGACCTGGTCTCTACAGAAACAAAAACAATCCCCAAAAAGCAAAAACCAAAAAAAGCAGCCGGGTGTGGAGGCTAACGCCTGTAATCCCAGCACTTTGGGAGACCAAGGTGGGTGGATAACTTGAGGTCAGGAGTTCGAGACCAGCCTGACCAACATGGTGAAACCCCGTCTCCACTAAAATACAAAATTAGCCAGGTGTGGTGGCACGCACCTGTAATCCCAGCTACTCAGGAGGCTGAGGCAGGAGAATCACTTGAACCCAGGAGGCCGAGGTTGCAGTTTGCTGAGACCGTGTCACTGCACTCCAGCCTGGACAACAAGAGCGAAACTCCATCTCAGGGGAGGGGAAAAAAAAAGACAGAATAAAGCAATTGCGTCTTCCAAATAACTTTACTCCAAGTATCTAAAATGGTGTGCTGCTAGTAGCATGGTTTTAGCAACCTGTTCCAAAAACTCTATATTATATTCCTATATAAAGTGTTCGGGTATCTACCAGTCACAAGATTATCCATCCTCATGATGGCAGCAAAATACAAATGGATATCTAAAAACTAACAACAGCTACACTTTGAAAGGGATCAAGAATTTTCCCCCGTCTGTACAGTATCTGCATAGTAGATAAAACACTTTCCAAACTGGAAAGATCTTGGTAAACTGCTAAAGAACACTTACCTCCGTTCCAATTCCAGGTTGCACGCCAGAGTACACACTGTCTGGTGGAGGACCACCATACTTCCTCTGTCCTGTGGTTACATCCAGAGTATAACCAGTTCTCTCAAGCAAGGCCTAGAGATAATTATACATCTCTTTATACTTGAGTACTAAATCTCACACACAAGCATCAGTGTATTAATCTTTTCCAAAAAGGACTCCAACTTCCTAGGAGATATATTTTTATGGTTAGGTAAAAAAAAAAGTCAAAATTCGCACTGGTTCCCCATACATGTTTCTACTGGTGAGTCTTTTCAAATAAAATGTTCTCTATCCTTAAAAAAATTAGCACAAGTCTTACCTCCTTCATGCAGCTTCTCTCATTTACTATTACTCACATCCATTTCTCCCTACTGTCTTTTCTTCTTTTTTTTTGAGATGGAGTCTTGCTCTGTTGCCCAGGCTGGAGTGCAGTGGCATCGTCTCGGCTCACTGCAACCTCTGCCTCCCGGGTCTAAGAGATTCTCTTGTCTCAGCCTCCCAAGTAGCTGGGATTACAGGCATGTGCCACCACGCCCAGCTAATTTTTGTATTTTTAGTAGAGATGGGGTTTCACCATGTTGGCCAGGCTGGTCAGGAACTCCTGGCCTCATGAGATCCGCCTGTCTTGGCCTCCCAAAGTGCTAGGAGTACAGGTGTGAGCCACTGTGCCCAGCCCCCACTGTCTTTCTAGTGTACTTTTTTTTTTTTTTTTTTTTGAGACGGAGTCTCGCTGTGTCACCCAGGCTGGAGTGCAGTAGCGCGATCTCGGCTCACTGCAAGCTCCGCCTCCCAGGTTCACGCCCTTTTCCTGCCTCAGCCTCCCGAGCAGCTGGGACTACAGGCACCCGCCACAACGCCCGGCTAATTTTTTGTATTTTTAGTAAAGACAGGGTTTCACCGTGTTAGCCAGGATGGTCTCAATCTCCTGATCTCGTGATCCACCCGACTTGGCCTCCCAAAGTGCTGGGATTACAGGAATGAGCCACCATACCCAGCCTCTAGTGTACTTAAAGTTCCATCATTTAAGCTTGATTTTGTTTGATCCTTCTGGTTTGTACTCCTGCCATATCATAAGCTCCACAAGAATCAGGTAATCAGACAAGAATCATACAGTACAGACTAAAAATATTTGGCAATTACCAAATAAGTATAGTCAGGTTCCGAAAAATAAGTAAAATCTTGTGTTTCCTGATTACCAACCTTCCTTACATTCTATTAGGTATTAAGAGCAATCATAGAAAAGAAGATAATCTCCTTGCTCTCAGGAATTTATGTTATAATTGAGGCAACATCTATATAAAGAGCTTAGAGAAGAAAAGATACAATGGTAAACAAAGAAACACAATCTACCTAGAAAAGAGAAATTTACACTTCAGTTTTTTTGGTTTTTTTTTTTTGAGACGGAGTCTCGCTCTGTCGCTCAGGCTGGAGTGCAGTGGCGCGATCTTGGCTCACTGCAAGCTCCGCCTCCCGGGTTCACGCCATTCTCCTGCCTCAGCCTCCCAAGTAGCTGGGACTACAGGCGCCTGCCACCACACCCGGCTAATTTTTTGTATTTTTAGTAGACAGGTGGCCTCACCGTTGTTAGCCAGGATGGTCTCGATCTCCTGACCTCGTGATCCACCCGCCTCAGCCTCCCAAAGTGCTGGGATTACAGGCGTGAGCCACAGAGCCCAGCCAGGTTTTTAAAATTACACAATGTCAGAACAATAAGAGACTTTAGATATCATCAAGTTCAGTGAACACTAGGATTTCACAGGGATGCATGCCTTCGGCCTTCCATTCTTCTACCTTTGACTGAAACAGAGCCATAAATGTAATATAAAACAGGGGTCCCCACACCCCTGGGCCACAGACCCGTACTGGTCCATGGCCTGTTAGGAACCGGGCTGCATAGCAGGAGGTAAATAGCGGGCAAGTGAGAACAAAGCTTCATCTGTATTTACAGCCGCTCCTCATCCTCCCTATCATTGGCATTACTGCCTGAGCTGTGAGCTCCACCTCCTGTCAGATCAGCAGCCGCATTAGGTTCTCACAGGAGGGTGAATCCTATTGTGAAGTGTGCATACAAGGGATCTAGGTTGCATGCTCCTTATGAGAATCTAATGCTTGAAGATCTGTCACCATCTACCAGTATGCCCAGATGGCACCATCTAGTTGCAGGAAAACAAGCTCAGGGATCCCACTGATTCTACATTATGGTGAGTTGTATAATTATTTCATTACATATTACAATGTAATAATAATAGAAATAACTTCAACATACAATAACTATTTCTAATTAAAAAGTCTATCACAGCCGGGCGCGGTGGCTCACGCCTGTAATCCCAGCACTTTGGGAGGCTGAGGCGGGCGGATCACGAGGTCAGGAGATCGAGACCATCCCGGCTAAAATGGTGAAACCCCGTCTCTACTAAAAATACAAAAAATTAGCCGGGCGTAGTGGCGGGCGCCTGTAGTCCCAGCTACTCGGGAGGCTGAGGGAGGAGAATGGCGTGAACCCGGGAGGCGGAGCTTGCAGTGAGCCGAGATCCCGCCACTGCACTCCAGCCTGGGCGACAGAGCGAGACTCCGTCTCAAAAAAAAAAAAAAAAGTCTATCACAGGCCGGATATGGTGGCTCACACCTGTAATCCCAGCACTTTGGGGAGGGTGAGGTAGGCAGATCCCCCAAGGTCAGGAGTTTGAGACCAGCCTGGCTAACACAGTGAAACCCCGACTCTACCAAAAAACAAAAAAAATTAGCAGCCAGGCACGGTGGCTCACGCCTGTAATCCCAGCACTTTGGGAGGCCGAGGCGGGCGGATCATGAGGTCAGGAGATTGAGACCATCCTGGCTAACATAGTGAAACCCTGTCTCTACTAAAAATACAAGAAAAAAAAAATTAGCCGGGCATGGTAGCAGGCACCTGTGGTCCCAGCTGCTCAGGAGGCTGAGGCAGGAGAATGGCGTGAACCCAGGAGGCAGACCTTGCAATGAGCTGAGATCGCGCCACTGCACTCCAGCCTGGGCGACAGAGGGAGACTCCGTCTCAAAAAAAAAAAAAAAAAAAAAAAAAAAAATTAGCTGGATGTGGTGGCGCACGCCTGTAGTCCCAGCTACTCAGGAGGCTGAGGCAGGAGAATCGCTTGAACCCAGGAGACAGAGGTTGAAGTGAGCTGAGATGAGCTGAGATGGCGCTACTGCACTCCAGCACTCCAGCCTGGGCCACAGAGTGAGACTCTGTCTCAAAAAAAAAAAAAAAAAAGAAAAGTATGTCACTACAGCAAGACACGAGTATCCATTTAACTAAGGAATTAGGTTCACTGGTCTTTCATTAAAAGCTGTATATTTACCTTTTCAAAGCTGTTTATCTAAGTAATAAAATGGTAATAATAATAATGGTTCATGGTTATATAGTTCTTGCTACATTCCAGGCATTATTCTAAGTGCTTTATATATGTTAATTCATTTACTCCTTACAATAACTCTGTAAGGTAGTCACTATTACTATCCCCATTTTATAAATAAAGAAACTGAGGTAACTGAATATTCAAAAGGAGGAAAGCAGTTATAACAACTTTTTATCAAGTTATAACCTTTTTATCAAGAGAAAAGAAACAAAGTGGCTGGAAAATAACTGAACCAAGAGACATTACTGGATCAATCCAAGAAACTACCAGCGAAGCATCAATAAATATACGTCATTCATGGCCACAAAAGAGGGAATGAGGAAGAGTATGAATTAGGGCTTTTCATTAAACATGCAATTGAGTGTCGATCCCCAAAATTATCCTTCTTATGTAATTCCTCTAAATTATTTCATTTCTAAACACTAGTTTTGAAAAGTGAAACTTTCAGCTGGGCGTGGTGGCTCACGTCTGTAATCCCAGCACTTTGAAGGCCGAGGTGGGCGGATCACAAGGTCAGGAGATCGAGACCAATCTGGCCAACACAGTGAAACCCTATCTTTCCTAAAAATACAAATAATTAGCTGGGTGTGGTGGTGCATGGCTGTAATCCCAGCTACTTGGGAGGCTGAGGCAGGAGAATGGCATGAACTTGGGAGGTGGAGCTTGCAGTGATCCAAGACTGCGCCGCTACTCCAGCCTGGGCGACAGAGCAAGACTCCGTCTCAAAAAAAAAAAAAGTGAAACTTTCTAGGAAACATGGAAAGAGGCATTTGACCTCATCATTAAATGCAATTTCATTACAACTACCCAAGTCAAGTTTTACCTTGATCTTCGCTTCATCAGGTCCCTTTGTGGACTCTTGCACCTTGCTCCCCTGTTTCTCTCTCTGCCTGTAGGTCTTCATAACTCCACATAAAAATGCACTTTTGTTCTAGAACAGACAAGTAATTCAATAAAAAGAATCACCAAAAATATCTGAAGGGTCAGATACATAATTAAATTTAAATTTCAGAAAACCAGGATTTTAACAAAAGATTTACTGATTCATTCAACAAGTATTTGCCGAGTGGTTACTATGTGCCAGAGATTGGAGCAGACAGCAGTAAGGCAGTATAGACCTCAGGGAGCTTACCTTCTACCCTGGGAAAACACAGTCTTCCACTTGTTGATATGTGACTGTATCTAGACTGTCTTTGCCAGATGTCGGAAACTATTCCTCCCACCTACATTTTCCTCCAAGATAATAAAACAGGATCAAATAACCCCCAAATGTTAAAAAGCTGAGTAACATGTAAAAACCTATAGTAACAACCATCAAAACTTGGCTTTAATTTTAAGTTTTTAAAATAACTTACTGCACAAGGGGGTGGGAGAAAACTTTTGCTTTATACTTGGGCTTCTGAAACTCTGCCACAAGCAGTTTTTTTCCTTTAAACTAATTTTTTAAAAGAAGAGGTAGTCACAAACAAAAAATACCACTTCTCCATAGGAAAAAAAGTAATAGTAAAATAATTTCAGATTACTAATTGTTCAAAGACATTTCTGAGTAACGACCTTACCTGAACATGTGATAAGTCACTTTCCTTGAACTGCTGTAGTACAGACAGAGCTCCTTCTTCATTAAATTCCCTGAGAGCATCAATTGCTCTTTCATCAAGATCGACATAAGCTACCAATCCTAAAAATTAAATTGAAAGGGGTAACGTTATTGCAACAAAAGGGGTAATCTAAGCTCTACTGACGTTTAATCAAGAATTGTTACATTCAATATGATCACTAACAAACTGTATTTTCATTTAACTATATGCATATACGCAGCTATCCAAATACTACATAGAAAGGTCCAGGACAAATATGAAAATAAAGATAAAATGTCAACAACCAAAAACATGAATTTCAATCTCCATATCCACAAACCTCCCCCGCCAAATCCTAACATCCATTTCCCACTCCCCCAAAGGTATAAGTCTTGAAAGTTAAATCTGATGTACATACTGTATTACAGATTATGCATTAATACAACAAATTTTGGTTTATATTAGAGTGATAAGAATACATTGCGTTTTCCAAGGATAAACCTTCAAATTACAGACGGTTACAGTTGATGCTAACCACCTAAGAGGTGGAGGAAAATCTGAAAACAAATTTTACTAAGTAATTCTTTCCACTCTCCAAAAAGTGTCAAAAGGCTTTCCCTCCTGAACACCAAAGATAAACTGAAATGCATTTGTTTATCTGAGCATCCACTTTGCTGCAGTCAGAATGTGGAAAGGCATAATTTTAAACTTCTACAAATGCAAGTGCAGCTTGATTAATCAATTCTGAAAGTCATACTTTAAGGCATTCTTTGTTCTTCTGAAGTGACAAGCTGAGATTTAAAAGATGCTGTGGCATTCACATTGACTGTCAAGAACGACAATCATTTTCAAATGGCAATAAAGACTTTATGGTCTTACAAGTAAACTTGACAGAAAATATATACACTGCATTTCATATATGTAAGTATATTCAACTGCACACAGAACATCTACTAAGTTTAAAATATAATTTCTTAAGTCTGTTAAGTTTGTGTCATATTTACATATGGAATATATTTCAGAATTGATCCAACGTAAAATGCAAGTATTTCGTAGATTAAAACCCCCAAGTTCATATGAACATGAAAAGTGACTCCATTTTGATAAAGCTAAAAAGAACTTTATTCCATATAGTAAATTTTAAATAAATGTAATGCCACTTCCAAAGTTACTTTTTAAAAAAGTTGCCATGATTTGTTTCAAAAGCTCGAAATGAGCATGTGTAAATAACTGGAGCTGCCTCACTTGAATATTCCATACCACCACCCGAAGCCACAACTCAGGACACCCATCAATCCATTTTGTCAAACCAAGTCTACGCCCAAACCATCAGCCTCTTATCAATAACAAAACACTCTACAAGAGAGCATCTCTAAGCAGATCACTGCCAATTCTCTATGGCAGAATGTCACAGAAAGTTCCTGAGGACTGATTTTCAAATGCGACCATGACCCAGGAGTCATTTTTATAAGTCATTTTAATGTCTAAAATTATGCTAAGCTTCCCAGATTTAAAAATTTTTTAAGGACAAAAAAAAAAAAACAGCTATTTGCTACTACTGTACTTAAGACACATTTGTGAGTGAGACAATTCAATTCTCTCTCAGAATCTGAATAGGCACACACAACACAGAGGAAGAAAGTTTCCATCTATGTCCCCAAAGGAGGAGGACACATTCATTTATGAACAACGCTCCCTAAGGGTAAATATTTCTCTCCCTCTTTAAAACTTCAAACCACTTACAACCAACTATATTAAGATGTTCAAATTTGCTTAAGCACTTAACCATGGCACTTCTGGATTAAAAAAAAAAAAAAGAAGCAGCTGTTACAACCAAACACTTCCAAATTACGGAGAGATGTGGATTTCTATTAGAAACTAGACAAGCCACAAACTCTCAAGGAGTCTGACATTTATTATGGTTTCAGACGATACAGCTATCCTCTTGTTATGCCACCTAATCAGACCTAAGCTGATTTAACAATCACTTTAAGAAGGTAAAAGTAGAAAAGCAAAAGCAAAATGATGACTGATTTTGATTAAGAAAAAAATGTAAAATTTGGTATGCAGAAACATACATTTTTATGGGTGGTAAATCTAAGACAAATCGATGTGCTGTTCTGAAACAACTAAGACTGCATATTCAACACTAAGAAGGCTTCAAAATAATGAAATAAGAGTATCAAAGTCAAACCCAATATGCCTTCAATGAAGGGAAAGTAACAAACATTCAGCTCTACAGATCAGAAACAATAAGTATTATTTAACCTTAAAAAACTATAAAATTCAAAGTGGTTTGCCCTCACTTTCATAACCAGTCAGAAACAAGAAATGCATATTATACCTGTCTGAAATATTTCATCAAGTCTTTCTGCCACCTTCTGTGGGAGGCCTGCCTCTATCAGTGTCTTGTAGTGTTCTGTGTGAGTTACACTGGAAGTATCCATTGGTTCTTCCTCTTCTTTTAACTGTACCGCATTACCATTCACCTGATTAGCCATTTTATTATGCTGCTGGAAAAAATTCAGGAGCTATATTACATTAAGCCAGAAATAACTAGTTTGTAGGACAATGCATGATTTATCTAAACTAATTTGTATACATGCTGCTAATAACCTCTATCAAAATAATAATTTATTCCTCCTGTGATGTATCTGACCTAAATTGGCAATAATAATCCTGTAAAACCATAGAAAATGTACATGGAAGCATTAGATCTTTAAGGAACTTCATGTACACCGGGTAAGATAAAGGCTTTAATTTACTGAAGGTAGAATTGCTGATTAACAAAAGCAGCTGTTCTGTCCTGGTGAAAAGATCAAAATCACTACAAAATCCTTTACTAAAAAGCCCCTCAGCTCTCGGGTCTTACACAGTTTTAAAAAGTTTTGTTTTAAAAACAGAATGAACACCCACAGACCACTTAATCAAGATTTAAGGACTTTCAAATTTTCCTGGCTCTGCTTCAAATACAGTATCGGTGTGAAATAAGTGCCCTGTTTTCTCTAGTTCAACATGCTGGTGGTTTGGGTTTTCTCCACCTAACAATACAAAACGAAAACAAAAAAAAACCAACTTGACATTAATTTTTGTTCTAAGATTAATTCGCTATTCCCACAGATTTAAAAGAAAAAATGACCAAGTTTAAAAGCGAAACAATTGTTTTCAGTCCAAATAAAATACTAAGTGAGCTATAGTTTAGGTTGCTTCTTAAAAAAAAAGAGTACATGTTGAAATTTTCATATCAGTAAAATAAAGATGTAAAAACATACTGAAGAATGGACAACTTCTTCCAAATATTTCAAAAACCGTTACCTAATTAGGCTAAACTTCAGCCAGATTTCTCAGATTAACCTATCAAAAATAATTTTGTACATTCAGCCTGTAGGTAATGCTGAAATGGACTGACTCCCTGAAGAGAGAGAGTAAACAATAAACCATACAAGGCCAGTCTGTGTACTGCCTCAAAAGACAGGGAATTAAAGTGCATTTGTCTGTGGTGAAATTACAATGTGATGAAGATAATAGGCAGCAGAACAAGACATTGCAACACATACTAAATAAAAGACATAAAGGTGGATCTCAAGAAAAAGCCTACTTTTCTTGATGAAACTCAAGATACCTAGTCATCTATAAAGAAAATACAAGTCTCCTACAAAGTACTAAGACACATAAGATAACCACACTTCCCGACAGCTTATCGAACATTGTGCAAATGCACCAGGTGCAGTTTTCTGGCTTAAAACAACTTCTTTTCATTTCAAAGTCCACTGATACTTAGTTGAAGTTAACGAAAGAGGGAGGAAGACCAAGAGGGGAAGGAGGTAATAGAGAGTAGGAAGAAGAAGAAAATGCAAAGGATTACTCTGAAAATGAGATAAACATGACTCCTCACAATTACAAAACACTATTAAGACTCGATAGCCCTTAATAGACGCAGACTGTGGTTAAATTCTGGGTGGATGTTTCTCAAGACAAGCTTCAAATTCTGATGAACTAGCAAAAACGGAAACATTCGAAATGTCACACTTTTGATCAAGAAACTGTATTGTGTGAGATGAATACGTTTACTGATTAACACGACCTATTTCTATAAAGATGCATCCTAAAACACAAAATCTCCTTGCGAACATAAGGTTCTGTTTTCCCATGCTCCCCCATCCCCACATACTACCTTAAGATCATCAGAACTCAAAAGTTCTCAGTATCACAAGACCCTTACAGCATTGTACCTAGGAATACTATCAGTCACAGAAAAGAGGCAAATTTTTAACAGAAAAGTTCAATGAACATCTGTTAAGGTGGGGTTTTTAAGTATGTGTAAAGCAAAAAGACAAGTTGTGTATTAAGTACAAGACAGAAATATTTATGCCTACCATTTCATTGCAAAGGCTCTACAAGTTGATACTGAAATTGGTTAAAATTTTCAAAAAAAGTTTGTAAATTTTAACAAAAAAACCGTAAAATAATTAGATTCCAGAAAATAAAACCTTCGGATCAAGGAAAGCCCTCTCTCTTCAAGCCAAATACAAAATGCTCATTTTGAAAAGACTTTTTATGTCATATGAGACCATTTGAAACTCATTCAAATGTGGCATTCAACACAATGCCACACAGCCAAACCATATTTCTGGATGCAGCAAATATACTAACGTGACTGGAGTCATTTGATCTAAACATTTTTGCAAAAAAAAAGGAGACATTTAAAGATTTAAAAGGGCTGCTGGGAGATTCGGGATGTCAGCACTAACTCCTCCCTGACTTTTTCTGAACCTCTCTGTGCAAATTCTTCATATTAAGAGACGGGCTTTAAAAGAACCAACGAAATGAGACTAACGGTTATCTCATGGCTTAGGAGTGTCGAGCTCTCATCCTACGACTGACTCATGAGACATCAATTCAGCCACTTGAGGACTGCAAAAATCTCAAACAGGTAGTGTGAAAGGACTGAACCTTCCAAGAAGCCCTGGGCTTTTTTAAAAATTTGGCAATACGGCCACTACCGTGTAAGAAAAAGGATCGCCTTTCCAATTTGGTGCGCCTCTGACAGTCTCAGAATTATCCATTTCAGGCGCCGCTTGGAGCCTAAGTTCTACGGCCTCTAGTAGTCATTTTTTCCTTCAAATCTCAGCCCGCGGCATGCAGAATGTGGGAGGGGAGGGAGGCTTCCCACACAAATCGGCCTTTCGGTTTCTGCTCACACAAAACTTTTCTCCCGGCTCAGATAACCCTGGGATCTGCACCCCGCCTTCCGCCCCCCACCCCCATCCCCTCAGGCCCGTCCGGATCATCAGCACATCCCTCTCGGGCTAGGCCGGCCGCGGCGGGAGCGAAGCGGCTCCGGCGGGGAGAAGCGGCAGGGCCGCGGGCGCCTCAGGCCCTTCGCGGGATCCGGCCGCATGGAGCAGCGAGCGGAGGCGGGAAAAGCACGGCCGGCCCCAGCAGGCCGCGCGGAGAGCGCCCAGCGGGCCGGACCGCGGGCTAAAGGGGCGGGGGGAGGAAGAGCGAGGGCGAGAAGCGTTTCGGCCGGGCTAGGCCCACAGCCGCGCGGGCGGACTAGACCGAAGCCGCCCCCAGCCCGTCCCCACCCCCACCCCGGGGCCTCGGAGCGCAAACGAAACGGGACCAGGCACGGAGCCCGGGCTGAGTCGGGTCGCATCGGGGCTCCCGGCCCCTCCCCCCACGGGCCGGCGCGAGACTCACCAGGGCAGAGCGGGGGCCGGCAGCCGGGCCCGTGAGAATCAGCGCGAGGCGCTTTGAAAACGACTAGAAATGGCGCGCGCGCCACCCCCTCCCCCCCCTGATGGACTGAGACGCGATCCCGGCAGCACGCGGGGTTTCCCGGAACTGCTTCCAGGGACTCCGAGCTACGGGGCAATCGCTTGGCGAGGCGGCCTGACAGGCAGCTCAGACGACCAGTAGTATCCAGGCAAAACGGACCACGCCGGACGACTCGAGAGCCAATCGATGAAGCTGCCGGCTGAACCAATGAGGGTGCTCAGCGCCCCTGGCTGGGGCGCCTCCGGGGCGGGGGCAGGCACACAAAGGGGTCTGTGGTGGAAGCCCTTGGTGGCTGCAAGGCTTGGGGGCGCTGGGTCCTGGGTGGACGAAGCTCCTCCCTCTTCGTCTGCCGCCGATGCGAGGCCGAAAATCTAGGCCTCGCGCCGCGTGGCCGCCTCCGGAGCCCCGCCCCCTATGGTCAGCACTGGCCCAGCTCCGCCATGGCGCTTGCGTCCCGCCACCGGCCGCCCTTAGCCCCCGAGTCCTCCCTCGCACCCCCGCGGCCGGCGTTCCCCCCAGACACGCCCATAGCCACGCGTTCGGGCCTCTTTCGGTCATCTTTTCGCCTCTAGTGAGCACACGATTTAAGGATGATTTGGCTCGTCATTTTGCTGAGGATTTTGTCTAGATAATCATTCCTTGGAACGATCGGAGAAATGCCTCTTTCCCTCCCTGGCTGCCGTCCACACATCGTTGGTGGCAGACTGTGAGGGAAATCGTTAAAATGACTCAAAAGCAATGTGTAACACAAGTGATAGAGCAGGGAGCTTTTCCCCACAGGGTTTGGAGCTACTTGATATTCATAAAATAAAGCAGCTATATACATCTCTGAAGCCAAAAGAGCCATGCAGGGGAAAGGGGTAATTCCCAAAGGACACTATAATTCGTGTTAGTCCTAAACCTATTTCTCACCTGCCATTCCTACTGATTTGTTCCCTGTCCTTAGTCCAAACCTGTCTCGTCTCATAGAAACCTTCCGAACTCACTTCTGTGGTGCAAGCGCTTTTTTCCCAACCCCAAACTCCAATGCCCCACCCTTAGGAAGTGGAGGAAGTCAAGCAGTGGTCTGCAGATTTCCAGATGCACTCAAGGATGATTAAATTTCTCAGAACCTACAAACCTATATTTAATTATTGAAAACGGGCGGGGCGTGGTAGCTCATGCCTGTAATCCCAGCACTTTGGGAGGCCGAGGCGGGTGTATCGGTCAGAAGTTCGAGACCAGCCTGATCAACATGGTGAAACCCTGCCTCTACTAAAAATACAAAAATTAGCCCGGTGTGGTGGCACGTGCCTGTAAACCCACCTACTCCGGAGGCTGAGGCAGAAAAATCGCTTGAACCCGGGAGGCGGAGGTTGCAGTGAGCCAATATCGCACCACTGCACTCCACCCTAGGGAACAACAGCGAAACTCCGTCTTAAAAAAAAAAAAAAAGAAAAAGAAATATTGAAAACGACTACTATGTGCCCAGTACCAAGTTAAATCTCTGGGTAGATCCAAGTTTTGTGTTATGGGGTGTGAGATTTACAGAAATGCTGGGAGTCTTAGGCCGGGCGCGGTGGCTCACGCCTGTAATTCCAGCACTTAGGGAGGCCGAAGTGGACGATCACTTGAGCACAGGAGTTCGAGACCAGCCTGGCCAACATAGTGAAACCCCGTCTCTACTAAAAATACACAAATTAGCCGAGCGTGGTGGCGCGTGCATGTAATTCCAGCTACTTGAGAGGCTGAGGCAGGAGTATCGCTTGAACCCGGGAGGCGGAGGTTGCAGTAGCCGGGATTGCGCCATTGCACTCCAACCTGGGCGACAAGAGTGAAACTCCTTCTAGAAAGAAAGAGAGAAAGACAGAGAGAGAGAAGAAAAGGAAAGAAAAGGAAAAGAAAGGAAGAAGGAAAGAAAGAAATGTTGGGAGTCTTTAAGAAAAATCATATTAAATGACGAATACAAATTTAGGAACAGAGTCTTGGAAGGGCATTGTAAAAGTGAGGGAGGACCCCGAAGCTTAACTTTTTTTTTTTAATAGAGACACGGGAGGTGCGGAGGGAATCTCGCTATGTTGCCCAGGCCGGTCTTGGCCGGTCTTGAATTCCTGGCCTCAAATGATCCTTCTGCTTCGGCCTCCCAAAGTGCTGAGATTACAGGCGCCCAGCCTGAAGCTTAAATTTTACTAGCTTCACATAAATCTGCCTCTAGCGCCATAATTCTTAACCTATTTTGTGCCATTTGGAAGTCTGGTAAAAGCTATGAATCTCTTCTCAGTTTTTAAATGCATGAAACAAAATACAGAGCAATACGAAAGAAACCATTTATATTGAAATACAATTAGGAAATATATTTTAAAACACATTCGTGATATAGTAAGGTTTTACTTTTTTATTTTTTATTTATTTTATTTTTATTTTTTTTTTTTTGAGATGGAGTCTCGCTCTGTCGCCCAGGCTGGAGTGCAGTGGCGCGAACTCGGCTCACTGCAAGCTCCGCCTCCCGGGTTCATGCCATTCTCCCGCCTCAGCCTCTCGAGTAGCTGGGACTATATAGCCTGCCATCATGCCCAGCTAATTTTTTTTTTTTTTTTTTTTTAGTTGAGACGGGGTTTTCACCGTGTTAGCCAGGATGGTCTTGATCTCCTGACCTCATGATCCGCCCGCCTCGGCCTCCCAAAGTGCTGGGATTACAGGCATGAGCCACCGCGCCCAGCTTATTTTTTTATTTTTTTTTGAGACAGAGTCTCGCTGTGTCGCCCAGGCTGGAGTGCAGTGGCGCAATCTCGGCTCACTGCAAGCTCCGCCTCCCGGGTTCACGCCATTCTTCTGCCTCAGCCTCCCGAGTAGCTGGGACTACAGGCGCCAGCCACCACGCCCAGCTAATTTTTTGTATTTTTAGTAGAGACGGGGTTTAACCGTGTTAGCCAGGATGGTCTCGATCTCCTGACCTCGTGATTCGTCCGCCTCAGCCTCCCAAAGTGCTGGGATTACAGGCGTGAGCCACCGCACCCAGCCCAGCTTTTACTTTTTAATTTTTTTTTTTTTTTTTAAACATGTGCTCACTTTATCACCCAGGCTGGAGTGCAATGGTGCAATCTGGGCTCACGGCAACCTCTGCCTCCAGGGCTCAAGCGATCCTCTGACCTCAGCTTCCCCAGTGGCTTGTAGGAACTACAAGCGCTGGCCACCGCTCTGGGCTAATTGTTGTTTTTGTTTTTTTGTGTTTTTTTTTTTTTTCTTTTTTTCAGAGACGGGGTTTCACCATGTTACCCAGGCAGGAACTTTTTCTTTATTAACACAATAACTATTAAGATCTTAGAGCAGATCTAATAACTACAGAAATTGTAGAGTGATATTTCAAGAAATCCATGAGTAGTAAAGTGATATGAAAATGATTTCTATTGGTGACAGAGGGAAAGCTGTTACTAATTCTACTGTGATATGTTGTCTACATTCACAATGGGGAAAAATGCTAAATTTCAGTTAGATGTTAGAGAAAACAAAGATGTAATTTTTTTCCCCATCCAAGTTTAAGTACTCCTTACTTGCATTCAGAGACTCCTTCAAGTCCATTGATGAGAACCCGTGGGTCAGATATGTAATTTTTTTTTTTTTGAGACAGTCTCACTCTGTGGCCCATACTGGAGTGCAGTGGTGCAATCTCAGCTCAATGCAACTTCCACCTCCCGGATTCAAGCGATTCTCCTGCCTCAGCCTCCCAAGTAGCTGGGATTACAGATGCCTGCCATGCATGACATCTGGCTAATTTTTGTATTTTTAGTAGAGGCAGGGTTTCACCATGTTGTCCAGGCTGGTCTCAAACTCCTGACCTCAAATGATCCGCCCACCTCGGCCTCCCAAAGTGTTGGGATTACAGGTGTGAGCCACCGCACCTGGCCTAGATATGTAATTTAAAACGATTCTATCACCCAGTATTTTCTGGGATAATATTTCAAATGTTCTGCTATGTAGTCATCAAAGGTATACTCCACATTTCAGACCATATGTCTTGATTTTTTTACTTGGAAAGAAAATTATTGTATAGATACAGATATTCATGAATTCAATATTCCACAAATATGTATTGCATGCCTCTATATAAAAATCATGGAGTTGGCCAGCATGGTGGCTCATGCCTGTGGTCCCAACACTTTGGGAGGCCAAGGCAGGCAGATCACCTGAGGTCGGAAGTTCAAGACCAGCCTGACCAACATGGAGAAACCCGGTCTCTACTACAAATACAAAAATTAGCTGGGCATGGTGGCGCATGCCTGTAATCCCAGCTACTCAGGAGGCTGAGGCAGGAGAATCACTTGAACCCGGGAGTCAGAGGTTGTGGTGAGCTGAGATCGCGCCATTGCACTCCAGCCTGGGCAACAAGAGTGAAACTCCAACTCAAAAAAAAAAAAGAAAGAAAGAAAAATCATGGAGTTAAGAGTAGAGAAAGCCAGGCACAGTGGCTCATGCCTGTAATTCCAGCACTTTGGGAGGCCGAGGCAGGTGGATCATGTGGTCAAGAGATCTAGACAATTCTAGCCAGTATGGTGAAACCCCATCTCTACTGAAAATACAAAAATTAGCTGGGCATGGTGGCGCACGTCTGTAGTCCCAGCTACTTAGGAGGCTGAGGCAGTAGAATCGCTTGAACCCAGGAGGCAGAGGTTGCAGTGAGCCAAGATCACGCCACTGCATTCCAGCCTGGCGACAGAGCAAGACTCCATCTCAAAAAAAAAAAAAAAAAAAAGCCAGGCACGGTGGCTCATGCCTGTAATCCCACCACTTTGGGAGGCTGAGGCGGGAGGATTGTTTGTGTTCAGGTGTTCAAGACCAGCCCAGGCAACATGCTGAAACCCCGTCTCAACAAAAGTTGCAAAAATTAGCCGGCTGTGGTGGCACATGCCTGTAGTACCAGCTACCCAGGAGGCTGAGGTAGGAGGATCACTTGAGACTGGGAGGTGGAGGTTGCAGTGAGCAAGTGAATGCACCACTGCACTCCAGCCTGGGCAACAGAATGAGATCCTGTCTTAAAAATAAATAAATAAATAAATAAATAAATAAACAAACAAACAAATAACCTAGGGAATATAAAATGAATAAAACACAATCCCTGTCCTCCATCCTAGGTGAGAGGTAGGACAAGTATAAACATTTAAAAAAAAATGGGGGCTGGGTGCAGTGGCTCATACCTGTAATCCCAGCACTTTGGGAGGCCGAGGCAGGTAGATTGCCTGAGGTCAGGAGTTTGAGACCAGTCTGGCCAACATGGTGAAACTCTGTCTCTACTAAAAATACAAAAAATACAAAAAAAAAATTAACTGGGTGCGGTGGCATGCACCTGTAATCCCAGCTACTCATGAGGCTGAGGCAGGGGAATTGCTTGAAGCAGGGGGGTAGAGGTTGCAGTGAGCTGAGATCGCGTCACTGCACTCGAGCCTGGGCAACAGAGTGAGGCTCCATCTCAAGAAAAAAAAAATGGGTTGCTAAGGGAAGCTCCAGCTATACCCATAATTTCTGAAATTAGGTAACATAGTGCAGCCAGGCCCTTCTGCATCTCTTCCCTGTTACAGACCAAACCTGTTGTCTGAGCTGGTATATCAATGAATATACTTTTGCTTCTTATAACAATTATAGGGGCCAGGCATGGTGGCTTATGCCTGTAATCCCAGCACTTTGGGAGGCCGAGGTGGGCAGATGTCCTGAGTTTAGGAGTTTAAGACCAGCGTGGGCAACATGGTGAAACCCCATTTCTACAAAAAATACAAAAATTATGGCTCACACCTGTAATCCCAGCACTTTGGGAGGCTGAGTCAGGTGGATCACCTGAAGTCAGGAGTTCGAGACCAGCTTAGCCAACATGGTAAAACCTTGTCTCTACAAAAAATTAGCTGGGCATGGTGGCTCACACCTGTAGTTCCAGACACTCGGGAGGCTGCGGCGCGAGAATCACTTGAACCTGGGAGGTGGAGATTGCAGTGAGCCGAGATTGTGTCACTACACTCCAGCTTGGGCAACAGAGCAAGACTCTACCTAAAACAAAACAAAACAAACAAAAAACGAAGAAACAAAAAAAACTAGAATCATTTTTATTATTTTAAAACACTTTGCAAAATGGTGGAGTTCCAACTAAGATTGATCAGCACTTAAGCTGTTTGTCTTTCATTTATACCTCCTAAGATGATGCTTCTTTTACAAAAATAAAATGCCATGTGGATGACTTGCAAATGGCTTATAGTTAGCTTACCTCAAGATCTTATTGCAGTGCCTGCCTTATCATTATTTTTTTAATAATTTTTTTTTTTTTTTGAGACGGAGTCTTGCTCTGTCACCTACGCTGGAGTGCAGTGGCACAATCTAGGCTCACTACAACCTCCACCTCCCAGGTTCAAGCGATTCTCTTGCCTCAGCCTCCTGAGTAGCTGGGATTACAGGCACCCACCATCATGCCCAGCTAATTTTTGTATTTTTGTAGAGATGGGGTTTCACCATGTTGGCCCGGCTGGTCTTGAACTCCTGACCTCAGGTGATCTGCCCTCCTTGGCCTCCCAAAGTGCTGGGATTACAGGCGTGAGCCACCATGCCCAGCTTTATCATCATTTTTACAGCATTTTTTCTTTTGAAGATTATCCTTGAACTGGTCTATTGAATGCCCTTCTAGTTCTCAAATGTATCAAAGCCATTTTAAAATGAAAAGAAAGTGTATTTCCATTTTAGTGGCACTATTGCTACCATTTTTGAGCTCCTACTGTGTGTCGAGTGTTCCACATATGCTATCGCTGATCCTTATATGGAACCTGCAACCTCAGTAATATTATCCCATTTTTTTGAGGAAATAGGCTTACAGAGATTGAAATGTTCGCTTAAAGGCACACCACACTCCTGAACCAAGACTCAAACACATGTCGTCTGTGTAACTCCAAAGCTACTTTACCGAGCAACTTTTCAATTATTGTCTCAGTGTTGGCAGATTCTTCTCTTGAAGGGACCAGTCAAGTAATCATATAGGTGGCCAGGAGTGGTGGCTCACATCTATAATCCCAGCACTTTGGGAGGCTGAGGCAGGTGGATCGCTTGAGTGCAGGAGTTTGAGACCAGCCTGGGCAACATAGTGAAATGCCATCTCTACAAAAACTACAAAAAATTAGCTGGGTGTGGTGGCACACAACTGTAGCTCTAGCTACCTGGGAGGCTGAGGTGGGAGGATCACCTAGCCTGGGGAGGTCAAGGCTTCAGCAAGTCGCGTTTGCACCACTGCAATTGGCCCTGTCTCAAAAAAAAAAAAAAAATCGTCTGTTTGATCTGATGAATAAGTTAGAAAACACTAGTTAGGGACCAAAGCCAACTGTGATATTATATAATGAGTTCTCACATTTACCTTGTGTGGTTTGCAAATTGGCCTTATAACACAATTTAAACTTGTTCTGAGAAATGAACAGTGCAAGAATAAAATTGTAGCCTCACAAGGTCTCAACTTTGGAAAGCAACACCCGTTTGGGTAGATTTGTTAGAAAAGAACATGTCTTGGCCAGGCGCAGTGGCTCACTGCTGTAATCCCAACACTTCAAGAGGCCTAGGAAGATGGATCTCATGAGGCCAGGAGTTAGAGACCAGCCTGGCCAACATGGTGAGACCCTGTCTCTACTAAAAATGCAAAAATTAGCTGGGAGTGGTGGTGCCTGCCTGTAATCCCACCTGTAATCCAGTGATAGAGCAAAACTCTGTCTCAAAAATAAATAAGCAAATAAAAATAAGTCCTCTTAGGATTGTTAAATCCAATTTAAGAGTGCTGAACACTCAGTCACAACATTCTCTCACTCCACAACAGTGGAATTCCCTGGCAACTCTTCACCAGGACTTTGGTGCACCCACTCACTGACAGTAAACTCTGCAGCCTTTTCCTTTTAAGCCAGGTTCTCACTCTAGTCTGTTGCCCAGACTGGAGTGCAGTGGCACCATCATGGCTCACTGCAGCCTTTACCTCCTGGGCTCAAGTGATCCTCCTGCCTTGGCCTCCCAAAGTGCTAGGATTACAGGCCTGAGCCTTTAAAAAGTCTGCAGGTGGCTGGGCGTGGTGACTCATGCCTGTAATCCCAGCACTTTGGGAGGCTGAGGTGGGAAGATCACTTGAGCCCAGGAGTTCAAGGCTGCAATAAGCCTTGATTGTACCACTGCAGCCTGGATGACAGAGTGAGTCCCTGTTTCAAAAGAAGGGGGGGAGGGGGGAAGGGAGAAAGAGGCAACAGCAACAGCTGCAGCCTAATTCCATCAGTTGAATTCTAGGAGACTTGTACATAACTCCATTGAGTTCTCATTATTATCAGGCTTCCCTATAGACAGACAGAAGAGCCACATGCTGCAAATCTTTGGTGGAGGTGTTGCTGTGAGGTTTTCACTAAAATCTGGTAGAAATCTAAGATAAGTATTATTACTCATATTCAAATATACAAGTTGAATATACAGTTCCACAATTCAGATTCTGCAGGGATTGTGAGTCCTGTTCCCAATATCAGTGTAGTGTCATGGAGTAATTATAGCATTCAGTATAACTTGCATATGTTTTGAAAATTCAATAAAACAATAAGAATTGGTTATAAATAGATTGTGGATATAACTAAATTCTCACTACCCTAAAGTTAAAATATCCATTAGAGGCTGGGTGGCTCACGCCTGTAATCCCAGCACTTTGGGAGGCCAAGGCGGGCGGATCACAAGGTCAGGAGATCCAGACCATCCTGGCTAATACGGTGAAACCCCGTCTCTACTAAAAATACAAAAAATTAGCCGGGCGTTGTGGCGGGCGCCTGTAGTCCCAGCTACTCGGGAGGCTGAGGCAGGAGAATGGCGAGAACCCGGGAGGCAGAGCTTGCAGTGAGCCAAGATCACGCCTCACGCCACTGCACTCCAGCCTGGGCGACAGAGCAACACTCCATCTCAAAAAAAAAAAAAAAAAAAAAAAATCCATTCGAGGAGGGGGCAAGTGCTCTCTAATTATCATTAATGATAACAACACCTTGCACTTAACAGTTTTCCCCTGTAAATGAGTTTCAAGTACTGTATCTCATGAGATATCTCTGCTGCAGTTGAACATCTTAAAATGTGCCATGACCTTGGCTTGTGACTCTCCTCTCCTGGTTCTTCTCCGGACCCTGTAATACGTCCTTGTAGGTCCTCTCCTCTGCCCATCATTATCTGTTGGTGTTCCCAGGACTTCATCCCTGACAACTGTTCTCACATTGTGCCACGGTCATCTCATTCACTTGCATGGTTTCACTACTACTACCATCTCCGTGCAGATACTAGCTATTCCCATCTCTCTTTTTTTTTTCCTTGTATGTATTTATTTTTAATACAGGGTCTTGTCACCCAGGCTGGAGTGCAATAGCACGATCTCTGCTCACTGCAACCTGTCTCCCAGGCTCAAGTGATCCTCTCACCTCAGCCTCTCAAGTAGCTGGGATTACAGGCGTGTGCCACCATGCCCAGCCAATTTTTTCAAAAAAATTTTTTTTGTAGAGATGGGGTTTTACCATGTTGTCTGGGGTGGTTTCAAACTCCTGGGCTCGAGCAACCCACCCTCCTTGGCCTTCCAAAGTGCTGAGATTACCGGTGTGAGCCACTGTGCCCGGCCTATTCCCTATTTTTTTTTTTTTTTTAGCGAAGTTTCGCTCTTGCTGCCCAGGCTGGAGTGCAATGTGCAATGACCTGATCTCGGTTCACTGCAACCTTCGCCTCCCAGGTTCAAGCGATTCTCCTGCCTTAGCCTCCCGAGTAGCTGGGATTACAGGCATGTGCCACCATGCCCAGCTAATTTTGTATTCTTAGTAGAGACGGGGTTTCTTCATGTTGGTCAGACTGGTCTAAACTCCCGACCTCAAGTGATCCGCCTGCCTCGGCCTCCCAAAGTGCTGGGATTACAGGCGTGAGCCACTGCTCCCGGCCTCCCATTTATTTATAGTACCACGTTTGGTCCTGAGCTCTGGATTCATATTTCCAACTGCCTGCTGGGCATATGAATATATGCTTGGATGTAACAGTTTCCTCAAACTAAATGACTATAAGATGATTTTTATCTCCTACCGTGTGATCCCTTCCTCACTGAGCCCCACTCATAGCGACCCCCTGGTGGTGGTTTCTCCAGCATACCAACTGCTGCTTCAGCATCTTCACATTTGCTCTTCAATAAACTGAGTAGTTAGAACACTTACCCCAGATATCCTGATGTCTTAGTCAGAGATATGCTCAAACGCCACCTCTTTAGAGAGGTTTTCCATGACCACTTCCTCTAAAAGCAGTCTCTTTTATTTGTCTTCATTATGCTTGTTACCAGCTAACATTATACATGTCTTTGTTTATTGTCCCTCTCCCCAGAAAATAGAAATTCAACAAGGGCAGAATCTTTGTCTCATTCGGTTTTATACCAGGCACATAAGTTGGTGCTCAATGAATTTTTTTTATTATTTTTTTATTTTTATTTGTATTTATTTTTTTGAGACGGAGTCTCCCTCTGTTGCCCAGGCTGGAGGGCAGTGGTGCAATCTCGGCTCACTGCAGTCTCCACCTCCTGGGTTCAAGTGACCCTCCCACCTCAGCCTCCCGAGTAGCTGGGACTACAGGCATGTGCCACCACGCCCAGCTAATTTTTTTGTAGTTTTAGTAGAGACGGGGTTTCACCATGTTTGTCAGGCTGGTCCCAAACTCTTGACCTCGTGATTTGCCCACCTTGGCCTCCCAAAGTGCTGGGATTACGGGCATGAGCCACTGCGCCCGGCTTTTTTTTTTTTTTTTTTTGAGACGGAGTCTCGCCCTGTCACCCAGGCTGGAGTACAGTGGCCCAATCTTGGCTCACTGCAACCTCCGCCCCCCAGGTTCAAGCGATTCTCCGGCCTCAGCCTCCCGAGTAGCTGGGATTATAGATGCCCACCACCGCACCCAGCTAATTTTTGTATTTTTAGTAGAGATGGGGTTTCACCATGATGGCCAGGCTGGTCTCGAACTCCTGACTTCAGGTGATCCACCTGCCTCAGCCTCCCAAAGTGATGGGATTACAGGCATGAGCCAGAACGCCCGGCGGTGCTCAATGAATTTTTGTTAAGTGACTTCATTTACTTGTAATCTTTATCCCTAATCCCAGACTCCTCCTCTTTGCATGTTCTGGTTCCTTTAATAGCATACTCTGCTGAGTGCATTGGTTCATTCCTGCAATCCCAGCACTTTGGGAGGCTGATGCAGGAGGATCCCTAGAGCCCAGGAGTTCAACACCAGCCTGGGCAACATAGGGAGACCCCACCCCTACAAATAATGAAAAACAAAATTAGCTGGGCATGGTGGTGCATGCCCGTGGTCCTAGCTACTGGGAAGGCTGAGGTAAGAGGATCCCTTTAGCCCAGAAGGTTGAGGCTGCAGTGAGCTGTGTTCGTGCCACTGCACTCCAGCCTGGGTGACAGAGTGAGAGTCTTTACCTCAGCTTTACCTGGAGGATCTTAGATGGGTCACATTACTTCTGGAAGCCTTCTTCCTCTTTCCAGAAGGCCTCATCAGATGCACTAATGACAGAATTTCTACAGTTCTTTTAATGAGTACCGGCCGGGCGCAGTGGCTCACAGCCTGTAATCCCAGCACTTTGGGAGGCCGAGGTGAGCTGATCACTTGAGGCCAGGAGTTCGAGAGCAGCCTGGCCAACATGGCGAAACCCCGTCTCTACTAAAAATACTGAAACAGCTGGGCGTGACAGCAGGCACCTGTAATCCCAGTTACTCGGGAGGCTGAGGCACAAGAATCAGCTTGAACCTGGGAGGTGGAAGTTGCAGTGAGCCGAGATCACACCACTGCACTCCACCCTGGGTGACAGAGTGAGACTCTGCCTACCAAAAAAGAGTAGCTTGGTGTGGTGACAATCAGAAATATGAAGGGAATAAAGTTTATGTATATTCTCCTTATTTTATTGTTGCCTGCTTATTCTACGCCAAACATTTGCTGGGGGTTGAAGACACAATGGTGAGCAAGACAGTGACTTCTTCAAAGATATCAAAGTTTAATGGAGGAGACAAAAAAGTAAGCAGGCAATTACAAAACAGGGATAAAGTGCTTTGATTGGGATAAACCCAGGAAAAACAGAAAAGGAACACCTGATCCAGTCTTATGGGATTGGGAAAGGTTTCCTAGAGCAAGTCAGGTATTTGACCTGAAGGCTGAGTAGGAGTTGGCCAGAAGAGTGGAGAGAGAGATGCAGCTTGGAGTGTGCAGGAAAGAGCAAGTGCAGGAAAAGAGGAGGGAACCAGAGCTGGGGAGAGCGGCAGAGGCCAGATCATGAATGACCTCCTCAGAAATCACACCAAAGGAGGTTCACTGTTTGCTGCTGGCAATGGGAAGCATGACAGGGCTTTACACAGAAGAGCGGCATGAAAGGATTTGCCTTTCAGAAAGATTGTTCTAGCAGAAAGGGAGAAAAGACTGACGGGAATCAAAATAGAAAAGAGGAGACTCATTAGGAGGTCGTTTCAGTAAGCGAGATATGGCCCAGTGATGGTCTGAATAATTGCTGCTAATAATTTGAGCCCCGTGATCTCATTTAATCTTTGCAACTCTATGAGGTAGACATAATTACTCCCATTTGCGGATGGGGAATCCAAGGAACAGAAAAGCTAAATAATTGCCCAAAGTCACATGGTAAGTGGTGGCAGTAGAGAGAACCAGGCAGAAGGATCTGAGAACTATTTAGGAGGTGGTATGGGCATGACTGGATACATAGTTACACAGTATTTGTTACTGATTTGGGGAGGGTGGCTAAAGGAACGGGAGTTAAGTATGATGTGCAAGTTTCTAGCTTGGATAAGTGGGCAATGACTGAGTTAGGAACAGGAGAAGCAGGCAGGGAGTAGGGGAAAATGTGGCAAGTTGAGTTCAGGGTTTGATTTCAAGATGTCTGGGTAATTTCCTATTATAATTTTTTAACTTAGTTTTGTTATTTTGTTCATGCTTTGATGGATAATTTCCAAGCAGAGCTGTCCAGAAAGCAGCTGCAGGGGCTGGTGTGAAACTCTGCCAGATTTTGGTGTCATCAGCCTCAATCTTTCCCAAAAGGAAAAAATAAAACAAAACCACTTTTAGAGAAGCTGAAAATGATATAAACTTTGGGAATGAAGCATTTAGAAAAACAGATCATGCAATGGGATTTCCCACGGACCCATTTTAGGTCATTACAGGGTAATTGTCTCCCATTAATTCAGCTGTTTTTCACTAACGATCTTAACAGTCTTTCAGTTCTTGAAGTCTCCTATTGATAAGCAGGGCCTACATCTGCTACTCTACTGCAGAGGTGGGTATCTAACAACTGCTTCCAAAGAGTCAGTTTCTCCCAGGGCTTGGGAACTCCTTTGGGAGCTACACTAACTTCTAAAACACCAGGGAACCACTTAACAAATTATCATTTCAGTGCACTCAGTGATATCCTAACGGCCTGGAAACACAGTCCTAACCTACCTCTAGGGTCTTAGAGAACAGTTCACACAGAAGGAAATTTGCTCAATAATAATAACAATGTCAAGATACTAACATATCAAATAGTCTTAGAGGGAGGCTCTTGAGCTACACTTCTCCAGGTGAATTAGCATCTTCCCTTAACTTTCCTTCCCAGCAATGAAAAATGCTCAACATGCAGTAAGAAGAGTTTTTTGTTTGTTTTTTGCTTTTGTTTTTAAGGTATGAGGTCTTGCTCTGCAGCCTCGAACTCAGCCTCAGCCTCCCAAGTAGTTGGGACTACAGGCGCTTGCTACCACGCCCGGCTAAGAGTTTACATGTATATATACTTTTGGCTGCTCTATAGATAGAGTAGGGTTCACCCACAGGCAGAGTGGCCTAGAGTAGCCTAAATAATATTCTGGGGCCAGGCCTGGTGGCTCACACCTGCAAGCCATCATTTTAGGAGGCTGACTCGGAGCACTTGAGCTGCAGAGTTTGAGACCAGCCTCGGCGAAATATGGAGACCCCATCTCTAAAAAAATAATAAAAAGAATTAGCTAGGTGTAGTGGCACACACCTGTGGTCCCAGCTACTCAGGAGGCTGAGGTGGGGAGGATCACTTGGGCCTGGGGAGGTCCAGGCTGCAATGAGCTGTGATCATGTCACTGCATTCCAGCCTGGGTGACAGAGCAAAACTCTGTCCCAAAAAAAAAAAAAAAAAAAAGTGTTGTGTTTTTTTTTTGATAAAGTTTCTCCTATTGCAAGTCTTGGCTACAAAATTAAAAACATTTCTTTGATATTTATATTCTCCCCCAATGTAAAACACTTCCATCCCTACCTTTGCCAAGGCTGGCTGTCCATTTAAAAAAAGATTTGAGAGAAAATTACTTGTAAGTAATTTGAAAATTGTGGCCACACCCTGGTAATACCTAATTACAGCCTTAGGCAGACTGTACAACTGTTACGAATAGAGAACCTTTGCTTCTAAGAAGTATCTGTTCTAGGAACCCAATCCTAGTGTGGTAGAAACTGTTTTAGTTGTATTTTTGTTTTGTTTTGTTCTTTTGAGATAGAGTCTCGCTCTGCTGCCTAGGCTGGAGTACAGTGGTGTGATCTCGGCTCACTGCAACCTCTGCCTCCCAGGTTCAAGCTACTCTCCTGCCTCAGCCTCCCGAGTAATGGGGATTACAGGCGCATGCCACCACGCCCAGCTAATTTTTGTATTTTTACTGGAGATGGGGTTTCACTATATTGGCCACACTGGTCTCGAAATACAGACCTTAGGTGATCCACCCGCATCAGCCTCCCAAAGTGCTGGGATTACAGGCGTGAGCCACCGCACCCAGACTTAGTATTCTTAATGAATACTCCAAAATATCTCCTTAAAGCAACAAGGCCTTCTCTCATTTTTCTTTTTGGATTTTTTTTCCTTCCCCAAAGCTAATGAGTCACCCATACCAAATATTCCTATGTGGCTTCTGTCACCAGCATAACCTTCGTAGAAAACTACTCAGGTTTTTTCATCTTCCCAAGATATGGCAATAACCAAAGGGCTCAAGATACTGTACTCCCAAATTCCTACAGAACATCTGTGTAATATATCTGTACATCTGTACGGAATGCATCAGTGTAAAGACAATCATGCCCAATTTTAATGACTCTGATGAAAAGCCATTAAATGAATCAGTGCTGGGTTACTAAAATAATTCTCAGGTTTGCTGACTTTAAAAATTATATTTTTAATTATAGAATATTGTTAGAATAATACAAACACTAGGATAACTGTGACCAATACCATAAGGAAAACTGTTCTACATATTGATTTGTTCATTAATTCTCCACAACCATAGAAAACAGGCACAAAGTGTTCACGGGATGTGCAGAGGCAGCCAGGGACTTGGGAGCAGAAGGCATGCAAAAAGCATTAGTGAAGGGAGTCTGATGCATGAGTTCTATACAAAGTTCAACACAGCAAACGGGCAACAATTGGCAGAAAGAGGAGACAGCTGGTGTGGCCCTTGTCCCTTAAGTTTCCCAGCTAGATTGTTCATGTATGGAGATAGCTGGGTGCTTAGAAGCCTTGTTTTAAGCCCTTCACCTCCAAGAAGCCAAAAGCAGCAGCAGGAACTGGTTGGGGTGGGGCAAGAACAGTAGGGAAGGAAAAGGGGGTGAAATACAGTTAGGTCATGGAAATGCGGTCATCTATGGCCACTCCCAAGCTGATACCCATAGTGGCTCACAGAAGCAACAGGAGAACTTTGACATTTATTAAAACCATCAGCAACATATATGAGAAAAGACATATTTGAGTTTAGTTACCAAGAACATGTGTCACCCGACAATTAAAATATGGATACCCACAGTCTGCTAGATTTTGTAAATAACAAAAAAACATGCTCCTTGCCTGAGTTTGTCCTTAAAAAGGAGTGGCAACATGAAGGAACCCCCCTGGAAGATGGGTTACTTTAAAGGTTGTGTTATTAACAAGTGATGTGGTCCCACACAGCTGTGGGTCACAATAACTCATTATAGTACCCACCCAGAGAGACCACTGGCTCCTTTAACACCAAGTCCTAAAAAGCTATGGCAAAACATTTTTAAAATGTTACAACATTCACAATAAAGAACAGTAGCAATAAAGCACAGTAGAAATAAACTGGGGGTACTCTCAAAAGAAAAGATATTCCTCACTCCAGTCCCATTTTCTGGGCACCAATTCCCTTCCACCCCAACATGCTTGGATAGCATCAACACTTGAGATATTTCTTAATTCCTACCTGGACTGAGATTAGGAAAACTGACACTACTGGGCTTAAATTGGGCGAACTGTTATTTTAACCTCTTATATCTGTAGGGTGGGAGGATGGAAATACATTCCTACCGAGGTTCGTTAATTCCTTCTGACTAAGCCAAAGAGTTCTTCATTACCATAGAAGATAATTCATTCTGAGAATAGGACAATCGACCTATTTGTCTGGTCATTATCTTCCACAATTGACAAACACATACAAACAAGTGCTTAGCTCTGTACAAAGACAGACCTTACAGGAGAGTGCACACTAAAGCACTAGTGTTTAAATTATTTTCCATAATGAAAAAAGGACATTTCTCACATTGGAGTTATGTCTGTACTTCTGTCACATGACTCACATCACCCAAGAACATGCTAAGTCTCTGTAAATTCAGTTTCTATTAGAAAAACCACAGGAATACACATTACTGTACATACACATGCCCTGATGCAAGCTAAGATAAACACTGGGATGTGGCCCTTATCAAATCTTAGAGTTAGCAGGATAGGAAGAGTTGATCTTAAAGATTAGAAGGGAAAGAACACAGAAACGACCTACATTCCTTGGGAAGGGACTCTGTGGTTCCTTCCCTGAAGGACTCAATTCCACTTGCTCCTTACACTTAACTGTCACTGATGGTCCTATCTTTTCTTGAAGATATTTTCTATACAATATTCCCTATAGTGATCCCCAAAGAAAATTCATAAATCTGATTAATGGCAGTAATAACTGTGGGCATCTTCTGCTAAAGTCACCATCATTGATGGGTCCTTGGTCCCCAAACCTGTGTCTCATTTTTCCTTTCCAACCGTATCTTCAGTTAGCCTTCACAAAGATGCAAGCTTTAAAGGAGCTAATTAGAAACAATGAGAAGGAGAAAAGTTACAATCATTGCCTTCATCGTGCAAAATCTTGCCCTCAGGAAGATGGAAAAGATACAAATGCATGAGCAACTCAAGGAAAAAGCCCTTTGGAAGGGAAGATGTGTGTGCCCAACTACTATGGTGTGTGAATAGGTGTGGCAATTTAGGCAGAGTCTCTAGTTGCCTTTTTCCAAAGCAGCCATTACCACCCTATTACAGTCCCACGTTTCACTTAGCATAGTTCCTTGGGCCAAGGATGGGAGAAAATAACATTGAAAGATTTACTCCATTTCCAGGCCTAAGCATTCACCAGCATTTGTCCCCTGGTCTTCAGATTTCCAGTTACTTGTGGGGCTGCTTTTAATGAAGTAACCCATTGAGTGAATAAAAATCACCATTTTGGAGGAGATAACATTCCCAAAGCTGAGGGTCAGAATTTCAAATGGCTTGTCATCTCTGATGGTTTAAATCGTGGCCCACAACTAGGAGAGTATGATAAAAGCAGCTCAGTCTTGAGGGCGTTCATTGATATCAAATAAAATTGTATCTTCAAATGAATCATTTCTCAGCCATCATAATTACAGCTTAGTCCGTATGAACTCTCTTATGTTTAATAAGAGCTGAGCTCCTGCTGAAACTCTTCTCACATTCGGTACATTCATAAGGTTTCTCTCCCGTGTGAACTCTTTGATGTGTGATGAGGTTGGAGCTCTGGGTGAAACCTTTCCCACACTGCACACACTCGTAGGGCTTCTCCCCTGTGTGGGTTCTCTGATGTTTAATTAGATCTGACCTTTCACCAAAGCTTCGCCAACACTCATTACACTCATAAGGCTTCTCTCCAGTGTGAATTTTCTGGTGTGTGATGAGATGAGAGCTCCGGCTGAAGCTTTTCCCACAAGCATTGCATTCATATGGCTTCTCTCCAGTGTGAGTTCTCTGGTGCTGAACCAAGTGTGAGATGCGGCTGAAATTTTCCCCACATTCGTTACAGTGGTATGGCTTCTCTCCCGTGTGGGCTCTGCGATGACGCACAAGGTCGGAGTTCTGACTGAAATTCTTCCCACACTCATCACACTTGTAGGGCCTCTCCCCTGTGTGGACTCGATAGTGTTTGATGAGATCAGATCTCTCACTGAAGCCTCGGCCACATTCGTTACATTCATAAGGTTTCTCACCCGTGTGGGTCCTCTGGTGCTGAGCTAGGTGAGAGCTCCGGCTGAAGCTTTTCCCACACTCCTCACACTCATAGGGTTTCTCACCACTGTGGGTCCTTTGGTGTTGGATTAGGTGAGAGAGACGGCAGAAACTTTTTCCACACTCATTACATTTGTGAGGCTTCTCTCCAGTGTGGATTGTCTGATGCTGAATCAGGTGAGAACTTCTTCCAAAACTTTTCCCACACTCGTTACAGTCATAAGGCCTCTCCCCAGTATGTGTTCTTTGATGCTGAATAAGGTGTGAGCTGCGACTGAAGCCTTTTCCACATTCATAACATTTATAGGGTCTGTCTCCAGTGTGGGTCTTCTGATGTCGATTAAGGTCTGAGATCTGACTGAAGGCCTTTCCACAATGAGAACATATATGATAGCGGATGCCTGTGTGGACTTCTTTGTGGACAAGTAGATCAGTGACTGGTTGGAGAGGATAGCTTACCCACTCTTCTGCTGTTAAATCTCCCCATTGTCTTTCTGACCTATCTCCGCTTTCAAAGCCCTCTTCACTTTCAGGATTTTCCTCAGCATTCTCAGCAGGTCTTTCAGATGTAGTCCCAAATTGTACATCTTCACTAATCTCTTGCTTGGGATTTACCTCGTTCTCACTCCTGATCTCAAAATCTGTAATAAAAAGTAAACAATAAGACTAGTAAGTACAAAAATTACCTATTGTGTGCCAGGCACTATACTAAATTTTTTTTTTTTTTAGACAGAGTCTCACTGTGTTGCCTTGGCTGGAGTGCAGTGGTGTGATCTTGGCTCACTGCAACCTCTGCCTCCTGGGTTCAAGCAATTCTCCTGTCTCAGCCTCCTGAGTAGCTGGGACTACAGGTGCACGCCACCATGCCCGGCTAATTTTTTTATTTTTAGTAGACACAGGGTTTCACTATATTGGTCAGGCTGGTATTGAACTTCTGAGCCACTGTGGCCAGCCTAAATTATTTATATTCTTCGTCACATATATTCTTTATCACAGCTATTCTGAGAGTCAGGAATTGTGATTATTTCTACTTCATTAATGAGAAATCCAAGACCCAGACAAGTGAATTGACTTGCTCAAGGCCATAGTAAATGGTAGAGCCAGTATTCAAACTCAGGTCTGTCAAAATTCACATTCTGTATCGCTGTAATTAATGATTCATTAAGAAAACTATACAGGCCAGGTGCCGTGGCTCACGCATGTAATCCTAACACTTTAGGAGGCCAAGTCAGGAGGAACACTTAAGGCCAGGAGTTCAAGACCAGCCTGGGCAATATAGGGAGAACCCATCTCTACAAAAAAATTTAAAAAATTAGGTGGATGTGGTGGCATGCAACTGTAGTCCCAGCTACTCAGGAGGCTGAGGTAAGAGGATCACTTGAGCCCAGGAGTTCAAGGCTGCAATAAGCTGTGATTGTGCCACCGCACACCAATATGGGTGACAGAACGAGACCCTGTCTCTTAAAAAAAAAACTATATATATTCGTGTTTTGAAAGAACACTGGAAGCAGAAAATATGAGACTCTAAATTAGAATATCTAAAAGGCAAGATTCTAGGTATTTTGTGAGTATGTATTTTTTAACTTGCCAAGCCTTCATCATTAGTAGCATCATAAAATATTTACTAAGAAGCCACTATGTTTTTGTTTGTTTGTTTGTTTTGTTTTGTTTTTTGAGATGGAATTTCACTCTTGTTGCCCAGGCCGGAGTGCAATGGCGCAATCTCCGCTCACTGTAACCTCTGCCTCCTGGGTTCAAGCGATTCTCCTGCCTCATCTTTCCGAGTAGCTGGGATTACAGGTGCCCGCCACCACATCCAGCTATTTTCTTGTATTTTTAGTAGAGACAGGTTTTACCATGTTGGCCAGGCGGGTCTTGAACTCCTGATCTCAGGTGATCTGCCCGCCTCAGCCTCCCAAACTGCTAGGATTACAGGCGTGAGCCACCGTGCCTGGCCAGAACCAACTATGTTAATATGGAGAAAAATGAATCTTTACCTATGTCATAGTTGACAGAAAAGTGACTGACAAATGTCACTTCCTACTTTTCAGTGACCTTTTAATGAAAATAGGAGTGGGAAAGTTGAAGAAGGCAAAAAAGATGTCTGGCTGAGAACATTCTTGGCATTGTCTAAGTATATTTCACATGCAGTCTTCAAATGAAAATCAAAATACACAACCACTGTCTACAAGGAGTTTTATACCAGACACTGCATTCTCCAAATTGGGTTTCTTAGTACACTCTTCAGAAAGAAAGTATGTATTTTGGGAGAAAAGGGTTCATGGATAAACTGGGTTGGTAAATGGTACATACAATATCATTTCCTTCAAAATTCACAATGCCTAATAACACATTAAAGGTTCTAAGGAATCCTGAGGTAAAAAGGCCTTATAAGGCCAGATGCAGTAGCTCAGGCCTCTAATCCCAGCACTTTGGGAGGCTGATGCAGGAGGATCACTTGAGCCTAGGAGTTTGAGACCAGCCTGTGCAACATAGGGAGGTCTCACTTCTATTAAAAATAAAAAGAGGCAGGCCGGGCGCGGTGGCTCACGTCTATAATCCCAGCACTTTGGGAGGCCGAGGTGGGCAGATCACGAGGTCAGGAGATCGAGACCATCCTGGCTAACACGGTGAAACCCCATCTCTAAAAAAAAAAAACGCAAAAACTAGCCGAGTGTGGTGGCGGGCACCTGTAGTCCCAGCTACTCAGGAGGCTAAGGCAGGAGAATGGCGTGAACCTGGGAGGCAGAGCTTGCAGTGAGCTGAGATCGCGCCACTGCACTCCAGCCTGGGCAACAGAGCAAGACTCCATCTCACAAAAAAATAAATAAATAATAAAAAAATAAAAAGAAGCTGAGCATGGTGCCTGACACCTGTATTCCTAGCACTTTGGGAGGCCGAGGTGGGCGGATCACTTGAGGTCAGGAGTTCAAGACCAGCCTGACCAACATGGTGAAACCCCGTCTCCACTAAAAATACAAAAATTAGCTGAGCGTGGTGGCATGCACCTGTAATCACAGCTAGTCGGGAGGCTGAGGCAGGAGAATTGCTTGAACTCAGGAGGCAGAGGTTGCAGTGAGCCAAGATTGGGCCACTGCACTCCAGTCTGGGCAACAGACTGAGACTCTGTTTCAAAAAAATTAATTAATTAATTAATTAATTTAAAATTTTTTAAAAAATAAAAAGAATTAGCCGGGCAAGGTGGTACGCATCTGTGATCCCAGCTACTCAGGAAGCTGAGATGGGAGGATGACCTGGGCCTGGGAAGTCAAGGCTGCAATGAGTTGTGATCGTGCCACTGCACTCCAGCCTGGGCAACAGAACAAGATCCTGTCTCAAAAAAAAAAAAAAAAAAGCCTTGTAATCATTTTTAAACCCATTCCCATTCCCAAACTTATTTGGGCAAGAAACCAGTTTTTTGGCGCTTTCATCCTTCTAACAAGTGCTTTTGGGGCTAAACTGTAGAATTGTAAATTCACATTTTTTAAAGATTGTCATTTTTTGCTTTTGTTGGATTCAGTGGAATATTTGGGTTACAGACTGCAATAGATCTGGATAGATAACTATTTATGGTTACTTTTATAAAGAAAGGATTCAAGAAACTAGGGACATCAGAGAAAGCTCAAGTTAAAAAGGAAAGCCCTCAGAGTTGCCTTTTGTTCTGAAAAAGGCTATGGGAATAAAGATTTCAAAAACAGGATTAATCCTAATGAATGGCAAATGACCTAGTGACCCATACACGCTTGCTAATGTCTGTCAAGTCTTGACAGGAGGCAAAGTGAGGCAAAGTGAGTCAAAAGACCGTTCAGCTCAAGAATATACTCTTTATTCTAGTTACACCCAGACCAAAGTACAGCAAAGAGAGAAGACAGGCTTGCAGACCATGAAAAAAAAATCAGCTGCCCTCTCTAATAGAATTTGTGATCTATTTCAGCATTCTTCTGGAACAGCATTTGACACACTACAAATCTATCATCATCAACACTGAAACATCTCTAGATGAGAATCTACTCAGCTAAGGAACTTGAGGCAAAGCTAGGGCTCTGAAGCCAAAACAAACACAAAAAGGTGGCTTTCGCCCTCCCATGAACCTGGGTTAGAATCCCCTCATCTTTTAGCACCCTAGAGTAAAAGCACTAGTTACGGGGCATTTATATTCTGGCAAGCACTATTATGCCAGACCTGTTTGGTCAGTGATCTGTACAAACAGGCTGGAGATTGGAAAATGACTCAGGGCACAAGAAATCTGAACGTCTAAGACGTGCAGAAGCAGTTTTTTTCTTTTTAGACAATATGACCTGGATGTTCCCATATTCAAAGATCTGCCTGAGGACTCAAGTCAAGCCAATATCCAATTAAGTGCTTTAAAAAATCAAACCACTAGGCTGTGTTGAAAGAACTAAGTCATTTTGACACGATCTCAAAAACGTGGAGGCAAAGAAAGGTAGAATCCTTACTTACCTAGTGAGACAACATTTCCATAATTCTCCTGCATAACATCCCGGTAAAGGTCCCTCTGTGCAGCGTCCAGAGGTCTCCATTCTTCCCGGGTGAGATACATGGCCATATCTTCAAACGTCACAGGTGCCTGAAATCACACGATACTTCCCTACTATTCTGTATTTAGGACTTCTTGAAATTAGAAACATGATTAGAAATATTCAGGAGGAAAAATATATTAAATGTGACCTATAGAGTCCAAATAAGAAATAAACAAGCAAAAAAGAGATGTGGTAAAGAAGGCAGCAATTTATGAGCTGATTGCTCTGGTCCCATGGCCAGCTATCCCTGCCCCACTCAGGAACTTTATCCTCTGGCTGTGACTTTCTCAGGACATATCTGGCACTTGCATCGCTCCATACCTTTACTCATAATGTTCCTCTTTTCCTGGAATATTCTTCTCACACTAGAGAAATTCTACTACTCTTTAAGGTCCCGCTGCAGTACTAACTGTTCTTCAATGCCCCCTACCCCTCTGCACGGCTCCACTCCCCTTGGATGCCCCAGATAGACTTAATCACGCCGACTTCTTGGGAGTGATTCCCACACTACAGCACTTTGTTCCTACAGCAAGTAGAGCACTTACTACGTTGTGCCACGCTTAAGTGGATGCGCCTTTCTCCCTACAGATTGTGAACTGTGAGCTGTGAGCTAGAAGGTAGCGCCCATCTCGTCCATCTTTTATCTCCCCAGTATTTAAAGGCATACAGCAGGTGTTCGATATATGTTTGTTTGTGACTATACTGGCCTGGTACTAGGCCCCTGGAGGCAGAATATCGAAGCCAGCGAATTACTAATCCCAGGGAATTTCCCACAGGGACTTGCAGAGCAGAGAAACGCCGGACGAGGTGGGTAAGCAGAGACAAGGTCTGAGAAGCCACCTCCGGCTTACCTGGGACCCAGCCATGAGCAGGGTGGCTGCCATCTCGAGCACAAGGGTTCGCCTCCAGGGAGAGAGAGCAGGAAAAGCAGCTAGCAGACAGCGCTGAAGGAGGCGAAAAGCAGGGCGTGAGGCACGGAAAACAGGCCCTGCCCACTCCCCAGGGCTGGAGTTCTGGCCCCAAGGCGGGCAGGGAGGGCCCTGGACCAGGGCCGGGTCACTCTCCTCCCTGACCCTCGAGCGCGACCCGCCCTCTGCGTCTCCGCCACAGCGGGGTGGAGGCAATGCCGGAATCTACTAGGACAGCCCCCTGGCTGGGTCCCTCCCGCGCCGGGGGTTAGACCGCTGCTGTCTCAGGGAGGAGGTGCTCAGCTCAGCCCAGGGAACGCCTCCGCTCTGCCATCTCGAGGCCGGGTCCTTTCCGGCAGCTGCCTCAGCCAATCAGCGAGCGAAGTTCGTGAACCACTCTGCCAATCAGAGGCGGAACACTATGCCCGCCTCCCACAGCCTGGCCAAGAGCCTCTAGTGCGCCTGTGCCTGCCCCCATGGCCTGCCGGGAGTTGGAGTTCCACTCCCGCGTACAAAAGCTAGCCAGAGGCCAAAAGCCAAGGAGGGAAAAGAACAAAAGGGTGAAAAAGTAAGCGCGTCCTCCCAGTCAGGGCGGAGTATTCTCGCTTTTTTCTTATGGAGACTGCAGCACGATTAAGCTAGAGGCTGCCCTGCTTCGCCTCACGTCCCTAGAAGCTTCTCTTGAGTCGGGCCTTATTATCTGCGAAGTCAGGCCAATTTAGGCGCTGGCCTGTGTTGAGCTGAGCTAGAATGAGCCCCTGCTTGACAGCACAGGCTGGAGAGGGAAGCGGCAGCCGCCCACTCCCCAGGGGAGACTCGGAGGCCGCGCTGGAACTTTGAGCCCCGCCCACGCACTACATCTCCCAACAGCGCCTGCGGCGGCGCGGCTCTGTACGCAATACAACTCCCGAGAGGCCCCGCGCCGCCCCGCGCCGGGGCGACTCGGGAGTGCGGTCGGCAGTAGAGCCTGGCGGTGTCTTGGCTTCGGCGCTTTAACCCTGTAGGGGCGTGCGACTGCGTCCTTCTCAAGGGGGCGCCCCTCGAGCGGCGGGCTGAGTGGCGTCCAGCGGCGGGGAGGCGAAAACCCTGGGGGACTCAGAAGCGGGTGGCGGTGTAGGGCGTGTAAGGAGGAGATAGCCAGGCCCCTGCGGGGGGGGCGGGCCCTCCTTAGCGTCCCAGAGGGCTTGTCTGCTACAGGGGCTCCCAGCGGCCTCCCGCACCGAAGGGACCCTGGGCGTCTGAGGCCCTGATCCGGGCGGGCCTTCAGGATGTTAGCAGTCCCTGTCCGGTTGAAGGTAGGAAGCCGAAAACCCGAGTGGGGGACGAACAGACTTACCTCCTGTCCCGCAAAAGATCCACTAGATCGTCGTCTCCAAAACCTGAGAGACCGCGAACGGGTTCCAGAGCCGCAGCGTTCTCTCAGACCTGGCGTTCAGGAAGATTCTAGAGAGCACGGGCAGGTCCCGGAGGTCTCAGACCCGCAGGTAGATCTCGAATTCGTAGACTTGCAGGCGAAGCCCAGATATCGTAGGCTGATCCTAAAGACTCAGATTCCCGAGGCCTCAGACTCGCAGGCAGCTCAGAAACCACAGGCTCATAGGCAGATCCCTGAGACCACAGAGGCTGGCCGAGAAACCACCAGCAACTAAGCTGCATTCAGCTGGAGTTCCTCGGAACGGGAGGACTCGCAGCTCTCCCTTTCCCCAGCCAGGATGAGGGAATTAGACAATGGAAGTCGAGCACTGGGGAAAGCAGGCATTCTGCGTGGGGAAGAGCTCCCAGCTCGCTGTAGCCTTGGAGAGGGAAGTGATGGAAAAAGAATATAGCAGCTTATTAGGGACTCCCACCCTCTTCAAGTTATAAATATCCCCAGAACCTTGGCTACGTGCCCGGAAGCCTGTTGTCTCTAACTGTACAGGAGACTTCTCTGCCTGGGCTGGGAAAGGGGCCTTTCTTTTGTTTTGCAGATAGATCCACCCACTGAGGAACTTGAAAATTTTTTTCAAACATAACTCCAGGCCTTGCTTTTATTAGTGAGTGTCCTGTTCCCAGTGCCCGGTTATTTATGATTAAATTACTGAAGTGTCTAAAAAGAACAGAAGGACCCACCCCAGCCATAATGCAGACTTTCCCATTCCTTCTCTTTCCACCCGCAACTGTGGGGCTAAGAATTCTTAAGATGTCACAGAATTATACCATCCTACCTCATCTAAAGTCGATCCGAGGCTGGTCCGATGGTAGTGGGTTACCAGAACTTAATAACATTAATAACTCTAAAGTTAGTATACAACCCCCCACTGCTAAATTTGGCTATAAAAATAAAATTGATCTGAGCACCATATAAAATGGAATCCTGGAGGGTCCCCTAGAGGCAGTATCCCCAGTGGAAAGAGCGTGGGCCTCAAGGTCAGACAAGCCTGGTTTGGAATCCAGGCTGTGTATCCTTTGGAAAGTCATTGAATCCAGGCCCATTTCCTTTTCTCTAAAATGAGGGTCATCATACCTAAGGATGTTGTGAGGCGTGAGTGAGATGATTAAAGCGTTCCAGAGAGTGCGCTCTTGGATGATAGCCGTTACTTTTTATTAACCCTGGCTTTGGTGGTAAGGGAAACTTCCAGAAATGCTTGTGGGTATATTGGATAGCTCAGAAAATCTGGGAAATCAAAGTGGCTCAATAGCTGTGAGGAACTGTGGGTGACTTTATCCTCACATCGTGTTTCTTCCAGAAATTCAGACGCAACAGAGGTTAGGCCAGTTTGGTGGGTTCCAGTGAGCGGTGTGTTGAGCCTAGTAGAGCATAGGTACTTGGGGTTGCCAAAACCCCAGCAAGTTGAGGCTTCACGCTCAGGGAAACTTCTGGGTCAGAGGTTAATAACCACGCTCCTTGGAGCAAGGAGGAGGGGAGCCTTTCTGACTAGCTGAAGTAATTGCAGGTTTCTAACTGGGCCTAAGGTGAGCTGAGGGCTTGAGCCCCTCAGCCCAGCGGGGGTCCCTTTTCATCCCTTCTCTGACAGATTGCTTTGTAAACTTTCTTAGGCCTTCCCCCCACCCCTTTGCCCCAGTGCTTTAAGCCCTTCTTTGTCTTCTTGCTGTTTCTTTTATTCCTCAGGCCTGCGGGGCGGGGGCGGGGTGGCGCCCAGGACGACTCCCCGGGCTCAGCTTGGCTGCCTGCCTCCTTCTGTAAGTGCTTTTTTTTTCTTCACCTGGGACCCTCTAGAGGTTGGAAAGAGAAGAGAGGCTGGGAGCGGATGGAAAGCATGACTGCATCTGGAGCCCCTGGGGGGAGTGGGGAAGAGGGAGTGGAAGGACAGTGGCTGAGGGGCTTCCTGTTGCAGCCTTCAGCTGGACTCAGGGTTGGGGTCACTGGAGGAGGAGGTGGCTTCCTGCCCCATTGTTCTGGACTGCAGTGTTTCTTGGGAATACTTACTGTATGTGGATTTTCAGTAACCAACTTGGAAAGCTGTATTTGTTCCCATGATTCAGCAAACAATGAGTACCTACTGTGTGTAGAAGCAGCAGGACAGCCTGTCATCACTGGGAAAGAGGCCAGAAGAGCCGTTTGGCCAGGGTCTCCAATTTAGGCTTTCAACATTATCTCTAAAGAAGGTTATACATTATGTCGGCTCCACTGGCTGATGGGATCAAAGACCCTCCTTGTATATCCTTAAACCTGTACTCTATTACCAGGCCACTGTGCCTGTGGAGCACTGTAAGTTCCTACCTTTTAATAAATTTTATAATTATCTTGTGAGCAGCACAATTGTCATAGTTTTTTGTATCAGAAACATTAATTTGTTAAACATTTTAAAACATGCCTTGATGTGTGTAATCCTGTTTTGTCATCTCTTCATTTTCAAACAGATGGGGCACCTCAAAAAATCAAAATGACCTGGGCTTCTCGTGAGCCCTGCTAGGAGGGGTGATAAAGGCTCATCACTGCACAAGGAGTTGGGGACGTGGGGGACACACTGACTTGCAAACAGTCATTGCAGTCCAAGTGCTATAATAAGGGGTGAGCTCGTCTGCACCCAGGAGTGGGTGGACTCCTAGCTGGCGGGGAAGGGGGGAGGCTTCACGGAGGAGGTGACGTCTGAGCTGGTAAGACTGTAGGAGTTTGGAGGTGGAGAAGGTGGGAGGGAAAGCATTCCAGTCTTCAAGAACAGCATGTGCGAAGGCACGGAGGCGTGAAAGGCCAGAGCATGTTCCAGGCTGGTCAGGATTGGTTATGGCTAGAGGGAATAGTGTGGGGGTGGAGCAGCAGGGGGAGGAAGCAGAGCACGGAGAGTCTCCTATGTCCCCTTGCCTGTCTCCCTGTTTGTCTCTGCCTTTGGCTGTGAATCGCAATGCTAATGATGAGGTAAAGATGCGGGGCTGCCCAGGGACTGGCCTGGGGTGAGGCAGCAGATTGACTCTGCAGAGGAGGGGGAAGTGGAGATGATTGGGAAGCTCTTATGACCTCATGCATTTCAGCTGGTTTTCTCCAAAAAGAATCAATATTTTCTAAAAATGTAGACAATTGCATTAAAAATGCAATACAAACTTATTTAGTATTATTTGGCCTACTTAAAGATATCAAACAGACCCATACTCACTGAACCCTATTCTGTAGCAGCTGCTGAGCTGGGAAATAGGACACCACCCCTCACGACTGCAGGGCTGCTGCGTGGATTAAATGTGAGAATGGTACAGAGGATGGCCTTGGCATACCATGGCCATCACTATTATGGGGGGAGGAAAAACACATCACAGATGTTCTGTGAGGTGAACATATTGCAAAGTGGCTCAGAGCATGACCTGGGCTCTGGGTTCAAATCCAGGTTCTTTCTCCAAAAACAAATGACTTGGCTCACGCCTGTAATCCTAGCACTTTGGGAGGCTGAGGTGGGCGGATCATGAAGTCAGGAGTTTGAGACAAGCCTGATCAACATGGTGAAAGCCGTATCTACTAAAAATACAAAAATTAGCTTGGTATGGTGGCATGGGCCTGTAATCCCAGCTACTCAGGAGGCTGATGCAGGAGAATTGCTTGAACCTGGGAGGCGGAGGTTGCAGTGAGCCAAGATTGTGCCACGCAGTCCAGCCTGGACGACAGAGTGAGATTCTGTCTCAAAAAAAAAAAAAAAAAATTACTCTCAGAACCTTAGTTTTCTCAGTCTGCAAAGACTATAATAATACAAATTCATAGAAAGTAGAATAGTGCTTTCCAGGGCTTGAGGGGAGGAGGAAATGAGTTATTTAAGGAGTATAAAGGTTCAGTTTGCAAGATGAAGAGTTCTAGAGACTGGTTGTACAACAGTATGAATGTACTTAACCTTACTGAACTATATACTTAAACATTTTTAAGATGGGCTGGGCGCGGTGGCTTATGCCTGTAATCCGAGCACTTTGGGGGGCTGAGGCGGGTGGGTCACATGAAGCCAGGAGTTCCAGACCAGCCTGGCCAAGGTGTTGAAACCCCGTCTCTACTAAAAATATGAAAGTTAGCTAGGTCTGGTGGTATGCACCTGTAATCTCAGCTGCTTAGAAGGCTAAGGCACAAGAATCACTTGAACCCACGAGGCAGAGGTTGTAATGAGCCGAGATCGCGCCACTGCTCTCCAGTCTGGGCAACAGAGAGAGACTGTCTCAAAATAGATTTTTAAAAAACTGCTAAGGTGGTTTATGTCATGTGTAGTTTACTACAATTTTTAAAAAACAGTATAATAATAGTAACCTAGTTCATGAGGTCAGAGGGCTCACTGAGGCAATCAATGTAATGTGCTACCCTGCACTCATAGTAACAATAGCTAATATTTACTAATCAGTCACTATGTGTCAGGCCTGATTCTGCTGCTCTCTTTGTATTAACTAAATGAATCCTCACAACAACCCTTTGAGCTAGGAGCTGTTATTACCACTGTTTAACCGATGAAACCAGAAGCATGCAGAAGTTGTATAATGTGCCCAAGATATCCAGCTAGTAAATGCTCAATGATTAATAGATATTACTGACACTGTCATACAAAGAAATTTTAAAGGAATCATCATCATGAAGGTTGAATGCAATGTGTGCTAAGAGAATTTCACGATGCTATGGGAGTTCTGAGGAACCATCTCATGTTGCTAGGGGATCGGAGACCTCATAAGAAGATGTGCATCTGAGGTGAGCCTTGAAGAATGGATAAGATTTGGATCTGGCTGAGGAGAAGGAAGCAGTATAGGTATTCACAAATGGGAAGGCCCATTGGGTATTCAAACACAGGGCAAATATCTCCTTTAGCCTGGAGCATAAGGGACAGCAGAGGTGGACGATGAACCACCAAAGCCAAGCAGAGGGCAAGGGCCTGTCAGGCCTCTGAGCCCAAGCCTGCACGTATACATCCAGATGGCCTGAAGTAACTGAAGAATCACAAAAGAAGTGAAAATGGCTGGTTCCTGCCTTAACTAATGACATTACCTTGTGAAATTCCTTCTCCTGGCTCAGAAGCTCCCCCACTGAGCACCTTGTGTCCCCCACCCTTCCCCCTGCAGAGAACAACCCCCTTTGACTGTAATTTTCCATTACCTACCCAAATCCTATACAACGGCCCCACCCCTATCTCCCTTCACTGACTCTCTTTTCGGACTCAGCCCGCCTGCACCCAGGTGAAATAAACAGACTTGTTGCTCACACAAAGCCTGTTTGGTAGTCTCTTCAGACGGACGCGCGTGACAGGGCCCATCGGCACAGTCAGACATAAAAGCCTCTAGGCCCCCTCGCCACCCCCAGAAAAGGCAGAGGGCAGATAGAGCTTTGAAAATCAAACCAAATAGTTGAATTTTGATAGCTGGTGGAACCTGCTGAAGACAAGGAATGATGCTCAGAGTCAGGCAGGGTAGATGCAGGGAAGATAGTGCTCTGAGTTGGAGGATCAGTAGAAGACCTTTGCACCAGTCCTAGAAAAAAAAAAAACCTGGGCCGGGTGCAGTGGCTCATGCCTGTAATCCCAGCACTTTGGAAGGCCAAGGCAGGCGGATCACAAGGTCAGGAGATCAAGACCATCCTGGCTAACACGGTGAAACCCCGTCTCTACTAAAAATACAAAAAATTAGCCAGGCGTGATGGAGGGTGCCTGTAGTCCCAGCTACTCAGGAGGCTGAGGCAGGATAATGGCATGAACCCAGGAGGCAGAGCTTGCAGTGAGCAGAGATCGCGCCACTGCACTCCAGCCTGGGTGACAGAGAGAGACTCCATCTCAAAAAAGAAAAAAAAAAAGAAAAGAAAAAAGAAAAAGAAAAAAGGAAACCTGAAAGGCCATGTTGACAGTGATGGGAATGGAGATAAGGGTTGGTCAAGGGAGAGACTATAGAATTGGGAAATAAGAGAAGAGGACAAGGGGAAAGAGTCACAGATGGTTTTAAGGAATGAATTATCTGACAAATAGGAAAGACAGAAGAGGGGACCAAAGAAAGAAAAGATGCATGGGGTGCAGTGGCTCACGCCTGTAATCTCAACACTTTGGGAGGCCCAGGTGGGAGGATCGCTTGAGGTCAGTCAGGAGTTGGAGACCAGGCTTGGTAACATAGGGAGACCCCCCTCGCATGCCCATCTCTACAAAAAAAATTTTTTTTTTGAGACGGATTCTTACTCTGTCACCCAGATTGAAGTGCAGTGGCGCTGTACTGCAACCTCCACCTCCCAGGTTCAAGCGATTCTTGTGCCTCAGCCTTCTGAGTAGCTGGGATTACAGGCATGCGACACTGCGTCTGGATAATTTTTGTATGTTTAGTAGATGTTTAGTACATGTTGGCCAGGCTGGTCTCGAACTTCTGATCTCAGGTGATCTGCCCGCCTTGGCCTCCCAAAATGCTGGGATTACAGGCATGAGCCACTGTGCCTGACAAAAAAAAAAAAAATTAGCCAGATGTGGTGGCATGTGCCTGTAGTCCCAGCTACTCAGGAAGCTGAGGTGGGAGGATCACTTAAGCCTAGGAGTTCAAGACTGCAGTGAGCTATGATCACACCACTGCACTCTAGCCCAGGCAACAGAGTCAGACCCTGTCTCTCAAAAAACAAACAAACAAACAATGTCGGGGTATGGTGGCTCACACCTGTAATCCCAGCACTTTGGGAGGCTGAGGTGGGAGGATCACTTGAGCACAAGAGTTCAAGACCAGCCTGGAAAACACAGCGAGATCTCATCTCTACAAATAAAAAAAATTAGTGGGGGGTGGTGGTGCACACCTGTGGTTCTAGCTACTTGGGAGGCAAAGGCGGGAGGATCACTTGATCCTGAAACATCAAGACTTCGGTGAACTGTGATTGCACCACTGCTTTCCAGCCTAGGTGACGGGATGAGACCCTATCTCAAAAAAATATTTTTAAATTAAAAAACAGAGATGTGAGTTCAATTTCAGATTAACTGTATTATAGCATTGAGAGGGTCAGTGGGGTGCTTGCGAGGAGATATCCAAATAGGCACTTGGCAATGTAAGTCTTGAGCTAAAGAAAAAACGAGGCTAATAAGAGATTTGGTAGTCTGGATGAAAATACTAAGAAAGACTTCTCATCCTATACAGTATTTTAGGTTCCTGGAACCTTTTTAAAACACCCAAATTGGCCATAGGATCTTCAACGACCCTCCATTCTTCCATTTTCAAGTTTTTTTTTTTTTTTTTTTTTTGAGGTAGAGTCTCACTCTTGTCGTCCAGGCTGGAGTGCAGTGGCAATCTCGGCTCACTGCAACCTCTGCTTTCTGGGTTCAAGTGATTCTTCTGCCTCAGCCTCCAGAGTAGCTGGGATTACAGGCGTGTGCCACCATGCCCAGCTATTTTTTTTTTTTTTTTTTTGTATTTTTAATAGGGATGGGTTTTCACCATGTTGGCCAGGCTGGTCTCGAACTCCTGACCTCAAGTGATCCGCCCACCTTGGCCTCCTAAAGTGCTGGGATTACAGGCGTGAGCCACCGCAGCCAGCCTATTTTCAAGTTCTTTTGGCCATAACATTCTGGTGAGCTCTTTCATTCCAAGCGTGTTGCCTGTTTTACCTCATTTGACCTTGTCTTTTTCCTCCAGTATGGTAACCACCTCCCCTCCCCTAGGAAGCCCTCCTGGGTGGCAGAGGTGAATGCTAACTCCTTGTAGCTCGCACCTTCTTCATCTTTGGTTATGAAGGAGATGGGGTTAAACCACTTGTTCCAGCCAACAGCATGTGGAAAGACTCTGTGACAAGGAGGAGCACAGCATGTCGTGAAGAACTGAGAGAAGGCCAGTGTGATTGCAGCACAAAGTGCGGGGGCGAGGTACAGGCCCGCGCTGCAGGGCCCTGTAGACCTTGCCAAGAGCAGTAGGGGGGAAAAAAGGAAAGGTTTTAAATGGGGGTGTAGAGTGGAGGATTCTAAGGATCAGTTTTACAATGTGGAAAAGCCTGTTCTGGTCAGTTGGATCCGGAGTGGACACGGGAAGGCCCGCAGTGAGGGTTTTGCCGCCTGCTGATGACAGTCTGTGGCCTATTCATACTCTTTTGTGTCCTTTTGTGAATGTGGATGTATACTGTATAGATGTGTGGACTTGAGCTGACTTGTTCTTTTGCTGTTTAATCTGACTCATCTCCTTTGTAAACAGTAAGGTTATTGAGGGTGAAGATTAGTTTTCTTTTTTTTTTTTCTATGCTCTAAATCCCTATGCTATGACACAGGAAACACAACAGTTATTTAGATTGTGACTACTGAAAATTGCCCCAAGGTGCCGCGTTTATAAAACTCACCCAAGGTTGGCCGGACGCAGTGGCTTACGCCTGTAATCCCAGCACTTTGGGAGGCTGAGGCGGGCGGATCATGAGGTCAGGAGTTCGAGACCAGCCTGACCAACATGGTGAAACCCCGTCTCTACTAAAAATACAAAAATACAAAAAAAAAAAAAAATTAACCAGGCGTGGTGGCAGGTGCCTGTAATCTCAACTACCCAGGAGGCTGAGGCAGGAGAATTGCTTGAACCCGGGAGGTGGAGGTTACAGTGAGCCGAGATCACACCGCTGTACTCCAGCCTGGGCGACAGTGCAAGACTCTGTCTCAAAAAAAAAAACCTCACTCAAGGCCAGGCGTGGTGGTTCACACCTGTAATCCTAGCACTTTGGGAGGCTGAGACGGGCGGATCACCTGAGGTCAGGAGTTTGAGACCAGCCTGGCCAACATGGTGAAACCCCATCTCTATTAAAAGCACAAAAATTAGCCGGGTGTGGTGGTTCCAGTACTGGGGTTCTAGTACTTGGGAGGCTGAGGCAGGAGAATGTCTTGAACCCGGGAGGTGGAGGTTGCAGTGAGCCGAGATTGCGCCAGCCTGGGCGACAGAGCAAGACTCTGTCTCAAAACAAAACCAAACAAAACAAAAAACTCACCCGAAAGTAACCTTTATTGGCCTTATTAAATTGACAGTGGTTGCTTTTTGTTCTGCTTTTGGTTTCTAGACATTTGGATGGAGGATTACATAATACAGAGAAAAATCTGGACATCTAAGGCCTTCCTACTCAAAGTGTGGTCTGTGGACCAGCTGCATTGGGGTTAGAAATGAAAAATCAGCTGGGTGCGGTGGCTCATGCCTATAATCCCAGCGCTTTGGGAGGCTGAGGCAGGAGGATTGCTTGAGCCCAGGAGTTTGAGACCAGCCTCGACTACATAGGGAGACCCCATCTCTATAAAAAATAAAAAATTAGCCAGGCGTGGTGGTGCATGCCTATAGTCTCAGCTACTCCAGCAGCTGAGGTGGAAGGATCGCCTGAGCCTAGAAGGTCAAGTCTGCAGTGAGCCATGATGGCATTACTGCACTCCAGTCTGGGCAACAGAGTGAGACCCTGTCTTAAAAAAAAAAAAAAAGAAAAAGAAAAAAAGAAAGAAAGAATTGAACAATCTCAAGGCCCACCCCAGACCCATTGAATTGGAATCTGCATTTCAGCACAATGCCCAGTGAATTCTCACCTATATTAAAGTTTAAGAAACATCTGGGTTTCTCAGCAACATCCCCCTGCACGTCTGTGGATAATGTTGGTCCCTCAGATGTATGTGGCATTTATCGCATCCCGTCTGGTGTGGAAATCTGTGCCTATGGTTTCTTTCCCTGCCAGGCTGTGACTTCCTGGAAGGTAAGGGCTGAGCGCTGTGTATAGCTCTGGATCTCTTATAGCACAATGACAGGAAGCAGAAGACCTGGGTTTCTGTCCTGGCTCTGCCATTTATGAGCTCTTTGTGTTGTATCATCTGTGAGAGGATTTTCGATCTTTCCAAGAAAGGGATTCACCCCAAATCTAACTGTTTAAAAGTCAGAGACAGGCCAGGCGCGGTGGCTCACGCCTGCAATCCCAGCATTTTGGGAGGCCAAGGTGGGTGGATCACCTGAGATCAGGAGTTCGAGACCAGCCTGGCCGACATGGTGAAACCCCATTTCTACTAAAAATACAAAAAAAATTAGCCGGGTGTGGTGGTGGGCACCTGTAATCCCAGCTACTCAGGAGGCTGAGGCAGGAGAATCTCTTGAACTCAGGAGGTGGAGGTTGCAGTGAGCCAAAATCGTGCCATTTCACTCCACCCTGGGCAACAAGAGTGAAACTCTGTCTCAGAAAAAAAAAAAAAAAGTCAAAGATGGGGCCGGGCACAGTGGCTTATGCTTGTAATCCCAGCACTTTGGGAGGCCAAAGTGGGCGGATCATTTGAGGTCAGGAATTCAAGACTAGCCTGGCCAACATGGTGAAACCCTGTCTCTAATAAAAATACAAAAACTAGCCAGGTGGTAGTTGTGCGTGCCTGTAATCCCAGCTACTCAAGAGGCTGAGGCAGGAGGATCACTTGAGCCTGGGAGGCAGAGGTTGCGGTGAGCCAAGATTGCACCGCTGCACTCCAGTCTGGGTGACAGAGAGAGACCCTGTCTCAAAAATAAATAAATAAATAAAAATAAATAAAAGTCAAAGAAGGTGGAAGACTCCTGTACCTAGTTTATTTCCGGGCTTCATCTACAGGAGAAGGCACTTATGGATGGAAGGAAGAAGACAGTAACCAATTCTAGAGTAAATGATATCCAGGGTATATGAGGAACTTGGGTTATAGTTGCCCCAACAGCTTCCCCAAGGCTTTTCTAGAAGTTTCCAGCTTTGCTGAAAGTTCCTGTCAGCATCAAAAGCAAGCCGAGGCCAGGTGCAGTGGCTCACACCTATAATCCCAGCACTCTGGGAGGCCGAGGAGGGTGGATCACTTGAGCCCAGGAATTTGAGACTAGCCTGGCCAACAGGGCGAAAACCCGTCTCTACTAAAAATACAAAAAATTAGCCGGGTTTGGTGGCTTATGCCTGTAGTCCCAGCTACTTAGGAGGCTGAGGCAGGAGAATTGCTTGAACCTGGGAGGTGGAAATTGCAGTGAGCCAAGATCACACCACTGCATTCCAGCCTCTAAAAAAACAAAACAAAACAAAACAAACAAACAAAAAAAGCAAGCCAATAATTATCATGGGAGAAGCACGGCAAGGTCTCTGTGCTCTGCAGATGTGTTCTGAAGCTCAGGTCACAGATGGAGCTGTGAGGGACACATTGCTAGGGCCTGGGCAGGTTCTGAGGCTCAGGACTTTCAAAGGGCCATGGAAGTCAGAGTGCTGCTGTAATCTTCAGAAAGCCCACTCAAGAAAGCCCACTCAGAAAGCCCAGCTCAAGAGGATCTGTTCCCTGCCTAGAGGGATATGATCTGGAGTCCTCAAAGGCCCCCACAGCCAGCTGTGAACAGGGAATAGCAGAGAGTTTGGGAAGAGATGAGGAAAGAGTAGGGAAGAAATATTTCTATTAGGCCACTGCAAAAGTAACTGCAAAAACCACAATTACTTTTGCAGCAACCTAATACGTAGTATGGAAGTAATATCTGCTGAAGCCAAATGGTGTATCAACAGTTCTGCACGTGTGACTCGGAGGTGGGGGTGGGGTAAGGTTTGTGTTGATCTGGCATTTTTCAATTTGGAAAAGGCTGGGAGATCCAGATGGGAGAGAAGGAACTCAAAGCAAACGTCTGCCAGCCCACTGTCAAAGATATGACACCTCAGGTCTAAGGCGCTGCAGTTTCTTTATTTTTTCTTTTTATAGAGATGGGGTCTTGCTGTGTTGCCTGGGCTGGACTCAAACTTCTGGGGTTAAGCGATTCTCCCACCTCAGCCTCCCAGAGTTTGCAGATTACAGCCATAAACCACCGTGCCCAGCCCTCTGCAGTTTCTAAAAGAGGTTCATCAATACAAATTCTCAGCATCATTCTCCAATTAGGCTCCCCCATTAACCAATTGTTTCTAATGACCGATTATTAATTTGCAAGAGAATTCTTCCTCTAACTCATACCATCCCACTCAGACAGAGTTCAGTATTTTCCTTCACTTTAATTTTTATTGCTTCTCCAGTTCAGATAATTCAGCGCTTCCTCTTTCTTCTTCCTCACCTTGTTCATGGCTGGCTGTTCCATCAGCAGAACTACAAAACCAGAAAGGCAACAAAATTTGAAAGGTTTCTCGGCATCCTCCAAGGAGGCTGTGGGGGAATATGAAAAAGAAGGTGGTGTCTGGAGCCACACAGACCAGAGTCCAAAGCCCAGCTCTGCCATTATTAGCTGTGTGATCTTGAACAAATCACTCACCTGTAAAATGAGCTCATAAAGCTTGTGAATGTGAGAATGATATCAGGTAATAAATGAATGGCAATTCGGTGCCAGGAATGTGCTGAGCTCTCAATTTATGGTCAAGAACATCACTGGGATGGCTACTAATCACTTGGTTAGACTTTTGGTCTCCCACATGGCAACGGAGACCAACTGAAAATGTGTTCAGAAGTCTGTAGTTGTTACCTCTAGTGGATCCTGTCCCTCCAACTAGTAAGAGTCAAGGAAGAGGAGCTGGATTTAAAGCATTCAGAATGTCCTTTCTCTAACAGTAACAAAATCACAAGAGCTACATTTATTGAGCATTTATTCTGTGCTAGGCAGTATTAACATGTATTAACTCATTTCACCCTTACAATCACTCTGAGATAGGCACTAATATCACTCCCAATTTTTTTTTTTTTTTTGAAACGGAGTTTCACTTGTCACCCAGGCTGGAGTGCAATGGCATGATCTTGGCTCACCGCAATCTCCGCCTCCTGAGTTCAAGCGAGTCTCCTGCCTCAGCCTCCCGAGTAGCTGGGATTACAGGCATGTGTCACCACGCCTGGCTAATTTTGTATTTTTAGTAGAGACGGGGTTTCTCCATGTTGGTCAGGCTGGTCTCAAACTCCCGACCTCAGGTGATCCACCGGCCTCCCAAAGTGCTGGAATTACAGGCACGAGCCACTGCGCCTGGCCTATCACTCCTATTTTTACAGGTAAGGAAGCAGATCAGAGAGGTTAAGTGACTTGCCCAAACTCCCGTAATACTAGTAGATGACATACCCAAAATAGTAAGAATAGTGGTTTTATGTACCAGGCATGTCTGTACTCAGGGCTTTTTTTGTATGGTTGTATAATTTGTTGACTGCACAAAAGAGCCTGGCCAAAGGGGCAAGCTGAGGCTGAAACGTAGCCCCTGCTCTGTTTGCTCCGTACCCTGGCATGAGGCTGTGCCGCCTGGAGGAAGGGACACCTTTTTCTAATTTGACAAAGATGCCATATGAGCTCTCAGAGGCTCTGTTAATGCTTTATGTGTGTTACCTTCTCTACTCCTCAAAACAGCTCTGTGGGCTAGATATGAATACCCTCATTTTATAGATGAGGAAATCCAGGCTTAGTGAGTTCAGGTCACTGAGTTAAGTCACTTGGTAAGGGATAAAGCTAGGATTTGAGCCTGATGCCAAAGCCCATGCTCTAAACCAGTAGGCCACTATACTGGCCCCATCCCTAAGTGCTCAATAAGTGAAAAAAGGAAAAAATACATAATCATCTGGTTTTTACCTTAAAAAATATGGCAGTTCTAATGAGGCCCCAGTAAGGGCTACTGAGGTCCTTAGTAAGAAAAATAATTAGAGGCCGGGCGCGGCGGCTCACGCCTGTAATCCCAGCACTTTGGGAGGCCGAGGCGGGCGGATCACGAGGTCAGGAGATCAAGACCATCCTGGCTAACACGGTGAAACCCCGTCTCTACTAAAAATACAAAAAAATTAGCCGGGTGTGGTGGCCGGCGCCTTTAGTCCCAGCTACTCAGGAGGCTGAGGCAGGAGAATGGTGTGAACCTGGGGGGTGGAGCTTGCAGTGAGCAGAGATCACACCACTGCACTCCAGCCTGGGCAACAGAGCGAGACTCCATCTCAAAAAAAAAAAAAAAAAAAGTAAAAGAATTGATCAGGAAGTCGGAGCATCGGCTTTCAGTGCTCCAAACTGTGGCTTTATGCTTATTAACTATTTCTGTATTTCAATTTCCTTGTCTGAAAGTAAGAATAACATTATAAAGGAACAATTCTTGTAGTTGTTTGCAAAGTGTTTATGCATACATGATAACCCTCATATCAAAATGATCCTCACATCATCAAACCTGGGAGAAAGGCATTATTATTACTCTTTTGCTCAATGAGGTGAGTAACATGCTCAGCATGAGTAGGGCAGAATGGGACCTGAAACCAGGGATCCTGACTTATCTTGTACTTCTTGCTAAGTACCTTAGAACTTTTGGAGCACCTGCAGCCTGCCTGGTGGCCCAGACATCACATGGTGCACATGCAAGTCAGAGAGCAGTTGGAAACTGACAATAGGCACGTGACCACACTCTGTTCCTTCAGGAGACTTGGCAGGAAGGAGCACTCTGGGAGGAGTCTTTGTTTGGCTCCCATGCGTGAAAACAAAACTTCTGCCTTTGCAGGAGCTGGGGCAGTCTGAGTTACAGACTTGGGTAAGACTTTCAGAGCTTCCTTAGGAGGGAAGGATGGCCTGGTGGCATTTAGGTTCAACTCCTTTCTGACAGGGCTCAGCCTTCCTGTTTCCCATCCTTGGCTGTGGCCAGGTTCAAAGGAAATACCATCTGTGGAAGCACTTTCCAAAGAGGCGTGGTCCAAGTGCAGAATGTTTTTCCTCTCCTCTGTGGATCTCAGGAAGCCGATTCCATCTGTGCTCAAATGACAGACTTGCTCATCCTGTGATAAAATGTGGGCTGCTGCCCCCACCCCAGCTTGGTGCCCTTCTAAAATGAAAACATGCATGTGTGTTCTCTCCCCACCTCCCCAACAGCAATCCGCCACTATCTCTGGCTCTGCAGACCTACTCTGTGCAGGCTGGCAAGTGCTGCCATGCACAAGGCCCCTTCTGGGTTGTGGGTACACTACGCCTTATGCGGGCGAGGTATGTGGATAACAGGGAAGGGGGAAATACATAAACATACAGACCTTCCAGCGATTGCCACATTCATTGCATAAGACAAAGGTAGTCATGGGCTCATCAGCACTGCGTGTCTGCACCTGAGAGAGAGAAGAACCACTCATGAAGTCACTCCCCTGTTCTAGGACCTGCCATGGCTCCCACTGTCTTTAGGAGTAGGTCCAAATCCCAGAGGTTGGCACTGAGATTCCCACCCCCCGCTGGCAATTTCCTTATCACTGACAACTCCATAATATTAGTATTATGCTTTCCTCTCCTCTGGCAGGCAGTCCATCAGCTCACTCCCAGTATCTTACTGGCTTAACCTGGCCTTTTGCACTTCCGCTTTTTTTTTTTTTTTTTTTTTGACAGTGGAGTCTCGCTCTGTTGCCCAGACTGGAGTGCAGTGGTGCCATCTCGGCTCACTGCAACCTCCACCTCCTGGGTTCAAGCAATTCTCCTGCCTCAGCCTCCTGAATAGCTGGGATTACAGGCGCCCGCCACCACGCCCGGCTAATTTGGACTTTCACTCTTGTTGGTCACTCTTGTTGATCTTTTGTAACAGACCTCTCTTCTCTTGCCTCAAGACTTATCTCCTACAGGAAGTATTCCCTGACTCACCCCTGAACACATCCTACTGGACAAGTTCACAGGAGTGAGCTGCAAGCAGGCTTAGCGGTCTAGTTCATCTTCCTTATTTTACTGGTGGAAGACCTGAGGCCCAGAGAGGGAAAGTCCTAAATATCATTGGGACTATTTAATGTTACATTTTCTCATCCTCTTAGCCTCATCATTCAGGTGCAGGAACCGGGTATCCCACAGTAAAGCCCTGGCATTTCCAGGTTTAACAGCTCCTGTTCTGGTTTTCTAAGGCTGTCCTTGGCTGGCCACGACATGTAGCAAGTCATTACTTTGCTGACAATCAGCTACGAATGATGTCAGCTGGGAATCTGTGGTGTGGGACGAGTTATGCCCGCCACCCTCCTTGGGTGAGCCCCAGCAGCCCAGCAGTCTGCCAGGCGGACACAGCTTAGCGCAGCCTGGTCACTGGAAAGCAGTGACGAGCAGAGAGAAAACTTTGCTAGTGGGCAGTTTACTTCTAGAAAGAAGTGAGGCACAGGAAGCGCATCACTCCACACGGAAAGGTGCTTGGGAGAGAGCAGAAGCTTGCACAAACATCTCCGGATTCCAGAACTGGAATTCTCCAAGGGACTCCTCCGGAATGGCAAGGCTGACTGCATTTCTGCCCTGGCCACAGAATGCCGCAGGCAAGGTGCTCTTGATAAATGGTGTGTGCCGAACAGACGGAGAACTCTGAATAGAGTTCTAGAATGACTAGACACCAGTTAGAATCCAAGGATATTTGTGCTCTAAGGGCATACCATGTGCAACCCAGAAAGAGGAGGCCATTCTCTGGTTTTAAGAGAAGGGGCCTCCACAGCCTTCCCAAGTTCCCCATGCCAGGGCAATGGTCTTCAACTTTAGGACTCAGAGCTAAAGCCCTTAGGCTTTATTGACCAAGTTAGCTGGATTGCAGGCAGAATGGTGTGGATCTTGTTTATTACTACCTCTGACATTGGCCTCCTTTCTTGGGCAAGGCTAAAAAGCCCATCTGTGGCCTGTGTGGGCCTCAGTTTCCCTGGGTGTGTAATGAGGGAGCTGGGTTTCACATTGCCAAGTTCCCTTCCAACTGTCTATGACTCTTCAGCCGCCATGAGTCTGATTCTTCTTATTGTCACGTCAGGGCAGACCAGAACACACTGACCAAGCCTCGTAGACACATAGCAGGGATGATTCTAAACTCAGAGGAACATTGTCTAGAAGCCACAGGTGCACCACATTAGTGTACCAAGGCTTGCCCTTCTCTCTGCAGCCTGGAGAGTTTTTAAGGTTTTCTTTGTTTTGTTGAGTCAGGGTCTCATTCTGTCACCCAGGCTGGAGTGCAGTGGTGCAATCATAGCTCATTGCAGCCTCAATTCACTGTAGCCTCAACCTCCTGGGCTCCAGTGATTCTCCTGCCTCATCGCCACCCATTTCCCCCGCATCCAGTAGCTGGGACTACAGGCACACACTACCAAGCCTGGCTAATTTTTGTATTTTTAGCAGAGATGACGTTTCACCACGTTGCCCAGGCTGCTCTCAAACTCCTAGGCTCAAGCAATCTGCCTGCCTCGGCCTCCCAAAGTGCTGGGATTACAGGCGTGAGCCACTGAGCTGGCCCAGCCTAGAGAGGTTTTCTTTTTGTTGTTTGTTTGGTTTGAGACAGAGTCTCCCTCTGTCGCCCAGGCTGGAGTACAGTGGTGCAATCTCGGCTCACTGCAGCCTCCACCTCCCAGGTTCCAGTGATTCTCCTGCCTCAGCCTCCAGGGTAGCTGGGATTACAGGCACGTGCCACCATGCCTGGCTAATTTTTTTTTTCTTTCAGATGGAGTCTCACTCTGTCGCCCAAGCTGGAGTGCAGTGGCATGATCTCGGTTCACTGCAAGCTCCACCTCCCGGGTTCACGCCATTCTCCTGCCTCAGCCTCCTGAGTAGCTGGGACTACAGGTGCCCGCCACCACACCCTGCTAATTTTTTGAATTTTTAGCAGAGACGGGGTTTCACCGTGTTTGCCAGGATGGTCTCAATCTCCTGACCTCGTGATCCGCCCGTCTTGGCCTCCCAAAGTGCTGGGATTATAGGCGTGAGCCACCGCGCCCGGCATTTTTGTATTTTTAGTAGAGATGGGGTTTCACTGTGTTGGCCAGGCTGGTCTCAAACTCCTGGCCTCAGGTGATCCACTCGCCTTGGCCTCCCAAAGTGCTGTGATTACAGACATGAGCCACCGCACCCGGCAAAGCCTAGAGAGTTTTAACGCTTTCTCCCCTCTGGCTCTTCCCTAAGCTTCTCTCTGATTTTCCACCTCTATGCCCCTGCGGCCTCCTGCACCTCCGGCCCGTCCCCTCACTGTCCTTACCTGGTTATAGGTGCAGTTCTTCTTCTTGCATTTGCTGCACTGGAAGAGGTCAGTGGTGGTGCCGCCAGTCTTGGCCATCTGGTGCTCACGGATGGCCTCCTGGGTCATGGCATTCCTCAACTCCCTCAGTTCATCACTGGCCATTTCCTGGAGAAAAAAGAGTCTACCCTTCAGGGCTGAGGAGTTTCAGGGGCCCTGCCCTACACCCGGTTTCTAGAAAGCCTGAACAGAAAAGGAGGTAACATGCTTTATTGACTGCAAGGAGCTGGAAGGAGGCCTGGATTCCGGGTCCTGCCCCAGCTGGGAGAAAGCTGTCCCCGCAGAGTCCTCCTGCCGCCCACGGCTGGAAGGTCATAATGCACATTCAGGTGAGCAGCAGGCAAACAGCCTCTGCCCGAGGACGAGCACTCCTGTGTACATTTCTTCAGATCTGGGGCTCATCCTGCCTGCCAGGACCTTGGCCTTGGCCTGAACCTTCCTGCTTGAGCTGACTTGATCACTGCCACCTGGTCTATGATGTTCCCCTTAGCCTTCCTCTCTAGACTTGACCCAGTGCTCTTTTACGCTGTGATCACTGCCCTGCTGTTCTGCTTAGTGGGAACCTTGGCGCAACTACCCATGACTTGCTGCTGCTACCCCCATCCTGAAGCTCCTGGGCTCACACAACTAACTGTTCATCTGATGAGCATGCATCCAAGATCATCTTTTTCTGAGAGTTTCTACAGAAGAGTCTCCAGTCTCCCACCAGCTCACAGTAGACACTCCGGGTCTGCATCACCCACACCTTTGCTTTCTCTGTCCATCTCCCTGGCCACTTGTCTCCCCTTAAGCCTCTGCCAGAGGACAGCAGAGAGGGAGCTCCAGTTAAGGGTTGGTGGAAGGGGAAGGAGGGTGGCTGACGCGAATCTCAAAATGAGGATTTTAAACTTTTTTTTTTTTTTTTTGAGATGGAGTCTCGCTCTGTCACCAGGCTGAAGTGCAGTGGTGCGATCTCGGCTCACTGCAACCTCCACCTCCTGGGTTCAAGCGATTCTCCTGCCTCAGCCTCCCGAGTAGCTGGGACTACAGGCTCATGCCACCACACCCAGCTAATTTTTGTATTTTTAGTAGAGACGGGGTTTCACCATATTGGCCAGGATGGTCTCGATCTCCTGACCTTGTGATCCACCCACCTCATCCTTCCAAAGTGCTGGGATTACAGGTATGAACCACTATGCCTGGCTTAAACATTTTAATTGTTGCTGTCTGTCCTGAGTCCTTAAACCATGGAGAAGAATGCTGGCATAAAGGTCAAAGCATTTTAGTGTGCTCACCTTTCATTATAACCACTTAGGCTTCTTGATAAAATGCAGATTCCTATGAATCTGAATTGCTAAGGGCAGGCCCAGGAATATGCATTTTTTAAAGTTCTTTATTTGGTTATTTTTGGGACAGGATCTTGCTGTCACCTAGGCTGGAGTGCAGTGGTGCGATCGTGACTCATGGCAGCCTCAACCTCCCCAGGCTCAAACGATTCTCCCACCTCAGCCTCCCAAGTAGCTGGGACTACACCCAGCATGCACCACCAAACCTGGTTAATTATTTTTTGTATATTTTTGTAGAGATGGGGTTTTCCCATGTTGCCTAGGCTGGTCTCCTGAGCTCAAGTGATCTGCCTACTTTGGACTCCCGAAGTGCCGGGATTACAGGCATGAGCCACTGCGCCTGGCCAGAATATGCATTTTCACTAGTGTCCTCAAGTTATTCTGGTACGTATTAATGTTTAAGTCCTAGTGTGTTAAATTCAAAGGCTAGGCCCTAACCAATGGCAGGAGAATATAGAAAAACAAGTCAATGAAAGCCATTTACCCATATGAGTAAAAAGTAGCTGACTTTAATTTGAGGGGATTTTCCAGAGCATAAAGCATTTGCCCATTCAAAATTTATTGGATGTGGCCAGGTGCAGTGGCTTACACCTGTAATCTCAGCACTTTGGGAGGCTGGGACAGGTGGATCACCTGAGGTCAGGAGTTGGAGACCAGCCAGGTCAACATGGTGAAACCCCATCTGTACTAAAAATACAAAAAATTAGCTGGGTGTGGTGGCGGGCACCTGTAATCCCAGCTACTTGGAAGGCTGAAGCAGGACAATTGCTTGAACCTGGGAGGTTTAAGTTGCAGTGAGCTGAGACTGCACCATTGCACTCCCGCCTGGGCAACAACAGCGAGATTCCATCAAAAAAAAAAAAAAAGCCAGGCATTGGTGGTGCATGCCTGTAATCTCAGCTATTTAGGAGGCTGAGGCAGGAGAATCGCTTGAACCTGGGAGGTGGAGGGTGCAGTGAGCCGAGATCACGTCACTGCACTCCAGCCTGGGTGACAGAGTGAGACTCCGTCTCAAAAAACAAAAACAAAATCTATTGGATGCCAATTTACTGAATGCCTTTAACTGTATCAGTTTGCAGGTAAACCAGCTTTGGTTGTGGGGATGCCTTGATTTGTAGTGTTTGTCAGCTTCCATGGGACAAAATGCTATGGTCAATGGGACAAAATTCCATGGCCAATTTCAAGCTGCTAATGTGATATAACTGAACGCAGAGTTGGGAAGAGCTACACATCACCAGCTCCCTTGAGCTGGTAGGAGCTAGCTCAAGCATGCTACTGCCTCTGAGTCCAACGGATTCAGAAAGGAAGATCTGGTTCCTCCTCCCAAGTAGTGCTAATCTGATAGGGTAGCCAAGCATTTACACGAGATTGCAAGAGAGGGAAGGAAGTACTAAAGTGAAGGCATATAAGGTGCAGGGGAAAGCAACAGGGTATGGTGGTTAACTGTTTGGGGTCTGGTGGGTCATGAAGAAGCTAGTACTTTAACCAGTCTTGAAAGATAGGAGTTCCTGGGGTGGGTGGTGGCACATTCCAGACAAATAAAACAGCAGGGCCGGGCGCAGTGGCTCACACATGTAATCCCAGCACTTCAGGAAGCCGAGGCGGGCAGATCACCTGAGGTCAGGAGTTTGAGACCAACCTGGCCAACATGGCGAAACTTCGTCTCTACTAAAAATAGAAAAATTAGCCAGGCATGGTTACATGGTTACAGGTGCATGCCTGCAGTCCTAACTACTTGGGAGGCTGAGGCAGGAGAATCTCTTGAACCTGGGAGGTGGAGGTTGCAGTGAGCTGAGATTATGCCATTGCACTCCAGCCTGGGTGACAGCCAGACTCCATCTCAAAAGAAAAAACAAAAAACAAAAAACAGCAGGCACAAAAGATCAGAGGACAAGAATAGCATGTTTGGGGAAAAGTATTTGGGGTAGGTTCAAGTCAAGCATGGGAGATGTGGCTGGAGGTCAGATTGTGGAAGGAAGGTCTTGTGTGCCAGCTAAGAAATAGAGAACAGAAAAATCTATCCAGCCACACGCCAATTCATTGACTTCTCTGCCCTGCCTCATTAGAATGAGGCAGCATCAGAGACACGGAGAATAAATACAACACTGTAGAAAATAAGGTGGAAAATGAAGGAAATGAGAGTCAGAGACCACAATTCTATCCCTATTTGTTGAGCCCTGTGATGTACCAGACACTGTTGTCAGTGCTGGGTGGACTGTGAATGCCGGTTCTCAGGGGACTGACAGGATGCTATGTCCACTCAGCAGCGCTCATGGGTATCTCAGAGCCTACTCCATTCTTTGCTATGTCTGAGTAGGGAAGAAAAGAGAAGAAGAAAGAATGAGGGAGTCAGGTAAACAAGGAAAGAGGCATAAAAAGGGAGTCAGGGAAGGGAGTTCTGAGAGAGACACCGTCCACATGGGTTCCTGATGGGCGCTTCCCCTCACAGCAGGCAGCCCAAGCCCAAGCTAAGATTTTTCTGTTTTTTTTTCTTTTTTTCTTTCTTTCTTTCTTTTTTTTTTTTTTTTTTGAGATGGAGGATCTCAGCTCACTGCAACCTCTGCCTCCTGGGTTCAAGCGATTCTCCTGCCTCAGCCTCCCGAGTAGCTGGGACTACAGGTGTGTGCCACCACGCCCGGCTAATTTTTGTATTTTTAGTAGAGACAGGGTTTTGCCATCTTGAACTCCTGAGCTCAGGAGTTCTGCCCACCTCGGCCTCCCAAAGTGCTGGGATTACAGGCATGAGCCACCTCACGTGGCCTGTTGAAATCCTAACCCCAAGGCAATGGTTATTAGGGGGTCTTTGGGAGGTGATTAGCTCTCAAGGGCAGAGCTCTGGTGCAGGGGATTAGTGCTCCTCTAATAGGGGCCTGAGAAAGACCCCTCCACCATGTGAGGTTACAGTGAGAAGATGGCTGTCTATGAGGAAGCAGGCCCTCACTAGACACTGAATCTGCTGCTGCCCTGATGTTGGACTGTCCAATCTCTAGAAATGTGAGAACTAGGCCAGGTGTCATGGTTCACGCCTGTAATCCCAGCACTTTGGGAGGCTGAGGCAGGTGGATTATCTGAGGTCAGGAGTTTGAGACCAGCCTGGCCAACATGGTGAAATCCCATCTCTACTAAAAATACAAAAATTAGCCGGGCATGGTGGCACACCCCTGTAATCCCAGCTACTCGGGAGGCTGAGGCAGTAGAATCGCTTGAACCTGGGAGGTGGAGGCTGCAGTGAGCCCAGATTGTGCCACTACACTCCAGCCTGGGCAAAAGAGTGGACTCCATCTCAAAAAAACAAGCAAACAAAAAAAAAGAAATGTGAGGAATAAATGCCTGTTGTTTATAAACTACCCAGGCGATGTTCGTTATAGCAGTCTGAACTGACGAAAGACACACTGTAAAGCCAAGTTGCAATTTATAACTCCAGGCATATGTTGCTATTTACCCAAAAAGATCAGATATTTTAAATTAGGCAGAAAGATAACCCTGGTCTACCTGTGCCAAGTTCCCCATTTCATCCTAAAGCCAAGGCTCTTTGCTGTTTGTTTTGGGTGTTTGAGGAAAGCAGTGAACCCTCTCCTCAGAAGAATGTACATACACACACTACATAACACAGACACACACTTCCACATGCCACACATACACAAACCACACATGCCACACATATGCTAATCACACACCACACACATACTTCACATGACATCATACACACACACTCCACACATCATACACACACACTCCACACATCATACACAAAACACACTCCACACATCATCATGCACAATACACACACACTCCACACATCATGCACAATACACACACACTCCACACATCATACACACCACACACTCCACACATCACACACTCACACTCCATACATCATACACACATATTCCACACATCATACACGCCACATACACTCCACACATCAGACACACACACTCCACACATCATACACACACACTCCACACATCATACACACACACACACACTCCACACATCATACACACACACTCCACACATCATACACACCACACACACTCCACACATCACACACACACACTCCACATATCATACATGCCACACACATATACTATACACCAAACACACCTCACACATCATACACACCACACACACACCCACTCCACACATACACAGCCCCCACACTCCACACATCATATATACCAGTGGTCCCCAACATTTTTGGCGCCAGGGACTGGTTTCCTGGAAGACAGTTTTTCCATGGACAGGGTGGGGGATGGTTTCAGGATGATTCAAGTACATTACATTTATTGTGCACTTTATTTCTATTATTATTACAGTGTGATATATATAATGAAATAATTATCCAACTCACCATAATGTAGAATTAGTGGGAGCCCTGAGATCCCTTGTTTTCCTGCAACTAGATGGTTCCCACTTGGGGTGCTGGGAGACAGTGACAGATCATCAGGCATTAGATTCTCATGAGAAGCATGCAACTTGGTTTCCTCGAATGCACAGTTCACAATAGGGTTCGTGCTCCTATGAGAATCTAATGCCGTCACTGATCTGACAGGAGGCGGAGCTCAGGCAGTAATGCGAGTGATGGGGAGAGGCTGTAAATACAGATGAAGCTTCGCTCACTTGCCCACTGCTCACCTCCTGTTGTGTGGCCTGGTTCCCAACAGGTACCAGCTGGTGGCCTGAGGGTTAGGGATCCCTAATATATACCATACGCACATGCTCCATACATACACACACATACATACCACACATGCACTCCACATATACACACCACACACACACCCCACATATACCCTCTACACACCTCACACATCATACGTACCACATAGACACGCACTCCACACGTACAGCCCCCACACATGCCACACAACCTAGCGCTGGGGCCAGACAGCTTGCCTCCTGGCTCCGACTCTTTCTAGCTGTGTGCATGGGCAAATTCGTTTACTCCTCTGAGCCTCAGGATCCTCATCTGTAGAATGGGGATAATACACCTTTCTATCTCAGTTGGTGTGAACATAAACTTGGCCAATTCGCTGAACACACTTAGCACAGCACTTAGAACCTATTAGCTGTGTTCAGTATCCTGCTAGTCCAGAGCCCAGGGGGGAGGCTGAGATGAGGCTGGTTTGAAAAGCTCCCTGGCTCACTGCTGATGAGTCACGAGCCACTGACCCTCTGCACTAGGCAGGGCTAGGGGGACCTGGCTTCCTGCCTCACCATGCAGATGCCCTGCTCTCACCTCTGCCGTCATCTTGGCTATAAGCCCTGCGGAGATGGCCCCACTGAGCACGTTCCGCCGCAGGCCGGGGTTCCTGGGGTCCTTGAGGTTGCTTATGCGGCTGCGCACGCGGTTCCGGTACTTCATGTCCGTGCTCTTGAGCTCTTGGTAGATATGTGACACAGTCAAGGGCCGGCCAGCCATTCATGGAGGGGCACAGAAGGGTGCAGGCCTGGCCCTGACGCCTGAGAGCTCCAGAACCCTTTCTTCCTCTCCTCGGACTTCTACAGGAGTTGGGCCCCTCTTTTGTGACCTCTGACTCTCCAAGTGGTGATGTCTCTTGGGCATTTGTGGTCAGCCAAGTAGCAGAGAAAGAAAATAGCTTCTGGGGTAAGATCAGATCATAGCAAGCACTATAGTGTCAGGGACACCAGGACCCTGGGTTTGTCTGAGCCTCTTGTGTGACCTCAGGTGAGTCACACAACCTCTACACGCCTGAGTTTCCTTATTTATAAAATACAAGGATTCTGTGAGCTAAGCCACGTGATGCACTAGTGTGGTGTCTGGGATATATCAAATGCTCAACATGTATGGGCTGCTAAGATGATGACAAGGATGCGGATAACTTCTAGTTTGGAAGGGCCCCTGGAGGTTGTGAGTCCAGCTGTCAGAGGAAAAGATTAAGAGCCACATGTTTAAGGCTCTACGAAGTATTGCAAAAAAGAAACCACTGAGCTTTGTTTAATCTGGTGTTCCCAATAAATTTGATTATAGAGTCCCCTTCCCCTCTGTCCTTTCCCCTACAAGACCTGTTACCATCCCATGGAACCCACGCTGGGAATTGCTGGTCAGAGTTACTTCTCCCATTAACAGATGAGGAAGCTGGGGCTTAGAAAGGGTGTAGGACCTTGCTCAAGGCCACCAGGCAAATTCCCGGCAGAGACAGGGCTGGAAGCCAGACCCCTCCTGACGGTAACTCTCTCCACTCACCCGGCAGGAAGTCATCCCTGGCCACCAACCACAGAGTTTCTGTCCAAACACTGCATCCTAGGCAGGCTTCCGAGCCTCCCACTCCCTCCACCCTCTGGAGGAGCTCGGGGAACACAGCCTCATTTTCTTGGTCTCCTGAGCCAAAGAAGATCAGGAAGACAAAGCTGTTGCTGGGAAGAGCCATATACAATAAAGAGACTGCGGAGAATGTGGAAAAATGAAAACAGATGACTTGCTAGAAGTGGTGGGAGGGGAGGTGGTATTCTTTCTTTTTTCTGTTATTGTTTTAATGTTGTTTGTACAATAAAAGTGTGAAAAGCAAAGAATATGCCACAATGCATGTGAAAGCCAAAAAATGTGTTTTAAAATGTACCACTTGGGATTCCTGGGGTGTATTGATATGCGGAGCCAGCAGGGCTGGCGATACTTTCACCAGCCTCTTTCTGACTCTGTCTCCATGTCCCAAGGCCACAGAGGGGACGAGGCAGAGAGCAGACCGGGGGCACCGGCCCCTCAGAGGAACTTTTGGCTGCATTGTTAGCACAGGGCCACTCCAAAGAGGACAGATCTATTTTAGGACATAGAGCAGTCAAGCCCCCAAATGTACCCTCCCCCTGACCTCCAGCTGGCTAAAAACAAAGAGCTAAAGTGTTTGATGCAGCTTTGATTTCCTCTCCTTTAGAAGAGGGACATTCAGGCTGGGGGTGGTGGCTCACGCCTGTAATCCCAGCATTTTACGAGGCTGAGGAGGGAGGATCACCTGAGGTCAGGAGTTCAAGACCAGCCTGGCCAACATGGTGAAACCCCATGTCTACAAAAAATACAACAAAATTAGCCAGGTGTGGTGGCGGGCACCTGTAATCCCAGCTACTTGGGAGGCTGAGGCAGCAGAATCACTTGAACCCAGAAGGCAGAGGTTGCAGTGAGCTGAGATCATGCCACTGCACTCCAGCCTGGGCAACAGAGCAAGATTCCATCTCAAAAAAAAAAAAAAAAAGGAACTTTCAGTGGATGGAGGAAAGGCTGGGAGTGGAACTTTGTACTGGACCATCTGCTGTTGTTTCAAACTGGGCTTAAAGGTGGAAAGGACCTGCTTGGAGGGATGACTGTTCAGGAGAAAATGAAGATGAAACTCGTGATAGTTCTCATACCTTGTGTTCTGCCTTCTTGAATTAACAGGAAATGATGAAAATGTACTTTTTGAGGTGCTGAATGGCTCCAGACTTGTTGAGGTATTGCTGATTAATCATTAAATGAGAGTAGAGAGAAACCACCAGAAAATAAGTTGGAGGGAATCAGGGTAGGCCACAGGAAGAAGATGGAAACGCAAATTTGTCGTCTGCAGATTGGCCCCTGGCTCTCCTCAACAGACCCTGCTGAACTCCGCAGGTAGAACCCAGGAGCCCTCAAAAGGGTCGCTCACACCTCGGTGTGACACTTAGACTTCCTGTCCCCTGACTGTCTCCCCGCTCCAATACCATGCAAACCTTTGTCTCTAGTAAAAGAAGCTCCATGTTTTCATTCAGTGGGGGCCAAGTGGGGTGGGATTTTTTTTCTCCCAAGCCAAACACCTTTTGGTGCAACAGATCTATGAATACATCCCAGTGGTGGCCACCTCTCCTGTCTACACAAGGCCCCTTTCAGGTGAGAAGTTGGGGAGCAGGGGGCACATGGAAAGGATTCAATACATGGAATCCAAAGACAAAGTCTCCAGTCCCGCTTTGACAGTTCTGAGCCTCAGACTCCTCATCTGTAAAATGGGAACAGTCCCTGCCTCACAGAGAATGCTGTGAGAGCTAACAGAGGTAGGAAGTGTCAATTGGCCATTGCAGTGCTTGATATATATTTGGGAGTAAAAAAACAGAGGGCAGGGCGCTGGGTGTGATGGCTCACACCTGTAATCCCAGCACTTTGGGATGCAAAGGTGGGTGGTGCATCACCTGAGGTCAGGAGTTCAAGACCAGCCTGACCAACATCGTGAAACCCCATCCCTACTAAAAGTACAAAATTAACCAGGTGTGATGGTGCATGCCTGTAATTCCAGCTACTTGAGAGGCTGAGGCAGGAGAATCGCTTGAACCCAGAAGTTGTAGGTTGCAGTGAGGCGAGATTGCGCCATCGCACTCCAGCCTGGGCAACAGGAGTGAAACTCCGTCTCAAAAAAAAAAAAAAAAAAAAAAGGGCGCTGTTAACATCAGAGGATGGGAGAAGGGAAAAGGCTGAGCATGGGAAATGCTGACCTCTCAATCTAGTCTGTTCCTGGAAGTAACGACTTGGCCAACTGAGGCACGCTATTACACAGCCTAGCTGGCACAGCCGCTGAGCCTCCAGGTTCCAGGGTCACAATTTCTGGATTCAGATCCCATCTCTGCTACTACTGTTAGCTGTATGGGCTTTGGGAAATGATTTGACCTCTCTGAGTCTTAGTGACTTCACCCATGAAACTGGATAAATCAGGGAACCTACTGTGGGGTTGTTATCAACACTGAATGAGGTACTGCTCATTTTCAAGTTTTGCTGGCAGGTGTAAAATAATAATGAATGTTAGATAGAATTAAGAACTCTGGTTCAGGGGCAGAGCAGGGGCTGTTCCCGGAGCCCTTCCTCTCCTTCCTCACTCTCCCAGCTCGCTTGCACCTTGGATGGGTGCTGCTAGACGGTGCAGACACCCACAGCCCCGGCACAGTTCAAGGATATGATCTTCGATTTCTGATGCCATCTTGTCACAGTTGACTCCATAGTCCTTGTAATCATCTAAAAGAGATTCGAGAAATACAGGTATCAGCCAGACACAACGTAGGCAGTGAAGCCTGCTTGTACCTGGGACTAGAGTGTTCCTGTACCATCCCTTGGGGTGCTGAGAAAGACTGAATTTCATCTGCCCTCAGTGAGATTGGGAAAAGGGACTCCTTCCCTCCCTCATCCCTAGCCCAGGCTCTCTCACCGTCCGCCTTCAGGGCTGCTGACAGCATCTCCACACACTTGTCCCGGACAGAGTCCCCTGTGAGATAGCAGGGGGCCAGGAGACACATGGAAGAGGCAAACGTGGGGGTCAAGGGGCTGCTAGGTGTTTTGGGGCTCTCCGCTTTTGATTTGCTGCTGTTTGATCTGAGGATGACAATAAGTAACAGACATTTGACATTAAGAGAGTAAAGCATTTATTGAGCAGCATTCTAGATGTCTTGATGGATGATCTCCTATAATCCTCATAACAACCTCATGAGGTAGGTACTATTTTAGGCACTTGACATGGATCATCTCATTTAATCCTCGTGACAACCCCATGAGGTTGATACTATTCTCATCCCCATTCGAGAGATGCATTTTAAAGTGCATGGTAGAGAAAGATGTATCTAAAGGTGCACTTGGCTCAGATAACACATCGACGAACCAGTAGAAACAGAATTCAAACCCAGGCAGTCGGCTCTTAACCAGCCACTGTGCGTTACTCATTATAGAACAGTGTAACACCACCAATAATTATATGCAATTGATTAGGCACTGTGCTAGCTGCTCTCTATCTATGCTCTCCTAAATGTATGAACTGTTTATTCACTCATTCACTAAATATTTATTACAAACCTATTCTCCAGGCGCTTGTCAAGAACAAAGGATAATGCAGATAAGTCAGCAAAGCTCCTTCCCTTAAGGGGCTTACAGTCTAGTGAATAGTGACTATCTACCACCATTTAAAAGGGCTGGCTTTGCTAGATGCCAGAACTGTGCCAGGCACTTTAAAAGAATTTTCCAATTTAATCTTCATAGCAGTCCCAGGAGGTATACTCTCATCATCTCTATTTTAAGACGAGGAAATAAACCCAGAGAGGTACACCACTGAGATTTGCCTAAGGCTATACACCACCAGGATTTGAATCCACATCTGTCTAATTCCAACATCTATGCTCTTTTTATTAATTTATTTTATTTTTTGAGACAGGGTCTCTCTCTCTCTCTCTGTCACCCAGGCTGGAGTGCAGTGGTGCAGTCATGGCTCACTACAGCCTTGACCTCCTGGGCTCAGGCAATCCTCCCACCTTAGCCTCCAAGGAGCTGGGACCACAGGAGCACGCCATCATGCCTGGCTAATTTTTACCTTTTTTTGCAGAGATGGGATCTCACCATGTTTCCCAGGCTGATCTAAAACTCCTGGACTCAAGCAATCCATCTGCCTTGGCCTCCCAAAGTGCTGGGATTACAGGTGTGAGCCACCACACCCAGCCAACACCTATGCTATAATCTATGATGTACTATCTAAGAATTATCTCATTCAGGTTTTGTTTATATATATGTATATATGTATATATATATATATATATATATATATATATATATCCATATGTGCACAGACATTTAGAAGGCTAACTATGTGGCTCAATCTGTCATAACAAAATATCAGACTGGGAGGCTTCACTAGCAGAAATTTATTTCTCATGGTTCTGGAGGCTGGGAAGCCCAAGATCAAGTTGCTGGCCAATTTGCTTTCTCATGAGGGCTCTCTCTTTGCTTGTGAATGGCAGTCTTCTCATTGTATTCACATGGTGTCTCTTCTCATAGGGACACTAATCCTATTGGATCAGGGCTCCACCCTTATGACCTCATTTAACCTTAATGAAGGCCCTATCCCCAAATACAGTCACAATGGGGTTTGGGATTTCAACATATGAATTTTAGGGGGTCACAAACATTCAGCCCATAATACCATGTTAATAGCAATTATCTCTCTGAGGTGGAATGATAGGAGATTTTCATTTTCTTCGTTTGCTTATGCCTATTTGCTAAATCTTCTATACAGAATTTATCTACTTTTGCGATGTGAGAAACCTTTTTTTTTTTTTTTTGAGAGGGTGTCTCACTCTGTCATCCAGGCTGCCAGGCTGGAGTGCAGTGGCACAATCTTGGCTCACTGTAACCTCCACCTCCCGGATTCAAGTGATTCTCCTGCCTCAGCCTACCTAGAAGCTGGGATTACAGGCATGCACCACCACGCCCAGCTAATTTTTGTATTTTTAGTAGAGATGGGGTTTTGCCATGTTGGCCAGGCTGGTCTTGAACCCCTGACTTCAGGTGATCCACCTGCCTTGGCCTCCCAAAGTGTTGGGATTACAGGCATGAGCTACTGTGCCCGGCCAAAAAAATGCATTCTTGGCAGAAATGATGGAAGTGTAGAAGGCCAAGGTTTGCATGGGCAATGTCAAAGGGCTCAATGCAGCTGGAGCGTGAGGGTGAGGGAGCTTGTAAGAAGGAGAGGGAGTTGGAGAGAAAGGATCTAACCAGACTCTGGGGTTTGTTAAGGATGGTAAAACAAAAGCCACCATTTACCACTGCTCTGCTGTTTATTCTTTTTGGTAACCCTAAAAGTCACAAATTACTGGGCCCATTTTACAGATGATGGAATGGAGCCTTGAAGAAGTGAAGTGTGTCAATCATAGCTCACTGCAATCTCGAACTCCTGGGCTCAAACAATCCTCCTGCCTCAGCCTCCCAAGTAGCTAGGACTGACTACAGGCAGATGCCGCCACACCAGGCTTTTTTTTTTTTTTTGTAGAAATGGGGGTCTCAATATGTTGCTCAGGCTGGACTCAAACTCCTGGCCTCAAGTGATCCATTCGCCTTGGCCTCCCAATGTGCTGAGATTACAGGCATGAGCCACTGTGCCTGGCAAGACTTTGTGATAGTTGCACAACTCCCTCCCTCCCAAGATGTTTTTGCACTATTCTTTAGGGTAGGAGCCAGGAAGTCAGGAAGTCTCTGTCTTCATTCCTCTGCTCTTCTCACCTCCTTTTTCAATAACCCATCAGAATCTGCCAGCCAGCCCCTATATCTCTGTTGAGAAAAAAGTGGACTCATCAGAGTTGAAAAAATTAAGGTCCCCTCCTGGAGTGAAATTAAGACCCACTCGAGGGTCTTACCAAACTGAGCCCTTGTGGAAGCGCCCAGAGAGCTGCTGCATTTCCTCACTCCAGGAGGCACCATTTACATTAGTAGCTTGGTACCTCCTGTAATTATACAGTGCACAGCCTGGGCAGCTGCGCCAGGCAGCCTTGGGGCCTGGATCCACAGCTGCTTCTCATGTTCACTTTCAGGCTGTGGACATGCTACTTCCTTTCAGGAAGAAGAGGATTCTGGACTTCTGACAAAGTCTCTCAGGCCCAGGGAGTTGTGTCTGAGAGTGAGGCTAACTGAGTAGCCCAGGCTTCTCAGGATCAACAACCTGGAGTTACCAGAGAATCCCATCCAACATCCTGCTGGGCACAGCTCAGTGTGGACTCTGCTGGTGACCTCCCTGTCCCCCACCTCTTGCTGTTTGGCCTGACCTTGGATCTCCTCTTTCACCCCAGACCCCTGGACCTTTGGGATTTTTGCATTCTCTAGAGACTTGAGGTTCCTCAAAAGTGCCTCCATGCATACCGGTGAGGTGGGCTGGGGATGGTAAACTCTGTTCTTGTAAGGTTTACATTTTGAATTTCTAAAAATTTTGTCCAAAGGGATTCATTTCCTAGCTTTTATTTATTTTTAATGCAGTTTGAAACTTACTGTCCTAGATTAATCTAGCCTTAATTCTACCCGACCCTGCCTGACAACTGGGTTGCCTGGCAGCATGGTGGAGGGACAGGGAAGCTGAGATCCAAGCAGATTTCTCCTGGAGTCAGATTGCAGCAGGAGGTTTGGGTGAGGAAAGGCTGGACAGGGCGTGAACTCGCGGGGCTGTTGGCATCCAAAACGGATGTTCCTGCCCCCAAGCCTGATCCTGGTCACAGGGTTCCCACCTGAACAGTCACAATAGCCCCAAAACTGGTTTCCCTGTGTCCTCTTCCCCCACTATAATCCATTTGCCAAAGAGCCGCCAGAGGGACTTTTCAAAAATTCACAGCGGATCAAGTCACTCCCCTGCCTCTAACCCTCCAACACAGGGGTTCCCACCCCCTGGGGCCACGGACTGGTACCAGTCTGTGGCCTGTTAGGAACCGGGCCACACATCAGGAGGTGGGCCCTGTTGTGAACTGCGCATGTGAGGGATCTAGGTTGCACGCTCCTTACGAGAATCTAATGCCTGATGATCAGAGGTGGAACAGTTTCGTCTTGAAACCATCCCCTACAAACCCTGGTCCATGGAAAAACCGTCTTCTATGAAACCAGTCCCTGGTGCCAAAAAGGTTGGGGACTGGTGGTGTAACAGCTTCCAATTATTTTTAGCATAAAGTAAAACTCCTGGCCGGGTGCAGTGGCTCATGCCTAAAGTCCCAGCACTTTGGCAGATCGAGGTGGGAGGATCACTTTGGTCAGGAGTTTGAGACCAGCCTGGCCAACATGGCGAAACACTGTCTGTACTAAACATATAAAAATTAGCTGGGTATGGTGGCGCATGCCTGTAATCCCAGCTACTCAAAAGGCTGAGGCACAAGAATCGCTTGAACCCGGGAGGTGGAGGCTGTAGTGAGCTGAGATCATGCCATTGCACATCAGCCTGAGTGACCGAGTGAGACTGTGTTTCCAAAAAAACAAACAAAAACAAAACCAAAAGCTCACCACAGCCTCCCAGCCCCTGCACGTCCTGCCCCTACCCACTTTCTGATGTAATCTCATGCCATGCTCTCCGCATGGTTTACGGAAGGCCTCCACAGCACTGCTTCTTTCTGTTCCTTAAACATACCCATCCCTCCCACTGCCGGGCCTTTGCACAGGCTGGTCTTCCTTCCTGGAATGCTCTTCCTCCTCCAGGTCTCAGCTCGCATGAGGGAGGCCTTCCCTCACCACCTCAGCTGAGGCTGATGGTCCCCGCCCTGTAATTCTCTAGCACATCACCTGATTTCTCGCTTTTACAGCACTTATCCAAGTGTATGATTAGCTTGTTTATGTGTTTATAAACATCGTCTGCCTCCATCTCCAGATTACAGGCTCCAGAGTATTGGGACCCTGTCACGGGTTCACCACTGCATTCCAGCTCCTGTAACAGTGCTCTAGGTGGACACTTGATACATCATTGCTAAATGGATGGATAAATGAATAAATGAATGAATACATGATGAATTGAGGAACTGACCACAGAGAGATGAAAGGCACACCCAGAGGGTCCCCCAGGGCTGAAATGTGGAAAGAGGAAGGTCCTCTTTGGAAGGACAGTGGCCCCACTCTCTGGGCCTAAGAGAGGGATCTCTCTCTCTGGGAGTACGAGAGGGATCTCTCTCAAAGCCAGCCTCTGTCAACTCCCAGGACCCAGGCAACGCCATCTCCTGCAGCTGGGATGGTGTCTCGCTGACCTGTGCGTGCCATTGCACATTCTCAACAGCTATGACTCACCACAGGAAAACTGTCAGGGGAGCCTGCAGCATGCTGCTTTGAAGGAGCCCCAACGAATGACAGTAATAATGGTGGTCGTTTTTGAAACGACTGCACTGAGTTGGTTTACTTATTAAGAACCTAGTCTCTGGAGCCAAACTCCCAGGTTCACAGCCTGAGACCAACACTTTGTAGCTATGTGACCTTGGGTGAGTTCCTTAACCCCTAGGTGCCTCAGTTTTTTTCACACGTAAAATCGGAATAATAATAGTACCCATCTTATGGGGCAGATGAAAGCAACTAAGTGACAAAGTATTAGGCAGTTTACATAGATAACCAGGTTTCATATGAGTATTATTACAAAGTATTATGTATTTATTGAGCATTTACATGGTTTGGGAACAGTGCTGGGTATTTCATTACCTCATTTAATCCTCACAATGACCTTGAAAGGGGTTCATAATTGTCTCCATTTTACAGATCAGTAGACTGAAGCTCAGAGAGCTGAACTGAATTATCCATCCAAGTTACTGCCCCAAGTTATCCATCCAACTAGCAAAGGGTATAGTCAGACCACGAACCTGCCTGTCGCCCTTCCAAATTCTTTTCAACACATCAACTGTGTCTTTAAAAGAGAGGTTTCCAGAGTCCTCCTACCTGAGCAAGACTAGGCTGTTTGGAGCATTTCTTCCCACCTTCCTGGCAGGGCACACCCAGCCCTGGTCCCGCCTCCCCGGTTAGGAGCTGGCTGGCTGGCTGGAATTCGTGTCTGGGCAGCATTTCAGGCAGCCACACTCATTTTGCTTTCAATGCACACGCCTGGGAACTGAGCCAAACTGCAGAGAGGGCATCATCGGCCGGGGTGGGAGGTTGGATTTATCAACAGCTTCCTTCTGCTCCCCGGATGTGCCCGCACCGCACCAGTCCTTAGAAAATCCTCCTGCCCCAGGTCTGAGTAGAGGCATCTGGAGGCCGGGCCCGCTGCTTCTGTGCGCCACCTCGAGGGCATTTCAGTTACTGCATCAGCGAGCATGCTCTGCAAATGGCAAATCATTCTGATAGCCAGGTAAAAGGACAACTGAGAACAGTCAACTTTCTCCCCTGTCAACATGGTATCCTCCGTGGTCTGCTTCCTGGTACTCCAGCTACAGTTCCCAGAGCATCGTGCTCACTCCCACTTCCACACCTTTGGGTGTGCCATTTCTTTCTGCTTGAAATGACTCTCCTGACTCGCCTCCCAAACTCCTCCTATTGACTTTCCATTCTCAGCTCAAATACTTTCTCTTCCACGAAGCCTCCTTTGACTTTTATAGTCATATTGAGACATGCTTCCTATGTTCCCACGGTGTTTTATACCTACCCCTTTCTAAAAACATGCATTTTGGTGTCTGCCTCTGCACTCATGGTTAGCCCTAAGAAGGGAGAGGTGATGAGTTTCAACCTTTGCCTGGCCTTACAGGTCAAAAATGGGTGAGCTACAAATATGTTTTGTCTCCCTATTGTGTCTTAGAAAAATGTGAATATGTTGCTGATACTGAAAACTGGGAGTTTTGGCCAGGCGCGGTGGCTCACACCTGTAATCCCAGCACTTTGGGTGGTTGAGGCAGGAGGATTTCTTGAGCCCAGGAGTTCGAGACCAGCCTGGGCAACAAAGTGAGACTCTGTCTCTACAAAAAAAAAATTTTTTTTAAGTTAGCTGGGTGTGGTGGTGTGCACCTGTGGTCCTAGCTACACGGGAGGCTGGAGCAGGAGGATTGCTTGAGCCCAGGAGGTTGAGGCTGCAGTGAGCCCTGTTTATACCACTGCACTCCAGCCTGGGTGAGATCCTGTCTCAGAAAAGGTGGTGTCGGGGAGTTCCATATGAAAATCTAGGTGTCTGGCTTTTCTTTAAAAAATTGGAAGACATGGCACCCTGGACCTGCATTTCCCCAAAGCAACAATCAGCTGCAGTGGGGTAGTGGCTGCCCCCTTCAGACAGGCACATACTTTCTAGTTTGCCATGATCTCCACTAGTCACCCCGTGTATGCATGTGCTCTTGATCCCCAGAGAATGTTGAATTTGCAAGGAAGTGCTCAATAGATGTGCTTGCCAAATCAATGAATGGATGAAAGAACGGAAGAGAAAAATGAAATAGAGAAGTAAATCATGCAGGAAACAGTCTGGGTAGGAGACAAATTAATGAGATTTGCTGCCTGGCACGGTGGCTCACACCTGTAATACCAGCACTTTGGGGGGCCGAAGAGGGTGGATCACAAGGTCAAGAGATCGAGACCATCCTGGCCAACATGGTAAAACCCCGTCTCTACTAAAAATACAAAAAATTAGGTGGGCATGGTGGCACATGCCTGTAGTCCCAGCTACTTTGGAGGCTGAGGCAGGAGAATCACTTGAATCCGGGAGATGGAAGTTGCACTGAGCCGAGATCGTGCCACTGCACTCCAGCCTGGCAACAGAGCGAGACTTCATCTCAAAAAAAAAAAAAAATTAATGAGACTTCCTTGTGTCCCTTTTGGTTTCCTACCCTCAGTACTGAACCAGCAGGAAATGGCACAGCTTCTGGAAGGACAAACAGATTCTGTTTGACTGACCTTCAGAGAAAGAATGCATTAGGGGAGGGAGCCAGGAGATTTCAAGACCATGAAGACAAAGTCAGGAGAGGAGTCTGGAGGCTCAAATCCTTACATGAATGTCGAGTGTTTTGATTACAGCATCAAACCTAGAATGTCATTAGTGACCAGTGTTTCATCTGGGGATAGGATGACGCTTCATTATCCAGGAAAGTCCTTCACTCTCCGGGGCACTTGGCATCTCTGGTTCCTGCCACGAAATGTCAGGAGTATCCCCCTCCTTCTCACCTTACCCCTACTTTGGCCCAAGTCATAGTGACAACCATAAACGCCTCCACACATTTCTAAATGACCCCTGCTGAGATCCACTGGTCTAGAACCAGGATGACACTGGAACCACCATTTCTAGGCCTGACCCACATCAGACATTGCTAATTGACTACAGAACTTTTTCTACAGCCTCAGACTCCCTCTCCAATCAGCACTCCAGATAGCTTCCATGCATCAGCTGGAGCTGGCTGCCATGTTGGAGGTGTGCAATACAGCCTAGGCCCGTTGAATCTTCATAAAACCTTAAACAACCTAATTTTTGTGTCTCTAATTTTCTTTCCAATGGCAATCTTACTGATACATTAGGCTTAAAATAATTCTGCAGCTCTCACACCTACTCTCCCAGAGGCCAACACCCTTATCATCCCACCAAGGTGCCCCAAAACCCAATGTGGCCCATGGACCCTAATCGTTCTCCTTGATCTGCTGCTTGGCCACTTCCTGGCCTGGCCTGCTCTCCTTGGCCCTGTTTCTCCTGCTCTGACCTCTGACCACTCTCTTGGACCACACTTCACACCCACTCCTTTATCCACAATCTTTCCTTGGTGCCCTCATCCAGGTTCTTCAGATGTCAGTTACACACTAATGACTCTACAATTTTTGTTTTGTTTTGTTTTGTTGTGTTGTGTTTTGTTTTGTTTTGAGATGGAGTCTCGTTCCATCCCCCAGACTGGAGTGCAATGGCGCAATCTCAGCTCATGGCAACCTCCGCCTCCCGGGTTCAAGTGATTCTTTTGCCTCAGCCTCCTGCCACCACGCCCACTAACTGTTGTATTTTTAGTGCAGACGGGGTTTTGCCATGTTGGCCAGGCTGGTCTCGAACTCCTGGCTTCAAGTGATCTGCCCGCCTCGGCCTCCTAAAGTGCTGGGATTACCGGCATGAGCCACCGCACCTGGCCTTGACTCTGCAATTTATATTTCCAGCTGAGACTTTCTTCCTGAGTTGTAGCCTCATATAATCCAACTGCATATTTGACTTCTCCAACTGAATGACTAACACACGCCTCAAATCCAACACATCGAGACCTGAACTCTGGATTTTCCACCCCAAGCCTGATTTGCATAAGCACAGTCTTCCCCATGCCAATTCATGGCAACTCCATCCTTGCAGATGCTCAAGTGAAAAATCTTGGACTCATCCCTGACTCCTCTGTTTCTCTCATTCCTCACATCCAATCTGTCAGGAAGTTCTGTCAGCTTTCCTGTCAAGATATATCCGGAAACCACCCCTTCACCCCACTTCCACCATTACCTCCCTGATCCAAGCCACCATGATATCTTGCCTGAATTACCGCAACAGCCTCCTGGCTGGTGTTGCTGTTCCTTCATTCCTGGCACAGCAGCCAGAGCCATCCTGATAAATTTGGTGACATCATTCCCGCCCTCAGTACCCTCCAATAGCTCCAGCTTTACTCATTCCCCCAACCCTCCCCTTCGCTTAAACTGCTCCAGCCCTCAGCCACTTCACTGTTCCTTGACTCTGCCAGGCACACCCCCACCTCAGGGCACTTGGCTTGGAATGACCCCAGTATCTGCTTGGCTAAATCCCTCTTTCAAGCTTTTGCCTAACGATCACTTCCTCGATGAGGACTTTTCTGACAACTCCATGAATATCCTTCCCCGATCCTCTTCCCTCTCCTCTTTTGATTTCCACAGGACTTGTCACCTTCTGAACTTTACCTGTCTCCCCCTACTTAGAATAAAGGCCCCCATCACTGCAGGGATTTTTGTCTCTTTTGTGCATGTCTGTATCCCTGGCACCTAGGATAGTTCTTGACACATAATAGGCCCTCAATAAATATTTGATGACTAAATGACTTGATGATTTATGCTAATTTTGGGTAGACATCCTAGCCAGTTCAGCCCAAATCCAGAGAGAGCCCATTCCAGGTATAGGCTTTCTTTCTTTTTCTTTCTTTTCTTTTCTTTTTTGTTTTGTTTTGTTTGTTTTGTTTTTGAGATGGGGTCTCACTCTGTTGCCCAGGTTGGATTGCAGTGGCGCGATCTCGGCTCACTGCAACCTCTGCCTCCTGGGTTCAAGCGATTCTCCTGCCTCAGCCTCCCGAGTAGCTGGGATTACAGGTGCCCACCACCATGCCTGGCTAATTTTTGTATTTTTAGTAGAGGCGGGGTTTTGCCATGTTGGCCAGGCTGGTCTCAAACTCCTGACCTCAAGTGATCCGCCTGCCTCGGCCTTCCAAAGTGCTGGGATTACAGGCATGAGCCACTGTGCCCAGCCTAGGTATCGGCTTTCAAGACCTCTGTCCCCACTGGGTTCAATCGGACCTTGAGACTGGTCCCCTGACAGTGATGGGGCAACAGCAACCAGTCAGCCACCCCAGGGAAGGAGCCACACCCCTGATTCGGGGGCACACTTGCTAAATGGATGGATGAATGAATAAATGAATGAATACATGATGAATTGAAGAATTGACCACAGAGAGATCAAAGGCACATCCAGAGGGTCCCCCAGGGCTGAAATGTGGAAAGACTGTGTGGGTCTTAGAATACGGGGGCAACATAATGTAGGAGGTTTCTTCCTTCCCTCCTTTCCTCTGCCTTGGGCTTCCTCCATAAAAACAGAGAAGGGGACACAGGCTGAATAGGACACTGGGATGGAGAAAGCTGTGGTTTCCTTTACCTTTCCACCGATGGTCTTTTTGGAGAGGAGGAGGCAGAAGACTTGGAGTCCACAGAGTCTCTCCTGAAAGAAGAAAATTGGCAAGGAGACTGCTTTGTAGACTAGCATCAGTACTGACAGGAAGGTGGGGAGAAAGCATCCTGGGAAAAGGCCAGCTGGCTTGAGGCTAAGGAAGCCCACCCGGGCCACAGCTACTTGGGAGAGGGAGCTCCAGGCGGTGCCGGCTGGTCATGACCTTCACCTACCCTCCATCAAGTGAACCAATACAAGGGAAGGAAGTCGATATCTGCCAAGGGCCTAACACATGCCATGTATGTGACATGGGTTGTGTTGCTCATTATTTACAACTATTCTCAGCAGGTCCCTGTCCTCCTGGCTGTCAGGCAGGCCTTAGCTAACTGGAGTCCACAGAGACTGGATTCCTGGAGTTGTCTGTACTCATCTGGAACCAGAGAAACAGAGAAATCAGCTTCAGCCTCCCCGGCAGGCACTTTAGGAGGAGGAGAGGAGAAACACATGGGCCTTGGGGATAGAAGAGCTGAGTTAAAATAGCAATCAAAAAAGCAGGAGACAAAATTAGATGCGGACTGTGCCTAAAGTCACGCAAGAAAACCAATGCATAGGAGGAAAAGCAGATCTAAAGAAAATATACTCAAATGCTAACCACTGTTACAGCTAGGGTGATGGGATTAAAGGTGATTTTTTCCCAATTTTTCCAAAATGCATTCAGCTACATTATTTTTATGATATATAATATAGTTATTCCTTTTACTGGTTTTAAAAAATCAATCTGTTTGTTAATTGCAAACCCCACTCCCCATCTCACTTACCCTGCCTTCCTTTTAATTCCATAGCACGTGTCACCTTCTAGCATACTACATAATTGACTTTTTTTCTTTGAGACAGAGTCTCACTCTGTCACCCAGGCTGGAGTGCAGTGGTGCTATCTCGGCGGCTCACTGCGACCTCCACCTCCTGGGTTCAAGTGACTCTCCTGCCTCAGCCTCCTGGGTAGCTGGGACTTACAGGCGTGTGCCACCATGCCTAGCTAATTTTTATATTCTTAGTAGAGAGGGGGTTTCACCATGTTGGCCAGGCTGGTCTCAAACTCCTGACATCAGGTGATCTGCCCACCTCGGCCTCCCAAAGTGTTGGGATTACAGGTGTGAGCCACTGTGTCTGGCCAATTTACTTATTTATATTTAATTATATTTATTGTCCGACACCCCATGTAAATTCCACAAGAGCAGCATTTGGTGGGTTTTGGTCACTGTGGTGAACATTGTCTGTGCTCAGCCCAGTTTCCCTTGGGTGCTCACTCTCTCAGTGCCTCTGGACCCAAGAGCTGCCTCCTGCAAGCTCCCCAGGGCCTCTGTCTGAGGGAGTTCTTCCCCACAGCTAGGCTGGCTGGAAGTGCTGGTCACTAATTAATGACCCCAGGAACAGCCCTCCACCAGACACATGGGAGAGGGGAAGAGAGGTCCTCATTCACATGCCCCTGCACTCCCACAACAGGCCCTGGGAGTTCTTCTGTGGGGCTTCTCCCTAGTGCACCTTGGGGATAGACAATGCAAGCAGGAACCATAAGCTGGAATTCCTACAGTGGGAGAGGGGAGAGAAGACACGAGACTCCACCCTGGAGAACCACTTTCTGACTCTTCCTCATTGCTTTTCTTTTTAGAATAAATCAGAAATACTCCGCAGTTATTGCAAATGACTGTTATGAAAACTGTTCAGGAACATAAAAAAATGCTTAGAATACAATAGCAAGATAAATAAAAAGGTGACATATTAGTCGATACTAGAGCTAGAGCATCAGGAAAAGTCTAAAGATTAGACCGTAAGAAAATAGAAACCAGCTGGGCGCAGTGGCTCACACCTGTAATCCCAGCACTTTGGGAGGCCAAAGTGGGCAGATCACTTGAGTCAGGAGTTCAAAACCAGCCTGGCCAACATGGTGAAACCCCATCTCTACTAAAAATACAAAAATTAGCCGGGCATGGTGGTGTGCACGTGTAATCCCAGCTACTCGGAGGCTGAGGCAGAGGAATCACTTGAACCTGGGAGATGGTGGTTCCAGTGAGCTGAGATTGTGCCACTGCACTCCAGCCTAGGCAACAGAGGGAGACTCCATCTCAAAAGAAAAGAAAAGAAAGAAAATAGAAACCATGTTTCAAAGACCTGTATTACAGGTACTTCATCAGTTTGTAAGGCATGAGTCCAAAACAGCTAGCAGTTTGGTTCTTGAAAGATCCCTGAATTGTATGCAGTTACTTGGACAAGTGGGTTAGGACCTTATCATGAGACAGATGGAAGGAAATACTCCAGCACAATATTTTCTCTAGCAACAAATGAGATGTGGTGATCAGGGGACAGGAAAGTGTACCAAATGGGTGATGTCTGTCAAGATGACATGGCACAGAATATCAGCATTCTAGCCAGGCCCTGGAGATGTGGCACATCAGTGAAAAAGGGGTCTGGAATTTATGTTTATTTTTATTTATTTATTTTGAGATGGAGTCTCAATCTGTCACCCAGGCTGGAGTGCAGGGGCACCATCTTGGCTCACTGCAACCTCCATCCCCTGGGTTCAAGAGATTCCCATGCCTCAGCCTCCCGAGTAGCTGGGATTACAGGCACGCGCCACCATTCCCGGCTAATTTTTTGTATTTTTAGTAGAGATGGGGTTTTGCCATGTTGGCCAGGCTGGTCTCGAACTTCTGACCTCAAGTGATCTGCCTGCCTTGGCCTCCCAAAGTGCTGGGATTACAAGCATGAGTCACTGCACCCAGCCAGAGGTCTCGAATTTATGCAGAAGAAAAAGTAGACTATGGTGAATACACGGATAAAAATAATGGGAGGCGACAAGCAACAACAATCATAGTGAGGCAGAAATTTAAAAATAAATATGCATTCATTCACCCCAAGAAAAGTAACAGGCAAGGCAAGGGTTAAAAAGAAAAGAACAGGTTTTCCTCTGCCTAGCAAGCTCACTTCAAGGACAGTTATAAGATAATGCTGTTTGGGAAACCAAGGCCAAAGGAATGGGCTCCAGACACCCCTCCCCTCCAGAGCAAGGTTGAAGGAAAAAAAGAGAGAAAGACAAATTCCTTTACTATTACTCCTTTCCCTGACTTCTTAAGCATGACTATGTTTTACAAATGTCTGTATTTAGCCAGTTCTTGTTTTTCTTTCAATGCAGCTACAAGGCTGCCAGCTATGCAAGGCCACAAGTTATGCTATGCTATAGATTATGTGACCTATCATATGATTAACTGCTTTTGTTTTGCTTCTGTAAGCCTGCTTGTAAAAACCCCGCTCTGTCTTTGCTAAAATGCTCAGCTGTTTAGATACGAATCCACTGAGCCGGTGCATACCTTAAATAAACAACCCTCCTGCTCTCCTATTGGTCTCTCTGGTCCTCAGTTTCCTGCAATGATAGCTGATAGTAGGATATTTCTGAGTGACCAGACAAAGGAGAAGGCATAGAATGGGTGATTCTTCTTCGGCCATTGTTTGCTACAGTCTCATTTCCAAATCACGTATAATCTTTATAGTTCCTAAGGACAAAAATTCAAATACTGTTTTATATTTAAAAAAATAATTTGCACCCATAGTCCCAGCTACTCAGGAGGCTGAGGTGAGAGGATCACTTGAGCCTAGGAGTTGCAGGCTGCAGTGAGCTGTGATTGCGCCACTGCACTCCAGCCTGGGCAACATGGTGAGACTCTGTCTCAAAAAAAAAAAAAAAAAAAATGGCCGGGCATGGTGGCTCACACCTGTAATCCCAGCACTTTGGGAGGCTGAGGTGGGCGGATCACTTGAGGTCAGGAGTTCGAGACCAGCCTGAGCAACATGGAGAAACCCCTTCTCTACTAAAAAAAAAATACAAAAATTAGCTGGGCATGGAGGCACATGCCTGTAATCCCAGCTACTCGGGAGGCTGAGGCAGAAGAATCACTTGAACCTGGGAGGCGGAGGTTGCTGTGAGCTGAGATCGTGCCATTGCACTCCAGCCTGGGCAACAAGAGTGAAACTCCATCTCAAAAAAAAAAAAATTGTACAGTCTGCCTAAAGGAATGGAAAAATTATGTATGTAGTTAAACCAGGCCTGGGAGAGGAGAGGAAGAAAAATAAAAGCTGCTTAATTTGTCTGATGTGCACAAATATTTCCCATGCTTATTCTAAGTTTCACTAATGTGGTTACAGTGTTTGTATAATGAATTATCATTAAGAAAACTAAAAAGGAAGGAAATTAATTAACTGAGCTGAAATAGGACCCCCGACAACTGGCTTCTCCCAGCAGAATGAGGAGATACCTCTCCATTTTCTGCTCAGCACCAGCGACAGCTTCATTTCTGAGCCCCATGGCTGTGAAAAGTGAGTGGGCATAACAATTTAGTGTCCCAGGAAAATGTATAGTGCATTTCAAATTTTATTAACAAAATATAAATATAAATGTACATATGAATGTTCTTTTTTTCTTTTTTTTTAGACTGAGTCTCACTCCTCACCCAGGCTGGAGTGCAGTAGTGCGATCTCGGCTCACTGCAACCTCCTCCTCCCAGGCTCAAGTGATCCTCCCACCTCAGCCTCCCAAGTGGCTGAGAACACAGGTGCACGCCACCACGCCCGGCTAATTTTTTTTTACTTTTAATAGAGATAGGGTTTCGCCATTGGTCTCTAACTCCTGAGCTCAAGTAATCCACCTGCCTCCACCTCCCAAAGTGCTGGGATTACAAGCATGAGCCACTTTGCCCAGCCCATATGTATGTTCTTTTTGTTTTAAAGACAGAATCTCGCTCTGTCATCCAGGCTGGAGTGCAGTGGGGTGATCTTGGCTCACTGCAACCTCAGCCTCCCAAATTCAAGCGATCCTCCTGCCTCAGCCTCCCAAGTAGCTGGGATTACAGGTACCCACTACCATGCCCAGCTAATATTTGTATTTTTAGTAGAGACAGGGTTTCACCATGTAGGCCAGGCTGGTCTTGAACTCCTGACCTCAAGTGATCTGCCCGCCTTGGCCTCCCAAAGTGCTGGGATTAAGGGCGTGAGCCACTGAGCCTGGCCTGGCCTGTATGTTCTTAAAAAACTACAAAGATATACATTAAAATGTTAACAATGGTTATTTCTGTTATTTTCTTCTTGTGCTTGATTTTCTAAACTTTTTACACTAAACACACCTTGCTACTGAAATGAATACATTTATGTACATGAAAAGGTTACAAAATAGTATACAGAGTGTAATTCAATTTTATTAAAACAAATAGGTATTTTATACCTATTTATAGGTAGTAATGCATAGGAATAGTCTAGCAGGATGTATATATATATATATATATATATAAATTTTATATGTATATATACACACAATTATATGTGAGTGCTTGTTTCTAGATAATAAATGATATTTTATTTTACTTTATTTTATTTTATTTTTTGAGACAGAGTCTCATTCTGTAGCACAGGCTGGCGTGCAGTGGCACGCTCTCAGCTCACTGAAACCTCCGCCTCCTGGGTCCCGGTTCAAACAATTCTCCTCCTCAGCCTCCCAAGTAGCTGGAATTACAGGCATGTACCACCATGCCCAGCTAATTTTTGTATATTTGGTAGAGATGGGGTTTCACCATGTTGGCCAGGCTGGTCTCGAACTCCTGACCTCATGATCTGCCCGCCTCAGCCTCCCAAAGTGCTAGGATTATAGGCATGAGCCACCGTGCCTGGCCCTTATCTTTTGTTTTGTTTTGTTTTGTTTTTAAGACGGAGTCTAGTTCTGTCGCCCAGGCTGGAGTGCAGTGGCACGATCTTGGCTCACTGACACTTCTGCCTCCTGGGTTCAAGTGATTTCCTGCCTCAGTCTCCTGAGTAGCTGGGATTACGGGGCACCCGCCAACAGGCCCAGCTAATTTTTGTATTTTTAGTAGAGACAGGGTTTCACTGGGTTGGCCAGGCTTGTCTTGAACTCCTGACCTTGTGATCCACCTGCCTCAGCCTCCCAAAGTGCTGAAATTACAAGCATGAGACACTGCACCCGGCCTATTTTCTTATTTATTTGTATTTTTAAAACTTTCTACAATGAGCAAGTAATTATCTGTATTATAAAAAATACAAAATCGCTAAACTAAGACAACTAAAATATAATTAAAGACTATTACAAATAAAACATTTTATTTTTAAGAAGAAAGAACGGAGAAAATGATGTCTGTGTTTCAGGCCATAATACTGAGTCTCAGAGAAGAAGGCCATAAGTGACAAGTTCAGCCCAGAACCTGGCTTTCTGCTTTTTCATTGTTACCTCTCCTACACCTGTTGTTCTCATACAGGCCTTTAAAAGAAATCCCTTTACTGTTCTTTTTTTTTTTTTTTTTTTTTTTTTTTTAAACAGAGTCTCACTCTGTTGTCCACGCTTGAGTGCAGTGGCGGGATCTCAGCTCACTGCAACCTCTGCTCCCGGGTTCAAGTGATTCTCCCGCCTCAGCCTCCTGAGTGGCTGGGACTACAGGCGTGCACCACTACCCCTGGTTAATTTTTGTATTTTTAGTAGAGACGGGGTTTCACCATCTTGGCCAGGCTGGTCTCGAACTCCTGACCTCAGGTGATCCACCCACCTCGGCCTCCCAAAGCGCTGGGATTACAGGCATGGGCCACTGCGCCCAGCCTCTTTACTGTTCATTCAGTGGGGCTTGGGGATGGAGCAAACAAAAACAAAAACTGCATGTGTTCAGGCTGCCACTTTTACCTGGATGCCTACACTCCCCATGTGACAGATTAGTCCCAAATCCCATTTGGTCCCTCCCCAGTAGTTCAGCCTCTAGTCCTTCAACTTCATCTCATAAGAGCTCTCCTGCTCCTGGTCCTTCATTTGCCAAGGTTCTCATAACCACACAGGTGCTCCAGACATGGCCAGACCAGCCAGGGCATGAACAGGAGGTAATCCACAGGGCAGGGGACCATGCTGCTACAAATGGGCTAGCAGTATTCAGTAAATGTTCACTCCGTGCTAGGCACTGTGGAGATGGTCAGGGATTCCCCGAGCCAAACTTCTAACCCCTTTGGGAAAAGAAAACACACTCGTGTGAAAAGTTAGATGCCAATTAGGGTTTTTCCAAGTAGGATACACTTGCAAAATGAGCAATGGAAAGGAACAGAACATAGAAAATGTGACAAAACCATTTCACAGGCATTACCTTTTAAAAAGCAGGCTATTAAAATTGGGGATGACTATAGAAAACAAGTCAGAGAACAGAAAGAAAAGCCATACACTAACTCATCAAGAGTGATTGTCTTTGGGTGGTGGGAATGTGGGTGATTTTTTTTTCTACTTTTCTACATTTTCCTTTTTTTTTTTTTTTTTTTTTGTGAGACGGAGTTTCGCTCTTATTGCCCAGGCTGGAGTGCAATGGTGCAATCTTGGCTCACTGCAACCTCCGACTTCCAGGTTCAAGTGATTCTCCTGCCTCAGCCTCCCGAGTAGCTGGGATTACAGGCATGTGCCACCACACCCAGCTAATTTTGTATTTTTAGTAGAGATGGGATTTCTCCATGTTGGTCAGGCTGGTCTCGAACTCCCAACCTCAAGTGATCCGCCCACCTCGGCCTCCCAAAGTGCTGGGATTACAGGGGTGAGATACCGTACCCGGCCTTCCATTATTTTCTACAACAGATTTTTATCACTCTTATTTGTTTAGTTTTTAAAAGCACTATTATTATTTTTTGTTTCAAAAGCAGTACAGGATCATTGTGAAAAAACCCAACAATTCAGATTTAAAATTTTTATTGTATAATACAGAAAGTAGAGATCCTTTTAATTTATAATATATGTCTTGGTTTTTGTTTGTTTGTTTTTGAGACAGGTTCTTGCTCTGTTGCTCAGGCTGGAGTGCAGTGGCGCAATCTCAGCTCACTGCAACCTCCATCTCCCGGGCACAAGCGATTCTCCCACCTCAGCCTCCAGAGTAGTTAGGATTACAGGTGTGCGCTACCATGCCTGGCTAATTTTTGTATTTTTTGTAGAGGCGGAGTTTTGCCATGTTGCCCAGGCTTGTCTCAAACTCGTGGGCTCAAGTGATCCTCCCGCCTCAGCCTCCCAAAGTGCTGGGATTACATGTGTGAGCCACTGCGCCAGGTGCAATGAATCTTATAAGTGGCTATTGCCTTTGCTAGCATCTTGGAATCTTTGTCTTTGGGACTGTTACAAGATTCGGGATGTGAGGCTTATACCCGCTGTGGTCTTGTTTCCCCGCACCTAGGCTGTTGCCTGGGTGGGCCAGAGAAGAGCTCTAGACTGCCGTGCGGTCTCCTATGGGAACTCTCTGTAGAGAAATGCTGGAGGCCCTCCCGCAGACGCACTCTTTCCTGTCCCTGCATCCTTCTAGGCAAAGCCAGTGCCATTTATGTCCTATTTGGGTCTTGTGAGTCTAACATCTGGTTGAGCCAAAGAAGACCCCCAGAGGGGGCACTGCAGGAGATAATACCAATATCTTCCTCCCCAGGATGAAAGGTTTAAATGAGATAATATACACTGAGTTGCTGTCAGAGGACGTGACAAGTGTCAGCTCCCTTCTCTCCATCCCAAAAAAGAATACCTGGTTTTGGGGTCTTCTCGTTTTTTCCTTGGTGGAGAAAGGCCTGCTTCTGGCTTCCAGTCTGAACACTCAAGCCCTTTTTCCTTCTTCTTTGCCTTTTCTCTTTCCTCTCCTTTTTCTCCTTTTGGGGGTCCAGGGGAGTCTGAAAACAAAAGGGTGGCATTGTCCCTCAGCTAAGCTCTGTCTCAGCAGAACCCAGCATGACTTAGTGGGGAGAGAGCAAAGGGCAGGGACGAGGACAGCTGCACACACACTCCCAACACACACACAAACACATTTACACACAAATGCACAAACAACAGGAACGTGTGTACAAATACACAGTCTCACATGGGGACATTAATACATTGGCAAACACATCTCTGCACATATTAAGACAAATGTGTGCATGTAGACATGTACTATATAGACAAATGCATGAGAGCACAAACACGTAAGTGGCACATGTACACAAAACTCACAAGTCTACAAATCTTGCACTTGTGTACACAAACATTGGCAGTCCCCCACTAGCTACCTCCCGGATCCAGAGGCCATCTGTCACTGATTAAGTCACTCAACAGACATACACTGAGTGCTGGCTATGAGCCAGGCCCAGTCCTGTCCCAAGTGCTAGGAGAAAAACAGGGCTCAAGACAACCTTGTCCTCTCTCACCTAGCAGCCGCTTCCAGTTTTTGATAAGGACTTTGGCCAAGGACACCACCTCCTTGTCTGAGCAGTGCTTGCGGACCCCATTAACAGCAACTCCAATCCTGGTTGTCTGCAAAGTGAGAGGGTTAAGGCATAATCTGGGAATGGATACACAGGAATGGCTGCCATCATTGGCAGATCCTGCCCCAGCTCTACCACCACCTCCCCTTCCAACCTGGACCCCCAGAGTCCTAGCCCTGACTCCTGGCTGAGGTCAGAACCCCACTACTGTAACTAAGGCCCTGCTCTGCACGAGGCCGAGGGCCCAGGGCTAAGCCTGACATGGAGGATATCTGTAGCTTTGGTGAAACCTGAACCTAGGGTTGGGGGTGGCACTTGGCTGACTGTCAGGACCCCTCCCATTCCCAACCCTCTAGTGTCTATTTTTTTGAGATGGAGTCTCGCTATGTTGCCCAGGCTGGAGTGCAGTGGTGCAATCTCAGCTCACTGCAACCTCCACCTCCCAGGTTCAAGCGATTCTCGTGCCTCAGCCTCCTGAGTAGCTGGGATTATAGGTGTGCATCATCGTGCCCAGCTAATTTTTGTATCTTTAGTAGAAACGGGGTTTCACCATGTTGGCCAGGCTGGTCTCGAACTCCTGACCTCAGGTGATCTGCCTGCCTCGGCCTCCCAAAGTGATGGGATTACAGGTATGAGCCACCGTGGCCAGCTCACTCTAGTGTCTTTGAGCTCCAGTTTCAACTGAGACAGCAGCTCCGGCTATGAGACCTTGCATCTGTCTGTGCTGATTTTTCAGGGCCAGGAGCTTTTGGTAAATCTGGGGACTTTAAGGGCTACACAGGGATTTTAAATGGGGGCTTTTCCCTCTCCCTGGATCATTGGCCTCTTGGATCCCACAGGCCCAGGGCCTTGGGAATTGGGGTATTCAAGAAAAGCGAACCAGTCTTGCTCCAAGGCCCAGAGGTCCCCTACACCTAGAAGATACCCTCTCCGCCCCCGAGATGCCCCTGTGTCCCCCTCAGTCCCTCCCTGGGAGGTCTCCACCTCAAGATCCCCTCCCCACAGGCCCCCCTCAGAAATTCCTCCCAGACTCCACCTTCCCCCACCAGGGGTCTTTCCCTCCCCCACCAGCTCTCCCCCCAGGCACTGTCCCAAGGCTTCCCACCCCCGCCCCACCTGTAGTAGCTGGATGGACATCTGGCAGCTGTGCAGCTTCTTCAGAAGGTCCAGGGCCCCTTCCTGTGGGAGGCCACAAGGTGAGGACTGGGGCCTGGGTCCTGACCAGGCTTCTCTGACTATTGTGTGGTCTTGGTACAGAGAGCAGGAGGATACAGACAGACATGTGGCCGAAGGACAGGCAAGGGGCAGAAGGAAGGAGAGAGACGAGAAACAATCTGTCCTAGGTGGTGCTCTAACTTCATCCCCCGCCACCTGCTGGGTTCAAACCCTCTGAGCCAGGCTCCTGACCTCCAGCCTTTGGTTCTGCTGTGCCTCTCCCCAGGAATGCCCTCCCCCTTCCCCATCTTTCCTCCCAAATGAATTCCTTCCTGGCTTATTGTTGCTCGTGTGCCTGTAGCGTCCTTCCCTTACCTCCCCACTGTGAACTTCGCAGGGTGAGGACTGGGAGCCTTTTAAAAAACAAAACAGAACAGTTTGGCCAGCATGGTGGCTCACACCTATAATTCCGGCACTTTGGGAGGCTGAGGTGGGCGGGTCACTTGAGGCCAGGAGTTCAAGACCAGCCTGGCCAACATGGTGAAGCCCCATCTCTATTAAAATACAAAAATTAGCCAGGCGTGGTGGCGCATGCCTGTAATCCCAGTTACTCAGGAGGCTGAGGCAGGAAAATCGCTTGAGCCCAGGAGATGGAGGTTACAGTGAGCCAAGATCACACCACTGCACTCCAGCCTGGGTGACAGAGCGAGACTCCAACTCGAACAAAACAAAACAAACAAAAAACAGCTTTTTTGAGGTATAATTCACATACAATAACTGCACACTTTGCAGTGTAAAATTTGATAAGTTTCAACATACGTGTACACCCATGGAACCCTCACCACAATCAAGATAAAAGCACAGCCACCAGCCCCAAAAGCTTCTTCCTGTCCCCTTTCTAATCCATCCCTCCCCATCCCCAATCCTAAACAACCACAATTCTGCCTTCTGTTACTATAGTTGACCTTGTATCTTTAAGGATTTTATGTAAAGAGTATGTAGGGCAAAAACCCTTTTTTATCTGGCTTATTTCGGCATAATGATTTTGGAGACTCATCCATGTTGTCTCGTGGATCAGTAGTTCCTTTTTATTACTGAGTGGTTTCCACTGTATGTATGTACCACAGTTTGCCTGGCATTTTTTGAGACAAGATCTCACTCTGTTGCCCAGGCTGGAGCGCAGTGGCACAATCACAGTTCACTGCAGCTTCGACTTTCCAGGCTCAGGTGATCCTCCCACCTCAGCCTCCCGAATAGCTGGGACCACAGGTATGCACCACCACATCTGGCTAATTTTTTGCATTGTTTCGTAGAGATAGGGTTTTGCCATGTTGCCCAAGCTGGTCTCAAACTTCTGGCCTCAAGTGATCCTCCTGCCTCGGCCTCCCAAAGTGCTGGGATTACAGGCGTGAGCCACCACACCCAGTCTACCACAATGTTTTAAATTCATTCACCGGTTGATGGGACTTATGGATAGGTTCCAGTTTGGGGCTGCTAGAAATAAAGCTTCTAGGTACATTCATTTCAAGTCTTTGTGTGAACAGGTACTTTAACTTCTCTCGGGTAAAGAGAACCGTTCTAATCTCTGAGAACTTAGGGCTCAGCAGAGAGTCCAGTGCTCCCTGAGTGGATGAACTTGTGCAGAACTAAAGCAGAAAGAAGGCAGGAGGCAGAAAAAGGCTTAGGTTTGAAAATCTGTGAGCTGCCAGGCCCTGGACACCCTCCGACCCATTTCAGCCTTCTCCTTTCCCCCAGCCCCTTCCTAGAAGCCATACCTGCCTGCTGTCCTGAGATCAGTTCCCTGGGGAGCACCAGGGGACGGTGTCCTGTATGTTCCTATCCTTGGCCCACAGTTCATGGTTCCAGCTGCCAATCCCCACCCTGGCAGGACCTGGACCATGTCCTAAGAGCTGCCCTCTGTCAGTCCTTAGCCTCCCTGAGAACTTGGGTTCACAGTAGGTTTTCAGAAGCGTGACCTGCAGATGTGTGTGTATGTGAACTTGGGGGTACACAACTCCAAGTGTAACATTAATTAAAGGCTTGCTATGTACTAGGCACTCTTCTAAGTTTTTTACCTGTATTATCTCATTTAACATTCACAATGGCCCTATCGGGTAGGTCCTGTGTATTATTCCCATTCTTACAGAATTATTATCCTGTGTTCACCAAAGAGCAATCCAAGAAAGAGAGAGGTTAAATAATTTTCTCAAGGTCACATGCTTTATAAGGAGCCAAGTTGGGATTCAAACTCAGTCCTTTTGGGCTCTAACCACTATACAAATTGTGTTAGCATGGGCGCAGATCTGTCTAGACATACACAATCATGGAATATCAACATGGGTAAGTGCAGTGGTGTGCTGGCCAACGTTTAACAACCAGTTCTCAAGGAAAAAAAAAAAACTGACCTGTAGTGTTTGCCAATTTCTGTGGTGTAAACACTCATCCCATGGCCAATTTCAAGCTACCAACATGCTGTCACTGAACTGAAGGAAGTTTTGGGAGGAGACGTACACTACCATACCATTATATAATATTTCCACTGTACAGATAACAATAGAAGTAAATTATCTCTGACCATACATGACAGTACAATGTAGTAAAACAATCAGGAAGTGATTATTTTGGAGGATTCCTTACCTTTGTTTTTAATATAATTTATTTATTGTAAGCAGATAATGTAGTTTTTTGAAACAATTGCTGTGTTTAACCACCAGGTTGCAAAATTCCTGAAAACGCAACAATCTGTGTTAAGCCAGTTCCAGCTCTCCACTGGGTGTATGCCTCGTGTGTCACAGCTGTATAACTGGGTCATATTGGAGGAGAATAGCCATGAGCCTGGATTGTAGCTGGATAAACAAAGCCTTGTGCAAATGTTGCTGGGTGTATCTCTCTGAACATACAAATGGGTTCTGTAGCCAGTAGTATCTCTGGTCTAAGTGTGCAGCTGTGAATATGCAGCTCCGGGCACAGCTGTGTCTATTTGGCTTTGTGGGATGACGCCTGTGTTATAAGATCTGAATGTATAAATGTGGCTGTTTGCTAAGTCTGTAGCATTGCATGTCTGGGTGTAGCTGTGCTGCGTGCATACGTGTGTGGCTGTCTTTGTGTATCATTCTATAACTATAATGGTCAATGTGGGTCATATGGGTCAGTATGCTTGTCATGTTGGTGTCAGTAGCCGTGTCTCATACGCAGTTAGGTTCAGTTGCTTGTTTAACTACTGTGTTGTGGCCACATGTTATAGCTATGTGTGTGTATGTAGCTGTGACCGTAGGCACTTGGTTGCATGTTTGAAGTTGCTTCTGTTAGTGCATGCTCAGAGGATGTGACAAAGCCTTAAGTGGCTGAGACTTCAGCAACCGGCAGTAAACCCCGGGCCTGAGCTGCAACGTGGAGGATCCGTCTTATTACAGGAAGTATGTCCTCCTCTGCCTAACCACTGCTGGGCGGGTCCACTTTCACTCCCAGAGCAGGCCCCACCTTTCTCGGCCAGACGCCCAGAGCTCCATGCCCACCCAGACACTGCCGAGAGCCCAGGCGCAGACGTGGCTGTAAACTGGCTCCATGCTGCAGGGACCCTGCGGCCAGACTTGCATCTTTTCAGGGGACAGCTCTGGGCACTTCCACAGGAATCCATCTCCAAAAGACACCATTTCCTCTTCCCATTTCACAGAAGAGGAAACTCGAGGTCCAGAAAGGGAAGGTTGAGTGGCTTTTGCCTAGGGCCATAAAAGGAGTGAGGGGGAGGCCAGGGCAGGTCCCGTCCTCTTCAGCCAGAGCTCTATCCCAAGCAGCCTGCCTCTCCTCCGGTCTCTAGGCGTCCCCACCCTACCCCTCTTACCCAGGGGCCCAGAATTTCTTTCCTGGCCCAAGCTTGGGGGTCAGTAAGGAGCTGGGCTGGGATAACCCGTCTATTTGAACTGGAATTTGGCTCAGAATCCCTGGCTGCGCTCTGCCAACCCCAGCTGAGAAAATGCTCCCCCAAGACTTGTGGCTCAGTTGTACTGAGGATTGTGGAGGAGTCTGGAACGGGGAGTGCATGGAGGTTGGGAGTGTCAGGTGAGAAGCTCCCAGCACTCTGCAGGTTTGTGCTGTATCTTTCTGTGTTGGACCTGGCTGCGTAGAAGCAGGTCTTGTTCGCCAGTTCTTAGCAAGCACAGGTCTGAGTCCTACTAAGGGCTTTACATCTCTGTCTCATCTCTCCAATCCTCACCGCTGCCAGCAGAGACAAGAATCCAGTGACATCCCTTCTCCAGAGGCAGATAATCTCATCTCTTTCTTACAGATGAAGAAACTGAGGCTCTGGCCTTTATATGGACACCAACTCATGACTGCCCAGTGTCCACTCTAGGGCTCCCTGCCACTTCATGGTTCCAGTGACCCTTCCCTGGGCCTTGGCTACTCTTCCTGGCTCTAAAACTTCCCTTAGTGTCTCTTCCTTTCCCAGGCTCCTAAGTGTCCTGGAAATGCAGGTGGCTGCAGCACATGGCTACGGATGGTGGGAGGAAGAGGACCCTGGAACAGGAACGGGAGGTGGGAAGGGCATGCTCACCAGGCTCCCTTTTTTTCCCTCCCAGGGTGAGCGCAGGCCCTCCAGGACCCAAGGCCAAATTTGCTCTGGCCAGGCGACCAGTCGGCCGCCAGCCCCAGGCAAAGATCACGGGGAAGATCAAACATTAACTTCCAGCTGGGTCTGCGCTCTGGCCAGGACCCTCCGGTAGGGCTGTCAGCCCTGCTCCCAACCTCCCGCCGAGCCCGCTCCTCCCTCCGCCCTCGCCCTCGCTGCACAGGCCTCCAGCCCGGCCCCCTTCCCCCGCCCCGCGGGCCCCCGCACCTGTTCGGCCCCCGCCCGTCCGGGCCGCACCCCAAGGCCAAGGAAAGGGAAAATTGCCAAAAGAACCGCTCCTGACGCACCAAGCGGTGGGGTCGCAGGATCCACGGCCTTTTACTTCTCTCCCGCAGACCCACTCCGGGGTGCAGGGATGCAGCTCAGTACCCCCGTCAGCCCAAGTTTCTCTGCCACTTCTCGGGCCACCCGGATTTGCCCCCCGCCCCGCCCCCGCCATCGCCGCCGCTCCCCGGGCTTTGCACACGCCAAGCCCTGGGACTCCCAAAGTCCTTTCCCACGTCCAGCTCTCTTCGCCCGCTTTCCTGGGCCCTGCACTAGCTGCCCAGGGTGAACCCTACACGTCCAAAGGGACGTGCACAAGTCGCGCCTCCGGGACCCGCACGATCCCCCTGGCGTCCTGGGCCACGCACACGCCCACCTCGAGGTGCTCAGCAAGGGTCCCCAAGGGGCCTTGGGCCCTGCACCAGCCGCTCCTCCCTCGGGTCCCCGAGTCCCGTACGCGCCCCCATGGCGCCCCGCCAGTACGTCCCCACCCCGGAATCCGGGGCTTGCCCGCGCCTCCCGGGGGCGGGGGCCGTGGCCCAAACTCTGCAGCCTCACCGTGTTCTTCCTGGCCACCATCTTCTCCAGCTTTTTGGCGATCCTCAGCAGCTCCTCTTCCTGGCCCATGTTGGCCCGCGACGCCCGGCGGGGCGAGGGGCACAGGGGCAGCAGTAGGGCCTCGGGGGCAGGAGGCGCGAAGGCGGAGGGCGCGCAACCCGCGCGGGCCCCAAACACACACGACACACACGCCCGGCGGGGGCGGGGCTCTCCCCACCCCCACCCCCCCACCGCCCGCCTCCCAACTGTGCGGGGGAGGGGTGGCGGGCACTAAATATAGACTTCAAGGACTTGCCCGGGCACTGATTGCCCGCGCCGGCCGATCGGGCCTCAGGGGAGGGACGAGGCTGAGAGAGGGGACCCTCCAACTCCGGCCCTTCCAGGGGCGCCGGGGGACCGAAGAGAGATTTGGGAAGGAGGGCTCTCTGGCGAGCTGGGAGGCTGTGACCTGGCCACAGGCGGCGGTCGCGGCGCGGAGGGCGCCCGAGGGTGTCCCAGGGGCCCTGGGAAGCGTTCTGGGCTCCCGCGTCTCTGCACCGTTGCATCTCAAAGCGGGAGGACACAGTTCCGCGCCTATGCCCAAGTGGAGGCAACTCGGTGCGCTCGAATCCCGTGTGTGTGTGTGTGTGTGTGTGTGTGTGTGTGTGTGTGTGTGTGTGTAGATCACTAAATCCAGCTCTGCTTTAACCTGCACTCACTCCATCGTGCACACGGCCTGTGCATGCCACGTGTATCCAGGCTCCTGTTTGCCTCTGTCTACCTAAAACTTCCTTTGCTGGCTGTTTTGTTAGTAAGGCTTTGCATTTTTAACAAGCTCCTATGTGCTGGGGGTGCTGCTGGTCCCAGAACTACACTCTCGAGTAGTGAGAGCTTATCGGGGAGATTCTTTTTATTTTTTTGAGACAGGGTCTCCCTCTGTGGCTGAGGCCAGAGTGGAGTGGAGCAATCAGGCTCACTGCCTCGACTTCCCCAGCTCAAGTGATCCTTTCTGCCTCAGCCTCCTGAGTAGCTAGGACTACAGGCGTGAGCCATCCATCATGCCCAGCTAATTTTTTAATTTTTTGTAAAGACTAGGTCTTACTACGTTGCCCAGGCTGGTCTGGAACTCCTGGTCTCAAGCGATCCGCCTGCCTTGGCCTCCCAAAGTGCTGTAATTACAGATGAGATTCTTTTTTTTTTTTTTTGAGACGCAGTCTCGCACTGTCGCCCAGGCTGGAGTGCAGTGCCACGATCTCGGCTCACTGCAAGCTCTGCCTCCCGGGTTCACACCATTCTCCTGCCTCAGCCTCCTGAGTAGCTGGGACTACAGGCGCCCGCCACCACGCCCGGCCAATTTTTTTGTATTTTTAGTAGAGATGGGGTTTCACCATGTTATCCGGAATAGTCTCGATCTCCTGACCCCGTGATCTGCCTGCCTCGGCCTCCCAAAGTGCTGGGATTACAGGCGTGAGCCACCGCACCCCGCCGAGATTCATTCTTAAGTGCACCAAATTTTGAGAAATATTGATCCAGGTGCAAGGCTGCCAGGTCAGGCCAGTATCCCCTCAGTGGGGTTGGGTTTGGAAGTCATCTTAGTGGAGGGGTGGAAACACAATTGTGCCTATCTTCCCCAGCCATGCAGGGATCTGCCTTCCTGTGGAATGATCTCCAATGATCTTCAAGTATCTCCTGCAGACCCAGTTCTCTTGCTAAATAAGTGAGTTTAATGGACAGAAAATGATCTTCCTGTGATGGGGGTGGGGCTCAGGAACCTGGAGGGAAGGCATGAAAAGTGGTCCACAGTGTGTGGGAGCTGGGGTTGGGGTGTCGAGTGAAATCTCCTGATTTTCCTGAGAGAACCGCATTTCAGCTTGGGTCGCAGAGGCAGCTTGGTGTGGACACCTATCTTCTAATTGCTATGTGACGGGGATCAAGGTAGGACAGAGTGGGTTTTTTTCATCCATTCAACAAATACGTATTGAGTGTCCAAGCAATGAACAAGACAGACCCAGTCCCAGAAAGCTTGAGACTCAGTCTATGGGCAAGAGAAACCTTAAACAAAAACAGACATAGTCAATTAATGCATTTATCATAGCTGGGGTGAAGGGCAGGAAGCAGTGGAGGATAGCTTAAGGACACATTTGAGGGGACCTGCACTATTTAGGGTGTCAACTTCTCTGAAGAAACGAAGTTTAAACTTTGGGCTGAAGTACACAGTGGCCGTTGAGGGGAGGAGGAAGAGTGTTCACGGAAGAAAGGAAGAGGCATTCAACATATATTTATGGAGCACCTAATATGTGCCAGGTAGTTCTTGTTCTGGACATCCAGAGAGGAACAAAACAGTCCTCCCCTCTTGGAGTTCCAAATGTGCAAAGCTTAGGGATGGGAGGGTGCCTGGCCTGCCTGACAGTGTTGGAGGAACTGAAAAATTGGCGTGGCTGCAGCACAGAGGTGAGGAGTGTGGGGAGAGGCAGTGGGTGGGACCTGAGCATGCAGTGCCTGCCGGTCACATTTGGGAAGTTAGACTCTAATGGTTTGGGATTCTCTGGGAGGCCTTTTGGCCAATCCCAGCCAAGCCCTTCTGGGTTGAAGAGACTCAACCTCAGCAGCCTGAGGCTACTTAGGATTGCCTTATTAAAAAAAAGGCCAGGAGCAGTGGCTCATGCCTGTAATCCTAGCACTTTGGGAGGCCAAAGCAGGAGGATTGCTTGAAGCCAGGAGTTCAAGACTAGCCTGGGCAACAGAGAGAGACCTCGTCTCTACAAAATATTTTAAAAAGCTGGGCATGGTGGCGTGGGCCTATAGTCCCAGCTACTCGGAAGGCTGAGGCAGGAGGCTTGCCTGAGCCCAGGAGTTCAAGGTTACAGTGAGCTCTGATTGTGCCACTGTACTCCAGTATGGGAGACAGAGCCATCAAAAAAAAAAAAAAAAGAGAGAGAGAGAGATTTTTCTCAAACTTCCACCCAGTCACCACCCTGAGATGCGCGACATCAAAAAAAAGTTAAGACTCCTAGAATGTCAGGGTATGAAGGCCCCTAAGAAAACATGGAGTCCAACCTCTTTATTGTATAGATGGGAAGACCGAGGCCTAAAGAGGGTGATGATTCTCTCAGGGTTGGACCCTGTTGATACCATCATATCCCCTCTGCCTACCTGTCCACCCTACAGGTCACTGGAAGATAATTCCTGGACACACCTTGGACAGCTCCCCACATTTCTCTATTTGGAGCTTTGGGGTGGTAGGAAATTGATGCCCTCAGAAAGGACACCCCCAACCAGCAAGAAACCAGAGTTGGTGGAAAACATCATTTCTTCACTCTCGATGGGACAACCTGAAGGCATGTTCTAGTCAATACTCCTTCTCACAGGTCCCCAACAAGAGTTAGAGACAGAGTCTCGCTCTGTTGTTCAGGCTGGAGTGCAGTGGCGCCATCATGGCTCACTGCAGCCTTGAACTCCTGGGCTCAAGCAATTCTCCCACCCGAGTAGCTGGAGTATAGGTTCTCACCAACACGCACAGCTCTTTATCTTTGACTTTCTGTTTCATTTCTCTATTCCCTCATTATGCTTCCTGGGATCATTTCACAGATAAGCTACTTGCTCCCAAATCCTTGTCTCAGGGGCAGTCAACAGAGACAGTGGCAGAGGACCATGGGAGAGCTAGAATTTCAGGTCTCCAGACTCCTAGTCCAGTGCTCTTTCCAGGGTTTCTCAACCTTGGCACTATTAACATTTTGGACTGGATAATGCATTGCTAGGGAGGGTTGACCTATGCACCGTAGGATGTTTAGTAGCATCCCTGACCTTTGTCCACTAAATGCCACTAGCATCCTCCAGTTGGGAACAGTCAAAACTGTTTTCTGCTTTATCAGAAGTTCCCCGGGGCAAAACACTGTGGTTGCAAACCACTATTCCACATCAGGCCATCTCCCTTGCCAGGTCCAGAGAAAGAATTTCAAGCCCCAAGATTCCTTTCCCCTCCCTGTTGCTCTTTAGATCACATAAATGAAACCACTGGAAACTGACCCCCCAATCCTTTATTAGAGATGAGTGAAATAACAAGTCTGAGATGAATGAAACCAGACACTGGGGGCTCAAAAGACAACCCTGTTCCTGTGGGAACCACAGACCAGTCAGGTCTCCAGGGGAAACAGCACAGCCTCCCCAGCCAGGCAGCTGTGTTGGCCATTGGTGCTCTCTAGTCTCCCCTGCTTGGCTTGGCCCATTCCTGCCAGGGCCCAGCACCCAGCAACTGGCAAGTTGAGATGTTAGTGGTTGATGATGGCTTAGGTGTATCTGCTTTCTCATTGGGGCTGAGCAATGATAGAATTTCTAGGGCTGGGAAGCAGAACCCTTAAGTCTCTGCCCTCCCAATTCTATTACTCTCCCTTCTTTCTTTGCCTCTCCATTCCCTCAGACTAAAAGGCTCCTGAGTTGACCAAGAGAAAGAGAAGAGAAGTGGGCATCCATCAACCCTGACTATTCCTTTCCTTCCTGCTAAATCAAGGACACAGGCAAATGTGGGTGCATCTGACTCTACAATTTGGCTGGGGAATATAGGAGAATGCCTAGGGAAGGCTGTGCTGTCCCTCAAAAGGAGTGACATTCAGAATATTTTTATTTAACAGCCAGTACAGCATGCATGTTGACCAGCCAGAATGGATGTGATCTGTAGACAATTGTAATGGTCATATAGGTATAAACCAGCTGAGTCCAGAGCCATGCCCTGGAATCTGACCCTGCCTATTCCCAAGCCCAACCCTTAAGACCAGCTTTCCACCAAAGGACCACCCCTGCAGGGCCCTTGTCTTACTCGTGTGGTATCTGAAGTGCCTAACACAGGTCCAGACATAGAGTTGGAATTTAGTGAAGGAATATTAGACTAATAAATGGCTGGCTGAGAAGACAGTCCCTACTTGGCAGGGTCCCTGATCTGGAAGTCAGTGATGGAGGGCTCTCCTGCCCTTGTGAAGCCCCCAGACTGACGGGGGAAATAGAGTCTCGATCTGATGAGGGACTGAGAGTTCTGCAGCTGAAGCCAGCTCAGGAGCACTCAGATCCAGCCACAGGGCTCCCAGGCCCCTAGCGGGTAATGAGATAGGAAAGAACCGCCATCAGTCCTAACAGGGAAAGGCCATGTGTCCTTGGTAGAGGCATGGCCTGTGGCAGGAAGAAGGCCAGCTACAGAGGCACAAGGGACAGAGAGAGTGAGATCCAAGAGAACAAATGTCTCAGCTCCCCAGTTTTGTGAGCTCAAGTCCCAGCTCTGAACATTGGGGCCTAGCATGGGGCATGTGGGGGCCAGCAAGGAGCTAGTCTTGCAAAAGTTGCACAGAACTTGCTGGGAGACTCCCAGTCCTTGAGCCATCTCCTTCAGTGATGCCAACCTGCAGAAAGAAGGATGAAACTGACATTTTCAAAGCACCTGTAACATACCAGGTGTTCATCTCACTCAGTTTCACATCTGTCCTATTGTAGATAAATTAAATTATTCTCATTTTACAGACAAAGAAACTGAGGCTTGAGGAAGTGAAGCCACTTATCCAAAGTCTCCTTACTCTAAAGCCCAAGCTCTTGCTATCATACACACCACAATCACAGGCATCAATTAAATGCCATCTGATGGATACTTGGTTTTCAGGGCAATAGTGGAACCAGAATATGGACATAGATTTGTGTCTGCTGACTAACTCTGGTGGACTAAAGATGACGATTCCCCAGACAGAACCAGCTTTTGCCCCTGCCATCCTGACTCCCAACACAACCAATGCCATTCTGAGGAATTCCCAGAGGAACAAGGGACAGAAGAGGCTTCTTTCCCAACACAACTGGCTCTGATCTGTGCCCACTCCTAGGTTCAACTAATATATGCCATTGTTGGAGACTTGGTGATTCAGCAGGGAGAAGCTGGATTAAGGATGACAGCTCTTGCCCTGTCCCTGTCACATCCCTCTATGCCTGGGATCTGAAAGTCCCTGTGGATTCCAGGAGACTCATGAACAAGGGGAGAGTTAGGCAAACAAGGGCTGGTACACGGCCACCTAATCCTGCCTCTTCTGCAGGGAAGTGATGCCTTCTCTGAGCGACTGGCCTGGCTAACACAACTTTCCTCATCCTCCCCTGGGGAGAAGCCAGAGCTTGGGCCTCATGATCACTGCCATCCCTCAAGGCCTGGGCTCTCCTCAGCTTCACCCAGCCCTGGGCTGGAGCATGGAAAGAGGAGCACCAGGACAGGGACTGGCCAAACTGCAGCCACCTGGGCACCAGGACAGGGACTGGCCAAACCGTGGCCACCTGGGCACCAGGACAGGGACTGGCCAAACCGTGCCCACCTGGGCACCAGGACAGGGACTGTCCAAACTGTGGCTGCCTGGGCCCATCTGTACCCCAACCATGGGGAGGTCTCCCACCCCAATACGCCTACTCTTGACTAACTCTGCCTCCCAGGCACCCTGCCACCGCCCCTCAAACCATGGTCCCAGAGTTCCTACCGGCACGTTCCTTCTGGGCAGAGGCTGCCTGGCTGAGGGACCATCTTCAGGGCTCCGCGCCCCCCGCCGATAGGAGCGAGTGCTCTCGGAGCTGGAAGGCAGGGAAAGGCCAACATGACCCTCATGTCCAGAGAGCCCCTCAGAGTGGGGAGAAAGGGCTCAGGAACAGAGCCAGTCTGGGGGCTTAGGATGGGTGGGTAGAGTCCACAAGGCCCCCAGGCCAGGTCCATCACAGGCCCAAGAAGGCTGGAACTGACCTCCAGAAGACTCTGTGGATATCTGCAGGTCTACTTCTCCCCAAACTCCAGACTGAATGGGTTTGTATGGAAGGGAGAAGACTGGATCCTGGGTTGGAGGTGGGGACAGAGTGAAGACCCCACTGAGAGCCTCTAGAATAAGCCACACAGGGGGCTAAGCCTACTTTACTCCAACATCAGCAGGGAGGATCCCTGGCTCCTCCTCAGCTCTCCATGCAGGATTTGGGAGCAAGTGTGTGAAGGGGGAAGGGGTCCCAGGGTTCAGCATTTCTGCATAAGTGATGGGCCCAGAGATGGCGTGTGACCCAGTCTTTAGGCAGGTACTATTTAGAGGTGTGGAAATCAATGGATGCTCAGAGAAGTCAGGGGATTTGCCCTGGTTGCACAGCTGGGCCCTCACCAACCTGAATCTGACGGGGAGGTACATCTCCGAAGGGGTGGTCCCGGATGTCAGGCTGGGTCTGGAGGTGCCTGGGGGCTCTCGGAGGCCCTCTTCAGAGTTGGGTGGGGCTTGGCTGGGATCCCCAGGTTCCAAGGGGCTCATCAGACTGGAGGAGGAGGCTGGACTGCCCAGGCTCTCAGGGGTCTCAGGGGCCTCTGAACTCAGGCTGGAGACTTCAGAACGATCTGGAATCAGAAACATCAGAAATGATAAAGCTTTTCTTTATCACTTGCTCTGTGCCCAACCTCAAAGCAGTCTCTGGCCTCTAGGATTTTTTTTTTTTTTTTTTTTGAGACAGAGTCTCACTCTGTCACCCAGGCTGGAGTGCAGTGGTGCAATCTCGGCTCATTGCAACCTCCGCCTCCCAGGTTCAAGAGATTCTCCTGCCTCAGCCTCCAGAGTAGCTGGGATTACAGGTGCATGCCACCACACCTGGCTAATTTTTGCATTTTTAGTAGAGATGGGGTTTCACCATGTTGGCTGGGCTGGTCTCAAAATCCTTACCTGGGGTGATCCGCCTGCTTCGGCCTCCCAAAGTGCAGAGATTACAGGCACGAGCCACCACATCTGGCCTAGGATCTCTTCTGGTTCTCTGCCAATAGTCCATTCCCCATCTACCTGTCCAGTATTCTCCTTCAACTGATGAAGCCTTTGTTCGCGGTGGCCAGGGCCATGCTGACTCACTTTTTTGCTTGTGCTCATACCCTGTCCCAGTTTGGATTCTCCTGCTCATCCCTCAGGTTCACTCATATGCTATCCTCACCAGGAAGCCTTCTTAAACCAACCCCCAATCCCAGCAGGACATGCTCCCTCTCCAACTGCCCCAACCTCCCACAACAAGTCTGTTCCTTCATTCGACAAATAGTTCTTGAGAACAGCCAGGCTCTGCGCTAGGCACTGGACAAATAGTATTCAATGAAACACTCAAAGTCCTTGTCCTTTTGGGATTTACATTCTATATCACATTGTGCCTTGTATTATAATGAATTGCATTCCAGTTTTTATCTCCCCTACTAGACTGTGTCTTGGTAGCCCTCAAAGGACTCAGGATGAAGGGGATGCTCAATAAACTCGTTTCTCTCTTGTTAAGTGGAGCATTGAGGAATTTGGAATAAGATGGGCTGAGATTTGAATCCTACATCAGAGACTTATTAGCTGTGGGATCTTAAACATGTGACTTAACACCTCTGTTCTTTTATCTGTAAGGGGAAGATGAGAACCCCTTCCTGGGAGGTCATCATAAGGATAGTACGGACTAACATATGCACTCAGCTCAGTGCCCCAGCATATACAGGTCCTCTGTGAATGGCATGGTGAGCATTTATCTGGGCATCCAACTGTACCTCCACTGGCATGTCTTGCACACCCTTGGACCAAAGTCCGAGAAGAGTTTTTGACTGGCAAGGGCGGGGGACAGTCCTCACTCTCGCCCTGAGGGGTGGCTGCTCCCAGGCTGGCGACAGTCTCATAGGTCTTGTTGCTGATGTCCAGCCTCCCACTGGCCCAGTGAGCCTGGGCCGGGAGCTTCAGCAAGCAGCGCTGCCAGAGCAAAAGATTGAGGATGAGGACAGCCTGGTTCCTCCGGTGTAGCCCTGTCCCCCCGCCTCACCGCCCCCGCCAACACACACCAGGCCCAATCTGGCTCTTTCCTTCTGCCATCCAGAGGCCTGAGGGACAGGGCTGGGACCCACCTTCTCTTCCTCATCCTCCTCACTGTCAGAGCCAGGCTCTGTGGAAATTACCCAGGAGTAGTCCACATGTAGAGGGAAGGCAAAGGTCCCCGCCTGGGCCTGCTCCAGCTGCCAAAAACAAAGGCTTGGTGGTTCAGAGGGTTGGGGGCTCAGCAGGGAGAGAGAAAGAGTCAGGGGCCCCTTGCCTCCCCGAGTCCTCACCAGCTCCTCACACTCCTTGTGGTGCTTCTTCCTGGCTATGTCCAGAGCTGTCTCGCCTGCTTCATTTACTGTGAGCGGGGAAAGTCAGGGTTCATGGTCATAGTCAAAGAAACATTACAGCTTAGAGATTAAGACGGGCCTCTGGAATCAGAATGTATGGGTTTGAATCCTGGCTCTGCCATTTTCTGGCTATGTGACCATAGGCAAGTTATATAACCTTTTGGGACAAAATTGTTTATGAAATGAGTATAATACTTGGAACTACCTGATGAAGTGGTTGTGAGGATTCAATTAATTAACATACAAAAAGCACTTGTCCCATTGCCAGGCATATGTTAAACAATACATATTAGCTATTACAATCATTATCATTCAGATCTAGCTAATATTTATTTGCCTAAGTACTCCCAGAAATATTATTTTCTTTTTTCTTTAGCAGTCCTGCTAGGTCAGTGGTATTATTCCCATTTTACAGATGAGGAAGCTGAAATTCAAGAGCTGAATGACAAACCCCTAAGATCACAGAGGTGGTCAGAAGCAAGCCAGGATTAGAGCCCGAGACCATCGGAAGTCCACATAAGGGGTAGTCAGGAATAGGAGTCTGACGGAGGAGGTATTCAAGCCCCACCTGTGCCAACCAAAGCTCTCCCCTTCAGCAGCAGCTTGAGGCAGTCGGGCTGGTTGTAGAGTGCTGCGTAGTGCAGAGCCGTGTTCCCGTCAGCAGCCTTGGCATCCAGGTGACCACTGGGGAGAGGAGGGTTCAGGGAGAAAGGAAGGGGAACAGATCAATGAGGGGATCAAAGTCAGGGGAAAAAGTGGGAGGGGAAAGGAGGGAAGAGAATGGGAGAAGAGGAAGGAAAGGAGAGGGAGTGTGAGGAGCCAGACAGACAGGCAGGGAGGCTCTCACCCGTTCTGGATGATGAAATCCACCAGAGGCAGGGAAGCCTGGTTGGCGACTTTGACAGCCAAATGCAAGACGAGTTCTTCAGGTGCCTGAAAACACATCCACACCTCTGAGATTCCCCCCCCAGTGCACCTGCCTCCAACCCAGTATTTCCCTCTTGAACTCTTGCTAACCCCTTATCCCCCCATAGGAAGCTGCCAGAACCCTGGAGAGATGAGACTGCAAGGGCAGAGCCTCATGTCTGGGAGGAAGGTGAAGGGCCATTCTCCCATTGTTCCCATTCACGGCTCTTCCTCCTCTGCCCCCAACAAGTGTTTCCCAAACTTCTTTCTCAGCTCTCGGCTCCTCTCCCTGATCGCACTTCCCCACCAAGACCTCAGCAACCTCACATTTTCAACTATCACACATGTGCAGGCTGTTCCAAATTCTTACCTCACCTAAGTGCTGCACTGCCCATTGGATAGCCCACCAAGATATCAGACAGACAGTTCAAAGATACCCGTTTTTAGTTTTTCTGAGACAGGGTCTCGCTTTGTCACCCAAGCTGGAGAGCAGTGGCGCAATCACAGCTCTCTGTAGCCTCAACCTCCTGGGCTCAAGCCACCCTCCCACCTCAGCCTTCTGAGTAGCTGGGACCACAGGTGTGTGCCACCATACCCAGCTAATTTTAGTTGTTGTTGTAGAGATGGGGGTTTCCTTATTTTGCCCAAGCTGATTCTGAACTCCTGGGCTCAAGTGATCCTTTCACTTTGGCCTCCCAAAGTGTTGGGATTACAGGCGTGAGCCACCACACCCAGCCAACATCCAATTTTTGATGTCGAATCAGTCAGCAACTCCTGTTGATTTACTTTTTCAAATGTCTCTGATATCCTTTCTCCATGCTCATGTGTTTGTTCTTGGAATAGCCAAAGCAATGTGGCCTTCCTGGCTCTAAACTGACATGCCCTTATATTTCAGGGCTATTTAGGTGAAAGAAAAAGATATTAACGTTTATTGCATGCCCATTGTACACTAAGCCCTTTATATACATGACTTCTCACTTCATCACCGTGGGTGCTATTATTAACCCCTTTTATAGATGAGGAAATGAGACTCAGAGAAGTAACCTGCCCTAGATCACACAGCTAGGAAAAAACAGAGCCAGGATTCCCACCCAGGTCTGCCTGACTGAAGCTGTGCTCTTTCCCACTTACCACTCTGATGGGTGAGATCTGAGCAGATGTCAGAGGTGGGGTGGAGGGGAGTAACAGCTGGTCCTGGAGAAGAACTGGGGAATATGTTAGACAGGTGGGTTATAAGTGGCCCTTGGAGGGGTTCTCACCTGTGCATCAGGCCCTGGCAGCGGCTGTCCAAAGTCCTGCCCATTGGCAAAGGCCTCCAGTACCGACAGGAGGTCCCTGTTGCAAATGGCTGTCCAGAGTCGCTGAGGCTCAGGTGTGCACCGGCGTGCAAACCTATGCTCCACATACTTGGCCATAATGTAGTCCCTGCGGGTGCCCCTACCAAAAACAACCACAGGATCTCAGAGCATGGACCGTGTCTGCCCAGCTGATCCCTGGGGCCCTCCCACAGGAGATACAGCTCTCTTTTTCTCCAGAACCATGTCCTGAAGACGTCTAGATCTGAGGCTCCCCTCTCCCCAGGCTTTTTTTTTAGACAGTCTCACTCTATTGCCCAGGAGGGAGTGCAGTGGCGCAATCTCGTTTCACTACAACCTCTGCTTCCAGGGTTCAAGCAATTCTAGTGCCTCAACCTCCTGAGTAGCTGGAATTACAGGCGTGTGCCACCACGCCCAGCTAATTCTTGTATTTTGAGTACAGGCGGGGTTTTGCCATCTTAGCCGGGCTGGTCTCAAATTCCTGACCTCAAGTGATCCGCCCGCCTTGGCCTCCCAAAGTGCTGGGATTACAGGCGTGAGCCACTGCGCCCAGCCTCCCCAGACTTCTGATCCAAGACTTTTCTACGACCCTGGACACTGCGGAGGCAGAATCCCCTAGGCAGGGTGCCCCTCTCTCTGAGAATCCCCTTACATGTCACTCTCAGCTGAGGGTTTAGGGCCGCCGTGTGAGGGTAGCTGGGCCTCCATGACCTCATTGAAGCTCGTGTTTCCCATGTTCAAGGCCAGCTGGAGTCGTAGGAAAATAGACGTGGGGCGGAGTAAGACCGGGCGGTTAAGCCTGCATAGGGTGGAGCTCCAAGCCCCCAGAGTCCCGCCCCTCGGCCGCCCTCCCGGTTCAGGCCCCGCCCCTGACCACCCGCTACCTGGCTTGTCCCAGCCCACCTCGGCCAGGTCCCACCCACAACCTGCAAGCCCCGCCCCCGGATGAAACTACACCCCTAACTCCGCTTCTGGCCCCTTCCAGGCCCCGCCCCGCCCTCACCAACAACTCGGAGGGGCCCAGCAGGTCCAAGGTGAGTGACTGCATGCGCGAAAAGCGCACGCCCAGTTCGCGGTGGACGCCCGAGCACTGGATGCAGGTGAGCACGCCCAGGTTGGTGCTGAGCCACGTGGGGTCTGCAGAGGAAAGCAGCTGGAGCCTGGAGGTGCAGCCCCTCCCCTCCACTTAAGCCTCCCTCCTGCCCCGGCCCCGGGGACCGACCTGCAGCCCCGCAGTCGCAGCACTGGCTATTCCCAGGCCTGCTCTTCACCTCCGCGATGAGCAGCTTTGTGAGGTCGTGCGGCTCCCCATCATGGCCGGCGGACCCCCAGGACCCCGGGCCAGCGCTGGGCTCCCCGAGGAAGGCGCTGCTCAGGGCTTCGTCCTTGCTGTTCTGCAACACTGACACCCACCTGCGGAGATTGAACGGGGTGGGATGGGGATGTCAAGTGGGAAGAGATAGGGCCGCCGGCCCCCACCCACAAGGCTGGCCGGGCTGGCCGAGGGGGCACTCACGCCTCACACTCGTGCTCGTCCTCTGCCTGAAAGTGGTACGTCCGGTTGTCTGTCGGGAGAGAAGGGGGCTTCTGACCCACAGAAATGCTGCTGGCCTTCCCGGAGCCCAGGGAGCCCCCACCAAAGCCGCTGGGGCCACATGGAGATGTGTCCCTGACAAGTCGGACTCTCAAGCTAGGAGTGGGAAGGGAGTGGAATGACAGTGGCCAGCACCAGGGGCAGTTTCTCAGAACTGGCCTCCGAAGTAGGATCCCAACAAAGCTCCCTCTGCGTGAAGCCCTGGTTCCAGGCTCAGACGAGGTCTCAAAGGGCTTGGAACCCCAGAGAACCCAGCTCTGAGGCAGGGCATCCTCTGAACCAACTGTCACCACCCCACTGGGCCCTTCCTGGTCTCCTCCTGGGCGACCAGGCCTCCTGTCTGGTCTCCCTGCTTCCCATTTCCCCTTTCCCCTAGCCTGTACCAGCTCCCAACTGTTGTGCCCAAGGCTCTGCTCTAATTACACCACTGCCCTGCCCCAAGATCTCCCATGGCTCTCTATTGCCAGGAAATAAGGTCCAAACTTTTAAGAGGGATTTCCAGGCCTCATCTCTCACTCTGCTACATGAACCCTCCACTCTGGCCAAACCGGCCAGACCCACTCTCCTGCTTCCATGCCTTTCATCATGCTAATCCTGTCTCCTCAAAAGCCCCCACCCCACAAACTCTTCATTCTACATGTCCTTCAAGGCTAAACTCAAATACTGTCTCCTCCAGGAGCCTTTCCTGATTCCCCACAGCAGTGCAGGCCTTCCTGCTCCCTAATCTTCTATGGGGCTATATCTGCACCCATCTTCTGGACAGCCCCCTCATCTTACAGTCCTGGGTACCCACCCCACACCCCTGCCAGAGAGTTTCCTGAGGACAAGATCTAGGTCTTTCTCAGCCTGTGTCTGCTCTCACACAAAGCCTGCACCAAAGGCTCTGAAGAACGAAAAGTAGAAAATGTAAAGAAACAATAATTTCATCTCCTTCAAGTCTGGGTATTTGGGAAAAAAAGGTAAAATTTTAAAAAAAGAAATAATTTCAAAACCCAGATGACCCAAATCCACTCAAATATGCTCTGTATAAATAGCCACATTTATTATGTAAAGTGGGTGCATTTTGACATTTAATGTGATGTGGGTATCCTAGACCTAAGGATTCTTATGTCTGCAGTAGCAGCAATTCGACACCATGTGTGGAACTGGACACAGACCCCTCACTGAAGCCCCCCGGGAGCTGACAGGTGTCTTAGAGAAGCCCTGAGCAGCTGTGGGTGGGGGAGAGGCACAGGGACCACTCACGGGTCACCAGGTCGAAGCACTTTTTCTCCTCAGGGTTTGGCCTCACTTGGCACGTCAGCAGGGTCAGCTTCACCGGGGGCCGGTTTATCTGTGGGAATTTAGGGGCGGAGGATGTATGCATTACCTCTGGCCCTCCACATTCTTTAGGCCTCCATTTCCCACTCTGTTAAATGGGCATAATCATCCTGTTCCATTTGTGTTTCTCCTCACCCAGCAGCACCTCAAGGATGTGAAGTGTAGACTAAGACTAGATTGGGGCCTTCAGGTCCCATCTGTCCTCCCAAACGGGTCTCCAGCTCCCTGGACCTAGGTTTGGGGGCCAGTCTTAGAGGGAGGGCTTGACATTATTTGCTCAGAACACCAGAAGAAGAGGGTCCATCGTGCCCTGAGACTCCCACCACCTCTAGGCCTCACCGTGCTGTGTGAGATGGTCAGGCAGCCATACTTGACTCCACACTTCCTTTTCTGCCAGACTCTTCGAATTCTAAAGCCCAGAGGGATAGAAGGACAGTGACCCAAGGCTCACACCTAGTTCGCAGGTGTCAGAGAACAGAAATTTGCCCCCACCTGTATGATCTCTAGCCACATCCCTTTACCTCTTTCTTCTCCTAACCCTACACCCCCACCCCTGACCCCTGACTCTCTGGGGCTCCCTTCTGATGGAGGAGACACAGTTCTGCTCTTAGGAAGATGCCAGTCTGATGGAGAAACACAGCCTCACTCCCTGGGAATCCTTATTCTAAGGGGATGATGTGACTTTGGCCCTCTGAGAGCTCCCAGTCTGATGGGGGAGACATAGCTTATATCATTAGGGAGCTCCTAGTCTGAGAGGCACAGGCTCTTGACAACAACAAATAAATTGTGGTTCAACTAAGCAAGATCAATATTAATATCCCCAAAATAAAATTAGCAAGTCCATGATCCAAAACTCCGTAACACTTCTCCTGTAACAGGTAAATATTCATTGGTTTCTTCTTCAAAGTTATTCTTCTCCGATTAAACTGATTGGTAGGTAGAAACATGAATATATCCCACAAGGGCCTTTGCATTTCACAGCAGTTTTGTTTTTTTGTTTTGTTTTGTTTTGAGACAGGATCTTTCTCTGTCACCCAGGCTGGAATACAGTGGCACGATCTCGGCTCATTGCAATCCCTGCCTCCCAGGTTCAAGCAATTCTCATGCCTCAGCCTCCCAAGCAGCTGGGACTACAGGCTCACGCCACCATACCCAGCTAATTTTTTGTATTTTTAGTAGAGATGGGGTTTCACTATGTTGGCTGGGCTGGTCTTGAACTCCTGGCCTCAAGTGATCTGCCTGCCTTGGCCTCCCAAAGTGCTGGGATTACAGGTGTGAGCCACTGCACCTGGCCCACAGACTGATTTTTTTTTTTTTTTTTACACTAGGAAGCAAGGCACAGCCAATACTTTCATTTCTAGGCATATTCAGTATATTGCAGAGATTAATTAGGGCATAGGCTGGGCGCAGTGGCTCACGCCTGTAATCCCAGCACTTTGGGAGGCTGAGGCTGGCAGATCACAAGGTCAGAAGATTGAGACCATCCTGGCTAACACGGTGAAACCCCGTCTCTACTAAAAATACAAAAAATTAGCTGGGCGTAGTGGCGGGCACCTGTAGTCCCAGCTACTCGGGAGGCTGAGGCAGGAGAATCGCTTGAACCCAGGAGGCGGAGGTTGCAGTGAGCTGAGATCACGTCACTGCACTCCAGCCTGGGTGACGGAGGGAGACTCCATCTCAAAAAAAAAAAAAAAAAAAAAAAAAAAAAAGAATGAGGGCATAGTAAGTGTTGCAATAAGTGTTAGCTACTGCCAGCCGGGCGCGGTGGCTCATGCCTGTAATCCCAGCACTTTGGGAGGCTGAGGCGGGCGGATCACAAGGTCAGGAGATCGAGACCATCCTGGCTAACATAGTGAAACCCCGTCTCTACTAAAAATACAAAAAAATTAGCCGAGTGTGGTGGCGAGTGCCTGTAGTCCCAGCTACTCGGGAGGCTGAGGCAGGAGAATGACATGACCCGGAAGGCGGAGCTTACAGTGAGCCGAGATCATGGCACTGCACTCCAGCCTGGGCGACAGAGTGAGACTCTATCTCAAAAAAAAAAAAAAAAAAAAGTGTTAGCTACTGCTATTCTTCTTCTTTAACTTAAAATAACCAGTCACCTTTAGCAGAAGTTCACATGCCCAGGTGTCCTGGACAACCCAGGAATTGAGGATTTTACATTGCAACCCTCGGTGTCTACACAAATGATTAGAACAGTTCCTTTGGGCAGCTTCCCCAACCCTGTCATTTACTTGCAGTGTGACATTGGGCAAATTATGTAAGCTCTGAATCACTTACCCGTCACTTTTCTTGTATAGAAAGCCCACTTTCTCCGTCCCAAACTGCTTGTTGCCTTGGTGCTGGTGGATGCTATAGCCACATCCTGAGTTCTTCCGGCTCAGGTGTTCCTGTCCCTCGGACATGCAAAGGAGACCTCAGGGCATCTCAGTGGGAAGAGCCCCATTCTGCGGGGGCTCACTCAGGGAGACTTCTCCAGGGGACCCTGTGGGTCTTCCTTCTCTCCCTCCCTCCACGGTGGGCCTTGGGGGAGGGCATTCCTTTTGGGATAGTTCAGGGGCTGACCTCTCTGCTCTCAAGCTGCAGTGTCCCTCGGAGGGAGTCCCGGAGCTGGGTCAGCTTCTGTAGCTCGTCCTCCTGGGCCTGATGGAGCTATGGGACAGAGGATGGGATCCCATCACCAGCCAACAAATATGTCAGGCACAGAGCCCAGACCCAGAAGAGCAGAGCAGTAGCCTCACTCTGTGGGCAGAAGCCAGCTCTTCCACACCCACAGATTTTCCTGGAAGGACAGGGGGCTTGATCACGTGCCCAAGGGTGAGACCCAACTTACTGCATGTACTGAGGCCGCCAGCTTCTCGATGAAGGGGAACAGGCTCTGGGCAGCCTTCCAGCCATCTTGGAAAAAGCTAAGAGGTGTCAGAGGCCAAACAAGGGTCCAGATAAAGATGGAAATGAGAGATGAAGCCAGAAGTGTGGGAGAAGCTGCCGTAAGGATCACAGGGCACCTCAGGGAATTGTAGTCTGACGGTCAAGAACAGACACTCCATAGACAAGAGTCTCTCTTGACTAGGTTCAAATCCCACTTACTAGCTATGTAATCTTGGAAAATAAGCCTCAGTTTTCTCATCTATAAAATGGGGATAATAGAGTACCTGCTCCCAGAAGTGTTGGGGAATTGAGCGAATTGATGTTTGTAAAGTACTCATGCCTGACACCCGGTGAGCACTCAATGAGGAACTATGAAAGTTCTGCCAAAAAGATGCAGGCCTCCAAAGAGACTCTCAGGTCTATCACACCTTGAGAGGGGCCTTGTTCTGTGACACTGGAAGGGTTAGTGGCAGGGACGCGGGAAGATACCTACTTGTGCTGGGCGTGGAAGAACTTGATGAGGCTCTGAAGGAAGTCAGGACCTTGCTTCATCTGGCTCTCCCCGGCTTTGAGCAGATACTAGGAGGAGGGCAGGGCAAGATACGTGATGTGAGCTGAAGCAGAATCCTGGGAACGAGGGGCTGCAGTCCCCATCCCAGGCTAATCCTCCTGGCTGCGACTGGGCCTTGGTGACATCCCACAGGGCCATGTGGCCAGGACCTGAGCTGAGGCTGTGACTGGTCCCCTGGAGAGGCAGACAGGAAGACACATCCCACGCCCCCCCTCCCTCATCCAGAGCACCCCTTACCTCACACATGTGCAGCTGGAAGATGCGCCGCTCTCTCTGCATGTCCTGGGCCACCTCCCCAGGGATCCCTCCTGTCACCCTGGCCCGATCGCGCTCCTTCTCCAGCTTGGCCCTAGACCCCAAGGAAAGAGAAGCCTGAACAAGTCTCACCAGCCCCTATATCCTCTTCTGCCAAGGATGCATGAGCAAAGGGGCCACATGGTGCAGGAGGCCCTCCTGTGCCAGCTGTGTGGTGGGGCTGGGTACAATGAACAAGACAGTTTAGGGAATCCACAGAGTGGTGGGGGAGAAAGACATGAATCAAATCACAGCCACGCAGAGAACTATGGGAGAGAAAATGGGGATCCAACCTCGTTGGGGCTAGTTGGGAAGTGATGTCTGAGCTGGGATCTGAAGCCTGAGAAGCTTGGAGGAAGCTACTGCTGGGCAAGAGGGATGGACCATGTGATGGCCCCAAGGCAGGAGCGAGTGCCAAGATGGAGAGGGCTGGTGCCAGCTAAGGTAAGGAGGTGCCAGACCATGCAGGGTCTAATTCACACCATGTTAATATATTCTTGGTCTTTATCCCAAGAGTAATGGGAAGGATTTGAAGGTGTTTATTCAGGGGGATGAAGGACTCAAACAAGGGCCAAGTGAGATTTGGGGCAAACAGTTCTGATTTTCCTGGAAAGGATTTAAGAACACAGGTGCCTTCAATCTTTTTTATTTGTATTAATTTTATAGATTCAGGGGGTACAAGTGCAGTTTTGTTTCGTGGATATACTGTGCAGTGGTGAAGCCTGGGCTTTTAGAGTACCCATCACCCGAATAGTGTACATGGTACCCAATAGGTAATTTTTCATCTCTCACCTATCCTCCCACCTTTTGAAGTCTCCAATGTCTACTATTCTGCTCTGTCTGTCCACATGTACCCATTGCTTACCCCCCTACTTATAAGGGAGAAAGAACATGCAGTGTTTGACTTTCTGTTTCTGAGTTATTTCAAAGTGCTTTCATTCTTCTGAGCCCATGGAGCTTCATACTTAAAGCTCAGAAAACCTTTGTTCTTTTATTTTCTTTTTCTTTCTTTTTCTTTTTTTTAGTGCAGTGGTGCGATCTCAGCTCACTGCAACCTCCACCTCCCAGGTTCAAGCCATTCTCATGCCTCAGCCTCCTGAGTAGCTGGGATTACAGGTGCCCACCTCCATGCCCAGCTAATCTTTTTTTTTTTTTTTCAGACGGAGTCTCGCTCTGTTGCCCAGGCTGGAGTGCAGTGGTACGATCTTGGCTCACTGCAACGGCATGATCTTGGCTCACTGCAACCTCGGCCTCCTGGGTTCAAGCGATTCTCCTGCCTCAGCCTCCCGAGTAGGTGGGAGTACAGGTGGGTGTCACCATGCCTGGCTAATTTTTTTGTATTTTTAGTAGAGATGGGGTTTCACCGTGTTAGCCAGGATGGTCTTGATCTCCTGACCTCAGGTGATCCACCCACCTCAGCCTCCCAAAGTGCTGGGATTACAGGCATGAGCCACCGTGCCTGGCCAACACCCAGCTAACTTTTGTATTTTTAGTAGAGACGGAGTTTCACCATGTTGGCCAGGCTGGTCTTTGAACTCGGGCCTCAAGTGATCTGTCCACCTCAGCCTCTGAAAGTGCTGAAATTACAGGCATGAGCCACCACGCCCCACCGTGCTCTTCTCTTTTTAAGTGGAGACAGAAAGCGCTTCCCATCCTTGTAGCTAAGAGTAACTGGGGCCTTCCCCCTCAGAGGTTGGCTGTTTTCCCTCTTTGGGGATGGGTGGATCTGTGTGTAAATGGTTTCCTGGAAATCCCACGCCCAGCAGACTACCCACTCACAGCCAGGAGAGTATTTCCACATCTCAGGCTGGGTGCATGTGACTCCAAATCCCATGTAAAGGAAAGGGCTTGCTTAATAGTTCTGCTCTCAAGTGGGGGCCAGCCCTGAGCAGAGAAGACAAAGACAGAGTGGGATTAATACAAACTCTGCTGCTTGCTGGCTGCATTTATTCCCCTCTCTGAGCCTTGGTCTCCTCATCTGGAAAACGGAGATTCTTATCTGTACCCAGATGAGGCACAGCATGGAAAAGACTCAGCACATAGAAGACACATGGCAGCTTTTACTGTAGGCCCCTCAAGGCCTCTGTTTTCCCATCTGTAAATGGAGGAAGCAATGGTCTACGGTAAGTTCTCAGGTCCCTTCTGACTCTAAAGTTCTGGGCCCTCCTGAGTAGGTAAGACCTCTGGGATAGTGTTCATATACAGAATCTGTCCCTGGGGACCTGTAGAGCAGTTTCTCAACCATGGAACTGATAACATTTTTGGCCAGATGATTCTTTGTTATGGGGGGCTGCCTGGTGGTTTGTATGTTTAGCAGCCTCCCTGACCTCCACCCACTAGCTGCCAGTAGCATCCCCCCAGCTGTGACAACCAGAAATGTCTCCAGACATTGCAGGCTCTGTAGGCTTTTTTTTTTTTTTTTAATTTTAAAGAGGGGGTTATTTTTTATTTCCTTAAGCTTTCTGATACCCCAAGCAAGAGTTTGTAAAGAGTGGTAGAAGTAGGGTAGGAACTGATCCTGTGAACCAGGCCTGAGGGTCAGGACAGACTTCTTTGTGAATCTGAAAAAAAGCAGCAGAGAGGGGAGGTGATGGCTGGGCCTGCAGCATCTCAGCAGCAGTGCCTGGCAGCTTGCTATGGAATTAGGGAGGGCTGGGCGTGGAAGCTTATGCTTGTAATCCCAGCACTTTGTGAGGCCAAGGTGAGAGGATTGCTTGAGCCCAGAAGTTCGAAACCAGCTCGGGCATCATGGTGAAACCCTGTCTCTACAGAAAAATTTAAAAATGATCCAGGCATGGTGGTGTGTGCCTATAGTCCCAGCTACTCAAAAGGTTGAGGTAGGAGGATCCCTTGAGCCCAAGAAGTCAAGGCTGCAGTGAGCTGTGATTGTGCCACTGCACTCCAGCCTGGGTGACAGAGCAAGACCCTGTCTCTCCAAAAAAAAAAAGGAATGAGGGAGACCAAGTGACATCAGGTGGGCTGGCGTAGGGGAAGTCTCCCAGTGTACACTGTTACCATATCTTTCAATAGTCAAAAATGGAAAATAAGCTAAATGTCCATCAGTAGGAAGTAGTTAGACAAATAATAGTATGGCGATATATAGAAATATCATGCAGCTGTTAGAATGAAGATTGGCCAGGTGCAGTGGCTCATGCCTGTAATCCAAGTGCTTTGGGAGGCTGAGGTGGGAGGATCATTTGAGGCCAGGAGTTCAAGACCAGCCTAGGCAACATAGCAAGACCCCGTTTCTACTTTAAAACAAAATTTTAAACCATTATCCAGGCATGGTAGCATGGTCCTGTAAGTCCCAGCGACATGGGAGGCTGAGGTAGGAGGATCACTTGAGCCCAGGAGTTCAAGGCTGCAGTGAGCCATGATTGCACCACTGCACCCCAGCCTGGGCAACAGAGTAGACTCTGTCTCAAGAAAAAAAAAAAAGAAGAAGGAATATCTGTACATGTGATTGGCCCTCCATATCTGTGGGTGTAAAGCCTGAGGATATAGGCAGCTGACTAAGGGGCTTTAGCATCCTCAGATTTTGGTATCTGCGGGGGTCCTGGAACCAATCCCCCATGGATAATGAGGGATGACTGTACTGACATGGAAATATATCTGCTCCAGAGTAAATGGACAAAAAGCAAACCACAATACAGTACAGTGGTTAGAAATGTAGATTCTGGATTTGAATGGCAGCTCCTTCACTTACTTAACCTTTATAAAACTTTCTGAGCTTGTTTCCCCATTTGGAAAATGAGAATAATACTGTAGTCCCCCCTTCTCTGTAGTTTTGCTTTCTGTGGTTTCAGTTATTCATGGTCAACCCCTGTCCAAAAATATTAAATGGAAAATTCCAGAAATAAACAATTCATAAGTTTTTTTGTCTTTTTTTTTTTTTTTTTGAGATGGAGTTTTGCTTGTCACCCAGGCTAGAGTGCCATGGCGCCATCTCAGCTCACTGCAACCTCTGCCTCCCAGGTTCAAGCGATTCTCCTGCCTCAGCCTCCCAAGTAGCTGGGATTACAGGCGCCCACAACCACACCCAGCTAATTTTCGTATTTTTAGTAGAGCCGGGGTTTCACAATGTGTTTCAGGCTGGTCTCGAACTCCTGACCTCAGGTGATCTGCCTGCCTCGGCCTCCCAAAGTGCTGGAATTACAGGCATGAGCCACCATGCCCAGCCCAATTTGTAAGTTTTAAATTATGCATCATTATGAGTGGCATGTGAAATCCTGCATCCTTCTGCTCCATCCTGCCTGGAACATCAATCATCCTTTTGTTCAGTGTATTTACACTGTCTATCCAGCAGTCTCCAACATCTTGGCACCAGGGACTGGTTTCATGGAAGACAATATTTCCACGGATAGCAGGGTGGGGGAGGGTGGTTTTGGGATGGAACTGTTCCAGCTCAGATCATCAGGCTTAGATTCTCATAAGGAGCATGCAACCTAGATCCCTGGCATGTGAAGCTCACAATAGGGTTCGTGCTTCTATGAAAATCTAATGCCATGCTGATCTGACAGGAGGCGGAACTCAGGCGGTAATCTCGCTCGCCTGCCAACGCTCACCTCCTGCTGTTCAGTCCAGGTTCCTAACAGGCCTTGGACCTGTACCAGTCCATGGCCCAGGGGTTGAGGACCCCTGGTCTATACCACCTGCCATTAGTCATTCAGTAGCCTTCTTGGTTATCAGATTAGCTGTTTTACTATTGCAGTGCTTGTGTTCAAGTAACCCTTAGTTTACTTCATAATGGCCCCAGAGTGCAAGAGTAGTGATGCTACTATGTTCTGTTTTATTACTATTATTGTTCATCTCTTACTGTGCTTAATTTTTATCATAGGTACGTATATATAGGAAAAAGCACAGATTACATTTTAATGCCAAAAACTGCCGGAATTACTTTTGCACCAACCTAATGTAAGGTTCAGTATCATCTTCAGTTTCAAGCATCCACTGGGGGTCTCGGAACGTATCCCCCAAGGATAAGGGGGAACCACTGTAATGACACCTAGTCCTTGGATAATATAATGCATAGGAAACAGTACAGTTCCTGGCATATGGCAAGCCCTCAATGAATGGTAGGATTATGATGATTCAAGTGATGGCAATGATGACAGAGTAGTAAATACTGGTGATCCCTTTTAGATAATTTTTTTCAGCATATGGTACTTTCTTCTTTCTTTCTTTTATTTTTTGAATGCTAGTAGAGATTAAAAGATGCTACTTAACTCAAGGTGTAGATAAGCCGTGAAGTACACAACTTTGTCAATGTACTTCAGCTTTGACAAAATGTACACAGCTGTGACAAAATGGCTTTGTCAATTATCACAGTTCTGTCCCTCAGCCTCAGCTAAGATAATTCATAGAGATTTTCCCTACAAAGTCTGACATAGTCATTCTGAGATGACCTAATAGCTGGGGAGTGCTTTTCTTCCCCTATAAAATAACAAGTCCCATTCCTTCCCTATCCTCAAAGGATCACCAACATTTTTAAAACATTTCTAAAACATTTCAAATGTTAGAAACATTTTTCTGTCTTATGAGTGGAATTGCAATAGAAGGAATGAAATGAAATAGTGGGTGAAAGTACTTAAATGCTAGTTACTAAGACCGAGATCATTGCAGAAGGAGACTACAGCAACAGTCCAGTGTTATTCATGGGATGGGTACAGGTACTCCTGGTGCAGGCAGGAAAGTATTTAAATACCACACACCCACCAACCTTGAAACCTTGAGCCACGCTTAGGTGGCAGGGATTCCTCACTACTTACCTATAAATTGGGAATAACAATAGCAGCTTTCCCTGCCAGGGAGAATAAATCTGGTAATAGATGCAAAGACCTTACTCCACTGCCTGGCACAAAGGAAACTCTAAAGTAGAAGCTGCTATTATTACTAATTATTATTATTATTCTTTTTTAGAGACAAGGTCTAGCTCTGTCTCCCAAGCTGGTCTCAAATTTCCTGGCCTTAAGCAATCCTCCTGCCTCAGCCTCCCAAGTAGCTGAGATTACAGTCATTAGCCACCATGTGTGGCTTCTAAATATATGTATTATATTTATTATATATGTATTATTATTATCAATTTTTTAAATAGAGGCAAGGTCTCACTATGTTGCCCAGGCTGGTTTCGAACTCCTGAGCCCAAGTGATCCTCCTGTCTTGGCCTCCCAAAGTGCTAGGATTACAGGCTCCTAGTTATAATTTTTAGGCCCAGGCACTCTGCTAGGCCCTTCATATGTTAAAATTATAGCCCCATAAGGCAGGATCATTATCCCATTTTATAGAAGAGGAGCCTATGGCTGAGATAAGTCATTTGTCCAAGTCACACAGCTGTTAAGTGGTGGGGCCAGGAGTTGAACCCAGGACTGGCTGGTGCCTAAGCCTTAGGGGCAGCCCAAGCAACCAACACTGTGACTCAGGTTTGTTCCATTCCTCCTTCCCTGCCTCATTCCTGCGAGCTGCTGACAGTCACACTGTTTATTTTCTGAGAGATAACAGTCTCTCTCAGAACAGGGACCATTTTACAGATGATGAAGCTGAGATCCAGAGAAGGAAAATGGCTTGCACAAGATTAAAAGCTGGCTAGGGTAAATGCTACCAGCAGATGTGTGGGTTTCTGCCTGTCAATCTCTTCCTGTGTTATTCTGGTCCTAGTTCTGGCTCATATAGGTGGTCAATAAATACTTGCTGAACTGAAGTGCTGAGTGCTTTATATGCACCGTGCTTATTCATCGCCGCATTGACCCTGAAAGGTATTACTGTCCCTATTGTACAGATGAGGAAACAGACCTGTACATGGAACTGCCTAGATAAATTTGGCCTCTGTACAGGGCCCGGGATGCCTTTCTCAGCAGCCCCACGTGGAGAGGTAATCCTCCTCCTATATGAACAGCCAGGGGTGAAGCTCCCAGTGGTATTTGACAGATGCTATCAGGGCCCTGGGCCCTTCCAGCTGGGGCTCAGACTTGTTTGGTAGGAATGTGGTGAAATTACATAGGAACTTACGGCTCACGCATATCTGGCTACACCTGGAGCCCGTATGAAAAGGAGTGTACAGTCACCCGTGCCAAGACATTAGCTCAAACTATGTGGCTCCATGGTGGGAGCCAGGAGACCACATGGCAGAAATAGCACTAGACTCAGAAGCCCTGGGTTCTAGTCCAGGTCCTATCGATAACTCACCGAATAACCTCAGCCAAGCCCCCTTTCCCATCAACTAAATGGAGTCTGGCCTGTAAATGAAATGCTACAGGAAGGCTCAATATAGAAACCTAGGAAAAGCAGACCTGCTTTGGGAAGGTCAGCAGAGTAGAGCTTATTATTTCTATTTGGTAGACGATCCCCGAAAGTCTAACGGCTTAGTTAAGGTAACTCAGGAAGAAGAGGGCCATGTGGCCCCACAGCAAATCATGAAGACAAGGTCAGCCTGTGCCCTCACTACCCGTCCCTGGGCCTCCAGTGAGAGCAGATGGCCGTGCCCCATCACAGGCAGGGATAGGGCCCCACAGGGATGGCCACACAGTGTCTACACCCTTCATCACAGGATCTATGCCCACAGCTGGGGCTGGAGATGCTTGTGCAGGGACAAGATGTGACCTTGCCTCAGACTTGGAGCGGTGCCATGGCTCTGGGAGCTGAGGGAACAATAAAAAGCTCCAGGATCTACTTCTTGAAATTGATCCTGCAAAAATAATTATGAGTAGGGACAAATATTTAAATCCAAGGATGCTTCTCCAATGACAGGAACAGATTAAATACATAATGGCTTATGCAGGTTTTGGCACACCCGTTTGATTGATGTGGAAGAATATGTAATGGTGTACAAAGATGGCCACAATGTATTTTTTGAATGAAAAAAGCAGATTACAAAACAGTATGTTGTTATGATCTCATTTTTATAAAAACATTTCTTCATACATAGAAAAATAAATGTTAAAATGTTAATATTTTAGGCTTGAAAATTAAGAATTTTTCTCCTATTTTTGGGTAGTTTCTCCCCATCCAACCTTTTTTTTTTAATGATGAAAACTGCAATGTTACCCAGACCTTGTAAAAAAAAAAATTCAAACAACAGAGAGTATTATCCGCCTGCCATAACCCTAAGCCTCTGCTAAGGATGATTAATTTTTTTTCTTCTTTTACTTCTCCATATTTTCAAAATTATTCATAATAAGCATAAATTGCTTTGGCAAAATGCAAGAGAAAACAAAATTTTACAAAAAAGCACAAACAATGCTCTACAGTATGGGCCTGGCTGGGCAGAGGGCAAAGGCTGGGATCTGGACAGACTCCTCATAAGACAGAGCCCAAGGAGTCTCTGCCCAGGAGGAATTGGCCACTGGTTGACTGAGGCTCCTTCTTTCCCCATGATGTCCCAGTAGCTGGTGAGAGATCTGGAGTATCGTGTGGTGTGCACAGGACACAGAAAGCCATTTCCTTCTCTAGATATACCAACTGACACTGAGGAACGAGGAGCAAGGGGCATAAACCCCAGTTCTGCCTCTGCCAAGCTGTGGGGCCTTGGGCAAGTGACTTAACCTCTCTGAGTCCTCCTGTGGTAATTGTGATACTAATACCTCTCTCACACATGACAGGGTGACTGTGAAGATTAAATGGCCAGCACGCGGAGGTGTTTGGTCAGTGCTAGCTCCTTCCCATCCCTGCCCATGTCTGGCACCACTGAGCAGATGGGACTCTGAGAGCAGCATCCTGAGGTCCCTTCACAATAGCTCCTTTGGTGGTCTCGTGGCCCAGTCCCCAGAATCCAGTCAGGTCTGGGTATAAACAATCTGCTGTAAATGCCTCTACAGAGCCAGATGTCACCCAATTCTGGATGACATGTCTCGGCAGCATTTAGGTTCTTCCCTATCCAGCCTAAGTGCTACTCTCCCAGACAAACGACCCTGGCTGTGGCCACTTACATTTTGGCTTCATAGTCCTTCCATGCCTTCTCCAGCTGTTTTTTGGAATCCTGTGGGTTAAAAAAGGACAATTTGCCCAGAGGGAAGCTGGAGCACTGGAATAAACAGTATGCTCTGCTGCCTGTAGGAGGACCTGCTAGTGTGCTCCCCTGAGCTGCTCAGAGCCCTTCTCTAACCAGCCCCTGCCCCCACAGTCCTGCTGCAAACCTGCCCCCACCAAACAGGCTCAGCTGACCCCATTTCTCAGAGCTAAGGCCCTCCTCCCAGCAGACCTTCTCCTCCCCAGAGATGCCAAGAATCAGTCAGGTTTGGTGGGCCATGGCTTGGGGTGTGAAGAGATCTTTGGGCTCTACCCTGAGTCCTCTTGCTCAGAAGAGAGATCAGTCATGACCATGAGGATGGGAGGATGAAGGCCAAATTCCCCCTGCCTAACTTTAGCCCAGCATTTTCTCCTGCCTGGTGCTAGATCATCCTCTTAGAGCAAGGGTACAGGTCAAGGAACATGCACAGAGAGGTTGAGAAGTCTACCCCAGGCCATACAGCAAACCAGGGAGACCTGACTACCCCCTGCCTAGCTTGCCTAAGCCTCATCCAGCCAGGCTGCTCACACCCTTCTGAACAACCCCGAGACTCCCAAGGTGAAAAAGCTGCCTGTCTGGTTTGTGTGGTTAGCAGGCTGGTGCCACGCTGGCAGCCTAGGGCAGGGAGGGAACCCTCTTGGGGGAGCACGGCTCCTCCCCTGGGCCGTCTGGGGCAGATTGCCCAGAGAGATTATTCTGTCACCTTCTTTGAGCTCCACTCTGCATCCAGCCAAGGGCTGCCAGGCACAGAGAAAGCAGCTCGAGTATGGGATTCAGGATCCCTGGATTCCCACATGGGCTCTCTACTTCCTAGTTATGTAAACCATCAGCAGGTTACCTAACTCCCTTGGCCTCGAATTTCAACTGCAAAATGGGGATGAGTGTACCCACAAAGCCTACCTCATAGGATGGTTGTAAGATTTACATGACATGTTTCACACAAGGGGCCTGGCAGACAGCAGGTCAGCCATCCTAGGCTGACCCGAGCCAGGTCCTCCAGACCTCCCCAGGCTCATCACTCCCGCTAAGACAGCCCCTTCACCTGGCCTCCACCCTCAGTCCAGCCCTGCCCCCCAACAGTCTCCTGCCCACCCCTCTTTTACTCTGTCCCACCACCACTCCCAGCATGGAGACTCACCTGTCGACCGTCCCTCAGCTGCCCCTTCATCAGACTGTCCAGGGGGAAAGAGACAATGTTGTTCAAGTTCTGAATCTGGAAAAAACAGAGACGCTCATTCCCGCCTCAGGTGACCGGCATCCAGCCCCTAGGGATTCGGTGTACAGTGAAGCATCACTTGGCAAAGAGAGCAGCGGGGAAGGGAAGTAGGGGAGAGGAAAAGATGTTATCAAAGAGATGACAGCCAAGTAAGGGGGACCGTCATGGCAGGAGTGCTGAGCCTGCGGGGGGGGACTAGAGGATCCAGCTCTGGGGTCTGCTTAGGATGGCTGACCTGCTGCCCGCCAGGCTTCCTGTGTGAAAGGGGGCAGGAGGGGAGGCCGAGGTGTGTCAGAGTGAGCCCCTTCCCTGATGGCTCCAGCCTCATCGCTGCACTGCTCCAGCAGCATCCCACAGTCAATCTCTCCCCTGTTCCTCGCCAGGAGCAGCCTCCCTTCTCCTCTCTGACTCTCTCAAGTTGACCTGTAGTGCACGTCTGTTGTTCTGGGCTGGCTAACGCTTCAGAGCCTCCCCTATTAATGGTCATAGAACCCCCTTTCCTGTGGGGAACTCCTCCTCTGTGGTCAGATGGGGTAAACGCAGAAGTCAGATCTGAGCAGGGCACCCCAGCCCCAGGATAGAGGGACTGGATAGGGAACAGGCACGCACCCAAGCCAGCCAATCACAATCCTCGCTGGGATTTTTCTGCCTAAGTTGTGGGAGAAAGACCATCTTTATTTTGGTAAGATGGGCATCTGGGCCTGCTGGGCTATCCTGTCCACTGAGCAGAGACAGAGAAACTACCTTAAGAGGAAAGGATAGAGCCTAAGCCAGCTGCGCCCCTGGACTTCTCATTACAGGGGCTAATGAATTCCCTTTTAAAAATTTAACCTAGTTTGAGTTGGGTTTCTGTGATTTCGCAACCTAAAGAGGCCTAATATTTCAACCAGCTTCCAAGGTACAGCTTGGGTCTCTCCTCCTCCAGGAAGTCTCTCCTGGCTACTCCTCCCGCCTGGTCTATGCTGATCTCCCCTTTTCTGAACCATGGCAGCACTAGGCCTCTGACACCAGCTGCTGGGTCCTTGAGTTTGTGCCATGCTGCTGGTATTTCTTGACACTAGTCCACACCCTAGTTTTTCTCTCCCCCACTAGACTGTGGCTCTCTGAGGCAGTCTGACACTTTCCTGTGTCACCAACCCCTGGTACAATGTCCACTAGACAGCAGACCCCCAGGAAACACTAGTTTGACTGAAACAGGGAGAGAAGAGGTGAAGACAAAGAAGGACACTAATTCAATTGAACTCAAACACTATTTTTTTTTTTGAGACAGGGTCTTGCTTTGTCACCCAGGCTGGAGCACAGTGGTGTGATCACACTCACTACAGCCTCAACTTCCCCCAGGCTAAACTGATCTTCCTACTTCAGCATCCCGAGTAGCTGGGACCACAGGCATACGCCCCCACACCTGGCATTTTTTTTTTTTTTTTTTTGAGATGGAATCTCGCTCTGTCACCCAGGCTGGAGTGCAGTGGCATGATCTCAGCTCACTGCCACCTCCGCCTCCCGGGTTCAAGTGATTCTCCTGCCTCAGCCTCCTGAGTAGCTGGGATTACAGGCACCTGATACCACACCCAACTAATTTTTGTATTTTTTCGCAAAGACAGTTTCACCATGTTGGCCAGGCTGGTCTCGAATCTCTGACCTCAAGTGATCCGCCCACCTTGGCCTCCCAAAGTGCTGGGATTACAGGCGTGAGCCACCGCACCCGGCAATTTTCATACTTTTGTAGAGTCAGGGTCTCACTACATTGCCCAGGCTGGTCTAGAGCTTCTGGGCTCAAGCGATCCACACACCTCAGGCTCCTAAACCACTGGGATTAAGGTTTGAAATGTTGCACCCAGCCTCAAACACTGTTAAAGGCTTTTTACATGCAGGACAGTGTACGAGGCACAGCTATGCCAAGAGCTATAACAATGATAGATTTTATTAGGTTGGTGCAAAAGTAATTGCTGTTTTGCCATTAATATAATATTAGCCAACATTTACTGAGCGCTTACCATAAAGTAGGCACTAACTTGCTTAATCCTCATTACCGCTCTGTGAGGTAGGCAGCATTATTATCCCAGTTTCACAGATGAGAGACCTGGGGCTTGGGCAGACTGAGTGACTTGACCTAGTAAGCAGCAGAGTGAAGATTCCAAGCTGGAGTCTAGGTCCAAGGTTGGGTGCTTAACCACTGAGCACACTGCCTCTCAAGGATGATGTGGCCCCTGCCAACCAGGGAGGATGCTGGGTAGGACTGGAGCCACAAGAGCTGGTCCAGTGCCATGGAGCCTGGAGGGAGATGAGAGGCTTTCCTGGGAGGCAGTGTAGCCAGGCTTATGCTTGGACTCTGGAGCCAGACAACCTGGGTTCAAACCGAACCGTGTGACCTCGGGCAAGCTGCTTAACCTTGAGGTCCTAGTTTCCTAGCCTGTAAGGTGGAGACAACAGTCACACCAGCCCCACAGAGCTGTGCATCCGGATCGAATGAGTGAACACATGAACTAGTGAGAACTGTGCCTGCACATGGGAAGAGCTGCTGTCACAGGGTGGCCTTGAGGAAAGGACTTGAAGGACCAGAGAGGAGGCAGTCACCAAGGAGGCCATCGGGAAGCAACCCGAGGCCACTGGGCCATGTACAGGGGCTGAGACGCTTGTGGAGGCAGGGACAGGTCCTGGGATTTAAGTACGAAGCAGATGTGGATTGGGAAAGCAGAGGACAAAGAGGGAGTGAGGAGAGGAGGAGGCGGTGGCAGCGGTGGTGGTGGCAGTGGCAGCAGTAGTGGTATAAAGGTAGGAACCCCCGAGCCTGTCTCTCCTTTATCCCAAAGCTCCTCCAGGGAACCCTCCCTTGCACGGGGCTCTTCCCTGCTGTGAGACCCCCTCTGCTCCTGGGTGAAGAGAAGGAGGAGAACAGAGAGAAGAGTTAGTTGGGTAAGAAGCCAGAGAGAAAGGAGGATTATCCAAAAGAAGGGTCAGGGCTGGAAAGGGACCTCAGGTCTGAACTCAGGTCAGAGATCAAGGGCAAATTGGGAGAAGGAAGGAAACGGACCCTTTCCCAGTCAGGTTCTTAAGACCACTAGATTTACCCTGAGTCTGGGCAAGGAAGAGACAGGGGCCTCACCAGGTTCTTGAAGAGCGCAGCAACCTCGCGGGTGAACACGGCCAAGTTTAGGAAGCCTGTGGACAGCTCATGGCTGTTCTGGGACAGGTGGCTGTTGCCTAAGGATTCCACGGCCTCTCGGTACTGCTCTTCATTCTCCACATGGCCTGTGGAGGTACAGACGGGAGCTTGGAGTTAGCTCCAGGCTGGGGCTGGGAGAGGGGCTTCCTGACCAGGCGGGGCACCCAGGAGGCTCACTTACCAAGGCCGGAGCTATGGATTGCCCGCACAGCCTTCTTTATTCTCTGCAGGATGGCTTGGTCTCCTTCCAAGATCTGGAAGCAAATGTGGACAGAGGTTCAGGGATGCCAAGCTGGAATAGGGTGCTTCCTTCAGGAACGCTGTATCTATGATTTCCACCCCCCAACCGCCCTCCAAACAAATACATTGAGTTTTGCTGTCCTCTGGAACTTATCCCTAGGGTCTTCCTGTTTACCCCACCAAACAAAAAACCACACAGAAACCACAGACCAGTCACACCACTCCAAGAAGACCACAGACTTTTCTCCCTGAATCCAATGCAGCGTAAATGTAGTGAGTCAAAGGTACGTGGCATGACAGGGTGTGCCAGGCCTGGGTTTGAATCTTGCCTCTGGCAGTAGCTGGTGTGTCCGTTAGACAAATCTGTTAACTTCTCTGAGCCTTGAGTGCCTTGTCTACAAAATGGGGATGATACTAGGGGACTTGTGGAGTTGCTGAGAAGATGAATGATTTGTAAATATGTACAAAATGCTGAGCAAAAGGCCAGAGGGGAGAACACACACATCTCTATCTTCCCTTAAGATACAAAGCAGGGTACACTTGTTCACCAAACCCCAGGCTCAATAAACAGTTATGTCAGGACAAGGAGGAAGAGGCCAGGATGCTATGGGTGAGCAGAGAGGGGTTGGAGGCATTCAGTTACCTGAGTCTGGGGAGATGGCAGAGGGTGGCGGGAGCACACTCCATCACCACTGGGGAGAACTGGAGAGACAACACCAGATAACCCCAAAGCCCAGAGGCTGCAGAACAAACATCAGAATGTGGGAAAGGCCAGAGATGTGATGGCAAGAAGCAAGTCTCACATGCCCCAAGCAGGCTCAGCCTAGATGGGAAACACTCCCCCTTTCAGTGGGGCATGGAAGTTGACAACCTCATGAAATCCTTGCGAAATGCACAGTTAACTTGGAAAACACAGAATGTCGAGCTGGAAGGGGCCCACAGATGAGAAAACTGAAGCCAAGAGATGGGAGGCCCTTACCGAGAGACACATGGTGGGGAAGCCACAGAGCTGGACTTCCCGGGTGCAACAGAACAGTGTTCCATCCATGTACCACAGCCCCACCCTGACCCCAGCCCAGCTGTTCTTCCCAGTGACAAAAATAAAATGGGATCAGAGTCTGATTTCCAGAGTTACATGACAAGAGTTAGTAAACACATTGGAAATGGTACTGCCAAAGATTCAAAATGATACCCACAGGAGAACATGCATAGGGCAGAACTCAGAGGCAATGTGGAGTGTTCTCAGAGGCCGGTGGCATGTGGGAAGCCTCTGGAGGAAGGGGGGTCTAGTTACGAAGCTCAGCTCCACTACTCGGGGGCTATGTGACCTTGAACAAGTTGCCTATTTTTTTTGAGACCAAGTTTTGCTCTTGTTGCTCAGGCTGGAGTGCAGTTGCACAATCTTGGCTCACTGCAACCTCTGCCTGCCAGGTTCAAGCAATTCTCCTGCCTCAGCCTTCTGACTAGCTGGGATTACAGGTGCCCACCACCTGGCTAATTTTTTGTATTTTTAGTAGAGACGGGGTTTCATTGTGTTGGCCAGGTTGGTCTCAAACTCCTGACCTCAAGTGATCCACCCGCTTCGGCCTCCCAAGGTGCTGCGATTACAGGCATGAGCCACCGTGCCCGGGCACAAGTTGCCTATTCTTTCTGAGCTTCCTGATTAGCCATGTGTAAAATGGGGAAATCGATGCCTACCTCTCAGGGTTGGTATGAGGGCTATATGTATGAGAGGATGCAAATACAGGATTTAGCTTGGTGCTAGGCATGGAGTATGTTCAAAATGAACAGCACCTGTGATCGTTATCATCAGCTGCTGCTGATGCTAGGAAGGTCTGCCAAGTTCCAGGTGCTTTTCCTACAGGGGCTAGAAATCTAACATTCTCCTCCTCGGGTGTGAACTTGAGACACTTTCATATTTGAGATCCGTGGAGGCCCATCCCAGGGCTGAAGAAAGAAAACAAAAGAATCAGGAAGATTAAGGAGACGGCATCATATTTGAGTTGGTTAAAACATGAGGCTGGGCATGGTGGCTCATGCCTATAATCCCAGCACTTTGGGAGGCAGAAACAGGAGGATCACTTGAGGCCAGGAGTTCAAGACCAGCCTAGGCAATATAGTGAGACCTTGTCTCTACCGAAAAGAAAAAATAAATAAATTAGCTGGGTGTGGTGGGGTGCACCTGTAATTCCAGCACTTGGGGAGGCCAAAGCAGGAGGATCACTTGAGCCAAGGAGTTCAAGACCAGCCTGGACAGCTTGGCGAAACCCCATCTCCATGTGGTGGCATGCACCTATAGTCCCAGCTACTTGGGAGGCTGAGGTGGGAGGATCACCTGAGCCTGGGGAGGTCAAAACTGCAGTGAGCCCTGATTGCGCCACTGCACTCCAGCATGGGTGACAGAGAGAGCCCTGTCTCAAAAAGCAAAGCAAACAAACAAAAAACAACCAAAATGTTTCTTACTAAAGAGACAAAGAGGTGGAGGGGAGAACGTTTCTTTCTAAACTGGCCAACAGAAAAAGAAAAAAAAAAAGAGGCAAGAACATGGCCACTTCTATGGTTCCCCAAAATCCAGATGGGGAAACAGAAGCATGTGTTTACCAAATCCCTTGATCCCCATCTTGAAACCTGGAAAGCTAAAAGGTGAGTAATTTAAGGAGCTATGATTTCGCTCTAAAAGACAATTCAGGTTAAAGATATGAACAACTGGGCCAGCACAGTGGCTCACGCCTGTAATCCTAGCACTCTGGGAGGCCAAGGCAGTGGATCACCTGAGGTCAGGAGTTCAAGACCAGCCTGACCAACATGGCGAAACACTGTCTCTACTAAAAATACAAAAATTAGCTGGGCGTGGTGGTGCACACCTGTAATCCCAGCTACTCAGGAGGCTGAGGAAGGAGAATCTCTTGAACCCGAGAGGTGGAGGTTGCAGTGAGCTGAGATGGTACCACTGCACTCCAGCCTGCACAATGGGAGCGAGACTCCATCTCAAAAAAAAAAAAAAAAAAAAAAGATATGAACAATTTCCAAAAAAATTTCCAAAATCCCTAGAGGGCAGATCCATGTACCTAGCACACAGAAGGTGCCCAATAAATGTTTACCTAAATGAATGATGGTTTGCAAAGTCCTGGGACATGGACCTGAGAGGAGTATGTTCATGCTCTAGATACATTCTGAGGAGTCTTCCCATCCCATGACACCCATTTTCTGAAAACTGCCCTCCCTTCCTCTGGAGGTGGGCCCCTGCAGCCTTGTTTGTTCTAGCCAGAGTCGACAGACACCTGGTTCAAGCTAAACCAATCAGATTCTCTCTCCCACCTGACCCAAGCTGGACCAATCAGATTCTCTCTCCAAGGACTTTGGAATTGGGCTCTGGAAAGCTAGTTGACTGACTGAAATGCTAAAGCTGGGATGTCCTTCCTGCCACATGCAGAGAGAAAAGAACAGAGCAGATGTGTAGAAAGACATGAACAAGCCCCACACCGCCACAGCAAGGCAGAAGAGGAAGAGTGGTGCTGGTTTCTGGCAACTTTCCAGATGCTACCTCTTCAGAGGCAACCTCCACACATTATGTCTTTGGTGAAATTCCATGAAATACCCCTGAATCCACCCAACGAAGTTCCTTTAAGCAAGTTTGAGAAGATTTCCCTTCCCTGCAGTGTGGCAGAGATCACTGGGTGGCTCCCAGTGTCCATTCTCTCTTCTTCCTTCACAAGAAACCTGACTTTTCAGATGGCCACTTGGCGACCTAGAATAAAGACTACATTTCCTACCTTGCAGCTAACTGTGGTCATGGGACTAAGTCCTGGCCATGGAATATAATATTTTAATTGTTAACTTCCAAAAAGTATCTTACAAAGAAGGGAGATAACCCCCAAACTCATCAAGTTGTATACACTGACTATGTATAGCTTTTTACATGTCAATCCTACCTCAATAAAGTGGCTTTAAAAAATTGAAAAATAAAAAGGAAGGGAGGGACTACACACCTGTTAGAATGGCCAAAATCCAAAACACTGACAACACCAAATACTGGCAAAGGGAGGCCGGGCACGGTGGTTCACGCCTATAATCCCAGCACTTTGGGAGGCTGAGGCTGGTGGATCACTTGAGGCCAGGAGTTCAAGACCAGCCTGGCAAACATGGTGAAACCCTGTCTCTACTAAAAATACAAAAATTAGCCAGGCGTGGTGGCACACCGCTGTAGTCCCAGCTACTCGGGAGGCTAAGGCAGGAGAATCATTTGAACCTAGGAGGCGGAGGTTGCAGTGAGCTGAGACAGTGCCACTGCACTCCAGCCCAGGTGACAGAGTGAGACTCCATCTCAAAAAAAAAAAAAAAAAAAACCAAACAAAAACACACACACACACAAATAAATAAATAAATAACCCCAAAACACAAATACTGACAAAGATGTGGAGCAACAGAAACTCCCATTGTTGGTGGGAATGCAAAATGGTACAGCCACTTCGGAAGACAGTTTGACAGTTTCTTAACTAAACGTACTCTTGCCAAATGAGTCAGCAATCATACTCCTTCATATTTTCTCAATGAGTTGAAAACGTATACATACCTGCACACGGATGTTTACATCAGCTTTATTCATAATTACCAAAATTTGGAAACAACCAAGATGTCCTTCAGTAGGTGAATGGATAAAGAAATTGTCATGCATCCAGAGAGTGAAATATTATTCATCACTGAAAAGAAATGAGCTATCAAACCATGAAAAGATGCAGAGGAAAGTTACATGCACATCACTAAGTGAAAGAAGCCAATTTGAAAAGGCTACTACATGATTTCAACTATACGATATTCTGGAAAAGGCAAAACTATGGAGACAGTAAAAAGATCAGTGGTGGCCAGGGATGGGGGTAGTGAGGAGGAACAGGTGAAGCACAGAGGGTTTTTAGGGCAGGGAAACATTTCTGTATGATGCTATAATGGTGGATACATGGAATTATACACTTGTCCAATCCCACAGAATGTACAACACTAAGAGTGAACCCTAATGTAAACTATGGACTTTTGGTGATGATGTGTCAATGTATGGTCATTGAAACAAATGTACCACTCTGGTAAGAGCTGTTGACAGAGGGGGAGGCTGTGTGTATATGGTAACTCTATGTACTTCCTGCCCAATTTTGCTGTGAACCTAAAACTGCTCTAAAAAATAAAGTCGATTTTTTTTAATTTAGAAAAAAAGGGCCTGGGGTGGGGTGGCTCACGGCTGTAATCTCACACTTTGGGAAGCTGGGGCGGGAGGATTGCTTGAGCCTAGTTCGAGGCCAGCCTGGGCAACATAGTGAGAGTCTGTCTCTACAAAAAATTAAAAACCAGGCATGGGGCATGGGCCTATAATTCCAGCTACTCAGGAGGCTGAGGTGGGAGGACTGTTTGACCCCAGGGAGTTGAGGCTATAGTGAGCTGTGATCGTGCCACTGCACTCCAGCCTGGGCAACAGAGCAAGACCCTGTCTCAAACGCACCCCCCCACAAAAAAAAAAAACAAAAGAAAAAAGGGGAATGCAAGGGTACCCTCTGTCACCCCTTTCTTCTGGCTACAATGTGCTGGCGATGTCTAGAGCTCAGGCAGCAATCCTGGACCATGAAGTAGAAGCCATTTGTTATGGATGGCGGAGCAACAAGATATCAGCCTTGTCCCTAGTGATTAGGAAACTACCCTAGCAGCCCCAGTCTACTTATCTGTGGAATTCTTTAATATGAAAGAGAAATCTCTTATTTGAGCCACTGTTATACTGGGTATTCTGCCACTTGTGGCTGAAACTAGCTCTAACTGGTAAAGGGAGACAAGTCACCCGAATCACTCACAGACTGTTTTTCTTTTCTTTTTTTTTTTTTGAGATGGAGTCTCGCTTTGTAGCCCAGGCTGGAGTGCAGTGGCACAATCTCGGCTCACTGCAAGCTCTGCCTCCCGGGTTCACGCCATTCTCCTGACTCAGCCTCCCGAGTAGCTGGGACTATAGGCGCCCGCCACCACGCCCGGCTAATTTTTTGTATTTTTTAGTAGAGACGGGGTTTCACCGTGTTAGCCAGGATGGTCTCGATCTCCTGACCTCATGATCCGCCTGCCTCGGCCTCCCAAAGTGCTGGGATTACAGGCGTGAGCCACCGCGCCCGGCCACAAACTGTTTTTCGATGCCCTTGTCAGACATCTATCAGGAAACAGCTTCCCAGCCAGATACCATTCCCGTCCCTACTGCTCTTGGCAGCCAAGTTCACATGGCTGTTTATTCATTCAATTAGTTATTGAGTGCCCACTACACCCTGTGTAAAAAAGACACAATCTCAGCCGGGCACAGTGGCTCACACCTGTAATCCCAGCACTTTGGGAGGCTGAGGCTGGCAGATCACGAAGTCAAGATCGAGACCATCCTGGCTAACACGTCTCTACTAAAAATACAAAAAATTAGCCGGGCATGGTGGCATGTGCCTGTAGTCCCAGCTACTAGGGAGGCGGAGGCAGGAGAATCGCTTGAACCTGGGAGGCGGAGGCTGCAGTGAGCTGAGATCACGCCATTGCACCCCAGCCAGGAGGGCAGTGTGAGACTCCGTCTCAAAAAACAAACAAAAAAGACACAATCTCAGCTCTCAAGGACATCATCATTGAAGGGAAGAAAAAGCCATTATAAGCAGACACTTATCATGCAATGTGATGAGGGCTATGATGGAAGGTTCCTGGGAGTCCAGGGAAAACAGAGCCATGTCTGCTTTGAAGGAATGGGGAAGGCGTCCCTTAAGCTGTGTTGCTTAACTCTGGCCCCTGGACAGGCAGAAAAGAGACTAAAGAGACTACACTATGAGGTAGAGGGGAGGGAATGCTTGGTAAAAAATGGTAGGACTGCCAGGAAGGGAGGCGTGCTCTGGGAAGAATGGACAAGGACAGGAACATAGTTCCTCCATTCATTCATTCATTTCAACAAGCATTTCTTGGTGACTGTTTCAGCCAGGCATGGTGCCAGATGGTGGGGACACATAAGACATGGCCCCTTCCTTCAAGAGAACCACAGACTTAAGAACATGCAAGTGCCCATAGGGAGCATGAAAAGGGAAAAGTTCTAATTACTCCTTTCTCAAGAAAATATCTGAAAATCATTTACACTGGTTGATAACACCTATCCTGTGGTATAATAGGGCTCAAAGATTTAAGCTAAAGAAATGCAGGTTTTTTTTTTTAATCCACTCATCCACACACTCATAAAAAAATTTAGTTTTAAGGAGACGATTCTGATAGTAGCCTGGGGAAAGGAAGGTATTTTGAGGAAAGGCAGAGGTTTCCAGAGTGCTATGATGAGTCAGTAACTAAGATTCTAGCCCCAGCATCTCCAAAATTATCTCCTTGGGTGATACTAGCCCAGCTAGTTTTCTAAACTTCCTCTCCTTTAAAATAGATTTTTATTTTTTTATTTTTTTATTTTTGAGATGGAATCTCGCCCTGTTGCCCAGCCTGGAGTGCAATGGCACAATCTCGGCTCACTGCAACCTCCGTCTCCCAGGTTCAAATGATTCTCCTGCCTCAGCCTCCCGAGTAGCTAGGATTACAGGTGCCCGCCACCATGCCTGGCTAATTTTTATCTTTAGTAGAGACGGGGTTTCACCATGTTGGCCAGGCTGGTCTCAAACTCCTGACCTCGTGATCCGCCTGCCTCGGCCTCCCAAAGTGCTGGGATTACAGGCAGAAAAATCCATTCTCTGCTTAACTCACAGAATTACTGTGAGGCTTAATGAGATCACAAACATGGCAAGGCTTGAGGCATTTGGAAAACATGAGTATGGTTCTTACTGTGGTTTGTTTTCTGCCTCTGTGTGAGATCAGCCCTCGTTTCCCATGAAACTGGATAGATGAAGGAAAAGCCAGGTGTGGCGGCTCCCTCCTATCATCCCAGCACTTTGGGAGGCCAAGGTGAGAGGATCGCTTGAGCCCAGGAGTTCAAGACCAGCCTCGGCAACAAAGTGAGACCCCCACCCCGATCTATACCAAAAAAAAAAAAAATTTTTTTTTTTGAGACACAGTCTCTCTCTGTTGCCCAGGTTGGAGTGCAGTGGTGTGATCTCGGCTCACTGCAACCTCCACTTCCCAGGTTCAATCGATTCTCCTGCCTCAGGCTCCTAAGTAGTTGGGACTACAGGTGCCCGCCACCATGCCCGGCTAATTTTTGTATTTTTAGTAGAGATGGGGTTTCGCCATGTTGGCCAAGCTGGTTTCAAACTCCTGACCTCAACTGATCCTCCTGTCTTGGCCTCCCAAAGTGCTGGGATTACAGGCATGAGGCACTGCACCCGACCATTACAAAAAATTTTTTAAAAAAGTTAGCCAAGTGCTGTGACACACACCTGTAGTCCCAGCTATTTGGGAGGCTGGGATGAGAGGAGCCCTTGAGCCCAGGAGTTCGAGGTTGCAGTAAGCTATAATCATGCCACTGCACTCCAGCCTGAGTGACAGAATGAGACACTGTCTTAAAAAAAAAAAAAAAAAAAAAAAAAAAAAAAAAAATCAGCTTCTGGGTTCAGGTGGGCCCATTTAATCCCTGATAGTCAGAGATTCTCAAGGTGGGGGCCCTCAACCAGCAGCAGGCATCATCCAGGAACTTGTTAGAAAAGCAAATTCTCCAGCTGAATCAGAAAATCTGGGGGTGAGGTCCAGCAATCTGTGGTTTAACAAGCCCTCCAGGTGATTCTAATGCATGCTAAAGTTTGGGAATTACTGTTCTAATTCTCTTCAGAGATGCAGTACATCATCATTGCTAAAAGTATGGGGCTGTCCCCAAACTACCTGGATTTGAATTCCAGCTCCACCAGGTACCTGATGTGATCTCTCAGTCCCTCAATTTCCCCATTCATAAAATGAAGATGATAATATTGCGTACCACATAAGGTTACTGGGGAGATTAAGTAAATTCTATAGGTAAAGTGCTTAGAATACTGTCCACTATTTGATAACTAAAAATGTTATCTACTTCAAAATTAAATTGAATTTGGTTTAGGAATTTCTCAACTTTCATTGAATTAATTAAACATATCTCCCCACACCCCCAACTCCATGTTGATCCTCGTCAGCAAGCTGTGGGGAAGCACAGGTGGAGAGGGACCACAGCAGACCTCTGCCGCCGGGCAGGGAGAGTGCAAGCAGCATGTCCCAAGTGCCTGCTCTGTGCAGCCTCATTACTTGTCACTATCCTGGCCACTCTTTGAGGAAGGCATTGCCATTCCCATTTTAAAGATGAAGCTGTCAGGAGGAGGAACATGTCCAAGTCACACAGTGATGAACAGTGGCAGAGCTGTAACTTTTTTTCTTTTTTTTCTTTCTTTTTTTTTGGGGGGGGGATAGACTCTCACTCTCGCCCAGGCTAGAGTGCAGACACACAATCTCAGCTCACTGCCACCTCTGCCTCCTGGGTTCAAGCGATCCTCCTGCCTCAGCCTCCTGAGTAGCTGGGTTTACAGGCGTGTGCCACCATGCCCAGCTAATTTTTGTATTTTTAGTAGAGACAGGGTTTCGCCATCTTGACCAGGCTGGTCTCGAACTCCCGACCTCAGATGATCTGCCCACCTCGGCCTCCCAAAGTGCTGGGATTACAGACATGAGCCACTGCACCTGGCCCAGAGTTACAATTTAAATCCAGGACTAGCCAAATCCAGGGCCAATGTTCTTTCCCCATCTCTAAGCTGCCCCACAAAGTTAGGGGGCACAGCTTATTTGATCTTGGGACTGGATCTGCCTCCAAACCTAAATCCCAATTCTACCACCTCTACCATATTCCCTCACCATCCCCTCAGGCTTAGGAAAGGGAGAAGGCAGGGCACAGAGGGAGATCTGTCCAAGGAAAACAAGGTTGACAGCAATGGTGAGGCCCCGAATACAAACACTGTAAAGGATGTCCTACTGAAAAGAAAACGGATTTGTTCAGGCTGGCCTCAGAGAGGATTCCCAGGACTGAGAGGTGGAAGTTAGGGAGGCAGAAACAGACTTCAGCTCAAACAGGGGACATTTCTAAGGAAGAACAGGCCACCCCTGAAGGCAGTGAGCTCCCTGTCACTTGAAGTATTCAAATACTTTAGGTGCTAGAGAGTGATTCAGACACTGGATTTTGGATTAGAATGGACAGCTATTTAGATTTCATTCAAAGCTAAGAGTCAATGGATCCATGCAAGAGCCTGGCAGGCACTGGGCAAAGGTGGCTGAAACACATCTTAGTGTAAGAGACACGTCTGAGCTTGGAAAGCCCACTGGAGTCCTTTGGGCAGCCTACCCTGGCTGGCCCTAAACAAGGCCTAAATTCCAGCTGCTGGCACTGCCCTTTGTGTCCCCTACCCTGATCCCAACATACACACACACCATGCTCTGGCTCTCTGGTTTGTGTTCTCTGCAGGCAAAAGACCACAGATGGCAGCACTAGGCCATGCCCAGCTGCCCTGCCTAGAAGGGCCTTCTGCATGCCCCCTTCTGGGTCAGGATTCATCAATAGGACCCATTCTTCATTCCCATGGTTTCTCAGAGCCAGCTGTGGTTACCAAGGCAACTCAAGCCAAGGGGGCAGAGCTGCTAGAGCTAAGGCCTTGGGAGATACAGATTACATTTCACCATTAGACATTCATTCCTTTGGACCATTATAATATAGTACATAGTTATCACTTCTGTGTCATCCCATGACCATTACAGCCATTATTATTATTATTATTATTTTGAGATGAAATCTCGCTCTGTAGCCCAGGCTGGAGTGCAGTGGTGTGATCTCAGTTCACCGCAACCTCCGCCTCCCAGGTTCAAGCAATTATCCTGCCTCAGCCTCCAGAGTAGCTGGGATTACAGGCATGCGCCACTGCACCTGGCTAATTTTCTGTAGTAGAGACAGGGGTTTCACCATGTTGGCCAGGCTGGTCTTGAACTCCTGACCTCAGGTAATCCGCCCGCCTCAGCCTCCCAAAGTGCTAGGACTACAGGCGTGAGCCACCTCACCCGGCCCATTACAGCCATTATTATTATTATTATTATTATTATTATTACTATTTTTGAAATGGAGTCTTGCTCTGTTGCCTAGGCTGAAGTGCTGAAGTGCAGTGGCGTGATCTCGGCTCACTGCAAGCTCCACCTCCTGGGTTCATGCCATTCTCCTGCCTCAGCCTCCCAAGTAGCTGGGACTACAGGCGTGAGCCACCACGCCTGGCCCATTATAGCCATTATTAATCGATCACAGTGTTTTCCCCACTGACTGTGGATTTGGTTCATCATTCTGTTAAGATATGATGGTAGCCTCTACCAATTAAACTAGAGTTGGCAGAGGAGATGAAAAACATTTTCTATCTTTGCTTTGGACTATGGTGTTGTTCCTTAAGAGACGAAGTCACAGAATATTAGAGATTATCTAACATTACCTCCTCATTTTACAGACTGCAAAATAAAGGCTCAGGTGAGTTTCTTGCCCCAGGTTTCACTGGAAATGCAAACAAACTAAGAAACAAATACAAACTAGGTCGGCGTGGTGGCTCACGCCTGTAATCCCAGCACTTTGGGAGGCAGAGGGAGGTGGATCACGAGGTCAGGAGTTCAAGACCACCCTGGTCAAGAGGGTGAAACTCCGTCTCTACTAAAAATACAAAAAAAATTAGCTGGGTGTGGTGGCAGGTGCCTGTAGTCCCGGCTACTCAGGAGGCTGAGGCAGAGAACTGCTTGAACCCGGGAGGCAGAGGTTGCAGTGAGCCGAGATCACGCCACTGCACTCTAGCCTGGGTGACAGAGTGAGACTCCGTCTCAAAAAAAAAAAAAAAAAGAAAAAGAAAAAAAAAATACAACCTAAAACTTGTATAGAGCTTTACAGTTTGTAAGGGAGTTTGACACCCACCATTTCAGACACACAGCATCTTAATGGGGCAGTCATCATTTTTGTTCCCATCTGGCTGATGAGTCAGCGAGGCACAGAACAGTGAAGATCATTGCCTGAGCTCACACAGCCAAAATGTGGACCTGGGAACTAAACCGTTAAGACTCTAACTCCCTTGTTCATTTCCAGGCAATGGACCCAGACCCTGAAGGTCCATGGTGTTACTAGCAGGACACTGTGAAGCCACACTCATCATGAGCACTACTGACGAGTATAAAAATGTTTCACAAATTAGTCTGACCACATTCCAAATATGTGCAACTCTATGATCAATAAGACACAGAACCCTTTAAAAGCATTCTTGAATTCATTTGTTCTTTCCCATATTTTTCAATCAATCAATACTAACAGTATACGTGATGTGGGAAGATCAATGAAACTCCAACGCTAAAAAGGAGTTTTCCTGTGGGATGGCTGAATCCTGGCTCTTTGGTCTCTGACGCCAGTGTCCACAAAGATGATTAAATTATATGTACTACATATTAAACATGATGCTAAAAATACAACGTTTGGCAGGGTGCGGTGGCTCACGCCTGTAATCCCAGCACTTTGGGAGGCTGAGGTGGGAGGATCACGAGGTCAGGAGTTTGAGACCATCCTTTAGTTGAGATAGGGTGAAACCCTATCTCTACTAAAAATACAAAAATTAGCCGGGTGTGGTGGCTAATTTTTGTAGTCCCAGCTACTTGGGAGGCTGAGGCGAATCACTTGAATCCAGGAGGTGGGGGTTGTAGTGAGCCGAGATCACACCACTGCACTCCAGCCTGGGTGACAGAGTGAGACTCCATCTCAAAAAAAAAAAAAAAAAAAAAGTACAATACCTGAATGAGCAAACCAAGTTACACTTAAAATATTTAACAAAATGATAAAGTACAAAAAAAAAAACAAAAAAAACCCAGGGCTTCTCACTTCTAGATCCAATTACCAATTTACAGAAAATGCAGGTCAGGTGTTGTGGCTCCTGCCTGTAATCCCAGCACTTTGGGAGGCCCAAGTGGGTGGATTGCTTGAGCCCAGAAGTTTGAGACCAGCCTGGGCAACATGGCGAAACCCTGTCTCTACAAAAAATACAAAACAATTTTCCAGGCATGGTGGCACACACCTGTAGTCCCAGCCACTTGGGAAGCTAAGGTAGGGTATCACTTGAGCCCAGGAGTCCAAGGCTGCAGTGAGCTCTGATTGCACCACTGCACTCCAGCCTGAGCAACAGAGCGAGACCCTATCTCAAAAATAATAATAACAATAATAATAAATAAAATAAACTCAAACCCAGGCAGTTGGGCTCCAGAGTCCATGCTTTTAACCAAACCTCTAGGTTTTATTCTATAAGTGATGGGGTGCTCCTGAAGGGTTCTGAACAGGGCAGTTACTTGGTAATTCTCAACATAGAAAGTTTAACTCCAGGGCTGGGCTGCAGATCCATGTTCAAGCGGGACAAAGAGGGTTCAGCCTTGTCCCCCAGGCATGACAGGGTGATAGGAACACAGCCAGGCCCTGGCCCGGAGCAGATCACCCAACAGGAAGGACTCCCATTCCAAGCTCCCAGCTTGAGTCTATTATTAGCATGAATTCAACTACCTATCGCCCCACTAACTGACTGCTCACTTTGGGGCAGGCATTTTATGTTTGTTACCTGGCCTATTCCTCCCAACAACTCTGTGAGGTAGTTATTATCCTCCCCATCTTACAGATGAAGAAACTGAGGCTGGGGTAGGTTAGGCAGTTTGCTCAAGGTCATGTAGGAAGTTCTAAGAAACGCAGAGACCTCTGCCTCCAGAGCCCTTTCTTGCTATCACACTAAAGCAAACTACGAGCTAAATCTTCTCTCTCTGAGCCCCAGTTATCTCTGTAAGGATTGCTGTGAAAAGAAATTGAGGTAATGTTTTTTCTAATGGTGGAAGCCAGGCATCTTCAGAGGTGCTGCAGAAACATTCTGAGAGAATGGCCTTCTACTGCATATAGAACAAGGCCATGAGACCAAGAGCCCTGAACTGGAAAGTGCTGAATTTTAGGGCTGTCTCTGCCATTAAGCCCTCAGTGTGCCTCTGAGCGAGTTCCTTCCTCCTTCTATGCCTCAGTTTCCTCATCTGTCCAATTTTGAGCTAACAGACACGAGCTCTAAATCCCCTTCCAGGCCAAAGCGCTAGGACACAGTTGAGGTTAGTCATACCCTACAAGGCTGCTCCAACCTCAGCCACCAGCAAGAGTGAGCCAAAGACTCCAAATGGTTTTCCTCTGGATCAGCCCCCACCCCCAGCACCTGAGAGTCCAGGCTGGGGCAGAAGGGGGTGCCAGAGGAGGGCAGTGCTCTTCCCAGCTACCCCTCTGCCTCATCCATACCAAGGTGGCCCTTGGCCCTGCTTGCCACCCCACAGCCCCTACGGTGGCTACACTGCAAGGCCTGGGAGCCAGGACCCAGGGCCAGCCCCAGCCCTGCCCCTGTCTCGCGGTGTGACCTGGCCAGTCTCCTTCCCACCCTGAGCCTCTGACTCCTCTTCTGGAATGAAGGGTTTGGGTGGTGACAGGGAAGGCTCCTGTATGCTCTGACATTTATTATTTCAGGATCCCCTGGCCTCTTGCTGTTTTCCTTCCTGCACTGCTGGGGCCTGTGACTGGCCGTGCGCCCCTTGGTCAGGCCTCTGCAGACGTCTTCCCAGCCTGGGCACTTGTCCAGCCTCACCAGCTCAGCCTTACCGGCTGTCCCTTGTGGGGTGGTGGGAAGCAGGGAGGAAGAGGGGTTGCAAGAAGGGAGCCACACCCTCGATGTATGCTGAGGCCTCTGCAAACCCCAAGTTTCCTGGCTGGGATTTTCCTCAGGAGATTGCTTGGCGGTGATGAGCTAAGAGAACAAGAACTTTGCTGGACTAACCGCGGAAGGTTCCTCCTACCCGACCCCTGGCCTCAAGCCCTGAATTCCACCCAATCCTGGGGAAGAACCTGGCCTGCCCTCTTGGACAGAGCAGCAAACAGTACTTCCCACCTTCTGGGTTCCCTTGTTGGCCAGGATGAATCCCTCCCTGCCCCCCACTTGGGCTTGCTATCCATCACTGGTCCCTTAAAACCATCCCTATTGAACTCTTGGCAATTTCCTAAATATGCCAAACTGTTTCCAGCCATCAGACCTTTGCTCATGCTGCTCCCTCTGCCTGGAGGGCCCTTGCCCCATTCTGTCTAGTAAACACTTCATCTTTCCCGACTCAACTTACAGGTCACCCCCTCCCCACCACAACAGAACTGATCCTGCCTACCTTTATTCCATCCTATGCCCACTACAGGCTTTCATTAGAGTATCCTGGCCCTTATTTGCCATACATGTCTGATCTCTACGGGGCTGAAAACTCCAGAAAGGCAGGGAATGGCTCATTTACCTTTGTATCTGCAGCACTCAACACAAAACTCAGGATGTGGGTGTTAATAAGCATGTGTGGAATGAATGAATGATTAAATGTATGAATACATACTAGCAAGGCCCAGTGGCAATATAGAAAAGACAGCAAGGGTTAAGGACTCCGGCTTTCAAGTCATACTGTCCTAAAGTCCAAATTCTGGTTCCAGTCCTCTTAGCTGTGTGACCTGAGGCAAGTGACACAGCTTCTCTGATAGATGTTCCCCATCTGTCAAATGGCATAATAACAGCATCTATCTAATCAGACTGAACTCAGTCAGGCATTTAAGCACGTGGCCCAGCATAATACACACAGAAAGGGCTTCATGGTAGCTATTCCTGCCCAGCAGACACCTTCTCTGTATCCAAATAACTGGACAGGCCCTGTGTTATGATGTGCTAATATCTGAAAAGTGCTTACAACACTGCCTGGTGTGTTTGTTTTTCCTATTTTTATTGCTTTTTAACACAACCCAGACAACACGGATGAACCTTGAAAACACTGTGCAACTGAAAGAGATCAGACAAAAAAGGCCACATATAGTAGGATTTCATTCACATGAACTGTCCAGAATAGGTAAAGCCATAGAGATGGAAAGTTGTCGGGGGCCGGGGAAAAGGAGTGGAGAGTAACTACTAATCAATACAGGGTTTCTTTTTGGGATGATGGAAATGTTCTGGAATTACATAGTGGTGATGACTACACAACACTGTGAATATACTTAAGGCCACTGAATTGTACATTTTAAAATGGTGAGTTTTATGTTATGTGAATTTTACCTGAATGAGAGGAAATCTACCTAAAAGCAACCTAAGGGATTGTAGGGTGCAGCCAGGACTGAGAACTGCTAGGTAGCCTCTCAGCAAATGTTTTGTTTTGTTTTCGTAGAGACAGGGTCTTGCTTTGTTGTTTGAGACCAGGGTGGTCTCAAACTCCTGGCTTCAAGTGATCCTCCCACCTTGGCGTCCCACAGTGCTGGGATTACGGGTATGAGCCACCACACTGGCCTCAGCAAATGTTTGACAAAGAAATGAACAGGAGGCAGAGAGCAAAGGGCAGAGCTGAGGGAAGACCCTGCCTTGTCCAAAATCAGGCTTAGCTGTTCATTCCCCAAAACCTCCAAGGTACATAAGGTTTCTCTTTTTGCTCTGGTGCCAGGACCGCACAGATAATCTCAACACTCACTCATGGTAATTACCTCATCCCTATTGCAATTACTTTCCTCTTTTCTCTGTATGTTTCCTGATCTTTTTAACTACCCTATGTGCAGGTGTACTTGTGTTTACAGTAAGAGGGAATTTTAAAAAATTACTAAGTACCTGTTACGTGCTAGGTTCATGCTTGCTAGATTTTCTATGTGTTATCCCCTCAAACAAACCCATAAGACAATTATCTTCATCCCTAATTCACAGATCAGAAAACTGAGATTCAGAAAGGTTAAGTCATTTGCCCAAAGTCACACAGCCAATAGGAATTCAAACCCAAGTCTGTCTGACTTTAGTTACTGGACTCTCGCCACAGACCTCAGCCACATCCCTGTATGCTACAGGTTGTCAATCAACTTTTCACTGGCAGAGTCCTCCCACCCAGAAGGAGACCTTGTCTAGTTCTCTCCGTGCCCTCAGAGCCTGCCTTTGTACACCACAGGCATTCAGTAAATATGGCTTAATGGATTACTAACCTTCAGTGGGCATGCAATAGCTTACCACAATAGTTTTCACCCCAACTGCTCATCAGTTACCTGGGAACTTCTGAACTGCACACTTGCCCAGGCCTCGCCCCTGGGAGATTCTGATTCAGTGGGTCTGGGTGTAGCCCGCAGCAGCTGAGATTCTTAAAAGCTCTTTCAAGGTCTAAAACCAGTCAAGTTAGAGAACCTTCAGCAGCTGTTCCCAGCTCAGCCTCCCATGCCCTCCAAAGCACCTCCTGTGACGTTGGTGAGGTGGAATCAGTTTTTCCAGGGCCCTGACCTAGAGTCACAGAAGCCACTCACTGTTCCCCTGTGGGTCTCACTCCCTCATCTGCCCTGGGCCCAAGTTCTAGGCCCATCGAAGGGACCTTCTAGCAGCATCTTGTCTGAGAATGATATGATCAAATTGCCTTCAGGGAAAGCATGTTCCTTCTGCTCTGACCTAAAGTTACAGTTTCTGCCTCCAAATCTGCCTGAGTCATCTGTCTCCTTGTACCTCAGTGGCCAGAAACAGCTGAACACTAGGCAAGGAAGTGAGCACAAAAAAAGACAAATTTGGGGAGAGAAGGAGACTTTGAGAGACAGGCTCAAGGTTGACAACTCTGGGAAGACCCTCGGCCCCCTGTGCAGAGGCTGTTGGTAGGGAGGAGGCTGGTTCAGTGGAGTTGGGTCCCCAGTCCATCCTAGAAAACCCTGCTGATCCCAGGGCCCTAGCCACACCCTATGTCTCTGCTCCCCTTCTAGGGAGAACTTCTCATCTGCCCCCTCCTCAAATCAGTCCAGGATGGTGTGGAGGCGAAAATGGCATTAAATCTGCTCTTTTTTTTTTTTTTTTTTTTTTTTGAGATGGAGCCTTGCTGTGTCTGCAGTGGCACAATCTCGGCTCACTGAAACATCCACCTCCCGGGTTCAAGCAATTCTCCTGCCTCAGCCTCCTGAGTAGCTGGGATTACAGGTGCCTGCCACCATGGCTGGCTAATTTTTGTATTTTTAGTAGAGATGGGGTTTTGCCATGTTGGCCAGGCTGGTCTCGAACTCCTGACCTCAGGTGATCCACCCGCCTTAGTCCCCCAAACTGCTGGGATTACAGGCGTGAGCCATAAATCTGCTCTTAAGGTTCCCAATGACCTCCGTGTTGCCAAAGCCAGAGGCTGTGTCTCTGTCATTGTCTTATTTTACCTCTGGGCATCTGGGCAGCATCTAACAGAGCCGAGCACCCCTTCTCCTCGGAACACTTCTCTCCTGGCTTCTGAGGCACAACACTGTCTTATTTCCTTCCTTCCCCACTGACAGCCCGTTCTTGGTCTCCTTTATTAATTCCTCTTCCTATCCCAATCTCTTGATACCGAGGGTCCCCAGGGCTTGGGTCTGGGCCTTCTTCGTTCCTCTCTCTAGGTGATCTTGTCCATTCCACAGCTTTATTTATTTATTTATTTTTATTTTTTTGAGACATAGTCTTGCCCTTTCACCCAGGCTGGAGTGCAGTGGCGCAATCTCGGCTCACTGCAACCTCCACCTCCCGGGTTCAAGCGATTCTCCTGCCTCAGCCTCCGAATAGCTGGGACTACAGGTGCGTGCCACCACGCCCGGCTAATTTTTTGCATTTTTAGTGAGACGGGGTTTCGCCATGTTGGCCAGGCTGGTCTCAAACTCCTGACCTCAAGTGGTCCCCCTGCCTCAGCCTCCCAAAGTGCTGGGATTACGGGTGTGGGCCACCGCGCCCAGCCCCCACAGCTTTAAGTACCAGTTCAAGCAATGGATGCAAATGTGGTTCAGGCAGCACCTGCATGGGAATTTCCAGGGTGCTGGTTTAAATGCAGATTCCCAGACAATCCCACAAGCTGGCAAACTTGCTGTCAAGTACATCTGTCATTGTGTGCCAGTCTGGCATCTGACCTCCTTCCTATGTCTGGGGACTTCCTCACTGCACAGGTCTTGGCAGAGTTCACCTCCTGTGAAAGCTGAAAACAACAAATTCTTGCTTTTCCAGCCTCCCTTACACCTAAGCTCAACCAATCAGAAGCCCTCACTACAGACTTTGAATCAGGAGCACAGTGGAAGATCCATTCCAATGCTGGTGGCAACCACAGCAATGGTGTCTAGTGTTCAGGGAACAGTGACACAGCGATGGCATTTAGTGTGTGGCAGCAGTGTCCTGCCAAACTGGCTCGGTGGCATGATTTTGGCTGAGATCCTGCCTGCTGCCCAGCCCCAGTTTTCCAACTTCCCAGAAATTCTGTGAACTACTGAACATTCCCTTTCAGTGCAGCCCTTTTCTGCTTAAATCAGCTCAGGATGGTTTCTCTTGCTTGCCATAAAAAGCCTAAGATACCACCACTGAATCATACTCTCTGGGAATGACGCCAAGTGATTCTGACACAGATGCAGGTTTGAAACCCACGGTCTCGATGCTAACAGCTCTCAAATGTGTATCTCCAGCCCGCTCCTTTGAATTCCAAACTCACATACTGCCTTCTTGACATCTCCACTTGGATGTCTCAAGACCTATAAAGATATACAGATAGAATTCTTGGCCAGGCACAAGTGGCTCATGCTTGTAACCCTAACATTTTGGGAGGCCAAGGCAAGAGGATCACTTAAGCCCAAGAGTTTGAAACCAGCCTAGGCAACACAGCGAGACCTCATCTTTACCAAGAGAAGAAACAAATTAGCATGGATGTGGTGGCATGTGCCTGTGGAAGCACGAGGATTGCTTAAGCCCAGGAATTCAAGGCTGTGGTGAGCTATGACTGCACCACTGCATTCCAGCCTGGGCAAAAGAAGGAGACCCTGTCTCTAAAAAACAAAAAATTAAAAAAAAAAATAGAATTCTTGATTTCTCCCCAAACCTGTTCCCCTGCCAGATTTCCCCTTCTCGGTATATGGCACCCTTCCATCAGAAATTTAAGGCCGGGCACAGTGGCTCACACTTGTAATCTCAGCACTTTGGGAGGCTGAGGCGGGCAGATCATTTGAGGTCAGGAGTTTGAGAACAGCCTGGCCAACATGGTGAAACCTCATGTCTATTAAAAATACAAAAATTAGCTGGGTGTGGTAGCGGGCGCCTGTAGCCCCAGGTACTTGGGAGGCTGAGGCAGGAGAATCGCTTGAACCCGGGAGGTGGAGGTTGCAGTAAGCCGAGATGGTGCCACTGAACTCCAGCCTGGGCAATACAGTGAGACTCCATCCCAATCAAACAAAAAAAAAAAAGAAAAAAAGAAATGTGGGACACAATCTTGAGCACTGCCCACATGTACTCCATCGACAAATCTTGACTGCTTATAAAACACTTCTACAATCTGTGCACTTCTCTCCTCCTCCACCAACCACAACCCGATCCACACCACCATCATCTCTTCCCTAAATAACAGAATGGCCTCCTTGGGTCCTCTCCTGGCCCTTCCAATCTAGTTTCCATACAGCAACTGATATGATCTTTCTAAAATACAAACTGGATTATGCTGCTTGCCTGTGTACTAAATAAAACTTAAACTCACTACCAGGGCCATCAAACTTGAATATGGCCTTGCCACCACCACCCAAACTCAGCAGGTGCCACTCTTCCCTTTGCCCATCTCAGTGCTTTTGCCCCTTGGGCCCCCTTTCAGGGTCACATATATTTCAGCTTCTTTACTGCCTCAGGACCTTTGCCTAAGAGGTCCCCTCCATCTGGAGCACCCCCATACCATTATTCTCTATGAATGCTCCTTTTTAGTTTTTTTTTTTCTTTCATTTATTTGTTATTCAACCAACATTTTCTGAAAACACACTATGGTTCTATGGTAAATACTAGGGACACAACAGTGAGATTAGTTTCTATTCTCATAGAAGTCAAAATCTATTGACAAATTAGATCTTAATAAAATAATATTTTGTCGGGGGACAGAGTCTTGCTCTGTCGCCCAGGCTGGAGTACAATGGCGTGACCTGGGCTCACTGCAACCTCCACCTCCCGGGTTCAAGCAATTCTCGTGCCTCAGCCTCCCAAGTAGCTGGGATTACAGGCACGTGCCACCATACCCAGCTAATTTTTGTATTTTTAGGAGAGACAGGGTTTCGCCACGTTGGCCAGGCTGGTCTCGAACTCCTGACCTCCAGTGATCCATCTGCCTTGGGGAGGCTGAGGCAGGAGAATCACTTGAACCCAGGAGACAGAGGTTGCAGTGAGCCGAGATCACGCCACTGCACTCCAGCCTGAGCAACAGAGTGAGACTCCATCTCAAAAAAAAAAAAAAAAAAAAAAGAAGATGTTCCTTGGTGATGAGGGGCACACGTGGAGGTGAGAGGTCGCACCACTCATTGTGAAAACAGCTCTGGAAGGGAGCCTGAGGGAAGTTAGGAGTGTGGTCAAGTATGCACTGGGACATGAGGATCTAGGCTACAGGTACAAATGTGTGAGTCACCTGGAGATGGGAGGTAACTAAGGCCACACGTGTGGACAAGATTCCCTGAAGAGATGAGGACCCAGAACAAACCTCAAAGAAGGCCTTGACGAGGAGGATGAGTCTTCGTGCCACTTAGTACAATGAGCAACTTCTGACTTATTTGTTCTTTCTGTTTGTTTTGTTTTGTTTTGGAGACAGGGTCTTGCTCTATCACCTAGGCTAGCATGCAGTGGCACCATCGGAGTTCACTGCAGCCTCAATCTCCTGGGCTCAAGTGATCCTCTCACCTCGGCCTCCCAAAGTGCTGGCATTCAGGCATAAGCCACTGCACCCGGCTGTGACTTATTTGTTTACCTGCTTACTGTTGGGCTTTGCCAGAAGACTGTAAGGTCCACAGGGCAGGGACTGCATCTCTAACTGAGCGATGCATCTGCCCAGTGCCTCATACAGGGCCTGGCATGGAGCAGTCCCCCAGGCACTATGCTGGCAGGGCCAACCCCATCCATTCCTTGAGCAACATGATTGGGTCCACTGGTCCACACCGCCCAACAAAAAGTCAGAATGCTCAATTGGCATTCAAAACCCTCCAAGTCTTGCTGCACCCCCTTAGCATTCTAATCTCATCTTTTAAATCTTTTAAACTGCTGGGCACAGTGGCTCACGCCTGTAATCCCAGCACTTTGGGAAGCCGAGGTGGGTGGATCACCTGAGGTCAGGAGTTTGAGACAAGCCTGGCCAACATGGCAAAACCCCATCTCTACTGAAAATACAAAAATTAGCCAGGCATGGTGGCGGGCGCCTGTAATCCCAGCTACTCGGGAGGCTGAGGCAGGAGAATCGCTTGAACCTGGGAAGTGGAGGTTGCAGTGAGCCCAGATCGTGCCGTTGCACTCCAGCCTGGGTGACAAGAGTGAAACTCTATCTTAAAAAAAAACTCCAGCCAGGTGCAGTGGCTCATGCCTGTAATGCCAGCACTTTGAGAGGACGAGGCGGGTGGATCACGAGGTCAGGAGAACAAGACCATCCTGGCTAACACGGTGAAACCCTGTCTCTACTAGAAATACAAAAAATTATCCGGGCGTGGTGGTGGGCACCTGTAGTCCCAGCTACTCGGGAAGTTGAGGCAGAAGAATGGCGTGAACCTGGGAGGTGGAGGTCACAGTGAGCTGAGATCGTGCCACTGCACTCCAGCCTGCATGACAGAGTGAGACTCTGTCTCAAAAAAAAAATAAAAAATAAAAAATGAAAAAACTCCTATACCTGAGTTTTCTAAAGGGGTTCTTCTATACCTGAGAGTATGCATAAATGATCTAAACCAGGGAGGTACAGAACAGGATGGACACAGCACCTCTCCCTGGAACCTGGACTGTGTGAAATAAAGAGGAATCGCCATAGATACTTCTGAGGGGATTTTCCAGGCCCTGCCCCTCTTCTCTGAGAAGCGCCCCCTCCCACACCATAGGTCTCAATGGCCATGTTTACCCTGCCGGTCACTTTCCCTCCATGACCTCTGCTGATGAAACCAGGGGTGGAGACCCAGCCACTGGACCCAATCCAGAAACTGGGCCGGGCTGTCAACCTCTGCCAGGAACTTGGAAGTGGGACATGAGACTGGCTCAATCTAGTGTCCGGTTACCTTTAGACACTGGCCCAGTGAGGTCATGTGAGCATGGGGGCTGTGCTTTGGGGCCTATGTGATGATGAATGAGCGAAAGCACTGATCAGATGTGCAGAGGGAAGCAGAGGCAGGAGAGAACAAGAATGACGAAGCAGCTGCCTTAGTTCCTGACAACTTCCCAGCCTCCAGTTCCAGGCCCTGGAGAGGTGTACTTTTACCTCCGGCTCTTCAGTCTCATGAGGCACCTCTAATTCTTTAAAGCCAATTTCCCTCAATATTCTTCTCTGACGATCAAAAAACAAACAAACAAATTTCCCTCCAACAGAAACAAGCTTGACAGGGTTTATGTTTCTTGCAAACAATCTCTAAGATTACACAATTTTTACACTAAAATACATTTTACAAAGCAAACTGTAAAATTCACAAGAATATTAAAAATTAAGAAGGAAATCCTTTCTAAAACAAGATTCAAAAAAGCAAAAGTCACAAAGGAAAAGAAAAATGTAACTCCAAAACAATTTAAACTGTGCATTATAAGACCTGATACCAATTTAGGTAAACATTCCCCCAGCCACTCCCATTCCCCCACTGATAATATATTTTCCATGAGGAGATACATTGGGAAGCATGTACATTTCCATAGCAATTACCTCTGGGGAGAATACAGGGATTGAGATAGTTGTTCATAGGCCTTTTCTGTTATGTTTTAAATTACTTATTACAAATTATGCCCTGGCCGAGCATAGTGGCTCACGCCTGTAATCCTAACATTTTTGGAGGCTGAGGTGGGCAGATCACTTGAGCCCAGGAGTTCAAGACCAGCCGGGCAACATAGTGAAACCCCAACCCTACAAAAAATACAAAAATTAAGCCGGCGCCAGTAATCCTAGCTACTCAGGAGGCTGAGGTGGGAAAATCACCTGAGCCCAGGAGGTTGAGGCTGTGGTGAGCCATGATTGTGCCACTGTACTCTAGCCTGGGTGACAGAGTGAGACCCTGTCTCAAAAAATAAAATAATAATAAATTATGCCACTTGTCCAATTAAAACTTTCTTTTAAAATTTCAAAAATATATACAAAACAAGCCTTTGAAGATCTCCTATTTGTGGCAGACTGCTTCATCTGAGACCTACTGGAGGGGGTGTGTCCACTAGCAGTTTGAGGCACACAATATAGTATGAATTCTTAGCTCTGGTCAAAATGGCTTACTTGGTTCCCAATATGCTCTCTTCCCACCAGTCTCTGAATTCACTCCCTTGTCCTCTCCGATAAATGGGGTTCATCTATCCTTCCACCTGGAAGTGTCACCTCCTCCAGGAACTTCTCCCTCATTGCACCAGTCCTTACTGCTCTCTCCCTCTCCTGCTCCACTTGCCTCTTATGGCATTGACTGTACCTTTCTCTGGGGACTCAGGACAAACTCCTGGGGTTCTTACTGATCTCCCTGTAACAGGCTACTTCTCCCTAGTCAGTCAGCAAATCAAAGTAGCATCTTTATGTCCTTAGTGTCCTTTATGTCCATAGAGATGGCACAGAGAGCTGGACAGAGCCCAGGCAGAGCACAGCAGAGTCAGAGAGACCCACTGTGTGACACAGGGCAGCTGCCTCCACTGCCCTAGGCCCGGTTTCACCTGTTGTTGTGAATATCAATGAGATGATGGGCATAAAGGGGCCCAAGACAGGAAGAGGCTGGTTGACGTAATGACTATCTTAATATACTCCCTCACATTTGCATGGTGCTTCATAATTGAACACAAAAAACTTTAACAACCCAGTAAGGTAAGCAGGGAGTGATTAAGAGATCCATTTTAAGGATAAAATAACAAGGTTCAGAGAAGTTACGTAGGGAGGACAGACAGATGGACTTTAAAAGGAAAGAGAACAGGACCGGGGGTAGAACACGTGGGTAGAAATGCTAACTTTCCCACTATCCAGCCGCAGGAGCTTGGCCAAGTCTCTTGGCCTCTCTGGACATCAGTTACTCCATCTTATCTGAGAGAGTTTCTAGCTGGTCTCTATCTTAAAAGGGTCCCTCAGCCCTGACATTCTAGTTTCCTGTGATCTGCCCAGGGTCCTTCCCAGCAGGACTGTACAAAAGGGCTGCGAGTCCCAGGACAGGGTCCCTAGTTACTCCCAGGAAACCAGTCAGAACTGGAAGACTTGACTTAAGAATCAGTTGCATTTTGATTCAGTCAAATAGAGCTACAAGCCTGGGGGTGGGTTAGTCAAGCCCAGAACTGGGGGAAAAAATTGCAGCATCAAACTATATGTAAACACAATATAATCGCAAAATATAAATGCAAATGCAAAACCAAACAGGAAACCTCAGGGAAGTCTAATCCAAAGTTCAGACTCTAACTTTTTGGGCCCTGAGATGCTGAAGAGAAAAGCTGTGTTTGGGTGCCGCAAGCCTTTCTGTTGTAACAATGAACCTCTACGTGCACCAAACCAAAAATCTGAAGGCAAAGGAGGATGGGTTTTGTCTTGCCTGAACTGGGGCAAAGCTGAGCCCTGAACAGAGCCTGCTGTGGCCTCCAGACCCATTCTAAGGGTCCCTCCCCCAACACACAGTGCTTACACTTACACAGCCAGGCAAGGCCAGATGTATGGGCATAAATGGGCATTTCTGTCCATGGATAAGGTTCATATTGGAGCCCCTTCTCCTGCTCTAAGATTCTAATGAACAACCTGGGGAGGAGGATGAACCATGAAATCCCTAAGAATGTGGATGGCACTGAGCTATTCTGGGTCATGAAATGTGAGGCTATGAAGACAAATCTCAGGAAGCTCTCCAAAGGATGGGCTGGACAGCAGTGTTTCCCTGTGAGCCCCACAGTAAAATATAACCCACATCCACAGGCAGTGGACTCTGCCCAAGGAAGGAAGCCAAATCTGACCGGCTGCTTCTTATTTTAATAAAACATGTACCCCTACTATGTGCAAAGTAGTAGGCTAGGCTCCGTGAGACAAATGAGACAAGGTGAGGCTCTGTGAGACAAATGAAGACAAAAGAGACCCAATCACTGTCTAAAGAGATCTGCCGATTAATCTGACGATAATCATTCCATTTATCAAGAGGCATGGGCCAGTGCAGCGGCTCACACCTATAATCCTAGTACTTTGAGAGGCCAAGGCGGATAGACTGCCTGAGCTCAGGAGTTCAAGAACAGCCTGACCAACATGGTGAAACCCTGTCTCTACTAAAAATACAAATATTAGCCGGGTGTGGTGGAGCATGCCTGTAATTCCAGCTGCTTGGGAGGCTGAGGAATGAGAATTGCTTGAACCCGGGAGGCAGAGATTGCAGTCAGCTGAGATCGCACCACTGTACTCCAGCCTGGGAGACAGAGCAAGACTCTGTCTCCAAAAAAAAGATGCATGCTTTATATGCATTGTCTCATGTGAGGTACACATTATTACCCCCATTCCACAGATGACAGGACAGGTCACATGCCCACGTTCACCCAAATGGCAAACTGCAGAGCCAGCGTTTGAAAAAAGGTCTGCCTTGGCCGGCGCGGTGGCTCACGCCTGTAATCCCAGCACTTTGGGAGGCCGAGACGGGCGGATCATGAGGTCAGGAGATCGAGACCATCCTGGCTAACACGGTGAAACCCCGTCTCTACTAAAAATACAAAAAAAAAATTAGCCAGGCGTAGTGGCGGGAGCCTGTAGTCCCAGCTACTCGGGAGGCTGAGGCAGGAGAATGGTGTGAACCTGGGAGGCGGAGTTTGCATTGAGCCAAGATCGCGTCACTGCACTCCAGCCTGGGCGACACAGCGAGACTCCGTCTCAAAAAAAAAAAAGGAAAGAAAAAAGGTCTGCCTTCCCCAAAGTCGATGCTCCTTCCACAATCCTCTATCACCCTTACAAAGTGATACAAACAGACTCCGAGATGGAGGGTCACCCTGACAAGAGAGAAGAGGACAGATTTCCTGACACTGGCGCAGGGTGTTATGAACTACTGAGCTTTGTATCTGCCACGCAGTGGGTGCCTAGTACACTTAAGGTGAAGGGTGGAAGGCTAGAGCCGTTGCTGAGGTCCAAAATGCCACCCAAATTGAGGGCATCCTTTGGATGGGGAGCTGCAAAAACACATTATTCTCCGTTGGACCAAGGCCACGGGGTGTCTGTCCTAGAATATTCTTTGCAGAGGAGCTGCGGAAAGCTGCAGCAGGTTCAGAGAAGAGGAATGGAAGGAACTCCGAAGAGCATGGGAATGGGGTGGGGCAGCCTGCAAGACCGAAAGAAAAGGCCTGGGACGCTTTGCTGGGAAAGACAAAGAGGAGAGGGGAGGGGAGAGGAGACGATAAACTTGCCAACAGCCCGGCCAAGGTGAACCCCGGCTCCTGGCGCCTTCCCATCCGCATTCATTCCACAAACGCGGGCCAAATCTCCGAACCAGCCGCAAGCGGGAGGGGGCCTCTCTGCAGCCGGGGGGAAGAAAGTTCAGGACTGAGGCGGGAAGCCTGCCTCTCAGAAGGGGAGTGACTCGGGGGGCACACTTGTGGGGCTCCGAAGATGAAAACGCAAACTGAGGCTGGAAGGCGCTAGGCAAACACATATGTGATGAGGCGGTCACGCGGGGCACTTGGGGTACGTCCCCCGACCTGTGGAGTTTGTCATCGAAGAGACCTCGAGGCCCCCCAAAACGGTCCCTCGGGCCTTCCCCCGCCTCGACGGTGAGGACGCAGCTGTTGGAGATGCGCTCGGTCCTCCCAGACCTAGGGAGGGGGCAGGTTTCGGGGCGCGGTGAAGGGCCATCGCAGCTCGGGTGCGACACGCCTGTGGAGGTCAAGGCCAGGCCCGGCGCCGACCCCCGACCCCTCCCGCCTCGGCCCCCTCACCTCCTCCCGCGCCAGCGCCGCCCCTCGGTACCGGGGCATCTTGGCGGCGAAGGCGGCGGCCCCAGCCGGGGAGCTGAGGTCCTCCGCGGTGACGGCCAGGAACTCGGCGACGCTGAACTGCTCCGGCATGGCGGGCGCGAGCGTGGAGCTGCCGGAGCGGGGCGCGGGGGGCACTGAGCTGCTCCGCGCTGAGCCGGCCTCACCGCCGGCCGGGGGCGCCGTCCCGGCCTCCACACGCCCCGCCCCTCCGCACGCCCCGCCCCCGACCCTCCAGCCGCTCTCCGCTCCTCAGCTGGGACGGCCCCGCCCCCGGCTCCTCGCCTTCCTCCACCGCCAAGGTCCAGGCTCCGGCCCCGGTCCCGGCCCCGCACCGCGTCAGGCCGCTTCCCCGGCCCCTCGCCGGCCCCCTAGGCCACGCCCCCAGCCCCTCACCGCCTCAGACCCCGCCCCCTGGCGCGATGCCCCACCCCTGGCCTCAGTAGAAACTCCTCCGCCTTCCCCCATCCCTGCCCCTTCAGGGCTCTGTCCCGTTTCATCCCGCTCTGGGTCTTCCAAATCCTCCTCCCTTGCACGGCCCAGGCTGTTCCATCTCCGCGTCGAGTCTTAGAGCCCCCTCCCTCTTCCTCCCTCCTCTGCTGATTCGTTCCGAGTTCCCCATGACCTCGCCCCTTCTGCCCTACCACCCCCCCGCCACCCTTCCCTCCTCTCTCCCCAGTCCCGCCCAATCTCCTTGCCTCGCTCCGCCCCGAATCGCCCCACCCCTCCTTTGCTGCGTACGCCCAGCTCTCAGCCTCAGCTTTGCAGGCATCCGGAGACTCCCTCCTGATAACCCCCGCCGCCCCGGGGATGTGTGGATCGGGGCCCCTGGCTAGCTGTGTGACTTGGGGAAAATTACTTCTCTTCTGGAACCTCAGTTTCCTTATCTGTACAATGGGAAGCCTGATGCCCGCTTGATTGTGATGTTGCGAAGAACCGAACACGTGCGTGTACTAGTTCCCTCTTACCCGACCATAGATCGCACCCACGCCTTTACTCTTCCTGCTCCTGCCTTTCACCCCTTAATCTGGCTCACCATCCTTTGGGGCGGATGAGGGATGGGGTTCAGGATAGAAATCCACTTAGGTTTAGTTCTGAAGCCTGAGGTCCTCTGGGGAAAAGTTCTCCAAGTAAAAAGCTAGGAAAGCACCGCAGCAAGGAACATTGGTTTTGGAGTCAGAGGAACCTAGATTCCAATCTTGGTTACTTTGGATAAATTGCTTGCTTCTCTAAGCCTGCATTTCCCCCTCTTAAAATGGCCTCATGGTATTTTACCCCACAGGGCGGCGATTGAGAGAATCTTTTCTTTTCTCGCACAGAAAAGAAAAGAAAAGAAAAAATCCGGAAAGATATGCACTAAAATGTTGCACCAGCAACATTTTATGCACTAGCTGAAGACAGATATGCACTAGCTGAAGACATTATGAGTAACTTTCTTTTCTTTTGGTGAATCTGTATATCCTAACTTTTATACAATGACCATATACTACTGTGTAATAGAATTAAAAGTTGACGGGAGCGATGGCTCATGCCTGTAATCTTAGCACTTTGGGAAGCCGAGGTGAGCGGATTGTTCAGGAGTTCAAGGCCAACCTGAGCAACATGGCGAAACCTTGTCTCTACAAAATATACAAAAATTAGCCCGGCGTGGTGGCTCTTGCCTGTAGTCCCAGCTACTTGGTGGGCTGAGGCAGGAAAATGGCTTAAACCTGGGAGGTCAAGTTTGCAGTGAGCTGAGATCCTGCCATTGCACTCCAGCCTGGGTGACAAAGTGAGACCCTGTCTCAAAAAAAAAAAAAAAGAAAAAGAAAAAGAAAAGAAAGAAAAAAGAATTAAAAGTTGAAAAAAATGTGTACCATCTGATAGAGACGACAACTATTCCAAGAGTTCTTTCAAGGTCAACTTCTCCTGTTGAAACCAAATAGGCACTTTTCTTGTTATTTATTTTTAGAGACAAGGTCTCACTCTGTCGCCCAGGCTGAAGTGCAGTGCAATGATCATAGCTCAAGGCAGCCTCAAACTCCTGAGCTTAGGCACTTTTCTTGCTTGACTTTTAGGAGCATCTGACAATGTTAACCACTCCCTTCTCCTTGAAACACCCTTGCCCCTGAATCCTAGGAGAACTATTTTCTTTGGTGGCCCTCTCCCTCTGGCTGTTCCAAGAGCCCTTTCTGAGATGCACTTCCTCCGCAGGGATCTTAAATGCTGGAGTTGTTGGGAGCTCTCTGCTAAATCCTCTGCATGTCTCACTCTATCAGCCTTCCTGGATTTCTTCATCCAATCCCAACGGTAATGTTGATGTCTTCTGTACTAGTTTCCTGTTGCTACTATAACAAATCACCAATAACTTCCCTCAGCCTCCCGAGTAGCTGGGATTACAGGCACGTGCCACCACACCCAGCTAATTTTTGTATTTTTTAGTAGAGACGGGGTTTCGCCGTGTTGGCCAGGCTGGTCTTGAACTTCTGACCTCAGGTGATCCGCCCACCTCGGCCTCCCAGAGTGCTGGGATTACAGGCATGAGCCACTGCGCCTGGCCACATTTATTCTTTTACATGTCTGGAGGTCACAAGTCTGCAATAACTTTCACTGGGCTAAAATCAAGGTATCAGTGGGGCTGTACTTCCTCTGGATGCTATAAGGGAGCATCTGTTTTCTTGCTTTTGCAGCTTCGAGAGCTGTAGTTTTTGCATTCTTTGGCTTATGGCACCTTCCACCTTCAAGGGCAGCAGCATCTTCAAGCATCTTACTTGCCTTCTTCCCTGTGATCAAATTTCTCCCAGCCTCCCCACCCCTCTTCTTTTTGTTTTTTTTTTGTTTTTTTTGAGACGGAGTTTCACTCTTGTTGCCCAGGCTGAAGTGCAATGGTGCGATCTCAGCTCACCACAACCTCCGCCTCCCGGGTTCCAGCGATTCTCCTGCCTCAGCCTCCAGAGTAGCTGGGATTACAGGCATGCGCCACTATGCCCGGCTAATTTTGTATGTTTAGTAGAGATGGGGTTTCTCAATGTTGGTCCTCGAACTCCTGACCTTAGGAGATCCACCCGCGTCGGCCTCCGAAAGTTCTGGGATTACAGGCATGAGCCACGGCGCCCGGCCCCCTCTTTTTTTTTTTTTTTTTTTTTTTTTTTGAGGCAGGGTCTCATTCTGTCACTCCAAGCAGTGGAGTGATCACAGCTCCCTGAAGTCTCAACCTCCTGGGCTTTTGCGATCCTCCCACCTCAGCCTCCCAAGTAGCTGGGACTGCAGGTGCATGACACCACGCCCAGCTAGTTCAACCTCTCTCTTTTTTTTTTTTTTTTTTTTGAGACGTGATGCCTCTCTGTCGCCCAGGCTGGAGTGCAGTGGTGTGATCTCAGCTCACTGCAACCTCTGCTTCACAGGTTCAAGGGATTTTTGTGCCTCAGCCTCCTGAGTAGCTAGAATTACAGGCCCATGCCACCACACCCAGCTAATTTTTTATTTTTATTTTTTATTTACTTATATTTTTATTTTTTGTATTTTTAGTACAGACAGGGTTTCATCATGTTGGCCAGACTGGTCTCCAACTCCTGACCTCAAGTGGTCCACCCACCTGGACCTCTCAAAGTGCTCAGCCTCCCTCTTATAAGGACATTTGTGATTACATTTAGGGCCTATCCAGATAATCCAGGATAATCTCCCCATCTCAAAATCCTTAATTTAATCACACCTGCAAAATCTCTTTTGCTATATAAGTGCCATTTACAGGTTCCATGGATTAGGACCTGGATATCTTTGGGAGCCATTACTGAGCCAATCACATCTTCCAAGGCTGTATTTCCAGCCTGGACTCTTCTCTAGTTCAAGATCTATGTATCCAGCCACCTATGAGACAGTTTCATTTCACTGGCTCACAGACAGACACCTTAAACTCTACAGGTCCAAAACTGAACTCACCATCTCGTACGCCCACTCCTTGCACCAGATTGTTTTCTGTCCCTGTCTTGATGGAAGGCATTACCATGCACCCCCTCGGAGTCATCCTCTCCTCCCTTCTTCTACCAACCTCCCCTCAAACAAGTCTTGTCACTAGTCTCACCAGTGAGACCACCTTCTCCATCTGCAGGCCAACCCCAGTCCAGACCACTGCCACCTCTCACTTCCTCGCTGGTCTCCCTGCCCCTAATCTTGCATATCTGTTCTGTTGCTCCTCTACTTAGAACTCTTCAGTGCCCCCCGCATTGCTCTCTGAATAAAAGCCAAACTTGTTTTCATGGATGTCTAGCCCTGCATGGTCTTGCTGCTCCTGCCATTCACAGGCTGATCTCTTGCCTCTCTGTCCCCACTGTGATTGAGCCCCTTCACTGTTCTCCCCTCCGTCTGTAATGCTCTCCCACGTCCTTTCAGCAGGCCAACTTAGATGTCAATTCCTCCAAGAACCCTTCCTTGATGTACTTACTCTGGACTCCTACGGGATCCAGTATCTCCCACCACAGCAATTACCACTGTGGACTGTAATAATCAGTTTTCTGGTCTGGGGCTCTGGCCCACCTATTTATTTATTTATTTATTTACTACGTACTAGTCACAGGGCCAAGGGCTATACAAGCAATAGCTCACTCAATACCCACTCAATACTCACAGCAACCCTATGAGGTAGGTGACGTTATGCTTCCCATCTCACTGAAATTAAAGCTTAGAGAGATTAATTTGTATAAAGTCAGAATGAACAAGTAATATAACCAGGATTCCAACCCAGGTCTGCAAGACTTTAAAGCCTTCTTTGTTTTGTTTTATTGTTATTATTTTGAGACAGGGTCTCACTTTGTCACCCGGGCTGGAGTGCAGTGGCATGATCATGGCTCACTATAGTCTAAACCTCCTGGGCTCAAGGGATCCTCCCATCTCATCCTCCCAAGTACCTGGGACCACAGATGTGTGCCACCACACTGGGCTAACTTTTAATTTTTATTTATTTATTTATTTATTTTTGAGATGGAGTCTTGCTCTGTCACCCAGGCTGGAGTGCAGTGGCTCAATCTCGGCTCACTGCAAGCTCCGCCTCCCGGGTTCACAGCATTCTCCTGCCTCAGCCTCCCAAGTTGCTGGGACTACAGGTGCCCACCACCATGCCCAGCTAATTTTTTGTATTTTTAGTAGAGATGGGGTTTCACCCTGTTAGCCAGGATGGTCTCGATCTCCCTCCCGATCTCGTGATCCGCCCGCCTTGGCCTCCCAAAGTGCTGGGATTACAGGCGTGAGCCACCGCGCCTGCCACTTTTAATTTTTATATGGAGGTCGGGGGGCAGGGGTCTCACTTTGCCCAGGCTGGTCTCGAACTCTTGAGCTCAAGTGATCCTCCCTCCTCAGCCTCCCAAAGTGCTGGAATTATAGGTCTAAGCCACTGAGCCTGGCCATTCTCTCTCTCTCTCTTTTTAAGTAAAATAACTTTTTGTTTTTACTTAAATATGTGAACAATTCAATTACAGTGAAATTTTTTCTGAACCTCCAGGTTTAGGGTAATCTTTAAGTAATCTATAGGTATTTGATATTATGTCATGCCCGACTATGTTTATATTGGATCAAAATAGAGAAGGAGAGAAAACTGTAAGGATTCCAAGTGTTTGATATACCTAATGCAAATACTGTACTTTCAGTGCCATAATTTTTAAAATAGAACCTCTCAAGATAGCTTATCCTCATTTCTGCATACAATCAATAAATAGAGACTCAGGAGCAACTGCTTGAACAGTCCTCTGCTGGTACCGTTACCGGAAAGGGGTCCAGACCCCAAGAGAGGGTTCTTGGATCTCACACAAAGTCCATAAAGCGAAAGCAAGTTTATTAGGAAAGTGAAGGAATACAGAATGGATAACCTACAGGCAAAGCTGCCCCCAGGGGCTGCTGGTTGCGCATTTTTATGGTCATTTATTGATTATATGCTAAACAAGGGGTGGATTATTCATGAGTTTTCCCGGAAAGGGGTGCTCAGAACTGAGGGTTCCTCCCCTTTTTAGACCCTATAGGGTGACTTCCTGACGTTGCCATGGCATTTGTAAGCTGTCGGGGCACTGGTGGGAGTGTCTCTTAGCATGCTACTGTATTATAATTAGCATATAATGAGCAGTGAGGATGACCAGAGGTCACTTTGCAGCAATCTTGGTTTTGGTGGATTTTGGCTGGCTTCTTTACCACAGCCTGTTTTATCAGCAACGTCTTTGTGACCTGTATCTCATCCTGTGACTTAGAATGTCCTGCTTTCTGGGAGTGCAGGCCAGTAGGTCTCAGCCTTATTTTACCCAGACCCTATTCAAGATGGAGTCACTCTAGTTTAAACACCTCTGATGGTATTATTAGATTCTTGTGCTTGATTTTGGTTCACTGGCAAACTGCCATGTGCCAAGAGGAGAGTCCTCTGGGGTGAAGCAGTTGGGAGGGTAAGAAATGAGCTCAGAGAGGTCCTGGGATGCTTGCTCTCTGGAGCAAGTTTTTTTCCAGATAAAATCAAACCATCAAGGGGTTGGGCACAATGGGCAACATAGTGAGACTTCACTTCTACAAAAAATTTAAAAATTAGTCAGGTGTGATGGCACGTGTCTGTAGTCCTGCTACGTTCTGCTACTTGGGAGGCTGAGGTGGGAGGATTGCTTGAGCCCAGGAGTGTGAGGCTATACACAGCTTTGATCACGCCACTGGTTAGAGACAGGGTCTCGCTCTGTCACCCAGGCTGGAGCACAGTGGCATGATCATGGCTCTGTAACCTTGACCAATCCTCCTGCCTCAACCTCCAGATTCATTGCGACTACAGGTGCATGCCACCATGCCTGGCCTTGCTATATTCTCTTAAACTCTGCCTGATCAGAATTTTGCTCCCACCAGCCACTGAACTGCTCTCATCAAGGCCACCATGACCCCCCCACCTGCTGAACCCAGAGGTCAGTGCTCAGTCCTCATCCTGCAGCCCCTCCAGCAGCTGCCTAATGTCTCCCCCATTTCTTTACTTGGCCTCAAGACACCACACTGCTTTGATTTTCTTCCTCTCGTACTGGTGGCTCCTTCTTGAACTCCTTGGTTTGTTCCTCCTCTTCTTTCTGATTTCTCAGCACTGAGGACTCCTCTCCACTCTCCATGCTCACTCCCTTGGGATTCCACCCAGTCCCATGGCTTTAAATATCATCTAGATCCTGGTGATTCCCAACTTGTAACTCCAGCCTGGACCCTCTCCCTTGACCTGCAGATTACTATATCCAACTGCCTCCAGACACGTCTGCCTGGAAGTCTAAGGGGCCATCTTGAACTTAACCTATGCAAAGCTGAATTCCTGGCTTCCCTACCCAAAGTACCTATGCATACACACATGCACACACGCACGCACATGCACATGCACACACCTCTTCCTCATCTAAACTGGTGGCAACTTCCATTTTCTTCTTCTTCTTTTTTTTTTTTTTTTGAGACAGAGTCTCACTGTGCTGCCCAGGCTGGAGTGCAATGGCATAATCTCGGCTCACTGCAACCTCCGCCTCCCGGGTTCAAGCAATTCTCCTGCCTTAGCCTCCCGAATATCTGGGATTACAGGTGTGCGCCACCATGCCCGGCTAATTTTTGTATTTTTTAGTAGAGACAGTGTTTCACCATGTTGGTCATGCTGGTCTTGAACTCCTGACCTCGTGATCCGCCAGCCTCAGCCTCCCAAAGTGCTGGGATTACAGGTATGAGCCACTGCGCCCAGCCCACAACTTCCATTTTCTAGCGTTCAGGATGAACATTCTTGACTCTTCTCTTTCTCTCACACCCCACATCATGAAATCCATTGGCTCTATCCCTAAAATATATCTAGAACGCCACTCCTCATCACTGCACCGCTAGTGGCCTGGTCCAAGCCATTGTGATCTCTTGCCCGGATCACTGCAGGAGCCTTCATTGTGCTCTCTGCTTCCACCCTGGCTGCTCTACAGCCTATTCTTTTTTCTTTTTTCTTTTTTTTTTTTTTTTTTGAGAGAGAGGGTCTCGCTCTGTTGCCCAAGTTGTAGTGCAGTGGCAAAATCTTGGCTCACTGCAACCTCCCAACTTCAAGCAATTCTCATGCCTCATCCTTCCAAGTAGCTGGAATTACAGGCATGTGCCACCATGCCCAGCTAATTTTTCTATTTTTAGTAGAGATGGGGCTTCGCCATGTTGGCCAGGCTGGTCTTGAACTCCTGACCTCAAGTGATCCACCCATCTTGGCCTTTCAGAGTGCTAGGATTACAGGTGTGAGCCACCATGCCCGGCCTACAGCCTATTCTCAACTGAGCAGCAAGTGACTCTGATACCAGATCATGTCATTGCACTCTGCAAAACCCTCTAATGCCTCTCACTCAAGCCAAAAGCCAAGCCTTGCATGGCCTGAAGGTCTTACCTAATCTGCCTTCCTCTGACCTCATCCCTTCTCACTCTCCCTCTCCTCCCCTGCTCCAGTCACATTGACTTCCTTAGTGTTCCTTGAATATACTTGGCACACTTGTGCCCCAGGACCTTTGCACTGGCTGCTCCTCCTGCCTGGCATGGTCTTCCCACAGATATCCACATGGCCAGTGTTCTCACTTCTTTCTGCCAAGTCTTAGCCCAAATGCTACCATCTCAGGGAGGCTTATCCTGACCACCCAATTTAAACTGCTATTGGCCAGGTGTGGTAGCTCACGCTTGTAATCCCAGAACTTTGGGATACTGAGGTAGGCAAATCACCTGAGCCCAGGAGTTCAAGATCAGCCTGGGCAACATGGCAAAACTCCATCTCTACAAAAAATTTGCTGGGTGTGGTGGCACACACCTGTAGTCCCAACTACTCGGGAGGCTGAGGCAGGAGGATCACCTGGGCCAAGGGAGGTTGAGGCTGCAATGAACTGTGACTGCACCACTGCACTCCAGCCTGGGCGACAGAATGAGATCCTGTCTCAAAAAACAAAAAGACTATGATGATGATGATGATGATGATGATGATGATGATGATTATTTGAGACAGAGTCTCAAATTGTCACCCAGGCTGGAGTGCAGTGGTGTGATCTTGGCTCACTGCAACCTCCACCTCCCAGGCTGAAGCAATTCTCGTGCCTCAGCCTCCTGAGTCGCTGGGATTACAAGCGCACACCACCATGCTCGGCTAAATTTTTTTGTATTTTTAGTAGGGACCAGGTTTCACCATGTTGGTCAGGCTGGTCTCGAACTCCTAGCCTCAGATGATCCACCTGCCTCAGCCTCCCAAAATGCTAAGATTACAGGCATGAGCCACTGTGACCAGTCAGGATGATGATTATGTTAGGTCTACCTAGATAATCCAAGATAATCACCCATTTCAGGGTCAGCTGATTAGCTATCTTATCACCTGTAATCTTAATTTTCCCTTGCCATGTAATATCACATATTCACAGGTTCGGGGGATTAGGACATTGGATATCTTTTGGGAGTGGGGCATTATTCTGCCTACTGTGATGGGTAAGTAAGAAAACACTGTTGGCCAGGTGCAGTGGCTCATGCCTGTAATCCCAGCACTTTGGGAGGCTGAGGCGGGTGGATCATGAGGTCAGGAGTTCAAGACCAGCCTGGCCAAGATGGTGAAGACCCGTCTCTATTAAAAATACAAAAAAATTAGCCGAGCGTGATGGCAGCTCGGCTGAGTAGCTGTAATTCCAGCTACTCAGGAGGCTGAGGCAGAGAATTGTTTGAACCAAGGAGGCAGAAGTTGCAGTGAGCTGAGATCGTGCCACTGCACTCCAGCCTGGACGACAGAACGAGACTCCATCTCAAAAAAACACAAAACCCAAAAAAACGACAACAAAAAAAACACTGTTGTTGGGCAATGACATATAGGGACTTTGAGCTATGAGTATACCTGTGCTCAAAAAGCTACCAGGGGGCCGGGCGCAGTGGCTTACACCTGTAATCCCAGCACTTTGGGAGGCCGAGGCGGGCAGATCACGAGGTCAGGAGATCAAGACCATCCTGGCTAACATGGTGAAACCCCATCTCTACTAAAAATAAAAAAAAAATTAGCCGGGCCTGATGGCGGGAGCCTGTAGTCCCAGCTACTCGGGAGGCTGAGGCAGGAGAATGGCGTGAACCCGGGAGGTGGAGCTTGCAGTGAGCCAAGATCGCGCCACTGCACTCCAGCCTGGGAGACAGAGCGAGACTCTGTCTCAAAAAAAAAAAAAAAAAAAAAAGCTACCAGGGATCAGGGATCCCCACTGCTTCCAGGATAAGGGCAAGATCTCTCAGCCTAGCAGGCAAAGCATGTCATGAATTGACCTATATTCCCATTTTATGAACAGGTACTTTCTGGCTTCCTTGCTTCCACTCTACCTGAAAGCCCTTTTCTTCCATTTATGATCTTGAAAGTCCTTCCATTGATTATGGTCAAGTTCAAATGTTGCCTCTTCCATGAAACCTTTTCAGAACCCCCAGAATGAGTCTCCCTCCACTGTTGCTACTGTGGAATTTGTCTTGATGGGAGTCATTTGTGTATGTACCAGTTGGGGGTCGTTCCCATCTAAGCGTGGGCACCTGGACCATGGAGTCCACCTCAGCATAGGTCAGCAGTTCTCACACTTGAGTGTGCATCTGAATCACCTGGAGGACTTATTAAAATGCAGACTCCTGGGGCCAACATCCAGAATTTCAGATTCAGTTGATGTGGGATGGGACCTGGTCATCTGCATTTCTTTTTTTTTTTTTTAAGACAGAGCCTAGCTCTGTCGCCCAGGCTGGGGTGCAATGGTGCGATCTCGGCTCACTGCAACCTCCACCTCCCGAGTTCAAGTGATTCTCTCCTGTCTCAGCCTCCTGAGTAGCTGGGATTACAGGTGCCCGCCACTGCACCTGGCTAATTTTTGGTATTTTTAGTAGAGACAGGGTTTCACCATGTTGGCCAGGCTTGTCTCGAATTCCTGACCTCAGGTGATCCGCCCATCTCGGCCTCCTGAATTGCTGGGATTACAGGCGTGAGCCACCATGCCTGGCCAGTCATCTGCATTTCTAACAACTACCCAGGTAATTCTGATGCTGCTGGTCTGGGGAGTACACTTTGAGAACCACAGGCACAGAAGCTGAGATGTTGTCATCAGGCTAGACCTGGCTTCAAATCTCAGCTCTGCCTCTTACTCTGTGATTCTGGATATGTCCCTATCCCTCTCCGAGCTGCTTTCTCATCTATAAAAGGATTCATCTTCCCCTCCCCACTGGGGTGATGTGAAGAGTAACAGGCTTAGGACAATTCCAATTAGGACAATTGCAGGTTCTTAATAAAAGGCCTGAAGCTCTACCTCTAAAATTTTCCTCCCCCTGTGTTTTGGCTTCCTAGTAGGTGCTCAATAAAAACTTGTGAATTGGTTTTAGGGGAAACTACTGCCTTGGACACTTGGAAAAAAGGTGCTGGCAGCCGGGCGCGGTGGCTCACGCCTATAATCCCAGCACTTTGGGAGGCAGAGGACAGCGGTTCACTTGAGGTCAGGAGTTCAAGACCAGCCTGGTGAAACCCCATCTCTACTTAAAAAAAAAAAAAAAATTAGCTGGGCTTGGTGGCGTGTGCCTATAGTCCTGGCTACTCGAGAGGCTGAGGCATGAGAATCGCTTGAACCCAGGAGGTGGAGGTTGCAGTGAGCCAAGATTGTGCCACTGCACTCCAGTCTGGGCAACAGAGCAAGACTCTGTCTCAAAAAAAAAGCTGGCAACATGAGAAGTGGTGGGTATGTCTGGGTCAAAGGAATGAATGAACTTCACACTGGTGAGCATTTTCCTGACAATAACAATCACGTCAGAAGTGACAGCAGATCAACTGTATTGCAAGTTCATGGTTATTTATCCACAAAAGCTTCCCTAGTACCTCCAAGGAACCTGGTGGCTGGTGGCCCTGCCAGGGTTACAGAGCTCAAGGGAAGGTGGTGGTCCTCAAAGGGCTCAGACCATGAGGAAGATTTGTGTAAGTAGAGAAATAATGAGGCCAGGCTCATACCTGTAATCCCAAAACTTTGGGAAGCTGAGGCAGGAGGATGGCTTGAGCCCAGGAGTTTGAGAGCAGCCTGGGCAACTTAGCGAGACCCCATCTCTTAAAAAAAATACAAAAATTAGCCAGGCATGGTGGTGTGCATCTATAGTCCCAGCTACTTGAGAGGCTGAGATAGGAGGATGACCTGGACCCGGGAAGTCGATGCTGCAGTGAGCTGTGATTGTGCCACTGCACTTCAGTCTGGGCAACAGAGGTAGACCCTATCTCAAAAAAAAGAAAAAGAAAAGAAAAAAAAAAGGGGCCAGGAGCAGTAGCTCACGCCTGTAATCCCAGCACTTTGGGAGGCTGAGGCGGACAGATCACAAGGTCAGGAGTTCGAGACCAGCCTGGCCAATATGGTGAAACCCTGTCTCTACTAAAAATACAAAACTTAGCTGGGCGTGTGGCGGGCACCTGTAGTCCCAGCTACTTGGGAGGCTGAGGCAGGAGAATCGCTTGAACCCGGGAGGCAGAGGTTGCAGTGAGCCCAGGTCGTGCCATTGCACTCCAGCCTGGGCGACAGAACGAGTCTCCATCTCAAAAAAAAGAAGAAGAAAAGAAAGAAATAACAGGATCAGGCTTGTCCCAGGGACCTGAAAGTACAGCCTAGTAGTGGTGGTGGGATAGGGGATTGCTGGCCTTAGGGCACGCATTGTCTGGGAAGAGGATTCCCTGTGGCTGGGACACTGCCTACAGGCTTCCCCAAGGGCCTGTTTCCTTAGAATACCAAATACACACACATGCAAATCGTGCTTTCTTTGCTGCTCCTGAAGCCAGGTGTCTTCTCACAGTTTATATTTGAGGGACCACTAGTCAAACTGTTTGTGGGCAAAAGACTGTGTCTTTGTTTCCCCAGAATCTGGCAGTGTACACACACAGAAAATCTTAAAGGTCAGAATGGAGCCCCCATAATGCCAGTTAGGAGGCTGGACCACATGGAAGTCACAAGCATGGCCCTTGGAGCTTAGATGGCCACGTTGCAGTCTGGTTGTATCACCAGGACCGGGACTAGGGTGAGGCAGGTGAAGTGCCTCTCTTGCTCACCCTTACTAGCTGTGTGACCTCACATAAGTAAATTCACCTCTTTGAGCCTCACTGGCAATAATAATGCCTATTCTATAAGGTTTTTGAAAAGATTGCATAGAATAAAACCTGGTCACTAAAGAGATCTCAATAAAAGGTAGCTTTTCCCAATTTCTGCATTTGGCAGAGTGGCCAGCAGAGGGCAGTGGTCCCCATGCTGGGAAAATAACCTGCCTGGGCAGAGGCCTAGCTAGCGCTGACGGGGCAAACAGTTCGAGTGGTCAGGGATCCCTTTAATTGAGGGACTACACGCTCCAGGAAGGGGTGTGTGGCCATAACTGGGTCAACACAACCACTAGCCAACAGATACACTGGGCATCCTGCTGGTCACCCTTTGCTGTGGTCACTTGTTTCAAGCGATTCTCTTGCCTCAGCCTCCTGAGTAGCTGGGACTACAGGCACACGCCGCCACGCCTGGCTAATTTTTTGTATTTTAGTAGAGACGGGGTTTCACCGTGTTGCCCAGGCTGGTGGTGAACTCCTGAGCTCAGGCAATCCTCCCGCCTCAGCCTCCCAAAGTGCTGGGATTGTAGGCGTGAGCCACCACACTTGGCCCTGTTCTACATATTTTAACCATGGAGCCACCTGGCCTTTTCCCAAACAGCTCCTTCTGCCTGCTGTGCAGCCTTCTCCCCTTCTTTCCTTAGGCAAGCATCTCCTTCAGGCCCCATCCCCAACCCTCTCTGAGTCCATCTTTCCATAGATGGAGCCCATCCGAGCTCCCAGAGCATTCTATTCTTCCTTGATGGTGGCATTTATAACACTTTATTAAACGACATATTTATAAGACATGAAGTTTGGCTAGAGGTTAAGAGTAGGGTTTCCTGGGGCTGCATGGCCTGGGCTCTATCACATGTTGTGTGACTTTGTACACATTGCCCAACCTCTCTGAGTCTCAATTTCCTCATTTGTAAACATGGGGCTAATAACAATACCTACTTTATAGGGTTTTGCCAGAAACCATTTAGCCATAACTTTTAATGGCAAAAACCGCAATTACTTTTGCACCAACCTAATAAATGATTTTGTTGTTGTTGTTTGTTTGTTTGTGGTTTTTTTTTTTTGGTTGTTTGAGATGGGGTCTCACTCTGTTGCCCAGGCTGGAGTACAGTGGCATGCTTATGACTCACTGCACCCTAGACCTTCTGGGCTCAGGTGATCCTTCCAGCTCAGCCTCTCAAAGGGCTGGGACTACAGGCCACCACCATGCCTGGCTAATTTTTTGTATTTTTTGTAGAGATGGGGTTTCACTATGTTGTCCAGGCTGGTCTCAAACACATGGGCTTAAGTGATCCATCTGCCTCCCAAAGTGCTGGGATTACAGGTGTGAGCTACCACGCTTGGCCGGAAGCTAAATGATGTTATGCACACGAGGCCCTAATTTGTTGAATAAATGAATGAGCAAGTGAGTGAATCCACTGGGCTGTGAGCTCCTCAAGAATAAGGATTGTTTTCTTTCTTTTTTACATTTTGCAATGTCTGAATCCCAGTGTGGGCATTGCATGTTATCTGGTGCGGTGGTCCTCCTGACCAGTATTCTCAACATCACCTTGGAGCTTGTTAGAGATGCCCTTTTTTTTTTTTTTTTTTTTTTTTTTTTTTTTTCAGATGGAGTTTCACTCTTGTTGCCCAGGCTGGAGTGCAATGACACAATCTCAGCTCACCGCAACCGCCGCCTCCCAGGTTCAAGCAATTCTCTGGCCTCAGCCTCTCAAGTAGCTGGGATTACAGGCATACGCCACCACACCCGGCTAATTTTGTATTTTTAGTAGAGACAGGGTTTCTCCATGTTGGTCAGACTGGTCTCGAACTCCCCACTTCAGGTGAGCTGCCTGCCTTGGCCTCCCAAAGTGCTGGGATTACAGGCATGAGCCACCACGCCCAGCCCAGAAATGTCCATTTTTAGGTCCCACCTGTGACCTACTGAATCAGAAATTCTAGGGATGGAGCCCAGCAAGCTGTACTCTAACAAGCCCTCTGATTCTGATGAGCGCTAAAGTTTGGGATCTACCCAGCCAGCACATAGAGGCTCAAAGGTGTTTGTCTAAATATATGTTCAAATCCATAAGCTTTATGTGGTTTGAATTAGAATTGGCTGTAAGCTCCATAAAATGAGGGGGCATGGTTTCCCTAGCACCAGGTAGAGGCAGGCGCATAGTAGATGCTCAAAAAAGGTTTGTGGGCCGGGCTCAGTGGCTCATGCCTGTAATCCCTCCTGCTTGGGAGGCAGAGGCAAGCAGATCACTTGAGGTCAGGAGTTTGAGACCAACCTGTCCAACATGGCAAAACCCCACCTCTACTAAAAATACAAAAATTAGCCGGGTGTGGTGGTGGGCGCCTGTAGTCCCAGCTACTCAGGAGGCTGAGGCACGAGAATTTCTTGAACCCTGGAGGTGGAGGTTGCAGTGAGCCAAGATCGTGCCACTGCACTCTAGCCTGAGCAACATAGCAAGACTCTGTCTCAAAAAAAAAAAAAAAAAAAAAAGGAAAAGTTTTGTGAAACAAATGAACAAATGAGTGAAGAGCCCTTTTGGTTCTTTTTATGGTTCTCAGTATCTTAGATTTTCCAAAGTTCAGTTTCATTACCTGTTCTCTCTTCCAGGATCTGTGGAAGGATCTACAAGCAAAGTAAACAGCTTAATATACAAAACAAAAAAGTATTGTCACACTGTTGAGCACTTTGAAACTCTCAGTTAGAACCCCCGAAAGGTCTGGTTTTCTATCCCTGCTGCAACTCAGAGCTTGAGGCACCTCAAGAATCCTGCTGCGGCCGGGCACAGTGGCTCACACCTGTAATCCCAGCACTTTGGGAGGCCAAGGCAGGCGGATCACAAGGTCAGGAGTTCGAGACCATCCTGACTAACACGGTGAAACCCCGTCTCTACTAAAAATACAAAAAATTAGCCAGGCGTGGTGGTGGGCGCCTGTAGTCCCAGCTACTCGGGAGGCTGAGGCAGTAGCTGAGGCTGAGGCAGGAGAATGGCGTGAACCTGGGAGGCAGAGTTTGCAGTGAGCCGAGATTGTGCCACTGCACTCCAGCCTGGGTGACAGAGTGAGACCTTGTCTCAAAAAAAAAAAAAAAAAAAAAGAATCCTGCTGCAGACGCACACCTGCCAGGCCTTGGCCACCCAGGGAAAGAGGAAGCAATTTCTTAAGGCAGGTAAACACCCTTGACAAGGAGGGAGCAGTAGTTATGACCCCACCTTGGAACAGGGTAGATGCCCAATAAATGTCTGATAAATAAATGGCACTTGTTCAGGACAGCATTGTAGTTAATTGCATAAGTTCGAAACAGACTGGCAGGGGCTTTTTTCTTATTCCTTGTTTTATTGCTTTGTCCGGGATCACTAATACGATGTTGATTTGTAGGAATGATACTGGATGTCCTTCTCTCATTTCTAAAGTTTCACCATTAAGTTTGATATTTGCTGTGGAAAGTAATTCCTGTGTATTCTTATTTAGCTATCAGGTTTCTAAAAACCGTGAATGAGTGTTGAATTTTTCAAGTGTTTTTCCTGTATCTATGGAGATGGTCACATGGGTTTTTCCTTTAACTTGTTAATGTGAAGGGTTGAACTGATTGCTAAATAAGAATACCCGGGAACCATCACCATATCACTTTTAGAATATTTTAATCACACCCCCATAAGACTCTGTGTCCATTAGCAGTCTTCTCCCCTCCCCAACAACCTTAAATAACCATGAATCTCTATAAATTTGCCTATTCTGGATATTTTATGTAAGTGAGATCATATAGGTTGGGCATGGTGGCTCACACTTATAATCTCAGTACTTTGGGAGGCCAAGCCAGGAGGATCACTTGAACCCAGGAGTTTAAGATCAACCTGGGGAACATAGTGAGACTTCGTCTCTATAAAAAAAATCAAACAATTAGCTGTAGGTTGGTTTTTTACTTTCTTGATGATGTCCTTTGCAACAAAGAAGTTTTTAATTTTAGGCTGGGTGTGGTGGCTCACGCCTGTAATCCCAGCACTTTGGGAGGCTGAGGCGGGTGGATTATGAGGTCAAGAGATCGAGACCATCCTGGCCAACATGGTGAAACTCCAAATACAAAAAGTAGCCTGGCGTGGTGGCAAGCGCCTGTAGTCCCAGCTACTTGGGAGGCTGAGGCAGCAGAACCACTTGAACCTGGGAAGTGGAGGTTGCAGTGAGCCGAGATTGTGCCACCGCACTCCAGCCTGGCAGCAGAGAGAGACTCCATCTCAAAAAAAAAAAAAAAAAAAGCTTTTGATTTTAATGAAGTCCAATTTATCTATTTTCTTCCTTTTGTTACTTGTGCTTCTGGTGTCATATTTAAGAAATTATTACTTTGAGAGGTGAGGCAGGAGGATCACTTGAGGCCAGGAGTTCAAGACCAGCCTGAGCAACACAGGAAGAACCTGTCTCTATAAGAAATTTAAAAATTAACTAAGCATGGTGGCAGGCAAGTGCCTGTAGTCCCAGCTACACAGGAGGCTGAGGCAGGAGGATTGCTTGATCCCAGGAGGTCGAGGCTGCCGTGAGTTTTGTTCACACCACTGCACTCCAGCCTGGGCGACAGATGAGACCTTGTCTCAAAAAAAAAAAAAAAAAAAAAGTAAGAAATTGTTGCCTAATATAAGGTCACAAAGACTTATGTCTATGCTTTTTCCTAAAAGTTGTATAGTTTTAGCTCATATATTTAGATCTTTGATTCATTTCTGAGTCAAATTTTGTATATGTTGTGAGTTAGGGGTCCAACTTCATTCCTTTTTTTTTTTTTTTTTGAGATGGAGTCTCGCTCTGTCACCCAGGCTGGAGTGCAGTGGCGCCATCTCTGCTCACTGCAACCTCCACCTCCCGGGTTCAAGCAATTCTCCTGCCTCAGCCTCCCGAGTAGCTGGGATTACAGGCATGCACCACCATGCCTGGCTGATTTTTGTATTTTTAGTAGAGATGGGGTTTCACCATGTTGGCCAGGCTTGTCTTGAACTCCTGACCTCAGGTCTCCTCCTTCTTCTTTCTTCTTCTTCTCTCTCTTTCTGAGGCAGGGTGTCACTCTGTCACTCAGGCTGGAGTGCAGCTCCATCTTAGCTCATTGCAACCTCTGCTTCCTGGGTTCAAGTGATTCTCCTGCCTCAGCGGCCAAAGTAGCTGGAACCACAGGCATGCACCACCATACCCAGCTAGTTTTGTTTGTTTTTTGTAGAGACTAGGTCTCACTATGTTGCCCAGGCTGGTCTTGAACTCCTGAGCTCAGGTAATCCACCCGCCTTGGCCTCTCCAAGTGCTGGGATTACACGCGTGAGCCACCGCGCCTGGCCTACTTTTTGTCTTTGTAGGTTTTTCTATTCTTCATGTCTCATGTACATGGAATCATATGTGATTTTTTGTGACTCGCTTCTGTCATTTAGCACCATGTTTTTGAGGATCATATTGTAGAATGTATCAGTACCTCATTCCTCTATATAGTTGAATAGTATTCCATTGTATGAATCTAATACATTTTGTCTTTCTGTTCACCAGTTGATGGATATTTAGGTATTTCCAGTTTGGGGCTATTACGAATAATGCTGCTAGAACCATTTGTGTCCAAGTCTTGTCTTTGCATAGACATATGTTTTCATTTATCTTGAAGCAGAAATGATCCTACTGCAAGTAGAATAATTCTATACCTAGGAGTAAAATTACTGGGTCTTATGGTAGTTTTATGTTTATCTTTTTGAGGAGCTGCCAAACTTTTCCAAAGTGGCTACAAATTTTACATCCCCAACAATGTATGAGGAACTTCAACAATGTATTGGGAACTTCTGAGTGTTTCCTCATCTATAAAGTGGGAATAAGAGTAACTCTGATTTCCTGAGGTTGTTGTGAGCATTAAATGAGATTATGGTGTATGAAGGCCAGGAAACCTTCCAAAATGACCAACCCCCTCCCACCAACTCCTGTAATGTATACCAGTCACTACAATTGTTACATTATTTATAATTATATTTTTATGTGTTTGTGTTTTGTGAGCATCCTGAAAATGGGAACTAGGTCTTATTCATATTTATCTTCTCAGTGCCCAACATGTAATATTCAGTAAGCTATAACAATATCCATGTACAAAGTATTAATGATTACACGTTAATGTCAAGAAAACTACAAAAAGCTCTCCCTCTCCCTCTCCCTCCCCCTCCCCCTCCCCCTCCCTCTCCCCGTCCCCTCTTTCCACGGTCTCCCTCTGATGCCGAGCCGAAGCTGGACTGTACTGCTGCCATCTCGGCTCACTGCAACCTCCCTGCCTGATTCTCCTGCCTCAGCCTGCCTAGTGCCTGCGATTGCAGGCGCGCGCCGCCACGCCTGACTGGTTTTCGTATTTTTTTGGTGGAGACGGGGTTTCGCTGTGTTGGCCGGGCTGGTCTCCAGCTCCTAACAGCAAGTGATCCGCCAGCCTTGGCCTCCTGAGGTGCCGGGATTGCAGACGGAGTCTCCTTCACTCAGTGCTCAATGGTGCCCAGGCTGGAGCGCAGTGGCGTGATCTCGGCTGGCTAAAACCTCCACCTCCCACCCGCCTGCCTTGGCCTCCCAAAGTGCCGAGATTGCAGCCTCTGCCCGGCCGCCACCCCGTCTGGGAAGTGAGGAGCGTCTCTGCCTGGCCGCCCATCGTCTGGGACGTGAGGAGCCCCTCTGCCTGGCTGCCCAGTCTGGAAAGTGAGGAGCGTCTCTGGCCGGCCGCCATCCCATCTAGGAAGTGAGGAGCGCCTCTTCCCGGCCGCCATCCCATCTAGGAAGTGAGGAGCGTCTCTGCCCGGCCGCCCATCGTCTGAGATGTGGGGAGCGCCTTTGCCCCGCCGCCCCGTCTGGGATGTGAGGAGCGCCTCTACCCGGCCGCGACCCCGTCTGGGAGGTGAGGAGCGTCTCTGCCCGGCCGCCCCGTCTGAGAAGCGATGAGACCCTCCGCCCGGCAACCGCCCCGTCTGAGAAGTGAGGAGCCTCTCCGCCCGGCAGCCGCCCCGTCTGAGAAGTGAGGAGCCTCTCCGCCCGGCAGCCGCCCCGTCTGAGAAGTGAGGAGCCCCTCCGCCCGGCAGCCGCCCCGTCTGAGAAGTGAGGAGCCTCTCCGCCCGGCAGCCGCCCCGTCTGAGAAGTGAGGAGCCCCTCTGCCCGGCAGCCACCCCGTCCGGGAGGGAGGTGGGGGGGTCAGCCCCCCGCCCGGGAGCCGCCCCGTCCGGGAGGTGAGGGGCACCTCTGCCCAGCCGCCCCTACTGGGAAGTGAGGAGCTCCTCTGCCCAGCCAGCAGCCCCGTCCCGGAGGGAGGTGGGGGGGTCAGCTCCCCGCCCGGCCAGCCGCCCCTACTGGGAAGTGAGGAGCCCCTCTGCCCGGCCACCACCCGGTCTGGGAGGTGTACCCAACAGCTCATTGAGAACGGGCCATGATGACAATGGCGGTTTTGTGGAATAGAAAGAGGGGAAAGGTGGGGAAAAGATTGAGAAATCGGATGGTTGCCGTGTCTGTGTAGAAAGAGGTAGACATGGGAGACTTTTCATTTTGTTCTGTACTAAGAAAAATTCTTCTGCCTTGTGATCCTGTTGATCTGTGACCTTACCCCCAACCCTGTGCTCTCTGAAACATGTGCTGCGTCCACTCAGGGTTAAATGGATTAAGGGCGGTGCAAGATGTGCTTTGTTAAACAGATGCTTGAAGGCAGCATGCTCTTTAAGAGTCATCACCACTCCCTAATCTCAAGTACCCAGGGACACAAACACTTCGGAAGGCCGCAGGTCCTCTGCCTAGGAAAACCAGAGACCTTTGTTCACTTGTTTATCTGCTGACCTTCCCTCCACTATTGTCCTATGACCCTGCCAAATACCCCTCTGCGAGAAACACCCAAGAATGATCAATTAAAAAAAAAAAAAAAGAAAGAAAACTACAAAAAAAGATTCTTGAACTGGGCCTTCAAGAATAAGTAGGCACCCACTCAGCTCAAATGGAGCACAGGGCATCCTAGGTGGAAGGAACAGCATGTGGACAGGCCCAGAAGAGGGAAGACGTGTCGATTTCAGGAAATGACAAGGAAGCCCAGTGTGGCAATGGTGCTGGGAAAGGGTGGCCAGGGAGGCCACAGGTAAGGTAGAGGAAGCCAGTTGGAAGTTGTAAATAGCCATTTATACCATGCAAAAGGGTTAGAACTTCATCCCGAGGGCAGAGAGGAGCCATGGATGGGCATTAAGCAGGAGAGTAACGCGATTAGAACTACATTTTAGAAAGATCTTTCTGGGGATCGCTTCTCAGCCTTTTGGCTAAGATCAAGTGTAGAAAGATCTCTCTGGGGCAGCAGAAGGCATGCATTCTCAAACTTCAGCTGCATTAGACTCACCTGGGAGGTTCATGGAGCCTCAGAATACTGAGTCCCGCCCCATGAGTTTCTTATTCAGCAGGTCTGAGGCAAGGTCTCTTTTTTTTTTTGAGACGGAGTCTCGCTCTGTTGCCCAGGCTGGAATGCAATGGCGCCATCTCGGCTCACTGCAACCTCTGCCTCCTGGGTTAAAGTGATTCTCCTGACTCAGCCTCCTGAGTAGCTGGAGTTACAGGCGCCTGCAACCATGCCCGCTAATTTATTTTATTTTTTTAGTAGAGACGGGGTTTCACTGTGTTAGCCAGGATGATCTCAATCTCCTGACCTTGCGATCCGCCCGCCTTGGACTCTCGAAGTGTTGGGATTACAGGCGTGAGCCACTGCACCTGGCCTTTTTTTTTGCAGAGTCTCACTATGTAGCCCAGGCTGGAGTGCAGTGGTGTGATCTCACTGCATCCTCTGCCTCCTGGGTTCAAGCGATTCTCCTGCCTCAGCCTCTTCAGTAGCTTGGATTACAGGCACCCGCCACCAAGCCCGGCTAATTTTTTTATATTTTTAGCAGAGATGGGGTTTCACCATGCTGGCCAGACTGGTCTTGAACTCCTAACTTCAAGTGATCCACCGCACCCAGCGTGAGGCATGGTCTTGAATATGCATGTCTCACATTTCCAGGTGATACTGCTGCTGCTGGTCTGAGGACTACAGTTGGACCCACTGATGTAGAGGGTGGGAGGGAGAGTGTGGGCAGCAAGACCTTTCAGGAAGCTGTGGAAATAGATGGGGGAGACAGAGTCAGGGCTGATCACATTTTAGATCTGGGTGCTGCGAACTTTTCAGTGCCTTAATGGTGAGATTGCAGGCATGGTGATAAGAGACTGTATCTTGGAGGGAAATCCACTGGGCAATCATGTGCCCCCAGCATTGGCCAGGACAGCCCCCAACACCCAGCCTGCGGGGACCAGATCCACAGTTGGTAATGAGCTTCAGAAAGCACGACAAAGACAAGATGCCCAGAGCTGCAGTTTAATGTTTAATGCCCAATTATCTCAATACAAGGAGGCTTACATGGTGCTCATAAAGACACGACCAGGCGAAACCAGGCCGGCAGGAAATGACCCGCATGAGTCCCAGCACGGGGACCATGTTCTCTCGGTTCCAGCTCACCCTCGAAAAGTGCCACAGGCAAGGTTCTTCAGCTCACCCAGGAGCCAGCAGGCTGGCCAGGCGTGTGGCCACCATGGTCACTGAGGATCCTCGTGGGAGAATAGGGTTCTGGGACCTCAGGATACAATCACAAGAACCAGAAAGCTGCTTCCAAACAACCCCAGAAGGTTTTCACTTCACATGCGCTAAGCCACACAACACCTGGATGCTGGGGCACCCAAACCCTTTCCCTAAAACTCTGAACACTGCAGAATGGAGGTTGAGAACACTTGGGGAGGGAGAACAAAGTCAGAACCATCCTAAAGCCAGTTTTTCAAGCTTGACCACCTCCCTCTTCCTCCCTGAAGGCACACCAGCCGATCCCATTACTGTGGAAAAGGGACACCCTCTGGTCTATTCTAACACCTTTAATGGGAAAGGAGTTAGGAGCATGTCCCTGGCTTCAAGAAATCTCTGAATCTCCAACTCTACTGGATGATTTCCTGGAGCCCCAAGCTTTAGAAGTCCCTGGGGACACGAGTGATTTTTTTAGGGGGGCTGCTGGTGGGGCTGGGAAGTTTCCTGGCAGAAATTATTTACCTCAGAAAGACACTGGCTTTTCTCTTACCCTCGTTTTAAAGTCTACCTGGTCCCTAAAGAAAATACCACTCAGGCTGGGCCTGGTGGCTCGTGCCTGTCATCTCAACACTTTGGGAGGCCGAGGTGGTGGATCACTTGAGGTCAGGAGTTCAAGACCAGCCTGACTAACATGGCAAAACCCCGTCTCGACCAAAAATACAAAATTAGCCGGGCGTGGTGGTGCATGTCTATAGTCCCAGCTACTCTGGAGGCTGAGGCAGAAGAATCGCTTGAACCTGGGAGGCAGAGGTTGCAGTGAGCCGAGATCAGGCCACTGCACTCCAGCCTGGGCAACAGAGCGAGACTCCATCTCAAAAAAAAAAAAAAAGAAGAAAAAAAGAAAAGAAAATACCACTCAAAATGTGTCCTGAAGCACTCTGTGGAAGTCGGGAGGCTTCAAGTGTCACTGGCAAGACGGGGGCATGAGCTTGTGTCCTGCACTGAATCTGAGGCTTAGCCTGGGAGGTCTAGCCCCTTGGCCAGGCAAGGTGTGAAAGGGACAGTAGAGGGGGACAGAGGCAGCTGCTGAGCACACGGGGCACAAGCCTGAAGGCAGCTCCCCTGACCAGCCATATGGAGAGGCCTCTAGGGCATGAGCTTACATTCCAGACTTCAGTATTAAACTCATTCCCAATGGGTCCTGCAGGCCCCTTCTTCCTTTTCTCTGATGTAATTCTTGGGGAAAGCTCCAGAGCCCAAGGAATGGGAGTCAAACACCTCTGACTTCAGAGATGGCACATGGCTAAATGGCAGCCCAGTGGAGACCTCAGAGCAGCCCACTCACCACAAACGAGATCCTACACAGGGTCCCTGAGCATGCTGGACTTTAAGACGGGCGTCTGATAAGACCCTTGTGAGTATTTGGGTAGGAGACCAAAAGCATTTCTGCAAAGGGTACACAATTAGCCCTGCTTATAGAGTGGGGGCAGCTGTGACCCGCTGACCACTCCTGGGAGGGGGCTAACTTGGGGGCCCAGGAATTTGAGCAAATGATGAGGCACAATTGTCCCCAGCTGGGCATTAGATCACATTGGGCCCCACCCTGAAATAATCCCTCGTCTCAAACTTCAGACATCAGTCAGTCAGCTCAGGAGCCATCCAACAAAACCAACTTCATATTTTAAACCAGCTTAATGCTACAAACTTTTCTAAAAAGTGCTGTCCAGCTGAGCCTCTGAGAAAACCTAGCTCCCTGAGGGGTGGATGGCAGGCCTCTCAGACCAACCCCTGAGCCTCTCTCCAGAAGTCATAGCCTTGGTTCAGCCCAGAGCACCCACATCCCAGGGTGGGTGGGGGAGAAGAGCAGCTGAGCTGAAGGGACAATGTGGGATGATCAAGCCTCTGGGGGAACAGGCTGAAGCCAAAAGACCCCCTCAGGACCCCAGGCCTGCAGAGGTAACATGAGTTCCTCTCCCCATTAGCTGTGAAGGCCTGGTCTGCCATGAAGACCTCTCTCTGTCACCCCTTCAGTATACCTGGGAAAAAAGGAGTGAACAAGTCACCAAGCCCCAGTCACCTCTGTCCTTGGGGTCTGAGTGAGCTCTGAGGGGTGGAGTCCTTAATGAACCATCCCCTTCAATAACATGGTGAAAAAATTCCTCCCAGGGAAGCAGAGAATGATGCCAGTGCCACATGGGGGGCAGAGGGGATGCTTTTGGCAGTTTTTTGTTTTAATCTGACCCTTCTTTACAGTGGGGCTGCCTCTGCCTACCAAGTCCTTGGTGCAAAATGGCTCCTGGACCAGCGCAAGGCAGAAACTCTGAGGAAAAGTGCCCGCCACAGCCATGACAGCTGCCCCCATGCTCCTGTCTGTTTTCCACGGGAGCTTGTCTCTGCTGGACCATTTTTACATCTCAAGGGGAGAGGTAAGGACTTCCTCAGGAAAGGGGTCTCCTGAGCAGGTGGCTCCTGTTTCCACAGGAGCCTCAGTGCTACCTGCCCTAGGATGGCTCCCTGGGACCATCTCTGGGACAGAGGCGACCAGGAAGCCAAGACCGGCAGCTCAGCTGGAGATGTGAGGCCAAGAACAGGGGAAGAGGCAAAAGGGCCCACAGCTGCCGTTTACTAGAACCATGAGGCCTAAGTGCAATTAGCATTCTAGCAGACTGGACAGCCCCTCAGAGTCCCAGCCCCCACCACAGTGGGGAAACCAAGGATGTAGCCTGGGCCCCTCCCTTGGAAACCCAGACCTGCCCTGGAACATGGACAGTGATGGGCCTGTCTGCAGAGGTCTCACTAAAAACTAGAACAACCTCCCTGCTAAAACTCAGGGAGGACAAACAAACAACTCAACCTGAAATAAATACAAAGGCATTATGTGCTTCTTGGTACGTCGAGGGTCCTAATTACCCCTCAAAAGGAGGTAGCAGGGCCTTTCCCTGGACTTGGCCACCTCACCTGCAGCCTTCTTGTGAGAGGTCAGAAGTCAGAAGACTGGATGGGCCTCCCTAGGCCCAGCTTCCATTAGGAAGGTGAGGACCACCCCTTATCCACTCCTCACCCGTACCATTCATATCTCCCCACACAGCTTCTGCCGGCTGGGGCAGGAAAGGCGAGGAGACCCCATGCCCTGAGGGCAGCACCTAGTGTCCAATGTCCCTGTGCAGGCAGAGGGGCTGTCAGCCTGTCTGTGAGGAGGTAGAGTCGGGGGCAGGCTGCTGGGGGCAGGCAGGGCCACTCAATTAATCAACAGGTCCCCAAGGTCGTAGGAGTCGAAGAGATCGCTGATGCCCTCACCCGCCTCCAAGCCCCACAGGTAGTCGTCCTGGTCCAAGGATGGGGAGAAGCTGATCAGAGGGGAGCTGCACGCCAGGGTCGGGGACAGGAACTGGTCCTCAGTCTGCTGCAGGAGTGGGTGCGGCAGCTCCAGCAGGCTGTCAGTAGCCTCCAAGGGGACCAGGGATGGAGGCGGTGGGGCCTGCTGGGGGGTTGGCGCTGGTGCTGGCACTGGAGACAAACAGACAAAGGTTACGCCTGGCCCTAGCATCCAACTCCTCAGCACGCGAGGACAGACTTCCGGTTCTCTGGATGACTGCACCCTTCTTCTCTCTCCTTAGCCTGGGTGGACTGTCGTGCTCTCAAAATCCACCTTCCAGAGTCTACACCCAACCCTACAACTTTTCATGTATTTTTTATTTTTTTGAGACCGGGTCTCACTCTATCACCCAGGCTAGAGTGCAGTGTTGTGATCTTGGTTCACTGCAACCTCTGCCTCCCAGGTTCAAGCGATTCTCCCACCTGAGCCTCCCGAGTAGCTGGACTACAGGCATGCACCACCACACCCAGCTAATTTGTGTATTTTTAGTAGAGATGGGGTTTCACCATGTTGGCCAGGCTGGTCTCGAACTCCTGACCTCAAGTGATCGGCCTTCCAAAGTGTTGGGATTACAGGCCTGAGCCACTGTGCCCGGCCAAAAAGGAAAGAAATTCTGACACATGCTACAACATAGATGAACCCTGAGGACATTAAACTATGTGAAATAAGCCAATCACAAAAAAACAAATACTGTGTGATTCCACTTACATTAGATACTTAGTCAAAATCGCAGGGACAGAGAGTAGAAGGGTGGTTGTCAGGGGCTGGGCAGAGAGGGGAATGGGGAATAGGTACAGAGTTTCAGTTTTACAAGGTGAAAGGAGTTATGGAGATGAATGGTGATGGTTACACAACATTATGAATGTATTAATTACCACTGAACTGTACATTTAAAAATAGTTATGATGGTAAATTTTTGTTATGTTGCCTCTACTCTCCACCACACACAACTATACCTGACCTCATCACCCTCTCCAATTACTGGCCCATTTTTCTGCTCCTTTGCACAGTAAACTTTCTCCAGAGTAGCCTCAGCTTGTCTCCACTTCCCTATTACTATTCTCTCTTCAACTCACTCCAGTCTGGGGTCTCTCCCCACCATGTCCCTGAGCCAGTGACATCCATGCTGCTAAACCCAATGGTCATTTCTCTGGCTTCATCTTATTTGACCTTTCAGTAGCCATTCTCCAGCACTCTATGCTCATTTCTTTCTCGCCGCCTTCTTTTTTTTTTTTTGAAACAGGGTCTTGCCCAAGCTAGAGTACAGAGTGCAGTAGGGTGAACACGGCTCACTGCAGCCTCAACCTTCTGGGCTCAAGCAATCCTCTCGCCTCAGCCTCCTGAGTAGCTGGGACCACTGGTGCGTGCCACCATGCCCATCCAATTTTTAAACTTTTTTGTAGAGACAGGGTCTCACTCTGTTGCCCAGGCTGGTCTCGAACTCCCAGGCTCGAGCAATCCTCCTGCCTCAGCCTCCCAAAGTGCTGGGATTACAGACATGAGCCACCACACCCAACCTGCTCATTTCCACTTAGATGTTAAGACGGTGATTTCCCATACAGGGACATGCAATGAAGCACTGGAAATTGCCTGCCACATATATCCTGATGCTCAGAATCCCCCACATTGCAGTCACTCCTTAAGCCCCAGCCAAGTATTATTCTGAAGATACAACTGCGCTGGGATGCTAGGCTGCCTGTTGAGACTGGTGGTGCACCCATAGGCATGTGATTTCACATTTTATTTATTTATTTAATTTATTTTGAGATGGAGTCTTGCTCTGGACTTCACGTTTTAGAGCATCCATTTTCTCCCCTCTGCATGGGGCAGCATAGCACTACCTACCTCAAAGGGTTGCTCAGAGGACCGCATGGTAAGTGCATATGAAGCACTGGTTTGGCCTGGTGCGGTGGCTCATGCCTATAATACCAGCACTTTGGGAGGGCGAGGCAGGCAGATCACCTGAGGTCAGGAGTTCGAGACCAGCCTGGCCAACATGGTGAAACACCGTCTCTACTAAAAATACAGAAATTCGCTGGGTATGGTGGCAGGCATCTGTAATCCCAGTTAATAGGGAGGCTGAGGAAGGAGAATCATTGGAACCCAGGAGGTGGAGGTTGTAGTGAGGCAAGATCACGCCACTGCACTCCAGCCTGGGCAACAAGAGCGAGACTCGTGTCTCAAAATAAAAATAAATAAATAAACAAACAAATAAATAAATAAGCACTGGTTTGTCGGGTCTGCATGCTGCCCTTGCTCCTGTTAAAAATTGCTCCCATTTACCAAGGCTAATGGGGGAGGTGGTGGCACTGCCCTTGAGGCGAGGCGTGGTTCAGCCTCCTTGCACACTCAAATGGCCCTGAGGGAGTCCATGCTGTTACCCCTATTTACAGATGAGAAAACTAGGGCCCAAAGAAGTCCATTAAATGTATATTAATTAAAAAAAAAAATCTAAGGTTTGTTTGGCACGCTGCTGATGTTACAGTCAGAGGCCTGGCTTGGGAGCGGGGAGCATGTGGGCTCAGACTCTAGCGCCTCCTCTCACCAGCCATGGAACCCCAGAACTCTGTTTCCTCATGTGGAAAAACAGGGATGAGTATTAGAAGCAGTAACTGATAAAACACATGTGAAAATCTCTATTATAGGTCAGACCTTGCTGTCTCCTGCTGTTGATCACGTCCAGAAATAGAATCGCCTTTTGTAATATGTGTCTCTCCACCACACTCTGAATGGCTCTTACTGCTTTTCTGTCTCTAAAACAGCACCAGGCCCAGCTCAGTAGATGCTCTTCACACAAGCTTTTTTTTTTTTTTGAGACAGAGTCCCACTCTGTCGGTCAGGCTGGAGTGCAGTGGTGTAATCTCAGCTCACTGCAACGTCTGCTTTCCTGGTTCAAGTGACTATTGTGCCTCAGCCTCCTGAGTAACTGGGATTATAGGCATGCACCACCACCTCCGGCTAATTTTTGTATTTGTAGTAGAGACGGGGTTTCATCGTGTTGGCCAGGCTGGTCTGGAACTTCTGGCCTCAAGTGATCCACCTCCCTCGGCCTCTCCAAGTGCTGGATTACAGGTGTGTGCCACCGCGGCTGGCCACATAAGTTTTTTTTTTTTTTTTTTAAATCACATTTATGCCATGTCATCTTCTATAACCCATTCAATATTCATGAGGAAATTTCAAGTGTCCCCATTTGAGAGATGTGGGAACTGGGGCTTTGGGGGGTTAAAGTGATTCACTCACAGTCACCAAGTCACTAAGAAGTGAGATACAGGCTTGAACACAGGTCTCCCAATTTCAAATCCTGTGCCATCAGCTACATTTAGGTGTATCTCAGAATGTCAGAGCCTGGAGAAATGTCAGAGATGATGTTGTTGAAACCCCTTCCATTACAGATGAGGGAAACTGAGGCTGCAGAGAACACTTCCCCTGGTAATGCAGAACCAGGGCCAGGACCCAGGTCCCAAGACTGTAGTGGCTTCCTCTCTTACATGGCTTCTGGCACTCAGACCTCAAAATGATACTATTTCAGAACACAGCACGGAACATGTGTGTGTGTGTGTGTGTGTGTGTGTGTGTGTGTGTGTGTGTGTGTGTCTGTGCAGGAGAATCCCTTGAACCTGGGAGGCGGAGGTTGCAGTGAGCCAAGACCAGGAAAACTTCCTCCTCCTCCCTTCAGCAGGGATAATACTATGAGGCCATGTGACAAGGGTCGTGGGGACAGCCATGACATGAGAGCTGGCCCCACCAGACTGCTGTGTAAGCCTCTGCTCCTCTCTGGGCTTCAGGATCTTGATTTGTAAAACTCAGGTAAAAACTTCACACCCGGCTGGGCTCGGTGGCTCACACCTGTAATCCCAGCACTTTGGGAAGCTGAGGTGGGTGGATCACCTGAGATCAGGAGTTCGAGACCAGCCTGGCCAACATGGTGAAACCCTGTCTCTACTGAAAATACAAAAATTAGCCGGGCATGGTGGCATGTACCTGTACTCCTAGCTACTCGGGAGGCTGAGGCAGGAGAATTGCTTGAACTTGGGAGGCGGAGGTTGCAGTGAGCCAAGATTGTGCCACTGCACTCCAGCCTGGGTGATAGAGTGAGACTCTGTCTTAAAAAAAAAAAAACAACTTCACACCCTTGTTTATGCTTTGGGATCTGCCACCTCCACCCAAGGTCTCAGAGGACAACTGAAGCGAAGGTGGTTCCAGCTTCGGAGGGCTATGCGCATGCTGACACTTGAGTGAGGAGGCACAGCAGGAGGAGGATGGACCAGAGGGTGGGGCAGAGGTCTGGGATGGGAGATAGGCACTGGGGAGGTGTCCCAAGGGACAGATGGCTAGCACAGGGAGAAGCTCTGGTCCCTGATGAGGCCTGACAGACACAGGAGAGATCATTAGAGAAGAGTTGGGAGGCTGGGCTCTGGTCCCAGCTCTGCCATCAACTTGCTGTGTGACCTTAGGGAAGCCACTTGCCCTCTCTGGGCCTGTGTTCATTCATGTGTTAAAAGAAGGGTTGAGTTAGTTGGGGACAGCAAACTTCTATAAAGAGCTGGAGCCTGTAATCCCAGCACTTTGGGAAGCCAAGGCAGGTGGATCACCTGAGGTCAAGGGTTCAAGACCAGGCTGGCCAACATGGGGAAACCCTGTCTCTACTAAAAATACAAAAAAAAAAAAAATTAGCTGGGTGTGATGGCGGGCACCTGTAATCCCAGCTACTTGGGAGGCTGAGGCAGGAGAATTGATTGAACCCAGGAGGCAGAGGTTGCTGTGAGCCAAGATCATACCATTGCACTCCAGCCTGGTGACGGAGCGAGACTGTCTCAAAAAAAAAAAAAAAAAAAAAAGCTGGAGAGTATTTTAGGCTTTGTGGGACACTTGTGGTCTCTGTCACATAGTTGCCTTCTTTTTCTTTCTCCCACAACTCTTTAAAAATGTAAAACCATTCTTAGCTCATGGGTCATTAAAAGCAGGTCAGATTTGACCTGCAGGCAATAGTTTATTAACCTCTGAGTTAGAGAAATGGACACAACCAGTGTACTGCAGAGCCCTTCCAGCAAGCCTCTTCCATCAGCCCAGCTCTACCTCTACCTTGGTCTAAACGCTAGGGTTCTACTTAAGAGAATTCTGCTGCTAAGAAGACAAAAAGTGGAACACTGGCCTACATAGCCTTGAAGAATCCTGCCAGTCTAGCCGGATGTGTGATCCAGGAAAAGGCAAAAACTGTTCTGGAGAGGGGCCTTTACAGGCTTCCATTTGTACTCCTTCTGGACTCCCACCCTCCTTGGGAAGCTCTCAGGAACTTTGCTCCCTGGCAACTTACCTGTACTACCTTCCATCAGGGGTAGCCAGCTCTTAACCATACCGTCCACCTCCCAGCCAGAAGCCCCTTCTTCGATTTGATCTATGCCTTGTGGAGAGAGCACTGGGCTGGGAGTATGTAGACCAAGGTTCAAGACACAGCTCTGTTGCCTCCCAGCTGGGAGACCTTAGGTAAGACACATCACCTCTATGTCTTATTTTTTTTTTAATGGGCAAATTTTATTATTTTATTTTTATTAGAGATGGAGTCTCATTATGTTGCCCAGGCTGGTCTTGAACTCCTGGGCTCAAGTGATCCTCCCACCTCAGCTTCCCAGAGTGCTGGGATTATAGGTGGGGACCACAGCGCCTGGCCTATTTTTTAAAATTTTATTCTTATTTTTATTTTTGAGACAGGGTCTCCCTCTGTTGCCCACGCTGGAGTGCAGTGGCATGATCAGAGCTCACTGTAGCCTCAACCTCCATGGCTCAAGTGTTCCTCCCACCTCAGCTTCCCGAGTAGCTGGACTACAGGCGTGTGCCACCACACTCGGCTAATTTGTAAATTTTTTTATAGAGACAGGGTATCCCTATGTTGCCCGGGCTGCTCTTGAACTCCTGGTCTCAAATGATTCTCCTGCCTCAGTCTCCCAAACTGCTGGGATTATAGGCGTGAGCTATATAATCTCACAACAACCTATGAGTTAGACAGTATTAATTACTGCGCCCAACTCACAGATGAGAAAAATTGAGGCCAAGAGAGGTTAAGTAACTTGTCTAAGGTCACATAGCTGGTAAGTGGATGGGCTGGGATTCAAATCCAGGCCTTCCTCTGCCCTGGAGCAGCACCAGCCTTCCTAGTGAGGCTTTATAAAGCATTAAGTACAATGCACATGTGTGGGGTAGGATGACTACATCCCCAGCTGCTGGATAAAACAGGAGGTTTTCAACAAACATTGATATAGAAGAGAAAACTAAGGCCGGTCTCTCCCCCCACCTCCTGTCCCTCTGGACAAGGGACCTACCTGAGGATGCTGTGGGCTCCATGATGCTAGGGTCGGTGCTGCTGCTGGGCTGGGCAGAGTCAGGGCTGGGGCAGAGGGTGGAGGTAGAGGGGAGAGGCTCCTCGGAAGGACTGTCCGGCTCCTGCACCTCCTCTGGGCACAGGTAGACTTCGATGGGCCCTTGGGTGCTCTTGAGATATATCTGCAGGTTGTCCTGGAGGAGGAAGAGAAGCCAGGTCATTGCTCTGGGCAGCTGGACACTTACACTTAGTGTGTATGGACAGACGCACGTGGCTGCTGCCATCCATGGGTGCAAGCTCAAACCCTGGGCTGGCACTGAGACCAACTCCATCTGGCCTAACTAAGGTGGACTTCCGCTGTTTCTGCTGTCTGGCCCTGAAGCCCACTTCTTTTAGGGGGAACACCTTGATTTTCCTGTGGGAAATCACTCTTCCCCCCACTCTCAGGTCATCTAGTTTTGGGGCGGGGGGGGGGGGGCAGCACCCTTCCCCAATGCCAGTGGGTGAGCTTGTGACGCAGCCAGGAAAGTTAGTGTGACATGATTGGTTCAGGATGGCCCATGGCTCAGGTGGATCCAACCAGCACTAGGCCCAGGACTTTTGCTGGACTTGTGGGAAATGGAAGCCCCCTTCCCACTGGGGTTGCTGAGCTGGTATCATAAAAGCTACCTCTACCACCACAAGGAGAGAGCCCACCTGGGAATGGAGTCAGCACAGAGAAAAGCAGAGAGATGAAAAGCGTGAGACAGACCTGAAGTCATAGTTTGAGCATCTACATCCAACCTTGCCAGCAATCTCTGAATCTCCCCCAGGACTTGTCATTTGGTTCCCACCACCCCTACCCATACCTCCCGCTGAAGCCAGTTGGACTTGGCTTTCTGTTACCTGTAACCAAGAGTCCTAGTATTTGGTCTTCCCACCCTGTCCCTTCCCTACCACATAACCGCAACTTAAGCCACAACTGATGACATGCATGCCATCCAGGCACATGTCCAGGTCTCCATGCCTGTACTCACACAGAACTGCACCTAGCAAAAACCCTATTCATTCTTTAAGACCTAGTTTAACTGTCCCCACCTGGGATACCTCCTCTAACTACCCTTTCTCTATGCTTGCAAAGCACATCTTCAGTCTATAAATGACAGCGTCTTTTTCCCACTAAGTCGTGAACTCCTCCAAGGGTGGGGGCAGGACCTTAATTGTCTCTGCAGCCCCAGTTCTTCCTTTAAATAAATTATTTCTTGAGTCCTTATAATATGCCAGGCTCTGGGCAAGGGATACAAGGTGAGTAGAACATTCTCTTGTGAAGCTTACACCCTAATAGATGAAGCAGAATGCAATCGTGTAATCATGCCAAATATACCTCAGCAAATGGAGATTAAATTAAAGGCAGCGGAAAAGCACAGGTGTTTATGAAGTCTGGAGGTAATCAGAGAAGGCTTCCTTGAGGAAGTGACATTTGAGTTGAGACCTGTAGGATGAATAGCGGTAAATCAGGCAGAGAGGGAAGAACATTTCAGCTCGAGGGGAAGAGCATGTATGAGGGTCTTGCACGGCTAGGTGCGGTGGTTCACGCCTATAATCCCAGCACTTTGGGAGGCCAAGGCGGGCAAATCACTTCTATGCCGAAGTTCAAGACCAGCCTGGACAACGTGGCAAAACCTCGTCTCTACAAAAAAAACAAAAAATGTGCTAGGCATGGTGGCATGCACCTGTGGTCCCAGCTACTCAGGAGGGTGAGGTGGGAGGATGGCTTGAACCCGGGAGGCAGAGGTTGCAGTGAGCTGAGATCATGCCACTGCACTCCAGCCTGGGTGACAGAGCAAGACGCTGTCTTAAAAAAAATCAAATAGGTTGAGTGTGGTGGCTCATGCCTGTAATCCCAGCACTTTGGGAGGCCGAGGCAGGTGGATCATGAGGTCAGGAGTTCAAGACCAGCCTGACCAACATGGTGAAACCCCATCTCTACTAAAAAAAAAATACAAAACTTAGCCGGGAGTAGTGGCGGGCATCTGTAATCTCAGCTACTTGGGAGGCTGAGGCAGGAGAATCGCTTCAACCCAGGAGGCGGAGATTGCAGTCAGCCAAGATTGTGTCACTGCACTCCAGCCTGGGCAACAGAGTGAGACTCTGTCTCAAAAATAAATAAATAAATAAATAAATAAATCAAACAAAACAGAAGATCTCATACTAGGAATGAGCTTAGTGCAATGGGGAAACTGCAGACAGGTCAGTGTGGCCAAAACAAAGACAGATGGGGCAGCGGGGAAAAGGAGGTTGGCAACGTCAGCTGGGGTCTCAGAGCACCGAAGCCTCATAGGGAGTGTCAGGAATTTTGGTCTTTAACCTGGGAAAGCACGGTCAGCATGAAAGGATTTTCATGAGTATTGACACCGTCATACGTGGGCATGAGTGTGCATGTGCGCAGGAACCCAGGGCTGGTGGGATGCAGAAAGAAACCAGGAACAGAGATTTTCTCAGGCCACTACTCAGTCTCCGTTGCCCTTTCCAGCTTCTGCCATTTCTGCCCAAGCTTGAAGGCCACCAATATTGCCATGGACACCACAATGGGCCTGCAAAGCATGGGGCTAGGCAGTGCCAGGGACAGAGTCTGCAGAGCCGCCTGGAACGCTCCCTGGCAGGGTCTCAACCCTGCTCTCCACCAAATATTTCCCCTCTCACCTCAGTCCTGTCGGGCACTTCCAGTCTCGTCTGCGGAGGGGCCTTGACGGCAATCACTGTCTGCTCCTTAAAGTTGCCAACAGCACGGATATCCTGGTAAGTCACATAGGCCAGCGTAGGGCAGGAGAGTCAAGAAAAGTGACTGTCTGGTCAAAATTCAAACCCCAAACCTGCCAGGGAGCACCTTCACCCACCTCTCCTAAGCCTCTGAACATTACTTTCTCACTCCTTGTACAACTTAGAAATAATACAATCTGTAACCTGTTAATCTCATAAGCTACCTTAGATCCCTTTGGAAAGCAAATGGGAATATAAATCATAAAAAATGTTGCCTTACATTATAAATCATAAAAAATGTTGCCTTATGTAAAGGCTTCATCTCTCAAACTAGATCATTAGCTCTGAGAAGGCAGGAAGATGTGTTTTATTTCTTTATATTTCTCACAATGCCTAGCATCCTTCCAAAAATACAAGGTCAGATCCAAAACCAATTAGATATGAAATGATTTTGGAAAATGTATGAAAGAGCCTTAGCAAAGTCCATGCTCTTTGACCTCATCATTTCAATCCTAGGGATCTGACCTAGGAAACAAGTAAAAATATGGGAAAGCATTCTATGTATAAAGATATTCGGCCGAACGCGGCGGCTCATGCCTGTAATCCTAGCACTTTGGGAGGCTGAGGCGGGTGGATAACTTGAGGTCAGGAATTCAAGACCAGCCTGGCCAACATGGTGAAACTCCATCTCCACTAAAAATACAAAAATCAGCTGGGTGTGAAGGCCGGGTGCGGTATCTCACTCCTGTAACCCTAGCACTTACGAAGGCTGAGGTGGGTGGATCACCTGAGGTCAGGAGTTCGAGACCAGCCTGACCAACATGGTGAAACCCCGTCTCTACATAAAATACAAAAATTAGCCGGGTGTGGTGGCAGGCGCCTGTAATCTCAGCTACTTGGAAGGCTGAGGCAGGAGAATCGCTTGAACCCAGGGGGCAGAGGTTGCAGTGAGCCAAGATCATGGCACTGCACTCCAGCCTGGGCAGCAATAGTAAGACTCCATCTCAAAAAAAAAAAAAAAAAATTAGCCAGGCATGGTGGCGGGCACCTGTAATCCCAGCTACTTAGGAGGCTGAGGCAGGAGAGTCACTAGAACCCAGGAGGTGGAGGTTGCAGCGAGCCGAGATTGTGCCACTGCACTCCATCCTGGGCAAGAGTGAGACTCTGTCTCAAAAAAAAAAAAAAAAAAAAAAAAAAAAAAAAAAGCTATGTTCAGCAGGCACACAACTACATTACAACTATATTGAAATAAAACACATTCTGTGTGCAGTTCAAGAACAATGGCTATGTTAAGGTGGCAGCTCATCATTCTTTTTCTCCGTTTTCCAGATTTAAAGAAATTTACTTGGCTTATTTTCAATAATGAAAAAATACCTTTAATAAACTTGAGGCCAGGCACAGTGACTCATGCCTGTAATCTCAGCACTTTGGGAGACTGAGGCAGGAGGATCGACTGAAGCCAAGAGTTAGAGACCAGCCTGGGCAACAAAGCGAGACCCTGTCTATACAAAAAATAAAGAATTAGCCAGGCATGGTGGCACATGACTGTAGTTCCAGCTATTCAGGAGGCTGCGGTGGGAGGATCACTTGAACCCAGGAGGGCGAGGCTATAGCGAGCTATGATCATGCCATTGTACTACAGCCTGGATGACGGAATGAGTCCTTGTCTCTAAAAAAAATAAATAAATAATTTTAAAAATAGACTTGAGAAGAAAAGCCACCCAGGAAGGAAGAAACAGATGCCAGACCCTTAGGGTAAGTTACTGAATCAACTCAGGATAGATATAAACATGCAACAGGTTCCTGCTCCCTGACACCTTCCCCCAACCAAGGAGGATATCTCTTGTTGGCCTTGTCCTCAGTCAGGTGCTTGAAGCTCAGAGAGCAGCTCTGGATGAGCTGGTCCAAGGCCTGCTCCGTGTTCATCAGCTCCTTCAGCTCCTGCCCCAGCTGTTGCTGCTTCCCAGGTCTGGTGGGGTCTTCAAACATTCCCCTGCCTCTGGGAACAGAGCAGCCCCCCAGTGTCAGTCTGTGGGTGAAACTCCAGAACAAGGTCATTCAAAAAATAGTCTATGAGGGTGCTTCCCTGGGTTGTGGAAATCAGTGGTCATGCCTGTCTCTCAGGGAGCTACCAGGGATTGGAACCAGAGGTTTGGGGGTTGGGCTTGGGAGAAAAAACAAGTCAAGACCTGAACCCCATTTCTGAGGGGCTCTCGACTCTGTTCATCCCTATGCCCCAGCCTCCTCCAACTGGAGTAGCCTCAGTCCTGACTCCCTCCCCTGCCTGGTTTCTCTTAGGATTTATGCCAAGGGCTATAGGTCAGCTCTTTAAACCCTGTAGAAATGGAGAGAGGAGGCTGGAGTACTCCTATCTCAGATCTGGAAGGAGTCCGGGATCCCCCTACTTAGCTCCCAGGGGACTGCCCTAAGCTAGAAGAAGTGGATATTGGGATCTCTGACTCAAGAGGAAGAATCTGAGGTTCCCTTTGGCCTTTACACCTCCCAGATGTCATTCTCCACTCTGCCCCGCATCACGTTCTCCGATTACTTCAGCAGGTACACGGCGCTCTTCCTCACCATACATTGGCTCTACCCCCAGCAATAAGCCTATTGGATGTTGCTCTTGGTCCGCCTCAGCCCTTGTGCCCATTGGATGTTGCTCTCAGCCCCGCCCCTGCCACTCACACCCACTGGCTATTGCCTCTGGCTCCGCCCACAGCACAAGTACCCATTGGAGGGTACCACTGGCCGCCCAGGCACTCACACCCACTGGATGTTGTTCTTGGCCTTCTTGCGGATGAGCTGGATGCCTTCCAGCACGTTGGTGATGTCATAGATGCGCCGCTTCTGCACGTCCAGCACCTCAGCGGCCCAGTTCAGGTCCAGGACCCCATCCTCTGACTCGCTCAGGAGGTAAATGAACTTCTTGGTGAGCAGCCCCAGCGAAGTGTCATACCGAGTCTTCTCCCCGGGGGATTTGGGGGCTGAAGAAGAAAGGGACCCAGTCACAGCTCAGGGAGGGGAGGGCCCGCCCAGGACCCTCGTCCATTGACCTAGGCTCATTAAGTACCACCTTTCACCACCCACTTTCCAGTTTACAAAGCAGTGTGAGCCAGGGCATCCATCACCACCACTGTCCAGACAGGGAACCTGATACCTAAGAGGGAAGGTGACTTGCTTAAGGTCTCACGGCCAATGGGCAGTGTTGGAAGCCTAGTGTCCTGACTCCTGGTTAAATGCACATTTCCACCACAGCTTAGGGCTGCCAGACCACCACCCACAACTACTGTCACTGTTCTAAGTGCTTTCCATGTACGAACACATTTAAGCCCTACAACACCCTGTAAGGGTTGCTGTACAATCATCCCCATTTTATAGATGAGAATACTGAGGCACAGTTTAAGTAATTTGCTCAGCTCACTCAGCTAGAAAGTGGCAAAGCTGGAATTCAAATCCAGGCAGTCTGACTCCAGAGTTTTCCTTAACCATTACCCTATCCTGCCACTTAAATGTCCGGAGTTTGGAATTAGAATAGGGTAGAAATGATAAGCCTGGATTTAAGAGCATTTTTATAGACACACACTTGCTTTTTCTTCCCATGTGAATCACAATGATTATCTGAGAAAAATCGGTCCTGTAACATCAAGTCGGGGAGGTTCATGAGAAAGGTCCCTTTCTCAATGAGGTTGATGTTGCAAGACCACATCTCAGCTGCAGCATCTTAAACCACGAGGGGACTTTTGTAATCGAGTGACTTCCAAGTCATATAGCAAGTTAGTGGCCAATCCAGTAATTCTGGAACCTGAATTTTAGAGTCTTAGGTTCCTCTGGAGGAGGACCAGTTATCATGAGCCTCAGGATCCTTCAAGACAGTGCTCTGGGCAGCCTTGACCAATCAAATGTAGAGGAAACTTTCTTGCCATTCCTGATCTAGCTGTGTCTTCTTTTACACAAGACAACTAAGGTTCACAACAACTAAGGTTCACAGGAGTGACCTGTCAGGTCGGAGCAGAATCCTACCTGGACCCCCAAAACTAGTGTTCCTCCCAAACACAGTTGCTTTAACTCCTGCTCTAACCAGGATTTTTTTTTTTTTTTGGAGATGGAGTCTCACTCTCTCTCCCAGGCTGGAGTGGAGTGCAGTGGTGCGATCTTGGCTCACTGCAACCTGCCTCCCAGGTTCAAGTGATTCTCCTGCCTTGGCCTCCTGAGTAGCTGGGATTACAGGCATGCGCCACCACACCCGGCTAATTTTTGTATTTTTAGTATAGACGGGGTTTCACCACGTTGGCCAGGCTGGTCTGGAACTCCTGACCTCAGGTTATCTGCCCACCTTGGCCTCCCAAAGTGCTGGGATTATAGGTGTGAGCCACCACGCTCAGCCTATCCAGGATATTGACTGAAAATATCAAGAGGCAGCAACCCCCTCCAACTTAGCTTTAGGAAGGCACCACCTGGGCAGCCTCTGGATCTTAAAAACCTTTGGGGTGGCAGAGACTGGATTAATCTGTGCTTCCCTTCCCTTTGAATCACTTATTCAGCTCCTTGTCTGCATGTGGGAGAAAGACCCTGGTTAGCCCCTGCTCTTCTGATTTAGAAAAATTTACCTTGACCTAAACATTAAAACGTTTTAAAAATAATAAATTCCCAAATAAAACACTGGTCATTGAGTTTAGATCATGAGAGCAGTACATGGTATGGTAGAAGTAGTGCGAGACTGGCCAGGCATGGTGGCTCACGCCTGTAATCCCACCACTTTGGGAGGCCGAGGCGGGTGGATCATTTGAGGTCAGGAGTTTAAGACCAGCCTGGCCAACATGGTGAAACTGTGTCTCTACTAAAAATACAAAAATTAGGCAGGGATGGTGGCATGTACCTGTAGTCCCAGCTACCTGGGAGGCTGAGGTGAGAGAGTTGCTTGAACCCCAGAGGTGGAGGTTGCAGGGAGCCAAGATGGCACCACTGCAATCCACATTTGGTGACAGAGCGAGACCTGTCTCACAACAACAACAACAACAACAACAACAACAACAAAAAAAAACACAGAAGTAATGCAAGATTTACATGTCCAGGCTCTAGTCCTGACTCCACTCTGAGACTATGGGCAAGTCACTCAAGCTCTCTGAGTCTCAAGTTGCCTGATTAGTAAAGACAGACAAGCCTACCTACCTGGCAGGATCAAATAATAAAATACGCAGGAAGCTTTTGTAAACTGGAAAGTGATCCAAATATGACTACCAGTGATTGGGCAGGGCACTGCCCTCTGCCCCTGCCCCACCCCACCCCAGAGGCCCCATCAGCACTGCTTACTTTTGGGGCTGGGGAGGCCATCCACTCTGATGCACTTCCCCTTGGGGGTTGGGAACTCAGGGACGACGGGCCTCCCAATCCCCTCCAGATCCAGCTTCCTTTTGGCCTTGGAGAAAAGGGGGAGAGAGAGGCAGAGTTTGAGAATCATTCCTCCTTTAGCCTTTCCCTGATGTGGGGCCAAAGCAATGAAGCCACTTAGCAGCCACCTCTGTGCCTCAGTTTACCGCCAGTCCTGGTGAAGCACTGCTGTACTTGATAGGAAAACATCAGTGACCTGAGAAGTGAGCTTTCAGGGGAAATCTTGTTTTCTGAAGGGCAAATAAAACTCCCATCCTCTGAGGCCCAGGCACTTGAGACCCTACCAAAGCCAGTCTGGCCAAGGGCTCAGAGCTCCTTAACCACGGGCCCTAAGCCGGCTCCTATACCTGCTCCTCACCCCACCACACCCAGAGGATGATACCAGGAGGAAGCAGTGGGTGGGGCCTAAACCACATCAGGGTGGGGAAAGGGCCCCCCTACAGAAGCAGCTGGCCCAGCTAGACTGAGTGCCCATCACAGTCCCACAGCTGGTCCTTATCAGGGCGGGGCTGGGCATCCGCCCAGACCCAGGGGACTTCCTGGCTCAGTGCCACAACCCAGGGAGGTGCCCACAGTGGGAAGCAGTGCAAACATCCCCACCCCCATGTTTGGGCTCCAGCTTGAGGGCCCCAGGGCCTCCTGAATAGACTGCATTTGCCATTCTTTCTTTGCCGAGAGGGGCAGACAATGAATCCTTCCCGTGTCTTAAGGACAAGCAGCTGAGGCCACCCCCCCCCTCCAGCTCCCCCTTTCTGTTCCCGCCAAGCTTGGGAAACACCTGCTGGGGAAATCAAACCACAGACCCATCTGCTCCTCTCCACCCTGTTGCCACCCGGGCCCCAATTAGGCCCAGAGCTGCACTGGCCCGGAAAGGGCCTCTCTCCTGGTTAGGGCTGGGCAGGGGCAGGGCAGGGGCAGAGCTGGGGCACTGGGACACTGGGACATAGGTCAGAGACCCATGCTTGAATCTCCAGCTCCTTCGCAGGCTCACGGTACAAGTTGGGGGAAATGTTACACATCTAAGGAGCCTCAGTTTCTTCCTCTGTAAATGGGGTAAAAATGCCTACCTCAAGGGGCTATTGTAAGGATTCAAGGAAGGCACTACCTGGGCAGCCTCTGCATCTTAAAAACCCTGGAACAGGCTGAATTAATCCCCGCGTGGCTTCCCTTTGAAGCACTTATTTAGCTCCCTGTCTGCATGTGGGAGAAAGACCCTGGTTAGCTCCTGCTCCTTTAACTTCTGTAAAGTTCTCAGCCTGTGTCTCAGCACACAGTAGGTGTTCAGGAAACACAGAGTCCCTTCCCTAAAATCTAATCTCGACCTCTTCCTTCATACATCCTTCTGGGGGTCATCGAGCCCATTTCTTTCCTCTTTCCAACTCTGGATCCCCCAGACACCCCTACCCTGGCTTGGACAGAGAGGCCTATTTTAACATTTAGTGGTGAGGTCATGCTCAGCAGGGCTGAGACTTCTAACTGCTGCTGAGCACAGCTGGGCTGACAGGTGTTGGAGGTGGTGACAGCTCTTCCTGCTGTCAGTTCCCCTTCCCCCACTCCTGCCCCCTCCAGGAAGTCTTCCTGGGCTGATGTGAGGAGCCCTGCTCCTTGGTTTGAGGAGCCTGGATATAACACTCTTGCTTTCCACCACTACCGAGACCTGGAAACCATCCAAACACTTTACTGCTCATTCTTGAATGAGTCTCTTGAATATTCCTTTTCTACCTTCCTAACTGGTGAAATCCTATATTCTAGAGATTTAGCCCCATGCTGTCACTAGAGAAAGGGCCAGTCACTGGCTGAGACCTTCCACATGCCCTGAACCACGCCCCAACATTCATCACTTCACTGAATCTTCCCATACCACTAATCCCCATTGTACAGCTGAAGTAATTGAGGCTTGGGGAGCTCCGAGGCCTCCATCAATCCTGACCAAGGCTGCACATCCTAGTATTCTTCATATATCCCCCAGCAGGAGCACCAAGGGCAGGGAGAGGAAGGGAAGCTCAGGTGGAGTTCTACCTGAGGCAGAGGTGGGGCAGCCCAGAGCCTCCCCAGCCACACCTGTCTCCCCCGCCAGAACAAACCAGAAAGAATCCCAGGAAGACCTTGAACAGAATATCTATGCTGAGCCTGTTACATGCTCGTAACAGTCCTACCACATCAGTATTGGCACTGGCTCTCGGAAGCCAAAAAATGGAGACTTACAGAGAGTAAGCACATGCCCAAGGTCACACAAAGGCCGGAGCCAGGGTTTGAACCCAGGCCTGTCTGACTGCAAAGCCATGTACCAGGCTGCCTCAGCTGCATCCCACACACGCTGCCCCAGGATTTGCTAGAATTTGGGCCAAGGCCTGGGCTACGCCCACCTGCCCCCATCACTGCATGTACTTGCACACACACACACACACACACACACACACAGCCTTCTCTCTTTTCTCACTCTCCTTCACCCTTATTCTGCACTCCCAGGGTCCCAATGCGGCAAGTGTCCCCCTAAGGATACCTCCCTGACACCTTTGGACAGTGCCCAGAGGAAAGTCAGCCTATGGCTTGGGCTGAACCTGCAGAACACAGGTGGCAGAGGACAAGCCCAGGAGGATCAGCATCAAGGTGAGGCTGAGCACAGGTCTTGGAGTCAGACTGGCCTGGCTTTGCATCTAGGCCTTCCCCTTCTTAGCTGGGAAATCAGTTGACGTCAAGTCACCTATAAAATGGGCATCATTGTCTCCACCTATGCTGAGGATTCAGTGAGATAGTGCAGCAAAGCGCTTTGCCCATAGGGAGTGCCCCCACCAGGGAGCTGCTAGCACTGATGTATGGGGAGCACCAGTGGGAAAAGGGGAAAGTTCAAGGGTGAGCTGAAAAGAGACTGCGATGAGGGGAGGAGAGCAAAGGCTATGGCCACAGCCAGAGGCCAGCTTAGCCCTATCCTGGACGCTCTTAGGCAGCCCCTTTGGCTGGATCTTCAAGGCCTGGTCAGGACGCAAGCCCACCCTGCCAACCCCTATGGAGAAGAGTACAGCTCCTTCCTCAGGCAGCTGCAGAAGTGCAGAGGGTCAGAGATCACCAGGCACAACCCCCTTACGGGCACCACGGTGAGGAAACTGGGACTTGGGGAAGAGGAATTGACTTGCCCAAGGTCACGCAGAGTGGAGCCTGGTCTCTCCTAAGCCCTAAGTCAGATGGTGGGGGTAGGAGCAAATGTAAGGGGTCGAACCTTGCTTTCAGATCCCAGCTCTGCCACTTCGTAGCTGAACAGCCTGGGATTCACTGTCTTGCCTCTCTGAGCCTACACCTCCTCACCTGACCTGCCTTGTAGAGTTGTGTGTTAAAATGTTTATTTTCTTTCATGCCTCACAAGAGGAAATCTGGAAAATGTAGACAAATTGAAAGAAAAGGAGGACCGGGCGTGGTGGCTCACGCTTGTAATCCCAGCACTTTGGGAGGCCAAGGCGGGTGGATCACCTGAGGTCAGGAGTTCGAAGCTAGCCTGGCCAACATGGTGAAACCCCATCTCTACTAAAAATACAAAAAGTAATCCCAGCTACTTGGGAGGCTGAGACAGGAGAATCATTTGAACCTGGGAGGTGGAGTTTGCAGTGAGCAGAGATGGCGCTATTGCAAGCCAGCCTGGGCAGAGCTTCCTGCAGGCGTGAAAGAGAATGATGCCATGCGCCTGGCCAGAGGAGGCATGCGATAAAGGGGCATTCCCTGAGCCTTCCTCAGAGGACTTGGAAAGAGCTCTGGACAGGGAGCCAGGAGATCTGGGTTGTGGCCTTCATTCTGCCATTGAACTTGGTTGCCATCCTTGGACAGTGCCTGAGGTCCCTTTAAACAGAAGCTCCACAACAAATCCTGCTCACCCTGCACTTTGCAGCCCGGCCACAAAGCAAGCGGCCACACCCAGGGTTGGGTTTGGAGCTGTTCCAGGTCACGCCCTTGTAAAATGAGTAAGCAGAGGGCAGGCCTGCCCACGGGGCTGGGCCCCGGGCATCTGGGGATTGACAGGAGCGGGAGCTCTGGGCCTGGCAGGGCTTTAGGGTGGTCTGCTGCAAGGAGACTCCCCTGCTTCTTCACTTGTGACCCAGGCAAGTGACTTCCTTTCTTTGCTCAGTTTCCTTATCTGCAAGGTGCCTCATTCTGGACATCCTGACCAAGATAATGAACGTGAAGAGTGCCAAGCAGTGTCTGGCACACGAGAGGCACTCAGTAAAAGAGAGACCTTCTTGCTAAGATCACTGAGCCCTTCTGGGAGGGAGGTACAGACAGATGTACTTGGGCTCCTCTGGGAGGGTTCAAAGCAGTGTAAAACCACAGCTGTTACTGAAACTTCCAGTCTGAAAGCAGCTGGCCAGAGGAGAGTGGGCCTGCCGCAAAGCTCCCTTCCCTGGGGGGAGCTCAGCTCCTAAGTTAGGCAGTATTAAAAAAAGTCAAGGCTACATAGAGAAGAGCCTGCTGCCTGACCAGGTGCATTAGAGTAGCTAGCTCATGCCTGTAATCCCAGCACTTTGGGAGGCTGAGGCAAGAGGATTGCTTGAGCCCAGGAGTTTGAGACCAGCCTGGGGAACATAGGGAGACCCCTGTCTCTACAAAAAATAAAAAATAAAAGACAGAAGAGCTGACTGCCTTGTGAGTCCCATCACTCTACCCCATCCCCATCTCTGACCTTAGGTCACATCCCCTCTCTGAGCCTCAGTTTCCCCCTGTAACATGGAGCTATTAATGCCATCTATTTCACGAACTACAAAGATGTTTTAGGCTATAAAACACTGAACACAAGATACCCAATCCCAGTTATCCTCGGTTGCTTAACCTGTAAAATGGGGATAATACCATTCCTGCCCACTGCCCTCCTAGTTAGAAATCATGTGCAGGAAGGGTCTCCAGGAAGGTTAACGTTTTGAACATGGGCAAAGCCTGAGTCCACTGGCAGGGAGTGGTGGCTCTGCCTGCATCCAGAGCTGGCTGGGCATCCGTGCTTGCTGACTAGCACAGGTCTGACCAGATGCCTCTGGGGCAGTGGGGGGTGGTCTTATCCCTGTACCCGAACTTATTCACCAAACTCACAACTAAGCAAACCTACAACACCCCCTTCCTCTCCCTGGAGCCTGCTTCCAAAACCCAGGACCTGGAGCTGAATGTGGCTGAGAAGAGCTAGCCCCACAGCCACCCTGTGCACACACGCATTGTGAAGGAGAGAACACTGAAGCCCAGACTGGGTCCAAGACTTGTCCAAGGACACACAGAGAATTAGTGGCAGAGTCACACCAGAAACCAGGCTCCTCAACCACCACCACCTCCACTCCCCCAGGCTTTTCCCACTCCACCCCCCACCCTAAAGTTGTTTTGATTCACACGGGCTCCAGGAATTCCACTCCCACAAAACACACCCTGAGCCCAGGTCAGCAGGCAGCCTGGTGCCACTACACTTTGGGCCCTCTCTGGCAACGAGCCTGGGAGCTTGAGGAGAGAGCAGCCAATCTGAACAGAACCCAAGGGGGCTGCCCACATTTGTATCTGCTACATGGCTGTCTGGGAGGGAAGACTGGGCCTGGGGGAGGACCTAGGGCAGATACTTGGGGCTATCTCAGGAGCTGGCTGGACAATTTGGAGTCTGTCCATGGCAGATTGGATGTGAGAGACCCACTAGACCTATCCCTCTGTCTTACCAAAGTCCCACAGTGTCCCCAGGCCATACTCTTTGCCTGGACAATAGCAGGCACCCAGTACTGGTTTCTGGCCAAACAATGAAGTAATGAATGAATGGCGGCAACGCTGGCTGCATGGACTTCCCCAAGGTCACACAGTGCACTGGGAGTAGTGAGTTGGGTCTCCCTCCAGACTCGCAATCCAGTGCTCATTCCACTCCACTAGAATGGATGAGATTATTTCATCCAAAGTCTGAAAATGAAGGGGTCTTCTACTCAGATATTGGGGGCACTGGGTCCTGGAAACTGAAAGCTCATCTTCCCTCTTCCCAAAACTCTACCTGCTCCACTCAAACTGGATCTCAGGCACCCCTCCCTCCTTTCCCACACCTGGAAAAGCATAGGGGGAAGCGGTGGGGGCCCCCAGCATTACCGGCAGCCGGCCTGCCGGCAGGCATCGCACAACTTGGCCCTCGGGTCCGTGGGGAGTGGCGTCGAGGCAGGTGCCTGGCGCCGCTGCGGGAGGCGCCGTCTGCGGGTACAGCGGTGTGTAGTAGGTAGCAGTAGCTGGGCAGAGCTGGGGGCTGCTGAGGCCGGATGGCCACAGCTCTGTGGGGCTCATCGCGGGCACCACCTTCGGGGTCTGCCCAGCGGCCGAAGCCAAGGCCCGGGGCCCTTGCAGCATAGCGAGTAAGGCGCCCCCTACCCAAAAGGGCTTGGCGCGCCCGCGGACACCTGCGGGTTCCGGTGCTGCCGCCTTTCACACGGCCCGCGGCATGGCGCGGAGGCCGGGGGAAGCCGCCAATGGACGCCTGCGGGGCAAGGCCGGACCCTCCCCTCCTGGCCCGCGGCCGAGCAGAGAGCAGCGCTTAGAGATCGCCGCTTGGAGATCGCCCGGCGGCTGCGGTGGTGGCACTGCCAGGGGCTGTCTCGTCCCGAGGGCACCGCGACCCGGGACGCCCCGCGCTCCCCAAGGCCTCGGCACCTGGGGTCCGGCCGGCTCTGGGGAGGGGTCCCCGGCGTGCCCTCAAGCTCGGCGGAGACGCGATGCGCTGGGATGGGGAGGGGGGTCTCGACTGCACCGACTTCCTTGCGGCTCGCTCTCTAGTCCTTGAGTCTTTCTCTGCCTCTTTTTTTTCTTCTTTTTTTTTTTTTTTTAGCGCCAAACGTCGTGCCGCGAAATTCGGATCTCCCGCGGAAAATGCCGCGCTCCGGTTGGCTGCTGCGACAGTACAGGCTCCACCCCCCCCCCCCCCCCCGGAAAGAACGCGTCCTCGAGGCGGCGATTGCAACACTAGCTTCGCTGCTTAAAGGGGCAGCCACACCTGCTGTTGGTGCCGCCAGCCGCCGGCCGCGCTAGTTAGCAGCCGGCGAGACGGAGACAGAGGGTGGTTCCGGGATTCACAGTGCAGAGGCGGCCAGAGCAGTGCACAGCGCCCCGAGAAATGGGCCCGGATTCCCTGGGATTGAAGGGAAACATTTTGGCGCGGGGTCCCAGCCTGAGCCCAGACCCAGCAGTGTATTCCCCAGGCCACAGGCCCTTTTGTTAGTTTGCATTGTTGCTTAGCTAGCACATGTGCATTCATATCCCCTTTCCTGCTAAAATGAAGGCCAGGAACCTGTTCCCTTTAATGGCAGAGGGGTGAGGGACGGAGGCAAACTAGTCTACTTCTTTGTAGGGAAAACTAACATCTATTCAGCGCCTACAGGATGCCAGGCACCATGCTAGATCCTTACAAGCGTTGTTTTAGTTAATTTATTCCAACAATCCTGGGAAGAGGAATGATGATCCCCATGATAAAGACTGACAGTCTGAAAGGCTGGGTAACTTGCCCAAGGTCATACAGAGAGATTCCCTGATTTGAGAGCTGGCAACAGAATCTGGGACAGGTCCCAGCTCTGGAGCCCTTGTTTTTCCAGTTAAGGGGTTCTTCTACTCTCCCAAGCTGCCTGGGGGCACAGCAGGGTCAGAGTCCCACTGCAGAGCTTTGTCTTGTTCACAGTTGTATTATTAGGACCCAATACTCAGTAAATGTTTGAACATCTCTAGGTTTCTTTTAAACAATCCTTTTGTCACAAGAGCCTCTCTGCCTCATTCAAAAACCTTCATTGCTGATAATACATTCCTCATCACTCCGGTTTAGAGAGGCTCAGAGAAGCAAACTTGGGTAGTGAGTGGTAAAAAGTTGCTAGAAGCTGCTGCTAGATTTCAGGTCTGATTTCTTGCCTGGTGCTGTGTGATTTTTATGCAAGTCTGAGCCTTGGCATTCAAAGCCCTCCAGAGACAGTCCACAGCTTAATTCCTCATTAGATGGTTGAGGCCAAGGTGGCAATAACCCATGATGATTAAGAGCCCAGGCTTTGTAGCCAACAGCCCCGAATTCAAACCCAGGCCCAGACACTTTATTATTCATTGTGTGACCAAGGCAAATTTTGTAAATTCTCTGATCCTTGATCCTTGATTTTCTCCTCCTAATAGCACTTACCTCATATGATCATGAGGAAATCTCATGAGATAATGCATATAAAGCTTTCATCACAGAACCTGGATCATAAGGAGCCTCAAGAATTGGCAGCTGTTGTTATATCTCTGACTTTTTTTTTTTAGACAGAGTCTCACTCTGTCACCAGGTTGGAGTGCAGCGGTGCAATTCTCCTGCCTCAGGTTCAAGTGAGTCTCCTGCCTCAGCCTCCCGAGTAGCTGGGATTACAGGCGCCAGCCACCATGCCTGGCTAATTTTTGTATTTTCAGTAGAGGCAGGGTTTCACCATGTTGGCCACGCTGGTCTCGGACTCCTGACCTCAGGCAATCCGCCCTACTTGGCCTCCCAAAGTGCTGGGATTACAGGTGTGAGTCACCGCTCCCGGTCACATCTCTGACCTTATCTCCAGTGCATAAGACCCTTTTACTCTAGTCTACGTATCTCATTGGTCCTTTTTGGTCCTTTGAGGGCCAGCTTAAATCTCACCTCCTCCAAGAAGCCTCCCCTGCCTGCTTCCTCTCAGCCAGAATGGCTCTTACCCTCTTGGGACCCTTAGTGTGTTCTACCTCAACAAAACAAGGCTTCGTTTTCATACCTTGTTTATCAGTTAGGTTCTATGCTCCTTCAAGAATCTAGGTCAGATCTCTCTAGAATGCCCCTTAGCATCTAGGGCCTGGCTTGGAGTGCAGAAGGCAGGTAATAAATACTGATTATGATTCACTCATCTGCCTGGCTGCAAAGAATAGGAGAAGTTAATGAGATCTGAAGTCAGAAAGTCAGGAGGCCCAGATTAAGTAAGTCCCGCTCTCTACTTCCTAGTTAAGTGACACTGGACAGCCGCTGCTTCACTTCTCTTAACCACAATTTCCTCAACCATCAAATGTGGATAATGCTATCACTCAGTCAATTTCACATTACTTCAGAGACACTACTTAAATGACAGTGGTGGCGATGATCACTGATTTTTATTGAGAACCTACTATACACTGGGCTCTAAGCACCTTGAGCCCCTCCTCTGATCCTCACAACACTGCTCTGAGACGGACACTATTATTATCCCCATTTTACAGATGAGGGAACCTGGAAGGAATTGTGGCAGAGCAGGTTTGGGGAAGCAGCAGGGCCCCAGGGCCAGGGAGGGAAATGGGGGTGGCAGGGTGGAGCTGGGAGAAAAGAAGGGAGCCAGTGAGGGGCTGAGAGCCAGCTCTCTGTGGTTGAGTTTCGGGCAGCTGGGGCTGGCTTTAGAGTTTCACTGCCTGGGAACTGACTAATTCTTGCAATAGGTGTGGGGCACAGATCTGAAATCTGCCTCCCTGAGCTTGAATTCCTGCCCCATTCATTCCTAGCATTGTGATCATGGTCAGGTTGCTGGACCATTCTGAGTCTCAATTTCCTCATCTTTGAAATGGAGGCGGCACAAGTGACCTCTCCATTTACTGTGAGGCCTTAGTAAGGTGTTGGTTATAAAGTCCTTAGAGAAATGTCAGGTGCATGGTAGGTACTTAATATATTTTGGCTAAGGTTTATGTGAAATGGACCCGAAGAGGCCCTCACATGGAACCAGACTAAATACTTGCAGTTTCAGGCCGGGCACATTGGTTCATGCCTGTGAACCCAGCACTTTGGGAGGCCAAGGTGGACAGATCTGTTGAGCCCAGGAGTTTGAGACCAGCCTGGGCAACATGGCAAAACTCTGTCTCTCCAAAATACAGAAAAATTAGCTGGGCGTGGTGGCACACGCCTGTAATCCCAGCTGCTCGGGAGGCTGAGGTGGGAGGATCACCTGAGCCCAGGGAGGTCAAGGCTGCAGTGAGCCATGATCATGTCACTGCACTCCAGCCTGGGTGACACAGTAAGACTGTCTCAAAATAAACAAACAGGCCGGGCACGGTGGCTCATGCCTGTAATCCCAGCACTTTGGGAGGCCGAGGTGGGTGGATCACTTGAGACCAGGAGCTTGAGATCAGCATGGTCAACATGGCAAAAACCTGTCTCTACTAAAAATACAAAAAAAAAAAAAATTAGCCAGGCGTGGTGGTGTGTGCTTGTAATCCCAGCTACTCGGGAGGCTGAGGCAGGAGAATCGCTTGAACCCAGGAGGTGGAGGTTGCAATGAGCCAAGATCGTGCCACTGCACTCCAGCCTGGGTCACAGAGCGAGACCCTGTCTCAAACACACACACACACATACACACACACACACACACACACACACACACACAAAACCCTCAGAGTTTCTGCCGTACACGCCCTACACTTTCCCATCTCCCAGGCTTTGCTTACCTGGCTCCATATCCTCCTATTCTTCAGGCCCCGCCTCCCCTCCAGGCCCCTCCTCCCCTCCATCCCCATGTGCCCAAATCTGACTCATCCTTCAAGGTCCAACTCAAATGGAGTGGAAGGAGCAAAGAATCTGAAGTCAGACATCCCAGGGTTCAAACCCAGGCCCTGACACTTTATTAGCTGTGTGACCCAGGCAAAATTTCCTAAATTCTCTGATCTTTGATCCTTGATTTTCTAATCCTAATAGCACTTACCTCATAGGATTGTGAAGAAATCTCATAGATAATGCATATAAAGCTTTCAGCATGGAACCTGGTTTATAAGGAGCCTCAAGAATTGGCAGTTTTCTTACGTCTCTGATCCTATCTCCAGTGCATAAGACCCTTTTACTTTAATCTACCTATCAACAAATCTTCAGACTCCTTGGGGGCAGGACCCAGGCTTTGTTTTCACTTTTGCGCCTTCCTCCCCTGAGATGCCAGGCACAAAGTAGGCCTGAAATAAATGATAATAGTTCACATTTCCTGAGAACTTCCTAGGCGTAAACACCCAGCTAGGTATTTTACATACATTATTTTGTCGAAACCTCCCAACTACCCTGTAACACAGGTACATTTTGGACAGATGAAGAAATTGAAGCTGAAATATGTAAAGGAACTTGACAACTGTTTGAAGATGAAATCAGGATCTGAACTCAGATCTCTCCCAAGGCACTGCGCTGTTGTGAACAGTGAACTCAGCCCCAAAACCCCATGTGAAGGAGGGTACATTCTGCTAATGAACCAGGGGTTCCAGTGCTGCACACATTGCTGGAAGTGGAAAGACTGTGTCCCACAACTGGATGAGTTGGGGATGCTTAGTACTATTTTCCAGATGAGGAAGCCATGACTTGCCTGAGGCCACAGAGCAGGTAAGTGAGGAAGTTCCTGTTCCAGGCAACCCCAGATAGTCCTGGAAAAATCCCCAAACTAAAGCAAACTTCCATTCCAGCTGGTGTATCTTCTCCTGAAAAATTCCACAGATTCCCTGTGCTCAAAGTCCTGTTAATCAGAATACAAACTGCTTGACAGACACTTCCTGAAGGTACATATTCCCTGTCCCGGGCTCCTCAGCACATCACCTGTTCACACGAATCCCAAATCACAGAGAAACCAGATCAGAGCTATGGGAAACAAGGGAGAAAAATCCCTGCTCCATCTTCTTTGTGCTTTTCCTATTCTACAATAAACATGTATTACTTTGGTGATTGGAGAAAAAAAAGTTGTTTTTTAAAAAGAGAAACAAGGTATTGCTTTAAGGAAGTTCTGCTAGTGGTAACCTTTTTACTGGAACATTGTTGGAAGATGGGTTCGTGGGCTTTTCTAACAGTGACTGGCATGTAGTAAACACTATATGAATGTTTGTTAAATACATAAAATTCTAGGTGCAGGCCGGGCGCGGTGGCTCACGCCTGTAATCTCAGCACTTTGGGAGGCTGAGGCGGGCGGATCATGAGGTCAGGAGATTGAGACCATCCTGGCTAACACGGTGAAACCCCGTCTCTACTAAAAATACAAAAAATTAGCCGGGCGAGATGGCAGGCGCCTGTAGTCCCAGCTACTCGGGAGGCTGAGGCAGGAGAATGGCGTGAACCCAGGGGCGGAGCCTGCAGTGAGCCGAGATCTCGACACTGCACTCCAGCCTGGGCGACAGTGACTCTGTCTCAAAAAAAAAAAAAAAAAAAAAATCTAGGTGCAGTGGTTCGTGCCTGTAATCCCAACACTTTGGGAGCCCGAGGTGGGTGGATCAGTTGAGGCCAGGAGTTCGACACCAGCCTGGCCAACATGGAAAAACCCTGTCTCTACTGAAAATATAAAAATTAGCTAGGTGTGGTGGTGCACACCTGTAATTCCAGCTACTCGGAAGGCTAAGGCAGGAGAATCGCTTGAACCCAGGAAGCGGAGGTTGCAGTGAGCCAAGATTGCACCACTGCACTCCAGCTTGGGAGACAGAGTGAGAACCCGTCTCAAAAAAATAAAAATAAAGAAAAATAAAGAAAAAAACATAAAATTCTAAATCTTGGCACTCCATAAGCTATGTGCTCTTGGACATATCATTGCATTACTCTGGGCCTCTGTTCCTTCATCTGATAAACAGGGCTAATCACAGCTGTCTCGGGTTTATTGCGTTGAAGTGAATCTGGGATGGGATGTGAATGTGCTGTGTGTGTGTGTGTGTGTGTGTGTGTGTACCAAAATTTATTAAGAAGGCAAACAATTTGGTTGGACAACTCTTCAAAGAAAATATACAGAGGCCAGGCCGGACGCAGTGGCTCACACACTTGTAATCCCAGCACTTTGGGAGCCTGAGGCAGGTGGATCACCTGAGGTCAGGCGTTCGAGACCAGCCTGGCTAACATGGTGAAACCCTGACTCTACTAAAAATACAAAAATTAGCTGGGCGTGATGGCGGGCGCCTGTAGTACCAGCTACTCAGGAGGCTGATGCAGGAGAATCGCTTGAACCCAGGAGGCAAAGGTTGCAGTGGGCCGAGATTGTGCTATTGCACTCCAGCCTGGGAGACAAGAGCCAAAGTCCGTCTCAAAAAAAACAGGAAATATACAGAGGCCAATAAGCACGTGAAAAGATGCTCAACATCATTAGTCATTAGGGAAATGCAAATCAAAACTACAATGAGATGACACTTCACTAACCCACTAGAATGGTTATAATAGAAAAGAGAGACAATAACTAGTGTCGTCCAGGATGTGGAGAACCCTCATACATTGGAACCCTCATTCATTGCTGGTGGGATTGTAAATGGGTATAACTGCTTTGGAAAATAGTTCAGCAGTTTTTAAAAAAGTTATACAGAGTTAACCACATGACTCAGCAATTCTACTCCCATATACCCAAGAGAATTGAAAACATATGTTCACACAAAAATGTGTACACAGATGTTCATAGCAGCATTATCCATAATAACCAGAAAGTAGAAACAACCCAAATGCCCATTAACTGATGATTGGATAAGCAAAATGTGGAGTCCAGGCACAGTGGCACATGCCTGTAATCCCAGCACTTTGGGAGACCAAGGCGGGTGCATCAATTGAGCCCAGAAGTTTGAGACCAGCTTGGGTAGCACAGTGAGACCCCATCTCTACAAAAAAAATACAAAAATCAGCTGGGTGTGGTGGCGTGCACCTGTAGTTCCAGCTACTTGGGAGGCTGAGGTGGGAGAATTGCTTGAACCTGGGAGGCAGAAGTCATGCCACTGCATCCCAGCCTGGATGACAGAGCAAGACCCTGCCTCAAAAAAAAAGTGGTATATTTATATAATAGAATATTATTCAGCCAAAAAAAGGAAAAAAAAATTTTTTTTTTTTTGAGATGGAGTCTCGCTCTGTCATCCAGGCTGGAGTGCAGTGGTGCGATCTCGGCTCACTGCAAGCTCTGCCTCCTGGGTTCACACCATTCTCCCGCCTCAGCCTCCCGAGTAGCTGGGACTACAGGTGCATGCCACCACGCCCGGTGAATTTTTGTATTTTTAGTAGAGACAGGGTTTCACCGTGCTGGCCAGGCTGGCCTCAAACTCCTGACCTCAGGTGATGGTGATCCACCACCTCAGCCTCCCAAAGTGCTGGGATTACAGGTGTGAGCCACCGTGCCCAGCCTTTTTTTTCTTAATAGTGACGGGGGTCTCACTATATCCCGTGGTCTGGTCTTGGACTCCTGGGCTCAAGTAATCCTCCTGCCTCGGCTCCCAAAGTGTTGGGATTATAGGCATGAGCCACCACGCCTGGCCCCATAAAAAGGAATGAGGTACTGATACATGCTATGACATGGAAGACTCTTCAAGACATTATGCTAAGTGAAAGAAACCAGACACAAAAGGCTATGTTTGTATGATCCCATTTAGTGAAATGTCTAGAATAGATAAATCTTTTTTTTTTTTTTTTTTTTTTTGAGACAGAGTCTTGCTCTGTCACCCAGGCTGGAGTGCAGTGGCATGATCTTGGCTCACTGCAACCTTCACCTCCCAGGTTCAAGGGATTCTCCTGCCTCAGCCTCCCAAGTAGCTGGGACTACAGTTGTGCACTACCACGCCTGGCTAATTTTTGTATTTTTAGTAGAGATGGGGTTTCACCCTGTTGGCCAGGCTGGTCTTGAACTCTTGACCTCAGGTGATCCGCCCACCTCGGCCTCCCAAAGTACTGGGATTACAGACTAGAATAGATAAATCTATAGAAACAAAAAGTAGATTAGTGGGGCTGGGCGTGGTGGTTCACGCCTGTAATCCCAGCCCTTTGGGAGGCTGAGGTGGGCAGATCACCTAAGGTCAGGAGTTTGAGACTAGCCTGGCCAACATGGTGAAACTCCGTCCCTACTAAAAATACAAAAATTAGCTGGGCGTGGTGGCAGGCACCTGTAATCCCAGCACTTTGGGAGGCTGAGGCAGGAGAATCGCTTGAACCGGGAGGTGGAGGTTGCAGTGAGCCAAGATCGTGCTACTGCACTCCAGCCTGGGCGAGAGTGAGACTTTGCCTCGGAAAAAAAAAAGGCCAGGCACAGTGGCTCAATCCCAGCACCTGTAATCCCAGCACCTTGGAAGGCTGAGGTGGGTGGATCACTTGAGGTCAAGAGTTCGAGACCAGCCTGGCCAACATGGTGAAACCATGTCTCTACTAAAAATACAATAATTAGCCAGGCATGGTAGCGCATGCCTGTAATCCCAGCTACTTGGGAGGCTGAGGCAGGAGAATTGTATGAACCCGGGAGGTAGAGGCTGCAGTGAGCCGAGATCACGCCACTGCACTCCAGCCTGGGTGACAGAGCAAGACTCTGTCTCAGGAAAAAAAAAAAGTAGATTAGTGATTGCTGGGAATGGGTCAGTCTCTGTACAGATGAAGAACATGAGGCTCAGAGAAGCCAATTGCCACCCATCTGTGTGACTTTGGACCAGTGACTTCACGTCTCTCAGTTGTGACGTGGAGAGAATGACGTGCGCCTGAGATGGTGGCTCTGCAGCTCAGTAAATGTGCCTGCGGCGCCTGGTGGGTCCCCCTGCGTCTTCGTTAGTTCCTTTTCCTTCTCTCAGACCTTTGGCTGGAAGCTGGTGGGGCTGAAAGGTGAAGGCTGCCACCTAGAGGTGAACTCTGGCACCTGCCAAAGCCTGCGAGGCGTCTTATCTTCTCATCAAGGTAACTCACCCGCTATGGGCTTGGGGAGGAGAAACAGGATGTGAAAGAAGCAGCCCCGCTGAGGACAGGGCTACTAGACTGGCCAGATTCTTTCCAGATGTTTGTAGGCCCTGGGAATGCTTTTCACAGATGTTGGGTCCCGTGGAGGTGATCCCATGCGGGAAGAGGGACATCCCATGCGGGAGTCAGGTCCCAGCAGAGCTGCTTAGCGTCTCTTGGGGAAATGCCACCTATAATTCCTTCTTCTTCTTTTTTTTTTTTTTTTTTTGAGATGGAGTCTCGTTCTGTCGCCCAGGCTGGAGTCCCGTGGCGCGATCTCGGCTCACTGCAAGCTCCGCCTCCCGGGTTCACGCCATTCTCCTGCCTCAGCCTCCCGTGTAGCTGGGACTACAGGCGCCCGCCACCACACCCGGCTAATTTCTTTTGCATTTTTAGTAGAGACGGGGTTTCACCATGTTAGCCAGGATGGTCTCGATCTCCTGACCTCGTGATCCGCCCCTATAATTCCTGTAATTGTCAGTTTATTCCCTCGTTTTCCTGAGGGATCTCTTTAACACACACACCTGACCTTGTCTCTCTCTAGTTCAAGGTCTGGCAACTAGCTCCCCACCACGGCCCAGCCACCCCCACCACCAGGTCCCTCCGATCTTCAGACCCTTCACACATGGGCCTTAGGTTTTTTTTTTTTTTTTTTTTTTTTTTTGAGACAGGCTCTCACCCTCTCACCCTGGCTGAAGTGCAGTGGCACAGTCTCTGCTTATTGCAACCTCTGCCTCCCAGGCTCAAGCGATTCTCCTGCCTCAGCCTCCCAAGTAGCTGGGATTACAGGCACGCACCACTACTGCCCAGCTAATTTTATATTCTTAGTAGAGACGAGTTTTTACCATGTTGGCCAGGCTGGTCTCGAACTCCTGACCTCAAATGATCCACCTGCCTTGGCCTCTCAAAGTGCTAGGATTACAGGTGTGAGCCACTGCACCCGGCCCCCTTACGTTCTAATCCAACACACTCTTCCTAACTCCCCTCTGACCTCTCAGCTCTCTCTATTGCCCATGCTGTTCTCCCTGCTTCACATGTCTCTCTCCATCTCTTCCACCAGAAAAAACTGTTCTGCTCTCAGATAGAAGTTTCTTCCTTCTTTTCTTTCTTAAACCAGATAAATAAATCATTGAGAATGCTGTGTACCCCCATATCCCCCACGTGATCTTAAACAGCACTCAATTTTAAAAGGGTGCATTTTTAACTCCTCAGGCTAAGAGAACAGAAACCTGGGACAAAATTAGGAATCCAGCTCACATGCCTGTAATCCTAGCACTTTGGGAGGCCAAGGCGGGCGGATCACGAGGTCAGGAGATGGAGACCATCCTGGCTAACATGGTGAAACCCCGTCTCTACTAAAATTACAAAAAATTAGCTGGGCGTGGTAGCGGGCGCATGTAGTCCCAACTACTCAGGAGGCTGAGGCAGGAGAATGGCGTGAACCCGGGAGGCGGAGCTTGCAGTGAGCCGAGATCGTGCCACTGCACTCCAGCCTGGGCGACAGAGCGAGACTCTGTCTCAAAAAAAAAAAAAAAAAAATGAAGCCAGCTCAATTGCTAACATTGAAAAATGACTCAGAACTCTTTTTTTTTTTTGAGATGGAGTCTCACTCTGCAGCCCAGGCTGGAGTGCAGTGGCGCAATCCCAGCTCGATGCAAGCTCTGCCTCCCGGGTTCACGCCATTCTCCTGCCTCAGCCTCCCGAGTAGCTGGGACTACAGGTGCCTGCCACCACGCCTGGCTAATTTTTTTTTTTTGTATTTTTTAGTAGTGACGGGGTTTCACCGTGTTAGCCAGGCTGGTCTCGAACTCCTGACCTCAAATGATCCACCCGCCTCGGCCTCCTGAAGTGCTGGGATTACAGGCGTGAGCCACCGTGCCCGGCCAGAACTTTTTTTTTTTTTTTTTTTTGAGACAGGGTCTCGCTCTGTCCCCCAGGCTGGAATGCAGTGGAGTGATCTTGGCTCACTGCAACCTCCACCTGCTGGGTTCAAGCAATTCTCGTGCTTCAGCCTCCCGAGTAGCTGGGACTACAGGCATCCACCGCCACGCCCAGCTAATTTTTGTGGTTTTTTTTTTTTCTTTCTTTTTAGTAGAAACAGGGTTTCACCATGTTGGCCAGGCTGGTCTTGAACTCCTGACCTTAAGTGATCCACCTGCCTCAACCTCCCAACATGCTGAGATTACAGGCGTGAGCCACCACACCCAGCCCAGATCTCTTTTGAAATAAGCAAGACATTCAGTTTTGAAATCGAGGTGGTTTTGGTGTTGGCCACAGTTGGGGTGGTGGTAGATTATGCCAGCCATCTTTTGGAAGCTGACCCTGAGCCCTGCACCCCACCTCTTGTTAGGAATCTCAATCTATCATTGTTTTTGTTTGTATGTTTGTTTGAGGCGGAGTCTTGCTCTGTCACCCAGGCTTGAGTTCAGTGGCGCGATCTCAGCTCACTGCAAGCTCCGCCTCCCAGGTTCACGCCATTCTCCTGCCTCAGCCTCCCGAGTAGCTGGAACTACAGGTGCCCGCCACCATGCCCAGCTAATTTTTTGTATTTTTAGTAGAGACGGGGTTTCACCGTGTTAGCCAGGATGGTCTCGATCTCCTGACTCGTGATCTGCCCGCCTCAGCCTCCCAAAGTGCTGGGATTACAGGCGTGAGACACCGCGCCCGGCCCGTTTGTTTGTTTTTGTAGAGAAGGGGTTTCACCATGTTGCCCAGACTGGTCTTGAACTGGAATCAAGTGATCTGCCTTGGCCTCCCAAGGCGCTGGGATCACAGGGGTGAGCAACCACACCGGCCCTCTATAATCGTTTTGCAATTGTAATTACAGTTGTTTTAATGTTCTTCCTCCCCACCCCACCCCCAGATTTAAGCTTCTCCTTGTCTTTTTAATTTTCACACCCCAATATCCAGCATAGTACCCACTGCAGAGTACAAGCACAAGAATTGCTTATTGAACTAAACTCAACAAAAGGTTTGTTTGTTTGTTTTGAGATGGAGTCTTGCTCTGTCGCCCACTGGAATGCAGTGGCCCAATCTTGGCTCACTGCAACCTCCGCCTCCCACAGGTTCAAGTGATTCTCCTGCTGCAGCCTCCCGAGTAGCTGGGATTACAGTCACGCACCACCACACCTGGCTAATTTTGTATTTTTAGTAGAGATGGGGTTTCTCCATGTTGGTCAGGCTGGTCTCAAACTCCCAATCTCAGGTGATCTGCCCACCTCGGCCTCCCAAAGTGCTGGGATTACAGGCATGAGCCACTGCGCCTGGCTAATTTGTATTTTTAGTAGAGACAGTTTCACCACATTGGCCAGGCTGGTCTCCAACTCCTGACCTCAGGTGATCCGCCTGCCTCGGCCTTCCAAAGTGCTGGGATTACAGGCGTGAGCCATGCGGCCTGGCCAATGAAAGGTTTTTTGGAATAGGTGCAAGATCACTCACAATCCCCTTCCAAGAGACTTTCCAAGAAAGTCTCTGGCCACTGTCAGAGTCCCTCTGTAACTCTGCTTGGGGGGAAATGGTGAGTTGGGGGCCTTATGAGGCCAAAGAGGTAGTCACAGGAGCCAGAATTCTCACGTACCTCCTCCAGGCTCATGAAGAGAGGCACAACTCACTTTTTTCCTCCCACTCCCTCCCCTCCATCTCTCCCTATTCTCTCTCTTTCCTTTATTTCTCTTTTTTTAGAGATAAGAGTCTTGCTATGTTGCCCAGGCTGGTCTTGAACTCCTATATTCAAGCAATCCTCCCACCTCAGCCTCCCAAAATGCTGGGATTACAAGAGTGAGCCACCATACCTAGCCTATAATTCACTTTCTAACCCACCTCCCCGCCCACTGCTCTCCCCCACGCCCTGCCCTATACACTGCCCCACCCCTGTGATTATTCCTCCCCAAACAAGCAGATCAAAAGTGATGCTAAGAAGTCGGGCACAGTGGCTCACTCCTATAATCCCTGCACTTTGAGAGGCCAAGGCGGGAGGATGGCTTGAGTCCAGGAGTTCAAGGCCAGTCTAGGCTACCTGGCGAGACTCTGTCTTTACAAAAATATTTAAAAATTAGCTGGGCGTAGTGGTATATGCCTGTAGTCACAGCTCCTCAAGAGGCTGAGACTGGAGGATCTCTTGAGCCCAGGAGGTCATGGCTGCAATGAGCTGTGATTGTGTCACTGCATTCCAGCCTGGATGACAGAGGGAAACCCTGTCTAAAAAAAAAAAAAAAAAAGCTAATAGTTGCAAAGCAAGCACATTCATGCCCGATCTGCTTAATTATCACAACAGCCCTATGAGGAAGCCACCATTAGCCCCACAGAACAGATGAAGGAACTGAGCCCAGGAGTAGTTCGATGATTATGCCTGAAGGACAGCTTGTGTGTCAGGGCCCTGAATTTTATTTACTATGTGTGGGTCACCTTTCTGAAGGCTCATAAACTTCCACGCATATGATCCTCATATCATCCCCATGAGATGTGTAATATCATCACCCCCATTTTATAGATGAAGAAACTGAGACTCTGAGCATTTACGTAACTTACCCAAGGCCACAGGGCTGGTGACAGTAGAGGTGGTTTTGAGCCAGGGCTGTCCAGGTACACCCTCTCAACCACTTTGTCATCCTTCCTCTGGATATTCTCTGGACACCTTGGCTTTAGCATGTGCAAGTAGGACGACACCCCCCTCACCAAGAGGTAGTAAGGATTAGATCTAATATGTGTGTGTATCTGGATCACAGTAAATACCCAGGAAAAGAGGTCATCATTTTTGTTCCTCTCTGACAATTGCAGCAACTGGCCGCCAGAGGGGAGTCATGCACTGAAGACCTAAGCCCTTCCCAGGTGACTGGTTGACCATTCAACGGTTAAGAATTGTGCTGGGCCCTTTTATCTCTGTGCCCAAATGTGGGATCAAGGACAGATCTCACCAGTACGGAACTACAAGGATCTTTTGACTCTTGCAAAAGAAATACAGCTTAGGCCTTAAAACCCATCTAAGGCCCCTTTACCAACACCAATTCTAGGACTGGGAGGGTGGGGGAGATCCCTGTGGAGGGAGGCCCAGCTGTGTCCCATTTGGTGGTGGCAGTGCTGGGGGAGCAGCAATTATCAGTAATTCCTCTCCTGCTGGAGGCTGGGCTCCTGGAGCCACAGCTGCAAGGTGGGAGGTGGCAAGGAGGATTTTGGAATTGTCTCCCTAAGGGGTTTCCATGGTTACAGATGGATACAGGCAGCCCACTAGGCTGGGTCCTTTCTCCATATTGTCTCCTGGGGAGACAATGGGCTTTGGGGATGGGGCGGCATGCCACGCAGATCATTTCTAGAGCAGGGACCATGAGTGCCTGCTCTGTGAACCCCTGGACCCCAGCTGCTGGGACAGAGGGAGTTGGGCACAGGGATCAGCCTTGGTAACCGACTGCTTGCTTTGGGGTACAACACTACTGCTACAGCAACTCAAGAGAGGCTGTCCGCTGAGCCACTCAAGCAAATCTGAGGCTCCAAAACAGCCAAACTGCAGAGGCCTCCAGGTATTTAAAAAGCATGCATTTTGGAGTCAGATAGTCATGTCATGATTCTGTCCCTTGCTAGCTGTGTGACTTGGGCAAGTTATTTTACCTTCCTGAGTCCCCGTGTCCTTATCGCGAAAGTGGGACAACACCCACTTTATAAAATTGGTGTGAGGAAGCAATAAGCACAAAGCCTAGTGCCAAGAAAATGCTCAGAGAGTTCCTAAGCTCAGGTGGGTTGATGGGGTCCTGGGATGTGGGACTGGCTCTGTACCCACTCTGTGGCCTTAGACAAGGCCCTTCTTATTTCTGGGTCTCAGCTGCTCCATCTATGACTTGGAGACTTTGAAAGGCTTATAAAGGATGAAAGCTACTCAGGAGGCTGAGGTGGGAGGATCCCTTGAGTCCTGGATCCAAGACCCGCTTGGGCAACATAGTGAGACCCGCCCTGCCTCGAAAGAAAAGGAAGTACCTGGCCAGGCGCGGTGGCTCATGTCTGTAATCCCAGCACTTTGGGAGACCGAGGTGGGCAGATCACGAGGTCAAGAGTTTGAGACTAGCCTGGCCAATGTGGTGAAACCCTAACTAAAAATACAAAAAACATTACCGGGCATGGCCAGGCGTGGTGGCTCACACCTGTAATCCCAGCACCTTGGGAGGCCAAGGCAGGCAGATCACAAGGTCAGGAGATCGAGACCATCCTGGCTAACACGGTGAAATCCCGTCTGTACTAAAAATACAAAAAAAAATAGCCAGGCGTGGTGGCAGGTGCCTGTAGTCCCAGCTACTCGGGAGGCTGAGGCAGGAGAATGGTGTGAACCCGGGAGGCAGAGCTTGCAGTGAGTTGAGATTCCGCCACTACACTCCAGCCTAGGCAACAGAGAGAGACTCCGTTTAAAAAATAAATAAATAAATTTCCTGGGCGTGGTGGCGGGTGCCTATAGTCCCAGCTACTCCGGATGCTGAGGCAGGAGAATTGCTTGAACCTGGGAGGTAGAGGTTGGAGTGAGCTGAGATCACGCCACTGCAGTCTAGCCTGGTGACAGAGCAAGACTCTGTCTCAAAAAAAAAAAAAAAGAAAAGAAAAGTACTTGGCCGAGCACAGTGGCTCATACCTGTAATCCAAGCACTGTAGGAGGCTGAGGCAGGAGGATCACAAGGTCAGGAGCTCAAGACCAGCCTGGGTAACACAGCAAGACCTCCCAATCTCTACACATTTTTTTTTTTAAAGTAGCTGGGTATGGTGGTGTGCACCTGCAGTCTCAGACTTAGGAGGCTGAGGTGGGAGGATCTCTTGAGCCCAGGGGTTTGAAGCTACAGTAAGCTATGACTGCACCACTGCACTCCAGCCTGGGTGACAGATTGAGACCCTGTCTCAGAAAGAAAAGAGGGGAGGGAACGGGAGGTGAGGGGAGAAAAGAAAAGTGCGAGCTTGGGAAAACAGAAATCAAAACACTAACACAACAACCCCATCTTCCAGGACTTAAATCCAGTTGGAATATGCAACATGTGATCACAGGGGCATGTGGTATTTGTGTAAGTAGACTCTGTGCTGTGGCAATTAAGGGAGATTTTTCTGAGGGAGGCAGGACTTAAGTTAGGCCTTCGAGAGTCTCAGAATCAGGAAAATATTCCAGAAAAATCTCCCACGCTATGCCAAGGAGAAACAGAATCCCAGAAGGGCGAAGGGACTCAGTTCTCTGCCACTCAGTTTCAAATCCTTCCTAGTCACTGCCTTTTCCCCAAGGAAGGGTGTGTGTACGTGGGGAGGAAAGGAAGGAGTAAGCAAAAACCATTGTCATTTATGTCCAATTTATGGGACACCTTTACATGAGTCAAGTTAATCATTAGCCCCATTTTATAGATAAGTAAACTAAGGATTGCTCTAATTTTTATCCAACTGATTTGGCGAAACAACGTACATGGCCCAAGAATAAACTTTGTCTCCAGTATGGAATACAAAACTTCCCCAAGGGAAATGTAAAACAATTCCTTCATGTTTAAATCATCAGCAGAGAAAATCAAATCGTTTACATGTCTATTACTTGTCCTTCTATTAAGAGGCACTTAGCACAGAGCCTCGAACATGGTAAGTGTTAAGTAAATGAAAGTTGTTGTCACTGTCACTGCTATTATTAAATGTATTACTACATATTCAATGCTGGGGATACAGAGGTCAATAAAACTCTCTCCCTGTAGTCCCAGCTACTCTGGAGGCTGACATGAGAGGATCGACTGAGCCCTGTTGGTGGAGGTTGCAGTGAGCCGAGATGGTGTCACTGCACTACAGCCTGGATGACAGAGAGAGACCCTGTCTTAAAAATAATGATAATAATAATAAAAATAACTCCCTTCTGTCTTTGAGAAATTCAGCCTAGTGAGAGAAAACGGGCTGCAAAAAAAATGATCTCTTACTTCCTGGACACACATATACCATCTCGTTAAATTCTCCAAACAACCTTGTGAGGAAGGTTTTTTCTTTCTCTCATTTTAGAAATAAGGAAACTGAGGTTCAGTGGGCTTCATTGACTTGCCCAGACATTGTAAAATATGAATAAAATATGAAATAAAATAGTGTTAGAAGACAAACACCTTTATTGGATTAACAGATACATCAAAAAGCAATAAAGTCTATTAATTACGTAAGGCACATAGACCATAGCCCATTTTATTTATTATTATTATTATTTTTTGAGACAAGAGTCTCACTCTGTCGCCCAGGCTGGAGTGCAGTGGTGTGATCTTGGCTCACTGCAATCTCCGCCTCCTGGGCTCACGCCATTCTCCTGCTTCAGCTTCCTGAGTAGCTGGGACTACAGGCGCCTGCCACCACACCCGGCTAATTTTTTTGTATTTTTTTTAGTAGAGATGGGGTTTCACCATGTTATCCAGGATGGTCTCGATCTCCTGACCTCGTGATCCACCCACCTCAGCCTCCCAAAGTGCTGGGATTACAGGCGTGAGCCACCACGCCCGGCCAGCCCCATTTTATTAAAGACTATGAAAGATAGCTTTTACTGAGCTAAAAAATGAGCCAGACTTTTGAGAGCTCTCATTTATGGAGCAACAACGAAGTGCCAGGCACTTTCCATGTGTCTGTCAAATCCTCATAACCCTGAGAGGTAGGAACAGTTAGCTCCCTTTCACAAATGACAAAGCTGGGGCTCAGAGAGGTGAAGTTACATGGCCAGGGTTGCACAGCAAAAGAGGGCATCGAGCCAGTGCTGGGACCCAGGCTCTGACACTTGGGCTAGGAGCTGGAGCCAGGCCTTTCTCCCAAGTCAGGTTTACTAAGAGCTATGCTGCTGCTGTGAGCCAATCACCCTTTCCTGCCTCACTCCACGGAGCGCGATGAGTGGGCGGGAGAGGGGACAGGCGGTTCTTCAGGGCAAGAGGACTTGTTTCAGCCCATTTGGGAAGCAGCCCGGCGTAGCATGGCCTTCTCAAAGTGTGTGTGTCTGCATGCATGTGTGCTCATGCATGCACACATGTGACTGTGTGTGATGTTGGCTGGCTGTCGGGTCTCACAAAGCCATGTGATAAAAATCTGGTACATCTTTCTGAAATGTCCGTTTTACTCAAAAAATACAAATAAAAGAAAGAGAGACATCACAATTTTATATTAAAACACAGAGGGCTATAGAATGTAAGAGAACACAACCTTCACATGGTATGTTAAGATAATGAATGACAACTAGCATTTGGGGGCTGTGGTTATTATTATGTGCCAGGCACTAATCTAAGAATTTTGTATGGTAACTAAGCCTCACAACAACCATCTGTGTAGGGACTGTTAGCAGACACGGAGAAGAGAAGTTAAGTCACTTGTCCAAGTTCACACAGCTAGTATGTGGAAGAGCCTGGGAACACAAAGCATTTCATTAGACAAATCTTAGAACATCTCTATTATCCATTGTTTGTTCAATTAAAAGTTTGTAACAAGGGTCAGGCGCAGTGGCTCATACTCCTGTAATCCCAGCACTTTGGGAGACCAAGGTGGGTGGATCACTTGAGGTCAGGAGTTCAAGACCAGCCTGGACAACATGGAGAAACCCTGTCTCTATTAAAAATACAAAACCCCATCTCTACTAAAAATACAAATCATGGTGATGGGTGCCTGTAATCCCAGCTACTTGGGAGGCTGAGGCAGGAGAATTGCTTGAACCTCAGAGGTGGAGGTTGCAGTGAGCCGAGATCGCGCCACTGCACTTCAGCCTGGACGACAGAGCAAGACACCACCTCAAAAAAAAAAAAAGTTTACAAGGACGGGTGAGGTGGCTCATACCTGTAATCCTAGCACTTTGGGAGGCCAAGGCAAGTGGATTGCTTCAGCCCAGGAGTTAGAGACCAGCCTGGGCAATATGGCAAAACCTTGTCTCCATTAAAAATATAAAAATTAGCCAGGTGTGATGATGGGTACCTGTAGTCCCAGCTACTTGGGAGGCTGAGGTGGGAGGATCACTTGAGCCTGGAAGGCCGAGGTCACAGTGAGTTGTGATCATGCCACTGCATTCTAGCCTGGATGACAGAGAGAGACCCTGTCTCAAATATAAACAATAAAAATAAAACAAAAAATTGTTTAAAAGTTTACAACAAGATTTATACACAAGAATGAGGATAAGAAGTAGCTGGCTCCGGCCAGGCACGGTGGCTCACACCCATAATCCCAGCACTTTGGGAGGCCGAGGCAGGTGGATCACTTGAGGTCAGGAGTTCAAGACCAGCCTGGCCAACATGGTGAAACCCCGTCTCTACTAAAAATACAAAAATTAGCCTGGCATGGTGGTGTCCACCTGTAATCCCAGCTATTCAGGAGGCTGAAGCACAAGAATCGCTGGAACCCAGGAGGCAGAGGTTGCAGCAAGCCGAGATCACACTACCACCCTCCAGCCTGAGTGACAGAAAGAGGCTCTGTCTCAAAAAAAAAAAAAAAAAGGTAGCTGGCTCCCCTTTTGCTTCCTCTTCATGAAATTATAAGGGCTGCCAGTTGGGAGCAGGTACTCTACCTCTGTTGTCTTATTTAATTCCTACAACAACCCTATGGGAGAGGTAGCATTGAAAGTTTACAGATGAAAACCTGAGGCTCAGGGAGGTGGTGTCATGTAGCTGGTCACACAGCTAAGAAGTGGCAGAGAAGGATTTAAATGCAGGTCTGGCTGATCACGAAGCTGCTGCTCTTACCTACACAGTTACACCAACCCTGGCCTCCACGTTCTCTGGCCTCTGGGTTATGTTCTTCCTCCCCACAACTCCTATTCTCTTCAAGAGAGGGTAGTTTCATGAGTGAGCTGGTTCTGGGTCAGGCTGAGCCAGGGGAGGCTCACAACCTCTGAAGCTCTGTCCCTCCAGCAGCCAAAAGCACACTTGTCATGAAATAATTACAAATTCCAAGAATGAGAAAGTAGTAATTAGGCACTGACTGGGAGCTTGAAGATCTGGATTTTTATCCCCAGTTCTGTGAGGGAATCTTTGCCTGAGTCACTTTCCCACTCTGGGACTCAGTTTCTCCATGTGTGAAATGAATCTAGTAATGCTTCTTGAGTGCCTGCCACGTCCTGGCAGGCTTTTAGGTGCTTTACATTCAGTATATCGGCACACAACTGTGGACAGGGTTCTTACAGTATTACAGGGAGGAGACTGAGGCTCAGAGAGGGGAAGGAGCTTGTCCAGGGTGGCAGAGCTTGGGAGTAGATGTGCTGGACCAGAGCTCTGCTTTTAGTCTCTGCACTGTTTATATTTATTCCTCAAGCCACTGGGCTTCGACGCTGATCAGATGCTGCCAGGCTGAGTGAAAGGGCTCTGCATATAGAGCGCCAATGCTGGACAAGAGTCCCGGGGTGCTGTGACTGGGTCATGCCAACCACATTGCCACTCTGGAAAGAAGAAGAAGGAATAAGGCTAGGAATCTGACACCAAGCCCAGCAAACTCTGTGGTGGGGGTCATCTGGAGCCTACCAAGTACCAGATGCTTTACATATGTCATCTAATTTAATCATCAATTCAACCATGTGAGGCTCAGAGACGACAAATAACTTACCTGTGGCCCGGTTCGGTGGTTCAGACCTGTAATCCCAGCACTTTGGGAAGCCAATGTGGGAGAACTGCTTGAGCCCAGGAGTTTCAGACCAGCCTAAGCAACATACAAAAAAAAAAAATTAGCCAGGCATGCTGGCGCACACCTGTAGTCCCAATTACTTAGAAGGCTGAGGTGGAAGGATCACTCGAGCCCGGGAGGTCAGGGCTGCAGTAAGAGCAGCGATCATGTCACTGCAGTCCTGCATGGGTAACAGATTGAGACCCTGTCTCAAAAAAACAAAAAGAAAACAAAAAACTTACCTGTGATAGCACAGCTGGTAAATGACAAAGCTGAAGTTTCAACCAGTGTCTGTATGTTTCCCAGACTCACAGAGAGAACGTAACAGGATTACTGCTGTGGCTGGAAGAGGCCAATTCTGCAGCACCCACCGGTTTGCATGAAGTTTCAAAACAGCTGCAGACATCCAAAGCACTGGGTAAGGAGGCCATCCTGTAGACTGTGGCTCTGACAGTTACTCCAGGGTGACCTTTAGCAGGTCCCCTAACACCTATGAGCCCTGAGGGGGGTGAAATGGAAGCACCCCCCAACCAGTCCACGTTACCACATAGACTGTAAAATGCCGCCCACTAGTGAATGGCCTCTTTTGAAACACTTTCTTGCTGTTCTCTTTGTATATGGAGTTGAACCTGCAGTGGAAAATGTGATTGACAGGGATTAACATCTAGGCCCCTTGGGGCCCACCTGGATGAACCCTCAGTGGAAGCTGGGATCATGAACAATGGATATGGAACCACTGTAAGACCAGGTGGCCCCTGGCCCTGATGAAGAGAGTCAGGGTGTATGTGGGGTGGGGAATGGAGCAATATGGTTGTCTGTCCTGATGGTCCTGAATCTCTCATCTCTTCCCTGCATAACCTACAGTGGCATGTCTTGAAACCCCCTTTTTTTTTTGGAGATGGAATCTCACTCTGTTGCCCAGATGCTCAGCTCACTGTAACCTCTGCCTCCTGGGTTCAAGTGATTCTCCTGCCTCAACCTTCCCTTCCCAGTAGCTGGGATTACAGGCACGTGGCACCATGTCCAGCTAATGTTTGTATTTTTAGTAGAGACGAGGTTTATCATGTTGGCCAGGCTCGTCTTGAACTCCTCCCCTCAGGTGATGTGCCCCCCTTGGCCTCCCAAAGTGCTGGAATTACAGGTGTGAGCCACCGGCCCGGCCTTGAAACCCTTTTTTTGATGCTAGAAATGGCATAGGTATAGGAGGCCGGGCGCGGTGGCTCACGCCTGTAATCCCAGCTCTTTGGGAGGCCGAGGAGGGCGGATCACGAGGTCAGGAGATCGAGACCATCCTGGCTAACATGGCAAAACCCCGTCTCTACTAAAAATACAAAAAAAATAGCCAGGCGTGGTGGTGGGTGCCTGTGGTCTCAGCTACTCGGGAGGCTGAGGCAGGAGAATGGCGTGAACCAGGGAGGCGGAGGTTGCAGTGAGCTGAGATCGCGCCACTGCACTACAGCCTGGGCGACAGTACGAGACTCGGTTAAAAAAAAAAAAAAAGACGAAAAAAAGAAATGGCACAGGCATAGGAAACAAACCAGTATTCAGAAATAACTTGGATCGGTGAGTGGGGAGGTTATTCTGGGGAGTCTGCCGTGCCTTGGGTACCCTCATTGCCACACAAGGCACATTTTTAGCCCCAAAGGGACCAACTGCCAGCTGGCCAGCGACCACCTCAACTCCGGGTAATGAGTTCCATATGTTTCCATAAGAGCCCAGCTAAGCTTTTCCCCAGCAGTTCTTACAGTGTTCTCTCCCTCCCTGCCTCATCTCGATGCTTGGCCACCCTTGTTCTATTTGCTCCTAACGAGGGTGGCAGGGAGGGGGCTAGGTGGGCAATGCCAAGAGACAATGCTTTGGGAAGTCACCCTTCCCTGACTTCATTTTTGCAGATCCTCAAGCTAAGAGGCAGTCTCTCGGCCTCTCCAGGCTTCCGCTGCCCCATCTCTATAGTGGGAAAAACAACCCTTACTCAGGGTAGGGAGAGCATCACGAAAAGAGCCCTGGATAGTAAAGTGGGAGGCTGGTGTTCCAATCCCAACGTGAACACTAACTTGCTGTGTGTCCCTGAGCAGGTTCCTGCCCCTCTCTGGGCTACATTTGTGACCTCTAAGGGCCCGCCCTTCCATCCCTGACAAGCTTCAGAATTACAACAAATGACTTAAACAGCAAGGAAGAACATCTGCTTTCCTGGGTGGCTTCAGGGTAGGGGTCCCCAGGAAGCCTAAGGCCTCCCTACCCTGGCCACCCTCACTCTAAGCCCAGGCTCCCTTTGACAAGTCTGGCCGGGTGAGAGCTTCTGCCTGCAGCATCGGGCACAAAGTAGAAGCAGGGTAGCAGTGAGGAGAGGCGTCCCCCGATGGAAGCACAGCTCCACAGCTCAGAAGGCGGAGGCGGGGGGGCGCCTATGGTCAGCCCCCAACGACGGCGAGAGGTGAATATGAGTTCAGGGGACTTCAGAGAACTCCTCCCTCCTTAATCTGGTTTGTCAAAGGCAACCCCCAAAGTCCCGGTCTCAAGGTGTCTCACTACCCTGATCCCGACTGCCCACCGACCCTACCCAAACACGGACTCACTAACCTTGGCTTTTGACACTGCCCACAGACGGACCCCCACAGCCTGACTACCCACATTTATCCCTAAAGCCTGCCCCAGGCTGGCGAAACCCCAAATCCGGCCACGCTCTGACCCCCGATCTCAGCCACAAAGAGACTCCGTGACCTTGCCACTGACTGACCCCTAAGAGGAGAACTAATCAGAGAACAATTAAATTGCTCGACTCTCAGCGAAGCACCTCATGGAACAGAGGGGCGGAGGTGGGGAAGGACTTCGAGAGGGCAGAGGCTTCCCGGAGGAGCCCAGCGGGCCTGGGGCCACACTCGGAAGGCCGGGAAGGCCCTGTGCAGGGCACGTCGCAGGCGCTCGAGGAATGCGAGTTGCCTGAAAGAACGAAGGAAGGAAGGAACCGGGTGCGATCCAGGGCGGCCTCGCGGACGGGGCAGGAAGCGGGTGGGGGTGCGCAGAGGCTGCAGCGGCCCGAGCGCAGCTGGGGGCAGCGGGAGAGGAGTGGGGTCAGCGACTCCGCTGGGTGGGGGGCCCCCCAGGCCGCGAGGCTGGGAACCGGGAGGCCGCGCTGCTGGCGGAGCGGCGGGGGCGCCGCGAGGCTCCGGATGGGCTGCGAGCCCCGCCCGCAGGCTGCGGAGGGAGCCGGAGCCAGAGCGGAGCCAGAGCTCAGACATCCGGGCGCCAGCGAACACCTGCGAGCGGCCCCCAGGGCCCGCGGGGGGAGCGTGGGGCGCCGGGAGGGGCGGGGCGGGGAGGAGGCGGGGCCGGCTCGGCTCCGCCCTGCCGGGCTCCAGGCCACGTGGGCCGAGGCTCTGCCCCAGCCCGGGCGCCGCAGCGCCGCCGGTGGGGAGCGGCTGTCTCCGGGGAGGTCTGGGAGTGGGCAGAGTGGAGCCCTTGGAAGCAGCGCTGCGGGAAAGAGCGCGGCAGGAGGTTCTCAGGTTTAGCCTGGGGCATGGGGAAGAGTCGTGGCCACGAGGGGTGATGAGGCCGGGAAGACAGATAATTGAAGGTTGTCCGGCGCGTCCACAGCTAGAGAGCTATAACTGGCTTTCTGAAAAGGGCACCATTTCTGGTGTCACAGACATGAATTTGAATTCTGGCTTTGTTACTTAGAAGCCGTGTGGCCACCGGCAAGTTACTTCGCCTGTTCTGAGCTAGTTCATTTATAAAATAAAGACACCTCCCAAATGTCTGTATTTCACAGCCGATGCGATCAGCTCTGAATCCGATCGCATGCGACAATTTGCACAAGACACTCAGCAGTGAATCTTGTAGTTAAGGAAGCCTCGTGGATACTTTATGCGCCTTATAGTTTATCCGAACAACACACATGGAAGGGAGGTACCGACATCCCCCTTTCACAGATGAGGGGGAGTCCTAGGTCTTTCATTCCACAAGCGCTCCCTGGGACAAGCACCCCCTGGGGACCAAGCATGTGCCAGGCTTTGGGAATGGCGAGGGAAAAGAGCCAATTTGAAGAGAAGGCAAGAACATGAGCTTTGAAGCTAGAGGAAGCTGGGGTTCCTAAACTCTGCTCTGCTACTTTCTTGCTGTGTGAACTGTTTCTTGCTGTGTGCCACTTTCTTGCTGGGTGATCAAGTTATTCAGCCTGAGTCTTTTTTCTATAAACCAAGGAATGTTACCCATCACGGTGGTTTGTGAGGATTAGAACAAAAATGGAAGATAAAATAGTCTGGAACCTGGCAGGCACTTCCATAGGTGATTATGACAGAAGACACTATCCTCTCTGGGAGTTATCTGACCTAGGGCCAAATTGCTTTCACTCTCTAATGACTAATGGATTGGCATGCTGGTCTTTCTTTTGTCCTGGCCACCTGAACAACTCAGTCCTGGGAGTCCTGACAGGCAATTTCCTTGGAATTAGCTTAATAATACCTCGTAGGTGTGTGATGCATTTCAAAGAACTTTCCCACCATTATCTTCTGTCCTGGGAGGCAGCAGGGCACAGAAGGAGCATGGCTCAGAGAGGTGGAATGCTTGCTCAAGGTCACTCGGCAGATGACCACCGCAGCCCTTTTTAGCCTTCCACGGTACTGAAACTTCCGAGCAAACGGGAGGCAACATGCTGTGGCAGAAAAGGGTATAAGACGTTGAGCTCAATGCCTGGCTCTACTGCAGTTCATGGTGTAATGTGGGGCCTAGGACCTCAGAACCGCTGCCTTAGAATCAGCTTCCTTTACAGATGCAGAAACTGGGGCTCAAGAGAGGCAAAGTCCCTAGCCTGAAGTTATACAGGTAAGAGGTGACAGAGCAGGGATTTATGTCCCTTTATGGTCGTCTCTAAAGCCAGCACAGCACACCTAAAAAACAATCCAAGATAGACCCAACCCAGGCCTTGTAGGTGGTTTGGGGCAAGGGTTCCTCACATGAGGATTGAAGTCTGCTATTGCTCTGCACTGTGTGTGTATTTTTTTAAGAGAGTGTTCATATCTTCCTTCAGATCAGAGTGACCAGGACACAGAACAGGTTAAGAACCACTGATCAGGCTGGGAGTTTGGTTGGCAATGCCAGAGGTTCTCCTCCTCCCCCATGCCCCTGTTCACCCCAGCAAGCTCACCAGGGTTAAGGCACTAAAGGTGATGACGTGACCTGTTTGTTATGAAATATTGAAGTAATTCATGCCAGGGACCAACACACAGATGAGATCATACCATAAACAGGAATCTCTAGTAAGGCCAGGCACCTGGTGAAGCCCACCTGGGGAGCCACCAGGGGTGTGGGGGAAGGCATGGGTTGGGATCTTGCTCTCTGCCCCACTGCCAGGCCTGGCCTCAAGGAATGGCCAGTCCCCAGCCCTGCTCCTGTTCACCACAATCAAGTCACGGTTCAAATCCCATCTCTACCTCTCAAAGGCTGTGAAAACCTGGTTCAGAAGCATTACCCACAGAGGTTCCCTTTCCCCATTTCTGAAATAGGGATAGGGATGCTTACAGAATAGGTTCCCAATGGAGGTGATGTAGAAATACCAGCAGAAATGAGGACTGTGGAGTCTCTGCCTCACATTCCTTGTTCAGGGTCGGACTCCACAACCACCTAGCATTAAAGAAGGGATTACTATCAGTACTTCCCAACCAGCATCCAAATCTTTATCCATTTCAGGAGACCTCCCTCTTTTTTCCAACTTTGGAAGCCCGCAAGGAAGCCAGCCCAGAGAGCAAGAAGGAAATGAAACCAGGCCCAGTTATCAGTTTATTCATTTTTGGAATTGGTCTATCAACCACCACCCATGCCTGGGCACCAGGTGAAGCAAACTTGAGGCTCTCCTCTTACCACATCCCCTGCTAGAAAGGCATAGTCAATAGTAACAATAAAGAGGAAAGCTACTGCTAGATCTCAAGGGACATGAAAACTCAGTTTTCAAGTTGCCTGAGCCACCAACTTTCAAGTTGCCTGAGCCACCAACTTGCTGGGCAAGCTTGCACCAGTCTCTGGTTTCATCTCTGAAATAATGAGCAGAGCCCAGAACTTTTCTCTGCACCCATCCCTCAATGGACATGAGACTCCCATCATGAACCCTTCTCTCTCCACCCCATCCCCTCTCAACCAGGCAGTTTTTCATTTCCCTCTCGTAGAATAAGCAAGTTCACTTTCCCAAAGCTCCCAAAATTCGGCCATGTGCGAGAAAGCATCATTAGTACTTAATGGAGACGGGTGTCATCATATACACAAGTGTTTAAAAATCGTTTATTATGCAAAATGTTAACTTTTATAAAAAGTTTAATATACATCGCATTGTTACAGAAAGTCACCTTCCTGTAAAAAAGGTACAAAACCTATATACTCTATTATAGAGTTCATAAATCAGGGCAACAGAACCTTTCTCCAAGGAGACCAGAAGACCAGCTCTGCCGCCGCCTTGGCATAGTTTGGAGAGCAGCCACTCCTTCCACACCTCCACGCTCTGAAGAGACCTTAGAACTTGGGGGTGGGGTGGGAGCAGGGTGACGTCGCCCAGCTGGTGGCCAGAGCTAGCTCTGGCTCTTCAGGCCACAAGTTCACAGTCCTTCGCTCCTGAGCACCAGGTTTAGTCTCCAGGAAGGGATTTGGTGAAGTCAAGTGGGCAGGGCGAAGTTGGGGCCCATCCCTGCCGTCCGGCTTCCGGCAGGAGAGGTTCCCGGGGTCCCAGGCAGAACGGGCGCCAGCACCTGCGTTCTGGGCGGGGGAGGAAAGAAGACCAAGGAGCAGTCAGTTTCCGCCGAGCGTGCCGAGGCGGGGGCCGTCCGCAGACTGGCCGGCGCCAGGGAGGAAACTTGGTCTGTACCTCCAGCTGATAACTCCGCGCCCCACGCTGCCCCCACCCAGTTGGCGCCAAAGACCACAGGCGGAGCTTGCGCTACCCCTCCTACTTGGAATTGACACTAGCTGGGAGGGGGCTGCCGAAGACAGCTCCCTATACAACATGGAACAGAAAGACTTGTATTTAGTCGGACCCATGTCTACTTTGCCAGACCCTCGGCCACTGCGGGAGGGCAGGGCCCAGGCGCATTTAAGGCTTAAATGCACATCACATGGAAACTGACTCTGCCATTCATTTGATGCAACCATGGGCAAGTCACTTGTCCCTCTCTGGCCTCAGTTTCCCTAAACCGAGTGAGTGGCAATTTTTCAAAACGTCTGCCAACTCCAGGACTTGCCGTTTAAACCTCCCTCTCCAAGAGAGGAGATACTCACCTGGAGGTGTCAGGACACGGCCGAGTCAGTGGCAAAAGCTCCTTTTGTCGTTGGAGATGACAAGTTCCGGAGTGAGCTCGGCTGTCTGATTAGAGGAAAAGAGGGAAGAGTTACGCGAGGCAATCGGGAGCTCCGAGGGTCCCGCAGCATCCTTGCCTGGGTGTTCAGCCCTGTCCCGACTTCGAGGCTTACCTGGATGGGAAGGTGGGGGCCATCAGGGGGTCCAGGGGCTGGCTCGGCCAGGACTACCTGCAGGTCGAGAATGTAGTCGATGACGCGCTGTAGGATTTCCACCTGGCTAAGCTGAGTGCCTCTCGGGACTCCGGGTACCAGTTCCCGCAGGCGGGAGTAGCAGTGGTTCATGTCGTCCAGCAAGCTCAGCGGCTCCTCAGCTGCCGGGCCCTTCCCTCGGCCCCGGGCGATGGCCAGACTGCGTTCCGACAGGCAGCACACCGCCTCGTAGCAGCCGCGCACCGGGCTCAGCGCCTTCATGCTGGGGAGTGAGTCCAGAGGTGCCCCAAAGAGAAAGAAAACCAAAAGAAGTCCCGCTACAGTGACCTGCAACGCGCGCACGCTCGCCGCGGCGGTCACTTATAGAGCCTGCCTGGAAGGCACGCCTCTTTATTCAAAATGGCCCGCCTCGGCCCTGCCCCCGCCGGCCCTGGGCGTTCACAGCCCGCTTAAATTGCAAACAGGCTTCCTCCGGCTGGTCTGACGCCGAAGACCGCGGAGCCGCGGATTCAAAGAATGAGGAAGCGCTGATACCGGGGAGAGGCGGGCCTCTCCGCCAGCAAGGATTTAAAAATCACTCAAAACCATTAACTTCCAGAATTTGCTTTTTCCTGGCAGCACCCCAGATCTTTGAGCTTCCCTGCCCCCTGCCAGTCCGCCTTTAGCCCAACACTGGTTCGAGCCACAGCTCCTCCGAGGTCATAAATCCCTGAACAGCAAAGAAGCTCCCCCCACCCCCCGTTTTTTTTAAGCGAAAGATTTTTCAAGGGAAACTTGTAAGGAATTAGTGCCGCCTTGTTCCCCAATTTGCTGTTCGTCTGACCTCCAGACTCACTGGCGTCAGGAATTATCTTGTGACCAGAGGGAAAAAAAATTAATTGCGGTGAAGCTGAGGTTACAATGAAGAAAACAGATTTGCGCTAGGCGCTGAGATTGCAGAAGGAGGAGGGAAAGGGGGTTTGAGCAAAGAACACTATTTATTTGAGCAACAGGGGAAAAGAAGAAAGCTTGAGCCCATGCTTTTTGCATGGGGAAAAAAGGAGCCTGGACCCTCTGCCCCATAAACTCCATAACGAACTAAATATATGCACAGTTGTGCTTTGTGAGTTCAATTAGAATTTTGGACAAGGTTTTAAATATGGAGGCACAGATGGGACAATTTCTACATAAACCTTTTTAAGAGCCCCCCCCCACCCAATTGGGTCAGCAAATTTCTTAACTTCCCCTCTCTTCACTTTCCACACACCTCTGTGTAGAAAACAGTGGTAATTTCATTGCTCTATTGTCTGTCCCTTTCTGCTATGGAAGGGCAGGCCACCTGGACTTGATTATTCTTAGCCCTGCTGAAGTAGCTCCAGCTCCATCTGAAAGACCAGGAAAGGAACCAGAGGGCCGGCAAACTAAGTCCTGTATTGCAACAGGACACTGTGCTCAGTATTCTTTGATTCTTTGCTTGCCTTCTTGTCACCTCCCTAGACATTTGGGGACCTGCACTTCCAAGATGCTGCTTTCCATTTTGGAAATGACCAAGTGGGATTCCCCCAATAGTTGCTTTCCTAATGAATCATTGGTGAATATTTATGGAGTCCCTCCGCATAAAACAGTGGCTCCTGCTTTCAAGAATCTCACAATTTGGGGAGACAAGATTAACACAGGAAACAAGAGTTCGATAATGTGTGGCACTGATTAACAGGACAAGGGGGGCTCAGAGCCAAAGAGAGTCGCAAAACGGTTGAAAAGGACACTGACTGGGAATTGAGAGCCCTGGGTTCATCATGCTAGCCCTGACAATAATTTGTCATGTAATCTTGAACAAGCCCAGGTACTCTGGCTTTAATTGCCTTGTGAGTAAAATAGACGATGGTACTAAGTGATTATTTAAAATCCTTTCCAATTGTAGAAGTCCAAGGTTGTGTGAAATTTGGATATGTAGGTGAAAGATGCTGAGGGGCCCAAGGAAGGCATTTAAGACATGCCCAATGTCACACTACAAGTAATAGCAGAGCCAGTCTTGAAGCCTCGTTCTTTTCCATCAAACCACAGGGCTCTGTGGCCCAAGAAAGATTTCTTCCTGGAATGTTTTTTTCAAGGACAGGCTCTTCAGTAAGAAAAGAGGAAGAAAACCTGTGAGTGGGCAAGTCAGTCTTTACATGCTACAGCCGTCAAGTGCCAGCTATTTGGTCAGGAAAGGCAAAATAATGGCTGTAGGAACTCCTGAATAACCGAAGAGAAGATCCTTCTTTTCCTATCTTGCAGACTTCTGTGGCAAAACGGTCAAGTCCAGAGGGTTCTAGAAAAATCACGGGCCAGGCAGATTTCTGTGCAAATGCCCATTCTTCTTCTTCTTCTTCTTTTTTTGTTTAAACTAATTGTGTAGACTTTGGCTGAGTTATCCTGGGTGCTTCTATTTTCCCATCTATAAAATGGAACTAATTGGGTCTACTCATTCATTCATTCGATAATTATTGAATGCCTCTTCTCTGCAAAGCACTTGATGTGTTCACTCCATCTGATCTTAGTCTTCTTACTGCCTGGGGGACCCAGCATGGGCCAGTTGTGTGGAAGGTGCTCAGTCTACCCAGATTCTCCTCCCTTCTTTTCCTTCCTCTACTACTGCAGCTGATGCCTCAGGCTTGTATAGTGATTTAGGTTTGCAAAGCACCTTCGCATTTATTATTTCCCAGGATGCTTCCAGGCTGAAATGCCCATGGGCTGTGTGACATAAGGCAGAAGGATGCTGTGGAATTAGCAAGCAAAATTCTGTTCTGTGCATGCCAATAATTTGCAGTGTGCCCTTGGACGAATTTCCTCCCTTCCTGGGCTTCATTTTCTCTTTAAAAAAAAAAAAAAAAAAAAGATAGTGGGTAGGTTGGGAGGAAGCAAGTGCCCTTTAATGGTCCTCTCTAGCCTAAGATTCTAATTCTGAAAGAAGCAGGTTATGGTTAGGAACACTGAATAGTGTTTAAACCCAAGAGACTTCTTTTTCCCCACAGCAGACTGGACAGGCTAGCTCAGGCCTTCTGCAACTTGTTTAGCAGTGGTGGGGCCTCAGCCTCTTATTCCAAATGCCTCTGAACTTTCTGTTCCCAGTTCTGCTCCTTTTACCAGCTTTTTCCCCCCTCTTGCATTTTTTATTTTTATGAAAGGATGTCATTAAGGCTTTTGTCTGCGCTGTTTTTGTTTCAGAACTTTTCTCACAATCCTATTTTTTGTTGAGGAATCCGCTCCTTTGCCCAGCTGTGGGTCCCGGTCCCACAGCTGTGTTGATCTAAGACTCAGCCCCAGACAGCCTGGCGCCAGGGTGGGACGTCATGCGTTCACACAGGGATGCGTGTCCCAGGCAACCTTTCCTCGGGCAGTCACCGGCCGGCGACTGCCTCCCCCACCAATGAGCGCCGGACACCCGAGAAAGGGGCGGGGTCTGCATCGCCCCAACCGCGAGCGGCTTGTGAATTGCAGATGCTGAGAACTTGATAATGTTGCTTCAATTGGGGCCCTTTAAAGTCTTTTTTTTTCTTTCTCTTTTAGTTCTTTATTTTCTTTTGTCTATTCCCTTTCTTTCCACCTTCTTCCTTTATCTATATATGTGTATAATTTTTCTTCTTCTTTTTTCTAACTATCTCCTCCCAGTGTCAGGAATCATTTTGTAAGCATTTCCAGGAACTCAATCTTCCTCTGCCAAAATAAAAAAAAGAAAAAAAAATTCAATGTTGTGCTCTCTGATTTTTTTTTTTTTGAGAAGTTGGCAGAACTCTTTAAGTTATACTGTTTTGTTTTTTAAAAAATTTTAGAATTTTTTAATTTCGTGGTAGTGGGCTCTCTAAATTGTTGATTTCAAAGTCAAAGTAATGATGACAAGGATTGCAGATGCCTTTTTGTCTAAGCTGAGCCTCTATTTATTATCTATCTATCATCTTTTTCCCATTTATGTCCCAGACATGGGGATCATGGGGACCTCAGAAACTTGCTCACGTTTACTTGGGATGTCAGTAGCTGGCCTATGGCCAGAACCCAGACCTCCTCTCATTTGACTCTCTGTCCACTCTGCCCTCTCTCTCTTTTTTTTTTTTGGGATGGAGTCTCACTCCGTCGCCCAGGGTGGAGTGCAGTGTTGTGATCTCGGCTCACCGCAACCTCCACCTCCTGGGTTCAAACGATTCTTCTGTCTCAGTCTCCTGAGTAGCTGGGACTACAGGCGCACGCCACCACACCCGGCTAATTTTTGTATTTTTAGTAGAGACAGGGTTTCACCATATTGGTCAGGCTGGTCTCGAACTCCTGACCTCATGATCCGCCCGACTTGGTCTCCCAAAGTGCTGGGATTACAGGTGTGAGCCACCGCGCCCGGCACTCTTAATAGCATTAGGGTGGTCTTAGAACATTCCCAAATGCCACATTTCATAATATGTATCTCCTTGCTCATAAGTGCCTAGAAGGTGTGGTGAGGACTTTGCAGTCACACACATAGAACATCCCTTCTCCTTCTCCTCCCCTCAGAGAGTCTGGAGCCCAAAGTATTGCTTGAGATTCAGGTGATACAAGGAAAGCACAGGGGATTCAGAATCAAGACCAGGCTCAATCCTTGCCCTGACTTCTCCTACCTTCACTCTGTCTCAGCTGTCTCTTCTATTAAATTGGGAGGAAAATACCATCCATCTACCTCACAGCTGGGAGAGTCAAAGGGGACAAGGGATGGAAAATGGTGTGGGAAACAGTTATTTTTATGTGCTGTAATGTGATGTAGCCCCTGTTGAGTGGGATAGGTGGTACCAAGTGAGTTGAGTGGTCCCTGCTGAGGCTGTTGTCAGGAATGTGAGGAGCATCAGGATCTAAGGCATGAGTCCTTACAGGGGTGGGGATTTCAAAGGCCTCCAGGATGGGCTACTCTCTAACTCAGAAGCACTCAGCGCCACCGCCACCATCATCATTCATTGAGTTCTGTTTGCCAAGTCCTGTTTGCCTTCTTACACATTTTCCCGCTGATCCCTTTTATAGACAGAGAGACAGTGGCTCAGAAAGGTGAATGTGCTTGCCCAAGGTCACATAGCTAGATAAGTGGCAGGTCCAAGATTTGCACCCAGGTCTGCCTGTCTCCCAAAGCCTGTATCCTCCTGCACCTATGCTTCTCCTTCTGCCCTCACAAAGGACCTCCTGGGAAGGTAGCTTGGACTTGAGAGGGTTTTATTCTACCAGATAGGGAAAAGCAAAGGTAAATCCATTAGGTAGGGAGACAGACACCGAAGTGTTGGGGTACTAGGGGAAAACATTGTTTTCTGTGCAGAGAGACTCAGAAAGCATTGGAATTTGTTGGAAATCTAAAGCTTTTCCTCCCTCAAATCCTCCCTCAAAGACCTTCCTATCCATACTTACGTTTTAGGAGATGTTTATTCTTTTTTTTTTTTTTGGAGACAGAGTTTCACTCTGTCACCCAGGCTGGAGTGCAATGGCATGATCTCGGCTCACTGCAATCTCTGCCTCCTGGGTTCTAAGCTATTCTCCTGCCTCAGCCTCTGGAGTAGCTGGGATTACAGGCACGAGCCACCACGCCCGGGCTAATTCCAGGCTGGTCTCAAATTCCTGACCTCAAGTGATCCACCCACCTAGGCGTCCCAAAGTGCTGGGATTTCAGGTGTGAGCCACTGTGCCCGGCCAGATTATTCTTAAAGCAAGTACACAGTAACTATTCCTGTTTTTAGGAGTCAGCTTTAGAGTTGAGCTCCCTCTTCTAACCCAGAGTCAGCCTAGCTTCAGTCAGCCACAACGCCCTGAAGTTAATTAACCCCTTACTTCAGCAGGCAGGCAGTAACTACAGAATGCCCACGGACCATCTGGGATTGAGGGCTGAGCACCCACAGGGAAGCAGGAAGGGAATTCATTTTCTGAGGAACTGTCATGTGTTCAAAGTTTCATAAATTTTATTTTAATAATTGGCCCTCGAGTTTTTTTGGGTAGGTATTATCATGATCATTTTCTCCACAAAAATACTGAAATTCAGCTGGGCATGGTGGCTCACATCCGTAATCCCAGCCCTTTGGGAGGCTGAGGTGGGCGGATCACCTGAGGTCAGGAGTTTGGAACCAGCCCGGCCAACATGATGAAACCCCATCTCTACTAAAAATACAAAATTTAGCCGGGTGTGGTGGCGGGTGCCTGTAATCCCAGCTACTCAGGAGGCTGAGGCAGGAGAATCGCTTGAACCCAGGAGGCGGAGGTTGCAGTGAGCCGAGATCACACCGCTGCACTCCAGCCTGGGCAACAGAGCGAGACTCCGTCTCAAAAAAACAAAAAACAAAAACCAAAAAAACGAAACAAAACAAAAACTGAAGTTCAAAGAGATTTATCCACACAGCTGACGGGGAAAAGGAGAAAACAATCAGAATTTGAATCCAGGCCTATGGCTCAAACACTGATACACACAAAGACAGAGATCTTCAAGCTGCTCAGTGTCCAGACACAAAAGGACTGGTTCCCTCATCCTTGCACTTCTAGGCTAATGAGTACAGAGACAGCCTTTGCCTCATTTCTCTGTTAAGGGAAAAGTTTGAAACTTCTAGACTTTGGAGAGCATCAGTAGGTTATGTAGGAATTTAACTCAGACTTAACAAACAGCAAAAGAAAAAGAATTATGAACTCATAATGCAGAGTTTCACTACTTCCAAAGCAATTTCATTCAGTTTCATTGAACATTCCCCGCAACCTTGTGGGGCACACAGCTCACCTGCTTCGTAATCAAGTCTTATTTGTCTCCCTGGAGTCAGTATCCTTCACGGTGCCTGGCACCAAGTAGGCACTTAATAAAGTTGTACTGAATTAAGTTCCACCCCATTAATTGCTTTTGGGAGACAACTTAGAGGGGGGATTTGAGACTCAAATGCAGGCTGTGCTGGATGACTGATTCTATGACTCCCAGGCATAATGTTCTTTGCTGTAGACAGATGCTGATGGTTGGATTTGGGACCCCACTAATCAGGGTTCAGGAAAGGCCTTAGAATGATGGGGTCCAAGGTAAGAAAAGATGAAGTCCAAAAAAGGCCTTGAAAAGCAATATTCACCTGCCCAAATGTGTTGGCCTAGGTCTCAGCAGTAGTTCAATGGCTGAGAGAGTAGAGAGGTCGGGAAGGGAGGGATGTGGCCTGGGGACCGAGCTGACCCTGCCTGAGAGGAAAGGGCTTCCCTGACCCTAACCGGGCCAGAGCTCTGCAGTGAGCTAGAGATACGGGGGTGCCAGAAAGCAGAGGTAGGGGCGCAGCTCAGAGAGAGCCTCCTGCTGGCCACAGCTATCCCTGAGTGTAATCAAGTGGCCCAAGCATCAGCAGGCTTAGGAGGATCTTTTGCAAAGTGCCAGTCATGAACCAGACATTTTACATGTATTATCGCCCTCAATTCTCATATCAGTTGAGGCTCAGAGAGGTGAAGTGACTTGCCCAAGGTCACACAGCAACTGGGAGGCAGAACAGAGTCCAGAGTTTATGGTTTGCAGCATGAGCCAGGCCACCAATTGGCGGGAGAAAGGAATCAAATGCTGGAGAATGGGAACTGTCTTAATAAGAAACTGGGGGCTGGGCATGGTGGCTCAGACCTGTAATCCTAGCACTTTGGGAGGCCGAGGTGGGCGGATCACCTGAGGTCAGGAGTTTGAGACCAGCCTGGCCAACATGGTGAAACCCCATCTGTACTAAAAATACGTAAGTTCGGCTGGGCGCGGTGGCTCACGCCTCTAATCGCAGCACTTTGGGAGGCTGAGGTGGGTGGATCATGAGGTCAGGAGATCGAGACCATCCAGGCTAACGCTGTGAAACCCCGTCTCTACTAAAAATACAAAAAATTAGCCGTGTGTGGTGCTGGGCGCCTGTAGTCCCAGCTACTCGGGAGGCTGAGGCAGGAGAATGGTGTGAACCCAGGAGGCGGAGCTTGCAGTGAGCCGAGATCGCAAGCCACTGAACTCCAGCCTGGGCGACAGAGCGAGACTCTGTCTCAAAACAACAACAACAACAACATAAGTTCGCTGGACGTGGTGGCTCATGCCTAAAATCCTAGCTACTCAGTAGACTGAGGCAGGAGAATCGCTTGAACCTCGGCAGTGGAGGTTGCAGTGAGCCGAGATCATGCCACTGCACTCCAGCCTGGGTGACAGAGTGACTCCGTCTCAAAAAAAGGAAGTATGTATTTGACATGGATTTTGTTTCACAGAACTTTATGGTGTCAGGCAGTGTGTGTGTGTGTGTGTGTGTGTGTGTGTGTGTGTCTCAGTTTCTTTCTTTTTTTGAGAGGAAGTCCCACTCTGCTGCCCAGGCTGGACTTTAGTGGCGCAATATTGGCTCACTGCAGACTCCAACTTCCGGATTCAAGGGATTCTCCTACCTCAGCCTCCTGAGTAGCTGGGATTACAGGCGTGCGCCACCACGCCCAGCTAATTTTTATATTTTTTGTAAAGACGGTGTTTCGCCATGTTGGCCAGGCTGGTCTCAAACTCCTGACCTCAAGTGATCCGCCCGCCTCAGCCTCCCAAAAGTGCTGGGATCACAGGCGTGAGCCACCGCGCCCGACCTCAGTTTCTGAGTGTATTCCTACCTGAGAATATGCTGTCCACCCTTGTCTGAGTGTGGGGCTGTCCTTGGGGGCTGTGCGCGGGGTGCGCCTATGTGTCTTCCTCCCTGGGTGTTTCAGCCTGCTGTGTGTGATGTGTCCCCGGGTCTAGTATAGGATCTTCCCTGGGTGTGCGGCTTTCTATGTGCGTGCTTCAGTGTATGTCCATCTTCCCCCAATCTCCTAGCCAGGTGCGGAACAGGGCCAAGAGGACAATAGGCTCGAGCGCCCAGGTGGCCTTTTCCTCCACTCCCTCACCCACCGCGACCCTCCCCTCCTGCACCCCGCGCCCTGACTGCCCCCTCTCTGGCCCTGCCCGACCTTCCGCGGCCCTCCCTGCCCGCGCCCCGGCGGCCCCACCCTGGCCCTACCCGGCCCTCCCCGCCCGCGCCCCGCGCCCGGCGGCCCCAACCCCCGGCGGTCCCGGACGCGCAGCTGCGGGACACACAATCGCCGGCGCCCCCTCTCCGCCCCCCGCGCAGCCCCTCGTCCAACAAAAGCCGCTTTCTTTCCCCACAACAGATTAAAGACCAGGAGGGGGTGAAAAATAGCTTCTCCGGCCACTGGCGGGGGAGGGGCGCGGGAAAAGCTGGGACTTTGGGGACTCTTTGATAGCGAGTGTGTGGGAAACCCGAAGGAATGTGGCTGTTCGGACCGCCGCGGCGGGGCCAGGCGCCGGGAGGAGGGTCCGCACCTCCCCCGCTGGGACTCCCGGGACCTCCCGGACCCCCGCGGCCCCAGCGTCCCTGCGGCCCCGGCGTCCCCACGCCCCACGCCGCCAGCGCCCTGCACGCCGCCTCCCGCCAGCTGAGCGTCTCCCGCGCCCCCTGCTTTTCCTCCCCTAGTCAATTTCCTCACATTCTAATTTCCTTACTTTCTTCTCACTTTCCCTTCCAATTCTCCTTTTCGCGAGTCCCCTATTCTCGTCCTCCACCTCTTTCTCTATGTCTTTTGCTCAAGTCTGTTCCCCTCGTCTCCCTCCCCGGGTCTTTATCTTGATCTATACATTCTTTTTTTTTTCTCTTTGTCTGGGACACACTCTGTGTCTCTTTGTTTCCGTGTCTCTTGCTATTTCTTGGTGGCTTTCCTGGGTTGGGTCCCAGGGATGGTGGATTTAGCACCGTCGCTGTCGCCCTTTCTCCTGCCCATCTGGAAGGGCTGGGAAAAGCAGGCCAGGGTGTGGGCAGTTTGTTTAAATGTCCCTCTCCCGCCACACACGTGTGAGTGCAGGTGGGCGCTGGGCAGGGAAGTCTGGGGAGCCCAGGAACACCCAGGGAGGAGCTGTGGGGAGGCCTGGCCAGCTAGACCAGGATGGAGCAGGGATGGGGGGACTCGTGGAAGCCTCCAAGGGTTTGGAATTATTTTTGGCCCGGTATAATTCAGTCTCTGAAAGGAATTCCTGGCCCAGGACCGGATGGTGGCCTTGGGACCCTTATGGGAAATGAGTTGGGTCTCCTGGCCCCCTCCTCTCTAGTCCTTGGGACAGGCTAGTGGGAGGAAGGGGGCTGGTTCAAGACAAAGGGCTTCCAGGTGGCTGAGGAAGGAGACCTTCCATGTGAAGACAGCGTGGTACAGTGGGGAACTCAGCCCTGGATCTTGGAATCCCAGCTTTCCCCTGGGCTCTGCCACTCCCTGACAACCTGGGCGAATCCCTTCTTCCTCTCTGGGCGTCAGTTTCCCCACCTGTAAAATGAGATGTTTGGACCAGTGGCCTTCAGCCTTTTTTTCCACCCTCAGATTGTAAGGTCTGATTTGTTCCAAATGCATTGCTTATATTAATGAATCTGCTTTCATATTTTGTGTTTATGAAAGACAAGCATTCAGTCAGGCTTTCTGATTAGCATGCTTCATTACCATGCAGAACTGGTCTAATTCAAAGAACAAAGACACCCCAGCCAAAGATACCCTAGACAGACTCTCGAACAGAGATACCCCAATTCCAGCTAAAGACACCCCAGACAGACCCCAAAAGCTCTTGGTGTTTTAGTAGTCTGTGCAGCAAAATCCCATGGAAGAAGAGCACAGGCTTTGCAGTCAGACAGCTTGGGTTTGAATCCTGACTCTGCCAGTGTCCAGCTGTGACCTTGGGGAGGTCACACACACCCTCCCTCAGTTTTCTTATCTGGAAAAAAGAAATATTCATGATATCCACCCCCACATAATTGTATTATATCAGATAACAGATACAAAAATTTAAGAAATAGGTGCTCAATGAGAGTTAGGATGTTGATGCTTTATACGAATGCTGTCCAATAGAACAATAATGCAAGCCACAAATGTAATTTTAAATTTTCCAGCAGCTATAGTTAAAAAAGCAAGGACAGTGAAATTAATTTTTTTTTGAGATAGGGTCTTGCTCTGTTGCCCAGGCTAGAGTGCAGTGGTGTGATCATGTTCAAACTGCAGCCTCGATGTCCTGGGTTCAAGTGATCCTCCCACCTCAGCCTCCTGAGTAACTGGAACCACAGATGCGTGCCACCAAGCCCGGCTCATTTTAAAATTATTTGTAGAGACAGGGTCTCACTATGTTGCCCAGGCTGGTCTCAAAACCCTGGACTCAAGCTATCCTCCCACCTCAACCTCTCAAAGTGTTGGGATTACAGGTGTGAGCCACTGTATCTGGCCTTAAAATTAATTTCAGTAATATACTTTACCTAATCCAATATATTCAAAACATTATTTCAACATGTGATGAACACAGAAAAACTATTATTCCTACATTATTTTTTATACTTAGTCATCAAAATCTCGTGTCTTTAATTCAGCACATCTCAGTTTGGACTAGATACATTTCAAATGCTCTGTAGCCACACATAGCTAGTGGCTACCAATTGAAAAACTCTGGTACTCCAGATGTGTGCCACCACACCTGGCTAATTTTTTTTAAAAAATTGTGTAGAGATGAGGTCTTGCTATGTTGCCCAGGCTGGTCTCAAACTCTTGGCCTCAAGCAGTCCTATCATCTCAGCCTCCCAAAGGAATTACAGTCATGAGCCACCATGCCCAGCCCAGATGAGATTTTGGTACGTGAAGACAGGGCAGGAGAAAGACTGGAGGGAAGGGGGCAGAGAATGGTATGAACAAAGCTGCTCAGGTGCAGATCACTTGATTGGGCAGGAGCGAGGAGGTGGAGAGGTGCAGGCCAGGATTGCAGAAGTAGATGGAGGTGGGGTATCTGGAGAGCTTTGAATGCCAGGCTAAAGAGCACAAATAATGTAAGCATACTTCCAGGGGGAAAAAAAAAAGAATTTGGTCAGTTTTTTCAGAGTGACTGTGGTTATGAGATCCACTTTATTCAGGGAAGAAGGCAGCCGTTCTCTGGGTACTGTAACTATTCCTGTTTCTATTGAAACCTGTTAGTGCTAACTATCATTTACTGAGGATTTACTATGACCAGGCGCTATGCCAAGCACTTTGTGTTAATAATCCTGTTTAATTATCTCAGCGAACCCTCATATGCTGCTGATGGGAAGGTAAAACTTCGGAAAACAGCTTGGCCATTTTTAAAAGTTAAATATCAGCCGGGTGTGGTGGCTCACGCCTGTAATCCCAGCACTTTGGGAGGCCGAGGCGGGCGGATCACCTGAGGTCAGGAGTTCGAGACCAGCTAACCAACATGGAAAAACCTCGTCTCTACTAAAAATACAAAATTAGCCGGGTATGGTGGCACATGCCTGTAATCCCACTGTAATCCCAGCTGCTCGGGAGGCTGAGGCAGGAGAATCACTTGAACCCAGGAGGCAGAGGTTGCAGTGAGCTGAGATCGCTCCGTTGCACTCCAGCCTGAGCAACAAGAGCAAAACTCCGTCTCAAAAAAAAAAAAAAAGTTAAACAGCAATTTATCACATGACCTAGCAGTTCTTCTCCTAGATCTCTACCCAAGAGAAATGAAAACAAGTCTACCCAGAAACTCATACAGGGATGTTCACAGCAGCATTGTTCATGATAGCAAAAAAGTGGAAATGACTCAAATGGCCATCAGCTGATGAATGGATCAACAAAATGTGGTGTATTCATACAATGGAATATTATTCAGCTATAAAAAAGGAATGAACTACTAATCTACACAATAAATAGATGGACCTCAAAAAATATGCTTACATGAAAGGAGCAAGACACAAAGGACCACATACTGTGCAGTTCCATTTATGTGAAATTTCTAAAAGAAATTTCTATAAATTTCTAAAAATTTATAGAGACAGAAAGTAGATTAATGGTTGCCTGGGACTGGGGGACAGAAGGGGAGTGACTGCTAATGGATACAGGGTTTTATGTGGGGGTGATGAAAGTATTCTGGAATTGATGTGATGGTTGCACGACTCTGTAAATGTGCTAAAAATCATTGAATTATATACATAAATATTGGTGAATTTTCTAGTATGTAAATTAAACACCAATAAATCTCTTTTTAAAAATTCTCCCAACAACTTTTTTTTTTTTTTTTTTGGAGACAGGGTCTTGCTCTGTTGCCCAGGCTGGAGTGCAGTGGCCTGATCATGGCTCACTGCAGCCTCAACCTTCATGCTTAGGCAATCCTCCTGCCTCAGCCTCCCGAGTAGCTGGAACCACAGGTACATGCCACCACAGCTGGCAAATTTTTTTTTTTTTTTTTGAGATGAAGTCTCACTCTGTCGCCCAGGCTGGAGTGCAGTGGTGCAATCTCGGCTCACTGCAAGCTCCGCCTCCTGGGTTCACACCATTCTCCTGCCTCAGCCTCCTGAATAGCTGGGATTACAGGCGCCCACCACCATACCCAGCTAATTTTTTTGTATTTTTAGTAGAGACGGGGTTTCACCATGTTAGCTAGGATGGTCTCGATTTCCTGACCTCGTGATCTGCCTGCCTGGTCCTCCCAAAGTGCTGTGATTATAGGATTATAGACCACTGCGCCCGGCCCAATTTTTTTGTACTTATTTGTAGAGACAGGGTCTCTCTATGCTGCCCAGGCTTCCAAACAACTTTTGTGACAGATACTATTATCATCCCATTTCACAGTTGCGGAAGCATCAGAAAGGTGAAGCCACCCGCCTAAGACCGAAGAGCTAGAAGCAAAAGAGCCAAATTTCAAAACTGCAAAGTGTTCCTGACCTCTGGGCTGTCCTGCTTCCTGGAAATTGCTTGGGCAGTGCGCTCCATCTTCCTGGGGCATTTAACCCACAAGTTTGCTAGCAGCCATGTTTTCAAGCTGCAACAACTACTTCTTGGATGGTGAGAATTGGGAGAGATGGCAGAAGGCCTGGGGAAGAGTGGGGATGCTGGGAAAGCCTCCTGGTGAGAAAGCTCAGGCCACAGCTGGGCCAGGGACATCCACAGCAGTCTCCAGGCTCTGACACCCCCTCCCCAACCCTGACTCCCTCCCAGGGGAGAGAATAACTTGGCTCCAAAGCTGAGGCCAGAATATAAGCCAGAGACCTGCTGACCTGACCCCCCCACCCTGGAATCTACTGAATCTGGGGCCAGGAGCAAGGAAGGGCTGACCCCAAACTGAACAAATCAAAAAGCCAAGTTCCCCTCTGAGCCCTGCAATTTTTTTTTCTTTTGGACCAAATAAGGAAGGAGCACCTGTTACTTTATAATCATACTGTAGGACAGCCTCGAGTTGAAAGCCATGGGATCTGGAGTCTTGAAAACGCGGTTCAAGCTCCTATCTTTTCTATTTCCAAACTCAGTGTCCTAGAGCAACTCACTCACTTTCCCCAAGCTTCAGTTTTTCTATCTATGAAATAGACAATGATACTCCTGTTAAGAGGGCGCTTGTAAGGATTTGGGGGACCAGAGGTTAAATTCGCTTCATTTTAGTTCACCTACGTTACTTATGTTTTGTTACATGTCTTAAGTTATGGTTTTAATAATCCCCCCACTCAAAAATAAACAAGATTAAAAGAATAATGAAAATAGTTAATAATAAGTGTCAACATTTATGGGCACTGATTTTGTGCTGTTTCAAGTGCTTTATACACATTAACTCATTTATCTTCATAAAAAGCCTATGAAGCCATTATACAGATGAGGAAACAGGCTCAGAGAGGCTAAGCATGTTGTTCAAGGTCACACAGCATGGAAGAGGCAAGCCGACTGACTCCAGAGCCTTAGCTTTGTGCCAGTCAGAATGGAAAAGAACTCCAAAAGACACCAACCTGGTTTATTCAAGTGCTGGCATGTAAGGATAAGGAAAAGCAGCCATCAGTTTGAATGACAGGCGATGGGTCCGGAGTAATTAGCCAAATGTATGAAGATTTCACCATTTCTAAACCATCCTGTTATATGACCACACATACCATCTTCATGGAAGTGCAGTAGCATCACCATGACAACTACTTTTGTGTTTTTACCTCTAATGTAATCGATTGTATTTTAAAATATTTTTAAATGAATAAAAGCTTTTGAATTTAATGTTTTAAGTAGGTAATACTTTCACCTGGTTAAAAACTCAAAAAGCTCGAGAGGCATAAAGTGAAAGGCCTCCTTCTCACCCCGGCCCCTGCCATCCTCTTCTCACAGTCAGCCAATGTTGCTAGTTTTGTGGGGAGGGGAAGAACTGATACTTTTTGAAAGTAGAAAGAGTGTGCTTGATTTGTTCTGAGGTCACAAGCCATAAAGCCCACCTTACTCTGGTTGATTTCTTCAGGTCGGCCTCAGCCTGATTTCCTGTACCCTTTGAGGCACTGCTGCTTCCTGCAGGTGATGGTTAGTCCCTTAGGGAGATGGTCAGTCCCTTCTCCCTCTGAACTTTCCCCTGAGGCACCCCCTTCAGTACCCGCTATGCTCCTGACCACATTCTCTCTGGCCTCTAGGCCTGACTGGTTCTCCATCCCCCAGAACCTGCAGAGCCTGTAAATGCCAGAGAAATCTCATCATCTCACACAGCTGATGTGGTAGAGGTGGACCCAGAGGTCACACCTGGGTGGCTTCAGGCTATATCTAGCCTATGAGATTTTTTGTTCTTTTTTGGTCTGCACAGTGATGTCAGAATTGGAAATCTTCACCTGAAAGTCCAATTTTCTGATTTCACTTGAAATATTGGCAGACTCAGCCACACTGAACCCATACTGATGCATGATGATGACAGCTGGAGCTGAGCAGCAGTTGCTCCCTTGAGAAGGAGCACAAGCTCTCTGGGTTGTATGGTCCCCGCCACTCTGGGTTGGTTAACATGGTAGGCAGGATCATAGTCACCTCCAAAGATGTCTGTGTCCTAATCCCTATAATTTGTGAATGTACTGTTACACGGCAAGTGGGAATTAAGTTTGCAGATGGAATGAAGGTTGCTATGCAGGATTATCTAGGTGGGTCCAATGGAATCAGAAGGGTCCTTAAAAGTGGGAGAGGGCAGCAGAAAAGAGTCAGAGAAAGAGAGGCAACCACGAAAACAGGGTCAGAGAGATGCCATGTTGCTGGCTTTGAAAATGAAGGAAGGGGTCACAACCCAAGGAATGTTGGCAGCCTCCAGAAGCTGGAAAAGGCAAGGAAATCAATTATCTTCCAGATTCTCCGAAAGGGAAGTCCCTGCAAACACCCTGATTTTAGCCCAGTGAGATCAGGTTGGTTTGAGAGCATAAACTTAAGTTGTTTTAAGTGACTAAGTTTGTAGTCATTTTGTTATAGCAGCAATAGAGAAGTAATACAGTTAATATGGGCCCTTGTAGGTCTCCAGGGATGGGGGAGTGGGGCACAGCTGTGAGAGCTGTTGTAAGTGTGCAAGACTCATAGCTTAAAGAGCTCGGTAAATGGCCATGAATGTTCTAATGAATAGGCGTAGCAGGCGGGTTCTGGGCAGAGTAGAGATATGGGTGACCCTTGCTTTGGTTTTTTCTCCCTCCACTCTTGTGACACCCTCTGCCCAGTTTCCTTCACAGCCCTGGGGCTTGCTGAGAGAGCCGGGCTGATATGTCAGGCCTTCAGCATTGAGTAGGGCAATCACTTAGCAAGTTGGCAGGTCTCAGCAGCTGGTGGAGGAATCTGGGCTCTGACTGAGGACAGGATTAGAGGTCAAAGTGGGAAAGTAGGGAATAGGCCCCAGACTGAGTAAAAAGACCAGGAGAGCTGAAGGTGGGGGAGGGTCAGGAGCAGGTTCTGAAAGGGGGTGCAAAGCTAGGCAGGGCCCAGACTTGAGGCCTGTTCTAGGTGGTGCTGGCTGGTAGGGGAATGACTGATGGTCTAGGATTGCTGAGGACAACTGTGCACCTGCCAGCACTGTCCTAAGCCTGCCTCTGAACACTAAGCTGTCAGCCTCTGTTTACCTTCCACTCTCAGTATAACCTGCATTCGGCCTATTTGTTGGGAGGCAACTGAAAAACTAATTTATCCTGAATTATTCTTAGTGACTGATAGTGGCTTACTGTGTCAGATACTTGCCAAGGAGATTCATGTTGAAGTGCATATCATTTTAACCTAAAAAGATGAAGTGCATTTAAGGTAGCAGTGTCTGAGAAGGAAAACCTCATGGCTACTGGTGGTGGGGGGTGGCAGGGAACATAGGATGTCACACGGTGGACAGCCTTACCTGCTCACAGGGCTGTACACCCCCAGGAGGTCTCTCATATTCCAGCCCCCATGTCCTTAAGTCTCTTTAGATTTTTTTCACCTGGGCTTTCATTACAATTCTTTTACTTTCCGTGTTTCCTGGGTAAGCTTGTTTATATATTTTTAGCAAACATTCATGTAACACTATGTGCCAGGCACCATTCTAAGTGCTTTACAAATGTTTATTTAGGTAACAGAGGTACTGTTGCCTCCATTTTACAGATAAGGAAACTGAGACACAGAGAGGCTAATTTGCCCAAGACCACGTGGCTAGCGAGTGGCTACACTTTCTGAGCCTCGGCTTTCTTGGCTGTTAAATTGATATGTATATACAAGCGCCCTCTGCATAGCAGGGCTTCTCAGACCCAACACTATTGACATTTTGGGCTGGATAATTCTTTGTTGTGAGGCTGTCCTGTGCATTGCAGGATGTTTAGCGGTATCCCTGGCCTCTACCACATAGGGTATTCACTGCCAAGAGATGCCAGTAGCAACTCCCACTCAAGCTGTGACAAACCTAAAATGTCCCCTGATCTTGCCAAATGTCCTCTGGGGGCAAAATCAACCCTAGTTTAGAACCACTGCCTAATAGGATCCTGGGGAGGATTAAATGAGCTATTTCATATAAAATACCTTCCGGCAATCCCTTCCCCATTCCTTCCATAACTCTATGGTGAGTTCTAACTCCTCAGAACCCTCTTGTTCTTTCTGTTCCTCTACTGTTTGGAAAATGTGCCCACCTATGGAGACTGGGTGCTTGAGAGCTTCTTGCAAATCCAAAGCTGTTCCAGGAGCTAGACCTGATTCCAGTCCTGTCATTTCCACAGACATGCTGTGGGACCTTGGCTGAAGTCCTTCCCCTCCTTGAGCCTCGGTTTCCCCATGTGTACGAGGGGGCTGACCCAGAAGCTTTCCGAAAGGTCTTCTCACTGCAGGAATCAGTGACTGGGTGATTCATACCAAGTGCAAATTCCCCTCACAAAGTCCAAATTCTTCCAGCGACTTAGTCATTCCAGGGTTTGAACTTTCTCGCAAAAACCATTTGAAAAATTCTTCCAGCTTAAAAAAAAAAAAAAAAAGCTATTAAAAGAAAGTAAAAGTTTCAAAACCAAATCCTAGGCAAACAACCCTGAAAACAATACACACACATACATATACATACAGCACCCAAGGTAGCTCTGAGAACAGGATATGAAACCTTGCAGGCCGGCACTAAGAAATGATTCACAGGCCTTTGAGATGCTTCTATTTCAAGACACAGTCCACCCACTGGATCTGGTGGCTCCAAAAACAAACTTTCAGCTGCTGTTTCTTATCGCAGTGTGGTTCGCCTGGCCAGTATCCTTGGGTCTCAAGAGCTCCAGACAGAAGACAAGGTTGAGTCCTGTGAATTCCCTTTCTGTTCTATTTCAAGCCTCAAGCTGCTGGCTTGTTTAAAGAAAGTCTTTTGCATCCACCTTTTGGTTGGCTGACCCGAGTTTAAAGCAACATAGCCTAATGGGTTCGTAGCACAGCCTGCGAATTCATAATTTTAGTTTAGCAAGGCCTCTGTGTGGCTCCAGCAAGTCCTACTGGATCCTGGGCTGGTCATTCTAGAAGCTGTCTCCAGCTAAACAATCCTGCCTGGCTTTCCTTATACATATCAATATTATACTTGCCCTAGGCCAGGATTAAGAATTTTAGCACAAATTCAAAATTTCATGCTTTTATGTAAAATAGAAATATAAAAGTAATTCATTCGATGAAATGCTTACTGAGTGCTCACTATATGCCAAGCACCAGCAATGTACTGGCGATAAAATACAGCCCCTGCCTTCAGGAGCCACATTGAACAGGAAAAGCAGACAATCTAAATATACATAGTAGAAACACATGGAACTATTCCCTATGGGAAATGCCCTGCATAAAAAGTGATACCAAAGTTGGAGCAAAATTGAAAGAAATGCAAATGCTTGTGATACGGTTAAGTACATTTTCATCTGTACTTACCCTTGATTTTGTTTTAGATTTAGAAAATCTTGAACTTTCACTGTTGCTTCATTTGCCCTCCAAAAATCCAGAATCTTACAGAAAGGGTCAGTGTCTGGATCAAACATGTTTCTTATCTAATTTCCTTGCCCCAGTTTTTGTTTATGCCATCATTGCTGCATGGAGTCCTCCCTCCTCTCCTTGTGTATCCTCCAAGTTCTGATGCAAAGCCCACTTCCTCCAGGAAGCATTCGCAGACCCATCTGGCCACATCCTCGCTGTTCTCTAAACACACATATCTCATGCTCTTGACTTGGCCTTTAGCCTGTCCTGCCTTATGATCTCTCTTGTACTTCTGTCCTGAAGTTTTATCTAACTTATGAATTGGGGGAAAGAGGACAGGCACTGACATTTATTAAGTGTTTTATTGGTGACGGGCATTTTGCTAGCTCTTTACTGTATATAATGTGCCTGGTATGTAGAAGATGTTCAATAAATATTTGTTCAACGAATGCTTCAGTGATTTGGCTTAAACCTAACAATAACCCTATGAGACCAATTCTATTAGTATTCCCATTTTACAGATAAGAGAACTGAGGCACAGACAGGTAAAGTCTGCATTTGAGGGCTTTCTGTCTTAAAAGTTGAAGTTCAGACTTTCTCTTCTTCTCTGTTGCTTTTTTCTGCAAATAGATTTCCCTGAAGTGTCTTGATTAATTAATAGGACATATACTGTGCTCCCTGCTTTATCCCATCTCAGGCAATATTACCTGTTCTCTCCGTTGTGAGCCCATATTTGTATTTCTACAGTTAGTTTAGAAACCACTCTGCATCAGGCGTGGTGACTCACGCCTATAGTCCCAACACTTTGGGGAGGCTGAGGCGGGTAGATTGCTTGAACTCAGGAGTTCGACATCAGCCTGAGCAACATGGCAAAACCCCATCTCTACAAAAAAATGAAAAATTAGCCAGGCCTGGTAGTGCACATCTGTGGTCTCAGCTACTGGGGAGGCTGAGGTGGGAGGATCATTTGAGCCCAAAAGGTGGAGGCTGCATTGAGCGAAGATTGTGCCACTGTACTCCAGCCTGGGTGACAGAGTGAGACCCCATCTCAAATAAAAAAAATCATCACCCCACCATTACCTGTGCCTTGTCTACCTTTCCCACTAGACCATAGGCAGCACTAATGTAGTATGACTGCTGTGCCCCTGGCTGGCACACTGCTCATGCTCAGTGAAGATTTGCTGAGCCAGGGTGGTAGTGGTGGTGGTGGTGGTGATAACAATAGGTTGAGTAGTGATGTTCCCCAAAAGATATGTGTTAATTTTTTTTTTTTTTTTTTTTTTTTTTTTTAGATAGAGTCTTGCTCTGTTGCCCAGGCTGGAGTGCAGTGGTGCGATCTCGGCTCACTGCAAGCTCTGACTCCCGAGTTCACACCATACTCCTGCCTCAGCCTCCTGAGTAGCTGGGACTACAGGCGCCGGCCACCATGCCTGGCTAAGTTTTTGTATTTTTAGTAGAGACGGGGTTTCACCGTGTTAGCCAGGATGGTCTAGATCTCCTGACCATGTGATCCACCTGCCTCGGCTTCCCAAAGTGTTGGGATTACAGGCGTGAGCCACTGTGCCCGGCCAGATATGTGTTAAATTTTAATACCCAGTACCTGTGAATGGGACCTTATTTGGAAATAGGGTATCTAAAGATAGAATTAAGGATCTTGAAATGATATCCTGTATTTTTGGTGGGACCTAAATCCAAGGACTGATGTGCTTATAAGAGAAAGGAGACCAGGCACGGTGGCTCACATCTGTAATCACAGCACTTTGGGAGGCCGAGATGGGCGGATCATGAGGTCAGGAGTTTGAGACCAGCCTGGCTAACATAGTGAAACCCCATCTCTACTAAAAATACAAAAATTAGCCGGACGTGGTGGTGCAAGCCTGTAATCCCAGCTACTCAGGAGGCTGAGGCAGGAGAATTGCTTGAAATCAGGAGGTGGAGGTTGCAGTGAGCCGAGATGGTGCCACTGCACTCCAGCCTGGGTGACAGAGCGAGATTCCATCTCAAAAAGAAAAAAAAAAGAGAGAGAAAGGAAAGTAAGATTTAAGACACAGAGACACAGTGAGAAGAAGTACAATTGAAGATGGAGGCCGAAATTGGACTTATGAAGCCTCAAACCAAGGCATGTTAAGGCCACCTGTAGAAGCTAGCAGAGGGGCATGGAGCAGATTCCCCCTCAGAGCCTTCAGGGTAACCCCACCCTGGCGACACCTGCTTTTGGACTGCTGGCCTCTAGAACTGTGAGAGAACAAATTTCTATTGTTTTAAGCCACTGAGTTTGTGGTAGTTTGTAACAGCAACCCTACGAGATGAGCACAGAAGGTGAGCAGGACTTTCCCGCCTATGAAATTCAGGGTTTTGGGGAAACAGCTTCCACTCTGGGGCCTGACAGACCTGGGGTTGGCACCTGCCTGTCCTATGGTCTTGACTTTGCTCCCCTGAGCCTCAGTTTCTTCCTTTGTAAAGGGGAGAGCCAGAGTAAAGCTGCATTTGTAGAGTGCCAGACAGTGTGCTAAGCCCTTTATCGCATCCTAAGACTCCGCTTGGATGATAATAGGCCAGGAACGCCATTAACAAAGAAACTGTGTTTGAAATTGACAGCTTCACATTGCCACATAAGAAGCAACCTCCACCTCGTGTTTTTGCTTTGAATCTGACCATGTGGTAACTCAAGAAAACTCATGAATATTGGAGTCAGACAGGACAAGGTTCAAAGCCTGGCTCTGGTGTTTACCAGCTGGGTGAAACTGTGTGATCTGTCTTGCACTTCTGAGCCTCTCATAGTTTGCAAAATGGGAATGGTACTGGTCCCTACTTGATGTTGATGTGATGATTAAATTAAACGATAATTTTAAAAGCATGCTGTTACGAGCTGTGCCACAGAGGGTAGCACAGTTCCAGCACATAGGGGAGGCTTCTCTCTGAAGATGCTACTGCTGAAGATGCTGGTTCAGGAGGGGACAATCCAGGAAGAGTAAGCCAGTACACAGAGGACGGCAACAGCTGGGGACTGATTTTCCCAGAGGAGGAATGAGGGACAGCGCAGGCCTCTTGGGCAGCTGCTTCCTGGGGTTGTGATGTCACCGGCCCATCCAGGAGGCCACAGTACCAGCGCCTGTTACTGCCTCCCAGCTGGCCGGCTCCACTTCCTGCGCCCTGAGCCTGCCCTTGCCTTCTTTCTCATGACCCTCGGGAGGCAGCTGGGCTGCAGCTCAGAAAGCAACGCTCATCTGCAAGTTGGGACAGCAGAGGCCCTTCATTCCTCCCCAGGGCTCCCACACCTTGGGAGGGACTGTGAAGAGTGACTCTTGTCCAGTGGTTTTCAAACTGGGTTCCTCTAAGCCCTGGGGTATTAGTGCCCCAGGGACCCCTGAAGGTAAGGAGGTGGCGCGTGGTGGAAGCAAGGGGCACCCTAAGAAGGCTCAATTCTTTTTTTTTTTTTTTTTTTTTTGAGATGGAGTCTCTGTCGCCCAGGCTGGATTGCAGTGGCGTGATCTCAGCTCACTGCAAGCTCTGCCTCCCGGGTTCATGCCATTCTCCTGCCTCAGCCTCCCAAGTAGCTGGAACTACAGGCGCGTGCCACCACGCCCGGCTAATTTTTTGTATTTTTTAGTAGAGACGGGGTTTCACCATGTTAGCCAGGATGGTCTCGATCTCCTGACCTTGTGATCCACCCACCTCGGCCTCCCAAAGTGCTGGGATTACAGGCGTGAGCCACCATACCCGGCAGCAGGCTCAATTCTAATGCCACTCCCTTCACTCTCCAAAGCAGCTTTTTTTTTTTTTTTTTTTTTTTTTTTTGAGATGGGGTCTTACTCTGTCACTCAGGCTGAAGTACAGTGGCATGATCTGGGTTTATTGCAGCCTCGACCTCCTGGGATCAAGCAATCCTCCAACCTCAGCCTCCTGAGTAGCTGGGACTACAGGTACATGCCACAATGATCAGCTAATTTTTTATTTTTATTTTTGTATGGACGGGGTCTCCTCATATTGCTCAGGCTGGGCTCGAACTCTTGCTCCAGTGATCTTCCCACCTGGGCCTCCCAAAATGCTGGAATTACAGGTGTAAGCCACTGTACCTGCCTAACAGCCCCACTTATTATTATATTTTTTTAGACTGAGTCTCGCTCTATCACCCAGGCTAGAGAGCAGTAGCACGATCTTGGCTCACTGCAAGCTCTGCCTCCCGGGTTGACACCATTCTCCTGCCTCAGCCTCCTGAGTAGCTGGGACTACAGGTGCCCACCACCATGCATGGCTATTTTTTTTTTTTTTTTTTTTTGTAATAGAGACAGGGTTTCACCGTGTTGGCCAGGATGGTCTAGATCTCCTGACCTTGTGATCTGCCCACCTTGGCCTCCCAAAGTGCTGGGATTACAGGCGTGAGCCACTGTGCCCGGCCACAGCCCCACTTTTTATCTTGTTTATGAATTGAGTCTTCATATCAAATTTAATTTGGGAAAAAAAGACTGTGACAAAAGAAAGTTCAAAAAACCTCTGATCTTATGCATATGGGAATTAAATCCCAGTTTAAAAAAACGCTCCAAACTATTCTACTCATTTCATTTTCTAGATGGGAGACTGAGGCCAAGTGAGGAGGGGGGGCTCATTTGCAGCCACCCAGTGAATCAGTGTCAGAATCAGGAACCAGGCCTCCTGCTATACCAGATTCTGTTTCTACATCATTTGGTACCAGGTGTGGGGTGGGGGGCAGACAACTCTGATTCTCACACCTGGCAATCACCACCTTACTTCTGTCACTCCGGGAGGCACAGCTCAGAGGCAAAGTGAATCCAACTCAGTGACAGAAAACTGAGCCTGAAGCTAAACATGCAATCATCTCACCTCACTGAGCCTCAGTTACCTTCCTCTGTCAAAAGATAATACCGGTACATAGGCCTGGTGTGGTGGCTGACGCCTGTAATTGCAGCACTTTGGGAGGCTGAGGTGGGCGGATTACTCAAGGTAAGGAGTTTGAGACCAGCCTGGCTAACATGGCAAAGTCCCGTCTCTAATAAAAATACAAAAATTAGCCGGTGTGCTACAAGCATGTGCCTGTAACCCCAGCTACTCGGGAGGCCAAGACAGGAGAATTGCTTGAATTTGGGAGGCAGAGGTAGCAGTGAGCTGAGATCGCACCACTGCATTCCAGCCCGGGTAATAGAGACTGTCTCAAAAACAACAACAAAAAACTGGTGCCTGAAGAGGAGTACTGAGAGGACCTAACTTATTAGTTGTTCTTTCAACAAACATTTTGAAAACAACTACTATGTCCCAGGCAATGTGTGTGGCTTTGGGAACCAAAACAGAATCAGGATGTCAGGCTCTTGCTCTCATGGAAACCTATATTTTTATGGGAAAGACCAATAATACACAAGTAATCAAAGAAATCAATAAGAAAATATCAGAGAATAAATTCTATTATTAAAATAAAAAGAGTAATCAGAGGATATTTCTGATTAGATTGGGCAGTTGGAGAGAATGCTCTAAAGAGGTGATATTTGGGGCCAGGCATAGTGGCTCATGCTGGTAATCACAGCATGTTGGGATTACTAGGTGGGAGCTGAGGTGGAAGGATCACTTGAGGCCAAGAGCTTGAGACCAGCCTGGGCAACATAGTGAGACCCCATCTCTACAAAAATTAGCCAGGTGTGGTGGTACATGCTTGTAGTTCTACCTACTTGGGAGGCTAGGGCAGGAGGATCACTTGAGTCCAGGAGTTTGAGGTTACAGTGAGCTATGATTGTGCCACTGTACTCCAGCCTGGGCAACAGAGTAAGACCTTGTCTCTAAAAAAATAGGCAATATTTGAACTGAGACCTCAATGAGCAAACACCTAACTTATTAATACTAAATGTTAATGCTAAAATAGCAACATGTGAAGGACAAAACTGATAACCATGAGTGTTTATTTGCATTACAATTGAATTTTTGGAAATGTATGTAATGTATATGGATCATGTGTCTGTTTCTCCACTTGAGTTTAATGATGGTAATAACTATTAACATTTTTTGCACACTGGTAATATGCAGTGTCCTCTTCTAGGCATTTCGATGTTTTGCTTCATTTAATTCTCACAGCAATCTTGTAAGGTAGGCACTGATATTTTTCAATTTTACGATTTTTTTTCTTTTGAGACAGGGTCTTACTCTGTTACCCAGGCTGGAGTGCAGTGGCACCATCTTGGCTCACTGTAACCTCTGGCTCTCAGGCTCAAGTGATCCTCCCACCTCAGCCTCCGAGTAGCTGGGACTACAGGCGTGTGCCACCATGCCTGGCTAATTTTTTTGTATTTTTGGTAGAGATGGGGTTTTGCCATGTTGCCTAGACTGGTCTTGAACTCCTGAGCTCAAATGACCCATCCACCTTGGCCTCTCAAAGTGCTGGGATTACAGGCATGAGCCACTGTGCCCAGCCTCAATTTTACAATTTTTTTTTTTTTTTGAGACGGAGTCTCACTCTGTCACCCAGGCTGGAGTCCAGTGGCGCGATCTCAGCTCACTGCAAGCTCTGCCTCCGGGGTTCACGCCATTCTCCTGCCTCAGCCTCCCGAGTAGCTGGAACTACAGGTGCCCGCCACCATGCCCGGCTAATTTTTTTGTATTTTTTTGGTAGAGACAGGGTTTCACCGTGTTAGCCGGGATGGTCTCAACCTCCTGACCTCGTGATCCACCTACCTCGGCCTCCCAAAGTGCTGGGATTACAGGCGTGAGCCACCACACACACCCCCCTTTTTTTTTTTGAGACAGAGTCTCCCTGTTTCACCAGGCTGGAGTGCAGTGGTGTGATCTCGGCTCACTGCAACCTCTGCCTCCCGGGTTCAAGCAATTCTCCTGCTTCAGCCTCCCGAGTAGCTGGGACTACCAGTGGGCACCACCACGCCCAGCTAATTTTTGTATTTTTAGTAGAGAGGGGGTTTTACCATGTTGGCCAGGAAGGTCTCGATCTCTTGACCTCGTGATCCATCTGCCTCAGCCTCCCAAAGTGCTGGGATTACAGGCATAAGCCACCGCGCCTGGACAATTTTACAATTTTTTTAACCACGATTTATTGTTTTACAAATAAGGAAATTGAGATGCAGAGAGGTGAATTGACTTGCCTGAGGTCACACAGCTAGAAAGTGGCAGAGCTCCACCTTGAATTCAGTCAATCTGGGACCCATGGTTTTAGCCATTGCGCAGCTTTGCCTGGTCCTCTAGACAGTCTGCCCATAGTAGGTGCACAATGAAGAGGATGTCTGCTTCTGTTTGGAGAGAGGGAGCTCTGACCAGGTTATTTAGGGTGTTCAAGACCCTTGACATGACTGCCCTTTGAGTGGCACATGAAGTCTTGTGCTTTCCCTGCCTTGCTCTCTCCAACCTTCCAAAATAAATCCTTGACGGCCCAGGGGCTGGGGGAAGGTGGATAATGACTTGAAAATATGCTGGCATGACACACGATAGCATCTGCAATCATGGATTGTGAAATCTAGACAAGTTCTGAGACTGTGACTCACAAATTTTACGTCAAAAAGGAAATTACAAAGGAATAACTAGGAGCATCTTTTACAGAGCGTCCTTCTCTGGCTGTGTCACCCTGAGCCCTTGATCCTACATTTTAGTCATGGCAGGCGTCTGGAATACAGATGCGAACCTTGCACCACCATCCCTGGCTCAAAGCACCCGGCTCTCAGGTTCTCTCTCTCTTGAGGATTGGCTCTGGCTCTTCCCGAGCTACCTCCTGATCCTCCTGTAGTTCCTCTAAGGTGATGGCTCCAGCTGAGAAGCCTGGCAGGTCTGGGTTCAAATCCTGACTCAGTCACTTACCGGCTGGTACCCTTGGCCACTTTCTGGATCTCCATATTAAATCCATATTCAAGGATTAATTAGGGCTGCAGATGCTCACCTTCTAGGGCTTTTTTTTTTTTTTTTTTTTTTGAGACGGAGTCTCACCCTGTCAGCCAGGCTGGAGTCCAATGGTGTGATCTCAGCTCACTGCAACCTCCGCCTCCCGGGTTCAAACGATTCTCCTGCCTCAGCCTCCCGAGTAGCTGGGATTACAGGCGCCCGCCACCATGCCCAGATAATTTTTGTATTTTTACAAATAGAGACAGGGTTTCACCATGTTGGCCAGGCTGGTCTCGAACACCTGACCTCGTGATCCACCCACCTTGGCCTCCCAAAGTGCGAGATTACAGGTGTGATCCACGGCACCCAGCCCTTCTAGGGCTCTTGCACAGGATGACAGCTCCAATATCCTCCAAGAAGGAATTGTCTATTGTGTTCATTGCTATATCCCAGGGCCTGCCTAGAATGGTACTTGGCAAATAGTAGACCCTTAATAAATAACTGCCAAGCAAATGAATAAAAGTCCTAGTACAGTGTCTGGCACATAGTAGATACTCAGTATCTGATCACTTTTTTTTTTTTTTGAGACAGGGTCTCACTCTGTCGCCCAGACTGGAGTGCATTGGTGCAATCTCAGCTCACTACAACCTCCGCCTCCCAGGCTCAAGCAATTCCCCTGCTTCAGCCTCCCAAGTAGCTGGGATTAGAGGTGCATGCCATCACTAATTTTTCTATTTTTAGTAGAGACAGGGTTTCATCATGTTGGCCAGGCTGGTCTCTAAGTCCTGACCTCAGATGATCCACCCGCCTTGGACTTTTTTTTTGAGACAGGATCTCGCTCTGTCAGCCAGGCTGGAATACAGTGGTGTGATCATGGCTCACTATAGCCTCAACCTCTCAGGTTCAAGCGATCCTCCTGCCTCAGCCTCTTGAGTAGCTAGGACTACAGGAGTGCACCATCATGTCCGGCTAATTTTTGTATTTTTTGTAGAGACAGGGTTTTACCATGTTTCCCAGGCTGGGCTCAAACTCTTGGACACAAGCAACTCATTCATCTTGGCCTCTCAGTGTTGAGATTCCAGGTGTGAGCCACCGCACCCGGCCATCACATCACTGTTATTATTACTACTAATTCCTGAAAGAGACCCCCCTGATCAGCTGACCTCAGAATTCCTGTTGCTCAGCCTCTAACTCTCTCAGGATCCATTAATGTACCAGTTTCTTGTATATTGGTTGGTCTCGGATGGGTTAACTTGTGTGAGTTGGTGTCCCAGAGTCAGGACACCTGGGCTGTTGGAAGCAGGTTGGGCAAAAAAGACTTTGATCTTGCAAAGTTCAGGAGGAGGATTGGGGCATCAGGGCCTTGCTGAGGGCTGCTGCTTGTGGGGCTCAGCTGGTACAGGCAGCTCTTCAAAGACTCTTCTCTCAGGCCTCTCCTTCCAATTTCATACCTCTGGAGATGGTCTCCATGAGTGATCTAGCCTTTGGAGTATAGGAACCTTCCTTTTGCAGCTGCGGTGAGGGACAGAGAAAGCACTTTGATAAAAATAGGAAAACCGGTGCTGGGCGTGGTGTCTCACACCTGTAATCCCAGCACTTTGGGAGGCTGAGGCCTCACTTGAGCCCAGGAGTTCAAGACCCAGCCAGGTAACATGGTGACATGGTGAAATCCCATCTCTACCCCAAAAAAAGGGAAATTGGCTACTGGCTCCTTGTATCAGTCAAGGTTCCAGCCATCCAATAGGTGGCTCACTCAAAGGAGCCTCCGGAGAGAGCTGAATGAAGGGACTTATCTATAAAGGGAGGAGTAAGGGGGCACCCAGGGACTAGTAGCAGCAGGAAGTCCTGGCACCATTATCCTGAAGGCAGGAAGGGAAGGGGTGGTGAAGGCTGTAGCTGCAAGATAGGAGCTGTGGAGAGGGACTCAACACAGCCAACCAGCCCAGCAGGAAAGAAGGAGCCAGGACAATCCACTCCCCCAACACTTGCTCTTCCTTGAGACCCCAGTTTTTTGCCATTGCTTCCATTGGCCAAACCCAAGTGCAAGCCAGACCCAAGTGAAAGCCAGAGGCCAGGGAAGCCCAGATGCTTCCCCAGGTAGAGAAGAAGGGGCTGCTCTGGAGGGGCAAAGGCAGAATACACGGCATGCCTTGTTTCTGTTTTGTTTTGTTTTGTGCCTTGGGAGGATTTACATATATTATTGTTATATGTATTACATATATTCTGACAGTCCCTCTGGGAGGTGAGGAAACCAGAGAGGTGAAGTCACTTGCCCCAGGTCACACAGAAACCAGAGAGGTGAAGTCACCTGCCCCAGGTCTTTTGATCCCCAAATCCATGTTTTTTCTATGCAGTATCCCCCTGATGGAGCTCACACTGACTTTCTGGCTGATATGTTCTACTTTCCAATGGAAATCTCTCTTGACCAGGTGATGCTAAGACTCAAATGGGAGGAAACTGGGGGAACAGGGTTGACTGATGATGGGGAAGGTGTTTTGCTGTGGAGTGTCTGTCGTGCTTATCAGAGCAGAGGCCAGCCCTGTGGCTGGCTCCATCATTCTGTGATTCAATGGCCGTGAAACCGACAGGGCAGGGGGAGCAGAGGCTGGGCTTGGGAGGGGGCATTGCACTCATAGAGATGAATAAATAATTAGGTAATTACCACCTTACAGTTCCTCTCCTAGGGAAATACGCATACGCATTACCAAGATGACAGCTGCAGCTTTTCTATAACAGAAAAGTTCAGACCCTCTACATGCCCATCATTCAGGGTTCTAATGGTGGCTAGGATTTAATTTAGAGAGATGATGATGCAACGAGGTCAAGGCCATTGAAAAAGTTTTACTCCTTACAGTTCCCAAGCGGGGGCGAGGCAGGCACACTGTGTCACGCAGGGCCACATGGGGAATCTCTGGGGTCGGTCAGAAGGCAGGGATGCAAAGAGAGCATGGCCCAGAGCCTTTAGTGCGGTTTTTGCGGAAAGGAATGGGCGAGGTAGGGTAGGCAAGTTTGAGCAAGTTTAGGACTGGACAGTTTGAGTACTGTTAGCAGGCTCTAGGCTCTAGGTATGGTCTCTAGTTGTCTAGTACCTGACCCTGGGGTGATGTAGGGCAGGGGAGATATTGGCTTGGTGTGTGAGAGTGGTTAGTTAGTATATGAAAGGCATGTTCACAGGCAAGTTGTTTACCATCTCTAGGAATTAGCTAGCCTGGGAGAGGCCATCTCTCCAGGATTAGCAAGGCCCCAGATGTCAAAGCATTGTAAAATACAGAAAATAAAAAACATGATTCATACATTCAGGGAATGATTGGAAAACGACATTATGTTCATACTTTGGAATACTATGAGGTAGGTAAAAATAGTAAGGTAGGTCTACTTACTTACACAGATGACCTCCAAGACATTAAGGCTTTTTGTTGTTTGTTTGTTTGTTTGTTTCTGAGAGGGGGTCTTGCTCTGTTACACAGGCTGGAGTGCAGCAGTGCAATCACAGCTCACTGCAGGCTTGACTGCCCAGGCTCAAGCAATCCTCCTGCTTCAGCTACCACGCCTGGCTAATTTTCTTTTTTTGTAGAGACAAGATCTCGCTATTTGGCCAGGCTGATCTCAAACTCCTGGGCTCGAGTGATCTGCCTGTCTCGGCCTCTCAAAGTGCTGGGATTATAGGCGTGAGCCACTGTGCCTGGCCAAGACATTAAGTAGAAAAAAGAAGTTGTGGAACAATACTTACCCATATGATTCCATTTACAAGTGGAAAAAATGAACAAATAAACCTTAAATTTCTATGTATTTCTGTATATGTGTGCAATGCCCCAAAGAATGTGTAAGTGGATAGACACCAAACTAGCATCAATGGTTATTCTTGGAAAGCGGGAGAGTGGAATTGGAAAAGGATCAGAAGGAGGTCTTTTACTACATCTGTATGTTTGAAGTTTTTACAATAAATACATGTTCATGTATTATCTGTGTAATTTAATATAAAGTAAGTAAATCCTCCCTTTTCCTCTAGATAATGTTAAACCCATTTGATGAACACTGTGATGGGGAAGTACAGGGGCTGACTGGTGTGTAAGCAGAGAGGCAGGGTCCCTTACCCTGATTAGGCAACCAGGGAGGACTTCCTGAAGGAGGTGAGTCCTGGGTTATGTTTTGAAGGATGGATTAAAATTAGCCAGATGAAGAAGTAGAGAAAGAGTATTCTAGATAAAGGGGACGGTGTGTCTGGAGAAGTGATGGAGCAGCTATATTTAGGAGTATAAGATTGTGAGAAAGAGGAGGGCCAGGGATGAAGTGGGAGATGTGAATGGAAGCAGATCTTGAGGAGCCTCATAAGCCCAGCTGAGAGGTTCCAATTTCACCCAGAAGGCAATGGGGAGGCCTCAGAAGGGCTTTAAGGTTTGCCATGAGTGGGCCAGGATGGAGAAGCAGGGAGGAGGAGGCGGGGCTGTGAATGAACAGACTGGAGTGACGCTAAGATCAGCTGCCATCAACCTCACCCTCCCACACTCCAGCCACATGGCTTGCTTTCTGAGCTCTAACTCACTGACCCTAAACTTTCAGGTGCATCAGAACCGCCTGGAGGGTTTGTTAAAAACTCAGCTTGCTGGGTCTCACCCTCAGAGTTTTAGCAAGTCTAGGGTGTATCCCAAAAGTGGACATTTCTAGCAAGGTCCCAGTGATGCTGATGCTGCTGGCTGGGGGACCCTACTATGAGAACCACTGCTCTAACATACCTTTCCCTTCCCACCTCAATGCCTTTGTTTGTTTGTTTTGTTTTGTTTGTTTTTGAGATGGAGTTTCACTCTTGTCGCCCAGGCTGGAGTGCAGTGGGGAGGTCTCACCTCACTGCAACCTCCGCCTCCCGGGTTCAAGCAATTCTCCTGCCTCAGCCTCCTGAGTAGCTGGGATTACAGGCATGTGCCACCACACCCGGCTAAGTTTTGTATTTTTAGTAGAGATGGGGTTTCACCACGTTGGCCAGGCTGGTCTCGAACTCCTGACTTCAGGTGATCCGCCCGTCTCGGCCTCCCAAAGTGCTGGGATTACAGGCGTGAGCCACTGCGCCCGGCCAACCTCAACGCCTTTGCACTTGCCTTTCCTTCGCCTTGAAATGTCTTCCCCACATCTTTGTCACCTCCTTAGGAAGCCTTCTTTGACCACTCACTCAATTAGCCACTTGGTCACTATCTTCTTGTCCTGTTTTACTTTCTTTAGGGCACTGGCCACCCCTAGAGATGATCTTGGTACAGTACCGGTTGGCTTGTTTGTTGTCTGTTTGCCTCTATTAAAATGTAAGCTCTAAGAAGGCAGGGATCTATCCCTGCGCACCTAGGGCCGTGTCCGGCCCTCAGCAGATGCTCAGGAGTCTGTGAAGCTAACAGCTGCTAGGGTGGGTTTCTGCAGCCTGGAAGAGCCTGACAGGGCTGCGGCTTTCTGATGGTGGAGGGCTGGTGATGGGCACCAGGAGGGACAGATGTTTGGATATTGAACTGAGCTGTTGACACAGGTTAGAAAAACTCGTCCTCTTTTGGGGGAAGGGCAGGGTGGGGTGAGAAAGAGTTTAAAATAGGTGACCTTTTCAAGCAGATGCGGGAGGAAGGAAGAGCCCGCTGACATCACAGCTGAGAGGCCCAGAGCTCGGTTGTGGCCCAGGGGCCAGCGCTACCAGGGCAGGCCCCCAGCCTGAGTCACTCCCACCTGTAAGTCAGGCGACCAGGCCAAGCCTGGGGGTGGGGGCACTGTTCTGAGAGGCATAGGGCGGGCAGAGAGAGGTGGCAGCTGCTGCCCACCCGGGACCTCCTCCTTTCGTCCCTCAGGCCTCCTCCAGCCATTCACTGTCCTCGGCATTATGGAGGCCTGGGCAAGGCACAGGTCCTCGGTTTCCCCATCTGGAAAGGGGAGTGGAGGGGGAGGAAGGATTTGGGCTCAAAGGTCTCAGAGGATCAAATCCAGGCATCTCTGTTTGTCATAGATGACCTCACCCCAGCTATTGATCTCCACTCCCTTGCACCCACATCTGCCTTGTGTTCCTGTCTCTGGGCCCCCATTCAAGCTCTTCATCCTCCTCTTCCCCCGTTCCCCAATATACTAGTACCTCCTCTCCTAAGCAAACACTTTCCACCCTCCAGGCTTGGGGAGGCTGGGTGCAGGAGAGGAAGGAACATGGGCTTTGGAGCCTGACAGCTGGTTCCAGATCCGGCCTTGTCCCTGACACCTTTCGTCTATTGTCACCCTTTTGACCTCAGTTTTCCTTTCTGTAGAGTGGGTATATCTACCTTCTACATTGTGGTAAAGATTTTTTTTAAAAGCCTGTTGTGAAAGTTTGTTTCCTTTGCCTTTTTTTTTTTTCTAGTTTGTTACTGCTGCTCTGAAGCTTTTCAGCATTTCTTGAAATAATGAATTCCAGTAACACTGATAGCTCTTGGCCGGCCCACCATGAAGCCCTTGATCCCAGCCTGGCTGAGAATAGACTGTTTCACACATCACTAACTCTGCCCCAGCCTCTGGCTCAGAGCTAGTAGCAGGACATGAAGGTTTACTGAACACCAAACAGATGGTGAGTGCCCTGCTAAGAACTTCACATACATCTGCCCCCTCCATCCTCCTCACTGTGAGGAAGTGTCATCGTCCCCACCAGAAAAACAAGGACTGGGAGGTGTCCTGACTTGCCCAGGCAGAGACTGGTGAGTGATGAGGCTGGAAAAGTGACAGGGCCCAGTTCTTGAAGGGCTCTGAATATATTTTATCTTTTTAATCATTTTATTATTTTTATAGAGATGGGGGCCTCACTATGTTATCTAGGCTGGTATCCAACTCCTGGCCTCAAGTGATGCTCCCACCTCAGTCTCCCAGAGTGCTGAAATTACAGGCATGAGCCACCATGCCCAGCTGAATACACTACCTTAAGGGCAGTGGAGAGGTTTTAGACAGGGAGGCAACATGATCAGACTTGGGCTGAAGGCTGGGTGGGGTTGAGATAGGTAGGGAGGAAAGAGAAGGGTAATAGTTTGATTTCTGCTTCCCAGAGTTGTAAGAAGGGTGAGCTTGCCTTGTCAAAGAGGGAAGGTGATTGGGCAGGGCAGATGGGAACACAGCTAACACCTGTGAACTGGAATGAGCCATGTGAGCTGGGATTGGGTGAGAAGCTTGGGATGGGCGCACGTTGCCTAATACATGGCCTTAGGCAAGTTATTTGGCTTCTCTGAATCTCAAGTTTCTCATCTGTAAAATGGGCTTAATCACAGTATAACTTCCTGAGGAGCCGTGAGACTTCAGCAAGATAATTAAGACATGCAAAGCACTTACTTGGACCAGGGCCTGGCATAGAACAAGTGCTCAAGAACCACCAAGCACTGTGAAAAGCGAGACATCATCGTGATTTTTATTGTAATCCTCATGGCTCTTGGGATAGCCTTTCCAGTCGGCTGGGGGCTTCAACTCCCAGGAGCATTCCCAAGCCCAGCAGTTTCAGGTGGGCTCTGTTAGCTGATGTTTCCCTGCTTCCTGGCAGGGAGGGTGGGAATGGCAGCCAAGAGTGCAGGTGTCACGTCCCCTCCCTCCCCATCTATTTCCAGCGTAGCTGCCTGAGGCCACTGCCAGGTGTGGGTGGTGAGTCAGAGCCAGGCTGAGAGGACAAGGCAGCCCCGGGGGCCTGAAGCTGTCTCAGCCTCCCTCCCTCGGCCTTTCCCATGGGCATTTTGAAGGGGGAAGGCTGGGCCAGTGCCCAAGGGTCCTCCATCAGTGTCACATAGAGGACACAGGGTAGAGACCCAAGGTCCCCCAATCTACCTCTTTGCTGGCTGGAGGTGGGGGCAGAGGCCATGTTCTATTCATCTCTACCTCCAAGAATATCTAAGACAGGGCTTGGCACATAATAGGGATGCAAGAAATGCACGTTGACTGAATGAAGCAATGTTTGTTCAGGACTTTAGAGGAGCAGGATTTGTTCATGAGAACAGACTATGAGCTCTGCAGACAGACAGACAGACAGAGAGATAGACAGGGTTTATATGACCCCGGATAGGGGAATTTGCCTCTCTGAGCCTCAGTTTGCTCATCAGTGAAATGGGGATAACAATGTGTACTTTATATTAAGGACTGTTGTGAGGTGTAAGTGGGGCAACCTCAGGAAACTGTCTACTGTGCCTGAGACTATATCTATAATAACATTGATCACATTTTGTTGCAAGTATGTATTGCCATATTTGCCCCTCTCTGGATGGTGAGCTCCCCTTGGGTCAGGACAATAGTAAGTAGAGGCTTCTGAGACAGGAAGGTATGAACTTGAATCCTGGACCTATTTTTACTTTACTGTGTGACCTTGGACAAATCACACACCCTCTCTGAGCCTCAGTTTATTTATGAAACAGAAATGGTGACTGTAGAGGCCGTGGTGAGGATTAAAAGAGGCATGTTGTGCAAAGCACCCAGTCCAGTATCTGGTACCTGAAGGCAACTATATCATGGAATAGGAACAGGCTTCAAATGGATCAACAAGGACCAGCCCTCATGGCTGGGTGAATGGAAAGATCTTGGGCTGGCAGTGAAGAGACGTGGGCTCTGGAACTGACTTTGAAGCCAACTGGCTGAGAGTCCTGGGACAAGTCCTTCAGCTTCTCTGGGCTGAGCCTCACATCTGTAAAATGAAGGGCTTGGATCCCGTGGCCCAAGGGTCCTTCTGGCTCAGCATACTCTGGCTGAGGCAGGTAACCTTGGCCAGACCCTGTGAGCTGACTCCTCAGTAAGAAGCAGAACATGGAAGATCCTGGTGTGTCCCAGATGTGTCTTGAGTCCATGAAGGTAGTCAGTCAAGTACACCCTGGCCCTGGCCCCAGCAAGCCACAGGGATGAGCCTGGGGCCTCTGCAGGCAAAGAAGATGTGCCCAATGCACACAGCTAATGAGCAAGCAGGCAGGTGAACCATGCATGGCTGGCCCCAAGATCAAGGCTCGCCACACTGCTTCCCGTAGGCTGCCCTCCCCCAACCCTGCCCTTATGCACCTCTCATCCTGGTCTGTCCTCAGGGCACGCTGTGAAGCAGGCCTTGTTCCTCATTTTATTAATGCAGAAACAGGCCCAGCAGCGCTCAACTGCAAAGTCAAGGAGACAAAACTTGAACTTGGGGCCTCCTGCTCCCAGGCCTTTCCTGCTACACTTAGGGCCTTTCGCAGGGAACTTTCGTTTTCTTTTTTTTTTTGAGATGGAGTCTCGCTCTGTCACCCAGGCTGGAGTGCAGTGGCGAGATCTCGGCTCACTGCAAGCTCCGCCTCCCGGGTTCACACCATTCTCCTGCCTCAGCCTCCCGAATAGCTGGGACTACAGGCGCCCGCCACTGCGCCTGGCTAATTTTTTGTATTTTTAGCAGAGACAGGGTTTCACCATGTTAGCCAGGATGGTCTCGATCTCCTGACCTCGTGTTCCACCCGCCTCGGCCTCCCAAAGTGCTGGGATTACAAGCGTGAGCCACCGCGCCTGGCCGGAACTTTCTTTACCTGAATGTCACTGCCCCCTGCTCTGACCCTCTCACCCACCCAATGTCCTCTCCTTGTCCTCAGCTCGTCTTCCTCCAGGCCATCATCCCCCTGGCTCTGACTGCATTTCCTAAAGTGACTCTGACAATCTTGTTCTCACCTAATGGCATTCATTCATTCATTCATTCATTCTCTCAACAAGTATTTGTTGAATGGTTTCTATGGTGCCTGGCTCTGTTCCAAGCCACCAGGAACACAAAAAGATGAACAAAACAAAGTCCCTATCGTCATTTTACAAAACAAAATAAAAATCTCTTGTCTTTATAAATTACCCAGTCCCTGGTATTCCTTTATAGCAGTACAAGAATGTACTAACAGGGGCTGGGCCTAGTGGCTCATGCCTGTAAACCCAGCACTTTGGGAGGCCGAGTGGGAGGATCATTTAAGGCCAGGAGTTCAAGGCCAGCCTGGGCAACATAGCGAGACCCTCTCTCTACAAAAAAAAAAAAAAAAAAAAGTTAGGTGGGCATGGTGGCACATGCCTGTAGTCCCAGATACTCAGGAGGCTGAGGAGGGAGGATTGCTTGAGCCCAGGAGTTTGAGGCTGCAGTGAGCTATGATCACACCACTGCACTCCAGCCTGGGTGACAGGGAGACCCTATCCCAAAAAAAAAAAAAAAAAAAAAATTGGAATAACACATGTGGCACAAACTGACAAAGCCTCAGACTGTGTCGCCTTCACCATGGGAAGTTCAGTGCCAAGCACAGGGTCTAGTGTATAATAGGTGCTTAATATGAGTTTCCTGGGTGAATGAGTAGCCTTTGACCTTCTCTGTTGACTGGGTCCCACACTGTTGGGACAGCACAAACAACTTTACTTAAAGGTAGTTTCTGGGTACCAGTGCAACCCAGGCTGGCGACAGCAGGCGTAGAAGCAGGGCTAAGCTGGCTTCTTAGTCATGGCCAACACTTTCCTCCATTTTGGATTCTGTCTGTCCAGCCCCCAAGCTTAGCCTTTCCCAGACTGAATCTCTCTGCCTTCTAAGACACTGGAATGCTTCTTCCCCCACCCCATGACAGCTCTCACACTTGGCAAAGCCCAGTCACTGAAGTAGTTATGTCAGGTAGGCTGGGCCTTTTACTTAGTTCCTTCGAGTCTCTGAGCCTTTGGCTATTGCTAGCACAGTGGTGGGCCCATAATAGGTGCCCAGTAAGTATTTGTTAAATGAATGAACAAACGAATGATGAATGAATGAGAGAGTGAATCAGGACTCAGTGAATCTGCAGCTCTACTGAGCTCTCTGCTGGTAAAGCTCTGGATTGATGTGTGTGTGTGTGACCTTGGCACTTCTGGGCCCTGGTTTACCTTGGAAATGAATAGGTTTGATGGAACTGTCAGAGGCATTTGAACCAGGAACTCCATCTTGAATAGGGGCTGGGTAAAATAAGGCTGAGATCTACGGAGCTGCCTTCCCAGGAGGTTAAGGCATTCTTAGTCACAGGATGAGATACGACGTTGGCAGAAGATACAGGTCATAAAGACCTCGCTGATAAAACAAGTTGTAGTAAAGAAGCCGGCCAAAACCCACCAAAACCAAGATGGCGATGAGAGTGACCTCTGGTCATCCTCAGTGCTACACTCCCACCAGCACCATGACAATTTAAACACAAATGCCATGGCAATGTCAGGAAGTTACCCTATATGGTCTAAAAAAGGGAGGAATCCTCAGTTCCAGGAATTGCCCACCCCTTTCCCAGAAAACTCATGAATAATCCATCCCTTGTTTAGCATATAATCAAGAAATAACCATAAAAATGGGCAACCAGCAGCCCTCAGGGATGCTCTACGTATGGAGTAGCCACTCTTTAATTCCTTTACTTTCTTAATAAACTTGCTTTCACTTTACTGTATGGATTCACCTCAAATTCTTTCTTGTGCAAGATCCAGGAACCCTCTCTTGGCATCTGGATTGGGACCCCTTTCTGGTAACAGAACTAGCCCCATCCACCCGTGTCCATAGTGGCATGCTGGACAGACAGGGAACATTGCCATGCTTGGCCTCCCCACCATGTACACACCCAGATTTTGATGAAACTCAAAAATTGTTGTGTGGAAAGCAAAGCCCTAAAATGATTTGCAACCATCACAATTGTTGACCCAGGAAATAGCAGCTCACTGTGGGTTGGGGCTTACAATCCTCAGTGCAAGAGCAAGACTTCCTTTTGTTCTCCTCAAGGAAGCAGATGGCAGAGCCTAGGGTGTGAATGACATTATTACAGGGATTCAAGTGTTCGTCTCTTTATCTAGTTAACGACTATTTATGGAGCATTTTCTAAGTCCTTGGCCCTGGGGATGCAACAATGAGCAAGAAGCCCTTTTGGAGCTTACATTCTGGTGGGAGAGACAGGAAGTTCAAAAATAAAGATACATATTAAATGAGAGGATCTCTGATAATAAGTGTCATGAAGGAAATCACCCAGTGCTGGGTTAGAGGGGGAAAGGGAAAGTGGGTTACCTTAGCAGGTTCCCAGAGCTTCACTGAAGAGTTTTATTTGAGCTGCAACTAGAGGATGAGAAGGAGCTGACCTTGCAAAAAGCAGAGGAAAGAGCACGGCAGGCGGAAGGAACAGCATATGCAAAAAGCTGTGAGGGGGAAAAGGGATGGTTGGGAATCCTTTTTATTTTTCTAAACAAGCAAATCAATATGAAACTATAATTATTTAGTTATTAGTAGTGCCAGATTAATTTTTTCATTCAGCAAAACAAGCCCCTACTGTGTAGCCAGCCCTGGTTTAGGCCCTGGGGACAAACAATGATGAATGAAAGCGACATTCTTGTCGCACAGGTCCTGGGCCTGGCACCCCATGGAGATGAGCTGGTCTGATGTTTGCAAAGGGCTCCCCAGCTTGGATCCTTGGGGAATCCAAATAAACCCTGCGGGTTCTGGCATCCCAGGCCTCCCTCCAGCCGGCTGGCGGCTCCAGGCCTCCATAGGCAGGCGGTTTCTCTGTTTCCTGCCTTTCCCTCCCCCACCCACCTGGGCACAGAGGGTCTTTCATCCATTGTTACTGCTTCCTGCCCATCCATCTCCAGCTGCTGGTCTGAACCCTGCAGATTTACACTGACAAGCGGATGCTTTTACCAGGACCCTCGAGGGGGATAGGGAGGGGAGTGGTGTGGAGTGTTAGGGGGAGGGGGGGAAGGAGGACCAGAGCTCTGTGACAAGGAAGAGTTTCCTGCTCTGAAGAGGTGTTAGACCCTGAGGGCTGAGAGGACGGGAAGCAGGCCTCTGTCCCCAAAGCCTCCCTGACCACGCTGGGGGAGGGGGTGATTTATGACCCCTGACCTGGCAGGGCCTCCAGTCCCCTTGGACTGGGTTTGGGTTCAGCTACATCTTCCCTGGCTAAGGGATGCACTGGGCTTGGAGTCAGGAGACCTGGGTTTCCGTACCCTTTCCACCAACTATCAGCTGAGTGACTTAGGAAAGTTTCTTAGCCTCTCTGGGCCTCAGTTTCCTCACTGGACAGGGGGGTCTGATAACCCATGCCTAGCAGAGGTTATTGTGAAAATGAATATGATCATGTAGGATAGATGGTTGCAAAATACCATAAAATGAAGAGCATTTTCTCCCCTGGAGCTCTTTCTCCTTCTATCCAAAGAAGAAGGTTATAAGCTGGCTTCTGTTAAGGCAGACTTGATTTAGCACCTACTGTGTGCCAGCTGCTGTTTGGGGTATTGAGGATAAGGAGACACAAGTTCTTGCTCTTAAATGAGACAGACAAACGAACAGACATGCAGCATGCAATTGACTGCAGCATTTGGACACAGTGGCCAAAAATGTGGCTCTGGAGCCAGGCTGCCTGGGTTCATTTCCCAGCTCTGCCACTTGCTGGTTGTGTGGTCTTAGGCAAATTATTTAACCTTTCTGCACCTCAGTTTCCAAAGTCTGTACAGTGGAGGCAATAATTGCCCACTGCATAAGATTGTTGTGAGGACGAAATTATTTAATACTTGTAAAGCATTTAGTTTATGCCTGTCATACAGAAAGTGCTCAATAAATAAAGTTATTATAGGTGCTGATGAAGTCAACATGGAGTGGGGAGGGCATGGCCAGCCAGTACTATAGATGAGGAAGACTTTATGAGGAGCTGAGTCTTAAATGATAGGTGTGAATGAATCAGCAACAGGAAGGACGCGGTGGCTCACGCCTCTAATCCCAGCACTTTGGGAGGCCGAGGCACGTCGACCACCTGAGGTCAGGAGTTCGAGACCAGCCTGGCCAACATGGTGAAATCCCATCTCTACTAAAAATACAAAAATTAGCCGGGCGTGGTGGCACCTGCCTGTGGTCCCAGCTACTCGGGAGGTTGAGGCAGGAGAATCGCTTGAACCCGGGAGGCGGTGGTTGCAGTGAGCCGAGATCACGCCATTACACTCCAGCCTGGGGTGACAGAGCGAGACTCCTCTCAAAAAAAAAAAAAAAAATGCCAGGCACGGTGGCCTACACCTGTAATCCCAGCACTTTGGGAGGCCAAGGTGGGCAAATCACTTGAGGTCAGGAGAGTGCCTGTAGTCCCAGCTCCTTGGAAGGCTAAGGTGAGAGGATCACTTGAGCCCAGGAGGCGGAGGTTGCAGTGAGCCGAGATGGTGCCACGGCACTCCAGCCTGGGTGATGGAGCAAGACTCTGTCTCAAAAACAAACAAACAAACAACAACAGAAGAAACATCACCATGTCTGTGAGCTGATTCATTCAGCTGGTGGTCTAGCTTCCGGCTTCATTCATCCACCAACTCTTCCGTGAGCATCTACATAGTGCAAGGCACGTTCCTCTCTGCTGGGGCTATAAAACAAAGCAGAGTTGGTCCCTGGCCCTGGAGCTCACCATTCATACGGGGAGGAAATGAGGAAATAACCTGTTTCATCAAATGACCAGAGACTGCTACGGCCTCTGGAGCTGCCCCCAGGCAGATTCTCGGTGGTTTGCAGACTTCTCAAATGAACATGCCCCAAACCAGATTCCCACACCCAACCCTCCTGCTTGCAGGTTCCCCTGATTAGGAAATGGCACCAACACCCTGCAGGCGCTCAGGCCAGAAACCTGTGTGTCCCCTCCAGTACCCTCCACACTAACCCACCACTCATCCCATCCATCTGCAGCTCCTGTGACTTTTGTTTCAAGGACATGTTTGTAATCCATCTTCTGTTCTCTCTGTTTTCCCATCTTAGTCCAGGCTGCCATCACTCCTGCCTGGATGCCACGTCGGTTGCCTAACTTGCCTTCTTGCGGCCTTTGCCTCTAATCCTTATCCCACACAGCAGTCAAGAACAGGCTTCTTCAAGCCAGGCACAGTGGCTCACGCCTGTAATCCCAGCACTTTGGGAGGCCGAGGCGGGCAGATCACCTGAGGTCAGTAGTTCGAGACCAGCCTGGCCAACATGGTGAAACCCTGTCTCTACTAAAAATACAAAAATTAGCTGGGCGTGGTGGCGGGCGCCTGTAATCCTAGTTACTCCGGAGGCTGAGGCAGGCGAATTGCCTAAGCCCTGGAGGCGGAGGTTTGCAGTGAACAGAGTTGGAGCTACTGCACTCCAGCCCAGGCGACAGAGCAAGACTCCATCTCAAAAAAAAAAAAAAAAAAAGAACAGGCTTCTTCAAAGGCAAACCACATCCCCCAGTTTCACTGCTGAAAACCTTGCTTCAGTAGCTTCCCACCGCTCTGGAATCAAACCAGAAGCCTATGCACATCCTTAAAGCCAGCACACATCTGGCCTTGCCCTCTTCCAGCCTCCTCCTGCACGTCTACACCCTTTTCCCCATGTGCGCTGGCTTTTTAGTTTCTTGAGCCACCAAACTCACTCTCCTGGAGATGCTCTTCCGCTCTTTCTTTGCTGGGCTGGCTTCTTCTCACCCTTCCGGTCTCAGCTTATATCTTCCCTCCTTCCAGAGGCTTCCCTGCCCATCCCAGCTAAAGTAAATCTCCCCTGTCAGTTTTTTGTGCTTTTTTTTTTTGTTTGAGACAGAGTTTCACAATCTCGGCTCACTGCAACCTCCACCTCCCCGGTTCAAGCGATTCTTCTGCCTCAGCCTTCCTATTAGCTGGGATTACAGGCATGCACCACCATGCCTGGCTAATTTTTGTATTTTCAGTAGAGACAATGTTTTGCCATGTTGGTCAGGCTGGTCTTGAACTCCTGACCTCTCATGATCCACCTGCCTCAGTCTTTCAAAGTGCTGGGATTACAGGCATCAGCCACCACACCTGGCTCCCTGTCAGTCTTTCTCAGCACTGTTTCCTTCATAGCACTTTGTAATTATTTTATTTGTTGACTTTTATGTCTGTCTACCCCCTCTAGAGATCAGGAGCGCCTAAATGCAGCATCCAGGCCTGTCTTGTTCCTTAGGGTTCCTACAGCCGACAGCCTACTAGCCTCCAGCCTCCAGCCTCCAGTGCCTGCCAGAACTGGCCCTCTGTTCATGTTGCCAAATACTGAGACTCGATGGGTCCAGACCACTCTGTTCAGTCACCCGCAGTGACTCCCAGCTCCCCTTTTGCTCACCCAGAATCACGCTCTCTCCTCTCCCCAGCCTCAGTGGAATAACTTGTGGGTTATCTTGTCATTTATCAATCTCTAATAAAAGCCAGATTATATTTAGAACAGGTGAAAGCAACGATCTAACATCTCTGAGAGGATTTTCCACTCCCATCTGCCTTTCTACTACAATTTGGTTTCCTGTGGTGGTTGCAGAGACTGCCGAGCCAGCCAGCTTTGTTATTCTGGGGTGCAGAAAAGAGCCTCAAAAGAAAGCCAAGCCCCTCTTCTTCCACCCTGCACAGAGAAAGAAATGAGGTGTCTAGTGCATGCGCCTGGTGTACAGTGGGAAGCCTGGGATGAGGCCTTGTGCTCATTTGCTGTGTGACCTTTCCCTCTCTGAGCCTCAGTTACCCACCTGTAAAAGGAAGGGGTTGGAGCATTAATTACTAAAGGCCTGTGACAGCTAAGATTTGGATGGCACCATGAGCCAACGGTTCTTTTACACTCCTGGGCATCGGTTATATGGCAGTCCCAGTTCTTTCTATGAAATGAAATGTAGTTGATGCCTTTTTTAGTGTATGTGCAGATGCATGCAAATTAACACAAAATAAGAACCCCAGAGGCTCTCGTTCACAGGACCAAGGTCTGGCCAGACCTGGGATGAAAGAAGAAATGTAGTTCATGTTTCCAACACTGCTTGGTGTCTTTCCCAACATCCCACTCTACAGAGAGGAAACTGAGGAGGGAAAGTGACTTGCCTGAGGCCATGCAGCAAGACACTGACAAAGTACAATTAGCAGCCAGGTCTCCTTTCTAGCACTTTCCTTACCTCATCTTCCTGCCGTTTAGCCATAGGCCTGGGGATAGGAACCTAGCTCTAAGGAAAGTTTGTCCTCTAGTTGACACAAAGTGAACTTGGATAAGCTTCCTAAAGTTCAAACAAAATACTTTTTTTTTTGACAGTATCACTATGTTTCCAAGCCAGAGTGCAGTGGCGTGATCATTGCTCACTACAGCCTCCATTTCCCCGGCTCAAGCAATCCTCCCACCTCAGCCTCCTGAGTAGCTGGGACTATAGGTGCGTGCCACCACACTCAGCTATGTTTAAAAAATGTTTGTAGAGATGAGGTCTCACTATGTTCCCCAGGCTGGTCTCAAACTCCTGGGCTTAAGCAATCTTCCCAGAGTGCTAGGGTTACAGGCGTGAGCCACCACACCCAGCCCCCAAATACTCTGTCTTTGGAGCAGGGAGAGGTGAGTTATTTTGGTTATGTGATTGGGGGGATGAATCAGAATGGAGTTGCGGAGAGACCATTCCATGTAGGGGGACCAGCATATGCTAAGATGTAGACGCAGAAAAAAAGCACAGCCAAGCTCAGAAGTTGTTTATAAAGACAACTTCAAGACGTGCCGGCCAGGCATGGTGGCTCATACCTGTAATCCCAGTACTTTGGGAGGCTGAAGCGGGTGGATCACCTGAGGTCAGGAGTTTGAGACCAGCCTGGACAACATGGCGAAACCCCATCTCTATTAAAAATACAAAAATTAGCTGGGTGTGGTGGCACATGCCTATAATTCCAGCTACTCAGGAGGCTGAGGCAGGAGAATCACTTGAACCTGGGAGGCGGAGGTTGCAGTGAGCCAAGACCACATCACTGCACTCCAGCCTGGGTGACAGAATGAGACTTGGTCTCAAAAAAAAAAAAAAAAAAAGACATGCCTCCCCACTGTGTCCCCTTCTAATCAGAATGCACCCCTCACCCACCACCAACGGAGTCTCTTTTAATTAGAAATTCCAGAAACTCCATTACCTGTAAGATAGAGCACATGTAGAGAAATCATGAAAAACAAGCCTGGGGACCAAATTGTAAAGCCTGAAATGGCAAGCTTAGGAATACGGACTTTATTCTGAAAGCAATAGGGAGCCATCGAAAGTTTTATGGCAGTGAGAGAAGTGATCAGATTCATATTTAGGGTGACCTGATTGCCTGCTGGTAGCAAGGAAATCAGTCTGAAGACTGAGGCAATAGTTCCAGAGGTAAAGGCAAAGGCCTGAACCGGGTCTACATGGCAGGGATGGAGATGGGCATTTGTCTGAATGGAGCAGACTGAGCCTGTTTGGATGGGGAAGCGAGGGAGAGGACTGAGAACTGTGGGTTCGCTTAATCCAGTGAGCAAGGGTGCTGAGGTCCCTCTGTCCTTTTCACTACTGGCTATTTCCCCAAGCTAGTGCCCATGCAGAAGGTGAGGCTGGGGGTCAGTGGAGCAACTGCCTGCCGGCTATACAGGACAGAGGGCAGCTTGACTTTGTTCCCTGGAGATGTTTATTCTATTCTTTGGGCTTATTAAGGAAAGACCTCAGGGCCTTAGGGGACCACAAGTCAAGTATTTCTCAAACCTTCATTTAGTACCCACTAGGGTAAAGTTCTAGTGTAGTGGACAGATATATTGAGGCTATATTTTCTGAACATCAAACTGGGACACATGAACTGCATAGAAGTTTTTCAGATTTGACATTTGTTTATATGAAAAGTCCTTTAATGACATTTTATGGGTTGAATTGTGTCCCCCCAAAATATATGTTGAGGTCCTAACCCGTAGTACCTCAGAATGTGACCTTACTTGGAAATAAGGTCGTGGCAGGTATAATTAGTTCAGATGAGGTCATACTGAAGCAGGATGGGCCCTTCATCCCATATGACTGGTGTCATTATACGAAGAGGAGAGAGACACACAGGGAGAATGCCACAAGATGACGGAGGCTGAAACTGGAGGGGTGTTTGTCGAAAACCAGGGAATGCCAAGAACTGACGGCCACCACCAGAAGCTAGGAAGGGGCAAGGAAGGACTCTACTCAGATTCTTAGGGATAGCACAGCCCTGAAGACGTCTGGATTTCAATCTCAGGTCTTTGGAACTGGGAGAGAAAACGTTTTTGTTGGTTTAGGCCTCCCAGCTTGTGGTACTTTGTTATAGCAGCCTAGGAAACTAATAGCATCTAAATCAGGCCAGGCGCAGTGGCTCACGCCTGTAATCCCAGCACTTTGGGAGGCCGAGGCGGGTGGATCACCTGAGGTCAGGAGTTTGAGACCAGCCTAGCCAATATGGTGAAACTCCATCTCCACTAAAAATACAAAAATTAGCCAGGCGTGGTGGTGCACACATATAGTCCCAACTACTTGGGAGGCTGAGGCAGGAGAATCGCTTGAATCCGGGAGGCGGAGGTTGCAGTGAGACAAGATCATGCCACCACACTCCAGTCTGGGTGACAGAGCGAGACCCTGTCTCAAAAAAAAAAAAAAAGGCCGGGCTCAGTGGCTCACGCCCAGTAATCCCAGCACTTTGGGAGGCCGAGGCGGGTGGATCACGAGGTCAGGAGATCTAGACCATCCTGGCTAACACGGTGAAACCCCGTCTCTACTAAAAATACAAAAAAAATAGCCAGGCATTGTAGCGGGCACCTGTAGTCCCAGCTACTCGGGAGGCTGAGGCAGAAGAATGGCGTGAACCCAGAAGGCGGAGCTTGCAGTGATCCGAGATGCCGCCACTGCACTCCAGCCTGGGGGACAGAGCGAGACTCCGTCTAAAAAAAAAAAAATTAAATCACATGTAATTGTCTGTTTGGGCCCCCACTGATCACCACTTCTAAGGGGGGGCTCTTCTCTGGAACAACCGTGTATAGGTCCCCATTCCCACGGCAATGCTTTGAGGGGCTTTTTGCCTGGGCTCTGGCTGCTCCCTGGCCCCTCCACTCAGCGACTTCCCTCCCCTCCCCTCTCGGCTCCAGCACATCATCTTCTGTTTGGGCTTTTCCTCCGGTTGCTCCCTCCATGTTCCCCCCCGCCTTTTCTCCCAACACCAGCTCCCACTTCCCCTTCCTTAGTGGAGTAGGTAAGAGCAGACCGCCTGGTTTCAAGTCCTGGCCGTGCCATTTCCTAGCATCTAGCAGTGAGAACTTGGGCAAGTTCTTCCCTTCTCAATGCCTCAATTTCCTCAACTGTAAAAGGGGAATACTAGCAGTTCCTAGCTCACAGGGTTGTTTGAGGATGGAAAGGTATTAAAAAGCCTTACGGGGCCTTAGCTCTTTAATTTGGCTTGTAGTAAGCACACAAAAGTGGTTATTATTATTATATTATTTTAGAGATAGGGATGATTTTAGAATGCAGTAGCACGATCATTGTGCGCTACAGTTTCAAACTCCTGGGCTCAGGTGATCCTCCCATCTCAGACTCCACAGTAGCTAGGACTACAGGCACATGACACCACACCTGGCTAATGTTTAAATTTTTTGTAGAGATGGGGTCTCGCAATGTTGCCCAGGCTGGTCTGAAACTCTTGGCCTTAAGTGATCCTCCCACCTCAGCCTCCCAAAGTGCTAGGATAACGGGTGTGGGCCTCCATGAGTGGCCTAGAGTGGTTATTATTACCTGCTTGGCCTACTGGCCTCCAGAATGCCTCCCTGACCACTGACTCAGCCTCTCGCTGGATTGTGTTACCCACATGGTATTGGAGCTCTCTGCCTTGCCTGTCTCTTCCAGACTGTACTCTTCTCTGGGTAGGAAAGGGGCTATTCTGCATCCTTGGGTCCTAGCATGCAGCAGGTGCTCAATGCACGCTTGTTGAATGACCCACTGAGCAGAGAATTGGCTGAGGCCAAGAAGGTCTGGGATGTAGAGGTTGGGGACAGCTTTCATAGGACAGTGTGCCCATCCTTCTAGAAGTGAGAGTCTTTTTTTTTTTTTTGAGACAGAGTCTCGCTCTGTCGCCCAGACTGGAGTGCAGTGATATGATCTCGGCTCACTGCAACCTCTGTCTCCCGTATTCAAGCGATCCCCCGCCTCAGCCTCCCGAGTAGCTGGGACTACAGGCATGTGCCACCACGCCCGGCTAATTTTTTTGTATTTTTAGTAGAGATGGGGTTTCACCATGTTAGCCAGGATGGTCTCGATCTCCTGACCTCGTGATCCACCCGCCTTGGCCTCCCAAAGTGCTAGGATTACAGGCGTGAACCACCACGCCTGGCCCAGAAGTGAGAGTCTTACTCTAGGTTCTTGAACCCTGCTCCAGCACCCCTGACCTTGCCCCCAACCCCAGCACATCCTGCCCTCCCGTGGCGCCCCCTCCACACACTGTTGCCCACGCACACCTGCCTGGTCCCCAGGCAGCAGCTTCCCCTGACACACATTTTCCACTGCTGGGCGGGGCAGAGCAGGTTACAGGTGAAAACAAGGTTTCCTTTCCTGAGTCCTTCCCCCACCTCCCAGCCCTGTTCCCTGGTTTGGTTTCTGTCCCTGCAGAACATACCTGTCCACAGTCCCTGACTTCAATGGCACAGGGTCCATTGGGGGCCAGAACATTCAAGGCTATGTGAGTGCCACCTAGGGTCTTAGATCAAGTACAGGGTATAGTCAGGACCTTGGCTCTGCTGCATTTGAACTGTGTGACTCTGGGCAAACCCGTTCCCCAGTCTGAGCTGGGTGACTCTGGGCAAGCCCCTTCTGCCCTCTTTCCCCATCTGCAAAAAGGAATAGTAATTCCAGTCCCCTGGGACTGTTATGGGGATTAAATGGGAGAATAGAGGGAGTGTGAATGAGTTCTATCAATCTGATTATTTGTGGGGACAGGGCAGGTACCCAGTGGAAGTAGGAGAGGTCACTTTCTCTGGGCCCAGCACTATGCCAGCCACTGAGGGGTTGTGAGTGTTTAGAATCTAGTGTGTGCTCCGGATGGGGGAGGGAGACTCCAGTGGACAGTACACTAGCCTGAGAGTAAGAGACCTGGGTTTGGATCCCCTAACTCTCTGTGTAACTTTGGCATGTCTCATCGCCACTTCAGGCCTCAGTTTCCCTGACTTGAAATAAGGGGACTAACTTGGATGCTCCTCAGGTCTGATGTCCTGGAGACTGCACTGTGCCAAGAGAAGGCAAGGCCAGGTAAAAATGGTGCAAACTTCCAAGTTGACACCATTCCTAAGTCACTCCTGCTGAGAACCTGGGGTGAAATCTTGGCTAGAGGCCAGTTCTCCTTGATTTCCTCCCATCGGCTTCTGTGACAAGTTCTTTTGTGTCCCTAGCTGGTCTGAATCGCTGCCCATCTCATCAGCCAGGCTTCCTTCTTCTGGCTTCATGAGCCCCTGCTCCTCTATGAAGACCAGCTGCAGTGTTCCTTCCTCCGGGAAGCCTTTTCTGACTCCCTCCAGCAGAATTAGGCATTTCCTCCTTGGAGCTCTCACTGCCCCTCCTAGAACACTCCATCACCGCACTTACCTCTCTTGCTTAGACTAAGTGTCTGAATACCTCACCAGGTTTGAAGGCAAGATCTGAGTCTTGTAGTTGCATGTCAGGCATCCAGCACAGGACCATGTGCAGAGTCAATGGTGGAGGATGGATGGGGGAATGGGGAGAAAATGAATGAATGGATGAATGAAGGAATTGAGAGGTGGATGGCTGTGTAGGCTATGGACAGATGATTTGATGGGGGGATGAATAATTGTTAAAGTGAAGAGGTCAGCGAATAATTAGCTACTGATAATTATTGTTGGCACCACACATCACTGGAGTCACCAAACACACGCCTGGACATACCAGCGAATGCTCCTTGCTTCCATGATTCCAGGGCTCTGGTTTCCCCTCCAATGCATGGATGTTGGCCAGAGAACCCTCCTATGGCTCTCTCCACATGAGAGCCTGGGGTCAGCTGCCCATTAGAATGTCTTACCTTTCTCAACACATTTTAATTTCTCAACTATCAGGGTTAAGATGATGGTGACTAATTCACTGTGAACTCTGCGTACTACACGAGGCTCGGGAGTGGGTGTTTCTGGATGTTTTGGTGAGGAGGGAATTGCTGACCATGACACTGGCAAAGATGCCAAGATGACCCACTGGCCACTTTTCCTGCCTCGTCTACTTTCCCTTCCTCTCCCCACCATCCAGTACAGCCTGTACCTTCACCCATGAACAACCCTCTCATCTGCTAAAAGAGAATTTTACAACTGACCTTGAGTCGCCAGTTATCTTCTGCAACCTACTCCATGCCACCTCAGAGACCCAAGAAGAATAGGGGTCAGAACCCAATTTAAGCCTGGGCATAGTGGCTCACGCCTACAATCCCAACACTTTGGGAGGCCGAGGAGGGCAGATCACCTGAGGTCAGGAGTTCGAGACCAGCCTGGCCAATATGGTGAAACCCCGTCTCTACTAAAAATACAAAAATTAACCGGGTGTGGTGGCAGGCGCCTGTAGTTCCAGCTACTTGGGAGGCTGAGGCAGGAGAATCGCTTGAACCTGGGAGGTGGAGGTTGCGGTGAGCTGAGTCGTGCCACTGCACTCCAGCCTGGGCGACAGAGCGAGACTCTGTCTCAAAATAAATAAATAAAAATAAAAATGGAACCCAGTTTGGAGGGTTGCTGCCTTTCCCTCAGTCTGTCCCCTAGAGTCGGTTGATAGCAGGAACACTATGGGACTTGGGGGCAGAAGACTTCAGTTTAAGTTTTGACTTTTCAGCCCTTGTCAACTGCTTCCTTCTGGGAGGAGGGGCCCAGAGGTGGACAGAGCAGCAAGGAGAGACAGGCTTTGGAATGACACAACAGCAGGTTCGAATCCTGCTCTGCCAGGGAGTTACTGTGACCTCAGGCAAGTGATTAACTCTTCTGAGTCTCTGCTTCCTCATCCGTAAAATGGGAGAATACCATCACCTCCCACCTCCCAGATGCTGCTCAACCTCTAGCCATGTGTGATGATGGAAATGCCTAATTCTGCCCAAGAAAGTCACAGAAAGCTTCCTGGACATTTTTCTATGTCTTTTAAAATCTCAAGAATTTTTATATCTATTATAATGGATAATATTTCATATTGATAATATTTTGAGACATTGGATTAAATATGTTACTAAAATAGAATTTAAAAAAAGATGCTGCTCAAAAATCCTTCTGCTATGCAGCCATCCCAGCCTCTCCCAGAGTTTGGTGGCTTCTCTCCTGCCTTGTCACAGGGTTTGCATGTGTCTCTATTATAGCTTTTATTTTTTTATAGCTCTGTCACCCAGGCTGGAATGTAGTGGCGTGATCTCGGCTTACTGCAACCTCCGCTCTCGGTTCAAGCGATTCTCATGCCTCAGCCTCCTGGGTAGCTGGGATTACAGGCACATGCCACCATGCCCAACTAATTTTTGTGTTTTTTGGTGGAGATGGGGTTTCACCATGTTGGCCAGGCTGGTTCAAGACCTCAAGCAATCCACCCATCTCAGCCTCCCAAAGTGCTGGGATTACAGGCATGAGCCACCACACCCGGCCTGTTACAGCTTTTAGAAGTTATATTGTAGTTGTCTGTTTAGGGTCTGTCTCTCTGACTAGCCCAGGAGCTCCTTGAGGGCAGGAACTATATCTTGGTCATCTCTACTCCTAATTCCTTGCATACAGCCTGGCACACAGCAGATGCTCAGCAGTAATTAATAAAGTGGATGACTACATGTATGTGAAAGCAGTGTGAATTGCAGTGAGAATTTTATTATTCTTCCATACCTGGAGTTCTAGGTGAAAACAACAGGATACATGCCACATAAACCCTGATCAAGGCTCTGGCAGGGAACAGATGGTATAACCAAATGGGTAATTTGTAAAAAGTTTAATGAAGGGACTACTAACAAAGGTGTGGACAAGGTTTAGGAAAACCAGGGGGAATGGTGCAGTACCCCAGGGCTGGCAGGCAATATGAGGAGCTGTTACCACCTGTGGCCTGAAGGGTGGGGAGGGAGAGGTCACCTGGACCCATGGCCAGAGATGTATGCACAGGGCTGCCTGATAGGAGCTGTAGGCTTCGGGTGAGGGACACAGCCAAGGTGGCAACCCTGTAGGAAGGGGCTGGGGAATAAATACCAGTCCCCACTTGCCACCTGTCCTCTGTCCTCTTGCCTCACCCAGCCAGAAGCCAGAGGGCAATGGGGGCCATTGATGTCACCCACAAAGGTCACCTAATCAAGGTACAGAACAGGTTGAGGAAGGGCAGAGGAGAGTTCTAGAGGGGCAAACAGAGAGATCCAGCATGAGAAAGAACATAATACCCTCAGGATCTTTAAAGGACTTCTGGATATGCTTATAAAATACAATAAATGCTGGGTGCAGTGGCTCATGCCTGTAATCCAAGCACTTTGGGAGGCCAAGGCGGGTGGATCACGAGGTCAGGAGATCGAGACCATCCTGGCTAACACGGTGAAACCCCATCTCTACTAAAAATACAAAAAATTACACAGGTGTGGTGGCACACACCTGTAATCCCAGCTACTCGGGAGGCTGAGGTAGGAGAATTGCTTGAACCTGGGAGGTGGAGGTTGCAGTGAGCCAAGATCGCACCACTGCAAATCCAGCCTGGGCAACAGAGTGAGACTCCATTTCCAAAAAAAAAAAAAATTAGCTGGCTGTGGTGACACACACCTGTAATCCCAGCTACTCAGGAGGCTGAGGCAGGAGAATTGCTTGAACCCAGGAGGCAGAGGTTGCAGTGAGCTGAGATGGCATCATTGCACTCCAGCCTGGGAGACAGAGTGAGACTCCATTTCAAAAACCAAAAAAAAAAATACAATAAATGGCCATACACAACAATAATCATTAGCACTTAAGCACCTACTGTGTGTCAGGTGCTGTGCTAATCCATTTTCCAGTTGTGGAAACTGAGTCTCAGAGAGGCTAAGCAACCTGCCCAAGGTCACACAACAGGAAGTAGCATAGCCAGGACTGGAACACAAGTGGGCCTCAAAGTGCAGGTTCTCATCACCTGGTAGCAACTACCTATTGCTAGGCACTATTTCCAATCCAACAAAGCTCTACAAGGTCAGTGTTTTTTTCCAGAAACTTAGAGAGGTCAGATGATTTCTCCAGGGCCACACAGCTCATAGGGGGTGGGGGTAGGGGCAGGGAAGCAGGGTTGGAGAGTTTGCCATTAGTTGGAGCAGGTGACTGGCAGATTGCACGGTGGCAGCCTCAGGGATTTTTTTAGCCCCAACGGGTGGAGCCACCTCTCACCAGGTGCCTCCCGGAGTCACTCCCCAGCTGCAACCACAGGATTTAGACTTTCAAAGCTGGGCAGGGCCCTCAGCATCCTCTAGGCTGCCTCTTGCCTGTGACTTTAAAACTAATAATAATGATCGCAGTCAGCCATGGCTTCCTGAACCCCTGGTGTACTCATTCATTGTCTTTCTCTACATTGTCGCTAATCTGACCACAACTCTCCTTTAGGATTGTACAACATCTACAGGCAGGTATCATGGGCTGCTCATTTTGTAGAAGAAGTCTGAGGCTTAGAAGGCAAATGACTTGTCCACGATCGCGAGGCAAGTCAGACCCTTCAGAGCCAGACCCTGACCCCAGGGCAGTGTATGCAGCTTAGAGCACCGATCCTGGACCTGGAAAGGCTGCATCCACATCCCCAATTGCACCTACCAGCTGTGCTGACCTTGGACAAGTCATTTCTCTGCATCTTAGTTTCCTCATCTATGAAATAGGAACAGCAATAGCATCTGCTTCATCTGGTTGTGGTAAGGATGAAATGAATGATAATACATAAAGCACTCAGAGCAGTTATTAGAAACACACCAAGGGCTTTATAAGCATTGTATCCTGGAGTCCACTGAGCTTTCCAACCTTGTCTGAGGAGGCTCTTAAAATTGCTTCTGTGTGACCCTGGCTTTCATAGTAATCAACTGAATGGTTCCCACCAGGGCCATGCACTATGCTTCACAGGCCATGCTTGCCCCATTCAGCCCTCACCATCACCCTGTCCCCATTTTGCAGACAAGGAAACTGAGGCCCAGAGAGGAGTTATGACCTGCTCAGGCCTCCACATCTCAGAAACTGCAGAGCCAGGGGGACTTCTCCCAAGTCGAAGCTGGTAGTCCCCCCCTCCCAACCGCAGGAAACCCAGATTGTTATGATTACTGGTATTGTTGTCCAAAACAATACTGGAGACGATGACAATACAACAATCATGGAGGGTGCTTATTTCCACTGGCTCAACAATTATCCCAACGCCCATATGGAGGGGGCCTGGGGCTTCAAGAAGAGGCTTCTCGAGGCAGGATGAACAAACAAGCAGTGAAAAGCCTGCAGCTGGGCCCCAGGTGCTGGAAGAGAGAGTGGGGCAGGAAGCGGGCAGGCCATTTCTTTCCTCTTCTTTCTTATTTGTTTGAGAAGCAACTTTACTTTCTAAATCGGTCATTGTCACCCGTTAGCCCCCGCCCCACCTGGGCCAGGGCCTCTGGTGACGGGAGCTCAGGAGGAAGCTCTAGGGGGCAGGAGGGATGAGGGTGCGAGGTGGGGCAGGGCCTGGGCCCAGCTGGACATGGGGGCTTCTTTCCTGCAGGGGCCTCATAGGCCACCTTCAGGTGACCTGGGCCTGGCAGACAGTACCTGCTGGAGGTGTGACCTGAGTCCTCCAGGTTCAGCTGCCAGTGGGGAGGGGAGGGAACCCTCATCAACAGGGAAGTAGCTGGCACGGTGGTCAGGGGCCTGGCTCTGGAGTCAGACCCATTTGGCTTCCACAGTCTGTCACCTCGGGCAAGTTACTTCACCTCTCTGAAAATGGGATGGTTTGTTGTGAAGATTAAAAATAATGAAACCACATGACACATGGAAAGCATTTAACACGTTTACTAGCACTTAAGCACATTTACCACTGGAGATTTACTTAAGAAGCCAATAGGTATTGGGCATTTACTATGCACCAGGCACTTTTAAAGCATTCTACACGTATTAATTCATTTATTTGGCACAATTAACATTCTTCCCACTTAACAGATGAGAAAACTGAGGCACACAGAGAGGTAGAGTTCCTCACACAGGGGCAGATCCAGGCTTGGCAGGATGTCAGTAAAGGTTATACAATACTGAGGGCGGGGGGGTCTCTTTAAATAATGAAGTACAAGGCCATGCCAATGAGGGACCCAGGACTTAAACCTCACCATCCTCACCTTAAATCTCCCTCTAAGCTCTGCCGCCCTGCTAGGAAGTGGTAGCAGAGGCCAGGTGGCTAGCTCCAGAACCCGTAAGAGTTATAAGCACTATTGAGAGTACACGAGACAGTCACTGCAGAATGCCACACAAATAAGAGGCAGCACTTCCATTGCATGTACCATGGGCTACACACTCATTTAACCCTTCCAGGAACCTAATGAGGGTGGCATATTATTACCACGCCCATTTTACAGATAAGGAAGTCAAGGCTCAGAGCGGACCAATGGTTTGCCTGAACGCACAGTGCTAAGGAGTGGTAGACCAGGATTCCAGCCCAGGCAGCCTGATCTCAGGGGCCACCTGTTTAGCCACTACAATAACTGTCACCTCGCTCATGACTGGGGCTCAGCACCTTCCTCTCACCTCCCCTTGCAGGCTCTCCCATCTGTTCCCTGACAGCAGCTTGGGGTGTGGACAAGACACCCCTGCTTTGGAGTCAGAGATGCCTGGATACTAATCCTCACCCTGTTGCTTGCTCGCTGTGTGTCCCTGAGACAGTCTTTTCCCATCTCTGAGCCTTAATTTTCTCATCTGTAAAATAGGAATTGTGCAATTTATAGGGTGGTCATGAAATGCAGATACATCAATTATTATTTTATGTGTTTTGTAACATACTATCAATAAGCCATGTATTTAAGTAAGTAAGTTGCCTTTGGATACCACTTCATAGGGTGGCTTGGAGAGTCAGAGTAAGGCGAAGAGTCTGGCCCATATTAAATGCTCAGGACCGGTAGAGATCACCATGCTGGGGACAAGGGGACAAGTCATTTGTGAGGAGTCAGGGGAATGGAGAAATGGACAAAACCAGATGTTGGGATGCCTGCATTCTGGAGGGATTTCTACCACCAGCTTGTGGTGTGACCTTGGACAAGTCACTCCCTCCTTTCTGAACTCAGTTTCTCCATTTGCAAGTTGTAGGCATCGCTCCTCACTAATGCATGAATGAAACTGTCTCTAAGGTCCTTAAGAGACTGAATTTCTGGGTAGGAGCACAGGAGCATCTTCTGGGTCTCTCTGAGGGCTGCTCCCATGAAGTCTCCCCCCTACTCTTGGGGTGCTTTTCATGGCTCCCACTCTTGAGACAAACAGGAGGGTTTGCAGGGAACTCATACATCTCATCTGCTCCAGCAGAACCACAGTGCATGGCTCAGCTCGTGGGCTCTGCAACTGGATAGCCTTGATCTAATCTGTTTCTCACCTGTAAAATGGAGATGAAGATAATATAATAGATGTCCTTATCCTGAGTTCATAGAGGAGGAGACGGAGGTTCCAGGAGGCACAGGACTTGCTGGAGGTCATGGCTCTCACCTTGCCCTTGTCCTACTGCCTCTGGCCCACCCTTCTACAGATATGGGCTTTCCCTATGGGAATCCCAGCTTCCTCTCCCCATCCTAGAGGATTGGGTCACATTGTCTTTTGCCCTCTGCCTGACATCCTGTCTCTCCTCTCTCCCCATCTGGCAAACTCATCCAGTGGAGGTGGGCCAGCCCTGGTGTCCCCACTTACGAGCACGGTGACCCTGAGTAAGCCTCCCACCCTCTCTGGGCCCCATCCCCTCCCCGACGTCACAGGAACAACGTGGAAACGCTTGGCACACCCAGTGCCTGACCCATGGTGAGTGCTCATGAAATGTCATCTCAAATGTTGTCTCCTCAGGGGGCTGCCCTGGGGCCTCCATGTGGACCAAATTTCTCTGGGCTTGCAAAACCCAGTCCCTTCAGCACTTATCACCCTGTATCATAACCATCCACCATCAGGTCTGTATCCCACGCATCCTCAGATCCCTGTGTCTTCTTTACATCCACTGTGTTTGGCATAGGGACTGATACAAAGGAGGCACTCAGTTAAAGATTGTTCAATGAGTGAGTGAATGAATGAATGAATAAATGAATAAATGAATGAATGGTGCCTGAGTGGTGCTACATTGCACCGGGGTAAGCATTTCTCAGTGTCTCTCACTCAGCCTTCTCTGTCACCCTATGGGGTGGGTGTTCTGTCATTGCCCCCATTTCACAGATAAGCAAACAGACTCTGCTGGGGGAGGTGGCATAATCAGTGTTGGTGAAACCGGGTCCCAGAGCCTTTCCATGTCAGGTGAGGGTGGGTGGTTGGAGCCCAGAACAGTGAGTGTGAGTGACCCCTTCCAGAATTTGCCTTTGACCATTACCTCCTTGTAGAACTTCTCTCCTCCCTCGAAGACGCTGCTTCTCCCAGAACCTCTCTCATACCCCTCAGTCTCCTTCCCAAGTTCCAGCCAACCCTTGAATATTAGTGTTCCCCAGGGTTCTGCCCTCAAGCCTCATTGTAAACTGAGGCAGGGCTGGAACCTCTTTTGTCTGCCCGGCATATTTTTCCAATCTTCTCATTTCCTGTCCATGTGCTCTGGTCAGGTATCCCTCACAGGGCCCCACCCACTGGGAAGGCAAGTAGGCCAATTACAGTGTCCCATTTTCCTTGATATACAGTGATTGGTTTGGGCCTGGGCATGTGATACAAGCTGAGCCAATCAGAGCCCTCCCTGGAACTTTCGATGGAGCCAGTGGCGAAGCTTGGCTCTCTCCTGAAATGAGAGCTGGTAGGATGTAAACATTTGAGCATCTTTCCTGGGACTGGAGAATGCCTATCTGCCATGGGAGAGAAGGCCCATTCTTTTTTTTTTTTTTTTTTTGTTTGAGACAGAGTCTCACTCTGTCACCCATGCTGGAGTGTGGTGGTGCGATCTTGGCTCACTACAGCCTCCGCCTCCCGGGTTCAAGCAATTCTCCTGCCTCAGCCTCCCAAGTAGCTGGGATTATAGGCACTCACCACCACACCTGGCTAATTTTTGTATTTTTAGTAGAGTCAGGGTTTCACCATGCTGGCCAGGCTGGTCTTGAACTCCTGACCTCAAGTGATCCGCTTGGCTCAGCCTCACGAAGTGCTGGGATTACAGGCTTGAGCCACCATGCCCGGCCGAGAAGCCCCATTCTTAAAGAAAGGCAGAGACAAACAGAACTGACTGATGGGTGTGATGGGGAGATAACCCAATGTCATCACTGGAAACCCTGGATCCAGCAATGCCCGAAGTTTGACTCACCCTTGAAACTCTAAGATAAAGGGGCCACTACGTTTGTAGTATCGTTTTTCTTTTTGTTTTGTTTTCCATAACCTAATTTGAACTGAGTTTCTGTCACTTACGACCAAAAGATTCCTAATATTCTCTCTCTCTTGCCTCTCCCTCGATGATCTTGGGTCTTATCTAGTCCTATATCTGGGTGTGTAGTGCAGTCAGTTCTTGAGGAAATGGACATCTGGGAGGTACCTCAAAGGTGACCTCGCTCTGCCTGCCACCTTCCTGGGTTAATGCTGTCATCATCTACCTCAGCTCCTGATACAGGAAATTCTGTCACCTTTATTTTGTGTCTCTCCCTCTAATTGTTCTCCTGGATCTACTGCTGTTCAGTTTCAGAAAGTTCTTGCCCAACTCCCCCCCACCCCACCCCATTGCCATTACCTTGGTTCAGGCCTCCTTCAGCTCACCACAACAACTTGAATCTGTCCTCCCTTTCCTCCCCCTTTGTCCATCCTCCATACCTATTATGGAGATTTTTTTTTTTTTTGAGATGGAGTCTCACTCTGTTGGCCAGGCTGGAGTGTAGTGGTGCAATCTCGGCTCACGGCAACCTCCGCTTCGCGGGTCCAAGCAATTCTCCTGCCTCAGCCTCCCAAGTAGCTAGGACTATAGACACGTACCCCCACACCTGGCTAATTTTTGTATTTTTAGTAGAGACGGGGTTTCACTATGTTGGCTAGGCTGGTCTTGAATTCCTGACCTCAAGTGATCCACCTGCCTTGGCCTCCCAAGGTGCTGGGATTACAAGTGTGAGCCACCATGCCCAGCCTACCACAGAGATCTTTCTAGAACCCACAACTGACCATGTCACTCCTGCTGCAAACCCTGCGTGGCTCCCTGTCAACCTCAGGATAAAGTCTGAGCTTCCTAGGGTGGTAACTGGAGGCCATTCCCAATTCGACTTCATCTTTTTTTTTTTTTAAATTTTTTTTTTGAGACAGAGTCTCACTCTGTCACCCAGGCTGGAGTGCAGTGGTGTGATCTTGGCTCACTGCAAATTCTGCCTCTGGGGTTCAAGTGATTCTTCTGCCTCAGCCTCCCAAGTAGCTGGGATTACAGGCGTGCACCACCATGCCCGGCTCCAATTTGACTTTATCTTGAATCCATTTCCTCTCCCCATCCTGCATTTCAGTCACGTTTCACGCCCTTTTCCTGAGCACACTACCCCCTTTCTTGTCTCTGGACTTTTCTGCTGGAATCCGTCTCTGTCCAGCACGTGCCTTGCCCCTCTCCCCACCTGAGCTACAACCATTTTTCAGAGAGTCCCGTCAAGGCTGACTCCTCTGGGAAGTACCCCCTGTACCAGCCTGATCCCCCTTGCCCAGAGAGTCGGCTTCCCCCCTCTTCTGTGCTCCCATCACACCTGGGCCTTTGCGTCGTGGGCTAACTGGGACATGAGCCCCCAAGGGCAGGACCCAGCCTGACCTTCCTCTCCACCCTTGGGCCATCGCTGCACACTGCAGTGAGCTCCATGGGTAAAGGGGAATGCCATCCGGCCCTTCTCACAGGGATCCTCCTGGCTCATCTCATTTGGTTCTTGACTCATCCTTGACTCTTTAGGGCAAAGAGGCACCTGGAAGAAATAATTACAGTCTTTGCATGTGGGTAGTACTTCGCAGTTTACCAGGTGTTTCTGAGTTTCTCATTGGTCTTTATATGTCTGTGGGTTTCAGGGAAGTTGTTGTCAACCCCATTTTACAGATGGAAAGCTTGGTTCAGAGAGTTAGGGATGGAGCCAATCCCCAGTCTTGGGCAAGCCCCTGACCCTGAAAATCCTTTTGTGATCCAAGCCCCCCATTTCCTAAACGTGTGCTGAGAACCAGGGAAAACCGGGGTATCCAAGTAAGAAGAGGGAATGCAGATTCTGGCCTGGGCTAACAGCAACAGTAATAATGACCCCACGGCAGCCACTGCCCTTGTCCTGCTCTGCGTTCCATCCACGTCACGAGCATCATCTGCTTATGAGGAAGGGTTACTCATTCCCATGTTACAGATAAGGAAACCGAGGCCCAGCAAAGCTAAGAGACTTGCCTTTCTTGGCCAGTTTCCTTCCGATGCCTTGGTGATCGCTACAGCCCTTTACAGTTTGTAACTTTAGCACCCCTTTCCTGATCTCTCCAGTCTAGCACTGGTAGGTGGACGTGCTCCCATTTGACAGAAGCAGCAACTGAGGTTCAGAAGTCAAGGGTGGAGCTGGGAGACGGCTCTCAGCCTTCCGATCATGGGAGCGCGCCCAGAGCCTGGTGGCGCAGCTCTGGCGGGGAGGCGGGGAGCAAGCGATAGGGCCGCGAGTGGGAGTCCGCGTCTCCTCCCCGCCAGCCGCCGCCGCCGCCGCCGCCGCCACAGCAGAGCCTGGCTTCCCCGCAGCAAGCGCGGCAGGTGCGCAGCCGGTGGCGGCGTCGGCGCGGCGGGTGCGCCCGCGTGGGCGTGGGCGAGGGACCTGGGCGGGCGGGGCCCCACGCCCATCCTCCCTCCCCCCTGCCCTCTCTCCCGTGGCTGGCGGCAGGTGAGTGGGTGTCGAGGAACCGCCAGGCAGCGGAGAAAACAGGACGCCGCAGAAATCAGATTACTCACCTGCAGCTGCTACTACCCAGGGCTAATAAAAGCAGAGCTTCCTGTTGTTTCTTTATTACCGCCCTCTGCCTCCCTCCGCCCCAATCCGCTCCCAGCTGCAGCCAGAGCCCTAACTGATCGCCAGAAACCGGTTGCTTGGGGTCCAGACCAATCCAGTGCCTGAAATACCCTCTGTGCCGCACAGGGTTGGGTTAATGCTTCCTCAAGGGTGGACTTCGGTCACCTGCATGGGAACCACCTGGGGTGCTGGTTAACAACACACATCTCCAAATACGGCTTCACACCTGCTCGATCAATTCCTGCAGTTTGGGGCCCAAGAGCAGAATTCATAGGAATCTCAGGTGATTTGTAGGCAGGCTGAAGTTTGAGAACCACCGAGTCTGGATGTTGTAGGTTCAGATGATGTGGGTTTCCTGTTCTCAAATGCGACCCACAAGTTAGGGATGAAACCTATCCCCAGTCTTGGGCACGTGGGGCAGAGCCTCAGTCTGCTTATTTGTAAAATGGGGGTGAAAATAATACAGACCTCTCAGGACTGACTGAAACAAGGCTCAAATGGAGAATACACTTATCGTGATTCCTAGCGATTGCTCCTGGAGTGTATAGACCAACCAGGACTAGGCACGGAGTACCATCCATGGAGTGTGAGGGGCAGGATGAAGAAGCAGGCAGAATGGACCTCGGCTGGGAAGGGGCCATGATTCACCCTGGGTGCACTGAGAAAGACTTTTCACCGTTGAGCTTCTCCAGAGTCCAGTCCCCCTCACACCAGGAAAATGTTCCTGCCCAGGGCATGGACAACCCTGATGGCTAGATCCAGTGACCTCTTCTCAGCCCTTCTGTGACACCTGACTCTGGAGTGGACCTCACCTTTCTCCTCCAAGCTGTCACCTCCCTCAACTTCAGGGCAAGTTTGGATCCCCTTCTTCGTCTTCCTCCTATCTAGCTAGCAGCTCCCTTGCAGGCCCCCGCAGCCCTTCCTCCTCCTGCCTCCGCAGTCATGGGCACCTCGGCCTACTGCGCAGCCTCTACATCCTCCCAGGACAACTCACCCACTCCCAGTTACCTTCTTTAAGCTGAGCTCTGCCCTTCCTGAGTCCCTGATTCATAAACACAGCACCTCCTAGACATCTCTGCTTGGCAACTCCCCTGCATCCAACTCAACTTGACCAGCTCCAAACTCATCATCTCACTCTCCCCTGCCACCTGCCTCTTCTGGTTTCTCTGTCTCAGGGCAACACACCTGGATATTGTCCCAGGTGAGGTCTGCTCCTCAGCTCCTCATCCAGCTTTCCAATCCAATCCATTTTATCTCCCCAGTTTTGCTCCAGAATCTGTCCCCTTCTTCCTAGTCTTCCTGTCCCTCTGCACCCCAGGTCCCCTAGTTCAGGACTCCATAATCTCTCACCTGGATGATTCTAACAGCCTTTTTTTTTTTTTTTTTTGAGACCGAGTCTCACTCTGTCGCCCAGGCTGGAGTGCAGTGGCGCGATCTTGGCTCACTGCAAGCTCCGCCTCCTGGGTTCACGCCATTCTCCTGCCTCAGTGACATTTACTGAGCTCTTACCCAATGCTCAGTACCATGTCAAGCCAGTCAATCTTTGTAGCTTTAGCTCAGCCTCATACCATTTACATGATTATTATTCCTGACTTACAGATGAAAAAACTGAGGAAGAGGGAGGTTAGGTAGCTTGCCCAAGGTCACAAAGCTAGTAAGTAGCAGAGTTGGGATTTGTACCCAGGTCTCTCTGGATCCAAAGCTGGTACTGTTAGCTGTTCTAATCTTGAGCCACCTTGTCCCAGTTGCATAGTCTTCTCCTTTTTTGTATCTTCCCTGGCATCTCAGAGGATGCCTGGCATATGGCAGATGTTTGTTGAATGAATAAACAAATCTGTCTGCACTCCCATTTAATTCTTCTTTTTTTTGACAGAGTTTCGCTCTTGTCGCCCAGGTTGGAGTGCAGTGGCATGATCTCAGCTCACTGCAACCTCTGCTTCCTGGGTTCAAGCAATTCTCCTGCCTCAGCCTCTGAAGTAGCTAGGATTATAGGCATGAGCCACTACACCCAGCTAATTTTTGTATTTTTAGTAGGGCCTAGGTTTCACCATGTTGGCCAGGCTGGTCTCGAACTCCTGACCTCAGGTGATCCACCCACCTTGGCCTCCCAAAGTGCTGGGATAACAGGCATGAGCCTCCGTACCCGGCCCCATTTAATTTTTACAACAACCCTAGGAACTACATTTTTTTAAAAAAAACAAAACTTACTATGTAATATTTGATGATTACAAAAAATGTGTGTTGAATATCTGGCATATGAAGACAAACACCTGTGAACCCATGGCCCCAGCTTAGGAACTAGGCCTTCACCAGCACCACTGAGGCCACCTGTGTGTGCCTCCCCAGTCCTATTCCCTGCCTTCCTCCAGAAGTAAACACTATCCTGAATTTTGTGGTTATCATTCCATGCCCTTGCTTTGAAAAAAAAAATAATTTTACCAAATGGGGAGGATCCTGTGCAACACATTATTACGTTTGTTTTTTGATCTTTATATAAACAGCACAATGCATGTGCATTCTTCTTTGGCTTGATTTTTTCATGCATCACTATGTTTCTAAAATACGTACATGATTTTGCACTTTTGGCTGGCCTTCATTCCTTTTTCCTGCTGTCTAGTACTCCGTTGTCAAATAGAATTCAGTGACTTTATCCATTCTCCAGTTGATGAGCACATGGATTGTTTCCAGTTTTTCGCTATCACCAATAAGGCTGCCATGATCATTCTTACACCTATGTCTTGGTGCACACATGTAGGAGTTCCTCTAAGCTACCTACCTCAGACTGTAATTGTGGGTCATTGGGTATGCACATAATTAGCTTTACAAGATGCTGCCAAGTGATTTTCTGAAGTGCTTGTATTGACTAACATTCTTCCTTTCCTCTGCCACAGTGGATGAGAATTCCAGTACCTCCACATCATCCCCAACAGAGTATGATCAGATTCCTTCACTGTTCCTCACACGGTCTCCATTTGCACCTCTCTAATAAGATGAAACATCTTTTTTTTTTTTTTTTTTTTTTGAGGCGGAGTTTCACTCTTGTTGCTCAGGCTGGAGTGCAGTGGTGCGATCTCAGCTGACTGCAACCTCTGCCTCCCGGGTTCAAGCAATTCTCCTGCCTCAGCCTCCCGAGTAGCTGGGATTACAGGTGCCTGTCACCATGCCTGGCTCATTTTTTTTGTATTTTTATTTTTATTTTGAGACAGAGTCTCACTGCCTCCCAGGCTGGAGTGCAGTGGCGTGATCTCGACTCACTGCAAGCTCCACCTCCCGGGTTCACGCCATTCTCCTGCCTCAGCCTCCCGAGTAGCTGGGACTACAGGCGCCCGCCACCATGCCCGGCTAATTTTTTGTATTTTTAGTAGAGACGGGGTTTCACCGTGTTAGCCAGAATGGTCTCGATCTCCTGACCTCGTGATCTGCCTGCCTCAGCCTTCCCAAAGTGCTGGGATTACAGGCGTGAGCCACTGCACCCGGCCTTTTTTTGGATTTTTAGTAGTGATGAGGTTTCACCATATTGGCCAGGCTGGTCTTGAACTCCTGACCTCAGGTGATCTGCCTGCTTCATGCTGGGATCACAGGTGTGAGCCACCGTGCCCGGCCGAAACATCTTTTCATATGTTTATTTTGCATTCTGGTTTCTTTTTCTGTAAATTGGCTGTCCGGTCCTTTTGCCCACTTTTCTATTAGGTTGTTTAGCCTTTGCTTATTGGTTGGAGGCATTCTTGGAGAAGTTTTTTTTTTGTTTTTATTTTTTAGTAGAATTAGAATCTGGGACCCAAGTTCATGGAGGACAGAGCCAGCCTCAAACCTACATATGTCTGATTCCAGGGCCCTTAGTATCCACCCCTTTGTTTCTCATTCATTCATTTCTTTCTTTCTTTCCCTCTTTTTTTTTTGAGATGGAGTCTCACTCTGTCACCCAGGCTGGAGTACAGTAGTGTAATCTTGGCTCACTGCAACCTCTCCCTCCCAGGTTCAAATGATTCTCCTGCCTCAGCCTCCCGAGTAGCGGAGACTACAGGCACATGCCACCACACCCAGATAATTTTTGTATATTTTTTAGTAGAGTCAGGGTTTCACCATGTTAGCCAGGCTGGTTTTGAACTCCTGACCTCAAGGGCTTTGCCTGCCTCAGCCTCCCAAAGTGCTGGGATTACAGGTGTGAGCCACTGCACCTGGCTCATTTATTCATTTCTCAAATGTCTACTGATGACTTTCTCAGTAAACACTGGAGAGGGAGTAGATGGTTGTGGTTAAGAGCATAGATTCAGGACCCCCCTGACTAGATTTTCATCTCTGCCTCTCACTAGCTGTGACCTCGGGTAAATTTCTAACCTATCTGTGCCTTAGTTTCCTTTCTATAAAGTAAGGATGATAATAAAGTCCTCTCTTACAGGGTTGATATGTGAGGACTGATGAACGAGTTAATTCATATAAAGGGCTTTGGAGGTGGGGTGGTGCAGTCAGTGCTGAATAAATAAATAGTACATGCCAGGCACTGGGCCTGCAGCACACCATTCTGGGGACACAGGAATGAAAAGACAGACAATGACACTGACATCATGCAGCTCACTGTCCAACAGAAAGAGACAAACACAAAACAAGTAAATAAATAAAATAACGTGGTTGTGACAAAGGCAAGGAAGAAAACCACAAGGTGACGAGACAGAGGGTGACGAGACAGAGACCAGGCACTGACTCAGCTGAGGGGTCATGCAGGGAAAGCCCCCTGTAGGAGTTGACATTTAGGCCAAGGCATGGAGGAGGAGAAAGAGCCACCCAGGCAAAGAGCAGAAGAAGGTGGCCCAGAAGAGAAAAGGGCAGGTGCAAAGGCCCTGAGGCAGGAAGAGCTTGACATTTCAAGAACTGCAAGGAGAGCAGTGTGGCCATGGCTTTGGCTGTGGCTGTAGCCAAGTGAACACGGAGATGACAGCAGGAAGAAGGTGGGGAAGCACCAGGGCAAAGGGGCTGGAATTTTTTTTTTTTTTGAGACGGAGTCTAGCTCTGTCGCCCAGGCTGAAATGCAATGGTGCCATCTCTACTCAATGCAAGCTCCGCCTCCCAGGTACACACCATTCTCCTGCCTCAGCCTCCCGAGTAGCTGGGACTACAGGCGCCTGCCACCATGCCTGGCTAATTTTTTTTTTTTTTTGTATTTTTAGTAGAGATGGAGTTTCACCGTGTTAACCAGGATGGTCTCAATCTCCTGACCTCGTGATCCGCCCACCTCGGCCTCCCAAAGTGCTGGGATTACAGGCATGAGCCACCGCGCCTGGCCAGGGGCTGGATTTTATTCCAAGTGCAGTGGGTGGTTTTGGACAGCAGAGTGTTGTGATCTGATATATGTCTTTATTTTATTTTATTGAAACAAGAGTCTTGCTCTGTCACCCAGGCTGGAGTGCAGTGGTGTGATCTCGGCTTACTGCAACCTCTGTCTCCCAGGTTCAAGTGATTCTCATGCCTCAGCCTCCAGAGTAGCTGGGATTACAGGTGCCCACCACCACAACAAGGAAATTTTTTTTTTTTTTTTAGTAGAGGCAGGGTTTTGCCATGTTGGCTGGGCTGGTCTCAAACTCCTGACCTCAAGTGATCCGCCTGCCTTGGCCTCCCAAAGTGTTGGAATTACAGGCGTGAGCCACCATGCTCAGCCTAATTTATGTCTTTAAAAGATCACTCTGACTGCCTTGTGATCAACTATCTATGAACTGATCTAAATACTTCTTGAAGCCACTAGTATTTTTAGCCAGTACCCCCTCTGTGTGAAGCAAAACTTCCCTTTACTGGTCTTAAATTTACTTCTTTCGAGTTTCAAGGGGAGCCCCCTTCTGCCTCCTATCTTAGGGTTAGTGGCCCAATGCGAGATCTCTAGTAAAGGTTTTCACAGAGTGGGTGGGAGGAGGGTCTCCCAGTTTATACCTTACCTGCTCTGTGATGTTTCACCACCTGTAAAATGAAAATAATGAGAGTGGCCACCTCAAGAGGCTTTGATGATGAAATGGGACACAGCTTGGCAGCAGGGAGTAATCAATATAGGCTAGCTTCCATGCAGATGACAATTATGGTGATCAGGAGGAGGATGATAATGATAGGGATGATGGTGATGGTGATGATGATGGTGATGATGGGGATGATGGTGATGGTGATGATGGTGATGTTGATGGTGATGGTGATGATGGTGATGGGGATGATGATGATGGTGATGGTGATGGTGATGATGATGGGGATGATGATGATGGTGATGTTGGGGATGATGATGATGGTGGTGATGGTGATGATGATGGGGATGATGATGATGGTGATGATGATGATGGGGATGATGATGGTGGGGATGATGGTGATGGGGATGATGGTGATGGGGATGATGATGATGGGGATGATGGTGATGATGGGGATGATGATGGTGGGGATGATGGTGATGGGGATGATGGTGATGGGGATGATGATGATGGGGATGATGGTGATGGTGATGATGATGATGGGGATGATGATGATGGGGATGATGATGGGGATGATGAGGATTCTGTTGTGTGATATTGGGGGAGTCAGTGAATGACATTTTCCATGTCTGTCAAATAAGGGTGTTGGACCAAATGATCTGTGAAGGTCCATCGAGGTCTGATGTTCTAGAATTTTCTAGTTTAAGTGCTCTCTTCCTCCTTTCAGCCTGGGTTACCCTCTTCCCTGCAATTTTGGTGCTCCCTAGTGATGTGTGATGAGAGATGGAGTATTATAGTAGAGACAAAACTGATGTGGAGTCAGGAGGCCCGAGGTTCCAGCGGCACCATTTATAGTGGAGTCTTCATCATGGTGCATTTAACTTACACACATTTTTTTTTTCTCTTTGAGACAGGGTCTTGCTCTGTCACCCAGGCTGGGGTGCAATGGCGTGATCTCGGCTCACTGCAACCTCCACCTCCTGGGCTCAAGTGATTCTCATGCCTCAGCCTCCCAAGTAGCTGCGGTTATAGATGTGCACCACCACGCCCGGCTAATTTTTGTATTTTTCACAGAGACGGTGTTTCACCAGGTTGCCCAGGCTGGTCTCGAACTCCCGGCCTCAAGTGATCTGCCCACCTTGGCCTCCCAAAGTGCTGGGATTACGGGCGTGAGCCACTGCACCCAGCCTAATTTACACACATTTAAACACGCGTGTAAAGGGAGGGGAGAGAGAGAGAGAGCACGTTGTGCATGAATCACTGCTACAGAGTCACACTCCAATTCCACTTGGTGAGCACTCACCCCTTGAGAGGGAATGTGACCTGCCAGGTTCCCCCCGCCGGTCCAAGTTCCTGCACTTCCAGCCTCATGTGGGCTCTCATCATGCTGAGTGTGATCCTGCTGTTCAAATGGTTTTTATGTGGTGTGGCCCCAGATACAAGCCAACCATTTCACCTGTGGTGAGCGGAAGGCGCAGCTATCTATAACACCTGAGAAAAAAAGAACCTGCTGTACTAGCTGTCAGCTGCTGGAGACCTTGCTTTCTGTTTCACTGGGAAACAGAAGCAATCAGAAGGAAACTTCCTCAGACTCCACCTCTCCCTTCACTCCCGCCTGTATCCGTGCCTGTTACCTGGACGCCTTGTGGAACTTGAATTCTACGCCCTCCACTGGGACACTGCCCTTCATCCTCTCTCACCTCCTCCAGGACAACAGTGAGCAATTCCTTGCGTCTCTCCCACAGCTCCAGGGGTCCCCCTCTTCTGCTGGCTCATTCACATCACCACACAATCGGCTGCAGTTCTTCCAATTGTACACACACACACACACATGCACAAGCCCATGCACACACACCCCCACACCCACACCGTCATATTTCTTTGCTCCCCCTTCCAGGAAAACATCTCAGTGTTTTCTGAATTGACCATCTTCATCCCTCCTTCCTTTTCTCTCTCCAGCTCTCTCTGTGGGGCTTTCACCCCCATCGCTCCACTGAAACTGCTCTTGTCAAGGTCATCGATGACCTCCCGCTGACAAACTCAACTGTCCCATCTCTACACCCCAAACTGACCCATCAGGAATAGCATGAGCTCCACCTTCCAAAGCTTCCGCAATCTCACCGTCTCCACCGTTACTACCTGTGTCCGAGGCACCACTGTTTCTTGCCTGGAGTTGTGTAAGAGCCTCTCAGTGACGTTCCCTGCTTTCTTTCTTTTTTTTTTTTTTTTTTTTTGAGACGGAGTCTTGCTGTCGCCCAGGCTGGAGTGCCGTGGCGCCATCTCCTCTCACTGCAAGCTCCGCCTCCCGGGTTCACGACATTCTCTTGCCTCAGCCTCCCGCGTAGCTGGGAATACAGGCGCCCGCCACCTCGCCCGGCTAATTTTTTGTATTTTTAGTAGAGACGGGGTTTCACCGTGTTAGCCAGGATGGTCTCGATCTCCTGACCTCGTGATCCGCCCACCTCGGCCTCCCAAAGTGCTGGATTACAGGCGTGAGCCACCGCGCCCGGCCAATTTTTTTTTTTTAGACGGAGTCTCGCTCTGTTGCCCAGGCTGGAGGGCAGCTCGCTCCAAGCTCCGCCTCCTGGGTTCACACCATTCTCCTGCCTCAGCCTCCCGAGTAGCTGGGACTACAGGCGCCCACCACCACGCCTGGCTAATTTTTTTTATTTTTATTTTTAACAGAGACGGGATTTCACCGTGTTAGCCAGGATGGTCTCGATCTCCTGACCTCGTGATCCGCCTGTCTCGACCTCCCAAAGTGCTGGGATTACAGGTGTGAGCCACCGTGCTGGGCATCCCTGCTTTCATCCTAGCACTCCCTGCTGCCTTTATACCCCATAGAATAACCAATGTGATCTTTTCATTTATTCATTTATTATTATTATTATTATTATTATTTTGGAGGCAAAGTCTCGCTCTATCCCCCAGGCTGGAGTACAGTGGTGCAATCTCGGCTCACTGCAACCTTCACCTCCCGGGTTCAAGTGATTCTCATGCCTTAGCCTCCCCAGTAGCTAGGATTACAGGCCCCCACCACCACGCCCGGCTAATTTTTGTGTTTTTAGTAGAGACGGGGTTTCACCATGTTGGCCAGGCTGGTCTCGAACTCCTGACCTCAGATGATCTGCCCACCTCGGCCTCCCAAAGTGCTGGGATTACAAGCATGAGCCACCGCACCCAGCCAATGTGATCTTTTTAAAACATGAGTCAAATTACTTCCTTCCTCTGTTCAAATGCCCCAGTGGCTCCCCTCTCACTCAGAGAAAATCTTAACACCGTTCTGTGGCCTAGAAAGTCCTACCTGAGCTGTGCACACCCCTCCCCACCTTACCTCCTGTTGCTTTTCCCTCCCTTGCCCCAGCCCCACTGGCCTCCTTGCTGTTCTTCGAGCAGCCAAGCACAATCACGCCTCCCGGTCTTCGCCCTTGTATTCCCTCTGCCTAGAGAAGGTAACTGCCCCTGCCCATTTATCCATGACAGGGCTCACTTCCGCTCATCACTAGGCAAGTTTCTCTGGCCATCCTGTTATACATACAATAGCACCCTAATCCTCTCTCACCTCTCCCACTGTCTAGCCCTCTCTCCTGCTTGTCGTTTCTTCATGGCATTCATCACTGTAGAACTGACCTTTGTTTACTGTATGTCTCTCCCACTAGAATGTTGTAGTCCTCATCATCAGCAGAGACTTTGTGCCATCCTCTGCTATATTATCCTGAAGAGTGCCTGGCTCATGGTAGGTGTTGAATCAATATACGTTAAGTAGATGAAAGCGTTTGCATAACTGGGAAGCTATTTGTTGGTGTCCACTGCACTCCAGCCTGAGTAACACAGTGAGACCCTGTCTTAAAATAATAATAATAATAATAATAATAATAATAATAATAATAATAATAATAATATTGGTGAGGGCTGGGTGCGATGGCTGATGCCTATAATCCCAGTACTTTGGGAGGCTGAGGTGGGTGGATTGCTGGAACACAGGACTTCAAAACCAACCTGGGCAACATGGTGAGACCCTGGCTCTACAAAAAAATTTTAAAAAGTAGCCCTGCATGGTGGCACGTGCCTGTGGTCCCAGCTATGCAGGTGGCTGAAGTGGGAGGATGGCTTGAGCTCAGGAGGTCAAGGCTACAGTGAACCGTGATCATGCCACTGCACTCTAGCCTGGCAGTCTGAGGGAGACTGTTTCTATATTGCTGAGGATGTGGGTAGCTGGAGAGTCTCAGGCATTATCAGTGAAAGTGTGAATTGCTATTACCCTAGTGTGAGGCAAGTCCTTTGACTCCTGAATCCTCAGTCTAGGAATTTACCCTCAGGTAATTCTTACCCAATGTCAAAAAGATGCAGGGATGTTCACGGAACTTTTTTTATAGTAGTGAAAAATTGGAAATGACATCAATGTCCAACCATACAAGGGTTGGTTGTTAAAATTATGATAGAGCCATATAATGAATACTAAGGGGCCATCAAAAATGATATTGTGAAAGGATACTTCATGAAACTTGAGAATATGTTTATAATATATTATTAAGTGAACATTTTTTTAAAAACCAGCAGGCCAGGTGTGGCGCCTCATGCCTGTAATCCTAGCACTTTGGGAGGCTGAGGTGGGTGGATCACCTGAAGTCAGGAGTTCAGGACCAGCCTGGCCAACATGGTAAAACCTCGTCTCTACTAAAAATACAAAAATAAGCCAGGCGTGGTGGTGTGCGCCTGTAATCCCAGCTACCCAGGAGGCTGCAGCAGGAGAATCGCTGGAACCTGGGAGGCAGAGGTTGCAGTGAGCTGAGATTGGACTACTGCACTCCAGCCTGGGCAACAGAGCGAGACTCCATCTCAAAGAAAAAAAAAAAATTAAGAGCAATATGTAAAGTGTGATGTCATTCTTGTATACACATATCTGTGTGTGTTCAGACCCAGGAAGCTATTTAGGAAGAGGACACCAACATGTTTAAAATGTGGTGGTTTCCATTGTTGAATTGAGCTGGTGGGAGGTGTAGGGGGGTTCACTGTGTTATTCTTTCAACCTTTCTGTATGTTTAAAAAATCTGGGCCAGGCACAGTGGCTCACGCCTGTCATCCCAGCACTTTGGGAGGCCAAGGCAGGCCTTGGCAGGATCACTTGAGACGGGAGTTTCAGACCAGCCTGGGCAACATGGTGAAACCCCATCTCTACAAAAAAAATATAAAAATTAGCTGGAAATGGTGGTGTGCACCTGTAGTCCCAGACTCAGGAGGCTGAGGTGGGAGGATTGCTTGAGCCCTGGAGATTGAGGCTGCAGTGAGCCCAGATTGTACCATTGCACGCCAGCCTGGGTGACAGAGTGAGGCCCTGTCTCAAAAAAAAAGAAAAAGAAAAATCTAGTCAGGTGTGGTGGCTCATGCCTGTGGTCTCAGCACTTTGGGAGGCTGAGGCAGGAGAACCACTTGAGGCTAAGAGTTTGAGACTGGCCTGGGCAACGTAGTGAGATCCAGCCTCTAAAAAAAAAAATTAGCCAGATGTGGTGGCAAACGCCTGTGGTCCCAGTAGCTCTGGAGGCTGAGGTGAGAGGATTGCTTGAGCCCAGGAGGTCAAGGCTGCAGTGAGCTCTGATTGTGCCATTGCACTCCAGCCTGGGTGACAGAATGAGACCCTGTCAAGAAAGAAAGGAAGAAGGGAAAGGGAAAGGGAAAGAAAGAGAGAGAGAAAGAAAGATCTTACAATAAAAAATTGAAAGACCTATAATCCCAGCACTTTGGGAGGCTGAGGCCGGCGGATCACTTGAGGTCAGGAGTTCGAGACCAGCCTGGCCAACATGGTGAAACCCTGTCTCTACTAAAAATACAAAAATTAGCTGGGCATGATGGCATGTGCCTGTAATCCCAGCTACTTGGGAGGCTGAGGCAGGAGAATCGCTTGAACCCAGGAGGCAGAGGTTACAGTGAGCCAAGATCGCACCACTGCACTCCAGCCTGGGCGACAGAGTGAGACTCCGTCACAAAAAAAAAAAAAAATTTTTTTTGAAAGAAAATATGGTTATTTGGGGGTAGAGGGATTTGGGGAGATAGTTTTTCTTCTTTGCACATCGTGTATTTTATTTACTTTCCTATAATGAGCATCTACCACTTTTACAAAACTAATGAATTGATATCAAAATAAAATACAGCTCTTGTCACACAAAATGTTTAAATTAAAAAAATAAACAATAGTTGTCTTGATAGTTTAAAAAGATAGAAGACAACACAAATACCTGTGAGTAGAGAACTGAGCAAGTAAATTATAGTAGTCATACAAACATTGCACCCCCGTTTAAAAATATGTTATAGAAAAGATATTTACAGTAATTTGGTGAGTGAAAAAACAGGCCATAAAACAGACTGTAGAGTATTAACCCATTTTTGAAAAAAAATGTATATATGTTGCCCACCCATAGAAAAAACTGGAAATATCCATGCCAAAATGTTAGCAGTGGTATTCTTTGGAAAATGGAATGACAGGTGTTTTCCCTCCCTTCCTTTTGCTTATTTATATGTCATAAATCAGTTTTATCCAGTAGAACTTTCTGGGATGATGGAAATGTTCTCTATCTGCCTTGTTCAATATTATCATAGCCATTAGCCACATACAGAATACTTCACATATGGCTAGTTGGCCAGGCCCTGTGGCTCATGCCTGTAATCCCAGCACTTTGGGAGGTCCAGGTGGGCAGATCACTTGAGCCCAGGGGTTTGAGACCAGCCAGGGCAACATAGCAAAACCCTATCTCTATAAAAAAATACAAAAATTAGCTGGGTGTGGTGGTGTGTGACTGTAGTCCCAGCTACTTGGGAGGCGGAGGTGGGAGGATTGCCTGAGCCCAGGAGGTTGAGGCTGCAGTGAGCCATGATTGCACCACTGCACTCCAGCCTGGGCAACAGAGCAAGACCCTGCCTCAAAATAAAATAAATAAATGTGGCTAGTGAGACTGAAAAATGAAATTTTTATTGTATTTAATTCTAATTAATTTAAACTTAAGTGGCCACATGTGGCTAGTGGTTACTGCATTGGACAGCATAGTTCTCAAATGTTTACGAAGAACACACATATTGGCTTTGCAAAGAGGGAAAAGAGAGCTTTTCTTCCTTTTTTTTCCCTTGTGTGTTTATTTGTTCTGCCCTGGCTTCTTGAAGAGCTCCTCTGAAATCCCAGGGAGAGGCAGTGAATGCAAGGGCTTTGCAAACTGTTAAGTGCTGTACTCAGGAGATGCTGCTGTATGAGACTCTTTTTCCCCTTGCCTGGAACCCTTTTTCTCCTCTCCTCATGGGCTCCCAGCTAAGGTAGAGCCCTGACCAGAGAAAGCATCTTTGGGTGGTCTCTCAAGGGGGAACAGGGTATCCTGGGGTCTGGCCCCTGCAGCTAAGGCCCTCTCCTGAAAAGACTTTCCAGAAGGCATTCATTCACTCATGTATTCATTCAACAACCATTACTAACCATTCTCCTTCTCACCAGTCACTGCACTAGGCCCTGGGTACAGTGGCGTGGCTTAAAATCTAGGCTTTGGGAGGTATGGAGTGGTAACTGACAGGGCTGGGACACAGAAGGCCAGCTCAGCCACCCGTGGGCATGCCCCTTAATTTTCCTAAACCTCTATTTTTCTCTTCTGTAAAAGCAGGAAAATAGTGACACTGTCTTGCCAATCCCCTAGGGTCAATCAGGGCTGAGAAAGTTAATTACAGAGGCCTGCAGAGATATTCGTGATCAAAGAATATGCCTTCCTGGGAGAATAAGCGGGTAGTGACAGCCAGCTCCAATGCCCATGTAGATATTATTATTAATAATATTTTATCAGCCAGGCGCGGTGGCTCACGCCTGTAATCCCAGCACTTTGAGAGGCCGAGGCAGGCAGATTACGAGGTCAGGAGATCGAGACCATCCTGGCTAACAGAGTGAAACCTCATCTCTACTAAAAATACAAAAAATTAGCCAGGCGTGGTGGCAGGCGCCAGTGGTCCCAGCTACTCGAGAGGCTGAGGAAGGAGAATGGCGTGATCCCAGGAGGCGGAGCTTGCAATGAGCCAAAATCGAGCCACTGCACTCCAGCCTGGGCGACAGAGCAAGACTCCGTCTCAAAAAAAAAAAAAAAAAAAAAATTAGCCGGGCGTGGTGGCACACGCCTGTAGTCCCAGCTACTTGAGAGGCTGAGAATTGCTTCAACTTGAGAAGTGGAGGTTGCAGTGAGCCAAGATTGCACCACTGCACTCCAGCCTGGGTGACAGAGCAAGACTCCGTCTCAAAAATAAATAAATAAAATAATAATAATAATATTTTATCACAACACATCACAGTTTCTTTAAGAGTAGTTAAAATATCAACCTTAAGGAAACCAGGAAAAGGGTGTTATCATTCATCCATACAGCATTTGTTGATTCCCACTGAAGTTCCAGGCCAAGGTGGGGTAGGGGATCAGTCTGGGAATGGGGACCTGACATGCGAGAAAGACACATAAGGAAATATTCCCTTTTTATTCATTCACTCCTCTGGCATATGCCAACCCTCTGGGGACATAATGAAAGACATCCACAGCCTTGCTCTCAGGAAGCTTTTAAAGGAAGTGGGGAGGCAGATATTCCTCAAATAGCCATTCAACTGCATATTATAAACGGTGATAAGGGTTAAGGAGAGGAAGTACAGAGTGCTATGAAGACATCATGGGGGACCTTGATGTACTTGGTGGTGGGAGGGTCAGAGATGGCATCTCTGGGGAGGTCAGCATCTAAAGGAGTTGAATAAGGACTGATAGGGTGGGGAAAGAGGGTCCAGGAGGCAGAAACAGCATGTGCCAAGGCCCTGAGCTGGGAGAGGGCAGGGTGCTTGTGAGGCCAGTGTGGCTGGAACCCAGCTGGCAAAGGAAGGGGTGCGTTATGCAGCTGAGGCTCTAGTGGACCATACTTAGGAGCCAGTGAAGGCTTCAGGGAAGGACAGTGAGGACAGCTGTCCATTCTGGATGGAACACTGGAGGGGCAGAGTGGGCGAGGCATGGGCACAATGGCAGCTGGTGCCAGGGAGGCAGCAATGGGGTGGAGAGAAGGGGAGAGTGGGTGCGTAATGAGCGCGATGGCAGCCTGTGTCAGGGAGACAGCAGGGGGTTGAGAGAAGGGGAGAAATTTGAGGGCTGCTTGGGAGGTAAGTGGGGCAAGACGTGGGGTTGGATTGGCCCTGGGAGAGGTGGCACGAGAGGTCCCAGTGGGTAAGCTCTGTGACCCAGGAAGGGCTGGCTAAATCTGACCTGGGGAAGGCCTCCCAGATGGAGCACATCTCCCCGGTATCGTGAAATAGGTTGCAGCACCCCTAGTGGAGAAAAAGGGGAAAGACAGTCTATCCCTGGCGAGCAGAAATTCAGCTGGGAGTTGTCAGTGAAACGAAACTAACATTGAGTATGGACCGTGTACCAAGCCCTTTCTAAGTGCTTTACCTTCATCACCTCATTTAATCCTCCCAACAACTCTACAAGGTCGATGCTATTATCACTCTCATTTTACAGATGAGGAAGCTGAGGCTCAGAGAGGTGCTGCCACTGGGATGCGGACTCCAGGAAGCCTGACCCCGTCCTGCCTTTTAATCACGGCATCATACTGCTCTTGTGGTTTGGGATGATTAGAACCTGAGAGAGTTGGAGAGGGGAAGGAGCGGGTTGAGTCTGAGCCTAAGAAATGGGCTGGGACCAAATCCCGGGGGGCTGCTGGTGTTAGACTTGGGGGTGTTGACATCATTGCAGATGAGTGGGTAGCACATTCTTAGGGAGAGGGTGGTGGGATCACGTGTGCTTTTCTGAGAAGTCACTCTGGGATGGGGCAGAGAAGAAGTAAAAAAAAAAAAAAAAAACAGAAAAAAAAACAGAGGAGAGACAGTGAGGCAGGGCATGGGTGAGTACAAGGCCAGGGCAGCAGGGCTCTGGGAAGGGTGAACACCAGGCAGACAGTTCCAAGGTAGATCTAACAGGTGACTAGGTGGTGGGAGGTGAGGGGTGAACAATCAAATGTGGGTAAAGGGTCACGTTGGTTTTATTCATTCACTCAGCAAACTTTTTTTTTTTTTTTTTTTTTAGATGGAGTCTTGCTCCGTGGCCCAGGCTGGAGAGCAGTGGCGCCATCTCAGCTCGCTGCAACCTCCACCTCCCGGGTTCAAGCGATTCTCCTGCCTCAGCCTCCCAAGTAGCTGGGATTACAGGCACGCGCCACCATGCCCGGCTAATTTTTGTTATTTTTTCATAGAGATGGGTTTTCACCATGTTGGCCAGGCTGGTCTCGAACACCTGACCTCAAGTGATCTGCCCACCTCAGCCTCCCAAAGTGTTGAGATTACAGGTGTGAGCCATGTGCCTAGCCCACTTAGCAAACCTTTATTGAGCACCTACTATGTGCCAGGTCTCGAACAAAGTGCTAAGAACATAGAGAAAAAGGATGGGATTGCTGGCCAAGAAGGGACATGGGAGAGGAGAAGGGAAGGGAAGACAGTGATGGATCCGGCTGGGGATGTACTGAGTTGGCGGGGCAGGGGACAGCCAAGGGGCAACAGCCAAGGGGCAGCTGAACACATGGTCTGAGACTCAGGAAAGAGGTAGAATTTGAGATGCAGGATTTTAAAAATCAAATCTCGAGCACAACTTGGTAAACTTACTGAAAATCATTGACTTGTACCCTTAAAGTGAGTGAATTGTATGATCTATAAGTAATACCTGGATAAAGTTTTCAAAATACAATTAGGGAAAAACCCAAGAAGTCTCAAAGTTCCTAGGAAATCATGAAACAAGGAGGAAGAGAACATTCCAGTCAGAGGGCAGAGGGTGTGAGTGAAACCTGGAGGCCTGGCTGGAGTGGGCACGAGGTGTGGCTGAAACCAGGGGTGCTTAGCGGGGATAGACGGAGCTGCAGCCTCGCCCTTGAGTGGGTTGTACCAGTCATGTCACTGAGCACTGACGCTGCGCTCTGCATCCTGGAGAAAATCAATCTTCCAACAACCCCAGAAGAAGGGATGCCAGATGAGGAAACTGAGGTTCAGAGAGGTTAAGTAGCTTACCCAGTCACATTGCTATTAAGGAGGTATATATATATATATATATTTATATGGAGACGGAGTCTTGCTCTGTCGCCCAGGCTGGAGTGCAGTGGCTGGATCTCAGTTCACTGCAAGCTCCTCCTCCCAGATTCACGCCATTCTCCTGCCTCAGCCTTGCGAGTAGCTGGGACTACAGGCGCCCACCACCACGCCCGGCTAATTTTTTGTATTTTTAGTAGAGACGGGGTTTCACCTGTTAGCTAGGATGGTCTTGATCTCCTGACCTTGTGATCCACCGGCCTTGGCCTCCCAAAGTGCTGGGATTACAGGCGTGAGCCACCGCACCTGGCTTTTTTTTTTTTTTTTTTTTTTTTGGAGTCTCGCTTTGTCACCCAGGCTGGAGTGCAGTGGCACAATCTCGGCTCACTGCAACCTCTGCTTCCCGGGTTCAAGCAATTCTCGTGCCTCAGCCTCCTGAGTAGCTGAGATTACAGGTGCCCGCCACCAGGCCGGGCTAATTTTTGTATTTTTAGTAGAGATAGGGCTTCAGCCTGTTGGCCGGGCTGGTCTTGAACTCCTGACCTCATGACCCACCCACCTCGGCCTCCCAAAGTGCTGGGATTACAGGCATGAGCCACCGCGCGCAGCTTAAGGGGGTAGAATCTGAGATCCATCAGCTCTAGAGTTTGGGATCTTGAGTAACAGTTTCGCCACGTTTAACAAATGTCCGGGGCCTGGAACGGAGACACTGGCGCTTCTATCGCGCCATCTGCTGGCCAAAACGTAGAGCTCAACTGGCGACGGAAAGGCGTTGGTTCCCAGGCTTGACAGGATTCCCTTCTGCCCTCTTCTCAACTGTTTCTCCCAACAGCCCTGAGTGGGTGGTAGGCAGGAATTGTCCAGCCTCATCTTACCAATGAGGAGACCAAGGCTTGGAGAGAAGAGGCGACTTCTCAAAGATGATCCAGAGGAGTAAAGGAGGCCCCGGGATTCAAACCCCCCTCCGTGAGGTGCTCTCCACCTCCCGCTGTCCTCAGTGTGGACTTAGATCCCAGAGCATCTTCACCCCTCTGAGGGGGTGAGGCCAGTCCCCTCCCTGGCTGGCTTGCAGACAGCGACCCAGGTTCAGGTAGCGGCCTAACCCACCCAGCTCTGTCTCTGTGGGGGTGGTTTGACCTGATGCAGGTTTGAGCCTGTATCAGGCTCTGTGGGGGGTTAGGGCAGGGTTCTCAAGGCTGAGCAGAAAGCTTCCACCCCACCCCTCCACTGGGGACTCCAAGCAGGTGACATTTCTGTTTGGGGAGCTGGCTGCCCCTTCCCTGTCCCCAGCCCTTCAGGAATTCTGGGTCTCAGGCTCTGGAAGGAGGGAGAGGAGAGAGAGAGGAGGCCCAGGCAGAAGTGGGGAGACAGTAGGCTGGGAGAAGGAGGGGCATGGGGGTGGGGCCAGAGCAAGGCCACAGCGAATGATAGTGACAGCAACCGTGCTAAGAAGAGCTGCCACTGTGGAGGGACAGGCGCTGCAAAGGTGCTTTACGGGAATTATGAGCCTTAACCTTCTCTGTGGCCCTGAGAGGCAGGGAGGATCATGACCCTCACTGACAGTGGAGGAGCAGTATCCAGGAGCTTGAGTAATGTGCCCAGGGTCACATGGCCAGTGAATATGAAGCCAGAATCACAACCCAGGGAGTTGTGACTCCCAGAAGGAGGGGACTGATGGGAAGCAGAGTGAAGGAGCAAAGGACTGATGGGGTGGCCATCAGGCTGGGAGTGGGGGACAAAGACGTCCAGCTGCCTGGCCGTCCCATGGCTGTCATCGTGTGTACGAGTGTGTATGTGTGCCAGGGAGAGAGAGTGTCTGAGAGTCTCGGTTGTCAAATCTTGGTGACATCCTGGTGGCATGGGTTGTCTGACTGTGGCTGAGCAATCTGGGTTGTTGAGGGGCCAGGAAGGCTTCTTCTCTCCCTCAAGAAGTCTGGGTCAACTTTGAGTCATCCTTCTGAGCACATCTTAAAAGTCACCTCTCCTGGGAAGCCCTCCTGGATTGCTAAAATGGGGTCGAATTCCCATGTTACACACTTGCAATGCTTCTCCTGCCAAGTAGTCATCATATGTATAAGTGGTTAAATATTTGTATTTACTCGGTAGAAGCCCTGTGTTCTGACCCAGTTGGAGCTGGTAGTGGGCAGGTGCCAGGAATTTAGATAAAACCAGATGTGCGGGGGCAGGTTGCAGAGGGAAACCCTGGCTCTGAACATTCATTGTTTCCTGAGCTCCAGGCTGCGGATTTTATTGAGAGAACGGAGACTGCTGGTGAACTCTCAAGAGGGTTAATTGGAGTTTTATCAAGCCAGATTTCATGGTGTCTGCTTAATGTTAATCTCTCCAAGCTTCCCACCAGACTGCAAAGGCTGAGGTGACTGCCTTGACTCTACTATGTCCCTAGAACTTAAAGCCCCGTGGGTGGTTCTTGCACTTGACAAACACATATTAAAGGAAAGAACGAATCGATGAAGCATGGGTTTGGGTGCCGGGCTGGGGAAACCAGGTTTGTGAGTGAGGGGATGAGGTGACAGGACCCAAGCAGGGCTGGCATGGGTGGCAGCGGAGAACCACAAGACCACGTGTGGTCACCTATGTGATGATGCCTCCTGGAGTTGTTCAGAGCAGTGCACAGCCTGTGGTAGGGGGCTGGCTTCCCTTAAACGCTGTTTGGGGAAGTACAGCCTGACAGTAGGTTTTCAGGAACTGGGAGGACCAGAAGGTGCCCTGATTCCCTTCCTCCCTGATCTCCCCTGGCACCAGCTCCTTGCTCAGCCTCCTCGCTTCTCTAATTTCTTGCAGCTGCAGTGTTCTGAATAGCAGTCCAGCTATGAGGGGAGGTGCCCGTGGCAGGCCTCAGCTGACCCTGGAGAGGCCATTAAGACCTGGCTGTCGCCTCCACAGCTGCTCGGAGGCAGGTGAGTCTGGTTCTCTGAGTCTCCCTCCTAGAGGTGGGCACTGAAGTCAGGCCCAGCGGATGGGAAGGAAAGAGGCCAGGGCTGGAGAAGCAGCCAGCGTTTCCCACTTCCTCCCCAACTGCCACTCCAGGTGGTGGCCCAGGTGACTGGGTCTCTTTGTCCTCCTCCCTCCCAGACACACTCTTGCCCTGGGTTTTCAGGAAAGTGGGGAGGCTAAGCAGCTCATCCCAGGCAGTTGGGCAAACCATCCCACCAGGTACCTGGCCAGATGCTGTCCCAGACACCTCCCTCCAGGCTGTCATCCTCCACATCACTGGGACTAGTAGTAAGGGAAATAGAAAGCTCCCCAACGCCCTCCACCTGCACCCCAGGCCTGATCCTGAGGCATGGCTGGCTCAGAGACAGTGACAGTGGGGTCAAAGGGTATGAGACAGATTCTCCATCTACCAGGAACAGGCAAGTGAGCCTCAGCCTCCTCGTCTGGAATGAGGGACAATAGTACCTATTTCACAGTAAAGTTTCTGGAACATAGGTGTTCAATAAATGACAGACGCTACCATCACAGATTACCAATGTTACAAAACTGTAAACAGAGAAAGGTGGCTTTGTAAGAAGAAAAGAGATCATTCTTTTTCCACCATGTGAGGACCCAGCAAGAGGGTGGCTGTCTGCAAACCCAGGGAGAGAGCCCTCACCAGGAATCTGCTGGCACCTTAATCTTGGACTTCCCAGCCTCCACAACTGTGAGGAATAAATGTATGTTGTTTAAGCCACCCAGTTTGTGGTATTTTGTTATAGCAGTCCTAGCTGACTAAAAAATACTGTCTCCTATAACCCATGAGTTTTGTTTCAAAGCACTTAACACAATCTATAGTTATACATCTACCTATGCAATTTATCTTTTTAAATTTTATTTTGTTTTATTATTTTTGGGGGATGGAGTCTCACTCAGTCACCCAGGCTGGAGTGCAGTGGCATGATCTCGGCTCACTGCAACTTTCGCCTCCTGAGTTCAAGCAATTCTCCTGTCTCAGCCTCTGAGTAGCTGGGATTATAGGTGTGTACCACCACGCCTGGCTAATTTTTGTATTTTTATTAGAGACGGGGTTTCACCATGTTGGCCAGGTTGCTCTCAAACTCCTAACCTCAAGTGATCCAGCTGCCTTGGCCTCCCAAAGTCCTGGGATTACAGGCATGAGCCACCGCACCTGGCCTGTGCAATTTATCTTTTTAAGTTTTTCCTGAAGTATAACAAACACAAAAACACACAAATCCTGTGTACAGCTCAATATACCTTCACAAAATGAACCCATCTGCATAACCTGCCTCTAGGTCAAGAAGTGAACATAACCAGCTCCCCAGAAGCCTCCTTGTGACGCCTCCTCATCGCTACCTCTCCCTGGAGGTAGCTATCATATAATTATTCATTTAGTTATCAATGTGGGTGTCATGTGTGTCCTCTATGGATTATTTTCTTAGGGCTGCTGTAACAAATTACTACAGCCTTGGTAGCTGAAAGCAACAGAAACTTATTCTCATGGTTCTTCCAGAAGTCTGAAATCAAGGTGGGCTGGGCGCGGTGGCTTATACCTATAATCCCAGCACTTTGGGAGGCTGAGGTGGGAGGATTGCTTGAGCCCAGGAGTTTGAGACCAGCCTGGGCAACATGGTGAAACACCATCTCTACGAAAAAATACAAAAAATAGCCAGCCTGTAGTCCCAACTACTTGGGGGGCTGAGGCAGGAGGATTGCTTGAGTCCGGGAGGTGGAGGTTGCAATGCGCTGAGATCACGCCACTGTACTCCAGCCTGGGTGATGGAGGGTCTAAGGGAAGATCCATTCCATGCCTTTCTCCTAACTTTTGGTGGCTGCTGGCAAAATCCTTGGCATTTTGTGGAGTGCCCCTGCCCTCCAGTCTCTGCTTCTGTCTTCACAAGGCCTTTTCGTCTGTGTCTCTGTGCACTCTTCTGTCTCTTATCAAGACACTCTCATTGGATTTCAGGCCCACCCTAATCCAGCATGATTTTATTTTGATACTTATCTTAATTACACCTGCAAAGACCCTGTTTTCTTTTTCTTTTTTTTTCTTTTCTTTTTTTTTTTTTTGAGATGGAGTCTCACTCTGTCGCCCAGGCTGGAGTGCAGTGGCACTATCTCGGCTCACTGCAAGCTCTGCCTCCCGGGTTCAGGCCATTCTCCTGCCTCAGCCTCCCAAGTAGCTGGGACTACAGGCGCCCGCCACCACGCCTGGCTAATTTTTTTGTATTTTTAGTAGAGACGGGGTTTCACCGTGTTGGCCAGGATGGTCTCGATCTCCTGACCTCGTGATCCACCCACCTCGGCCTCCCAAAGTGCTGGGATTACAGGCGTGAGCCACCACGTCCGGCCAACCCTGTTTTCAAGTAAGGTCATATTCTGAAGTTCTAGGTGGACATGCATTTTTGGGAGACACGCTTTCACCCACCGTACCCTACAAGATTGCAAGCCCCAGGAGGACAAGTGGTGTCACTCATCTTTGGATCCCCAGAACGAGCCTAGCCTCAGAACCTAGCCTGGCAGATAGGAGCTGCTCACAAAATGTGGGCTGAATAGATGAATTATCAGTACATCTTCACATCAGGAGAACCAATGCTGTGTACCTGACACATGGTGGGTAGTGAGTAATTGATTGACAAGTGAATGACATTTAGACATCAATTGAGAGTGACTGCAGAGTATAGAAATAATGATAGGATGGCTGGGCGTGATGGCCATGCCTGTAATCCCAGGACTTTGGGAGGCTAAGGCAGGTGGATCACTTGAGGTCAGGAGTTCAAGACCAGCCTGGCCAACATGGTGAAGCCCTATCTCTACTAAAAATACAAAAATTAGCCAGGCATGGTGGCACATGCCTGTAATCCCAGCTACTTGGGAGGCTGATGCAGGAGAATCACTTGAACCTGCGAGGCAGAGGTTGCAGTGAGCCGAGATCATGCCATTGCACTCCAGCCTGTGCAATGAGCAAAACTCTGTCTAATAAATAAATAAATAATGATAAGATGGCCAGGCACGGTGGCTCATGCCTGTAATCCCAGCACTTTGAGAGGCCGAGGCAGGTGGATCACTTGAGGTCAGGAGTTCAAGACCAGCCTGGCCAACATGGTGAAACCTCATCTCTATTAAAAACACAGAAATTAGCCTGATGTCATGGCAGGTGCCTGTTTCCAGCTACTTAGGAGGCTGAGGCAAGAGAATGTCTTGAACCTGGGAAGCTGAGGTTGCAGTGAGCAGAGATCATGCCACTGCACTCCAGTGTGGGTGACAGAGCAAGACTATCTCAAAAAAAAAAAAAAAAGGCCGGGCGTGGTGGCTTATGCCTGTAATCCCAGCACTTTGGGAGGCCAAGGCTGGCAGATCACCTGAGGTCAGGAGTTCGAGATCAGCCTGGGCAACATGGTGGAACCCCGTCTCTACAAAAAACACAAAAAATTAGCTGGGCGTGGTGGCACGTACCTGTAGTCCCAGCTACTCAGGAGTCTGAGACATGAGAATTACTTGAACCGGGGAGGCGGAGGTTGCAGTGAGCCGAGATCATGCCACTGCACTCTAGCCTGGGCAACAGAGTGAGACTCCATCTCAAAAAAATAAAAATAAAAATAAAAAAATAAAAAGAAATAATGAAGGTGCTGCTCACTGAGCACTTACTTTGGCCCCCCTGTATTCTCTGCATGGTTCTATTTAATCCCATTTTACAGAAAAGTAGGGGATCATGTGTCCCAGTTTGGATGGGACAGATCCAGTTGGCACCTATTGTCCCAGCATAGGGAGTATTTTATTCCCACTTTCCCATTCTAGTCTTAGAAGCGTACTGAGCTGGTCAATAAAGTACATGGTCACCCCATAGATAAGGCAATGGAGCCTTAAAAATTCCTAAAGGCAATAAATTCAGCACCTGATTTGCTTTCTTCTCAGAGACTCTAAAGCCTTTGCCCTTAACTGCTAGTGGTGCTGAGGGTGTTAATTAGGAGGGTTGTTGTTTTTTTGTCCTTGTTTTAGTTTTGGCAGCAATAAGGCTGGTATCAAGTAACCATCTCAAGAGAGAGAGGTCGTAGGGAGGCCAGCTCCCTCCCTGCTCCAGTCTGGTGATCTGTGGAGGAGGAGAGAGGTTCACAGACCCCCATCCACGCAGAATGGCTCAAGAATTTGCAGGTCCCAGTGCAAAATCAAAATGCAGAGCCTCTTGTTAAACAGTTAAAAAACTGTTAATAATTCAAGACAGCAACAGCAGAGCATTAAACAAACGCTGGGCCCTTTGGTGTGTGGGACCATGCAGGTCACATGCCCATGAAACTGTCCCTGCATCCCCCTCTTACCCAAGCTGGGACTCTGGCAGTCATCCTTGACCTCTCCCCCTCTCTAAGCCCTCTTTTCACATTGAGTCCCGCGGATCCAAGCTTATTGAGCAGCTCCCCCACTCCCTTCCAAATGCCATGCCTCTGGTCCAGTGACACTTCTCACCGCTAGACTAGAGCAACCACTCAGACAGCTTCCAGTCCTGCCTGCTCTGGCCCATCCTCCCCTCTGCGGCCAGAAAGAGCTCCCCAAAGGCCAATCTTACCCTAGGACCTCCCTGCTTAAAACCTTCCATGGCCCCTGCTGTGGACTGAATTGTGTCCTCCCCAGAATCACATGTTGCAGCTTTAAGTCCCATTGCAACTGTGTTTGGAAAAGGGGCCTTTAGGAAGTAATTAAGGTTAAATGAGGTCATAAGAGTGGGACCCTGATCCCTTGGGATTCATGCCTTATAAGAGGAGACACTGCAGAGCTCACTCTCCTCTTCCCCACTGTGAGCACACACACAAAGAAAAGGCCATGTGAGGACACAGCAAGAAGGCAGCTGTCTACAAGCCAGGAAGAGAGCCCTCACCAGAAACTGAATCTGCTGGCACCTTGATCTTGGACTTCTGGCCTCCAGAACAGTGAGGCATCAATGTCTGTTATTTAGCTACGAAGTCTGTGGTATTTTGTTATGGCATCCCGAGCACACAAAGGCAGCTCCCCGCCGTCTGAGATCTGGGCATGATCTCCGTGGCTGTGTGTTAGGGACCCCACCTCTCCAGCCCTTGCCAGACCTTCTTTCCTGTCTCTGGGTGTTCTACAAGATCTCCTTCCTCTGGATCTTCCAACATATTCTTCCTCTACCCCTTTCTTACCTATTTATCTGGTCAACTCCTGCTTGGCTCTCAGTCCCCAGCTTAGAAATGAAGCCTCCCTGACCTCCCCACCCATGCACAGTCCATGGAGGGCTCCTCCTCCCTGCCCCCACAGCTCCTCCATGCTCCCTCCCTTGTGGGGAATTCTACTACACGTTTTGGGCCTCTCTTGCCCAATAGTTCAGGAGCTCCCTGAGAACCGGGACCTTATTCTGCTCAACCCTTGGTCCTGAGCATCTACAGGTCTGGAGGCCTCTCACCCCTCCCTGGTGTTCTTGACCTTTAAGAAGGATGCCAGGGGCTGACTGTGAGTTCCAAAGCCCCTCTGGGAAGCTGGGGGCTGAGGAACAGAGTTGGAGGCCAGACTGTGGGTAGAGGAGCAGGGCTGAGGGTGCAGGAAGAGACTTCAACGGCCTCTGTGGGTTCACTTTTCATCCACCTCCTTCCCAGGGAGAACCTGCAACTGGCTCTGCTTGGAATGCGTCATTCATTTATTTAGTCAACAAACATTCATTGTGCTTCCAATTAGGGTCAGGCCCTGGGCCAGGTACTAGGATGCTGCAGGGGAGGTTCCTGGGTCCCCACCAGGAGACACATGACATAAGCTATGACTTTGTGTTGAATGAGGGACTTCCCCCAGAGTAATGGGAAAGAGGACTTGGAGGTCAGATAAGCCTAGTGCGACTCCAGGCTCTGCTCTTCATTAGCTGGTAACATGGGACAATCCAAGCATGTGCCCTACTTTTTTAAATCTTGAAAATGGCTCTGACAGCAGAGCCTCTGGAGGCCTGGGGTGGGATGAGATCCTGGAACATGACCCCAGTTCCAGGCCTCTGCTTTCTCCCATTCAACTTGATATGCCTCATGCACGTCTTCCTCACAGTCACCTATTCCCCACATCATGGCCATGGTCAGGCTCATGTCCATGTGTGGGGTGTACTTGACCATGAGGAAGACATAGCAACAACCTACAGTAGCGACCTTCAGCCAACACCCCTGGTGAGACCTGTCCAGAGACTCAGGCAAAGAACCCCCATGTGACACATTCCTCCCAAACCAAGGTACCACATTCTGCAGAGGCCACCTCAGCCTCTCTCTTCCCTGGGTTCAAGTTTCTACTCTGACTGGGGTTCTTAGAGCTGCCTGACCTGGAGAGAAATCCCAGTGGATGAAACCTGTTATCAAGAAGGAGGAAATTCCCCTTTAAGTGGTCCCATTCAGGCAGGCGTCACTTGGGCAACAAATACCAGTTACCATCCAGATAAGTGTTTTCCATGTGTTAGGTCATTGAATGCATAAGATACCTTCATCTCATTTAATCATTGCGAAAAGCTCTGAAGCGAGTACTATTACTCACCCTATTTTACACATGGGAGGCTGAGGTTCAAAGAGGTGAAGTCACTTGCCTAAGGTCACACGACTTATTAGTGCTGCAGCAGGGATTTGAACCCAAAGACCAACCACTTAACTACTATTCTAATTGCCTCCTGTAAGCCTCAGTTTCCTTATCTGTAAAAGGGGAAAATAGTGTCTCTAACCTACTATTAATGTCTCTAACCTCTAACAACCTACTTCACAAGGTTGTTGATTATTAAATTATAAAGTTAAGATCTGGTGAAAGGTGAGAAGTTCTCTGGACTCAGACAGACTTGGGCTTTAATCCCAGCTCTGTAACTCACTAACTGGATGATCTTAGTCACATTACTTCCCCTCCCAGCGTGAATCTCTTCATTGTTGGAATGGGGAAACGTGGTCATACCTATCTGGACGGGTTGTCGGACGGAGTAAATGTGGACATCTATTGGCATGTGAAGCAGGATTTGGACTGTGGAGGGGAGTGCTACCAGCAGAGGAAAGAGCCCGAGCAAAGGCCTAGAGGTGGCATGTCATGGGGAACATTGCATTGAATGAGATCCAGCTTGACTCAAATCTCATTTGCTGATGGTTTGACCCCCAGAGGACACCCCCAATCCCTGTGCCTCCCCAAGTCTGGTGAAGATGTTAACTCAGCTTGTCTCAATCCATCAACAAATATACTGAGAGTGGCATACTGGCAAAGACCTCAGAAAATGAGGGACATGTATTGAAATCCCAGTCCCCCCACTTACCAGCAGTGTGACTTGGCATGAGTCATTTCACTTCTCTGAGTCTCAGTTTCCCCATCTGAAAATGGGGAGAATATACACAAACTGCAGGGCAACATGGAGTGGGCTAAATGGGCTAAGGTGGCAACCCTCCCACTGAGGGTCCCAGCCCTCCCATATTGCAAGTGCCTTTGAACAGCTGGAGCTCAGACAGGAGAGCCTCCTTCCTCTTCTGTGCCTTCTATGGCATCCTCATCACCTTGACTGCCATGATTTTGGCTGGAAGCGAGCCCTGGACATAGGGCTTCTGGTATCTTCCTTGCTGTGCCTTCTGGTGTCCACAGCCGCTGTGCTGGACCCTGGTGACCTTGTCCTGCTGCTGGTCCTGCAGATAGGAGCCCACCTGGAGTGCAGCCCCTGCATCTGTGCTCAACTAGAAAGGCAAGAACTCGCATTCCAGCTCCCACCTCTAATTTTATGAGGAAGAAGGAGCAACCCTTAATTTTTTTTTTTTTTTTTTTAGTTTTAAAAACTGGCATTGGCTGGGCGCAGTGGCTCACGCCTGTAATCCCATCACTTTGGGAGGCTGAGGAGGGCAGATCACTTGAGGTCAGGAGTCTGAGACCAGACTGGCCAACATGGTGAAACCCTGTCTCTACTAAAACTATAAAAATTAGCCGGGCATGGTGGCACGTGCCTGTAATCCCAGCTACTTAGGAGGCTGAGGCAGGAGAATCTCTTGAACCTGGGAGGCAGAGGTTGCAGTGAGCCAAGATTGCACCACTGCACTCCTGCCTGGAAAACAAGAGCGAGACTCTGTCTCAAAAACAAAACAAAACAAACAAATAAACAAAAAATGACATTGAATATGTGCAGTATGGTGGTATTGGTTGGTAAACTATGCAAATATTTCTGCTCCAGTTGTTAAACAGCAGCTGCCCCAAACCCTGTGAGTGCCCCCACCACCCTGGCAGTCTCAGCCCACCCCAGAGACACTCCCACTGTTGTAAATAACTCAGGAAAGAACACCTGTAATTATATTTCCTTTGAAAAGTATCTCAGGTTGAATTAATGAGTCAGAAGGATGCACATTTTAAGGCTTTAGATGCATATTTCCAAAATACCCTTCAGATAAATTATGTCATTTGAAACTCCTATCAGCAAAGTATGAGACTGTGAGAGTGCCCATTTTCTTTTTTTGTTTGTTTTTTGAGACGGAGTCTCGCTCTGTCGCCCAGACTGGAGTGCAGTGGTGCGATCTCGGCTCACTGCAAGCTCCGCCTTCCGGGTTCACACCGTTCTCCTGCCTCAGCCTCCGGAGTAGCTGGGACTACAGGCGTCCGCCACCATGCCCGGCTAATTTTTTGTATTTTTTAGTAGAGATGGGGTTTCACTGTGTTAGCCAGGATGGTCTCGATCTCCTGACCTCGTGATCCACCCACCTCAGCCTCCCAAAGTGCGGGGATTACAGGCATGAGCCACCACGCCCGGCGAGAGTGCCTGTTTTCCTGCATCTTCATCAACAATGGTTTTTATAATTTTTCTATTGCTTGAAAACCTGGAAGATAAAAAGAAATGATGTACTGTTTTAATTTGCCTTTTATTTAGAGAAACAGTCTTGCTCTTGCTCTGTCGCCCAGGCTGGAGTACAGTGGTGAGATCACAGCTCACTGCACACCCAAGCAATTCTCCTGAGTAGCTGGGACTACAGGTGTGTGTCACCATGCTTCACTAATTTTTATTTTTATTTATGTATTTATTTTTGAGACAGAGTCTTGCTCTGTCACCCAGGCTGGAGTGCAGTGACGCCTCCCGGGTTGAAGCGATTCTCCTGCCTCAGCCTCCGAGTAGCGCACACCACCATACCTGGCTGATATATATATATTTTTTTGAGCTGGAGTCTCACTCTCTTGCCCAGGCTGCAGTGCAGTGGTACGATCTCAGCTCACTGCAACCTCTGCCTCCTGGGTTCACACCATTCTCCTGCCTCAGCCTCCTGAGTAGCTGGGACTACAGGCGCCCACCACCATGCCCAGCTAATTTTTTGTATTTTTAGTAGAGACGGATTTTCACCCTTTTAGCCAGAATGTTCTCGATCTCCTGACCTCGTGATCCGCCTGTCTCGGCCTCCCAAAGTGTTAGGATTACAGGTGTGAGCCAACGCTCCTGGCCCTAATTTTTGTATGTTTTGCTAGAGACGGCGTTTCACCATGTTGGCCAGGCTGTTCTCAAACTCCTGACTTCAGGTGATCCGCCCGCCTTGGCCTCCCAGAGTGCTGTGATTACAGGCATGAGCCACTGTGCCCAACCAATTTTTTTTTTTTTTTGAGATGGAGTTTTGCTCTTGTTGCCCAGGCTGGAGTGCAATGGTGCCATCTTGGCTCACCGTAACCTCTCGAGTTCAAACAACTCTCCTGCCTCAGCCTCCCAAGTAGCTGAGATTAAAGGCATGTGCCACCATGCCTGGCTAATTTTGTATATTTAGCAGAGATGGGGTTTCTCCATGTTGGTCAGGCTGGTCTTGAACTCCCGACCTCAGATGATCCACCCACCTTGGCCTCCCAAAGTGTTGGGATTACAGGCATGAGACATCGTGCCCAACCAATTAAAAAAAATTTTTTTTTTTGTAGAGACGGAGTCTCCCTATATTGCCCAGACTGGTCTCCAACTTCTGGTCTCAAGTGATCCTCTTGCCTCAGCCTCCCAAAGTGCTGGGATTAGAGGCATGAGCTACCCCAGCCAGTGGCCTCCTCTTATTGATTTGAAAGAGATTTTTTTTTTTTTTTGAGACAGTCTTGCTCTGTCGCCCAGGCTGGAGTACAGTGGCATGATCTCAGCTCACTGCAACCTCCGTCTCCCGGGTTCAAGCGATTCTCCTGCCTCAGCCTCCCAAGTAGCTGGGATTACAGGCGCCTACCACCAAGCCTTGCTTTTTTTTTTTTTTTTTTTAGTAGAGACAGGTTTCACCGTGTTGGCCAGGTTGGTCTCAAACTCCTGACCTCAGGTGATTCGCCTGCTTCGGCCTCCCAAAGTGCTGGGATTACAGGTGTGAGCCACCGCACCTGGCCGTAAGAGATTTTTGTATATTAAGTCGAGCAACTGCAAAGTAAGCTCTTGATTCCAGAAGCAATTTTGGTATTGCCTCTTCCCTTCCTCCATGGAGCTAGGAGAGGAATGATTTGTACTCTCAATCCAGAAAGGCTTTTTTATAGGAGAAATCTGGAGAAGATGGAAAACAAGAGATCTTGAAAGATTCCAAGTATTTTTTACTTCGGAGGATTTTCTTCTTGAACCTACCCTTCCCGCTTCAAACCGTGGAAAGACCACTGTGCTCCCCTGTGGCCAGAATGACCGGGTTGCGCCCTCATGGCAGGGTGGGGTCTTTCTGGCTTGCTGCACTCTCTGAGCCAAGTGGGTCCCCACCCAAGAAATCTCCTTGCTCAGGAGCTGTGCTGATGTCAGAAAGACCCAGCTGACTGTCCTCTCGCCAAGCCCTGGCTCAAGTTGTCTCTGCTGCTGGCCAGCTGTGTGTCCTTGCCCTGTCCTTTAACCTCTCTGTGCCTCAATTCCCTTGTCTCTGAAATGGAGAAAACATTGCCCACCTTTCAAGGGTTGTAGGGAAGATTAGACAAGGTCATGTGTCTAAGGCTCTGGATACAATGCCTGGCATGGTGTAGGTGCTCCAGAAACACTTGTCAAATCAGTAACAAATAGCTGTTTTCCTTTCGTTTGTTCTTGTTAGTTTTGCGTGCATGACGTGTGTGTGTGTGTGTGTGTCCTTTTTTACCTTGCACTTTTTTCCAACTGAAAACTTACTCAACTTTTCAGAAAAGTAATAAAGCAAACCCCTTCACTTTAACCTATGTGGGTTAGGAATCTTTGGTGACAAGAAACAGAAATAAGTTGGAACTCGTAGAAATAATAGAAAGTGGGGAGAATGTATTAAAAAACACAAGGGTGTCACAGATTCCAAGAGCCTAAACTGGGGATTCTTCTCACTACTAATCCCTGGAGGTCGGCTGTGTTTTCCTCTCTCCTCCTCTCTCTCACCCTCTCCTGTCTTCTCTCCAGACTGGCATTCTCCTCCACTCAGTCACGCACAGCCTCATGGCTGCAGCCACCTGCTTCTCCCAGGGACAGTCTCAGCTACCTGCAAAGACTCACTAACTGACCCTAAGTCCCTAAACCAGGTTCTGGTTAGGGAGATTCTGATTGGCTCACACTGGGCCAGGTCCAGTCAGATGTTGTCCCTTGAGAAACACATAGTGCGTCACAGCCCGAGGGCAAGTGAGTTCATCTGATCTCCTCTTGGTAGACAGGAAAAGTCTGGGCCAGCTGAGACACTCCAGAGGGACTGGGGTGGAGGTAGCTGGAAACTGAATTCAGAGCTCATGGAATTCACCCCAGAAGGTCAGAGCTTGAAGGAGACTCACATATTGCCTGATCCCACCTCTGCCCACAGTTCATAGAGAGAATGAGGCGCAGAGGTATGTGGTTTGTCCAAGACTGCCTGGCCAGTCAGTGATGGGGCTGGACAGAAACTCAGGTCCCCTAGCACCATGGCTCAGGCTTACATTTTCAGACAGTCAGATGATTTCTCCAAGAGCAGTGCTGTTCAATAGAACCTTCTGGTTTTGCCAGGTGCAGTGGCGCATGCCTGTAATCCTAGCTCTCAGGGAGGCAGAGGTGGGAGGATAGCTTGAGCCCAGGAGTTCGAGACCTGCCTGGGCAACATAGCGAGACCCTATTCTCCACAAAAAGGAAAAAAAAAAGACAAAAAAAAAGAACTTTCTATTTTTGTGGTAACAAAAATATTTTATATCCATATTGTTGAATATTGGTTACGAGCCACATGTGGCTCTTAGCACTTGAAATTTAGCTGTTGTGGCTGAGGAATCAATTTTTTTCTTTTTTTTTTTTTTGAAACGAAGTCTCATTCTGTCACCCAGGCTGGAGTGTAATGGCGCAATCTCGGCTCACTGCAACCTCTGCCTCCCGGGTTCAAGCGAGTCTCCTGCTTCAGCCTCCCAAGTAGCTGGAGCTACAGGTGTGTGCCACCACACCAGGCTAATTTTCTATTTTTAGTAGAGACGGGGTTTCACCATGATGGCCAGGCTGGTCTTGAACTCCTGACCTCAGGTGATCCGCCTGCCTCGGCCTCCCAAAGTGCTGAGATTTCAGGCATGAACCACCACACCTGGCCACCCCATTCTCTTAATGAGTAAACTGAGGCAGAAAGAGACCAGGTGGCTCACTCAACTAGCCAGCCTCCTAAGTCTGGGTTCTTCTGGTGAATCCCTGCAGAAGAGGGGAAGGTGGGAAGAAGAAACAGAGAGGGAGAGGGAGGAGGGGGAAGGGCCAGAGTGGGGACTGAGGATAATGACTGGGAGGAGAAGTCCGGGAGGACTGAAGGGAGGAGGGAAGAGAGCGTCTAACCTGGACAGGATTGTCCATCGGTCCACTATTTCCCCCAAAATGCGAGGCCCTGCCCTATTGGTCTTGGCTGTGATCTATGGGGGCTGTGACTGCATCATCTCAGTCATCTCGTTCTTTCTCATCATGACCTTGACCACACTCAACCAAGCAGGCTTCTTGGTGAACCTGAAGACATCTCTCCCAGGTGGGGCCTCTCCTTCCCCTCCTCTATTCTCCCTACCCTCTCCACCCTTCCCACCCTGGGCAAAGGCTTGGCTCTGACTGGAAATAGGAGGTCAGAAGTAGATAGCCCAAACAGAGGACAAAAATGGGACCCATGGGCTAAATCCAATCGCAAAAGGTCTGGATTTAGCCTGAATAATGCTTTCATGAAATTTGAGACACCATTAAAAAATTAGGTCTGACAGGCCAGACACAGTGGCTCACACCTGTAATCCCAGCACTTTGGGAGGCTGAGGCAGGTGGATCACGAGGTCAGGAGATCAAGACCATCCTGGCTAACACGGCGAAACCCCATCTCTACTAAAAATACAAAAAATTAGCCAGACATGGTGGCAGGTGCCTGTAGTCCCAGCTACTGCGGAGGCTGAGGCAGGAGAATGGTGTGAACCTGGGAGGCGGAGCTTGAAGTGAGCCGAGATCGCACCACTGCACTCCAGCCTGGGCGACAGAGCGAGACTCCAAAAAAAAAAAAAAAAAAAAAATTAGGTCTGACAACACTCGGGTAGGTTTATGCCCTTTATGTGGTCTCTTAGCCACCAAAGCCAATTAAAGGTAAAGTCAGTTACCTTTCATTCTGCCTTTCATCCTATTTGAGCAGTCATTTGTCTTCACAGTAAAGAAATATTTCAGTTGGCTGTGGTGGCTCACGCCTGTAATCCCAGCAGGTGGATCACCTGAGGTCAGGAGTTCGAGACCAGCCTGGCCAACATGGCAAAACCCTGTCTCTACAAAAATAATAATAATAATAATAATAATACAAAAAATTAGCCAGCGTGCGTGGTTGCACACGCCTGTAATCCCAGCTATTCAGGAGGCTGAGGCAGGAGAGTTGCTTAAACTTGAGGGGGCAGAGGTTGCAGTGAGCTGAGATCGTGCCACTGCACACTCCAAAAAAAAAAAAAAGAGAAGAAAAAGAAATGTACCCAGGATCTCATAGCTATGGAAGATCAGGGCCAATATTTGAGCCCAGCTCCCCTGACTCTAAGACTAAGTGGTTTGTACCACATTAGAGCTGCCTCTAGGACCATGGGGGAAGCTAAAATGCCAGCTCCCCAGGGCTAGGGGCTTTGGTGCTTTCATTCACCAGTGACTAGAACAGTGCCTGGCACATGGTAGGTGCTCAATCATACTTGCTCAAAAAACAAAATAAATTAATGCATAGATGAACATGACATAGTCTATAGTCTATTACCATATTGTAACTGCTAGTTCAAGAAGTCTGACCTATGCTCTAGTAGAACCAGGAGGGAAGAGAGATGCTTCCTGCCCAGGGGCTCAGAGCAGCCTTCAGAAAGAGTGACCGATGGGTTGGGCCTTGGAAGATGAGATGCGCTAGGTGGGGATATTAGGAGAGAGCATTCTTGGCAGAGGGAAGCATGTTAGTAACGACCTGGAGGTGCGGAGAAAAGATGAGTCTCCTGAGGCCTCCCTGCAACTTAGTAGGTGGAATCAAGATTCAAACCCAGAAAACTCAACTTCAAAGCCCATGCTCGTAACCACTAACTACCTAGACTGCTTCCCATGCAGCAAATAGTGAGGGCTGACCCTGGGGCATTTCCGAGGAAGAACTGACAGAAGTGGGTGACAGAATGGATGACAGGGGAAGAAATGGAGAATGACTTCAGGTCACCAGTAAGTCACTCAATGAACAAGTAGTGAGCATCCACTCTGTGCCATGCTCTGGCTAGGAGTTAAGAGTCAGCGTTGAATGAGACCCACCCCTGCCTGCCAGAACTCACAGTCTGATGGGGGAGGTTGGCACACATGCACATGACCAGGCCCTAGGGAAGGAGGGAGGCAGAGGTGGGAGGTGTCTCCTGGCACAAATAATTAAATGGTATTTCTTCTCTCTCCTCCTCCTCCGCCAGGTACACAGCCTTCTTATTTGGCATCCCAGACACCACAGCAACAGATGGGGCATCTTGTCTCGCATGGCTGTGGGATATCTGACTGGCCAAGGCAAGGACCCTGTTGAGGGGGTAGGGATGCCAGCTTTGTCCACGGCACTACAGATTCTGTCCCCCCTCCCTGTGACTCACTTAAATCAGTTTGTTGGGTCAGATAGCTAGCAGCATTCCCTCTCCCTCTTCTAAAGCTGGTCTGAAATGGTTTCTCCAGGCAGAACTTCCCTACTCTGCCACAGACCATGCCAACTTGCAGCATTTCTGCTGCTGTTGGATGTAGAGAATCCCAGAATATCAGATTTAAGGCACTGATAGAGCTTCTGGAACCGTGAACCTCAAATCCTGTCCTTTAACCTGGGGAGCATCACCCCATGCCGTTGGGTGGACTTGCGGCTTCCTCAGAGTGGGGGGTTGAAACTCTTGTAAACTGTGCCATAGTCTGGGTGGTAGAGGGAATGAAAGACCTGGGAGTGTGCCTATGTATTGTTCTCTCACTTTTTTTTTTTGAGACTGAGTCTTGCTCTGTTGCCCAGGCTGGAGTGCAGTGGTACGATTTCAGCTCACTGCAACCTCCACCTCCCAGGTGCAAGCGATTTCTCCTGCCTCACCCTCTCGGGTAGCTGGGATTACAGGTGCCTGCCACCATGCCCGGCTAATTTTTGTATTTTTAGTAGAGACAGGGTTTCACCATGTTGGCCAGGCTGGTCTCCAACTCCTGATCTCAAGTGATCCACCTGCTTTGGCCTCCCAAAGTGCTGAGATTACAGGCATGAGCCACTCCCCAGCCTCTCCCCTTCTTTTTAACATAGATTCTAGTGTACAAGACACACTATTCCTAACCTTACTTTTTTCCCTTAACTAATTTTGAAAAGTCTTCTTTATTACAGCTGCATAGTATTCCATTGTGTATGAACCAGAATTTCAAAACCTATATAGAGAGAAAAGAGAAAAGCTCACGGGTGTTTTTAAATAGAGAAATTGAGAAGCCCTGAATTTTTGTCCAACTTCCTCCTTTTAATAAACAAGCAGAGGTTCACAGGAGAGAGAACTGTCATTTTTTGAATACTCAATATGTGTCAGGTGTGTTCACATACGTGACCTCAATGTATCCTCTCAATAGCTGCATGAAAGCTGGGAGTGGTGGTACTTGTAGTCCCAAGTATTCGGGAGGATCGCTTGAGCCCAGGAGTTTTGAGTCCAACCTGGGCCACGTAGCAAGACCTGGCCTCTTAAGAAAAAAAAACAAAAACAATTTATATTAAATACATATTAGTATTCTCATTTTTGGGAGGAGGAAACTGAGGCTCAGAGGTTAAGCCACTTGCCAAAGGCCACACAGATGACACAGCTAGTGAATAGCAAAGCTGGAATTTTTTGTTTTTGGTAGAGGTTTTTTAAATATATATATACAAGACACATTAATCCACGCATTTTTTTTTTTGAGATGCAATCTCGCTCTTGTTGCCCAGGCTGGAGTGCAATGGTGCAATCTGGGCTCACTGCAACCTCCGCCTCCCAGGTTCAAGCAATTCTCCTGCCTCAGCCTTCCAAGTAGCTGGGATTATAGGTGCCCACCACCATGCCTGACTAATTTTTGTATTTTTAGTAGAGACGAGATTTCACCATGTTGGCCAGGCTGGTCTCCAGCTCCTGACCTCAGGTGATCTGCCCACCTCGGCCTCCCAAAGTGCTGGGATTACAGGCGTGAGCCACTGCACCCGGCCTTTTAATCCATTAAATTTGAGGACACAGTACCAAAAAAAACCACTTCAACTAATTCATCTGACAATGCTGTTCATATTCATGACACCATTTTGTTGTTGTTGTTTTGTTTTCCTAACAGTAAAGAAGGCGGTTTAGGGCTGCTGGGCTGATGTATATTTGGGGTTTCCATCTCTATCTCCCCACCTCACCCATATACCACCAGGGTCAAAGCTGGAATTTATTTATCTATTTATTTATTTATTTGAGATGAAGTCTTGCTCTGTCACCCAGGCTGGTGTGCAGTGGCACCATCTCGGCTCCCTGCAACCTCCGCTTCCCAGGTTCAAGTGATTCTCCTGCCTCAGCCTCCTGAGTAGCTGGAATTACAGGTGTATGCTACCATGCCCGGCTAATTTTTGTATGTTTAGTAGAGACAGGGTTTCACCATGTTGGCCAGGTTGGTCTCGAATTCCTGACCTCAAATGATCCACCTGCCTCCGCCTCCCAAAGTGCTGGGATTATAGGAGTGAGTCACCATGCCTGGCCAAAGCTGGAATTTAAACTCAGGTCTGTGGACCTCCATGGCCTACAGACCACGTCCTTAGCCACAGGACTATATTGTTTTTCAGAAAAGCCAACTGTGCTGAGAGGCATATAGGCGAGGGATTTGGCCAGCATTTTAGAGGGGGAGCTACAAACTTCTAGAGGCAGGGTGTGGTGCTGGCCGTGGGGATTACAGAGAGGCCAAAAGTGGCTGGGTAAGAATTCAGGTGCGGCTTGCGGACTCCTCAGTCCTGCCTAGAGATCCCTGCAGCCCAACGCCCCACCTCAGTGCTCCTGAGCCCAATGGGGCTCCTGCGATCAAAGCAGGACTTGTCACTCCAGACCTGTGCTGTCTCCATCATAGACAGAAGCGCCGAGGCTCCGTCTATGTCCCTGTGCCTAGCAGGCTGGGAGGCAGTACAGCATGGTGGCTGGGAGCCTGGGCTAAGTTTGCAGCCTAGCCTGGCTTTTGCTGGCTGTGTGCCCTGAATAAGTCACTTCACTTCTCTGAGTCTGTTTCCCCACCTGTAAAATGGAAATGGTAATAAAATTGAACCTCATGTGATGTAGGAGGAATAAAGGCTAATGTGTGTAAAACACACTGCCTGGCACATGGTGCACACTTGTAAATATTGGTAATAATAGGACTAAGCATTGAACAAATTAGCTTTGGTGCGTTTGGTATTTGGGTTCCATAAAGGAATCCGCTTTATTACAAAAACACAATCTGAAGCGTCCTGACTTATGTCCCAGAATCTGCATTTATTCCCACTTTCCGCTCCCATCATCCCTTGCACCCCAGCACCAGGCAGCTCCAGGGCGAGAACCGCACTGGCAGCACCTTCTTGAGCCCAGTCCTGGCTGGGTTTCCCATCTGTGGGACACCCTGGCTTCCTGGAGGCTTGTCTTCCTCCTGTCCTGGGACTTTAATGCTTTTTCCCATGGCCAGCCTTGTACCAGAACTCCAGGCCTGGGCTTGAGTGGACAGCGCCCCTAGGGGCTGAAGGTGCAAGCTGCTTTCCAGGGGGCTCAGAAGCTCTGGGAGGGCCTTGGGTTGTGGAAACCTTGGCGCGACCTTTGGCAGTGTGGGTTTGGTTTTTGTTTTGTTTTGAATTTTTATAAAATTTTTCTGTTACAAAAATAATACATGCCATTGTAATAAAACAAACTAGATGGAAATACGAAAAGTCAATCTCTCTGTAGTTCCCTACAATCTAATGTTGGATTGTGAGACCTAATGTTGATTTTGGAATTTATTTATCCACACTATTCACTATATGTGTATATTTTGAGTTTTTTTTCATTTTTTGCTTTGTTACAAAGATGGAATGATACAATTTGCTTTGCAAGTTTTTTTTTGTTTTTTTTTTTAAGATACCGGTTCCCACTCTGTCCTCAGGCTACAATGTAGTGGCATTACCTTGGCTCACTGCAACCTCAACCTCCTGGGCTCAAACAATCCTACTGCCTCAGCCTCCCAAGTGGCTGGGACTGCAGGCACTGCCACCATGCCCAGCTAAACAATTTTTAAATTTTTTGTAGAGATGGGGGTCTCACTATGTTGCCCAGGCTGGTTTTTTTTTTCTTTTTTGAGACAGAGTCTCGCTCTGTTGCCCAGGCTAGAGTGCAGTGGCGCGATCTTGGCTCACTGCAACCTCAGCCTCCCAGATTGAAGCGATTTTCCTGCCTCAGCCTCCCAAGTAGCTGGGATTACAGGCGCCTGCCACCACAACCAGCTAATTTTTGTATTTTTAGTAGAGATGGGGTTTCACCATGTTGGTCAGGCTGGTCTCGAACTCCTGACCTCAGGCGATCCACCTGCCTTGGCTTCCCAAAGTGCTGGGATTATAGGTATGAGCCACTGTGCCCAGCCCCAACCCCCTTAATATTCCTCAAGGGCTAACTGAAGCAGAATTGGAACCCAAACCCAGCTCCTCGGAGTTTTCCTTTGGACCATGCAGTTCCATCACTTCTGTTCTGCTGGGTGGTTCCAGGCAGGAACACAGACAACTTTGTACAGAGGAAAGTTGATTATGCATGCTGTAGCTCTGGGATAAGCTGTCTCTTCGCTTCCTAGTGTGGTTTCAAAGTTAGGTTCATGGATTTTAGTGCTTGTGGTCTGTTGAAGTTTTTGGATCCGTAGGAGTACAGTTTTCATCAAGCTTGAAAAAAAATTGGCCATTATTTATTTAAATATTTTTTATCTTTCCTTTCCCTCTGCCTCCTTTGGGGACTTCATTTACATATATATTGGGCTGCTTGAAGTTGTTGCAAAGCTCCCTGATGCTCTGTAACTATTTTTAAATCTTTTTTTTTTAAATCCATTTCATTTTGGATACTTTCTATTGCTATGCCTTCAAGTTCACCAATCTTTTCATTGGCAGTATCTAACCTGCTGTCACTCCTAGCAAGGGTATTTTTCATTTTACATGTTGTTTTAATTTCTAGAAGTTTGATTTGGGTCTTTGAAAAGTCTTCCACGTCCAGGCTGGGCATGGTGGCTCACGCATGTAATCCCAGCAATTTAAGAGGCCAAGGTGAGAGGATTGCTTGAAGCCGGGAGTTCAAGACCAGCCTGGGCAACATAACAAGACTCCCCCTCTCCTGCCCATATCTACAAAATCTTCCATGTCTCTACTTATCATACTTAATCTTTCTTTTACCTGTTTGACCATGTGGGATACTGTATAGTTACAGTAACATTTAATTCCCTTTTCTGTTTTTTTCTTTTTCTTTCTTCTTTTTTTTTTTTTTTAGCCCAACCAGGATATCATGACATCCCTTTTCTATTAATTCTATCATCTGTATCATTTCTCAGTTTGTTTCTATTAATTTATTTTTCTTTTCATTTTAGGTCTTATTTACTTTCCTCTTTGCATACCTAGTAATTTTTAATTTGATGATGCCAGACATTGTGAATTGCACCTCTTCGGGTGCTAGATATTTTCGTGTTCCTATGAATATTCTTGAAATGTGTTATGGGATACTTAAGGTTACTTGGAAACAGTTTGATCCTTTTGAGGTTTACTTTGAGTCTTTTTTTTTTTTTTTTTTTTTGAGACGGAGTCTCACTCTGTCACCCAGGCTGGAGTGCAGTGGTGCGATCTCAGCTCACTGCAAACTCTGCCTCCCAGGTTCACACCATTCTCCTGCCTCAGCCTCCCGAGTAGCTGGGACTACATGCGCCGCCACCGCGCCTGGCTATTTTTTTGTATCTTTAGTAGAGACGGGGTTTCACCGTGGTCTCGATCTCCTGACCTCGTGATCCGCCCACCTCGGCCTCCCAAAGTGCTGGGATTACAGGCGTGAGCCACCGTGCCCGGGCTTTTTTTTTTTTTTTTTTTTTTTTTTTGAGATGGATTCTCACTCTGTCACCCAGGCTAGAGTGCAGTGGCATGATCTCAGCTCACTGCAACCTCCACCTCCTGGGTTCAAGCAATTCTCCTCCCTCAGCCTCCTGAGTAGCTGGGATTACAGGTGCCTGCCACCACGCCTGGCTAATTTTTGTATTTTTAGTAGAGACGGGGTTTCGCCACATTGGCCAGGCTGGTCTTGACCTCCTGACCTCAAGTGATCCCCACGCCTCCGCCTCCCAAAGTGCTGGGATTACAGGCGTGAGCCACTGTGCCTGGCCAGACTTTGAGGTTGTTAGGTGAGACCAGAGCAGCCTTTATTCTGGGGCTTATTTTGTCCCACTACTGAAACAATACACTTCTGAGGACTGTACCCAATCCCCCTGGAATTAAGAGGTTTTCTACTCTGCCTGGTGGGAACACAGAGTACTCCTGTCGCCATGTGAACTGTAGTGATTTTTTCCTCTGGTCCTTTCAGGTGATTCTTCCCCAGCCTCAGGAAGCTTCCTTACACACATGTGCTGATCAGTGAAGAGGGAGCTCTCTGCAGAGCTCTCTGCAGCTCTCTCCTCTCCAATACTCTGCCCTGAACTCCAGCCATCTGCGGCCTCCCTGGACTCTCAGCTCCAGCTGCTCAGCTCCAGAAGTCCATCAGGCTCCACCTGGGTGTGAGCCACGGTGCCCGGCCCCAACCCTCTTAATGCAGCTCCCTTCCACATGCCGCAGCTCAGAAACTCGTTCCAGGCAGCAAGGTGGGGGGCGGGCGGGCAATCATAAGACTCACCTCATTTGTTTCCCCTCTCTCGGGAATCACTGTCCTGCACTGGTGAGGTCCAATATCAGAAAACCATTGTTTCATAGATTTTGTCCAGTTTTTTCTATTGTTTCACTTGGGAGAATATATCTGGTCCCTGGTATCTCATCTTGGCCAGAAGCAGAAGTGTTCTGTATATTTAATGCACTATTTTAAAGTTTTTTAAAAGACTATCTTAAGGCCGGGCGCAGTGGCTCATGCCTGTAATCCCAGCACTTTGGGAGGCCGAGGCAGGTGGATTACTTTAGGTCGGGAGTTCCAGACCAGCCTGACCAACATGGAGAAACCCCATCTCTACTAAAAATACAAAATTAGCTGGGCATGGTGGTGCATGCCTGTAATCCCAACTACTCGGGAGGCAGAGGCGGGAGAATCGCTTGAACCCAGGAGGCGGAGGTTGCGGTGAGCCGAGATCGTGCCATTGCACTGCAGCCTGGGCAACAAGAGTGAAATTCCATCTCAAAAAAAAAAAAAAGACTATCGTAGTCTGTTTGGACTGCTGAAACAAAATACCATAAATTGGGTGCCTTATAAACAACAGACATTTATTTCTTATAGCTCTGGATGCTGGGAGGTCCAAGAACAAAGTGCTGGCAGATTTGGTGTCTGGTGAGGGCCCTCTTCCTGATTCATAGAGGGTGCCTTGTTGCTGTGTCCTGACATGGTACAAGGGGCTAGCTATCTCTTGGAGGTCTCTTTGATAAAGGCACTAATCCCTATCATAAGGGCTCCACTCTCATCACCCAATCACCTCCCAAATACCCCACCTCCTAATACCATCACCTTTGGGGTAAGGATTGTAATATATGAATTTGGAAGGACACAAACATTCCCTGTATAATCAGGATCAACTAAAGAGAAGGGTTCCAGGACTGTGCAGTCTTCAAAATATCCCCTAAGCATAATCACAGAAAGATTTGGAAAACCACATAATTCAATAAAAGGAGAGGTCTTTGTCTTAGGAGTCAGAGACCCAAGTCCCTCCTATTCCGTTCGGCATATGGGCTGATTTTCAGGCATGTTCAGGCTGGTCCTTGGTGCCATACCTGACTCATCTGTCTACAGTTGCCACTTCTTTTCTCTCTCCTTCCATCCACTCATCAGGTATTCCTGCCCCCACCATCCTCCACAGGTACCTGAAAAGTCCACATAAACATCAACCCCAGCTCCAAGCTGCAGGATGTTGGCAACGTGGCATCCCACTCTGCAGCGGGGGAATCCTTGCAATAAACACATTGGACAATGGTGGAGAGGTCTCACCTAGGTACTTCCCCCACCCAAATTTTAAGCTCTTTGTTTTGAAATAATTACACACTCAAAGGCAAGTGTTAGAGCAGCACACAGGGATTCACATATCAGTCACCCAGCTTCCCCAATGGTGAGATTTTTTTTTTTTCTTTTTTTTGAGATGGAGTCTTGCTCTGTTGCCCAGGCTGGAGTGTAGTGGCGTGATCTTGGCTCACTGCAACCTCTACCTCCCAGGTTCAAGTGATTCTCCTTCCTCAGCCTCCCAAATAGCTGGGACTACAGGCATGCGCCACCACACCCAGCTAATTTTTGTGTTTTTAGTAGAGATGGGATTTCGCCGTGTTGGCCAGGCTGGTCTTGAACTCCTGACCTCAGGTGATCTGCCTGCCTTGACTTCCCAAAGTGCTGGGATTATAGGCATGAGCCACCACACCCATCCCCAATGGTGAAATCTTATATAGCCATAGTATAACATCTAAACCAGAAAACTGACATTGCTCTTTGTGTATTACTATTAGCCAGTCTACAGACCTTACTCAGTTTTTACCATTTTTAAAAACTGCATTCATTTGTATGTATGTAGTTCTAGTTTTATCCTATGTACAAATCTGTGTAACCAGCACCACAGTTAAGATACAGAATCATTCCATCACCTCGAAATCACAGCCTCATGCTACCTCTTTGTATTCTCAGCCACCCTCACCCTCTCCCAGCTCCTCACCCCGTCTTCGTCCTCTGGCAACCACTAATCTGCTCTCCATCTCTATAGTTGTGTCACTTTGAGATGTTATGTAAATGGAATCACACAGTATGTAATCTTTTGACACTGGCTTTTTTTCACTAAGCATAACACTCTTGATGTCCATCTAGGTTGCTGCATGTATCAGTAGTTCATTCTTTGCTATTGCTGGGGAGTATTCCATGGTATGGATGTACCAGAGTTTGGTCAACCATTCTCCCACTGAAGGGTTGTTTCCAGTATTTTGTTGTTACAAATAAAGCTGCCATAAACATTTCTCAGGCCGGGCGCAGTGGCTCACGCCTGTAATCCCACCACTTTGGGAGGCCGAGGTGGGCGGATCACGAGGACAGGAGATCAAGACCATCCTGGCTAACATGGTGAAACCCCGTCTGTACTAAAAATACAAAAAATTAGTCGGGCGTGGTGGCGAGCGCCTATAGTCCCAGCTACTTGGGAGGCTGAGGCAGGAGAAGGCGTGAACCCGGGAGGCGGAGCTTGCAGTGAGCCGAGATGGTGCCACTGCACTCCAGCCTGGGAGACAGAGCGAGACACCATCTCAAAAACACAAAAAACAACATTTCTCTGCAAGTTTTTGTGTGAACTTAAATTTTAATTTATCTGGGATAAATGCACAAGAATACAGTTGCTGGGTTATATGATAATTGCATGTTTAGTCTTATAAGAAATTGCAGGCCGGGCGCGGTGGCTTATGCTTGTGATCCCAGCACTTTGGGAGGCCAAGGCGGGAGGATCACGAGGTCAGGAGCTCGAGACCAGCCTGGCCAACAAGGTGAAACCCTGCTTCTACTAAAAATACAAAAATTAACCGGATGTGGTGGTGCACCCCTGTAATCCCAGCAACTCAGGAGGCTGAGACAGGAGAATCACTTGAACCTGGGAGGCAGAGGTTGCAGTGAATCGAGATCATGCCACTGCACTGCAGCCTGGGTGACAGAGAAAGACGCCATCTCAAAAAAGAAATTGCCAAACTGTTTTCCAAAATGTCTATACCTTGTTACATTTATATATATATATATTTTTTTAAAAGTTATATATATATATTATATATTAAATATATATATATATATATATATATATATATATATATATATATATATATATATATATATATGCACCAGGCCCCAGTATTGGTTTTCCTTAGAGCTAGAAGCAGTTTTAGCTGGGAGCTGAAGTCTTAGACCAAATCAAAGTGCCTGAAAGTAGGCAGGGCGCAGTGGCTCACGCCTGTGATCCTGGCACTTGGGAAGGCCGAGGCAGCCGGATCACTTGAGGTCAGGAGTTTGAAACCAGCCTGGCCGACATGGTGACCCCATCTCTAATAAAATGCAAAATAAAAAAATTCACCAGCCATGGTGGCAGGCGCCTGTAATCCCAGCTACTTGGGAGGCTGAGGCAGGAGAATTGATTGAACCCTGGAGGTGGAGGTTGCAGTGAGCCAAGATCACTCAGTGATCTGAAAGTAGAATTTAAGGAATCAGCAAGCCAGTGGAAAAGGCTTTGGAAGGAGGGAAGAAAGAAAAGAAGAAGAGGAGATGTTGATGTTTTATAAGAAGAATGTAAAGCAGCAGATTGCCAATGGTGGGATTTCTGGCACTCTAACGGGCTGGTGCACAGAAAGACTTTCCAGACAATCGGGTCACTACCAACATCACCCTGGCCAAAAGCTCAGCCCTGTATTTTTTAAAGTCCAGATACCAGAAAAACCTCTTGAGAGGTAAAATGAAATTTCTGCAACAATAGGGAATTAGGACAGCAAAGAATCAGCATCTTTAAAAACCACATATTAGATATTTACTTATTTACATATTTCCACAGGCCAGTGTCATAACAAATATAGACCTTCCTACAGTACTTTACAGTTGACAAAGCCATTTTACTGCTCATCTGCTCTTCACAATAATTCTGTGAGGGCAGCTATTACCGTCCTTCTCTTAGTGGTGAGATAATGAGGCTCAGAGAGGTGAAAGGTCACACAGCCAGGAAGTGGTGAAGCTGAGACCTGGTGCCTAGTCTTTGGATGCCAAAGCCAGTTTCCTTCCCAACACTCCACAGATGCTTTCAGAAGCATAGCCTGAAAGGCCAGAGATGGGTGTCATAGGGCCTCACATTACCTTTTATGAACTTGTGGGAGTTATAGCCAAGAAATTACATCAATACACCAAGATGCAAAATAATTCATGGAAAACAAAGCTTACAGGAAGGTGAAATTAGCTACATTTCCCAACCATCCCTATCACTACCTGTAACCTAAGGGGAAAGACCAGAATTGGTGACAATGTGATCAGAAAAGTGTTGTAATAGCAGCCACCCAGGCATCCAAGGCCCTCCAATGTCCTTGGTTTTAAGATCATTTTTCTCTGCAGTTTGTGGCGAGAGCGCCCCCATGTGTTTCTTTTTTCTTTTCCTTTTTTTTTTTTTTTTTTGAGATGGAGTTGCCCAGGCTGGAGTGCAATGGCCCATCTTGGCTCACTGCAACTTCCACTTCCAGGGTTCAAGCAATTCTCATGCCTCAGCCTCTCGAGTAGCTGGGATTACAGGTGCGTGCCACCATGGCAGGCTAATTTTGGTATTTTTAGTAGAGATGGGGTTTCCCCACGTTGGCCAGGCTGGTCTCGAACTCCTGACCTCAAGTGATTGGCTTGCCTTGGCCTCCCAAAGTGCTGGGATTACAGGCATGGGCCACCGCTCCAGTTTTAATTATCGGCGGGGCGTGGTAGCTCATGCCTGTAATCCTAGCACTTTGGGAGGCCAAGGTGGGCCAATCACTTTAGGGCGGGAGTTCGAGACCAGCCTGGCCAACATGCAGAAACCCCGTCTCTACTAAAAATACAAAAATTAGCCAGACGTGGTGGCGCGTGCCTGGAATCTCAACTGCTCAGGAGGCTGAGGCACGAGAATCACTTGAGCCTGGGAGGCAGAGGTTGCAATGAGCCGGGATTGTGCCACTGCACTCCAGCCTGGGTGACAGAGTGAGACTCCATCTCAAAACAAAACAACTCAGTTTTAATTTTGAATATAGTGAATATAGATAGCTCTAATTTACATAATCAAATCCCTTTGGAGTCCCTTTAATAGTGTAAAGGGTTCCCAAGAGCAGAAAGTTGGAGAATCACCATATCATATCATTCTTTTTTCCATAATCTTCTTGGAAAACCCCCGTCTGTACTAAAAATACAAAAATTAGCCAAGCATGGTGGTGCGTGCCTGTATTCCCAGCTACTTAGGAGGCTGAGGCATGATAATTACTTGAACCCGTGAGGTGGAGGTTGCGGTGAGATGAGATCGCACCACTGCACTCCAGCCCAGGCAACGGGGTGAGACTCTGTCTCAAAAAAATAATAATAATAATAAATAAATAAAATATGAAATTTTTAAAAAATTAAAAATGTAATTATTTTAAAATAGCAGTATAAACTCCTTACATATTAACACATCACTTTTTGTTGTTGTTGTTGTTGGTTTTGAGACAGAGTTTCGCTCTTGTTGCCCAGACTGGAGTGCAATGGCGTGATCTTGGCCCACCACAACCTCTGCCTCCTGAGTTCAAGTGATTCTCCCGCCTCAGCCTCCCAAGTAGCTGGGATTACAGGCATAAGCCACAGCGCCCAGCAAATTTTTTTTTTTTTTTTTTTTTTGAGATGGAGTCTCACTGTCGCCCAGGCTGGAGTGCAGTGGTGCGATCTCAGCTCACTGCAAGCTCCGCCTCCTGGGTTCACACCATTCTCCTGCCTCAGCCTCCCAAGTAGCTGGGACTACAGCCGCCCGCCACCACGCCTGGCTAATTTTTTTTTTTTTTAATTTTTTGTATTTTTAGTAGAGACGGGGTTTCACCGTGTTAGCCAGGATGGTCTCGATCTCCTGACCTTATGATCCACCCACCTCAGCCTCCCAAAGTGCTGGGATTACAGGCGTGAGCCACCATGCCTGGCCTAATTTTGTATTTTTAGTAGAGACGGGGTTTCTCCATGTTGGTCAGGCTAGTCTCGAACTCCCAACCTAAAGTGATCCACCCACCTTGGCCTCCCTAAGTGCTGGGATTACAGGCGTGAGCCACCGCGCCCAGCCAACATACCACATTTTTAATTGTGAAGAATAACTATTTCCCAAAGCAAAAAATCACAGAAGGATGGCATTGTTTTACATTTTTGCAGATCTCTTTACTGTCTGGCTTAATAGAAGACAGCTAGATTCTCATATCTGCTTCTTCAGCCCATTGCAATTTTACATGTCATGTAGCCCCTAGAAAACACCACTGTGCACTCATGGGAGAATGAGAGGGAAAATGTCTTAGCATTGTTACAGAAATAGTTTTGACCTTGAAAACCCTTAGGTCCCTATGTGTCCCTAGACTACTCTTTGGGATCTGCTTATCTAATGTACATTCAAAACTACTTTGTAAACATTCCTATAGTAGCAAAAGTCAGGAGGCCTGGTGTTCTAGTCCTGTCTCTGAATGACCTGATTAGTTTTCTTGAGGAAGCCACCTGGTCTCTGGTCTGTTTTATCCTCCACTATGCCTCAGGGCTTAGCACAGCACTATAATTACGGCTGAAATAAACAAATAGCCAGGATCTCCCAGCTGGCGAGACTGATGTGGTAACCTATATGTTCTATTGACTTTTTTTAGTAGCCTCATTTTTACCAGTGCTGAAAGAAGTGCAACGTTCCCAGGTGTAACCATCAGTCATAGCTACCATTTACCATAGAGTAGCGTTCAAGGGCTTGAACTTTAGAGTCCAACACCCTGGGTTCAAATCCTGGTTCTGCTGTTTATTAGCTGTATGATCTTAAGCTAGTTCATTCCTCTCTTATTTCATTTGCAAAATGGAGGTAATAAAACTTCATTAATAAGTCACCACAGTGTTTTCAGAAAGAAAAAATAAAAATTAAAAATATGGCTGGGCACAGTGGCCCATGCTTGTAATCTCAGCCCTGTGGGAGATCAAGGTGGGTAGATTGCTTGAGCCCAGGAATTCAAGACCTGCCTGGGCAACTTGGTGAGACCCAGTCTACACACACACACACACACACACACACACACACACACACACACACACAAATTAGCTTGGCATGGTGGTGCCTGTGCCTGTTGTCCCAGCTACTCAAGAGCCGGGGGTGGGAGGATCACTTGAGCCCAGGAGGTCAAGGCTGCAGTGAGCGCTGATAGAGCCACCATTGCACTCCAGCCTAGAAGTGCTCTCTGTCGTACTTCTGGGCAACAGAGTGAGATCTTGTCTCAAAAGCTAAAAATAAAAAAATAATAAAAATTAGGCTGGGTGCAGTGGCACACACCTGTAATCCGAGCTACTTAGGAGGCTGAGGTTGGAGAATCGCTTGAACCTGGGAGCTGGAGGTTACAGTGAGCCAAGATGGTGCCACTGCACTCCAGCCTGGGCGAAAGAGTGTGACTCCATCTCAAAAATAAAACAATAACATAATAATTAAAATAAAAAAATAAAACTTCATTGAGTTGTTGTGAGAATTAAATGAGATAATCTGACTTAAGTGCTTAAAACAACACCAGATACATGGTGAGCATTACATAAGTGTTTGCTGCTATTGCTAATTTAAAGTCTTGCTGACCATGTGGTACGCCCATGTGCCAGGCTAGGCACTTTATGAATGGCCCTGGGTCACTTTGACTCTAAAACTTGCTCTTAAAGGAAAACCAGGCTGGGCACAATGACTCACGCCTGTAATCCCAGCACTTTGGGAGGCCGAGGCAGGTGGATTGCTTGAGCTCAGGAGTTGGAGACCAGCCTGGCCAATATGGTGAAACCTCATCTCTACTAAAAATACAAAAAATTAGCCGGGCATGATGGTAGGCACCTGTAATCAATCTCAGCTACTCTGGAGGCTGAGGCAGGAGAACTGCTTGAACCTGGGAGGTAGAGGGTGCAGTGAGCCAAGATTGTGCCGCTGCACTCCAGCCTGGGTGACAGAGCAAGACTCCATCAGAAAGAAAAGAAGAAAGAGAGAAAGAAGGAAGGAAGGAGAAAGAAAGGAAGGAAGGAAGGAAAGAAGGAAGGAAGGAGAAAGAAAGGAAGGAAGGAAGGGAGGGAGGGAGGGAGGAAGGGAGGAAGGAAGGGCCAGGCGCGGTGGCTCAAGCCTGTAATCCCAGCATTTTGGGAGGCCAAGGTGGGTGGATCACGAGGTCAGGAGATCGAGACCATCCTGGCTAACATGGTGAAACCCCGTCTCTACTAAAAATAAATAAAAAAAAAATTAGCCGGGCGTGGTGGCGGGCGCCTGTAGTCCCAACTACTTGGGAGGCTGAGGCAGGAGAATGGCGTGAACCCAGGAGGCAGAGCTGGCACTGAGCCGAGATCGCTCCACTGCACCCCAGCCTGGGTGACAGAGCGAGACTCCATCTCAAAAAAAAAAAAAAAAAGAAAAGAAAAAAGAAAAAAAAAGGAAAAAGAAGGGAGGGAGGGCGGGCGGGTGGGCCTAATTTTTCAAGTAATATATTCTGTTATTTTAAAAATTTGTGTCGGGGATGGTGGCTCACACCTATAATCCCAACACTTTGTGAGGCCAAAGCAGGTGGATTGCTCGAGCTCAGGGGTTTGAGACTAGCCTGGGCAATATGGCGAAACCCTGTCTCTACTAAAAATACAAAAATGAGCCGGGTATGATGGCATGTGCCTGTGGTCCCAGCTACTCGGGGCTCTGAGGAAGGGGGATCACTTAAGCCCAGCAAGTCGAAGAGGTCGAGGTTGCAGTTAGCCATGTTTACGCCATTGCACTCTAGCCTTGATGACAAAGTAAGACCTTGTCTCTAAAAATTTAAATTTAAATTTAAAAATTCAAAGACTTCTCCATCACACTGCCCTGTTACTGTCCCTTCTGACTCTCACCTTATTTGGGAACTTTCTTCTTGGTTGATGGGGAGCTTTAGAAGTAGAGGTAGGCCAGGTGCAGGGGCTCATGCCTGTAATCCCAGCACTTTGGGAGGCCGAGGAGGGCGGATCATGAGGTCAGGAGCTCGAGACCAGCCTGACCAACATGGTGAAACCCTGTTTCTACTAAAAATACAAAAATTAGCCGGGCATGGTGGCATGTGCCTGTAATCCCAGCTACTCAGGGGGCTGAGCCAGGAGAATCGCTTGAACTCAGGAGGTGGAGGTTGCAGTGAGCCAAGATCACGCCACTGTACTCCAGCCTGGGTGACAGAGCAAGACTCCATTAAAAAAAAAAAGTGACCGTGGAGTTCTCCTTCTCACTCCTGGTCCAGATGGGCAAAGGCTCCTTCACATGCTCCGGGGTGCTGGACAAGCTAAAGGCAGGGTGGAAACACTGCTAATGAAGACATACCTGAGACTGGGTAATTTACAAAGGAAAGAGGTTTAATTGACTCACAGTTCAGCATGGCTGGGGAGGCCTTAGGAAACTTACAATCATGGCAGAAGGGGAAGCAAACATGTCCTTCTTCATGTGACGTCAGGAAGAAGAATGAGAGCCAAGTGAAGGGGGAAGCTCCTTAAAAAAACCATCAGATCTTGTGAGAACTTACTATCATGATAATAGTATGAGGGAACTGCCCCCATGATTCAGTTACCTCCCACCATGTCCCTTCCACCACAGGTGGGGATTATGGGAATTACAGTTCAAGATGAGATTTGGGTGGGGACACAGCCAAACCATATGAGTGGCATCCCATCAACATCTTTCTGTAGAAGTTCGGGACAAAGCAATACTATGTCACCATCATTGATGCCATGGGTCACTGTGACTTCATCAAGAACATGATCACAGTCACCTTACAGCTACCACCAGGGTTGCCTCGGCCCTGCTGTGGGGATGGGCAGGGGGTGTCCCAGGCCAGGTCTGAGCTGGGCCTTCCTCTCTCAGGCCAGGAAGACTGTGCTGTGCTGATTGTGGCAAGTGGTGTAGGAGAGTGTGAGGCTGGCATCTCCAAGAACAAGCAGATCTGTGAGCACACACTGCTGGCCTATACACTGGGCATGAAGCAGCTCATTGTGACAGTCAACAAGATGGACATCACAGAGCCACCTTACAGTAGTACATGCTTTGAGGAGATCAGCAAGGAGGTGAAGGCTTACATCAAGAAGATTAGTTACAACTCCCAGACTCTGCCCTTTGTGCCCATCTCAGGCTGGCATGGGGACAACATGCTGGAACCTGGCAGCAAGGTGAGGGCCGGCTGGGCAGGGCCAATTAAATGAGACTTGCCCACTTAAATCTTTGAGCTTCTCCTGGAATAAATATCCAGTATTCACAGTGTGCTCATGGACTGATCACTGGGAACGATCTGCATCCCCTTTTGGGGGCTGCTTTGACCTCCATGTTACAGATGAGTGACATGAGTACACCCAAGACTATATAATCAGTAAGCATAAAACTGTGCGGACTGATGTTGTGGCCACTAGGTACGTGTGGCTATTTAAATTACTAACATGAAATCAAATGAAATAATTCCTTAGCTACATTTCAAGTGCCCAGCAACCACATATGGCTATCATATTGAACAGTGAGTGCAGTAAGAATATTTACATCGTTGCAGAAAGTTGGGCAGTGCTGGCTGGATCTAGAATTCTAGCCAATGCTTACAGTATCTAAGTTATCTGACCTTAGGCAATGTGGGCGCAATATAAATGTGTCTAAGACACAGTCCCTCTGCTCAGGGATCCCACATTCAAATAGCTTTTGACATTCCTAGACAAGAATCTCCCTACCAAAAGAGTTGAGTTCTAACATCAGACCTGAATTCAAGCCCCAACTCTATCCTTTGCCCACAGTAAAGGAGCAGGTGAGGTATTAATATTAATGCTCTGGGCCTTTGGACTCACTTTACGGGGTTGTAAGAATTAAACAAAAGACTTTACGTGGACATCCGCTCACACAGACAGTTGGTGCTCGCAGGCTAATTGTTATTACTTAGTACATTTGCCTAAAGCCTACCTTTTCTATAATTAACTTGAGAATTCTTAGTCTTTTCCTCCACGTGTACATAGCTATCTTTTTCTGATTATAAAATTAATGTCTAACATCTTTACAATAAGCATTTCCTGCAGATATGAAGCATAAACTGCCACCCCGTGACTTATAGATAACCTAGTTATAGATAACCTAGTTTTCATGCAATTCTTTCTAGGTATTCACAGCTGGACTCAAACTATACATAATGCTCTATACACATTTTTAAAACTTTCTTTGCCATTTAAACTGTTGGAGAGTTAATGGGTGTTTTATATCACATCTCACTACGTAGGTAGGTTGGCTATATCCATGATTCACTGTAAATGGTGATTAATGATTTAAGACTGAGTGCTTTACATGTATACAACCCCATGATGAAGGCATTTTATTCCCAGGTAAAGTAAGAAAACTGGGACACAGTGCAGTTAGGTGATAGCCTGAGGTCACCACCTTCTATTGTTTCTAAATTTATTAAAAACTGCCATAATTGGGCTGGGCATGGTGGCTCATGCCTGTAATCCTAGCACTTTGGGAGGCCAAGGTGGGAGGATTGCTTGAGCCCAGAAGTCCAAGATATCAGTTGGCCAACATAGTGAGAGCTTGTCTCTACAAAAAAAAAAGAAAGAAAGAAAGAAAGAAAGAAAGAAAGAAAGAAAGAAAGAAAGAAAGAAAGAAAGAAAGAAAGAAAGAAAGAAAGAAAGAAAAGGAAAGAAAACTTAGCCAGGCGTGATGGTGCATGCTACTGAGGAGGCTGGGATGGGAGGATTGCTTGAGCCTGGAAGGTCAAGGCTCAGTGAGCCATGATCATGCCACTGCACTCCAGCCTGGATGACAGAGTGAGACCCCGTCTCGGAAAACAAAAAACTGCCATAATTAAGAATGTTAACTCTACTAAAAAAATTAAAACCTGTCATAAGCATCTTGGTAAATAAATCTTTCCATGTGTCTTTGGTAGTTTAATTATAATCAACTCCTAATGAAATAAATTCCTCATGAACCACTGGGCATGGTGGCTCAAATCTGTAATCCCAGCACTTTGGGAGGCTGAGGCTGGAGCATTACTGGTGGCCGGGAGTTCGAGACTAGCCTGGGCAATGTAGCAAGACCCTGCCTCTACAAGAGTTTCATTAAAAAAAAAAAATGAAACAAAGGGTAGGCATTATTTTTGGAATCTTCTGACACAGACTGCCCAATTGCCCTTGAGAAAAGACTAGACCTGCAGGGGCAGGGTGTCCCTTCAAATGGTGACTGAGCGCCAGTGTGCCGGGCACTGTCCTTGGTGCTGAGAGTGCCGCAGTGAATAAGAAGCAACTCTGCTGTTGGAGCTCAGTCTCCTGGGAGACTGGGAAGAGATAAGGCAGACGATGACAAGTGCTTCAGAAAATTCTACAAAAAGGTGAAGGGACACAGTATGGGAGAGTTACTGTACATCAGGTATTCAAGCAGGGGTGGGCTCTGAGATAACATTAGAGCAGAAACCTGAAGCTTCAGTGCCTGTTTCCCATAACCTGAGTATTATCACACATCTCAGCTAGTGAGACACATGAGTTTCATCCCCACGTCCTCCAAGCATTTATTACACACCTACTGTATTCTAGATGCCAAAAGAACAAAGCATGTTAGCCTGCAGCTAGTGAACTAGATATTCAACTTGTAGTTTGCTGACCTCATAGGCTTGTAGTAGCAGGACCATGGATTGGCATAGAACCAAGTGAGTCACCAAGTTCATCAAACCAACGGGTAAAGTTCATCACTACCTCACCCTCACTGCAGGCTCAGTGGGAAGAGGCTTGTATTTGAGTCTGGGGAGTTGGTCTCATTTTCAACTTCTGATCTGGTCATTTGCCAGTCACTGGGCCTTGGGCAACCCACTTCTGATCCTCAATTATCCTTTCTGAGAAAGAAAAATATTCCTTTTACAAACTTGAATTATTTATGTAAAAGTGCTTACTAAAAAATGCTTTCAAAGCCTCTTATCCACTACTCCTCCACCCCAAAAAGAGTTGAATATGAATAGAAACAGTAGCTTTCTTCCTTGGGATACCAATTTTTGAGTCCATGAGGCAAGATATGCTTTGTGTGGCTTCTATACTGTGTAGCTCTGGTTCTCTGCCATGGAAGGTTTCCCTTGTCTAGAGCCCCCTTCCCCCACCTGTCAAAGCCTCCCCTGATGCAATCACTGCATCCTCCCATGTCTGAGGGTCGACCAGCTACTGAGAGGCCTTCCTCTATTGTGCTAAGGTTGGAGTTGGCATTGTTTTCAATGCTGATGGGAGACTGAAGTTTTGAAGCCTATAGATTTACTCCAGGACCTGTGACGGGAAAGGAGAAGCATTTTATTGAGTTTCTGGCAGTGTGTTGGATCTAAGCCTATGTGTCTACCAACTCTGCTGCTGTGATAGTCCGGCTGCCCACTTAGCCTTTAATATCAGCCACCTTTGTTCCTTCTATGCCTCTTCTGTCCTGTGTTTCCAGTCTTTGAAGGCAAAGATTATGTCTCTGAGCTTTGCACTTGATCTTAGCCAAAATGCCAAGAAGCAATTGTCTGTAAGCTTTGGCCAGGGTTTTTAGATGAGTAAATATTATATCTTCTTAAAAGGTATGTGTATAATGCATTGCCATACTGAAAATCATCCCCCTGGAAGGTCTTACACTCAACAATGGTGGCTTTGCTTACAAGTCAGCATCCTTAGGAACAGTTTTGAGACCCTGAAGCACATTCTTCAGGGCACTGATATGGTTTGCCTCTGTGTCCCCACCCAAATCTCACCTTGAATTGTAATAATCCCTATGTGTCAAGGGTGGGACCAGGTGGAGATAATTAAATAATGGAGGCGGCTTCCCCCATTATGTTCTCATGATAGTGAGTTAGTTCTCACGAGATCTGATGGTTTTATAAGGGGCTTTTCCCTCTTTGCTTGGCACTTCTCCTTCATGCTGCCACGTGATGAAGGACGTGTTTGCTTCCCCTTCCACAATGATTGTAAGTTTCTTGAGGCCTCCCCAGCCATGCAGAACTGTGAGTCAATTAAACCTCTTTTCTTTATAAATTACCCAGTCTTGGGTATCTCTTTATTAACAGCATGAGAACGGACTAATACAGGCAACTTCACTGGGAAATGTCTGAGTCTTTAGAAACTTTAGTCTTAGTATTTATTTATTTATTTATTTATTTATTTATTTATTTATTTATTATTTTGAGATGGAGTCTTGCTCTGTCGCCCAGGCTGAAGTGCAGTGGAGTGATCTTGGCTCACTGCAACCTCTGCCTCCCAGGTTCAAGTGATTCTCCTTCCTCAGCCTTCCCGAGTAGCTGGGACTACAGGCATGCACCACCGTGCCAGGCTGATTTTTGTATTTTTAGTGGAGACAAGGTTTTGCCATGTTGGCCAGGCTGGTCTTGAACTCCTGACCTCAGGTGATCCACCCACCTCAGCCTCCCAAAGTGCTGGGATTACAGGCATGAGCCACTGCACCAAACCGTCTTAGTTTTCAGAATGAGTGTTAGAGGCCAGGCGTGGTGGCTCATGCCTATAATCCCAGCACTTTGGGAGACTGAGGTGGGTGGATCACCTGAGGTCAGGAGTTCAAGGCCAGCCTGGCCAACATGGTGAAACCCCGTCTCTACTAAAAATACAAAACTTAGCCTGGCATGGTGGCGTGCATTTGTAGTCCCAGCTACTTGGGGAGGCTGAGGCAGGAGAATCGCTTGAACCCAGGAGGCGGAGGTTGAAGTGAGCCGAGATTGTGCCACTCCACTCCAGCCTGGGTGACAAAGTGAGACTGTGTCAAAAAAAAAAAAAGAAAAAAAGAAAAGAAAAGAAAAGAATGAGTGTTAGAGTATTTGAATCTTACTTTTATTTTTACTCCTGACACTTATTTAACTTGCTGTATGTTAACAAGTCCCTCCCTTCTCTGGACCTCAGTTTCTCCACCTGTGTAATGAACAGATAGAATGGGATCTAAGGGATATTCAGATTCCAGGAATCTCTGCTTTCTGAAATATATTAGCTTGATGCAGGGAGCCAATCTCACAGTGCCTGTGAGATTTAATCATCATCATTTAGCAAGTGCACAGTAGATGTCATGGGATGGCTCATGTGTGGTCTTCTGTGTCTTTACAACAGCCCGTAAGGTAGATGGTGAGATCTCTGTTTCACAGATGGGGAAACCAAGGTTTAGAATGCATCCCTTGAGGTTCATGTTAATTGCAGGCTGGGCCCTGGATCAGATCTGCGCTCTCTCTGGGCTGAGTGAGCTGCACATTTGGTGGCTTTTACAGATGCCCTGGTTTGAAGGCTGTAAGGTCACCAGGAAGGAATGGAATGTGGCAGGTGTGACACTGCTAAAAGCACTGGACTCAATCACACTGCTACCCACTCCACGGACAAGCCTCTGCAGCTGCCCCTGACAGGCAGGTACAAGACTGGGGATAAGTTCATGCCTTGTGGAGGTGCTTGGGGTTGGGGGCCTACTGGGGTCTGGTTGCTGATGGCCCTGGGTGCTCTGTCCCTCCAGGTATTGGCACTGTGCTTGTGGGGCAGGTGGAAGCAGGCATGGTGGTGACCTTCGCCCCATGCAACATCACCATGGAAGTCGAGTCTGTGGAGATGCACCAAGGCCCTGCCTGGTGACAAGGTGGGCTTCCATGTGAAGAACGTATCAGTAAAGGACATCAGGCGAGGTGACCTGGCAGGACAGCAAGAATGACCCGCCCTCAGAGGTGGCGAGCTTTGTCTCCCAGGTGAGACACCCACTGAGGGGCATGTCCCGCTGCTCCTAGGGCTGCCAGCTCACTCAGAGTGGTCACAGGGCATGGGCTCTGTATTAGACTCTTGACCACTGTGGAGGTGGAGTCAGACTGCCTGGGTTAGAATTCTTACTCTGCCTTTTATTTGTGTGCACCCTTGAACAAACCAATGTACTTCAATGAATCTGTTAGTTTCCACAACAACATCTTGAAAAGCAATATTTTTTTTTTTTTTTTTGAGAATGAGTCTCACTCTTGCCAAGACTAGAGTGCAGGGGCAGGATCTCAGCTCACTGCAACCTTGCCTCCCAAGTTCAAGCGATTCTCCTGCCTCAGCCTCCCGAGTTGCTGGGACTACAGGCATGTGCCACCACGCTCAGCTAATTTTTGTATTGTTAGTAGAGACGGGGCTTCACCATGTTGGCCAGGCTGGTCTTGAACTCCTGACCTCAAGTGATCCGCCCACCTCGGCCTCCCAAAGTGCTGGGATTACAGGCATGAGCCACCATGCCTGGCTGAAAAGCAGTATTTCTTAAACCAAGTGGTTTACAATCATCTGGGAAGGTGTTTCAAAAATACAGATTCTGGGGCTGGACACATGTTGGCCAGGCCAGACATGGCGAAACCCCATCTCTACTAAAAACACAAAAATCAGCTGGGCATGGTGGCATGTGCCTGTAATCCCAGCTACTAGGGTGGCTGAGGCAGGAGGATCAGTTGAACCTGGGAGGCGGAGGTTGCACTGAGCAGAGATCGTGCCACTGCACTCCAGCCTGGGCAACAGAGTGAGACTCTGTCTCAAAAAATTAAAAAATAAAATGTGCCCAAGGTGCCTGACCTCTTAGATGATCAGGGTCACCTCCTTTGCATGGGGCTTAGCTGATGCCCCCCTTTCTCCCCTCCCCATCCCACCGTGGCCTCCAGGTGATCATTCTCAACTACCTTGGCTGCACCACAGCTGGCTACTCACCAGTTTTGTACTGCCACACAGCCCACATTGCCTGCATGTTTGCAGAGCAGCAAGTTTGCAAACCAGCGCTTGGGCAACAAAGTGGAAGACAACCCCAGAGCTTTGAAGTCTGGGGACTTGGCCATCGCCCAGATGATCCTGGGCAAGCCCATGTGCGTGGAAAGCTTCTCAGACTACCCGCCCCTCAGTAAGACCCAACAGCACCTGGCCACTGGGGCTGCCCCTTCCTCCTTCTGGGTCCAGGAAGCCAGTTGGCCACCTGAGCCAGGCAGTAGAACCTAGTCACAAGGATCTGAGAGCCAGGTTAGAAGAGCCCACAGAGAGAAGGGGGCTTGCCTGGTATCACAGCAAGGTGGGGGCCACTCTAAAGCCTTGCTACTCAAAGTGTTGTTCATGGACATGCTTCACAGGCATGCTCTGGGAGTTAGATATGCAGAATCTGGCTGAGCGCAGTGGCTCATACCTGAAATCCTAGTGCTTTGGGAGGCTGAGGCAGGAGGATTGCTTGAGGCCAAGAGTTTGAGGCCAGCCTGAGCAAAATAGCGAGACCCCCATCTCTATAAAACATTTTAAAAATTGGCTGGGCATGGTGGTGCTTGGGGATACTGAGGTGGGGGGATGGCTTGGGCACAGGAGTTTGAGGCTGCAGTGAGCTATGATCACGCCACTGCACTCCAATCTTGGAGACACAGCAAGACCCTGTCTCAAAAAAAAAAAAAAAAAAAAAAGAAAAAGAAAAGAAAAGAAAAGAAAGATAAATAGAAGAATCTCATTCTCCATCTAGACCTGCTGAATTCAAATCTGCGTTTTAACAAGATCCCCCAGGTAAATGGACGTCACATCAATGTTTGAGAAACACTGCTCTAGAGAAGGTGAGTAGAGCAGAGATGGGTAGGGAGGTTTTTCCCTTCCTGCTGTCTAGGACGGTGGCTTTCAAACCTGCTGGATTATCATAACCACTGATGAAGCCTTTTAAACCTAGAGGCTCACACCCTGATAGAGTTACCTGGTTAAGGCTGCAGCCTAGGAGTATGTTTCTTAGACTCTCCAGGTATCACTTGCATGGCTGGGCTTGAACTACATTCTGAACTCAAATATCTAGGGAGTAGGCTCTTTCACGTAGTGCTTCTGTGCCAGGTTCTGTGCTATATGTTAGACATTTGTGCCTGAGCAAGAAGAACAAGTCCCTCAGGTCTCCCAGTTAATGGGGAAAAGGGTGAATCTATAAAGGCTAATTTTAGAGCTGGGCTAAAGAGGCTGCCAACATAAATCTTGCAATGTTGGGTTAGGTCTTCCTACCCATACCAAAAATATTATGAGACACAAAGCCAGGAGCCGAAGCCTTTTCTCTGCAACATGAAGTCAGGGATGCCTTCAAGAACCCTCAAGGGCTGGGCGCGGTGGCTCACGCCTGTAATCCCAGCACTTTGGGAGGCTGAGGTGGGTGGATCTTCTGAAGTCAGGAGTTCAAGACCAGCCTGGCCAACATGATGAAACCCTGTCTCTACTAAAAATACAAAAATTAGCCAGGCATGGTGGCAGGCGCCTGTAATCCCAGCTACTGGGAAGGCTGAGGCAGGAGAATCAATCGCTTGAACCCAGGAGGTGGAGGTTGCAGTGAGTTGAGATCGCGCCATTGCACTCCAGCCTGGGCAACAAGAGTGAAACTCCGTCTCCCAAAAACAAAAAACAAACAAACAAAAAACCTCAGGAGAAGCAACACCCAGGTTGCCAGTTGACTGTGAGAACCACCGCATGGGTTGTGATGGGCATGGGGGAATTGCTGGTTGCTTGGAGGCTGGGAGCATTCCTTTGCTAAGGTGACTGCACCAAAAGGAAAGCTTTCCCTGTCATCATTGCTGATGGCAGCAGGAGAGTTGGGCAGCTAAGAATATAAGCACTGGTGTGAGACTTCTAGTTTCTTTTTCTTTTTGTTTTTGAGACACAGTCTTGCTCTGTCACCCAGGCTGGAGTGCAATGGTGCAATCTCAGCTCACTGCAACCTCCGCTTCCCGGGTTCAAGCGATTCTCCTGCCTCAGCCTCTCCAGTAGCTGGGATTACAGGCGCCAATCACCACGCCCAGCTAATTTTTCTTTCTTTTTCTTTTTTTGTATTTTTAGTAGAAGCAGGGTTTCACCATGTTGGCTAGGCTGGTCTCAAACTCCCGACTTCAGGTGACCCACCCACCTCAGCCTCCCAAAGTGCTGGGATTACAAGTGTGAGCCACCGCTCCCGGCCAACTTCTAGGTTTTTAACCATTGCAGCCAAGTGACCTTCAACTTCTCTGCCTCACTTTTCTCACCTGTAAAATGGGTACAAGAGATGTACTGTGAATTATTGGGAGAATGAACATGAGCTCATGTATATAACTCAAATGATCACTTTTGGCCCACTTGACCTCTTCTGCAAGTGTCCCATAGCTCCTGCTCTGAAAAGTATTCCCCCTATTTCTTCACGCCCTATGTCCTAGGTCATTTCTCTGTGTGACATGAAGCAGACAGTGGCTGTTGGGGCCATCAAGATTGGAGAAAAAAGCAGCTACTGGCAGCAAGGTCACCAAGGCAGCCAGGAAGGCAGCCAGGAAGTGAGTGGTAGAGCCTCACCTGGGAAGAGTGGCTCAAGGAGAAGCCTTGGACTTGTTCTCTTGCCTAAACTGTCTTTTCTTTTCTTTTTCTTTTTCTTTTTTCTTTTTTCTTTTTTTTTTTGAGATGGAGTCTGGCTCTGTTGCCCAGGTTGGAGTGTAATGGCGCGATCTCAGCTCACTGCAAGCTCTGCCTCCTGGGTTCACGCCATTTTCCTGCCTCAGCCTCCCAAGTAGCTGGGACTACAGGCGCCCGCCACCACGCCCGGCTATTTTTTTTGTATTTTTAGTAGAGATGGGGTTTCACCGTGTTAGCCAGGATGGTCTCGATCTCCTGACCTTGTGATCCACCCAACTTGGCCTCCCAAAGTGCTGGGATTACAGGCGTGAGCCACCACGCCCGGCCCTGTCTTTTCTTTTTTGAGACAGAGTCTTGCTCTTCTCCCAGGCTGGAGTGCAATGATGCGATCTTGGCTCACTGCCACCTCCACTTCCCAAGTTCAAACAATTCTCCTGCCTCAGCCTCCCCAGTAGCTGGGATTACAGGCTCCCAACACCACGCCTGGCTAATTTGAGTATTTTTCATAGAGACAGGGTTTCACCCTGTTGGCCAGGCTGGTCTCAAACTCCTGACCTCATCCGCCCGTCTTGGCCTTTCAAAGTGCTGAGATTACAGGTGTAAACCACTGCGCCCGGCTGTCTGAACTATCTTAATCCTGATCCTGCTAATATGGTTTTCTCTCTGCTGATGAGCTTGAGGCGTTGGATAAAGCAAAGCAAGTCTTTTTGCCTCTGCCTCTACTGACCTCTGTCTCAAGCAGTGAGGAGGCAGGTGGGTTACTGGGAGTCCAGATGCAAGAGCCAGACAGCTGGGCTTGTAAAGAAGAAAACGCATGGAGGGAAAACTGAGGGGAAGGTCTGGGCCCTAGCCTGGTCTGTCGGCTTCTAAAATAGGACGGGACGCTGGTATTAGACTGCCTGATTTCATTACTGTCTTAAAAGTTACTAGACCAGGAGTGGTGGTGCATGCCTATAATCCCAGCACTTTGGGAGGCCGAGGTGGGTGGATCACTTGAGCTCAGGAGTTCAAGACTAGCCTGGGCAGTATAGTGAGACCTCATCTCTACAAAAAATACAAAAAAATTGGCCAGGTGTGATGGTGCATACCTGTGGTCCCAGCTACTTGGGAGGTTGAGGTGGTAGGATCACTTGAGCCCAGGAGGTCGAGGCTGCAGTGAGCTGAGATCGTGCCTCTGCACTCCAGCCTGGGCAACTGAGTGAAAAAAAGAAAAGAAAAAAAAAAAAAGGGCCAGGTGCAGTGGCGTATGCCTGTAATCCCAGCACTTTGGGAGGCTGAGGAGGGCAGATCACTTGAAGTCAGGAGTTTGAGACCATCCTAGCCAACATGGCAAAACACCATCTCTACTAAAATACAAAAATTAGCTAGGCATGGTGGTGCATGCCTGTAGTCCCAGCTACTCAGGAGGCTGAGGCACAAGAATTGATTGAACCCGGGAGGCAGAGGTTGCAGTGAGCTGAGATCACACCACTGCACTCCAACCTGGGTGACAGAGCAAGACTGTGTCTAAAAAAAGAAAAAAAAAAAAAGCTGGACACGGCTGGACACGGTGGCTCACACCTGTAATCCCAGCACTTTGGGAGTCTGAGGCGGGTAGATCACCTGAGGCCAGGAGTTCAAGACCACCCTGGCCAACATGGCGAAACCCTGTCTCTACCAAAAATACAAAAATTAGCCAGACGTGGTGGCGGGCACCTGTAATCCCAGCTACTTGGGAGGCTGAGGCAGGAGAATTGCTTGAACCCAGGAGATGGAGGTTGCAATGAGCCGAGACATCATGCCATTCCACTCCAGCCTAGGTGACAGAGTGAAACTCCTCCATCTCGAAAAAAAGAAAAAAAAGTTACTAAACTTCTATGTGTTTGTCTGCTCATCTGTAAAATGGGAAAGCAATAGTATCTGCCTCCACAGGGATGCTGAAGGTTGAGTGAGCTGGTGCCTGGTGGGGACAGTAAATTAGTTATTAATCAGCCACCCTCATTATCACAGTATGGGTAATACAGCCACTTAAGAGCTATTCTGGGAAGTTTGTTTGAAGAAAAGGTGGAGTTGGGGTGGGGATTGAGCTTTTGAGAATGAGTTCAATTTTATATCTCCCCAGGTACCTGTTTCCCTTTAAGTTACATAGAAGTTGCAAGAAGTCCCATATATCTTTCACCCAGATTCCCCAAGTCCTTTATTGATTGATTGATTGAGAGGGGGCCGGGTATGGTCTGGCTGTGTCACCCAAGCTAGGGTGCAGTGGTTGGATCATAGCTCATTGCAGTCTCAAACTCCTGGGCTCAAAGGATCCTCCTGCCTTAGCCTCTTCCACCACTGGAATTATAAATGTGTGCCACTATGCTCAGCAGATTCCCTAAAACTTAACTTCACCATGTTCTGCGGTGAGAAGGTATATCCAAACCTACCCCCAAAGGCCAAGGGAGCTGATGGGCTGAAGAAAGAGGATGACAAATCTAGTTTCTCAGAAAGAAACATGTAAGACACTTAGAAGAGAAGTCATGTCTCAGGCAGCCGTGAGACAGTGGGTCCCCGTACTATTACCCCCAAGACCCAGGGCTCATATACCATAGGGAAAGGGTATATGTGCTTCAGAAGAAATGTGTAGGACAATTGAGGTCAACCCTCTGGGAAAGGCAAAAATGCTATGTATGACATAGCCTATAATCTGCTTAAGAAGAGGATTTATATTAAGTGTTTACAATGCTAACATCATGGTTGTTTTGACCTAAAGGGCAGGATTTACAGCTCTTAATAGTAGATAAAGTAGAAATCATAGAGGCATTCCTGGAACTGGGGTTAATCAGAAGTCAGGAGCAGTGGCTCATGCCTGTAATCCTAGCACTTTGGGAGGCCAAGGTGTCCAGGAGTTCAAGACCAGCCTGGACAACATAGCAAGACTTGTCTCTAAAAAAAAAAAAAAAATCAGAAGTCAATATGGCAGATTAAAATCCAAGATGAAGTTCCCTTAGCCTCTACATGCTACATTTGCTTTATTATTTCCCCTCTAAATTTGTTTCATTCTGAGCCATTTCAGAGTAAGCTGCAGATACAATGCCCCTCTACTGCAAATACTGAATGTGCTTTTATTTAAACACAAGAACATTTTCTTACAAAACCAAGATCCAGTAATCAGAATGAGGACATAAACATGGTACATTTCTGAAATCTATAGACCTTATTCAGATTTTGCCAATTGTCCCAATAACATGCTTTATAGCAAAAGAAAATCCAGGACCATGTGTTACATTCAGTTGTTTCTTTTCTTTTCTTTTTTTCTTTTTTCTTTCTTTCTTTTTTTTTTTTTTTTTTGAGACAGAGTTTTGCTCTTGTTGCCCAGGTTGGAGTGCAATGGCACAGTCTCAGCTCACTGTAACCTCTGCCTCCCGGTTCAAGCGATTCTCCTGGCTCAGCCTCCCAAGTAGCTGGGACTACAGGTGCCCGCCACCACACCCAGCTAATTTTTTGTATTTTTAGTAGAGACAGGGTTTCATCATGTTGGCCAGGCTGGTCTTGAACTCCTGACCTCAGGTGATCCACCCACCTCGGCCTCCCAAAATGCTGGGATTACAGGCATGAGCCACAGTGTCTGGCCCATTCTGTTGTTTCTTTATTCCAAGTTTCGAAGCAGCCCCTCCTGGGAGTCTGGCTGAAACCCCAGCTCTGAGTTGGCCAGTGGGTACTTGAGGGTGGAGGCTCAAAGGAGGGGCGTTTTCCATTTGCCCTCCTCCATCAGCCCAGTTTCCCAGAAGTGCCCTCTGGTCCCTCTGGGTGAAATCAGGGGAGACTGGGGCTTCTATCTCACTTATGGCTTATGAGGATGAGAGAAGGGAATTGTGCCAGCAGAAGGAAGAGGCTTGGTTCCTTCCCTACCAAAACCTGCTGTGTTCTCCTCTTTCCATCAGTTTGTTCCTATTAAAGGAACTGGCTGACTCAAAGCTAGCTACAGCCTGGAACGTGGGTCCTGGTCTCCTATCCATGGGTCCTGCTGCTGAGGATTCAGTGCAAGCCAGGGGGACCTCTTACTGTCCGGGTTGAAGTCCTTGTGTATCAGAGGCTAACCTGCAGGCCATCTCTTGATTATAATACCATGTCTAACACTTTTTAGAAGACGGTGTTGCTTGGATATACCAGCTTTATATTAATAACAAGAGTCACAATTTATTTCAGGCTTATCATGTGCTTTACATAATTATCTTATGGTACCCATTTTACAGATGAGGAAAACTGAGGCTGATAGGATTCTAATTATAGACTGATCATCCATAATCTGAAAACCCCAAATCTGCAATGCTCTAAACTCTGAAACACTTTGAGCACTGACATGAAGCCACAGTGGAAAATTTCACACTTGACCTCATGTGACAGGTGGCAGTTAAAATGCAGGTACACAGCATACAGTTTATTCAGCATTCCTGAGGGAAAAAAGACGCTCCCAGCCCCCTTCAGCTGTGATATCTCTTTTCCACTCCCACTCAGATTCCGCCATGAAAGCATGTCCACAAGAGGTAACACAAGGCTGAGCATGGTGGCTCATGCCTGTAATCCCAGCACTTTGGGAGGCTGAGGTGGGAGGCTGAGTTCGAGACCAGCCTGGCCAACATGGTAGAAACCATTTCTACTAAAAATACAAAATTAGCTGGGTGTGGTGGTGCGCGCCTGTAATCCTAGCTACTTTGGAGGGTGAGGCAGGAGGATCACTTGAACCTGGGAGGCGGAGGTGGCAGTGAGCCGAGATCGCACCACTGCACTCCAGCCTGGGTGACAGAGCAAGATTCCATCTCAAAACAAAAAACAAAAAACAAAAAACAAAAAAAAAGGGGTAACATGATGGCACATGTGCAGGCCAGACATGCCAACTGCAGGTTCCCCACATGCCTCAAATAGGGAAGAGATCTATGCACATCACTCACTGTGTTTTTTTAATTATTATTTTCTGTTCCGTGGTGTAAAGATATTGTTGAAAGTGTAAAGAAAGGCCTGCAGATACCCCTACGAGTAATAGTGATAAGGAAAAGAGGAAGCAGGCCAGGCAAGGTGGCTCACGTCTGCAATCTCAACACTTTGGGAGGCCGAGGCGGGTGGATCACTTGAGGTCAGGAGTTCAAGACCAGCCTGGCCAACATGGTGAAACCCCTGTCTCTACCAAAAATACAAAAATTAGCTGGGTGTAGTGGCAGGCGCCTGTAATCAGCTACTCGGGAGGCTGAGGCAGGAGAATCGCTTGAACCCGGGAGGCAGAGGTTGCAGTGAGCCTATATGGCACCACTGCACTCCAGCCTGGGCAACAGAGTGAGACTCCATCTCAAAAAAAAAAAAAAAAAAAAGAAAAAGAGGAAGCAGTTATGTTTATAGCACAGAAAGTCAAGTTGCTGGAGAAATGGGACAGAAGTGTAGGTGTGAAATATCCTACAGAAGAGTATGGTGTTGGCATAAACACCGTAGATGACCTAAAGAAACAGAAGGATGGCCAGGCGTGGTGGCTCATGCCTGTAATCCCAGCACTTTGGGAGGCCAAGGTGGGCGGATCACCTGAGGTCAGGAGTTCGAGACCAGCCTGGCCAACATGGCGAAACCCCGTCTCTACTAAAAGTACAAAAAACTTGCCGGGTGTGGTGGTGCATGCCTGTAGTCCCAGCTACTTGGGAGGCTGAGGCAGGAGAATCGCGTGAACTCAGGAGGCGGAGGTTGCAGTGAGCCAAGATTGTGCCACTGTACTCCAGCCTGGGCAACAGAGGGAGACTCCAACTCAAAAAATGAAAAAAATGAAAAAAAAAAAGAGTACAAAAAAATTAGCCGTGTGCGGTGGCAGGCGCCTGTAATCCCAGCTACTCAGGAGGCTGAGGCAAGGGAATTGCTGAGGCAAGAGAATTGAAACCTGGGAGGCAGAGGTTGCAGTGAGCCGAGATCGCGCCTCTGCACTCCAGCCTGGACAACAAGAGCAAGAATCCATCTCAAAAAAAAAAAAAAAGAAAGAAAAAAACAGAAGGATAAACTGATGAAGTTCTATATGCTGAAAATGATGAACAGAAGTTAATGAAAAAGAGAAAAACAATGCATAAAGCAAAAAAAATGAAGATCTTCATTGTGTATTGAAAGAGTAGATCCATCTGGCTGGGCACGATGGCTCACACCTGTAGTCCCAGAACTTTGGGAGGCTGAGGTGGGTGGATCACTTGAGGTCAGGTGTTCAAGACCAGCTGGCCAACATGGTGAAACCCCATCTCTACTAAAACTACAAAAATTAGCTGGGCGTGGTGGCAGGTGCCTGTAATCCCAGCTACACAGGAGGCTGAGGCAGGAGAATTTCTTGAACCCCGGAGATGGAGGTTGCAGTGACTTGAGATCATGCCACTGCACTCCAGCCTGGATGACAGAGCAAGACTCTGTCTCAACAAAAAAGAAGAGTAGATCCATCAGCATTGCACTGATGGATCCATCCAACATGTGCCGCTTAATGGTATACTGAAGGTGAAACAAGCAAGATCTATCACGATGAACAGAAAATTTAAGGAAACTGAATATTCAACAGGCTGATTGCAGATTTTTTGGGGTGTGGGGACAGGTCTCACTCTATTACCCAGGCTGGAGTGCAGTGACATAAATATGGCTCACTGCAGACTCAGCCTCCTAGGCTCAAGCAGTCCTCCCACCTCAGCCTCCCAAGTAGCTGGGAACACACACACATACACCATCATGCCAGGCTAATAAATTTTTTGCAGAGACAGGGTCTTGCCATGTTGCCCAGGCTGGTCGTAAACTCCTAGGCTCAAGAAACCCTCCCACTTTGGCCTCCCAAACTGTTGGGATTACAGGTATGAGCCACTGCACCTGGCTGGTTGCAGAAATTTAAGACGAGACATGATGTTACATTTTTAAAGATTTGTAGGCCAGGTGCAGTGGCTCATGCCTGTAATCCCAGCACTTTGGGAGACTGAGGCGGGTGGATCACTTGAGGTCAGGAGTTTGAGACCAGCCTGGCCAACATGGTGAAACCCTGTCTCTACTAAAAAAAAACACAAAAATTAGCCGGGCATGGTGGTGGACGCCTGTAATCCCAGCTACTCCGGAGGCGGAGGCAGGAGAATTGCTTGAACCCAGGAGGTGGAGGTTGCAGTGAGCCGAGATGGAGCCACTGCACTCCAGCCTGGGCAACAGAGTGAGATTCTGTCTCAAAAAAAAAAAAAAGAAAAGAAAAAAAAAAGAGAAAATGCATGATGAGCTTATTGAGGGGCAAGAGCAGAATGCATTCATAACAAAATCATGTCTAAGACAAAAACCATTGGTAATGAAGCAGATGAAGCCTGGTGTGGCAGTTCATGCCTGTAATCCCAGCACTTTGGAAGGCAAAGGTGGGAGGATCGCTTGAGTCCAGGAGTTGGAGACCAGCCTGGGCAACATGGCAAGACCCCATCTCTACAAAAAATTTAAAAAATTAGCTGGGCATGGTAGTGTGCACCTGTGGTCCCAGCTACGTGGGAGGCTGAGGTGGGAGGATCATGTGAGCCCGGGAAGTCATGGCTGCAGTGAGCCAAGATCACACCACTGCACTCCAGCCTGGGCAACAGAGCAAGACCCTGCCACAAAACAAAACAAAAAACAAAAAACAAACAAAAAAAAATAGAAAAAAAAAAAAAAAGGCAGATGACTCTGGAGGAAACATTTTAAAAAGCCATCCAGGAGAATGCCTCCTTGTCCCTAGGGGACCCACTTCCTGCTCCCTCAACTGCTTCTGATGTTTCTTCTCACCTTAAAAAAAATACAGTGTAGTCCCCTCTCTCCTCTCCCTTCTCCCCTCTCCCCTCTCCCTCTCGGTCTCCCTCTCCCTCTCTTTCCACGGTCTCCCTCTGATGCCGAGCCGAGGCTGGACTGTACTGCTGCCATCTCGGCTCACTGCAGCCTCCCTGCCTGATTCTCCTGCCTCGGCCTGCCGAGTGCCTGCGGTTGCGGGCGCGCGCCGCCACGCCTGACTGGTTTTCATGCTTTTTTGGTGGAGACGGGGTTTCGCTGTGTTGGCCGGGCTGGTCTCCAGCTCCTGGCCGCGAGTGATCCGCCGGCCTCGGCCTCCCGGGGTGCCGGGATTGCAGACGGAGTCTGGTTCACTCGGTGCTCGGTGGTGCCCAGGCTGGAGTGCAGTGGCGTGATCTCGGCTCGCTACAGCCTCCATCTCCCAGCCGCCTGCCTTGGCCTCCCAGAGTGCCGAGATTGCAGCCTCTGCCCGGCCGCCACCCCGTCTGGGAGGTGGGGAGTGTCTCTGCCTGGCCGCCCATCGTCTGGGACGTGGGGAGCCCCTCTGCCTGGCTGCCCAGTCTGGAGAGTGAGGAGCGTCTCTGCCCGGCCGCCATCCCATCTGGGAAGTGAGGAGCGCCTCTTCCCGGCCGCCATCCCACCTGGGAGGTGAGGAGCGTCTCTGCCCGGCCGCCCATCGTCTGAGATGTGGGGAGCGCCTCTGCCCCGCCGCCCCGTCTGGGATGTGAGGAGCGCCTCTGCCCGGCCGCGACCCCGTCTGGGAGGTGAGGAGCGTCTCTGCCCAGCCGCCCCGTCTGAGAAGTGAGGAGACCCTCCGCCCAGCATCCGCCCCGTCTGCGAAGTGAGGAGCCCCTCCGCCCGGCAGCCGCCCCGTCTGAGAAGTGAGGAGCCCCTCTGCCCGGCAGCCACCCCGTCTGGGAAGTGAGGAGCGTCTCCGCCCGGCAGCCGCCCCGTCCGGGAGGGAGGTGGGGGGGTCAGCCCCCCGCCCAGCCAGCCGCCCCGTCCGGGAGGGAGGTGGGGGGGTCAGCCCCCCGTCCGGGAGGTGAGGGGCGCCTCTGCCCGGCCGCCCCTACTGGGAAGTGAGGAGCCCCTCTGCCCGGCCACCACCCCGTCTGGGAGGTGTACCCAACAGCTCATTGAGAACGGGCCGGGATGACAATGGCGGTTTTGTGGAATAGAAAGGGGGGAAAGGTGGGGAGAAGATTGAGAAATCGGATGGTTGCCGTGTCTGCGTAGAAAGACGTAGACATGGGAGACTTTTCATTTTGTTCTGTACTAAGATAAATTCTTCTGCCTTGGGATCCTGTTGATCGGTGACCTTACCCCCAACCCTGTGCTCTCTGAAACATGTGCTGTGTCCACTCAGGGTTAAATGGATTAAGGGCGGTGCAAGACGTGCTTTGCTAAACAGATGCTTGAAGGCAGCATGCTCGTTAAGAATCATCACCACTCCCTAATCTCAAGTACCCAGGGACACAAACACTGCGGAAGGCCGCAGGGTCCTCTGCCTAGGAAAACCAGAGACCTTTGTTCACTTGTTTATCTGCCGACCTTCCCTCCACTATTGTCCTATGACCCTGCCAAATCCCCCTCTGCGAGAAACATCCAAGAATGATCAATAAAAATTAAAAAAAAAAATACATTGTACAGTAATCTTTTAATCAAAACACTGCATCATAGGTGGAGACTGAAAGCCTGCCACTTGTGGTCGCTGTTTTTTGTTTGTTCGTTTGTTTGTTTTGAGACAGGGTCTTGCTCTATCACCCAGGCTGGAGTGCAGTGGTGTGATCTTGGCTCACTGCAAGCTTCTTCTCCTCGGTTCAAGCGATTCTCCTGCCTCAGCCTTCCGAGTAGCTCGGATTACAGGCATGCACCACCAGGCCCGGTTAATTTTTGTATTTTTAGTAGAGACGGGGTTTCACCCCGTTGGCCAGGCTGGTCTCGAACTCCTGACCTTAAGTGATCCACCCGCCTTAGCCTCCCAAAGCGCTGGGATTACAAGTGTGAGCCACAGCACCTGGCCTGGTTGGCGGGGCCGGGGTCGGGTGTGGTGGTGGGGGGAGGGGGGGTGGGTCGCTGTTGTTTCACAGCTGATCCAGGTTTTCTGGTGATGCTCCTCTGCTGCTTAGTTGCCCTGAACACATTACTTTTTCACTGTATTAATGACATAGCATATATTTTGCTGTTAAGAACTTATTTTTTATTTTTGAGACGGAGTCTCGCTCTGTCACCCAGGCTGGAGTGCAGTGGCGCGACCTCGGCTCACTGAAAGCTCCGCCTCCCAGGTTCACGCCATTCTCCTGCCTCAGCCTCCAGAGTAGCTGGGACTACAGGCGCCCGCCACCACGCCCGGCTAATTTTTTTTTTTTTTTTTTTTTGTATTTTTAGTAGAGACGGAGTTTCACCGTGTTAGCCAGGATGGTCTCGATTTCCTGACCTCGCGATCCGCCCGTCTCGGTCTCCCAAAGTGCTGGGATTACAGGCGTGAGCCACCGCGCCCGGCCGCTGTTAAGTACTTATATGTGAATAAGCGTAAGAAAGTATTGCTTATCAATAGCATATACATTTACAGTCTGGAAAAATGGTTAGGCCAACCAACCAGAGATTGTCCACAAGGGTGGCTGAGATAGTGACACCTTTGCTTTCTGATGGTTCAATGTACACAAACTTTGTTTCATGCACAAACTTACTTAAAATATTGTATAAAATTACCTTCAGACTATGTGTATAAGGTGTATATGGAACATAAATTAATTTCATATTCAGACTTGGGTTCCATCCCCAAGATATCTCATTATGTTTATGCGAATATTCCATAATCCGGAAAAATCCCAAATCTAAAAACCGTCTGGTCCCAGGCTTTTCAGGTTAGGAATACGCACCCTGTAGTAACTTGCCCAAGGTCACATAGCTACTAGCTGGTCGAGACAGGACCACATCTGCCTGTCTTCAAGCTCGGGACTCTTAAACCACCACTCCTTTCCGTTTGTATAAATTCTATTTGTGCCCGGAGTGGTGGCTCACGCCTGTAATCCCAGCACTTTGGGAGGCCAAGGCGGGTGGATCATTTGAGGTCAGGAGTTCCATACCAGCCCGACCAACATGGTGAAACCCCATCTCTACTAAAAATACAAACAAATTAGACCGGTATGGTGGTGCGTGCCTGTAATCCCAGCTACTTGGGAGGCTGAGGCAGGAGAATCGCTTGAACCCGGGAGGCGGAGGTTGCAGTGAGCCGATATCGCGCCACTGCACTTCAACCTGGGTGACACAGCGAGGCTCCGTCTCAAAAAATAAATAAATAAATAAATTATATTTGTTTACGTTGTTACAGAATAAATTTGCGTCATAATTTGCATGATTGATTTAATGTAGTTTTGGCGTTCTCATCACACAAGGACCACCAGCTCGTGACACTGGGAGGAGAGAACGTCCTCAAGGTCCGGAAACTCAAGGACGTGCTGATTCGGGAGCTTTCAAAAACTATTTTTGGAAAACCCAGATCCCGGTCTTCAGCCAGCGTCGCCTGCAGTGGCTAGCACTACCCACAAGGGAGAAGCCGACGCTGCAGGGCTTTGCCAAATGCGCCTCTCTTCCTCGTCTTCATCTCTGTGGTTAGCCTGGGAAAAGAGCCCGCCTCCTGGCCCATAAGGCCCTCGGCCGGAAGCTCCGCTTTCTCTTCCTGCTCTCCATCATGGCGGTGAGTAGCTGGGACCTGGATTTGCTTTCCTTTATCCGTCGCCATCCATGGCAGGCCGAGCCTGCGGGGGCTACTTCGCCCGCAGCCCGAGGAATATGGAGCCCGCAATGCCTGCTGGCCCAAAACTAGCAGAGCCGTTCGAGCCAAGGACGCAGGGTTGAATTCTGTCACTTTCCCTGCCATCGTTTTAGGAGCGGCTCCGGGCACTTGCCCGGAGTGCTCAGAAGCACGGTCAGGAGGCTGCAGCGGGGGCAGATGGGGTGAATGGAGGGTTCTGAGGCAGGGGGGTCCGGGCCTTTTCCTGGTCCCGGGGACTTGAGACTTGCTCGGTGCTAGGAAACCTTAGTCGGTTGCTCCGCTTAGGGAAGGTGCCAGCCTTTAGACAGCTTCCGAATAGGATGCTGGACGTCGCATAACCACGTGTTTCCTGTTAACTGAGCAATTAAGTTCTGTTTCTTCGCTCACTCCCCTTAGTTGGCCTTACAATGGGGGCGCTCTTTGTTACCCTGAGCCTCTTAGGGTTCGATCTCAGTGTCCGTATCTTTTAACACTCAATAACTGTCCTGAGTTTTCTCTTCACCCGTTCCGTTCGTGGAGGAAGGATAGGTTCCGAGCTGTCTTCTTCCCTTGATGTCCCCTAAACATTATACCTTTTAAACATTCAGGGTCTTCGTTACGATTTGGGATGAGCAGAAATAAAAATGCTGTGCAGATAGAAAGTAGTAAAACTCAGGGCCCTCAGCTGTGAGTGTATTGACTGCTGCTCTTCCCTGTTGCAGCAGGATCAAGGTGAAAAGGAGAACCCCATGCGGGAACTTCGCATCCGCAAACTCTGTCTCAACATCTGTGTTGGGGAGAGTGGAGACAGACTGACGCGAGCAGCCAAGGTGTTGGAGCAGCTCACAGGGCAGACCCCTGTGTTTTCCAAAGGTGAGTAGTCACAAGGACATACAGGGTTTGCCTGCTTGGGTCGCTTGGTTGTTTCTTGATTTACCTGCTGTCGAGTCTGTTTAGAAAGTGACAGTCGGCATCACTTAAAGCATTAAATTCATGAGCCGGCCAAGAGGTGTCTTTTTTTTTTTTTTTTATTCAAGATGGCGTGTGGGATTGGAACACTAGATTTTATTTGAGCAGATCTTAAGCTAAGACTAGCCCAAGTAAAGATTTTCCTAAGTAACTAGGATATGAGATAGAGTGGAAATGTCAGGAACGAAGTAAAGATCATTAGATCTGATTAGCAGTTAGGGTTATATAGGCTGCATTAAGAACAGGGCTGTACGGGAGCATGAGGCTTCAGTGGCCTATATTAGTGCCACTGCACTCCAGCCTGGTTGACCCTATCTCAAAAGTTGTATACAGATTGCCTGGGTTTGAGTGATGGCTTCACCATTTGCTGGTCTGACTCTGGGCTCTCTGGACCTCTGCTTTTTTCTTTGCATAAAGAGGGTAATACTTTATAATTGTGGAAGATAAAATGAGTTGTACATGTGTAGTTGCTTTAGGACAGTGAAATATGGCAAGTCTTTGGATTCCACTCCTGCTTTTTGTTACCAGCTGTGATGTTTGGCAAGTTAATAAACCTCTCAAAACCTCACCTGTAAAATATGGATAACAGTACAATAAGGTTTCAGCAAATAGTAGATGTTGTCAATAATGCTTTGTTTTCTTTGGAACATGATAATCTTACTAGTGGCTTCTTCGGCCTATTCTGGTTGTGACCTTGCCCTTCCTGGAACTTCGGCGTTATGACTGTTCTTAACTGCTGAAGGATGGCTGGATGTCTGGAAATGGGAAAATCTGTGCTGTGGATGAAATCTTATTAATAGATGTGGGAGACACTAATTAGAACACCACAACTTAAAAGAGTGTGGATGAATGCTTAATGTCTCTTTAAGTCATGGAGATGGTGTTCTGGGAAAGAGGTGAGTGTAGTGGGGGTATGATGGCATCTGACTCCTTGTTACCCACTTCCTGCAGCTAGATACACTGTCAGATCCTTTGGCATCCGGAGAAATGAAAAGATTGCTGTCCACTGCACAGTTCGAGGGGCCAAGGCAGAAGAAATCTTGGAGAAGGGTCTAAAGGTGAGCCTAATCCCCTAATGGAGTGATATTGATCAGCACTCCTTTAGTAACACATGTAGATAAGTTACATTTAATGTTCTGTTCTTTGGTGTCTTGATATTTATTTACTTAAGCTTCTAAAAGGCTTTTTCTACAATCAGCAGGGTTAAACTGTTCTTGGTGGTTTAAAAGATGCTTGAGGCTGGGCACGGTGGCTCAACGCCTGTAATCCCAACACTTTGGGAGGCCAAGGCGGTTGGATCATTTGTGGCCAGGAGTTCGAGACCATCCTGGCCAACATGGTGAAACACCATCTCTACTAAAAAAAGATAAAAATTAGCCGGGCTTGGTGGCGGGCTCCTGTAGTCCCAGCTACTCGGGAAGCTGAGGCACGACAATTGCTAGAACCTGGGAGGTAGAGGTTGCAGTGAGCTGATATTGTGCCACTGCACTCCAGCTTAGGCCACAGAGTGAGACTCTTGTCTCAAAAAAAAAAAAGAAAAAGGATGCTTGGGAGTCATTTCATGCCTCTGCTTTCTCTGGGTTTTTCTCTGCTCTTTGGAAGCTGGGAGAGGTCATACTGGGTAGTTGGGGTGTGAATCTATAGTCGAGGTATAGTGAGGAAGTCAGGTTGTGTTCTCAGCCAAGTTTCATTGACTTCTGTTTGCTCTGGGGTGCATGTTGCAGGCTGAGCTATTAATAGTTACTTGGGGGTGGGAGGGAGTTGAAGATGACAAGGAATGTTATTGCTGCATTTTTCTCCACAGGTGCGGGAGTATGAGTTAAGAAAAAACAACTTCTCAGATACTGGAAACTTTGGTTTTGGGATCCAGGAACACATCGATCTGGGTATCAAATATGACCCAAGCATTGGTATCTACGGCCTGGACTTCTATGTGGTATGAATATTTAATCTTTTCCCGCTCCTGGTCTGTGAGGAGAGGGGAATCTTTATTTCATATGTGGTATGTTGGTGTTCACATGTTGAGTTGCAGCTTTGAATATTGTCTGCCTTTGTGTTCTCCTCCCCCTTGGGGAAATGTGCCTCATTTGTGGCAAATGTAGGGGTGCAGCTCTGAACAAGGTGGACAAGATCCCTGCTGTTGGGGAACTTGCAGTCGAGGATCTGTAAAGCACCCACATGGCTTAAAGGTGGATGAAGGAAACTGTTCCCTCCAGCCAGTGATTTGAAACTTTGGAGAGAGGCAGTATTGGTGCCACATTTGGCCTATGGGTTGGTTGGCTGCACTGAGGCTGTTCTCCCCCTGGTTCTTCCTATAGAAACAGCTTTGGGTGATGCAGTGGTTTGCTCAGGAAGGGGGTTTTAACATAGAAATGACCTTTTGTGTTACTGCCGTGTTTTGGTCCAACAATAAAACTGAATAGCCTAAATCAGAAGTCCTGACTAGTGTGGAACCTGAAAGATGGTGGCACCCTCATTAGACAGACAAGTAATAAGACTTGGATACTCACAGGATGTTGGAGGAACAGCACACCTTTGGGAAGCATTTTTGAGCTGAAGCAGAAGGAAGAAAATATATATATTTGTGCTTCTCAGAGTTGTATGTTTTCTACACTGCTGGTGTGGCAATAGATTTTTAAATGTTACTTTTAAAAAGAAAAATGGAGATTTGGGAGCAGTAATGGAGGATCCTCAGCACCACTGGAAAATAGGCTGGGTTAGGGGGGTGCTGAAAGTTCCAGCCTCCAAAGCAAACTTACAGTATGGCTGTGTGTTGCGTGGGATGCTGGTGGCAGCTTTGTCAGACACAGATCATGGGTCTTGCTCCAGAATCCATTGGGCTGCCAAGTGACTCTTTGAAGATCTGTCTGTAATGTGTGAGTCTTGTCCATCTGCTCTTGACTCTGAGCTGGCTAGGTGACTGTTGGTTATTCCTGGGACAGGTGCTGGGTAGGCCAGGTTTCAGCATCGCAGACAAGAAGCGCAGGACAGGCTGCATTGGGGCCAAACACAGAATCAGCAAAGAGGAGGCCATGCGCTGGTTCCAGCAGAAGGTAAAGCTGATTTATCTCAAGTGAAGTGGTGGAATGTGATGTTGGTGAATGGAGTTGGGATTTGGGGATGCAAAATATAGTACTATTTGCTGGGTATCTTCTTTAAAGTTAGAATATTGGGCATCTTGACAAATCAGGGGCTTCCAGGGATGATGGTTTAAAAGAACATCCAGAACTAGGCCTTCTCCCTGTCACCATGAATGGGGGTAGATGGAAGGGGAGGAATATGGCTTTTAACAGGAGCCCCCTTTCTCAGATGATAGTGCAGTTCAGCACAGTGTAAAAACCAGCCAGCTTCCTATTTAGTCCAGAAAAGGATGGGATTCAGAGCCCAAGTTCATGTATCAATCAGATGTGAATTCTCAAAAGTTAGCCATTGCTGCAATCTCTGCTGTTGCCTCCTGTTCTGAAAAAATTAAATCTCTTCTCTTTCAGTATGATGGGATCATCCTTCCTGGCAAATAAATTCCCGTTTCTATCCAAAAGAGCAATAAAAAGTTTTCAGTGAAATGTGCAATTCTGTTGTGTGTTCTGTGAAAGGATCCTGGCCATATTCAAGTCCTTGGACCTCAAGCCACTTAAAGCTTCGATGGGAGTAGCTGGTAACAACCCCGTCATCCTCTGATTGGATGCCAGTATTTCCTGGCAGATCCAAGTCCAAGCTTCATAGCATTCATTGCCTGTGCTTGCCACACCTTGGTTGATGTGCTGTGGTGCAGTAGCCCCATTTGGAGGGGAGGGTTTGGTTGATGTTGGGGTTTGAATTTAGAGCCTTGGTTAAGCAGGGTGCAGTGCTCCTGTGTTCCAGGAGGCCCCCTGCTATTCAGTGATTCTGTTCTGTACTAGAAATTTTATCAGCATTGATGCGTCATGAAGGAATGACAGGCTTTGGTGTGATGGTTGAGATTAAATTTAGACTTAACTGTTCAGGCTCAGGTTTCTTTTACAATGAGAGTATAAGGTTCTTGGGAGGCAGTATGTGCAGATAAGAGGGCAGTCTTTCCGTTTCCAGCCCTTTCCTTTAACTGTTACCTCGGGTGAGTTGTTAATCTGCCTCAGTTTCCTTATCTGTATCAGGAGGCAGTAATAGTAGTATCTCTCAGAGGATTAAATGATTTAATACTTAACAAAATGCTCAGACTAGCACCAGCCACGTAGTGCTCAAAAGGGGTTTCATTTTTGTGTTTGGGTATAAGAAATATTACTTCTGCTAGCTTGCTTCCCTTTGGTGCAAAAATGAAAATACTTTCCCTGTGGTGATTGTCTTTTTTTTTTTTTTTTTTTTTTGAGACGAGTCTTGCTCTGTTGCCTGGGCTGGAGTGCAGTGGCGCGATCTCACTGCAAGCTCTGCCTCTGGGTTCACGCCGTTCTCCTGCCTCATCCTCCCGAGTAGCTGGGACTACAGGCGTCTGCCACCACGCCCGGCTGATTTTTTTTATTTAGTAGAGACGGGGTTTCACCGTGTCAGCCAGGAAGGTCTAGATCTTCTGACCTCGTGATCCGCCCGCCTTGGCCTCCCAAAGTGCTGGGATTACAGGTATGAGCCATCGCGCCCGGCCCCTGTAGTGATTTTCTATATCTAACTGAAGTCGATGCTCAAAAGCCGCCATTTTTGTTTGTTTGTTTTTGGTGGTGGTTTTTTTTGAGACAGAGTCTCTTTGTCACCCAGGCTGGAGTGTGCAGTGGCATGATCTCTGCAACCTCCGCCTCCTGGGTTCAAGCAATCCTCCCACCTCGGCGTCCCGAGTAATTAGGATTACAGCCATCCACCACCACGCCCAGCTAGTGTTTTTTTGTAGAGATGGGGTTTCACCATGTTGGCCAGGTTGGTCTTGAACTCACCATCCCAAAGTGTTGGGATTACAGGCGTGAGCCACTGCACCTGGCAAAAGCCATCATTTTTCTGACGCAATACTTGGCCATTGGTTCATCATTTTCAATTTCAGGTTTAAATTTTGGAGCGCATGTTAATTCAGTTAGATAATTTACTAATTTGTGACTAATTAGAGTTCAGTTGTCCTTGGGCCACCCGTTCATTGCTGTTCAGAGGTTCTCAAATTTGCTGCTTTTGTAGGTATTTTGAAACCTGGAAATAGATTATTTGGTGTGCCTCATTTTTAAATGAAAATAAAGTTACCTTATCCTGTAAGATGAGCTCTAGTTGGTGAAAGGGGAGAATCGTGGAACATGTTGCCATATACTTTTTATTTCATTTAAAATATGAGCTTTTCATTTCTCAATCTTTTACTACAGGGCCAGGGCCCCCACCTCAAATGGGGTGAAGGAGTCTCATTCTTAAAATTCATCTTCATGTTTATAGGGGGGAACCATACTTGTTTTTTACTAACTTCTGAATTAAATAACATGCCATAAACATGTTTAAGAACAGATCTGGTGAATGGATAGTTAATTAGTGCTGGGTGTGGAGAACAAATGCTGGTTTCATCTAAGTAAAGCATTTCAGAAATACAAAATGTAGAAAGTCTCTCAATTTTAATAATATAAACCTGCTAAGCCTTCATTTGGTCCTTGTGTATTGTCTGTGTACTCAGTTGACTTCTCATTAAAAACAAAACTGCTGTGCTCCTGACCCAGTGGAAGAAGCACTGTTGGGAGTTCAAAGAGCTAACCAGGTTTTAGTCCTAGCTCTAAATGGCATTGAGATTTTGGGCAGGTCATGAAACATCTGGAGGACTGCAACCACTAGAGACAGACAACCACCCAGTAGCTAGACAGCTAGCCCCTATTCTGGCTAGAAGCTTGACTTGCAAACAAATGTCCTATTGGTATCTAAAGCACTGTCATTTGTGGTTGAACTTGTACCAAGTGGGTAGATAGGATCGCCTGGGAGTTTGTTAAAACTCGTGGGCCCTACCTCAGACCTACTGAATTAGAATCTAATTTAACGAGATCTGCGGGTGATTTGTACGCATACTAAAGTGTAGAGGTAGTGGCCAAAAAAAGCAGGAAGGGCATGATACCCAAGGAGGTTTCCTTAATACATTTAGTTCTTATGAAGTTCTTACTGTGTGGTTATTTTTCTCGTTTCTTCAGCTGCTACCCATGAAAGTCTGGGAGTGGACCCTGTCTCAGAAAAAAAAAATGAATAAAAAATTATACACAATAATTACAATACTGAGGCGACAGTGGGTTCTCTTTTACTATTAGAAACACCAAATAGTAAACACAGCTAAGGCTTTTTTTTCCTTTAGACATAGTTGGGAGGTGTTTTTACTTTTTCCCTTTAACAGTTGCGTTCTCAGTACATTGCAGTGGCTATACAATATTTCATTTTGGAAATGTATGGGACATAATTATGTAGCTGGCACTAAATGTCAGGAATGTCAGTTTCATTAAACTATCCAATAGAGGCTCTTTTATCCTGCTGTCTTGCCCTCTGTCCAGTGAGTACCTTTAAGGTCCTTGCAAGGTGTCTTGAGCTGTTCAATGGTGTGGTATTGTGGAAAGAATGCTAAACAGGAAAAAGATTATCCATCTTCATTTGTTTTTGAGACAGGGTCTTGCACTGTCATGTGCTGGAGTGCAGTGGTACCATCACGACTCACTTCAGCCTCAACCTCCTGGGCTCAAGTGATCCTTCTACCTCGATCTCCCGAGTAGCTGGGACTACAGTTGCATGCCAGCATGCCCAACTATTTTTTTTTTTTTTTTTTTTTTTGGTAGAGAAGGGGTCTCACTGTGTTGCCAAGGCAAGTTATCCATGTTCTGATTTTGGTTCTGCTTTCCCTGCTAGCGTTACGACCATGGGCAAGAAACCTGGCAAGTTACAGTCTGGCCCTCTAAAGTGGAGTATGTTGGATTTTTGCGTATAACCCTTTATCTTCTAAACTGTGTGCTTAAGCTTCCTTTTCTTGCAGTTTAACACTCTGGCTAGTCCTAACCTGCTAAACTCAACGCAAATGCTGAGGTGCTCCAGCCAACTGGTGGTTGAAGACCAGAATGAGTAGTCTACCAAAGGCAACTGAGTGCTACAGGGTTAAGGCCCAAGCCTTCTAGGTACTCTGGCCCAGAAACCACCCACACATAGTTTAAGCTGCCAGCCACTGGGGACCATGCTAGTGCCTGGGGATACAGAACTAGTCAGAGCTGCTTGTTATGGAAACCACAATGTGGTTGTCAGAGGGGAATCCAGCCTAAGATACCTGGAGGGCACCAGGAGAACTGAACTTGACTCTGCTTAAGGTGGCAAATGCAGGAAAGCTTAGGAAACAAGTATAAATGGTTTATTTTCACAAATCAGTGAACCAAACTGATGTGTGATGATACCAGTTGACCTTTAACGATTTTAGGAAGTTTTGTAATTACCTTTTGTCAAGATTGATACTTTTTTTTTTTTTTCCCTGAGACGGAGTCTAGTTCTGTCACCCAGGCTGGAGTGCAGTGGTGCAGTCTCAGCTCACTGCAGCCTCTGCCTCCCGGGTTCAAGCTATTCTCTTGCCTCAGCCTCCCGAGGAGCTGGGATTACAGGCGTCCGCCACCATGCCCAGCTAATTTTTGTATTTTTAGTAGAGACAGGGTTTCGCTGTGTTGGCCAGGCTGGTCTCGAACTCCTGACCTCGTGGTCCACCTGGCTCAGCCTAAGATTGATACAATTTTTTATGCAATAAGTATGTAAGTAGTTAACCTGGAATCTAAAAGGAGCTTGAAAGGCAAAGGCATTCAACAATAGGCACAAATGAAATTCTAGACCCTCTCAGTTACCCTGCTTGAACGTATGGCTTTGATAACATGACTCAACTCTGAAATGCTCTGATGATTGCCTCTGGAACACAGTGCTTTATTTTTTGCTTTAAAGATCAGTTCTGTTCAAACATGACATGGCGTATCATAGTGGCTAAGAGCACAGAGTTTGGAATTTAAGGCTGGGGGGATGAAGAGGTTGATTAATGGGTGTAGAAATATAGTTAGAGGAAATAAGACCCAGTGTTTGATAGATCAATAGGGTGACTAGTTAATGATTTGTATTTTAAAATAGAAAATAATTCTTTTTTTTTTTTTTTTTTGAGACGGAATCTTATCGCTCTGTCGCCCAGGCTGGAGTGCAGTGGTGCGATCTCGGCTCACTGCAAGCTCCGCCTCCCAGGTTCATGCCATAAAATAGAGAATAATTCTAATGTTACCAGCATAAAGAAAGATAAATGTTTAAGGTAGCAGATATCCCAGTTACCCTGATTTGATCATTACACATTGTACGAATGTATCAGAATATCACATGTACTCCAAAATATGTACATCTATTTTGTTTCAATAAAAAAAACAGGCCAGGCATAGTGGCTCATGCCTGTGATCTCAGCACTTTGGGAGGCCTAGGTGGGCAGATCACTTGAGTGCAGGAATTCAAGACCAGCCTGGGAAACATGGAGAAACCCCACCGGGAGTGGTGTTGCGCACCTGTAGTCCCAGCTACTCAGGAGGCTGAGGTGAGAGGATTGCTTGAGCTGGAGAGGTGAAGGTTGCAGTGAGCTAGATCATGCCACTGCAATCCTGCCTGGGCAACAGAGGGAGACCCTGTCTCAAAAAAATAAAATAGGGCATGGTGGCTCACACCTATAGTCCCAGCACTTTGGGAGGCAGAGGCAGGAGGATGGATTGAGTCCAGGAGTTTGAGACTAGCCAGTGAGACCTTGACTCTACAAAAATTAGCCAGGTGTGGTGGCATGCACTTGTAGTCCTAATTACTTGAGTTTGAGGCTGAGGCAGGAGGATCCCTTGAACTCAGGAGTTTGAGGCTGCAGTGAGCCATGATCGCATCACTGGGCAACCAAGCAAGACCCTGTGTCTAATTAAAGTAAAAAATTTAGGCTGGGCATGGTGGCTCATGCCTATAATCCCAGCACTTTGGGAGGCCAAGGAGGGTGGATCACGAGGTCAGGAGATGGAGCCCATCCTGGCTAACATGGTGAAACCCTGTCTCTACTAAAAACACAAAAAATTGGCCGGGCTTGGTGGCGGGTGCCAGTAGTCCCAGCTACTCAGGAGGCTGAGGCAGGAGAATGGCGTGAACCTGGGAGGCGGCGCTTGCAGTGAGCTGAGATCGCTCCACTGCACTCCAGTCTGGATGACAGAGCGAGACTCCGTCTCAAAAAGATAAGAAATAAAAAAATTTTAAAGTGTAAGCATCTCAGATGCCTTGCAGGAATGTGGGATAAAGTGCTCAGAATGTTCCCTGGCAGATAGTATAGGCTTGTTTTCCGTGAAGAGCCTGTAACTGCCACTTGGTTCCCCTTCCACCCCTGACATTAGGAAATAGTTGTGCAATGGTTGTTACTCTCAGGGTGGTCACTTAGGCAAACTCCAGAGGAGGGTGTACTTCCACTGATTATCCTTCTAGCCCCTTTCCCCCAAATCCCCAAGGAAGGCTGGGAATCATCAAAATGGAGTTGGCCTTTACTTGTCAACAATTGAGTAAATCCTAAATACGGACGAACACCCAAGTAGCTCCTGAATTACAATTAAAGGAAAAACATTTCTTAAAATGGAAGGTGTATGTACTTTGTAGCGGATATTCTGTAATCTCAGTCACAGGGCCATGTCTTACTCTATATTGCTAGTGTCTGGCCCTTGAGACCAGCTTGTTGCTCAGATTGGACACAGACAGCAACACTGCCACTGACTACCTGGGTGAGAAGGTGGGCAAGTTAGCCAGCCTCTCTGGGCCTCAGATCTTGTGTAAAATAGGTATAACACCTACCTTACAGGGTTATTTTCAGAAATTAAAGATAGTATATGTAAATCACTCAGCATATATAGTAGGAGCTGTTTAAAGTATTGTAAATATTATGTAATAATTGAGTATATTCTTGGTATTCTGTGGTAAGCTTAAATTTAAGAGGCTTTATTCTGTGATTTGAGCATCATTCTTTGCTGGTGAAGAAAAGAAGACAAGGAATTCATTTAATATTTGAGTGCTTACCTACCTGAAGCATAGCATTGAACCAGATGGATATATAGTCCCTGCTGCTAGGTGAGCAAAAATAAGTATTAATACTTGTGCCTCTTCTGCCTGTTTTTCAGGTAGAAAAAAACCCAGTGCCCCTCTTTGACATTATTTAAATAAGATTTCTCCTCAATATAACAGTATAGTGACATTAACTATGTTTTTTCAAATCATTTCTTACCACCACCAAAAAAAAAAAAAAAAAAATTTTGTACCACCTGTGGGCATTCCAACCCCCTCCTTCCCAAGTATAGGAAAACACTGGATGAGTTGGGTCCTGGTACCTGTAGTCCCAGCTACTCAAGAGGCTGAGGGGTGAGGATCACTTGAGCCCAGGAATTTGAGGCTGCAGTGAGTCGTGATCACATCACTACACTCCACACCGGGTGACAGAGTAAGACCCTCTCTAAAGGAAAAAAAAAAAAGACCAGGGGCAGTGGCTCATTCCTGTGATCCCAGCACTTTGGGAGGCTGAGGCAGGTAGATCACCTGAGGTCAGGAGTTCAAGACCAGCCTGACCAACATGGTGAAACCCCGTCTACTAAATACAAAAAATTAGCCAGGCCTGGTCGTGGGTGCCTGTAATCCCAGCTACTTGGAAGGCTGAGGCAGGAGAATCGCTTGAACCCGGGAGGCGGAGGTTGCAGTGCACTGAGGTTGTGCCGTTGCACTCCAGCCTGGGCAACAAGAGCCAAACTCCCATCTCAAAACCATATATATAATATAAATAATATAATATATAATATATACAATATAAATATATATAGTATAATATATAATATACATATTAATATATAATATATAAATATATAAATACATATATAATATATAAATATATATTACATAAATACATATGTAATATATAAATATATATTACATAAATACATATATAATATATAAATATATATTACATAAATACATATATAATATATAAATATATATTATATAAATACATATATAATATATAAATATATATTATATAAATACATATATAATATATAAATATATATTATATAAATACATATATAAAAATATATATAAATACATATATAATATATACACAGATTCCTGAACTCTTCTCAGAAACTTGGTTTTTGTAGGGCTCAAGAATTCACATTCTTACAACACTGAAGGTTGAGAATCATTGTTTTCTCAACAGCAGTGGCTTTCAAAGGTTTTTGACTACAGTTCACAGTAAAAAAAAAAAAATCCCTTCAGAGTAGCGGAAGGGCAAAAAATGTATTTTGTATATCACTACATACATATATACTCACCTCTGGAAAAAGCTTCATGAAACAACCTTACTACAGGTAATGCAGTCCTATTGTATAGTTGTTTACTTTTTTTTCCTAATGCTGATCTCTCTCTCTCTCTTATTTATTTATTTATTTTTTTGTTTGTTTGTTTTTAGACAAGGTCTTGCTTTGTTGTCCAGGCAGGAATGCAGTGGTGTGATCTCAGCTCACTGCAACCTCTGCCTCCCAGGTTCAAGCGATTTTCCTGCCTCAGTTTCCTTAGTTGGGACTACAGGTGTGCATCACCACGCCCGGCTAATTTTTGTAATTTTAGTCGGGTTTTCAGCATGTTGGCCAGTCTGGTCTTGAACTCCTGATCTCAAGTGATCTGCCCGCCTTGGCCTCCCAAAGTGCTGGGATTACAGGTGTGAGCCACAGTGCCCGGCCCCTAATGCTGATTCTAACCCATTGTATTAGTCTGTTTTCACACTGCTATAAAGAACTACCTGAGACTGGGTAATTAAGAAAAAGAGATTTTAATTGACTCATAGTTCCGCATGGCTGGGGAGGCATCAGGAAACTTAAAATTATGGTGGAAGGGGAAGCAAGGCATGTCTTACAGGGTGGCAGGCGAGAGAGAGCACAAAGGGTGAAGTTTTAAACCATCAGATCTCTGAGAACTCTATCACGAGAACAGCATGGAGGAAACCACCCCCATGATCCAGTCACCTCTCACCAGGTCCCTCCCTCCACACGTGGGGATTACAATTTGAGATGAGATTTGGGTGGGGCACAGGGCCAAATCATATCACCTATTAAGGAGCTTGTTTTTTGTGACAGGGACTTGTTCTGTCACCCAGGCTGGAGTGCAGTGGTGTGTTCACAGCTCACTGTAACCTCTAACTGGGCTCAAGTGAGCCTGCCTTGGCTTCCCAAGGTGCTGGAATTATAGGCATGAGCCACTACGCCCAGCCCAGTAAGTAGATTTTAATCCGCAATTTGAAAAACGCTGCAGTGTGTGATGTGTTGATCAAGTTTCAACCACAGAGGCAGAAGTTCTGAGCTAGAAGAGCCCTCAGAGGTCATTTAATCCACCAGTCCTTAAGCCTTGCACAGTACTGGGCTGGGTATAGGAGAATCACCTGAGATATTTGTTTAAAATGTGCATTCCAGGCCCCAACTCCCGAGAACTTAAAATGGAACAAAGGACTCTGTTTAAAGTTTAACGAGCTTCCTAGGTGAGTTGTATGCACAGCCAGATTTGGGAGTTCTCCAATGCAACCCTTACCAGTAAAGGCCCTCCAGAATGGTGGAGGGTTTGAATTTGCCTCTGCTGTGTGGAGGGCAGGCTTTCTCAGTTTGAAGTAACACCTTCAGGTTACTTAGGAAATACAATTATTTACCTGATACTTTGTTTAAAAGTTATAAAAGAACTCTGTTACTACTGAATTTGCAGGTTTGACATGTTTATTGTATTACTTTCTAGTATACTAAAATAAAGATGTAACTGTTTAAAAAATGTGACTGGCTGGGTGTTGTGGCTCATTTGGAAGGATTGCATGAAGCCAGAAGTTTGAGACCAGCCTGGGCAACATAGCAAGACCCCCCATTGCTACATATTTTTTTATCTAAATTAGCCGGCTGGGTGAGGTGGCTCACGCCTGTAATCCCAGCACTTTGGAAGGCTGAGGCAGGTGGGTCACCTGAGGTCAGGAGTTTGAGACCAGCCTGACAAATATGGTGAAACCCCGCCTCTAATGAAAATACAAAAATTAGCGGGGTGTTGGCAGGTGCCCGTAATCCCAGCTGCTTGGGAGGCTGAGACAGGAGAATCGCTTGAACCCGGGAGGCAGAGGTTGCAGTGAGCCGAGATTGTGCCATTGCACTCCAGCCTGGGTAACAGAGTGAGATTCCATTTCAAACAAACAAAAATTAAAAATAGGCCGGGCGTGGTGGCTCACGCCTGTAATCCCAGCACTTTGGGAGGCCGAGGCAGGCAGATCACAAGGTCAAGAGATCAAGACCAACCTGGCGAACATGGTGAAACCCCATCTCTACTAAAAATACAAAAAAATTAGCTAGGCGTGGTGGGCGCCTGTAGTCCCAGCTACTCAGGAGGCTGGGGCAGGAGAATAACTTGAACCCGGGAGGCAGAGGTTGCAGTGAGCCAAGATTGCGCCACTGCACTCCAGCCTGGGTGACAGAGTGAGACTCTGTCTCAAAAAATTAAAAATAAAAATAAAAATTAGCCAGGTGTAGTGGTGCATGTCTTTGGTCCCAGCTACTTGGGAGGCTGAGGCAGGAGGATTGCTTGATCTCAGGAGTTGAAGGCTGCAGTGAGCTGTGATCACACCACTGCACTTCATCCTGGGTAAGAGTGGGACACCTGTGTCTTAAAAAAAATAAAATAAAAAGGCCAGGCACGGTGGCTCACGCCTGTAATCCCAGCACTTTGGGAGGCTGAGGCAGGTGGACTGCTTGAGCTCAGGAGACCAGCTTGGGCAACATCAGTGAAACCCTGTTTCTACCACAAAAATTAGCCAGGCAGAGGCCGGGCATGGTGGCTCATGCCTGTAATCTCAGCACTTTGGGAGGCCGAGACGGGAGGATCATCTGAGGTCGGGAGTTCGAGACCAGCCTGACCAACATGGAGAAACTCCATCTCTACTAAAAAAAAATACAAAATTAGCCGAGCGTGGTGGCACATGCCTGTAATCCCAGCTACTAGGGAGGCTGAGGCAGGAGAATCGCTTGAACCCGGGAGGCGGAGGTTGCGGTGAGCTGAGATTGCGCCATTGCACTCCAGCCTGGGCAACAAGAGCGAAAACTCCATCTCAAAAAAAAAAAAAATTAGCCAGGCATGGTGGCGGGTACCTATAGTCCCAACTACTGCAGGAGAATTGCTTGAACCTGGGAGGCAGAGGTTGCAGTGAGCCAAGATCACACCACTGCACTCCAGCCTGGGAGACAGAGCAAGCAAGCCTTTGTCTCAAAAAAAAAAGAGAAAAAACAAAAAGAAAAATTTTTTAAAAGTGTGTCCACGGCCGGGCGCGCTGGCTCATGCCTGTAATCCCAGCACTTTGGGAGGCCGAGGCGGGCAGATCACCAGATCAGGAGATCGAGACCACCCTGGCTAACACGGTGAAACCCCGTCTGTACTAAAAATACAAAAAAAAATTAGCCGGGCGTGGCGGCGGGCGCCTGTAGTCCCAGCTACTCGGGAGGCTGAGGCAGGAGAATGGTGTGAACCTGGGAGGCGGAGCTTGCAGTGAGCCGAGATCGCACCACTGCACTCCAGCCTGGGTGACAGCGCGAGACTCCATCTCAAAAACAAAACAAAAGTGTGTCCACTAAAGTCACTTATCCAGTAACTTTTTTTTGAGCGTCTACCATGTGCTGGGCACTGTTTAAGGGGCATAGGATACATCAGTGAACAAAGACAAAGATCCCTGCCTTGGAGCTTACATTCTAATGGAGGGAGACAGACAATAAGCAATCCACGAGTAAATTACAGAGAATGTTATAGGATGGTATGTGTGTTGGGAAAAGAAAAAGTAGAGTGGGGTGAGGGGGTGAGGAAAGGCTGGTCAGAGGAGGCCTCACTGAGAAGATGAGATTTGAAGTGGGTAAGGGTTGGGCACTTGGATCTGTGAGGAGGAGCTTTTGGAGAGATGGAAGACTAGAGCAAAGGCCTTCAGGCAGAGGTGCGTTATAGCACTGAGCCCACTACAGCCAGGCAGTGTGAGAGGGCAAGAGGAGGAGGGGGTCAGAGATGATGGGCAGCCGCTGTGCAGGCTGTGTAGGGTGTTAGAAAGACTATGGCCTTTACTGGGAGCGAAATGAATCACTCCTTGCTAGGTTGGCAGAGGCATCACATGATCTGACTTCCATTTTAAAACTGTAACTGCATATTAAAAACAGAATATGGGGGGTAAGGGTGGAAGCAGGAAGACTTATCAGAAAGTATTGTCAGCTCAGTGCTCTTGTGCAACTGTAGTCCTATCTGCTTGGGAGGCTGAGGCAGGAAGATGGCTTGAGCCCGGGAGGTTGAGGCCAGGCATTCATGCTGGTCCAGACGTCGTGGCAGCATTGGAGGTGGTGAGACATGGGCAGATGATAGATACATCTTGAAGGTAAACCAGCAAGATTTCCATGGACAACTGGATGAAAGATAAGAGAGAAAGTGAAGTTGAGAATGACTCAAGTTTCTGGCCCCTAGCAAAAGAAGTATGGAGTTGCTGTTAATTTCGATGGAGAAGGTAGCATGGAACAGATTTGACAGTTAGGAATTCCATTTTGAACATGCGTAACTTAAAATCTATCATCTAAAGGAAGATGTTGAGTAGGCATTCTGGAGGCTGGTCTGCAGATATCTGTTTGGAGGTCTTCAGCATAGGGAGGTCCGTATTTACAGTCTTGAGACTGGATGAAGTCATAGGGGAGTGAGTATGACAGAAAGGGAAAAGGACCCAGGACTGAACCTTAGGGTACTTAAGCATTAAGAGGCCTGAGAGGCGGCCGGGCACAGTGTCTCACACCTGTAATCCCAGCACTTTGGGAGGCCAAAGTGCGAGGATTGCTTGAGGCCAGGCATTCGAGACCAGCCTGGGCAACATAGCAAAGCCTCATAGTGAGTCTCTATTAAAATTGTTTTAAAAAAACTAGCCAGGCATGGTGGTGCATACCTGTAGTCCTAGCCACTTGGGAGGCCAAGACAGGAGGATTGCTTGAGTCCAGCAGTACAACACTGCACTGAGCTGAAATCACACCACTGGACTCCAGCCTCAGCAAAAGAACAAGACCCTGTCTTGGCCGGGCGCAGTGGCTCACGCCTGTAATCCCAGCACTTTGGGAGGCTGAGGCGGGCAGATCACAAGGTCAGGAGATCAAGACCATCCTGGCTAACACGGTGAAACCCTGTCTCTACTAAAAATACAAAAAATTAGCCGGGCGTGGTAGCGGGCATCTGTAGTCCCAGCTACTCGGGAGGCTGACGCAGGAGAATGGCGTGAACCCGGGAGGCAGAGCTTGCAGTGAGCCGAGATCGCACCACTGCACTCCAGCCTGGGCGACAGAGCGAGACTCCGTCTCAAAAAAAAAAAAAGAAAAAAAAGAACAAGACCCTGTCTCAACTCAAAAAATAAGAATAATAATAGTAATAAAAAGAGTTGTGAGGAAACAAGAGGAATTGGCAAAGGAGAAAGAGGGACCGGTAAAGTAGGAGATAAACCAAGTGCCTGGTAACCTGGAAGTAAAGTCAGGGTGTGTGAAGGAGGAGGGATGATGAACTGAGGTGAGTGCTCCCAAAGAGTCCGGTAAAACGAGGACTTTGAATTAGGCATTGGACTTCACAGCATGAAGGCCTCTCGTGGCCTCTCTGGAGCAGTGCTGCCAGGGTGATGGGCCAGAAAGCCTGAGTATAGTGGGCTTCAGAGAGAAGGTGAGGAGAGTGACTGGGGACAACTGGTAGACAATGCTTCCAAGGAGTTCTGCTGTCAAGGGGAACAAAAGTGGGAAAAAAACTTTCTATGACTGAGAAAATCCAGTAGAGAGAAAAATTGATGTGGGAGAAGGGAGACCTGCAGTAGCAATATCCTTGAGTGGGTGAGAAGGGTTGGCTTGTAGCACACAGAGGGGGTTTAGACTTGGATAGAAGCGTGGCTGGGGTGTTGGTGATAAGTTGGGAGCCTGCCTGTGTGAGTGCACATGTTGGCTGGTGGTAGATACGGGATGGAGTTCTGTGGATGTGCCCGGCCGCCTCTCAGGCCTCTTAATGCTGAAGTACCCTAAGATTCAGTCCTGGGTTCAGTTCTCTTCAGTTCTCTTCGCATTGCTTTCATTTTCTCAGTGAAGTAGAAATAAAGGTAGGGATGAGTCACTGGGAGAGTCCTGCGCCATGTGTGGGGAACTCTACCTGAGGGCAGGACCCTCAATGCAGCCTCTATGGGTAAAGAAATAGGTTTGAGAGGTAAAGAGCCATGCGCAGGATCACACAGCTGGTTAGTAGCAGAGCCAAGCCTAACCCAGATGGCCTGGTTTCCTGCCTAGCATCTGACAGATCCATAAGAGACAAATCATTTCACCATCTTGACAAGGTTGAACTCTCATGGCTCTTCCTAGTAGTGTCTCAATCTGCAGGTCTGTTCTGATACAGAGATGTCCTGCAAGCAGCTCTTTCCTCTCTGTCTGTGCTTTCTGGGTTCTGCCTTGCCTGCCTTCCAGCTGCTCTGCATCTTTGTCCTACAAGATCAGTGATGCTCAAATTTGAGAGTACATTAGAATCTCCTGTACGGCTTGTAAAAGCTGGATTGTTGGGCCCCCACCCTCAGAATCTCTGATTCAGTAAATCTGGGGTGTCTGAGAATCTGCATTTCTAGCAAGTTCCCAGGTGATGCTGAGGCTGATCCCGGAACCAAGCTTTGAGAACCACTGTGTTAGACTATAAATATCCCTCTTGGATTCAGGTTCATGAAGGAACTGTGTTAGATTATATACATCCCTCTTGGATTCAGGCTCATGAAGGAACTGTGTTAGACTATATACCTCTCTCTTGGATTCAGGTTCATAAAGGAACTGTGTTAGACTATATACATCCCTCTTGGATTCAGGTTCATCCCTCTTGGATTCAGGTTCGTGAAGGAACTGTGTTAGATTATATACATCCCTCTTGGATTCAGGTTCGTGAAGGAACTGTGTTAGAGTATATACATCTCTCTTGGATTCAGGTTCGTGAAGGAACTGTGTTAGACTATATACATCTCTCTTGGATTCAGGTTCGTGAAGGAACTGTGTTAGACTATATACATCCCTCCTGGATTCAGGTTCGTGAAGGAACTGTGTTAGACTATATACATCCCTCCTGGATTCAGGTTCGTGAAGGAACTGTGTTAGACTGTATACATCTCTCTTGGATTCAGGTTCGTGAAGGAACTGTGTTAGACTGTATACATCCCTCTTGGATTCAGGTTCGTGAAGGAACTGTGTTAGACTGTATACATCCCTCTTGGATTCAGGTTCGTGAAGGAACTGTGTTAGACTGTATACATCCCTCTTGGATTCAGGTTCGTGAAGGAACTGTGTTAGACTATATACATCCTCTTGGATTCAGGTTCGTGAAGGAACTGTGTTAGATTATATACATCCCTCTTGGATTCAGGTTCGTGAAGGAACTGTGTTAGACTATAAACATCTCTCTTGGATTCAGGTTCATGAACTCGGAAGGCATCTATCTGTCCTCTGTCAAGCCTTAGGAGTGCCTCCCATTGATTCTGTTCTAAGAATGTTTGCTGAACTCATTCATTTGGCAAATTTTTATTGTGTGCCTGGCTGTGTGTTGGGATCTGGGGGATACAGCACAGAGAACCCATTCAGCTGTTAAGTGGTATAGCAGAGATTGAACCCAGGCAGTCTGGCTCCAGAGGCCATGCTGTTAATCACCACCTTAATACACCAGCACCATACTGACCCTTCCTCATTGTCGTCAGAGAGATTGAAAGAGAACTGGAAAGAGAATGACTTTCTCACTTTGTGATTCATTGTTAATTAATATGGTATCCATGTGCCATCTAAAATCATTTGGGCTGCCAGTAGTGCCACCCCACACTGTAGGATACAGCAGGTTAGAACACAGGGTGACATATGGTGTGGCAGGAGTTTGCTTAGGTAGTTCTGTGAGCACTGTGTGAAGGAGTGGTGGGGCGGGAGGTGGTGGGGGGAGCGGATTACAAAAAACCCGTTTGATTTAAATCTATTATCATGACAAACCAGGCAAAGAAAAGAGTTTGGAGAAAAGTCATCTCAGGCAAGGCAATAGGGATCACCAAGTTATGGAAGCAAGAAGGATATTAGGTATTTGGTATGCCTGGAGTTGAGAGAGTGTTGGGGGCCTGACAGGAAATGGGACTGAATTGACTAGATTTTTGAAGGGCCTTGAACATCAACCTAAAGAGCCTGAGCCTGATCTTGAAATCCAGTCAGCTGCATTGGGAAGGGCATGGGCTCTGGAGCCATCGAGATCTGGGATGGAATCCTAGTTCTGGCTCTTAATAACCTTGTGATCTTCATGACTTTCTTAATTTATCTGAATTCAGTTTCTTTGGTAAATAGAAATAAATAGTCCTATCTGACTTGGTTATGAGGAGCAAAAATAATGTAAATACCTGGCATATAACTATGACACAAATGGTCATAACTATTATCAGTTACCTTCATGTTTAGAAAGCTCATCCTAGGCCAGGCGCGATGGCTCATGTCTGTAATCCCAGCACTTTGGGAGGCCGAGGCAGGCGGATCATGAGGTCAGGAGATCAAGACCATCCTGGCTAACACGGTGAAACCCCATCTCTACTAAAAATACAAAAAATTAGCCGGGTGTGGTGGCGGGCTCCTGTAGTCCCAGCTACTCGGGAGGCTGATGCAGGAGAAAGGCGTGAACCCGGGAGGCGGAGCTTGCAGTGAGCCGAGACCGCGCCACTGCACTCCAGCCGGGGCGAGAGAGTGACTCCATCTCAAAAAAAAAAAAAAAAAAAAAAAAGAAAGCTCATCCTAGCAACAGTGTACAGGGAACAAGGGCAGTGTACAGGGCAAAGGCAGAAGCAGCAGGAACATTTTGCCATATTCCTGATGAGAGATGATTTGGCCTAATTGAGGCAGTTGGAGAGGGGGTGGCAAGTAAAGCTAGTCAAGTGACATCTGGTGTTAATTACTGCTGTTTACGTGCAACCCTGAAAGTCCATAGCAAATTTTAATTTATAATTTTGCTGAGATACCGTAACCGACATCTATATGAAAGTCACCTGCTAGTGAAGGTGATGGAAGACGAGAGAAAATGAGGCAATCTAAAGAAAACGGTTTCTGAGATGGAAATCAGCTGGAGATAGAGGTCAGCTTCATCAGAGACTTGGATCCATGATGGGAGGCAGCCTCTGTATAGACAGTACTGTTCATTCTGCAGCAGAGGAAAAGCCATTTGTTCTCATCATTTACATCCAGTATAAAAATTACTGGGCGGGCACGGTGGCTCATGCCTGTAATCCCAGCACTTTGGGAGGCTGAGGTGGGCAGATCACAAAGTCAAGAGATCGAGACCATCTTGCCTAACATGGTGAAACCCCGCCTCTACTAAAAATACAAAAAATTAGCTGAGCGTGGTGGCGGGCGCCTGTGGTCCCAGCTACGCAGGAGGCTGAGGCAGGAGAATGGTGTGAACCCGGGAGGCAGAGCTTGCAGTGAGCCAAGATTGCGCCACTGCACTCCAGCCTGGGTGACAGAGCGAGACTCCCTCTCACAAAAAAAAAAAAAAAAAAAATTATCAAAGAAGAAAAAGGTCAGGCAAAAGTTGGAAAGATAATTTAACTAACTCTATAAAGCACTGTAGTCCTGGATTTATATGATCAGTGGGTATCCGAGAGTCTTTTTCTAGTTATATTTTATTTCATATTCTAGAGACAGTTATATGGAGGCATATACTTGGGAATTCTCAAAAGTCTTTTATCCTCTAGAATATCAGATGTTTTCAGTAGAATTGACAAGCGTTGGTCTATAATTTTCAAGTCAATACTTTTCTTATGTTTTTGAAGATGGTAACAACAAATTTGAAGTTATCTAATGTAGGTTCTATAAAGCAATTACAGAATAAAGAGCTTGGCTTGAGATAGTTAATCTAGTATCCTGGTCCAGTCTTTCAAAGTACCTGCCACTGATCAGAGCATATCTGGAAGACTATGGTCAGTTTGGAGGTTTATATTTTAAGAGGGAAGTTGACATATTAAAGCAAGGTCCAGGCCGGGTGCAGTGGCTCACACTTGTAATCTCAGCACTTTGGGAGGCCGAGGTGGGTGGATCACTTGAGGCCAGGAGTTTGAAACCAACCTGGCCAACATGGTGAAACCCCGTCTCTACCCAAAATACAAAAATTAGCTGGGTGTGGTGGCAGGCATCTCTAGTCCCCCCAGCTACTCGGGAGTCTGAGGCAGGAGAATCGCTTGAACCCGGGAAGCAGACCTTGCAGTGAGCCGAGATTGCACTACTGCACTCCAGCCTGGGCGACAGAGTGAGACTCCATCTCAAAAAAAAAAGAACATAGACTCCTGGGCCCCCTAGGGATTCCGATTCAGTAGATCTTAAATGGGGATGAAAATTTGCATTTCTAGGCCTGGCGTGGTGGCTCACACCTGTAATCCCAGCACTTTGGGAGGCCAAGGCAGGTGGATCACCTGAGGTCAGGAGTTCGAGACCAGCCTGACCAACATGGTGAAACCCTGTCTCTACTAAAAATACAAAATAAGCTGGGTGTGGTGGTGCATGTCTGTAATCCCAGCTACTTGGGAGGCTGAGGCAGGAGAATTGCTTGAACCCGGGAGGAGGAGGTTGCAGTGAGCCGAGATTGCGCCATTGCACTCCAGCCTGGGCAACAAGAGCAAAACTCTGTCTCAAAAAAAAAAAGAATTTGCATTTCTAACAAGTTCCCAGGTGATGCTGATGCCACTGGTCTTCTAAGCATTATTTATTTGGTTGTTTGTTTGTTTATGAAGTGAGATCAGGAGCTGTTAGAGAGTTTTCAGCTGTGGAGGGCATATGGCTGCATTTTCTTTTATTTAAGTTTTAAATATGGGATCTTGCTATATTGCTTAGCCTGGTTTTGAACCCCTGACCTCAAGCGATCCTCCTGCCTGGGCCTCTCCAGTGGCTGGGACTACAGGCATGGACCACGGTGCCCAGCCCTCATTTTCAATTTTGAAAAGGTGACTGTAGTGGCAGTGTGGAGAATGAATTGCAGGGGTGGGTATGGCAGAAGCAGAGAAACCAGGTGGAAGCTTTGGTCATAGTTGCATCAAGATGCTAAGGCTTAGGCTTGCTTGGGCTTATGCGGTGAGCACCAAGTCTCCTGTAGGGATCAACCCTTGTGTGGTTACTATGACGTTGGCTTACTTTTAAAGGTCTCTAGGTGCTGTTCTGCCTGGTGTCCTGCTCTTTTCCATAGAGGGCTCAGTCCCATAAGACTGCCCCCACTTCAAATGCCAGTCACAACTTGGTTATCACTTATACTTCTGACCAACAGACTATAAATCACGGTTCCACTACCCCTCCTTGAGTTCAATTAATTTGCCTAGAATGGCTCACAGAACACAGGGAGACACTTAAATTTGTGAACAGCCGGATGAAGAGATGCAAAGGCAAGGTATGGGGGAGAGGACACAGATTCCATGCCCTCCCTCGACACACCACCCTCCCAGCACCTCTCCCCAAGCATCCTTTGGGTGGAACTTGATGCTCGCCTTTCCCCCTCTGCATTCAGTTTGTCCTTTCTCTCTCTCAAAGAAGGTACAGTATCATACTGTAGAGGACAAGTGTCTAAAAATCATATGCCTCAAGTAATTATCTTTTTTTAAACAGATAATCAGAGTCTCATTTACTTTATATCGCTTTAAGTCACAGAATGAGGGAATGACAGAGTCAGAATTTGAACCCAAATCTCCTGAATGCTTTGCATTATACCCTACTGCCTTATGCAGGCCGTGTAACCTTAGGTAAATCTTTATGCTTTCCATCTGTTTCCTGCCCGGTTCAAGAGAGATCATGTATGTGACAGTGCCAGGCAAACCCCACCACAGTGTAGACCTGTGAGTTGCTGCCATCATCCATGTGGTCATGTGGTCAGTGTTTGTCAATGTGTCTAACATTTCTTATCTGGGAATTGTAAAGAATTTCTCAGTTTTTTTTTTTTTTTATTATTTTGTTTTTAAGACAGAGTCTTGCTCTGTTGCCCAGGCTGAAGTGCAATGGCACGATCTTGGCTCACTGCAACCTCCACCTCCCAGGTTCAAGTGATTCTCCTGCCTCAGCCTCCCGAGTAGCTGGGACTACAGGCACCCACTACTGCGCCCAGCTAATTTTTGTAGTTTTAGTAGAAATGGGGTTTTGCCATGTTGGCCAGGCTGGTCTCGAACTCCTGACCCCAGGTGATCTGCCCACCTCGGCCTCCCAAAGTGCTAGGATTACAGGCGCGAGCCACTGCGCCGGGCCAGAATCTCTCAGCTTTAATTGTGGACTGAACCTCTATGGAGAGAATGTGTGTATAATGAATTCCTCTGTGCTCCAGGATATATTCCTTTGGTCCTTGTTTTATAAATTTCCCTCATGCTGATGTAAAAAAAAAGATATTATCATGTCTATCAGCTGAGCACACACAGGGGGATTGAGAGGAATGGAGAAAGACAGGAGGAGGAGGAGATAAGGGAGAACTAACATGGCCAGTATGTATCTCCTTTGTTCTAGGTGTTTGACATATTTGAGATCATCTTTACAGTTGTCCTATGAATTATATATAACATTCCTATTTTACAAGGAAAAGAGGGCCTCAGAGTCACCACCAGGAAGTGGTGGAACTTGAATGCTAACCCTGATCCTTCTGATTCACAGTGACCCCTCACACTGTGCTCTGTTGCCCCAAGAGGAGATACGAAGCATAGATCCGTGGGCTCAATTTTGTTTGGTTTGGTTTTTGAGACGGGGTCTTGCTATATTGCCCAGGCTGTTCTCACACTCCTGGGCTCAAGCAATCCTCCCACTCATTCTCCCAAGTAGCTGGGATTGCAGGCATGTGCCACAGTGCCTGGCTCAGTTTTATATGATTCTACCAAATAGCTTCAGATAAGAACATAGGGAGTATGAAACCCCATGTAAAGGCATGAATGTCAGAAAACTTAAGGAAACAAAAACATGGCTTGCATCTGTAGTCTCAGCTACGTGGGAGGCTGAGCCCATGAGTTGAAGACCATAGCATGCTGTGATTGAACCTGTGAATAGCCACTGCGTTCCAGCCAGGCAGCATGGCGAGAGCTCATCTCTGGGCACGGTGGCTCGCGCCTGTAATACCAGCACTTTGGGAGGCCGAGGCAGGCAGATCACGAGGGAGTTCGAGACCAGCCTGACCAACATGGTGAAACCTTATCTCTACTGAAAATACAAAAATTAGCCGGGTATGGTGGTGTGCACCTGTAATCCCAGCTACTCAGTCAGGAGGCTGAGGCAGGTGAATCTCTTGAATCCGGGAGGCAGAGGTTGCAGTGAGCCGAGATCACGCCATGGCACTCCAGCCTGGGCGACAGAGTGAGACTCCATCTCGGAAAAAAAAAAAAAAAAGAAAGAAAGAAAAAGAAAGGGAGAAAACCAGGCAGATCTATGGCCAGTCATAGAAAGAAAAAGAAAGGGAGAAAACCAGGCAGATCTATGGCCAGTCAGTCTCTTTGGGACCTCTGGGAGTGAAAATCCCCGTCAGGAATTGTTGTCACTTTTCTTCTGTGACATCTGCTTCAGGCTTCCAGCCTTCACCCAAGTCAGCTAAATTGCCATTGTTTCATTAATTTAACAAATGTTGATTGAAGGGCCAAGCCCATGCTGGACCCATCGATGTATCGCCTTTATTTTAGGCGCTTTGCTCTAGTTCACTTACTTATGGGTTCACCAACTATTTAGTGCCCCCACCAGGGATATAGAGATGGTTTAGTCACAATCTGTGCCTGCAGGGAGCTCACAGTCTAGTGAGGGTACCACACAATGAAACACAGAGGAAGACAGACGTGGCTTCTACCCTCATGGTGCTAGACTACAGTGGAGGAAGTGGGGAGGGAGCATAAACCAATAAAAAGTGGACAAAAAGTAATACATATTAAGTATAGAGTTACCATTTGATCCAGCAATTCCACTTCTGGGCATATTCCCAAAAGAATGGAAAGCCCAGGAACCAATATGTGTACACTGATGTTCATAGCACCCCTATTCGTAATAGCCAAAAGTGGAAACAACCCAAATATCCATCAGCAAATGAATAGATGAACAAAACGTGGTCTGTCCATACAATGAAATATTACTCAGCCTTAAAAAAAAAGGAATGAAATCCTGATACGTGCTACCATTTGGGTGAACCTCGAAAACACTATACTAAGTGAAATAGGCCAATCAGAACAGGACAAATATTCTATGATTCCACTTGTGTGAGGTACCTAGAGTAGTCACAGTCACAGAGATAAAAATAGAACTATGGTTGCCAGGGGCTGGGGGAGGGAAAAATAGGGAGTTATTGTTTATTGGGTGCATAGTTTGAGCATGGGATGGAAAAAGTCCTGGAGATGGATAAGATGGATACTGGTGATGGTTGCAGTGTGGATCTACAGAATGCCACTGACTGAATGGCATAGCTAAATGTTAGATATATGTATTTATTTTACCACAACACAAAAATAATACATTTGAGACTTTGTCTTGAAGAACATGAAATTTAAAATTATGAAAATAAATTCATTTTATATTTAACCAACAAAAGGTAATACAAATAGTAGTCATATAATAGCCATCATGGTCAGTGCTACAGAGAGTCCTATCTGGTGTTGGGAGAGAAGATGGCAGGTAAACCTGCTCAGGTTAGTGGGGTTCTGAAACCGAGAAGGGCTTCACCAGGAGAATGGCATTTCAACTAAGCCCTGAAAGAGAAAGCTTGGTGAGAAGGGGTGGGTGTTTGTGGAAGACAAGACATTCCAGGCAGCAGGAACAGCAAGGCGAAGGCCAGAAGCAGGAGCGCCCCTTTGGTGGAGTTGAGGAATTACAAGGTTTGTATGTGGAACACAGAGTGGGGTGGAGGTTGGGCTTGCAAAGGATTTTAGGCCCCTCCTAGGAGCAGATGGAATCCATCAAAGAGTTTGGGCAAGGGATTTTTATTTTTAATTGGTAAGCCCCTTGATTTGGTTAAGTAGAAAGGAATGGAAAATAAAGTTTATTGAGGGGTTTCTATGTGTCAGCTGCTTTACCTACCATTCCCTTCTTGGGTAGAAGCCCTGTGAGGTCAGAATTACTAGGAGATGAGTTCCTTGAGGACAAGGATGAGGCATTCTCAAATCTCTGATACTAAGTAGGACACTTGGCTCAGATGATGTGCTCAATAATGATCCACATGGTTGATTTTACAGATGAGGCTCAGGGAGGTGAAGCCATTTACCCCAAGTGAGCAGGTGAGGAGGCCGTGCAGCCTAGGAGCTGTGCCAACCCTAAGCCCATACCCCTTTCTAGACCATGCTACACATGTCACAACCCCAGATTTCCCTGCTGTTTTCCAGAGCCTCTTCCCTGGGTCCCTCCTCCCCAGAACACTGGTGTGTGTACCCCTAGGCCCAAGGGGTGGCCAAGGGGCATCTGTCTGTGAGTGTGACTTTGCACTTAGGAGCTGGTGTGACCCCTGGGCTGAACGTGAGGCCCTGTGGTGCAGGACAGAGACTAAGGCAGTGTATTCATTTCCTATTTCTGCTGTAAAAAAATTACCGCAAACTTACTATCTGACATTTATGGAGGCCAGAGGTCCAAAATGGGTCTCACTGGGCTATAATCAAGGTATAGCCATGGCTGTGTCCTTCCTGAGGCTCCAGGGAGAATCTGTTTGCTTGCCTTTTCCAGCTTCTAGAGGCCACCTGTGTTCCTTGGCTGGTGGCCACCTTCAAAGCCAGCAATCCCATCACTCCAGCCTTTGCCTCTGTCATCACATCTTCTCTGACTCTGACTCATGCTTCTCGCTTTCACTTAGAAGCACCCTTGTGATTATTTTGGGCTACCTCAATAATCCAGGATAATCTCCCTATCTTGAGGTCAGCTGATTAGCAATTTTTATTGTATTAAAATAAATAAATTTGTAATATAAATTGAAATGAGGTCTTGCAATGTTGCCCAGGCTGGTCTCAAACCTCTGAGTTCAAGTGATCCTCCTGCCTCGGCCTCCCAAAGTGCTGGGATTACAGGTGTGAGCCACCATGCTTGGCCTGATTAGCAATTTTAATTCCCCCTTGCCATGTAAGATAACATATTCACAGGTTCCTGGGATCAGGGTGTGGACACCTGGGGTGGGGAGGGGACATTATTCTGCCTAATGCAGGTGGGAAGAACAGCATGTAGGTTAGGGGCTAGTTCTCCTTGTGCCACCACATCCCCAAGAACTCTTAGGAATCTGAGAATGTTAAATTTAAACCTAGCCCCAGGTCATTATGAAGGTATATTCATCGAAGTAAGAGAACAGAATAGGATAGGATAGAGTAAAAACTGTATTTAATGGTTTGTTAGTTTTTAACTTTTAAATATTTAGATAAATGGTATGTGGGCCTCTGTATACACTTTTGCCATCAGCCATGCAAATATTAGAGGTCCGTCTAACCCAAAGTCACATAGCCGGTGAGGAGTCAAATTAGAACACAGATGTGTTACTTTCACCACACAAGGCCCCTCTTCAAGGAGAAGTAAGGCACTGTCTTTCTCAGCTTCGAGGCTCTGTATCTCTGCCTGTTTCCTGGTGGTTACAGGCTATGTGCTCTGGAAACTCCTGCTGAGAACCTGGCCTCCTAGCCCTTCTGAAGCTGCAGTTCTTCTCTCACACCGTGTATTGCCCTATGCGGATACCTCTCATACAGACCCTCCACTGGGCCGTTCAAGTCCACGTACTTATGGGTTCACCAGCTAGTTAGTGCCCCCAGCAGGGATACAGAGATGGTTTAGTCACAGTCCCTGCTTGCAAGGAGCTCACAGTCTAGTGAGGACATCACACAAAGAAATGGACAGTGACGACCACACGAGAGACTCCTCCAGTGATGGGTGCACGATAATCTGGGGCAGATCTGGGGTGGGGTTAGGTACAGGCTGCTCAGAGGAAGTGATTCTCAAACTGAGTCTTAATGAGGCCAGGAGGCTGAGGGCTGGAATTTTGGGTTGGCATATTTATAGACCCTGAGGCTGCAATGGGGCAAGTTTGGGAAATCCCAACTCTGTCATGATGACTAGAACAAAGAGTAAGAGGTGAGAGGGGCCAGAAGTAAGGCTTAAAACACTAAGAGCCACAAAAAAAAAAAAAAAAAAAAAAAAAAAGCAAACAAACAAAAAAAACACTAAGAGCCTCAGCCCAGGAATGGTGGCTCATGCCTGTAATCCCAGCACTTTGGGAGGCCAAGGCAGGTGGATCACCTGAGGTCAGGAGTTCGAGACCAGCCTGGCCAACATGGTGAAACCCCATCTCTCCTAAAAATAGAAAAAAAATTAGCCAGGCATGGTGGCACACATCTGTAATTCCAGCTACTCGGGAGGCTGAGACAGGAGAATCGCTTGAACCTGGGAGGTGGAAGTTGCAGTGAGCCGAGATTGTGCCACTGCACTCCAGCCTGGGCAAGAGACTCTATCTCAAAAAAAAAAAAAAAAAAAAAAAAACCCAAAAAACACTAAGAGCCTCATTGACCCTAACAGGCTGTAGGCTTTATGAGGGGCCTAAATGTTACTGTTCATACTGTGCCTATGTACCAGGCACATCAGTGCAAGCAAGGCACGTGGCACATAGTAGATGCTTAGTAAATTTTTGCTGAAAGAATGAATGACAGGGCCAGGCACGGTGGCTTACACCTGTAATCTCAGCACTTTGGGAGGCCGAGGTGGGCAGATCACTTGAGTTCAGGAGTTCGAGACCAGCCTGGCCAACATGGTGAAACGATGTCTCTACTAAAAATACAAAAATTAGCTGGGCGTGGTGGTGTGTGCCTATAATCCCAGCTACTCGGGAGGCTAAGGCAGGAGAATCGCTTGAACCCAGGAGGCAGAGGTTACTGTGAGCTGAGATTGCACCACTGCTATCCAGCCTGGGTGACAAAGCGAGACTCCATCTCAAAAAAAAAAAAAAAAAAAAAAAGAATGATGAATGACAGGCTAGGCACTGTGGCTCATGCCTGTAATCCCAGCACTTTGAGAGGCTGAGGCAGGCAGATTGCTTGAGCCCAGGAGTTCGAGACCAGCCTGAGCAACATAGTGAAACCCCATCTCTACAAAAAATAAAAAAATAAGGTGGGCATGGTGGCATGCACCTGTAGTCCCAGCTACTTGGGAGGTAGGTGGGAGGTTGAGGCTGCAGTGAGCTGTGATCACACCACTGCACTGCAGCCTAAGTGGCAGCAAGACCTTGTCTCAAAAAAGAAAAAGAATGACATGGGCTGGGCGTGGTGGCTCACTCCTGTAATCCCAGCACTTTGGGAGGCTGAGGCAGGTGGATCACGAGGTCAGGGGTTCGAGGCCAGCCTGGCCAAGATGGTGAAACCCCATCTCTACTAAAAATACAAAAATTAGCCGGGCGCAGTGGCGGGCGCCTGTAATCCCAGCTACTCAAGAGGCTGAGGCACAAGAATCGCTTGAACCTGGGATGCGGAGGTTGCAGTGAGCTGAGATCGTGCCACTGCACTCTAGCCTGGGTGACAGAGCAAGACTCTGTCTTAAAAAAAAAAAAATGCTGGGCGCAGTGGCTCATGCCTGTAATACACTTTAGGAGGCTAAGGTGGGCAGATCACCTGAGGTAAGGAGTTCGAGACCAGCCTGACCAATATGGAGAAATCCTGTCTCTACTGAAAATACAAAATTAGCCGAGCATGGTGGCACGTGCCTGTAATCCCAGCTACTCGGCAGGCTGAGGCAGGAGAATCGCTTGGACCCGGGAGGTGGAGGTTGCGGTGGGCTGAGATCGTGCCATTGCACTCCATCCTGGGCAACAAGAGCAAAACTCCATCTCAAAAAAAAAAAAAAAAAGAACTAAAAACATTTGGTCTGAGTCTCTTAAGATATGGGGACTTCGTGTTGGGATCAGTTTTAAAGCTCCCCAAGTGACTGTAATGTGTAGCCAGGGTTGAGAGTACCAGGGCTGCAGGCCACAGGGGAGCACTGAAGGGTTTTACTCGAAATCAGATTTGCATATCAGAGTCAATTTGAATTGACAGCTCTGCAGGAGATGGGTGGAACAGGGTGCAGAGGGCAGTTGTGGAGAGGCAGTTGCAGCTTAATCCACGTTAGAGAGAATGAGATGGAAGAAGCAAATAGGTTTTGAGGGAGTTGGAAGATAACATCAGTAGGATCTGGTGAATGGAGGTGGATGGGTAGGTATGTCAGAGTCCAGGATAGCCCCTTGACTTCAGACTTGAGCCACTTGGCAAATAATGGTGCCCTTTGCTGGAGTGGGAAGTAGGGGCAGAAACAGGTTTAGGGAGGGTTTCCTTGCTGAGTAAAGTTCTTTTTTTTTTTTTTTTTGAGACAGAGTCTCGCTCTGTCGCCCAGGCTGGAGTGCAGTGGCGCCATCTCGGCTCACTGCAAGCTCCGCCTCCCAGATTCACGCCAGTCTCCTGCCTCAGCCTCCCGAATAGCTGGGACTACAGGCGCCCACCACCATGCCCAGCTAATTTTTTTTGTATTTTTAGTAGAGACGGGGTTTCACCACATTAGCCAGGATGGTCTCCATCTCCTGACCTCGTGATCCACCCGCCTCGGCCTCCCAAAGTGTTGGGATTACAGGCGTGAGCCACCGCGCCCTGCCTCTTGCTGAGTAAAGTTCTAACCGGCCTCTATAAACAGCTGTCTGATCTCTTTTTGGGCTTTTTTGGTTTTTTTTTTTTTTTTTAGACGGATTCTCGCTCTGTCACCCAGGCTGGAGTGCAGTGGTGTGATCTCGGCTCACTGCAACCTCTGCCTCCTGGGTTCAAGCTATTCCCCTTCCTCAGCCTCCTGAGTAGCTGGGATTACAGCTGCCCACCACCATGCCCAGCTAATTTTTGTATTTTTAGTAGAGACGGGGTTTCACCATGCTAGTCAGGCTGGGCTCTAACTCCTGACCTCATGATCCGCCCCACCTCGGCCTCCCAAAGTGCTGGGATTACAGGCATGAGCCACTGCACCCAGCCCCTTTTCGGGCTTCTTACTCTTTTTCACCTTGCCTCAGGCCCTGAGTAGTTCCAGCTACTTTCACTTCTTCTTTACCACCTTCCCTATTCAGTCCATCCACTTGTGAGAGTTGTGGAGGGCAGCAGGGGAAGCATCAGTTGTCCTACAAAACCTGACTGCACTACAGGGCAACAGTCTCTTTAGCCACTCTCCTCCATGTTGCCCTGAAGATTAACACTCTGGGCATTTTTCTTCTTTTAAATAAAAAATAAAGGGATGGGTGGGGGAAAAGGGAGAAAATTTCTGCAATACTCACTTAAGAGCATTTAGAAAATACTGAAAAAAAAAATCACTTATAGGCCGGGCTCGGTGGCCCACGCCTGTAATCCCAGCACTTTGGGAGGCCGAGGCAGGCGGATCACCTGAGGTCAGGGGTTCGAGATCAGCCTGACCAACATGGAGAAACCCCCGTCTCTACTAAAAATACCCAATTAGCTGGGCATGGTGGCGCATGCCTGTAATCCCAGCTACTCGGGAGGCTGAGACAGGAGAATTGCTTGAACCTGGGAGGCGGAGGTTGCAGTGAGCCAAGATTGCATCATTGCACTCCAGCCTGGGCAACAGGAGCGAAACTCCATCTCAAAAAAAAAAAAAAATCACTTATGTCATGCCCACATAAATCCAATCACTGCCATCATTTTGGTGTGTTTCCTAGACGTAGATTATTTTGTTTTGTTCCTTTTATAGTTGTAATCATGCTGGTGAAACTGAACAAATTATAAAAACAAGAAGGCAGCTTAAGGGAGGCAGTTTATGTGTGGTACAGAAAAAGCAACAGGAAAATGTACCCATCGTAGGCAAGGGCATGGAAAACAGGCACTTCTTACAGTGTTGGTGGAAATGTACATTGGCAGAGCCTTTCTGGAGGAGAATTTTACAGTATCTATCAAAATCTTATAGATGCATGACTTTGACTCCAGAATTCTACTTAGAATTATCCTACAGTGTCCAACCGCACAAATTTAGGTGAATGCATCAGTTGTTTTTTAAAGAAGGAAAAACTAGGCCGGGCGCAGTGGCTCACGCCTGTAATCCCAGCACTTTGGGAGTCTGAGGCGGGCAGACTCACTTGAGGTCAGGAGTTCGACACCAGCCTGGCCAACATGGTGAAACCCTGTCTCTACTAAAAATATAAAAATTAGCCAGGCATGGTGGTGGGCGCCTGTAATCCCAGCTACTTGGGAGGCTGAGGCAGGAGACTGGCGTGAATCTGGGAGGCGGAGCTTGCAGTGAGCCGAGATGGCGCCACCGCACTCCAGCCTGGGCGACAGAGCGAGACTCTGTCTCAAAAAAAAAAAGGCCGGGCGCGGTGGCTCATGCCTGTAATCCCAGCACTTTGGGAGGCCAATGCAGGCGGATCACAAGGTCAGAAGATCGAGACCATCCTGGCTAACATGGTGAAACCCCGTCTCTACTAAAAATACAAAAAAAAAAAAAAAAAAAAATTATCCAGGTGTGGTGGCAGGTGCCTGTAGTCCCAGCTACTCAGGAGGCTGAAGCAGGAAAATGGCGTGAACCCGGGAGGCAGAGCTTGCAGTGAGCCGAGACCACGCCACTGCACTACAGCCTGGGTGACAGAGCGAGACTCCATCTCAAAAAAAAGAAAAAGAAAAAAACAGAGGACAACATAAATAAATATTTATTTATTTATTTATTTTGAGACGGAGTCTCGCTCTGTCGCCCAGGCTGGAGTGCAGTGGCATGATCTCAGCTCACTGCAGCCTCTGCCTCCTGAGTTCAAGTGATTCTCCTGCCTTAGCCTCCCGAGTAGTTGGGACTACAGGCACGTGCCACCACACCTGGCTAATTTTTATATTTTTAGTACAGACAGGGTTTCACCATGTTGGCTAGGCTGGTCTCCATCTCCTGACCTCATGATCTACCCGCCTCAGCCTCCCAAAGTGCTGGGATTACAGGTGTGAGCCACCACACCTGCCTTATTTATTTATTTATTTATTTACTTATTTATTTTGAGATGGAATCTTGCTCTGTCGCCTAGGCTGGAATGGCACGATCTCGGCTCACTGCAGCCTCCATCTCCCAGGTTCAAGCAATTCTCCCGCCTCAGCCTCCCAAGTAGCTGGGATTACAGGCACCTGCCATCACGCCTGGCTAATTTTTGTATTTTTAGTAGAGATGGGGTTTCCCCATGTTGGCCTGGCTGGTCTTGAACTCCTGATCTCAGGTGATCCGCCTGCCTTCACCTCCCAAAGTGCTGGGATTAGAGGCGTGAGCCACCGCACCTGGCCTAAAATTTTTTTTTTTGTAGAGACTGGGTCTCGCTCGCTTTGTTACCTGGGTTGGTCTTAAATTCCTGGGCTCAAGTGCTCCTCCCGTCTTGGCCTCCCAAAGTGTTGGGATAATAGGAATGATCCACCTTACCCTGCCTTAAATATTTATAAGTTAAATAAATTACAGTAAGTCTACAAAATGGAATAGCATGCTGATATGGAAGGTGCTCCACAGTGTATTATTAAGAGAAGGATAAGCGGGCCGGGCGCGCTGGCTCACACCTGTAATCCCAGCACTTTGGGAGGCCGAGGTGGGTGGATCACCTGAGGTCGGGAGTTCAAGACCAGCCTGACCAATATGGAGAAACCCCGTCTCTACTAAAAATAAAAAAATTAGCTGGGCGTGGTGGCGCATGCCTGTAATCCCAGCTACTCGGGATGCTGAAGCAGGAGAATTGCTTGAACCCAGGAGGCAGAGGTTGCGGTGATCGGAGATTGCACCGTTGCACTCCAGCCTGGGCAACAAGAGTGAAACTCCGTCTGAAAAAAAAAAAAAAAAAAGAGAAGGGTAAGCATGTTGCAGGATGGTATGTGGCATCCCATTGGGGTATTAAAAGCCACCATAGACAGTGCTTCTGTCTTGAAAAAAAGGCACTGAACTGGTAACAGTGGTGAACATGAAGAGGGAATTGGTGGGGTTGGTGAAGTGGGGACTCACTCTGCAGAAGCTACTAGAGGCAGGCAGCCACCTGCCTTGCGAGATTCAAGCTGTGTTGTAAGACTGCTGGATTCAAATCTCAGTTCTGCCTCCAATTAGCTGTGTGGCCTTTGACTAGTCATGAACCTTCTGTGCCATAGTTTCCTCACAAGTAAAATGGGCTTAGTAATTGTTTCTATCCCACAGGGTTGAAGTGAGAATCAAATTATTTAGCTCACGTGATACATTTAAGTGCTTAGCATATTAATATGCTTAATTAATATTAGCTAAGTCAGAAATTCTTGAGTTTCCATTCCTGTTTTGCCACCCATTGGGCAAATTTCTTAACTTCTTTATGCCTCAGTTTCCAATTGTGAATGAACAATGTTGATGATAGCATCAACCCTGTAGGGTTTTAAGGATTTGGGATAATAGGATGTCAGTATCTCACTGAAGAAACTGTCCCTGGCCGTAGTTCCTGGCTCCATTGCAGAGTTGGTAATACCAGTCTCTGAATTTTCTTCCTGAGAGTGGATCCCATTAAATCTCTAGCCAAGGAGGAGCGTACTTCTGTGCTTCTAGGGCTAGACAGAACGGAAGATGGTGCAGCAGCCCCAGCGTGGGAGGCCGGGGCTGTAGTGGGGATGTGGTGAAAGACGTAGGGCTCTCTCTGTTGCTCTCAGCTGCAGCCACGTGTTGCCCCATGGAGACTGGGCCAGGAGCTGCTGGATCTTACTGTTTCTCAAGAGAAGTTGTGAAATCTCCTCATTTTAAACTCTTGGCAATTATTTCATTTTTGTAAACATTGGGAGAGCAAACAAAACATGTCGGTAGGCTGTATTTAGCCCACAAGCTGCCAGTTTGCTATCTATGTTCTAGGCTTTCTGTGCTTGACTTAGCAAAATATTTACTAAGCGCCTGCTGTACCTGTAGCTCCTCAGTACCTGGTCATGTTTACTGTTCTGCCACCTCAGGCGTGCTGGCTCAGTCATCCTATCAGGTACTAAATCAGTTTAGTGGGCTTGAAATGGTGTTTCAATTCAAATTAAAATGCAATTTGCATTTCCCTGATTACTGCTGAGATTGAACATTTAAAAAAAATACATCTATAGAACTTTCTTCTCCCTCAGTAGAATTTTTGTTTTAAGTCTTCAGATCATCCTTTAGGTATGGAGAGATTTAGGGCTTCCCTAGTGAAATATTTCTTTTGAATAACATCACATCCACTAGCCTGGACTCTTGTTTAGGTTTGGGGCTGTCTGCACATCTCAGGAGGCCAAGCATCAAGCCCAGTACCGCCACAGAGGGGGGGTTCAATAAATATTTGAATGAATCTTTATTCCTATTTCAAGAGCGTATTTCTTCTTTATTCTCTAGTTCTTGGCACAAGTATTATTGATTTAGTTATCAGCGTATTCAACAATCACAACTCCCCACTTTGGTGAGGAAACACACTTTCTAGAGGTTTGCCTGTGTCCTGCCCCATTCAAACCAGGAAGTGAAAGGGGAATCTGCTGGCCTTAAGGGAACAATGATTCTTTTTTCTTTTCTTTCTTTCTTTCTTTCTTTTTTTTTTTTTTGAGATGGAGTCTTGCTCTGTTGCCTAGGCTAGAGTGCAGTGGGGCAATCTCAGCTCACTGCAATCTCCGCCTCCCAGGTTCAAGTAATTATCCTGCCTCAGCTTCCCGAGTAGCTGGAATTAGAGGTGCCTGTTACCACGCCCAGCTAATTTTTGTATTTTTAGTAGAGACGGGGTTTCACCATGTTGGCCAGGCTGGCCTCGAACTTCTGACCTCAGGTGATCCACCCACCTCAGCCTCCCAAAGTGCTGGGATGACAGGCGTGAGTCACCGCGCCCGGCCTACAGTGACTTCTCTAGAGAGTAGTTCCTTGAGGGCTGCAGAAGGTCATGCTAGTTTGAACATAGTGGTTCCATGTGGCTGGTTTTACATCTGTGCTCAGATGATTTGTTTTTTTTTTGTTTTTTTGTTTTTGTCTTCAAGGTAGAAGAACACTCTAGTCCCACAGGCCCTTTAATCAGTACCCACTGGGGAGTATTTGTGGATGTGTTTATCAGTTTCAGGGTGTCTTGACCAAGATTCAGGAGGGAGGGTATCCCCTATGAAGATGGCCTTTTTCTCTTGGCTCTCCTTCATGCACCCTTCTCAAGCCGTGCTTACATTTCCTCTAACACTGCAGGCTCCATTGGAACTCCAGCCCCTTTACACCTGCTGTCACCTCAACTGGAGTATCCTTCCACTCACTTATCATCTGGCAAATTCCTTCCTCCTCCTCCTTCAAGATCTAGGTCAGATGGTCCCTTTCTGAAACCTTCTGTGGCTCTCCCGGCAGAGTTAGGCCTCCCTTCTTTGTAGATATTCATTAACTCACATATTTGGTTAGCTACCAAAAAATCGTCCTTGCCCTAGAGGAGTTCATAGGCTAGTGGGGTAGACAAACCTAAACATTTAGACAGCCATGCTGACTGCATTAGGGAAGCACTGAGGAGGAGCACTTCACCTGCCTTGGGGGACAGATGACAGGGAAGGTTCCAGAAGGTGGGGACACCTGAATCCTAAGAGTGTGTGGGTATCCAGATAAGGAACTGGCTTGGGCAAAGGCACAGAGGCAACAAATAATGTTGCAGGTGCACAACAATGACAAGCAGTTGGTTTTGCTGGAACATAGGGGCCTGAAAATGTAGGACTTTCTATTATATTGACCCATATGAAACTGCTTTTTTTTTTTTGAGATCAAGTCTCACTCTGTCACCCAGGCTGGAGTGCAGTGGCATGATCTCAGCTCACTGCAACCTCCGCCTCCCAAGTTCAAGTGATTTTCCTGCCTCAGCCTCCCATCTAGCTGGGACTACAGGCATGCACCATCATGCCTAGCTAATTTTTGTATTTTTATTTTTATGGAGACGGAGTTTCACCATGTTGGCCAAGCTGGTCATGAACTCCTGACCTCAGATGACCCACCCGCCTCAGCCTCCCAAAGTGCTGGGATTACAGGTGTGAGCCACCGCGCTGGACCTAAAACTGCCATTTTTTTTTTTCCCCGAGACGGAGTTTTCACTCTTGTTGCCCAGGCTGAAGTGCAGTGGCATGATCTCAGCTCACTGCAACCTCCACCTCCCAGGTTCAAGCGATTCTCCTGCCTCAGCCTCCCAAGTAGCTGGGATTACAGGCACCCACCACACCTGGCTAATTTTGTATTTTTAGTAGAGACAGGGTTTCACCATGTTGGCCAGGCTGGTCTCGAACTCCTGTCCTCAGGTGATCCGCCTGCCTTAGCCTCCCAAAGTGCTGGGATTACAGGCGTGAGCCATCATGCCCGGCCATGAAACTGCCATTTTTTGTATATCAAAATAGATATCATCAATTTCATGTGGTTTCAAGCTAATATGTCACCCTAAGAGTTTTGGACTTTATATTGTTTCCCAAACTTCTGTTATTATTATTATTATTATTATTATTATTATTATTATTATTATTATTAGAGACAGGGTCTCACTCTTTCTCCCAGGGTGGAGTGCAGTGGTGCAATCAAGGCTCACTGCAGCCTCGAACTCCTGGGCCCAAGGGATCCTCCTGCTTCAGCCTCCTGAGTAGCTGAGCCTTCAGGTGCCACCATCATGCCCAGCTAACTTCTGTCATTTTTTATCCACCTTCATGATTTTTACCTTCTCTGAGTTCCTACCAACCTACTATGATCCACTTAATTTTTATTCAGAGAGACTCACTTCCTTTTCTTCTTCTTCTTCTTCTTTTTTTTTTTTTTCTGAGACAGAGTCTTGCTCTGTCCCCCAGGTTGGAGTGCCGTGGTACAATCTCAGCTCACTGTAACCTCCACCTCCTGGGTTCAAGAAATTCTCCTGCCTCAGCCTCCTGAGTAGCTCGGATTACAGGCATATGCCACCACACCCAGCTAATTTTTGTATTTTTAGTAGAGATGGGGTTTCACCATGTTGGCCAGGCTGGTCTCACACTTCTGACTTCACGATCCACCTGCCTTGGCCTCCCAAAGTGCTGGGATTACAGGCATGAGCCACTGCGCCCAGCCAAGACTCACTTTTCTAACTTAAATTTATTTTAAAAGGAAAGTTTAGGTCAAAAATTTAAAAAGTATTATCACCTGCCATATAAAGAAGGTAATTGTAAAAAGAAATTCAATAAAAACAAATCTCTTGCTAGATTCTGTTGCCCACCAACCTCTGCCTATAAATTTCCCCTTCCACAAACAATAGAAGTCTAAGAAATTATTAAAGAAGCATGTTGGCTGGGCGTGGTAAGGCACGCATATAATCTCAGCACTTTGGGAGGCTGAGGCGGGTGGATCACAAGGTCAGGAGATCGAGACCATCCTGGCCAACATGGTGAAACTCTGTCTCTATGAAAAATACAAAAATTAGCTGGGTGTGGTGGCGCATGCCTGTAGTCCCAGCTACTCGAGAAGCCAAGGCAGGAGAATCGCTTGAACCTGGGAGGTAGAGGTTGCAGTGAGCAGAGATCGAGTCACTGCACTCCAGCCTGGGTGACACAGTGAGACTCCGTCTCAAGAAGAAGCATGTCAGCTGGATGCGGTGGCTCACGCCTGTAATCCTAGCACTTTGGGAGGCCAAGGCAGGTGGATCACCTGCGGTCAGGAGTTCGAGACGAGCCTGGCCAACATGGCGAAACCCCATTTATACTAAAAATAACAAAAATTAGGTGGACGTGGTGGCAGGTGCCTTTAATCCCAGCGACTCGGGACGCTGAGGCAGGAGAATCGCTTGAATCCAGGAGGCAGGGGTTGCAGTGAGCCGAGATCATGCCATTGCACTCCAGCCTGGGCAACAAGGGTGAAACTCTGTGTCAAAAAAAAAAAAGAAGAAGCAGCAGCATGTAATTGGACATTTTGAGAGCACAGACATCAGTTAAGAGGCTAAGAAGGTTCATGGCAATAAGAATATAGAAGAGAAAATGGAAACAAGAAATGTTTGAGAATGAAAATCACTAGGACTGTTTGGATATGGTGGGAGAGAAAAGAAGAATCAAGAATGACTTTCAGGGCCAGGTGCGGTGGCTCACTCCTGTAATCCCAGCACTTTGGGAGGCTGAGGCAGGTGGATCACTTGAGGTCAGGAGTTCGAGACCAGCCTGGCCAACATGGTGAAACCCCATCTCTACTTAAAAAAATACAAAACTTAGCTGGGCGTGGTAGCAGGCACCTGTAATCCCAGCTACTTGGGAGGCTGAGGCAGGAGAAACTCTTGAATCCGGGAGGTGGAGGTTGCAGTGAGCTGAGATTGTCCCACTGCACTCTGGCCTGGGCGACAGAGTGAGACTCTGACTCAAAAAAAAAAAAAGGACTTTTAGGGTTCTATCCTGGAGGGTTAGGGGCAGGTGATGGTGCCAGCTATAGAGGGGGGAAGTGATGATTTAGGAGGGAAGATAATGAGGTAATCTTGCACATCTTACATTTGAGGTGCCCATGGTGCCCTCCAATTGGAGATGCCCAGGGTGAGGGTTCAGAGCAGAGCCACTGGGTACAGATAGTCCTCAAGACTGGGGTATCAGCCCTCCAATAGAGGAGCTAAGGAAGCAGCCATTTTGATGAGTGTTTTCCTGCAAATCCTCCCAGCCTAAGAGTAGATTTTTGCCTTCCCTTATGGAGCAGATGGAGGTCTTGAGGGCAGCAAGGTGCTTAGTCCTCTCTGTCTCAACAGCTTCTAGCTCACCAGAAGAGAGGAAATTTAAGAAAAAGATGACACATTCCATCTCTAACCTGCTGAGTCATAGAGACGGGGGAGTACCAATGGGGAAATGTCCATTCAGATGGATTCTGAACTCTATCCAGGCAACTGAAAGCCTGGGACTAGACCTATAGACTTGGGTAGTACCAGCCTATAGATGGTGGTAGCAACCATGAGAGTAGATGAGAATGCCCAAAAAGGGTGTGTATTGTCATAAAAGTCATGCGCCCAGGACTACATCCTGAAGAACTACAGCATTCAAGGTAGAGAAGTAGCAAAAAGGGAGAGCATAAAGGTGACAGAGGGAATAGTCAGAAACTTTTTTTTTTTGAGACAGAGTCTCATTCTGTCACCCAGGCTGGAGTGCACTGGCGCCATCTCAGCTCACTGCAAATCACTGCAACCTCCACCTCCCAGGCTCAAGTGATTCTCATGCCTCAGCCTCCCAAGTAGCTGGGACTACAGGCTCACGCCACCACGCCTAGCTAATTTTTGTATTTTTAGTAGAGATGGAGTTTCACCATGTTGACCAGGCTGGTCTCAAACTCCTGACCTCAGGTGATCCGCCCGCCTTGGTCTCTCAAAGGGTTGGGATTACAGGCGTGAGCCACCACGTCCAGCCAATAGTCAGAAACTTTGGAAGTTATTCAGGAGAGTAAAGTGTCATAGAAGCCAACAGAACGGAATTTCATGGAGTGGAGTGATCACAAATGTCAGATATAGCAGAGATCTGCCACAACAAAAACACCTTCAGGTATTGTCATTGGGATTTCACTGGTGACCTTACAAAAGTTTTTTCCAGTAGACTGGTGAGAATGGAAACCGAAATTCAAATTGCACTGACGGGTGGCTGAGAGACAAGCATAGACAGTGAGCATAGACTGTTATTTGGGGGAAGTATAATATACCTTTGTTTATTCATTCAATAAAGATTTATTGGCCAGGTGTGGTGGCTTATGCCTGTTCGGAGCACTCTGGGAGGCTGAGATGGGTGGATCACCTGAGGTCCGGAGTTCAAGACCAGACTGGCCAATATGGTGAAACCCTGTCTCTACTAAAATTACAAAAATTAGCCAGGTGTGGTGGCACATGCCTGTAATCCCAGCTGCTTGAGAGGCTGAGGCATGAGAATCGCTTGAAACTGGGAGGCAGAGGTTGCAATGAGCTGAGATCGCGCCATTGCACTCCAGCCTGGGTGACAGAGTGAGACTCTGTCTCAAAAAAAAAAAAAAAAAAAAAAAAAATTGATGGCCTATCTGGCCCTGTACTAGGTGATGATGAACAACAAAGCAACGAACAGAAACAAAGTCTAGCCAGGCACCATGGCTCATGTTAATTCCAGCATTTTGGAAGGCTGAGGCAGGTGGATTGCTTGAGCTCAGAGGTTTGAGACCAGGCTGGGCAACATTGAGACCCTATCTCTATTAAAAAATAAAAAATTTAAAAATTAAAAAAAAATTTTGGCTGGGCGCTGTGGCTCACGCCTGTAATCCCAGCACTTTGGGAGGCCGAGGTGGGCGGATCACCTGAGGTCGGGAGTTTGAGACTAGCCTGACCAACATGGAGAAACCCCATCTCTACTAAAAATACAAAATTAGCCAGGTGTGGTGGCACATGCCTGTAATCCCAGCTACTCGGAGGCTGAGGCAGGAGAGTCGCTTGAATCTAAGAGGTGGAGGTTGCAGTGAGCTGAGATCATGCCACTGCACTCCAGCCTGGGCAACAAGAGTGAAACTGTCAAAAAAAAAAAAATTTAAACACCAAAACTAACATTCCTGCTTTCACAGAGCTTATATTCTAGGGGTGGACAGAGAAACGATACAAAATATGCAAGATAGTGTTAAGTACTTTGAAGAAAAGCTATTTTGCATAGGGTGATTAGGAAAGGTCTCTGTGATCAGGTGACTTTTACAAGGGATTGTTGAGTTTGTTTTAAAGTACAGTACAGTATCAGATAGATTGTAGTCCTTAATTTTTATTTTATTTTTTTTGAGACAGAGTCTTTCTCTGTCTCCCTGGCTGAAGTTCAGTGGCACGATCTTGGCTCCCTGCAACCTCTGTCCCCTGGTTCAAGCAATTCTTCTGCCTCAGCCTCCCTAGTAGCTGGGATTACAGGTGTGCACTACCACACTTGGCTAATTTTTGTATTTTCAGTAGAGACGGAGTTTTGCCATGTTGGCCAGGCTGGTCTTGAACTCCTGACCTCAAGTGATCCGCTGGCCTCGGCCTCCCAAAGTGCTGGGATTACAGGCAGCACTTTGATTACAGGCATGAGCCACTGTGCTTGGCCCTTAATTCTTGATATACTGTGTTCAGTGTTAAGATAATTGTACATTTTGCTACTCCTCTACTTAGAATCCACAAAACTTTACAATAAAATTCAAATTCCTTATCATGGATCCTACATAAGGTTCCGAGACCCTGTAATCTACCTCTGCCTTTCTTGCCAAGTTTATCTTATACCACCCTTCCCCTTTCTTATTCCACTCCAGCCACATGCACCAAAGCTGCATTGAATGAACGAATGAAGTGTTGGAAGTATCTTCCCAGGTGGCTTCTTGGGCAACAGGAAGCAAGACAGCTTACGGTCAAAGAGCTTGAGTGTTTGTGCCAGACAAATCTGGCTTGGGTCCTGGCTGTGCTGCTTACAAGCCCTTTGACCTTGTCTAGGTCATATAGCCTCAGTGAGCCTCAGCAAGTCTCAGCTTCCTCAAATGTGCAATGGAGACTATATGTCTATACTGAGGATTATTTTAAGGATAAAGTTCAGAATTACTGCAAATTTCTTAGCACAGTGCCTGGCACATTGTAAGCACTCAAGAATTAGTAGTGTTAGCATCATCATTGTTGTTGTTATCATTACTTTGGCCAATCAACCCTCCTCTGTTAACAGATGGCCAGAGTCATACAGTGAGTTAGGGATGGAGGAGGGGTGACCTGCATCCAGGTGTTCAGACACAGAGTACAGGCTAGTGTGGGCTTTGGAGCTGAGCAGACTTGGCTCACATTTTGGGTTAGTCATTTCCCACATTTGAGGCAAGTTACTTAACCTATCTGAACTTCGAGTGCTCTGTTCTTAAAATGATGTATGTAGGCCTGGCGCGGTGGCTCACGCCTGTGATCCCAGCACTTTGGGAGGCCGAAGTGGGTGGATCACGAGGTCAGGAGTTCAAGACCAGCCTGGCCAACATGGTGAAACCCCATTTCTACTAAAAATGCAAAATTAGCTAGGTGTGGTGGCATGCGCCTGTAATCCTAGCTACTCAGGAGGCTGAGGCAGGAGAATCGCTTGAACCCAGGAGGCAGAGGTTGCAGTGAGCCAAGATCATGCCATTGCACTCCAGCCTGGGTGACAGAGCAAGACTTCATCTCCAAAAAAAAAAAAAAGTATGTAAAGGTAGCACAGAGCTGAGCCACTGAGAGGAGCCTCACAAATGGCAGGCATTCCCAGCCCCTTTTGTGCTGTTGCTTTCTTCTTCCCTTCTTAACTCAGTAGTCTTTAATCTTTTATTTTTATTTTTATTTATTTATTTATTTATTTATTTAGAGACGGAGTCTCACTCTGTCGCCCAGGCTGGAGTGCAGTGGCGCAATCTCGGCTCACTGCAAGCTCCGCCTCCCAGGTTCACGCCATTCTCCTGCCTCAGCCTCCCGGGTAGCTGGGACTACAGGCGCCCACCGCCACGCCCAGCTAATTTCTTGTATTTTAGTAGAGATGGGGTTTCACCGTGTTAGCCAGGATGGTCTCGATCTGCTGACCTCATGATCCGCCCACCTTGGCCTCCCACAGTGCTGGGATTACAGGCGTGAGCCACTGCGCTCAGCCCAATATTTTATTTTATTTTTTAAGAGAGGAGAGAGACATAGACCCCTTTGAGAGTTTGTAATCTGTGGACACTCAAATTCACAGAGTTCAGAGACATCTGCCAATATTGGGGATGAAAACTTAATCGATCAAATCAGTCAGTTGCTCCTTCTTCCTCTCTCTCCCCACTCTCCTTTTTTGCTTTTTCCTGTTATCCCCCATCATTTCTAGGCTAGTTGCCTTTAGCTCACACATTTGTTTTGTTTTGAGACAGGGTCTCACTATGTTGCCCAGGCTGGAGTGCAGTGGCTGTACATAGGCATGATCCCACTACTGATCTGCATGGGAACTTTGACCTGCTCCATTTCCGACCCGGAACGGTTCACCCATTCTTAGGCAACCTGGTGGTCCCCAGCTCCCTGGGGGTATACCTTATTGATGCTAAACTTAGTGCGGACACCTGATTGGTATAGTGCACTACAGCCCAGAACTCCTGGGCTCAGGCCTCCTGAATAGCTGGGACTACAGGTGCATGCCACCATGCCCAGCAGCTCACACTTTGTCTAACAACTTTGTTCCAAGAGTACTCTCAGCAAAGACCACAACCACATTCTCAGTTTCTGGGGTTGAGGGCACGGTGTCACTTGTTTCCTAAGTATCAGTTTACTCATCAGTAAAATGAGCATTGTTTATAGCACTTTGCCAAGTGTTTTCTCATGTGATCTGTACAACAATGCTGGTAGGCAAAGTTTTCATTCATCTCAGTCAATATTTATGGAGTGCTGGCCAGGCGTGGTGGCTCACGCCTGTAATCCCAGCACTTTGGGAGGCCAAGGTGGGCGGATCTCCTGAGGTCAGGAGTTCAAGACCAGCCTGGCCAACATGGTGAAACCCCGTCTGTACTAAAAATACGAAAATCAGCTGGGTATGGTGGCAGGCGCCTGTAATCCCAGCTACTCTGGAGGCTGAAGCAGGAGAATAGCTTGAATCCGGGAGGTGGAGGTTGCAGTGAGCCGAGATTGTGCCATTACACTCCAGCCTGGATGACAAGTGTGAAACTTCTGTCTCAAAAAAAAAAAAAAAAAAAAAATATGGAGCGCCTATTAGGTAACCAGGCACTGTTTTAGCTACAGTGATGTCTCATGGAGCTTACATATTGGGAAGAGACTATAAGAAGTGCCTCTTAAGTGCGCTATGTGCCACTTAAGTAAGGTAATTTCAAATTGTCTAAGTGCTGTAACAAAAATAAAACAAGATAAAGAGCTAAGGGAAGGCCTGCAGACAGGCTTCCACCTGGATACAATTTATATAAATCCATAAAGTTTAACAGTATCAAAGTATACTTGTTACTTTTTAATTTTTTTTTTTTTTTTTTTGAGACAGAGTACTTGCTCTGTCGCCCAGGCTGGAGTGCAGTGGCACTATCTCGGCTCACTACAACCTCCGCCTCCCAGGTTCAAGCGATTCTCCTGCCTCAGCCTCCGGACTGGCTGGGACTACAGGCATGTACCACCAAGCCTGGCTAATTTTTCTTATTTTAAGTAGAAACGGGGTTTCGCCAAACTGATCTCGAACTACTGACCCCAGGTGATCCACCCGCCTCAGCCTTCCAAAGTGCTGGGATTACGGGCATGAGCCACTGTGCCCGACCTACTTTTTAATTTTAACGGTAGCTTTTTTCCCCCTAGTAAATACAGATTCTCAGTAGACTGCTTGTCATGAGCAGAGAGAAGTCTGTGTTCTACCCTCTTTTGACAAAAGGCCTCAGAGGTTATCTAGGTCTGATATCTTTAAATTGTTAGTGGAAAGTTTCATCCACCTTTCAAGACATTATGTGAAAGTTGTGGATTTTGAATCTCAAACACTACACCCTGGAGCTGGCAGTCTCCACATGCCATTACTATATTTGAAGAGGGTGAATTCAGTTTGTGAAACCCAAAAAGATGCCATCCGTAAGTAAATAACCAACTGAATGTTGGTTGAAGGATGTGAAACAAAGATGAGTGTAGTCAATTCAGAAACATGAACCCATGGGGAAGAGAACAGTGGCCACAGCTGTGCAGAACAAAACTGGCCAGATGGGCCAGGCACAGTGGCTCACACCTGTAATCCCAGCACTTTGGGAGGTTGAGGCAGGCGGATCACCTGAGGTCAGGAGTTCGAGACTAGCCTGGCCAACATGGTGAAACCCTGTCTCTACTAAAAATACAAAAATTAGCCAGGCGTGGTGGCACACACCTGTAATCCCAGCTACTGGGGAGGCTGAGGCAGGAGAATTGCTTGAGCCCGGGAGGCAGAGGTTGTAGTGAGCCAAGATCCTGCCAATGCACTCTAGCCTGGCTGACAGAGCGAGACTCTGTCTCAAAACAAAAACAAAAACAAAAACAAAAACAAAAACAAAAAAAACTTGCCAGATGGAGGATTTTATATCTTGCTTTACAGCAGCACATTATATTTTCTTTACCAAGGCAATGCATTTTCCCCAATAATTGCTGCCTTTTCAAAAAGACCTATTATATGCCAATTACTTGACATATTAATAAGCCTCAGGATATCTATACAGTAGGAGGAAAAAATTTCAGCAAGTTTAAGTAACTTGATCAGGAGCCATGGCTAGCATTGGTGGAATTGGGATTGGAGCCCAGGTTGTCACTAAGCTCCAAGCTTTGTTCTTTACACCACCATCCAAGCAACTTCAGATGCTGCCTACTTGCTAAGATAGAGTGGCAGACCTCTCGGCAGAAGAGGTCCAAGGAGGAAGCCCGCTTGAGCCACCATGCCTCACTTAGCACACTGTCAGGCCCGCAGAATCTTACTTGACTGTTTTATGAAAGGGCTCCTCTCTGCTATGAGGACAAGATGGTTGATTTTTTTTTTTTTTTTGAGACAGTTTCATTCTTGTTGCTCTGGCTGGAGTGCAATGGTGCAGTCTAGCTCACTGCAACCTCCATCTCCCAGGTTCAAGTGATTTTCCTGCCTCAGCCTCCCAAGTAGCTGGGATTACAGGCACCCGCCACCACACCCGGCCAATTTTTTTTTTTTTTTTTGAGACAGTTGTTGCCCAGGCTGGAGTGCAATGGCGCAGTCTCAGCTCACTGCAACCTCCGCCTCCCGGGTTCAAGTGATTTTCCTGCCTCAGCCTCCCAAGTAGCTGGGATTACAGGCACCCGCCACCACACCCGGCCAATTTTTTTTTTTTTTTTTTTTTTTGAGACAGTTGTTGCCCAGGCTGGAGTGCAATGGCGCAATCTTGGCTCACTGCAACCTCTGCCTCCTGGGTTCAAGCAATTCTCCTGCCTCTGCCTCCTGAGTACCTATGATTACAGACAGGTGCCACCACGCTGGGCTAATTTTCATGTTTTTAGTAGAGACGGGGTTTCACCATGTTGGCCAGGCTGGTCTCGAACTCCGGACCTCAGGTGATCCACCCACCTCTGCCTCCCAAAGTGCTGAGATTACAGGCATGAGCCACTGCGCCCGGCCTGAAAATTTTTTTAACTTGTCTTTCAGTGTTTTAAATCTCTCTAATGCTAGCCAGCCTAGGATTACTCTTTTCCAAAATTAAAATACCTTTAAGTTATTTTCATTATAAAAATAGACCAGACTGGGTGCAGTTGCTCATGCCTGGAATCTCAACACTTTGGGAGGCTAAGGCGGGAGGATCACTTGAGCCCAGGAGTTCAAGACCAGCGTGGGCAACCTAGTGAGACCTTTTCTCTACAAAAAATAAAAATAAAAAAATTAGCTGGGCATGGTGGCATACACCTGTAGTCCCAAGCTGAGGCAACAGGATTACTTGAGCCCAGGAGGTCAAGACTGACAGTGAGCCGTGAATGTGTCAGGGCACTCCAGCCCGGGCAACAGAGTGAGACCCTGTCTCAAAAAAAAATAAAGTAAGGGCTGGGTGCGGTGGCTCATGCCTGTAATCCCAGCACTTTGGGAGGCCGAGACGGGCGGATCACGAGGTCAGAAGATCGAGACCAGCCTGGCTAACACGGTGAAACCCCATCTCTATTAAAAATACAAAAAAAATTAGCCGGGTGTAGTGGCGGGCGCCTGTAGTCCCAGCTACTCAGGAGGCTGAGGCAGGAGAACGGCATGAACCCGGGAGGCAGAGCTTGCAGTGAGCCGAGATCGCGTCACCACTCCAGCCTGGGCGACTGAACGAGACTATACTGAGTAGACTATACTTGCTGCAAAAATTCAAAAAAGTGTACGGAGCAGATGAGAGCCTCCTTGCCCATCCTCCTCCCCTAGTATAGCCTTGAATTCATCTCCCAAACAGAATAGGATGGGTCTTTTAGTTACTCTCGCAGAGGGCTCTGTAGTGCTGATAAGAGAGCTGAGGAGCCCCTCTTAGGTTTTCAGATGACACGTCAGGCTAGCCTTATATTTAATAATTTAAATTTAATAATAATTATTTCAGTTTTCAAGAAACTTACTGAATCTCACCTATGTGCTAAATGTTGCTGATTGAAGATGGGTAAATAGCCTCTGACCTTAGGGATCTCATTCCTGTGTTGAACACTCGTGTGTAAACCAAGGGTTACAATGGTAATCCCCCAGTGAATACATACAGAGTACCAATTTTAGAAGTGGTTGAAAAGTTTTTTTAAAAAATCAGAGAATTACACATGTATAATTAGCTGCTCATCCTAGAAGTCATATATCCAGACCAGGCGTGGTGGCTCATGCCTGTAATCGCAGCACTTTGGGAGGCTGAGGCGGGTGGATCACTTGAGGTCAACAGTTCGAGACCAGCCTGGCCAATATGGTGAAACCCCGTCTCTACTAGAAATACAAAAATTAGCCGAGCGTAGTGGCGCATGCCTGTAGTCTCAGCTACTCGGGAGGCTGAGGCAGAAGAATTGCTTGAACCTGGGAGGCAGAGGTTGCAGTGAGCCCAGATCTCGCCATTGCACTCCAGCCTGGGTAACAGAGTGAGACTCTGTCTCAAAAAAAAAAAAAAAAAAAAGTCATATATCCAAATGTAAGAGTACTTTGCAGGTAAGCCTGACTCAGTCTGACATAGGGGTGGCTGTCTGGGAGCAGCACACCCACTCCAGGATCCCCCAGAAGCATTCGTTGTTTCTTTCTGTTTTTTTTTGGTTTTGTTTTTTCTGTTGCCCAGGCTGGAGCAGTGGTGCGATCATGGCTCACTGCAGTCTTGATCTCCTGGGCTCAAATGGTTCTCCTAACTCAGTCTCCCAAGTAGCTGGGACCACAGGCACGCACCACCATGCCTGGCTAATTTTAAAATTTTTGTATTTTTTGTAGAGGCTGGGTCTTACTACGTTACCCAGGCTGGTCTCAAACTCCTGGGCTCAAGCAGTCCTCCCGTCTTGACCCCCAAAGTGCTGGGATTACAGGCATGAGCCACTGTGCCCAACCTCATTGTTTCTTTTCATTTTGGTTATTGAGCTCTCTCTGGATAACATCTGCAGAATGTTTCATGTGTCCCGAGTATGTGCCAGGCCAATTACTCAGCAATTCTGCTTCAAGAATCAGTCTGTATTCCATTACACCAGTGGTACATTTTCAAAATGGAAGGAATATAAAATGTAAAAGTATTTGCTACGCAGAGGAGGGAGACACTACTGCTGGGACTAGAATCGAAGTTTTCTCACACCCAGTTCAATGCCTTTTCTACAACATCCCTCAGTTGAGCCTTAGGGTACCAAGTGGATGGTCATTAGTCTTGTATGGACTTTATATCCAATGCTGATTATAAGGTCTAGATGATGCTAGGTGGCAGAGATTCAAAGTTGGACAGGTCGGTTACTGTACTTGATAAATAAACAGCCCAGTGGCAAGACAGATAAATAAACTGACCATTTACACCCTGAAAAGGTGGTCAGTTGCTTAGGGAACTGGGGGAGGGGCGCCAAATGGAGGAGTAGGGACATGGTAGAGAGGGCTTTTCAGCATAGTGAGTGAATGAATGCTCATTTGAAGAAACAACTTGTGTTTAAGATGTTTTTCTTTCTTCCAGAGCTAGAATCTGGAAGAATCTCTGGGCTTTCCTGCTTTGAGGGAGAGATCAGGCTAGGTGCATTGCCAATTTGCTGCTGAAGATCTGATTAGGTTCTGCTTTGATGTGATCAAATGAGATGTAATCAGTGCTGGTACTTTAAGTGAGTTTGCAACTATTTAGTTGCTCTTTTTAGTAGTAGTATTAGTAATGGTAAAACTTAGTGCTTTTAGGATGAGAGTAGACGGCCTGAAGAATAATATCTTGGGCTCTTCTAATCAAGCCATACGGCTCATTGGCAAGTCATCAGAGGAAACATCTATCTATCTATACATTCATGCAATAAGTATTTATTTAGTGCCTATGTGCCAGACACTGTTTGTGGGGAAAACAAGACACATGGGCTATTATTGCCTCATGGAAGGAACTAAGCTGTTTGGATTTTGAAAAATCCCTTTCTCTGGGCCTCAATTCCTCGACCTGTTCAGAAATGTGCGCTCACAATGGTCCTAGACATCTTAGATTCAGGTTCCATTTTCAGTTCTTTCCTGTCCTGCGGCCATCTGCAAGTTAATTTGGTCTCCCTGAACCTCAGTTTCCTCATCTGTAAAATGAAGATCATACAACTCGTTTCATCAGGTTGTACTGAGGCTGGAAAAGATAGTCTAACTACTGACGCATCGTGTGCTCAGCCTAGGGTGGCTGCTACCGCGGGTGCCTGCGGACTCCTAGGACGGGCACCAGCCCGGGACCCCTGACAAGGTGTTGATTAGGGTGTGGCTAAGCCCCAGGCGGGAGAAAGCGTTGGCATTTATAAGGCCAGGGTCTGGCGCGGTGGCCTCATTCCGTCTTGAAGTAGACCCTGGAGAGGTCTTCCAGGCTTGGGCTCAGCACGCGAGCACAGGGAGCGGGGGTGCCGGCGGCGGAGGCGCGTACGGCCCGAGCAGCCCCCAGCCCCCAGCGCGCACACTTGGGCCAGGGGCGCGAGGAGTGCGCGGCCGCCGGGTGGGCGCTGGGGAGCGGGCCCTGGGGGCGGAGCCTGCAGCCCACCGCCCCCCACACACCCCAGCCGAGGCCCGGAAGGGGCCAGGCGCGCTTCCGTCTCCGCCGGGGATGCACGGAGGGCGGAGCTGCGGCCCGAGGACGCGACGCGAGCCCAGTTCCGGCGAGGAGGCCGCGCCAGTGACAGCGATGGCGGCGGAGTCGGCGCTCCAAGTTGTGGAGAAGCTGCAGGCGCGCCTGGCCGCGAACCCGGACCCTAAGAAGGTAAGCGAGGGGGCGGCGCGTAGCGGGATGGGCGTTGGGTCGGTGAGGGCCCCGTAACGGTCGCGGCCCGAGCGTGGCGGGGTTCGGGGGCTGGGACCCTGAGCCAGGCCCCGCGGGGCTGGGGTCGTGAAGTTCGCGGCCATTGACCGCTGCCCGCGCGTTGGGACCCCGTGCGTCGGGCGTCGGGACGCGGGGCCCCGGCCGCTCCCCCTCCCTCACGGGCCCGGGATGGGGGCGCGCCCGGTGCGGACACCGCGTGCCTAGCGCTTCCTCCCAGAGGCGCTCCGTGGCGTCCCGAGCCAGCTGTTTCCTGCGGGAGAGCGTGCCCGGGGCGGGAGGGCGCTGGCCGCCGCCTCGTTGGCCTCCCGGTGCCTGCGCTGGTGCCCGGCTCCCCGCGGAGCGGCGCGGACTCCCCAGCGGGTGCGTGTTCGCTGGGAGGAGAAGACGGGCGCCCGAACGCTGCGGAGCCTGGACTCGCGGTCTGGTCCGCGCCTCTCGGAGACGCGGTTACTACTCTCCGGCTGGATATCAGAGCGTGGACCTTTCGCTTTCTCAGTGAATCCCTTTCAAAACAGAATAAAGCCTCGCGTCACCTAAGCATACTCCTGAAAACTTAGGTTGGAATTGAAAAAGAGGCGGGGGCCCGGGGTTGGAAGTCGCAGCTAGGTTTCCTTTTGGCCATTAATAGGAAGGTAAGAGCTACCGTTTCTCGTTGTTCGAGTGATGGACAACCATTTTTAATTGTAGTTAACTAGTTTTTGTTGTTTATTGTACAAACTGAATATTAAGTTAAACGCGTTCTTGTACCTTTTCATCTTTCTGTCACTCACTTCTCTGGTCTCCAGGAGACAGTCTGGTGGTTGTCAGGATTTTTTTTTTTCTTTTTTTTTTTTGAGGCGAGTCTTGCTCTGGTCGCCCAGGCTGGAGTACAGTGGCGCGATCTCGGCTCACTGCAACCTCCGTCTCCCGGGTTCAGGCAATTGTCTGCCTCAGCCTCCCGAGTAGCTGGTATTGTAGGCGCCCGCCACCACGCCTGGCTAATTTTTGTATTTTTAGTAGAGACAGGGTTTCACCATCTTGGCCAGGCTGGTCTTGAACTCAGTTGTCAGGATTTTTTAAGTGGAAGTACAACGATGAAAAAGCACTTATGTGTTTGGCATTCTCCGTCATCATTCTGGCCGGGGCGGGCAGTTCTAGGAGTTGGAACTCAGTCCTGGTGGAAAAGGAAGTCGTGGAGGGAGGGCTAGGGCCGTGGGGGAACTGCTCTGCTGAGCCTCTTCCTCACCTGCTGCTTCCTAGGACTAACCTGAAAGGCTAAGGTACCAGGCTGAAAGTCAGTGCTCAGAAAACCAATCGTCATTCTTTGGGGTTTTTTTTCTTGAAGAGCCACTTTCTCTTTACCTTGTTCTAGCCTGTTGGAGGTAGGGTTTCTGCAATTCCAAAGGCCGTACACAGCCTCTCACCATCAGACCACTTTTTAAGGCTCTTCGTTCATACCTAGCTCGAAGATTCACTTCCTCAGGAAGCCATTTTAGTTACAAATCTGGGAAAACTTAAAATGCTTTCATTGTGCCATGTTTTCTGTTGCAGCTTCAGTACCGTACCTAGTGGTCAGGCATACTTACAAGTTTCTTTTTACAGTAACCCCTTGTGGACATCTAATAAATGGTCATTATTTTTTAGTACTAGTTTGTTTTCCTGAACACTGTAAGATCTGTGACTGACGTTTGATACCTTAAAGCAGTGCCATATAATAACTACCCACTATTTGTTCTTTATTTCTGTCAGATAAAAATGTTCTATGTAGTGTCTACAGTCATTTTTTTTTTAACTAGAATTTAGATTTGGAAGTAGTTTTTCTATTAGTTGATTTGCATGAAATACAAAATTAGGAAAAGGCTTATTCCACCTCAACCTAGTTGAACTATTAATGATTTTTTTTTTTTTTTGAGGATTTGGGCTCTTTCTAGATAGAAAATCACCCTGAACTTCTAGCTTTGCATTGTGAAGTGAGCATCATGAAGATGAGAAAATGTTGGGAGATCATTTTTGCAAAGGGCATAATAGTCGGCATTCAGATATGAGTTAACTGCAGAGGGAAAATTGCAAGCTGTCATGTTGGCCTTGTTCCTCTCAACCTTCTGGTAACCTAACAAGCTCCTACAGGTTGTATGTGAAATTGCAAGATGATTATATAGCCCTGTTGAATTTACAACCAGATCTTGCTTTCAAACCATTATTAGCCAAGGGTTTGATTCCACACCTGTGTTCATGGATTTTTTGGTACTAGACATTGCTGTAACTCTGTTTTCACTTTTTCATCTGTTATCTTGGCTCACTTAAGGGAGAAGGTATCAGCAGCCTAGGACCACTTGGTTTCTGTTTTTATGTTTCATAGTTCATGGCTGATAAAAATTACCTGTCCTTAGGCCGAGTGCAGTGCCTCACACCTGTAATCCCAGCACTTTGGGAGGCCGAGGTGAGTAGATCACCTGAGATCAGGAGTTCGAGACCAGCCTGGCCAACATGGTGAAACCCCTTCTCTACTAAAAGTACGAAAATTAGCCAGGTGTGGTGGCAGGCGCCTGTAATCCCAGCTGCTCGGGAGGCTGAGGCAGGAGAACACTCGAACCCGGGAGGCAGAGGTTGCAGCGAGCTGAGATCGCGCCATTGCACTCCAGCCTGGGCAACAAGAGCGAAACTCCGTCTCAAAAAAAAAAAAACAAAAAAAACACACACACACAGTTGGCCGGGCGCAGTGGCTCACGCTTGTAATCACAGCACTTTGGGAGGCCAAGAGGGGCGGATCATCTGAGGTCAAGAGTTCGAGACCAGCCTGGCCAACATGATGAAACCCCATCTCTACTAAAAATAAAAAAATTAGTTGGTCATGGTGGTGGTGCCTGTAATCCCAGCTACTCGGGAGGCTGAGACAGGAGAATCTCTTGAACCCAGGAGGCGGAGGTTGCAGTGAGCCGAGATGGCACCATTGCACTCCAGCCTGGACAACAAGAGCAAAACTCCATCTCCAAAAAAAAAAAAAAAAAAAAAAAGGATCCTCGTCCTGTGTTACATTTTCACTGTGAAAGCTACCAAGAACATTTTGATGGCAGGTGACATTAAAAATATTTTTTGCTTTTTTGGGTTGAAGGATTGTACAGGGGACAACTGAGATGCCTCAACATGTACCTTGCAAATGTTTGATATTTCTCAGTTGCCTGTTACCAGTTCTTACAAGCTCTATAGTTGGTATCTTGTTTGATAACAGCAAGTTTCGATCCACCTGAGGATGCCCAATGTGCCTTTGCCTTGTTATTGCTTTGTTCTTTCTTGAAATTTACTGAAAATAGAGGGGTTGTGAAGTCCTTTTTTCTCTTGTGTTAGACTAAATGAGTCTGAAAATCTTGAGGGTTTTAGTTTTGTCTGCTTTTAAATCACCCCTAATAACCCAAAGTAAAGCAGAAAGACAGGATTTGTTCTTCCAGTTAGTGCTAGGCTTTGAGATAAACACACCCACAGTGACTTCCAGCCTCATCCTTATATGTTGGCTTTGTAGAGGTCCTGGGACACCTTTGTTCCCTTGGTGACCTCCTTTACTATGTGGGTTCTGAACTGTCTAATGACATCACAGGAGGAGTTTTTCTGCTTTCTTGCAAGTATGCTAAGAAGTATATGTGCTGCCGCTCTATTTTCATTTCCTAAGGACAGTGTTCTGATGTTGGATGCTTCTCCTGGCTTTACTTAACTGTAGTAGACACATTTGACTTTCCAGCTTGTTAAGCAAGTTACCTAACCTGATTGGGTTCAGTTGCAATATCTGTCAAATGGGGAGAATAACATCCACTTTATAGAGTTGGTTAGTGGGAATGAAATGAGGTAACGTGTAAGAGCTTAGTGTAGTAGCTGACACACAATAGATGGTATGTGAATATTCCCAACCTACCCCTTCCAAGGAATGGCATTATGAGAGAACCACTTGTTTTTGACCTTTTCAGTGATTTAAAATTTTCCTTTAAGTGAAGGAATTGGCATTAGTCTTTGCACCCATAGCTTGGGTGGCAAGAAACACAAAATTTTTCCTGAGTTGGATGATGGTGGTGATAGGATTTGAAGTGGGGGATAATTTTCACTCATCTATGAAGGTGAGACTCCCTAGATATGCCACTTGGCCTCTTACTTGATCTCAAGATTATCACTTGTGATCCAATTGCTCTGTCTGGTGACCATGTTAAGTAATGATTGAAGTAGAATGACCAGAAAAACAGACTTGTTACTCCACCTAATAGCAATATGGCATACCAATTATAGTCTGGGCCACACATGGTAAAAGCAGATCTTGTTATATAATATTTAAATGCAAAGGTAACCACAGTTATCTATTTTAAACTACTTGTATTTTGAAGCACTCCTTGTATGGTAAGTATGTTTAGATACACGTAGACATTTCCTAGAGAAAGGTTTGGCCAGTCATAACTTTTGTTAGAGCAAGTAGGAATTGGCTGAGGAATATCTGGTTGAAGATCAAGGGCAGAACGCTGAAAGCTGTCAGTCGATGAATGAAATGATAAGTATTTAGTGAGCTTTCATAGTGTTCTAGACACTATGACTAAGGACTGCACATGGTTTGTCTCTGAATCCTCATAGTTTGTGAAGTAGAGACAGGACCAAGTTCCTATTTTGCAGATGAAGTAACTGAAGTTTGGGGAGGTTTTTGACTTATTCAAGATCACTCATCGAGTGACAAAGCCAGATTGTCAAGCCTGTCTCTGACTCCAGAACTCCATCTTAACAGCTCTGCTGTACTGATTTTGACCTAGTTTTAGGAACTATAGGAAGGAAATGTGATCAAACCCAGATCACTTTTCTAATCTACCCAGGCATTTTGTGTCCACCGTTAACATCCAAGCTCTGATTCTGGCAACTTGAAATTACTCTTGGCTTTACACTTATGTAGAAGAAAACAATTCTGTTAAACACTGTGGCCCTTCTGGAAACATGATGGTCTTTTCCTGTAGAGGCCTTTTCTTCCTTTTACTTCCTCTGTGCCAGGTCCATGGGTAATTCCCCTAAAATTGGTACCTTTCTCATAAATTCTATCAAAACTAGGGCAAAAATGATAGTTGTTGATGGCTTTTATCAGAGTTGGTAAGTTTTGATTCTCTTCTCTACATCTTATTTCCCCTTGGTGTAGCACAGTGGTTGAAAGCAGGGAATCTAAAGCCACAGACCTGAGTGAATCTTGCCCCACTTGCATCTTGGGACAAGAAACATAACTTTTATGAGCCTATTTTCATACTTGTAAAATAGGGATATTACTTACTACTGTAAATAGGCATAATACTTATACTCATTACTGTAAATGGTTAGCACTAAGCACTTAATAATCAGATATTCTTGTTAAAGTGAATTTGACTATTGAAATTAATGTTTTCTTCTCTGCAGCTATTGAAATATTTGAAGAAACTCTCCACCCTGCCTATTACAGTAGACATTCTTGCGGTAAGAACTGTGTGACTTTAAATATTATATAATGATATCCCATTCCCTTCTCACTGGAGAGTGTGTAGAATAAGGTTACAAGTATGGGCTTTGGAAGTGAAAGAAACCAGACACAAAAGGCCATATATTGTCTGATTCCATTTATATGAAATGTCCAGAATAGGCAAATCCATAGACAGAAAGTAGATTAGTGGTTGCCAGGGGCTAGGAGAATTGGGAGGAACAGGATTTCTTTTTAGGGTAATGTAAATGTTCTGGAATTAGATGGTTATAATGGTTATATAATATTGTGAATGTTCTGGAAACCACTGAATTATGTACTTTAGTTAAAGTGGTGAATATTGTTAAATGACTTTATTTCAAAATTAGAATTAAAAGAACATTGACTTTGGCATCAATTAGTCCCAGATTCAAATCTGAGTTCTATGACTTTAGGCTGTTCCTATGTAAAATGGGTCTGATTCCTGCTTCACAGGGTTATTGTAAAGACTGATTCAGAACTGTATGCAAAGCTCTTATCTTAGTGCCTAACACCTGCCCTAATCACTCTTGTTATTAAAGTTCTGAACTTGGTACGCTTTGCTACTGTGTGTCATTAGAGATTTGGGGCATAGACACAAAGTAATTTAGTGTTAAGATTTGCAGGGTATGTTGTAGGAAGGAAGTATTGCTTGTTGAGTTTCTCAAAGTAGAAAGCCTTATTTCTTTAGAAAAACGTTAGCCTAGTTCCAGACCCCTCTAACAATTACTTTGTCAAATTTTAGGAGACTGGGGTTGGGAAAACAGTAAATAGCTTGCGAAAACACGAGCATGTTGGAAGCTTTGCCAGGGACCTAGTGGCCCAGTGGAAGAAGCTGGTTCCTGTGGAACGGTAAGAACATTTCTCTTTAGGTTTGTTCAATTTCATGGTTAAATTTACAGATAGAAAAGGTTTTCTTTATTATTTCTCTTTTGCCTTCTGAAATTGTTTTGCCTCAATTATAAAAAATAATCCATGATCATTGTAGAATATTAGAAAATATTAAAAATAGAAATCAAAATTTCCTATTTCTATCACGCAAAGACAAACGTTATGAACATTTTGGTACGTTTCTTTTTTTTTTTTTTTTTTTTTTTGAGACAGAGTCTCGCTCTGTTGCCCAGGCTGGAGTGCAGTGGCGTGATCTCGGCTCACTGCAAGCTCCGCCTCCCAGGTTCACGCCATTCTCCTGCCTCAGCCTCCTGAGTAGCTGGGACCACAGGCACCCGCCACCACGCCCGGCTAATTTTTTGTATTTTTAGTAGAGACAGGGTTTCGCCGTATTAGCCAGGATAGGATGGTTTTGATCTCCTGACCTCGTGATCTGCCCGCCTCGGCCTCCCAAAGTGCTGGGATTACAGGCGTGAGCCACCGCGGCTGGCCTGGTATGTTTCTTTCTAACTGCTCCTTAAATGGCATTTTTTTAAGTTGTGAACTAGATAAATAGTGAGCAGCCCCCATTTTATATAACAAATTAAACATGTCCCCATGTTTTAATAAATCTCCACATTTTCATGTATATGAGATATTTGATCTTTGCATCTTGTGGTTAAACTCACCATTTCTCATTTGGGTTTTCCCAGTTTTAAGATTTGAGTATCTTTAAGCATAACCTACTTATCTTCTTCTTAAGACCTTGTTGTTTCTAACTCTGCATCTTCACTTCTTTGGTGAGTTCAGATTCTGTGACTTTGTCCCTCAAGAAGCAAGATTTAGACCTACTTTGTCTGCTTTTTCTTTTATTTTAGAAATGCTGAGCCTGATGAACAGGACTTTGAGAAGAGCAATTCCCGAAAGCGCCCTCGGGATGCCCTGCAGAAGGAGGAGGAGATGGAGGGGGACTACCAAGAAACCTGGAAAGCCACGGGGAGCCGATCCTATAGCCCTGACCACAGGCAGAAGAAACATAGGAAACTCTCGGAGCTCGAGAGACCTCACAAAGTGTCTCACGGTCATGAGAGGAGAGATGAGAGAAAGAGGTGTCACAGAATGTCACCAACTTACTCTTCAGACCCTGAGTCTTCTGATTATGGCCATGTTCAATCCCCTCCATCTTGTACCAGTCCTCATCAGATGTACGTCGACCACTACAGATCCCTGGAGGAGGACCAGGAGCCCATTGTTTCACACCAGAAGCCTGGGAAAGGCCACAGCAATGCCTTTCAGGACAGACTCGGGGCCAGCCAAGAACGACACCTGGGTGAACCCCATGGGAAAGGGGTTGTGAGTCAAAACAAGGAGCACAAATCTTCCCACAAGGACAAACGCCCCGTGGATGCCAAGAGTGATGAGAAGGCCTCTGTGGTGAGCAGAGAGAAATCACACAAGGCCCTCTCCAAAGAGGAGAACCGAAGGCCACCCTCAGGGGACAATGCAAGGGAGAAACCGCCCTCTAGTGGCGTAAAGAAAGAGAAGGACAGAGAGGGCAGCAGCCTGAAGAAGAAGTGTTTGCCTCCCTCAGAGGCCGCTTCAGACAACCACCTGAAAAAGCCAAAGCACAGAGACCCAGAGAAAGCCAAATTGGACAAAAGCAAGCAAGGTCTGGACAGCTTTGACACAGGAAAAGGAGCAGGAGACCTGTTGCCCAAGGTAAAAGAGAAGGGTTCTAACAACCTAAAGACTCCAGAAGGGAAAGTCAAAACTAATTTGGATAGAAAGTCACTGGGCTCCCTCCCTAAAGTTGAGGAGACAGATATGGAGGATGAATTCGAGCAGCCAACCATGTCTTTTGAATCCTACCTCAGCTATGACCAGCCCCGGAAGAAAAAGAAAAAGATTGTGAAAACTTCAGCCACGGCACTTGGAGATAAAGGACTTAAAAAAAATGACTCTAAAAGCACTGGTAAAAACTTGGACTCAGTTCAGAAATTACCCAAGGTGAACAAAACCAAGTCAGAGAAGCCGGCTGGAGCTGATTTAGCCAAGCTGAGAAAGGTAACCCCTTCAGCCCCTTGGTGGCTTCCCACCCAGAGCACCTGGCCCTGCAGAGCTCAGAGGATTGCCCTGCCACTGTTTTCCTTAGCTTGCTTTTGGGGGGCATGTTGAATTTCAGTGTGCAGTAATTTCCTCTGGGCTTCACTGGTTGTCAGGGTATATGGTACCGCAAATAAGAATTTTCTGCATTATTCTCTTGTGATGGGCTCATCTGTATTTATTTCCTGACTGAGGTGGTGTCAGACATGACTGTGGCCCCCTCCAACCTGGATCTTCCTGTGCAAGATGTCCAGTTAATGCTCCCGGGAATAGACTGTAGGAAAGAGAGCTGTGCTTCTACTCACTGACTCTCCACCCATGGGTCTGTCCCCTGCAGGTGCCTGATGTGTTGCCAGTGTTGCCAGACCTCCCGTTACCCGCGATACAGGCCAATTACCGTCCACTGCCTTCCCTCGAGCTGATATCCTCCTTCCAGCCAAAGCGAAAAGGTAATTTTCTATATCTTCTTTTTCTTAATGGGAAAAAGATTTAAAAATTCATTCAAGGCAGGGTACAGTGGCTCACACCTATAATTCCAGCACTTTGGGAGGCCGAGGTAAGAGGATTGCTTGCGGCCAAGGGTTCTAAACCAACCAGGCGTGGTGGCTCACTCCTGTAATCCCAGCACTTTGGGAGGCCGAGGCGGGCAGATCACCTTAGGTAAGAAGTTCGAGATTAGCCTGGCCAACATGGTGAAACCCTGTCTCTACTAAAAATACAAAAATTAGCCAGGCATGGTGGTGCGTGCCTGTAATCCCAGCTACTCCGGAGGCTGAGGCAGGAGAATTGCTTGAACCTGGGAGGTGGAGGTTGCAGTGGGCCGAGATTACGCCATTGCACTCAAGCCTGGGTGACAAGAGGGAAACTCTATTTCAAAAAAAAGGAGTTCTAAACCACCCTGGTCAACACAGCAAGATGCTGTCTCTACAAGAGAAAAAAAGTAGCCAGGCATGGTGGCACATCCCAGGTACTCGGTAGGCTGAGGTGGGAGTATCACTTGAGCCCAGGAGTTCAAGGCTGCAGTGAGCTCTGATTGCATCACTGCACTCTAGCTTGGGTGACAGAGCAAGACTGTTTCAAAAACAAACAAAAAAACTATCACCATAACATCAGATTTTTGATGCATTTCCTAAGTGCATAGACTCTGAAGTTTGATGGCTTGGGTTTGAATCCCAACTCTGGTTTCTGCAAGTTATATGACCTTGAGAAATATCTTAATTTCTTTGGACCTTAGTTGTATATATTGTGTAAATGGGAGTTATAATGGTATCTGCCCCATAGGGCTCAGTTTAATGAATTCAGAAGTGATGCCTTTTTGCTCTGGGTTTATCACATAGTAATTGTTCAGTAAATTGCTGCTGCTGTTATTAGCAGCCCTTTATCCTATGTGTTACATAGGATTTTTGTCTGAAAGAAAAAAATGTCTAATTTTCATAGCAAAAGAAGTAGAAGCCACATAAGGGTCTATCAGCAGGAGACTAACAGATAAATCATGGTTCATCTACACAGTGGCATCCTATGCCACAGTAAAAAAAAAATGTGGAAAGTCTATGCACTGACATGGAATGATCTCTCAGATGTGGCAAATGAAAAAAAGCAATGTATGTAGTGAGTATGTTATTAATTGATTCATTGGCTTAAAAGGAATAAGATACATTTGCTTTTTTTTGTTGTTGCTGTTGAGAGTCTTGCTGTGTTACTCAGGCTGGAGTGCAGTAGCTCCATCTTGGCTCACTGCAGCCTCCACCTCCTAGGTTCAAGCAATTCCTCTGCCTCAGCCTCCTGAGTAGCTGGGACTACAGGTGCATGTTGGGCAGGCTGATCTCGAACTCTTGACCTCAGATGATTCATGTGCCTTGGCCTCCTAAAGTGCTGGGATTACAGGAGCTTATTTTTAAATTCTCTGGAAGGATCTACAAAAATCTGTAGCGTGGATTGCCATTGGGAAAGGGAAGTAGGAGGCTGAAGGGGGTAGAAGGAGAGTTTTCACTGGATCACTTAGGGCCTTTTGTGTTTTTCTTGCCCTATAGCGTTCTCTTCACCCCAGGAAGAAGAAGAAGCTGGATTTACTGGGCGCAGAATGAATTCCAAGATGCAGGTGTATTCTGGTTCCAAGTGTGCCTATCTCCCTAAAATGATGACCTTGCACCAGCAATGCATCCGAGTACTTAAAAACAACATCGATTGTAAGTCACACGCTTCTCTCTAGCTCTCAAGCACATTGTAGCACTTGGACCTTATCACTGGGTGGCTTGGCTGCTACTCAGTGTCTTCACCTTTGGTTTCTCTGCAGCAATCTTTGAAGTGGGAGGAGTCCCATACTCTGTTCTTGAACCCGTTTTGGAGAGGTGTACACCTGATCAGCTGTATCGCATAGAGGAATACAATCATGTGAGTATTCTGTTTGGGTGGGAAGAGGGCAGTTTTCTGGCTTGTACCTCCAGAAATAGCTTTGTCCCTGTGACTCCGCTGTGGCTGAAGGGCAGATCAGTGGTCAGAGCATTGTTCTGGATATATTTGGTTTGCCACTGGGCCTTTAAACAAGCATGTTATTAGCACTTGCTCCTGGCACCTTAAGTGGGCCTCTTGGGCTAGGATCAGGGTGGGATTCAAAGGGAGAAGAAAAACACTTAACATCTCCCTTGAGCTTGCCTAGTCATGAAGGTAAAGGGAGAATTCTGGCAGCAGAGTAGCTGGGACCCAGGGCGGGGAAAGCACTTTGTGTTGACACTCTGACATCTGGTGATTGGCTGGATGTCTCTTAAGAAACATCAAGATTTATCCAGAATCCTCCTTAGGATGTAGGGTATACACATTTGATTGCATCAGCTGTCTCTCTTTAATTCTGAAAGTTCTATGACCTAACACCTTTTTTTTTTTTTTTGGAGATAGGGTCTACCTCTGTTGCTTCGACTGCAGTACAGAGGCCTAATCATGGCTTACTGCATCCTTGAACTCCTGGGCTTAAGTGATCCTCCCAAGTAGCTGGGACTACAGGCACATACCACCACAGCTGGCTAATATTTTTATTTTTTAGAGAGATGGACTCTCAGACTCTTGGCCTCCTGAAGTGCTGGGATTACAGGCATGAGCCAACGCGCCTGGCCAATAACTTAACATCCTTCTTAGGTTGCCCCTTTGCCATCACAGTTCAGCGTAGTGTTGGGAAGTACCTGATTTGACTTGATCGCAGTTCTACCCTTTGCTGATTTTCTAAAGGAAAAGACTGATGTTACACAGATTTTTGTGATATTCTGTCACAGCCACCAAAAGCAACTAGCATAGTGCCTCACACTTCGCATTTTTAAAATTTAGGGAGTTATTTTTTTCCTAGAATTGTGGTATTTTAACATACTACTAAGATGAAGACCAAAAAATTTTTGGGAAACTGGTCACTCCTAGGTAATTAAATAATCAGAAAAAGATATGAGGCTGGGCATGGTGACACACGCCTGTAATCCCAGCACTCTGGGAGGCCAAGGTGGGCGGATTATCTGAGGTCAGGAGTTCGAGACCAGCCTGGACAACATGGCAAAACCCCATCTCTACTGAAAATATAAAATAGCTGGGCGTGGTGGTAAGCACCTGTAGTCCTGGCTACTTGAGAGGCTGAGGCGTGAGAATCGCTTGAACCCAGGAGGCAAGGGTTGCAGTGAACCAAAATTGCACCACTGCACTGCAGTCTACACGACAGAGCAAGACTCTGTCTCAAAAAAAAAAAAAAAATATGGAAAAGTGCTTGTACACAAATGATGTCCTGGTTCTGGTTTCAGGTATTAATTGAAGAAACAGATCAATTATGGAAAGTTCATTGTCACCGAGACTTTAAGGAAGAAAGACCCGAAGAGTATGAGTCGTGGCGAGAGATGTACCTGCGGCTTCAGGACGCCCGAGAGCAGCGGCTACGAGTACTAACAAAGAATATCCAGTTCGCACATGCCAATAAGCCCAAAGGTAACAGAGACGGGAGAGCTGGGGGAGAACTGGCAGGATGAGTGTTCTGGTCAATAGCAGGGTGTTGGTGGGCTTGGCTGGTGTAGGACTGCTTGCCCCTACATCAGGTAGCAGGGTGGGTATTTCTTCTGCCACCGCCCATTCTACCCTACAAGTGGGGTTTCAGGGCACTCAAAAAGCCCGTGGATTATTTAAATAACAGTAGCATCTCTGCTCAAGAAGGCAGATGTTCATCTCCATAATTCCACAGGCCGACAAGCAAAGATGGCCTTTGTCAACTCTGTGGCCAAGCCACCTCGTGACGTCCGGAGGAGGCAGGAAAAGTTTGGAACGGGAGGAGCAGCTGTCCCTGAGAAAATCAAGTAAGATCTGTGTTCTTACCTGGCTTTTGTGTGCTATCAACCCTTAGAGGTAGCCATAGCGGCAGGAAGCAAATTGCTTTTGGTGAAAGTGAGGCAGTGCAGACTGTGGGCTCTGGAGGCAGACCTCATCAGCTCAGCACTTCCCTCACCTCCCTCAGCCTCCGCTTCTTGGACTGCAGTGCAAGGTGATAATTACCCCTGCCCTAGGGTAGTCAAGATTAAATGGAGAGCAAAGCCTGGCTTATGGGAAACATTCCCTTATGCTTTCCCTTTTCCCATCTAAACAAAAAACACATTTCTGCAATGATTGTTATTTTGTCTAAGCCACATTAGCCTTTTCAAAATACAGATTTATACCAAAACAGTGAAAAGTTAGTTGAGATTATCATTTTTTCTGAAAGGATAATGGAGACATCTCTGAGCCACCACCAGAATCCAGGGTGATAGGGTCCATTGGTCAAAGCCACAAACAGGGTGAGTCATCCTCACACAGGCCAGCTTCAGGCTGTTCATGCTCAGGGCAGATTTCTTGTGCTCATGCCTAACCAGTGTTGTCCTGTGTTGCAGGATCAAGCCAGCCCCGTACCCCATGGGAAGCAGCCATGCTTCCGCCAGTAGCATCAGCTTTAACCCCAGCCCTGAGGAGCCGGCCTATGATGGCCCAAGCACCAGCAGTGCCCACTTGGCACCAGTGGTCAGCAGCACTGTTTCCTATGATCCTAGGAAACCCACTGTGAAGAGTAAGTAACTTGGAGTTCCTGCTCAAATATTATTTCAGCACTAGTTTTTAACTCTCAATGTCATTATTCACTGTATTACATTTTGTGGACTGCATGTTGCATGTACATGATGCCTTGCACATAGCTGGTCTGAATGTCAGTCCCTCCTTCCCCCTGCTTTGTCCATAGTGCATTATATCTCTTAAATAGTTATAGTGAGTCTGGGTGCAGTGGCTCATGCCTGTAATCCCAGCACTTTGGCAGGCTGAGGCAGGAGGATCCCTTGAATCCAGGAGTTCAAGACCAGCCTGGACAACATAATGAGACCCTCTACAAAAAATTAAAAAATAGGGCATAGTGGTACACACCTGTAGTCCCACCTACTCAGGAGACTGAGGTGGGAGGATTTTTTGAGATGGAGTCTCGCTCTGTCACCCAGGCTGGAGTGCAGTGGCACAATCTCAGCTCACTGCAAGCTCTGCCTTCCAGGTTCATGCCATTCTCCTGCCTCAGCCTCCCAAGTAGCTAGAACTACAGGTGCCCACCACCATGCCCACCTAATTTTTTCTATTTTTTAGTAGAGACGGGGTTTCACCATGTTAGCCAGGATGGTCTCGATCTCCTGACCTCGCGATCTGCCCGCCTTGGCCTCCCAAGTGCTGGGATTACAGGCGTGAGCCACTGTGCCCGGCCGACCCTGTCTCTGGAAAAAAAAAAAAAAAAAAAGTGAAAGTAGAAAATAGTATCTGGCCAGGCATGGTCCCTGTCTCTATTAAAAATAGAAAAATTAGCCCACCATGGTGGCATGTGCCTATAATCTCAGGTACTCGGGTGGCTGAGACAGGAGAATTGCTTGAACCTGGCAGGCAGAGGTTGCAGTGAGCTGGGATTGTGCCACTGCCCTCCAGCCTGGATGACAGAGTGAGACACTGTCTCTAAATAAATAAATAAATATCATTGTGAATGACCATTTTGGCACTCTTCTTTTTTCACCTAAATATAAACTGACTTCTCTAGGCAATACCACAGTGTTCATAATTACTAATATTAACAGCTAAATGACAGGCCCTCTTACTGTTTTTTTATAGTCTTATAACTCTAGCTTCCAAATATTTATTCTTTATATCTAATTGGGTCTTCCAATTTATTTATTTATTTTTTTTTTTTTTTTTTTTTTTTTTTTTTTGGAGACAGAGTCTCACTCTGTCGCCTGGGCTGGAGTACAGTGGCGTGATCTCGGCTCACTGCAACCTCCACCTCCCAGGTTCAAGCGATTCTCCTGCCTCAGCCTCCCAAGTAGCTGGGATTACAGGTGCCCGCCACTAAGCCCAGCTAATTTTTTGTATTTTTAGTAGACACGGGGTTTCACCATGTTGGCCAGGCTGGTCTCGAACCCCTGACCTTGTGATTCGCCCGCCTCAGCCTCCCAAAGTCCTGGGATTACCAGCGTGAACCACCATGCCTGGCCGGGTCTTCCAAATATTTATTCTTTATATCTAGTTGCGTCTATTTTGTATTTTGTTAACTTTATTACCATAGACTATCCCCAGTATCCTAAGGGGATGTCCTAACTTAAGTCTTATTCTGTATTAATTGCAGGGCCCATGGGAGGGTGGGAGTCCTGGCTTGAGCTACAGCTATGCTCAGATGAACCATTCAGGAGGCAGGCTGGCCTTCCTTAGGCAGTACTTGCATAGCCACCTTAGACCTGTTTCTACACTGGACAGATTGGGGGTAGACGTGCTGTTTACTGGTTTGGCTATTTGTGAGGCAAAGTTAAGTTATGACTGAGTATGGCCTTTAGAGTCTGGCAAGGGCCGGGGCACAGTGGTTCACACACACCTGTAATCCCAGCACTTTGGGAGGCTGGGGTAGGAGGGTGCTTGAGCCCAGGAGATCGAGACCAGCCTGAGCAACATAGTGAGACCCTGACTCTACAGAAAATAAAAAAAAATTAGCCAGGCATGGTGGCACACTCCTGTAGTCTCAGCTACTCTGGAGTCTAGGAGGTAGAGGCTACAGTGTGCTGTGATTGTGCCAATGCACCCTAGCCAGGGTGACAGAGTGAGACTCTTTCCTTACAAAAATAAAAACAAGAAAGTCTGACAGAGATTGAATTGTAATTCTGTACCTTACTGTACAACCATGGGCAAGTTGGCCAGGCTCTCTGAGCCTTGGTGCAGGTGGTTAGAGAGAGTGGTGGTCATGCCCCTGGCAGGTCCTCCGAAAGTGTCTGCTCTGTGCTGTTGCTTTTATTGCATTGTGAACAGAGGAGATAGTTACTACTTGTATCTCTGCCTGGTGGTGCACAGCCAAGAATAGCAGAGCTGGCTTTGACTGTAAACTACTGGGGGTGTGTCTAAGCCGCCACAGATCTGAGACAGCTGCCTTGTTTCTCTTTTCACAGAAATTGCCCCAATGATGGCCAAGACAATTAAAGCTTTCAAGAACAGATTCTCCCGACGATAAACTGAGGACTTGCCTTGGAAATGGAATCTGGGGAGGCAGGAATACAAGGACAGTGGGGGTTGGGGAATGGAATTCTACAGGAGACTGGAGTCTTGCTTTGTGGATCCTTTTGGTCTCCGAGTCCTGCAGTCTGCAGGTGCTGCCCCTGGGAACCTGCGTGCCACAGCCCCGCCTCCCTGCCTGGAGCACACTTTAGAATTCTGAAGATGTGAAGCCTCTGTCTCACTGAGGATTTTAAAGGTCAATTATACTTTTGTTGTTCATTAGCATCTTTGTAAACTATAAGACGTAGTTTTAATTAATAAATATTGCCCCCAGATTGTATTTATATTATCCCCCAGGTTTGTTTTTGTTTTTTGTCCTCTACCACACATTTAGCCTTTTATCTTCCAGGTCCTTATTAAAATCAGATGAAAGCCTAGTGAAAGCCAGTCTCCTGCCCCAGCTCAGCTCTGTGTGGACTCTGGTCCAGACAGAGGACTGGGCATCTCCAGAGCCTGCACAGTACCTGCTGCACGTAGGGCAAGGAATGAGCACTAGACCGCCTGTCCCCAAGGGAGCCTCAGTGGGGCGACAGGGTGCTCGGCGGACTCCACCTCAGGCCCTCCCCACTGTTGCTGTGCATTCCTGTGCAGGTGCATCTCTTTCTTACTAACTGGTATTTATTAAGGGAGGTGCTCTGTAGGTCTGGAGCCTTTCCCTCATCCTTTTTGCGAGTCCCCACCTTTTTGTTTTTTTTTTTTTCTTTGAGGCTCACTAGAGGACGCAGAACCTTGGGAGATTGATTTGCACAGAACTCCCCACCTCCCACTTTTACAATTTCCAGTTTCTGATTGAAAATTTTAGGGTTTCTCCCCACTGCCCTTCCCTATCTTTCCTTCCCCTCAACACCATGAAGGAAAAACACACACGGCAGGGCTTTTTGTAGCCCTGAAGGCAACTTTAGACATTTAAAATCCAGCACTTTAATCTCTTGTTCTCTGTGAATCACTATGAGAAGTGAATGGTTTTAAAGGCTGTAATGCTATGTTGGAAATTGGTTTGTTTTGCCTTTTATTGAAAAGGTAAGATCATGTGATTGGAAGAACACAACTGTTGGCTTGGGAAGAGGACTTTGCTGCTGAAGTGTTTTCTACCTTCTGAGTGTGTTTAAGGCAGGATTTGGAGGGAAGGACCAGCTTAGGGAGAGTGTCTGAGCCACAGCGTCAGGATGGGGGAAACCACATGGGATCCATCAAGTTCCAGTTGAACAGGAGCAAGATCAGAACTTAGGAGGGCAGTGTCAGCTCCCTTGTTGGCTGTCAAGGAACACCGATCTAGTAGAAACCCACTTGGTTGTGACCCAGGTAGAGGTAGATGCCATACATTTGAGATATGCGTCCTTAAGGAACCTGACAAGCAGACTGAAGGGATGGTAAGTGTGACAGCCTGATAAGTTTTCTCAAAGCCCAGGATACAGAGCCAGTGTTTTCTGTAACTGGAGACCTCAGTTAGGCCAACTTCGAATTCCAGAGCAACGTAGGAAGTCTATTCAGCAGAAACTCGACATTGTTCAGTGTGTATTGCTGTGCAGGGTGCCTATTGTGACAGGACACAAATGTTACTATGTTTTAATTTGCTATATTTTTGAATGGGTAAAGCATTACTTTACTTCTCTTGGTTACTTGTACCACCATTCCACCCCTATCCCTAGCCTGCCCCACAAATCTAATATTAGGAAGCCTCTTAACTGAAACCAAATGAACATTTGGGTCAGGTGCCAGATGTCTGCTGCCTAGAATAGCTTTTTCTAGGTGTCTACCACCTTGAATTTATCTCTTAACTGTGTGTTCAAGTCTTTGTCATTGAAACTAGTTTTTCATATCTTAGATTCAGTTGTGTATGATTTAATGTCCCTTATTAGGAGTCTTTAGGCAGGGAGGGAAGAAAAAACAGATTTGTTCATAGCAATGTCAGTATCCATTTTGGCACATAAAGATTTTTGATGAGCCCTGTTTGCATAGAGCCAGATGTTTTCCCCTCCCCCAAGAGTATCTACATCAGGGATGTGACTTGGTGCGAAGAGTCAGGGGAAAGAGGAAAAACCCAATTTCTAAATGACCTCCTTGCCCAGCTTACTAAAATGGCTGCAGAGCAGACACAGGATGAATTTGAACCTGACACAGGATGAATTTGAACCTTTGGTCTCATTTATGGAAAAACTTGTGCAATTTTTTTTCTGTGCTACACTACATACAAATCACCAAATTACAAATTACCCTTTTGTGATCCTTGGTGTACTGAGCAGTTTCTTTGGGGCTTTTTCTTTCTGGGAAGCGGGAGGGAAAGGAGCAAGGTGTCATCCTGCTCTTCATTTGTATTTTGGTCCCAAAATGTAAATACAATTTTCTATGTTACTTTTTTGTGGTAACTACCGAGATGAATATTTTAATTAGATAAGTTATATGAAAAGGAAAATTCCATGTCTAAATAAAAAACAAACTCCATATACTGTGTCTTCCTTACTTATAGCATCAGTGGAAAGAAGTTAGAAAATGCCTGATTCTTGGACTGTTTAAGGCAGAGTTTTTTTTTTTGTTTTTTTTTTTGAGATGGAGGAGGCAATCTCAGCTCACCGCACCCTCCTAAGGCAGAGATCTTAATCAGCATCCTTGGGCTGGGCCTTAAACGATGCCGAATTTAGTAGTAAGAGGAATTTCAGACGGAAAGAATTCTGTGAGCAAAGGGCGGGAACTCAGCATTTGTGGGGAACAGGCACTGTCCCTTATTATACTTGGAACCCTGGTAACCCCATCTTAAAATTAGAAACTGGTTCAAAGGGGTGAAATGGGGCCGGGCATGGTGGTTCATATCTGTAATCCCAACACTGAAGGGCGGAGGCAGGATTGCTTGAGCCCAAGAGTTCAAGACCAGCCTGAGCAACATATTGAGACCCTGTCTCTAGAAAAAGATTAAAAATTAGCCAGGTGTGATGGTGCACCTATAGTCCCAGCTATGTGAAAGGCTGAGGTGGGAGGATCACTTGAGCTTGGGAGGTCGAGGCTACAGTGAGCTGTGATTATGCTACTGCACTCCAGTCTAGGTGACAGAGCAAGACCAGCCTGGGCAACATGGCAAAACCCCATCTCTTTTTTTGTCTCAAAAAAAAAACAGGGGTAGGGGGTTAGGAGGGACTGTGGCTCATGCCTGTAATCCCAACACTTTGGGAGGCCAAGGAGGGTGGATTGCTGGAGTTCAAGAGTTTGAGACCAGCCTTGGCAACATGGCAAAACTCTATCTCTACAAAAGATACAAAACTAGCTGGGTGTGGTGGCACACACCTTTGGTCCCAGCCACTCGGGAGGTAGAGGTGGGAGGATGGCTTGAGCCCAGGAGGTTGAGGCTGCAATAAGCCATGATTGCCACTGCAGTCCAGCATGGGCGACAGAGCAAGACCCTGTCTCCAAAAAAATAAAAAACAAACGGGGAGGGGGGGGAAAGGAGTGAAATTAACATGGCCAAGTTGCGTAGCTAATAAAGTGGCAAAAGGAAGGATTTGACACCGTGATTCTCTAACTGCAAGGTTTGTGCCACTCTGCCTTTCAGTTTCCACGGGCTGTGAGGGACCAGTAGGTCTCAGCTTACACGGGCGTTCTAATGAGTACAGAAGGAACATGAATGCAGGAAAGTCGTGCCAGCAAAGACTTAATGAGAACCTGCTGTGGTGGCTCTGGCTGACCTGCAGGAGCTTTAGCACTTGCTAATGGAGCCATGGATTTGGCTTCAACCCTGCATACAGCAAGTGGATTGGACCTTCCATCAAACATACAAATCTGTCCTTTATCGATTAATTAAACATTTGCTGAGCCAGGACCTGTATTAGACCTTAGGATATGGAGTAATAGACTCTGACACTTAACAGTTAGGGAGGAGTAACTGACTTTATTGATTATGCACCTACTAGGTGCCACCATTCCTTCTTCTGTACACTGCCTCTGTTATCACAATGATCCTGTGAGGTAAACAGTCATGGCCCCATTTTAAAAATGACAACTTAATCCTGGTAAATCCAGGGGATTAAAAAATAAAAATGAGAACTTAAGTCACCATAGTGTCTGTAGAAATAAATTTTAAAAAATTGTTTTAATGAAAATGAGAAAAACCGAAGCACAGAGAGATGAAGAACTTGCCTAAGTTCACAGAATCAGTGAGCAGTGGTGCTATGTATTGGCCTGACTCCAAAACACATGCTCTCAGTCACATTTACCATCTCATACACTGACATGCATACCCAATTTGGCCTCTGAAGCAAAGCTGACCTCCAAAACAAAAGATGCCTGAGCCAAGGCCAGAGTCGTTTCTGTTTTTTTTTTTTAAATTCTTTTTTTGTGATGGAGTCTCGCTCTGTTGCCCAGGCTGGTGTGCAGTTGCACGATCTCGGCTCACTGCAGCCTCAGCCTCGCGAGTAGCTGGGATTACAGACATGTGCCACCACGCCCAGCTAATTTTTATATTTTTAGTAGAGACAGGGTTTCACCACGTTGGCCAGGCTGGTCTGCAACTCCCAACCTCAAGCCATCTGCCCGCTTTGGCCTCCCAAAGTGCTGGGATTACAGGTGTGAGCCACCGTGCCCAGCCTAAAAATTCTTTATCCTCAAGTTCAACAGTCATTTCTAAGAATGATATCTTTTGTCTGCTTCATGTAACTGATGCCCAGCAGAATCCTACCTGGCTTATCAACTTGACAGATGCCCCCATCACAGGGTTTCTCATCCACTTTCATCTCTTCCTGGTTATTTGCTAAATGGTGAAACAGTTTGTCTTCAGAGGCCCCTGAACTTCTTTCTCTCACTCTTTTTGAGACAGTCTCACTCTGTCACCCAGGCTGGAGTGCAGCGGTGGGATCTTGGCTCACTGCAGCGTCAACCTCCCAGGCTCAAGTATTCCTCCCACCTCAGCCTCCCAAGTAGCTGTGACTACAGATGTGCACCACCACTCCCAGATAATTTTTTGGTATTTTTTTGGGAGATGGAGTTTTGCCGTGTTGCCCAGGCTGGTCTTGAACTCTTGAGCTTAATCACTCTACCTTGGCCTCCAAAGTGCAGGGATTACAGGCATGAGGCACCTCGCCCGGCCCCCTGAACTTCTCTATGATGTCTATTGTCTCAACTCTTTTCAAAGACTAAGGAAAGTTCCAGCCATCAAAATTTTATATCACTGTATCTGTTTCTCAAGCACAGAGTCTTGGGTTGGGGCCTCAGAATATGCATTTAAAAAGATGCAACTCAAGTGTTATGGACTAAATGTTTGTGTCCCCCCAAAATGCCTATGCTGAAATCCTAAGACCCAGTGTGACAGTATTAGATAGGCCTTTGGAGGTAATTAGGTCACGTGGGTAGAGGCTTCATGAATAGGATTCTCCCTCATAAGAGAAATGAGAGTTGCTCTTGCTCCTTGTTCTCCACCATGTGAGGAAATGAGAGGACGGCAGTCTGCAAACCAAGAAGAGGGCCCTCACCAGACACAGAATTGGCCAGCGCCTTGATCTTGGACTTCCAGCCTCTGGAACTGTGAGAAGTAAATGTTTGTTGCCTAAGCCAGTCAGTCTATGGTAAGTTGTTACAGTAGCCTGAAATGACTGAGACACTAAGCGATTTTTTTTTTTTTTTTTTTTTTTTTTTTTTTTTTTTTTTTTTTTTTGAGGTGAAGTCTCACTCTGTCACCCAGGCTGGAATGCAGTAGCTTGATCACTCTCGGCTCACTGCAACCTCTGCCTCCCGGGTTCATGTGATTCTCCTGCTTCAGCCTCCCTAGTAGCTGGGACTACAGGCGTGCACCACCAACTTTTGTATTTTTAGTAGAGATGGGTTTCACCATGTTGGCTAGGCTGGTCTTGAACTCCTGACCTCAGGTGAGATCAGGTGAGATCCACCTGCCTCGACCTCCCAAAGTGCTGGGATTACAGGCATGAGCCATTGTGCCTGGCCTGACACTAAGCATTTTTTTTTTGGGGGGATGGAGTCTTGCTCTGTTCCCCAGACTGGAGTGCAGTGGCGTGATCTCAGCTCACTGCAACCTCCGCCTCCCAGGCTCAAGCGATTCTCCTGCCTCAGTCTCCCAAGTAGCTGGGATTATAGGCATGCATCACTACAACCCGGCTAATTTTTGTATTTTTAGTAGAGACGGGGTTTCACCATGTTGGCCAGGCTAGTCTTGAACTCCTGACCTCAAATGATCCACCCGCCTCTGCCTCCCAAAGTGCTGGGATTACAGTCATGAGCCACCACGCCCGGCCGACACTAAGCAATTCTTAAAATGTACACTGAAGTTTGAGAACTGCTCCAGAGAATTTGCCACAGTGGAATAGCTCTTCACAGCAGGTCCCTAGGTCAGGACTAGGAAGCTTGTTGATTTAGTAGTAAGCAAATACTTGCATTGCTTCCCACTCTGTGTCACTGACTAAGTCAGACATGGCAGGCTGGGGACAGTGGCTCACAGCTGTAATCCCAGCACTTTGGGGGGCCAAGGTGAGAGATTACTTGAGTCCAGGAGGTTGAAACTAGCCTGGGCAACATAGTGAGATCTTGTCTCTAAAAAAATAAAATATTAGGCCAGGCGCGGTGGCTCATGCCTGTAATCCCAGCACTTTGGGAGGCTGAGGCGGGCAGATCACCTGAGGTCAGGAGATCAAGACCAGCCTGACCAACATGGAGAAACCCCATCTCTACTAAAAATACAAAATTAGCCGGGTGTGGTGGCACATGCCTATAATCCCAGCTACTCGGGAGGCTGAAGCAGGAGAATACCTTGAACCTGGGAGGTGGAGGTTGAAGTGAGCCAAGATCATGCCATTCAAAATAAAATAAAAATAAAACAAAATAAAATAAAATATTAGTTGGGCATGGTGGCATGAACCTGTAGTTCTAGCTACTCAGGAGGCTGAGGTGGGAGGATTGCTTGAACTCGGGGAGGTTGAGGCTGCAGTGAGCCAAGATCATCCCACTGCGCACCAGCCCGGGTGAAAGAGCAAGACCCTGTCTCAAAAAAGAAAAAAGAAAAAAAAAAAAAAGGCCAGGCATGGTGGCTCATGCCTGTAATCCCAGCACTTTGGGAGGTCAAGGCAGATGAATCACCTGAGGCCAGGAGTTCGAGACCAGCCTGACCCACATGGAGAAACTCCGTCTTTACTAAAAATACAAAATTAGCTGGGCGTGGTGGTGCATGCCTGTAATCCCAGCTACTTGGGAGGCTGAGGCAGGAGAATCGCTTGAACCCAGGAGGTGGAGGTTGCGGTGAGCCGAAATTGTGCCACTGCACTCCAGTCTGGACAAGAGCAAAACTCCGTCTCAAAAAAAAAAAAAAAAAAAAAAGAGACATGGCCCTTGCCCTCATGAAGCTTTCATCTAGTAGGGAGACAGTTATCAAATAACTGCACAAATAATTCTTTTTTTTTTTTTTTTTTTTGAGACAAAGTCTTGCTCTATTGGCAGGCTGGAGTGCAGTGGCGCGATCTTGGCTCACTGCAACCTCCGCTTCCCGGATTCAAGCAATTCTCCTGCCTCAGGCTCCCGAGAAGCTGGGACTACGAGTGTGCGCCACCATGCCCAGCTAATTTCTGTATTTTTGGTAGACACGGGGTTTTACCATGTTGGCCAGGATGGTCTCGATCTCTTGACCTCGTGATCTGCCCGCCTCGGCCTCCCAAAGTGCTGGGATTACAGGCGTGAGCCACCGCGCCTGGCTTTTTTTTTTTTTTTTTTTTTTTTTTTTGAGACGGAGTCTCACTCTGTCACCAGGGCTGGAGTGCAGTGGCGCGATCTCCGCTCACTGCAAGCTCCACCTCCCGGTTCACGCCATTCTCCTGCCTCAGCCTCCCGAGTAGTTGGGACTACAGGCTCTCGCCACCACGCTCGGCTAATTTTTTGTATTTTTAGTAGAGACGGAGTTTCACCGTGTTAGCCAGGATGGTCTTGATCTCCTGACCTCGTGATCCACCCACCTCGGCCTCCAAGAGTGCTGGGATTACAGGCGTGAGCCACGGCGCCCGGCCACAAATAATTCTTTAAAGTACAGGTTTCTGGGCCCTACTGAAGAAATATGGTTGAATAGGTCAAAGGTAGGATCTGGAAACAGGTACGCTTTTGTAGGCTTCCCCCAATGAACTCGATGAGCGGCCTGGTTTGGGAATGTCTAGTGTAGTGGAAAAAGCATGCATGACCTTTGGGATGAGACCCAGGTTCAAATCCTGCCTCCACCACTCCCACACCTCTCTGAGCCTCAGTTTCCTCATTGGTAAAATGGGAATTATGACACTCTGCAGGAATTCTTATAAGGATTCAATGACAGAAGGGGAGCCACATTTTAGTGTCCCTCCTTCTTTCCCTCTAAATGTGGAATGAAAGAAAAAGGTTTTGTTTTTTACTGATGGGAATTCAAACTTCAGGGTCACAAGCTAAGAACTATTTTGAGGTCAACAAGTCCTTCCTGATAAATGAAATCTTAGTGCCTGCTTCCTCAGAGTTAGTTTGACTTTTCTGTTTTGGGGCCCCATTCTAATTTTTTCGGGTCCCTTAAACTGCAGCTTCTAACAACCACTAAAAAGGAAGACCACCTAATTTCTTACGGCCACAAACTCAAATACCAGGGGTTTGGTATGTGACAGCAGGCTGTGATGGGAACAGAAAGAAAATGGAGCTATTCACACAGCTCCACTTTATTGCTTCCGGGTTGAAGACAGGGCCCAGTGTTGCCACCTCTTCTGGATTTAAAGAAAATGGCCGGCCAGGTGCGGTGGCTCATGCCTGTAATCCCAGAACTTTGGAGGTGAGGCAGGTGGATCACTTGAGGTCAGGAGTTTGTGACCAGCCTGCCAACATGGTGAAACTCCGTCTCTACCAAAATATACAAAAATTAGCCAGGTGTGGTGGCGTATGCCTGCAGTCCCAGCTACTTGGGAGGCTGAGGTGGGAAAATCTCTTGAACCTGGGAAGCAAAGTTTGCACTGAGTGACAAAGCTCCAGCCTGGGTGACAAAGTGAGACCCTGTCTCAAAAAAAAAAAAAAAAAAAAAAAGGAAAAAGGAATAGGCTCAGCAGTAGTTCTCAACTAGAGGTGACTTTGTTCCCAGTATGACACTTGGCAACATCTGGAGACATTTTGGTTGTCGCTGTTGTTGGGGAGCTATGGGCATCTAGTGGGCAGAGGCCACGGATGCTGCTATCCATGCTACAATGCACAAGACAGCGCCCCTCCCCCAACAAAGAATTATCTGGCCGAAAATGTAAATAGAGCCAAGGTTGAGAAGCCTTGGACATGGTTCTGTTGCAGCAACAACCCTCAAATCTCAGTGGCTTGCAACAACAGAGGTCTCACCGCCTGTCCATTGTGAGTCTGACAGGGATCTGCTTTATGTCATCCTCACTCAGGGGCCCAGGCTAAGGGAGGTGCCATTCCCATGCTTGTAAGATCTTCGAGGCAAGTAGAGAATATTAATATATTATTAACATTAATTATAATAATAAAAAATAATATTAATTACAATATTGATATAACTGTTAAGTTTTGTCTAGAAGTGACATCTATCATTGCCATCATATTGCATTGGCTGCACCTTAATTCATGGGGTCAAGGAAGCACAATCCATCCATGTTCCTGGATGCAGAGAATTGGGAATATTTGCTAACAGCATTAAAGATTCCAAAGGTTGGGTGCACCAAAACCTCAGAGATCACCACTAAAGAACTTATTCATGTAACCAAACACCACCTGTTCCCCCAAAACTTATTGGAAAAAACTAAAAATCCAGAGAAAAATGTATGCTGACCAAAAAAAACAAAAAAACCTCCAAAGGTAATCATGACAGCCTGGGCTCTAGGTAATCCACAAGGCTCAGAGAAGGGCAGCTAAGGGCACAGGCTGTGGAGTCAGACGTCAGACTTGGCTTCAAACCCCACACTTTCTAGCCATGTGGACTTGAGCATGTCACTTAATCTCTCAGTTTCTTTCTCTAAAAATGAGGAAAATAGGCTGGGCGTGGTGGCTCACACCTGTAATCCCAGCACTTTGGGAGGCCCAGGCAGGCGGATCACGAGGTCAGGAGCTCGAGACCAGCCTGGCCAATATGGTGAAACCCGGTATCTACTAAAAATACAAAAATTAGGCCAGACGTGGTGGCCCACGCTTGTAATCCCAGCACTTTGGGAGGTCAAGGAAGGCGGGTCACGAGGTCAGGAGTTCGAGACCAGCCTGACCATCATGGTGAAACCCTGTCTTTATTAAAAATACAAAAATTAGCCAGGTGTGGTGGTGTGAGCCTGTAATTCCAGTTACTCAGGAGGAAGAGGCAGGAGAATTGCTTGAACCTGGAAGGTGGAAGTCGCAGTGAGCCGAGATTACGCCACTGCACTCCAGCCTAGGTGACAGAGTGAGACTCCATCTCACAAAAAAAAAAAAAAAAAAAAAAGTCTGGGTGCTGTGGCTCACGCCTGTAATCCCAGCACTTTGGGAGGCCAAGGTGGGCGGATCACGAGGTCAGGAGATCAAGACCATCTCTACTAACCCTGTCTCTAATAAAAATACAAAAAATTAGCTGGGCGTGGTGGTGGGCACCTGTGGTCCCAGCTACTCGGGAGGCTGAGGCAGGAGAATGGCGTGAACCCGGGAGATGGAGCTTGCAGTGAGCCGAGATCATGCCACTGCACTCTAGCCTGGGCGACAGAGTGAGACTCTGTCTCAAAAAAAAAAAATTAATTAATTAAAATAATAATAATAATAATTAGCTGGGTATGGTGGTGTGCGCCTGTAGTCCCAGGTACTCAGGAGGCTGAAGCAGAAGAATCACTTGAACCCAGGAGGTGGAGGTTGCAGTGAGCTGAGATTGTGCCACTGCACTCAGCCTGGGTGACAGAGCGAGGCTCCATCTCAAAAAAAAAAAAAAAAAAAAAAACAAGGGAAAATAAATCAACCTTGCAGTGTTAAAATGCTTAGAACAGTGCCTGGCACACAGAAACAGCTCAGGACATGTTAGCCAGGATGATGATGATGATGGATTAGGCCAGGCGCCAATCACGGAGTGGGCATTTAGTAAACAGTTGTTGTTATAACCTAAGCTCTGAGGAAAATGACTTGTCCAAGGTAACACAGCTGGTAAGTGCAGCATGGTGGAGAAGAGCCTAAGCTCTGGGGTCTCAGCCTGGCACATCGTAAATCATAAATATTAAATAATATTTGGAGGAGGTTCAGTGTGGTTAAGAACATGGACTCAGGCCAGGCACGGTGGCTCACACCTGTAATCCTAGCACTTTGGGAGCCTGAGGCGGGCAGATCACGAGGTCAGGAGATCGAGACCATCCTGGCTGACACGGCGAAACCCCGTCTCTACTAAAAATAGAAAAAATTAGCCCGGCGTGGTGGCGGGTGCCTGTAGTCCCAGCTACTCTGGAGGCTGACGCAGGAGAATGGCGTGAACCCGGGAGGCGGAGCTTGCAGTGAGCTGAGATCGCGCCACTGCACTCCAGCCTGGGGGACAGAGCGAGACTCTGCCTCAAAAAAAAAAAAAAAAGAACATAGACTCGGTAGCTCACACCTATAATCCCAGCATTTTGGGAGGCTAACAGGGGCGCATCCTTTGATCCCAGGAGTTTGAGACCAGCCTCGGCAACATGGCAAAACTCCGTCTCTACAAAATATACAAAAATTAGCCAGGCATGGTGATGTGTGCCTGTAGTCCCAGCTACTCAAGAGGCTGAGGCAGGAGGATCACTTAAGCCTGGGGGTGTCAAGGCTGCAGTGAGCTGAGATCACGACACTGCACTCCAGTCTGCGTGGCAGAGCAAGACCTTGTCTCAAAAAATAAATAAATAAAAATAACATGAACTCCCGAGGCTGACTGCCGGGTTCAAATCCTAGCTCTACTACTGACCACCTGTATGAACTTGAGCAAGTAACTCAGCCTCTCTGTGCCCAGTTTTCTCATCTATAAAATGAAGCTAATAATAAAACACCTGCAATTAGGAAAATTAAAAAATAACATTAGTAAAGCCCTCGGGACCCATATGGTTGTTAGCTGCTACAGTATTACTATGCCCTCAGTTCGCCACAAAGAAGCATTCAAAAGTAACAGAAAATAATTAACAGTATCATTTCACCCACCCAATTGAGATAGGAGAGAAGAAAATGGATACAAATTCAGCAATCCTTGAGCTAAGAAAATGTTTACAGCCAGGGGTGGTCGCTCAGGCCTCTAGTCCCAGCAGTTAGGGAGGCTGAGGCCAGCAGATCACTTGAGTCCAGGATTTCGAGACCAGCCTAGGCAATGTGATGAAACTCCATCTCTACAAAAAATACAAAAATTACCTGGGCATGGTGGCATGCACCTGTAGTCCCAGCTACTCAGGAGGCTGAAGTGGGAGGACTGGTTGAGCCCAGGAGGCAGAAGTTGCAGTGAGCCAAGACTGTGCCACTGCACTCCAGCCTGGGTGGCAGAGTGAGACCCTATCTCCAAAAAAAAAAAAAAGTTTATAAATGGAGCAATGGGAAAAAACTTGGATGCTTTTCTTACCTGCCCCAGGGTAGTCCTAGAAATCAGTGAGAATTCCCATTTGTCCTCAGAGATTCCTGCAACATAGGAGTGCAAGAGAGGAGACAGTAAGCAGAGGCACAAGGCATTACTCCCAAATCACAGCTAAGCCACCCTGCAACCCTGGCCGGCTCCTTACAAACCCAGCTCCCTTAGCAACTGCAGTTTCCCATCCAACCAGACGAGGGCGCCGAGCTGACAGTCTTGCTGCTGGCAATAGTGATAGCCGCTGTGAAAGCACAGTAGATGCTCGTCCACTTGTCGAGGAGAATGCTGAATTCTTACCACTTTTGCACCACTGTAAAGTCACAAAGTCATAAGTCGAACCACCATAAACTGGGGATTATCCGCAGTCCCCCCTTATCTGTGGGCGATATGTTCCAAGACCCTCAGGGGATGACTGAAATAGTACTGAACGCTATATATACAGTACTATGCTTTTTTCTATACATACATACCTATGATTACATTTAATTTATAAATTAGGCACGATGAGATTAAACAACTAATAATAAAATGGAACAATTATAGCAATATGATGTAATACAGTTATCAGGCACTGTGCTCATAACTTTTGCAGTTTCATGTGTGGCAGCAAAACTAGCAGGTATTTCTTTTTCCTTCTTCATAATTTCACAGATAGAAGATTCGTTCTTACTACAGATCTTAGCGACCTCAGCACACTTTATTTTTTCTTTCCTTATTATAACTTTTACCTTTTCATTTAAAGAAAGAACTTTATGGCTTCTCTTTGCCATATCCAAATTGCTAGCATGACTACTCTTGCACTTTGGGGCCATTATTAAGTCAAATAAGGGTGACTTGAACACAAGCATTGCAATATCACGGCAGTCGATCCGATAACGAACAGGGCACTTACTTAGTAAGTGACTAACGAACAGGGAGTGTATACAGCGTGGAGGCACTAGACAAAGGGACGATTCAGGTTCCCCAGGTGGACAGAGCGGGACAGCACAAGACTTCATCACGCTACTCAGGACAGCATGCAATTTAAAATTTACAGATGGTTTATTTCTGAAAATTTCCATTTAATATTTTTGGACAGTGGTTGACTGCATGTAACTGAAACCACAGAAAGCAAAACCGAGTCAGGGGCAGGGGAGGGGGGCGGCTACAGTAATAGCCTTTCCCTGTGGACCAGATGTTATACCAAACACTTTCATGTGTTATTTCACATTACTGTCATAGCACTCCACAACATAGGTACTGTTATGATTCCCATTTTATGTAAGACAAATCTGAGGCCTAGAAAAATAAATAAATAAAAAGAAAAAAGAAAAAAATCTGAGACCTAGAGAGGTTAAGCAATTTGCCTAGCAGGCCAAACCTAATATTTGCAGGACAGGAGCAAGAATACAGCTGAATGCATACTTAAAAAGTTATAAATGACCCTAATGAACTATTAAATAAAAGACAATCTATTCTGCTATGTCAATAAATAAACCTTCACAATGACCTGGAAGACCACATTCACATTTTTGGGCCTCTCAGAGTTCTGTACTAGAAGGTGGTGAGAGGCAGAGAACAGGACCCTAGCCCTGCCCCATTCTCTCCATATCTCTAAATCTGTGTGCCTGGAAGGGCCTTGTGTCCACGCATGCAGAGGTCCTAACCTGTGTGCTCACACTTTGTTCTAGGGGTTCTAAATTGAAAAGGTCCCTCAGGTATCCAGCACAATGAATGACAAAAGAGACCAAAGCACAACAAAAATCATCACATTCTAGAATACCAAGAGAAGATCTTAAAAGCTTCCAGAAAACGGGGTGGGGTGGGGGGAAAACCCATAAAAAGAATCAGGATTCAGAACAGCATTGTATTTATCAAAGCCAGAAGAAAACCAGAGCAATTTCTTCACAATTATGAAAGAATTCTATCCACAGCCAAACTACTAATTAAGTACAGTAGAATAAAGCCATTTTCAGTGCCACTTAACATGTATGGCAGCATGGTAGCCAGCCACTAAGGTGGCCTCTAATGATTTCTACCTCCTGGTATCTGCACTCTTATGAAGTTCCCGCACACACTGAATATGGCTGACCTGTGAAACCATGGGATGTTGCAAAATTGACAATATGGGACTTCTGTGGCTAGGTCATAAAAGACATTGGTGGTTTCTACCTTGCCCTTAGATCACTTGTTCTGCTGAAAACCAGCTGCTGTATCATGAGGACACTCAAACAGTACTATTGAGAGGTCCATGTGTTAAGGAACTGGGGCCTCCTGCCAAGAGCCTGCACAAACTTGCCAGCCGGGGCTTCTCCAGCCCTGGCCAAGCCTTCATATGATTTCAGGCTCATGAGAGACCCCAAGCCAGAACCACCCAGCTAGGACGCTCTCAAATTCCTAACTCACAGAAACTGTGAGATGATAAATGTTAATTGTTGTTTTGAGGAGAGAGGCCATTTCTCTTACTGTCTCTGAAGAGAAGGAAGAAGTAAAAGCTGAAAAACAACAGGAATGAAGTCAGTGGCAAGACCAACTGATGCCACTTACCAGGCCTGAGGTTAAAGATTAACGCCCCCACCCTAACCACATGTGTTACCTATAGATCACTTGCTCAATCTATCACAACCCTTTCACGTGGACCCCCTTAGAGTTATAAGCCCTTAAAAGGGCCAGGAACTTTTTCTTTGGAGAGCTTGGTTCTTGAGACACAACTCTGCCAACGCTCCTGGCCGAATAAAGTCTCTTCCTTCTTTAACCTGGTGTCTGACAGGTTTTATCTGCAGCTTGTCCTGCTACAGTTTTAAGCCATTAAGTTTGGGAATAATTTGTTACACAACAAAAGACAACTAATACAGACCTACTGGGAGGGGAGGAGCCACAGTATTTTGCAGTTCTTCCAATCAGGAGGTGAAGTCTACAGTCTAGCTCTCCACTCTAGAATTTGGATTTGGCTGATGGGTCATTATAGAAAGATTATAGATGTAAGGCTTAAAAAGTGCTTGTGCTGGCAGGGCGCAGTGGCTCATGCCTGTAATCCTAGCACTTTGGGAGGCCGAGGTGGGCAGATCACCTGAGGTCAGAAGTTTGAGACCAGCCTGCCCAACATGGTGAAACCCCATCTCTACTAAAAATACAAAAATTAGCCAGGCGTGGTGGCAGGCGCCTGTAATCCCAGCTACTCGGAAGGCTGAGGCAGGAGAATCGCTTGAACCCGGGAGGGGGAGGTTGCAGTGAGCGGAGATTGTGCCACTGCACTCCAGCTTAGGTGACAGAGCAAGACTCCATCTCAAAAAAAAAAAAAAAAAAAAAAGTGCTTGTGCAATTGAGTCTTGCCCTCTCTTGCTCCTGGGAACTCTGCAATTATCACCATGTAATTTAGCTAGGCTTGTCTGCTGGAGACACGTGGTCCCATCATCCCAGCTAACAGCCAGCATCAAGCAGACGAGAGTGAGACCATCCCAAACTTTCCAGCCCAAGCTGAACTGGCCCAGAAAAGCTAATCCACAGGATCATGCGAATTAATCAATGTTTGTTGTTTAAAGCTATCAAAGTTTTAGGGTAATCTGTTACACAGCATAAGCTAATTGATACAGCATATTTACTTTGTGTGCACCTCCCGCCTCAACCTCCCCACCCTAACCAGGAAACTACTGATGTGTTACAAGAACACTACAGGATGTGTTCAAAGCCTGGTTACCTCCTAACTTTACCTAGTCTCAGACAAGTTAGTTTGCCTCTTTCAGCCTCAGTTTTCCTCATCTTCAAATTGGAGATAACAGTAGGTAATAGCACCTAGCTCTCTTTTTTTTTTTTTTGAGATGGAGTCTCGCTCTGTCGCTCAGGCTGGAGTGCAGTGGCACAATCTCGGCTCACTGCAACCTCTGCCTCCTGGGTTCAAGCGATTCTCCTGCCTCAGCCTCCCGAGTAGCTGGGATTACAGGCACACGCTACGATGCCTGGCTAATTTTTCTATTTTTAGTAGAGACGGGGTTTCACCATGCTGGCCAGGCTGGTCTCAAACTCCTGACCTCAAGTGATCTACCCGCCTCGGCCTCCCAAAGTGTTACAGGTGTGAGCCACCACACCTGGCTGTACCTAGCTCTTAAAGTTCATGTGACAATTAATTGAGATGAACTACATAATGTGCTTAGCACACAGTGCTCAAATAAATCATTAATGAAGGCAACAGGAAAAAGCCAAAATGAGTAGATCTCCGGGGTAAGGCCTGAGTTGGTTCTTCAAAAGGACACTCTTACCAAAGAAAGGCTACCAAGTATATCAGTCAAGTAAACATTTACTGTTTGCCACATTCCAGGTCCCTTACCTGAAACTGTGACCTAAAAGCAGGAATAATTCACGGCACTGAGCTATTTTGAAACAGAACCAAGCTTGCTTATTGCACAAGTAACTAAAATAGGACATCAAAATATTTTTCTTGTTTTTATTTTTTTGAGACAGTCTTGCTCTGACACCCAGGTTGGAGTGCAGTGGTATGATTACAGCTCACTACAGCCTCACCCTCCCAGGCTCAGGAGATCCTTCCACTTCAGCCTCCCAAATAGCTGGGACCACAGGCATGAGCCACCATGCTGGGCTAATATTTTTAATTATTTTTGTAAAGATGGGGTCTCCCTATGTTGCCCAGGCTAGTCTCAAACTCCTGGGCTCAAGTGATCCTCCCACCTTGGCCTCCCAAAAGTGCTGAGATTACAGGCATGAGGCACTGCATGTGGCCCAGAAAATATTTCTGAATGGAACTTGAAAAAATGGATATTTTGGTCTATACTTCACCAGCCCCACTGAGCACTCCAGAGCCAGATGTGAAGGGAAGAGGGTAGCCAGGGTATCCCATAACTCTCTTTCTGTATCCTGTCTTTTCCCCACCAGGGAGTAGGAAAACATTCTATCCTGAAAACAAGATTATTTCACCTCTAAACAGTGACTTTTAATTATTTTGATCTCAACCCACAATATGAAAAACACATCATATTGTGTCTGAATACAAACTCAAAACTGAAACAAAAGTTTCATCAATTGAGACTTGAAATGTGTGATACATTCTGGGTTTTTTTTTTTTTGTATTCTATTTTTTTTTTAAATGTTGATCACAATTCTCTATAAACGGATTTTAAAACCTATTGACAGGCCACAACCAGCTGTTCGAAAAAAAGTACTTTGAAATATCACATGGGGGAGGAAACGCAGAGATCATCTAGTCCAATCCCTTCACTTCACAGGGGGTAAACTGAGTCTCAGAAGATCAAGTCACTTGCCCAAGGCCACGCAGCTAGTAAGTTGCTGTGGTTGGATTTGACCGTAATAACCATCGGCTACTGAATGCCCATCATGTGTCAGCCATTTGCTGAGTTTTTTCTTTTTTTTTCTTTTTGAGACAGAGTCTTGCTCTGTCGCCAGGCTGGAGTGCAGTGGCGCGATGTCGGCTCACTGCAACCTCTGCCTCCCGGGTTCAAGCGATTCTCCTGCTTCAGCCTCCCGAGTAGCTGGGACTACAGGCTCGCGCCACCACGCCTAGCTAATTTTTGTATTTTTAGTAGAGACGGGGTTTCATCATGTTGGCTAGGATGGTCTCGATCTTTTGACCTCGTGATCCGCCCGCCTCGGCCTCCCAAAGTGCTGGGATTACAGGCGTGAGCCACCGCGCCCGGCCTGCTGAGTTCTTTAATTGCATTATTTCATTTAATACTCACTGTGATCCTATGAAACAGATACTATTCTTTCCACCTTACAGACGGGGAAACGGAGTCTCAGAATAGGGGAAATGACTTAAGGTGTCACAATGGCCAGTAGCAGACCCAGGAGTAGTCTTTAGGTCTGGCCGTGCACAAAGCCCCATGCTCTCAAGCTGTAACCCCGCTATCAAGAAAGTGGTTATGCAAGTGGGCCTGTGAGCTCTCAACGTCTAAGCCGTGCGCATGTGAGACAGCGATAAGCTCGCGTTCTCCAGTCTCCAGGGCCTTATCATTCCTCACGCTTTCCTTCATCGGCTCGCAAAGAAACGTGGCGATCAAGGAAGACAGCGAAGGCTCCATCCTCGTCGGGGGAGGATAATTCGAATCTCAGCCTGTGAGTTTACTCAGCACACCTGTTTAATCTCTTGGTCCTTCAGTTTCCACACCTAGGAAGCTGGAACAGCAGCAGCATCCAGCGCCAGGACTGGAGTCATATACGAACTCTGGCACCTGGGAGGCGCGCGTCCTACGTCAGTTCCGCTCGACCCCACCCCCCCCGCCCCCCCGCCTTCTCCCCACGCGCATGCGCCGCGCAGCGGCGCTTTTTACGACGCGGCAGGCGCGGCGCGCTTAGTTGCCGGAGCTGAACGGCGCGGAGCTGGTCTGAGGCGAGCCGAGCCGAGCGAGCGCGGCGGTGGGGCCGAGAGGACGCGCAGGTGGCGGCGTTGCCATGTCGCACGGTCACAGCCACGGCGGGGGTGGCTGCCGCTGCGCCGCCGAACGGGAGGAGCCGCCCGAGCAGCGCGGCCTGGCCTACGGCCTGTACCTGCGCATCGACCTGGAGCGGCTGCAATGCCTTAACGAGAGCCGCGAGGGCAGCGGCCGCGGCGTCTTCAAGCCGTGGGAGGAGCGGACCGACCGCTCCAAGGTGGGCCGCCTGGGGCTTGGGGCGGGCGGGGCAGGGTGCGTGTGGGGCCTCGGGCCGTCGGTCTACTCATTTCTGATGTTAAGAATAACGACAGCCTGGTTGCCAAGCGCTTTTCCGTGCCTGTCTCCTGCCAGCTCTTTGGGAGGCGAGCAGCGTTGTCTCCCCATTTTGCATATAGGGAAACTGAGGCCTAGAGGGAACGGGGACAGTTTTGTCAAGCTACACAGCCTAACGCTCTATTCCAGGGCTGTGTGGGCTAGAGAGGATGGTCGTGAGGGCCGTTGGACCATTGGTGCTAATGGCTGCCTCATCATATTACCTGGTGAAGATGAGCCTAGGGAGATGAAAGGTGGTTCCCATATAGAGCAAATGTTCTTTACATTGTGGGGTCGCAGGCCCCTTTGCTATCTGTTTGAAAGCAGTGGACCTTCTTCTCAGAAAAATGCACATAAACACCTGCCTTTCAGTTCACACTTCAGAAGGCTCTTCGACCCTGGAAATTCATTCATGGGCTTTTTGTTAAGAACCTTCCAGTTGGGTGGCCTGTGGCTGTTATGACACTGGATAAGACTGGTTAGCTTCAAGTTAATAAGTCTTGGAAAACCAAGGGAGAGTGACTCTTCCCATTGCACCCCAGTTGTAGAGCAGGGTGGGAGATGCCTGAAATTGTAGGCTCTCAGCAAATATTTGTTGCTTTCTCCTCCCCCCTCCCCATCCCCTCCAGTTTGTTGAAAGTGATGCAGATGAAGAGCTTCTGTTTAATATTCCGTAAGTATCTCCTTGGTGCCTACCTCAGGCTAAATAGGCTGTACCCAGTTGCCTCAGATGGATTCATTCACTGGTGTCAAGAGCACACATTTGCTTCTAGAAATGGGATAAATTACTTTGGTGGGTTTGAGGAGGAAAGCATCATAGCTTTCTTGGTGCAGACTGGAAACAGATGTATTTGTAGAACAATAACTGAGAAATTGAGGTAGATTTCTTAGAATTGTAGAATGCTAGAGGTAGACAGGATCTTAGAAATTATCTAGTACAAGTTGACAGATGAGTAAACTGAAGCCCATACAGGGGAAGGGTCTTGCCCAGGGTCACACAACTAAACAGGTATTCAAACTCAGGTTTGACAACCTTCTCTTTTGCATTCTGGCAGATTTACGGGCAATGTCAAGCTCAAAGGCATCATTATAATGGGAGAGGATGATGACTCACACCCCTCTGAGATGAGACTGTAAGTGGCAAAGGCTTAGGCCCTCAAAGGAGCTCCTAATTCTCTTTTTCTGGTAACATTTTATTCCAGAATAGTATCATTTTCTTCTTACCGGGTTTAATATTTCCCCTTTTAAAATATCTTGGTCCTGTTCTCATTCTGCATTGGAATACATATATTTCTTCCTGAATTAATGACTTTTTTAGATTAAGCATCTTTAGGCCCAACAGCGTGTCTCATATTTCAAAGTGCTTACTATGACATGATTCATTCAGAGAGCATTGTGTAAATGTCACTTGTTGATGACTCTGCAGTTTTCTTAATAACTAGCTGCAGATCTCATATGATCTTTATGGATTCTAGGGGTTAGCTTCAACATTTTTCCTTGCTATTTCATACAGTAATGATCTTATGTGTTTTGTTGACATGGAATTGCTCCACCTGACTTTGCGTGGCATTTAGTTAGCAAAGTTGTGTATACCTCTTGCAACACTGAATCTTTTGCCACCAGAGCTAGTACCCTTTTTGACAACTTACCTTATTCCAGAACAGCCTTCCTAAAAGAAGGGGAAAACTGCTTTCTGAGTGCTGGAGAAACATATAAGAAGAACTTTACATTTAAAAAATTCAGTCCGGGTGCAGTAGCTTATCTCACAAAACCAATAAAAGATGATATATAGGCTGGGCACAGTGGCTTACACTTGTAATCCCAGCACTTTGGGAGGCTGAGGCGGGCGGATCACCTGAGGTTCGAGACCAGCCTGGCCAACCTGGTAAAACCCCGTCTCTACTAAAAAAACAAAAATTAGCTGGGCCTGGTGGTGCGTGCCTGTAATCCCAGCTACTAGGGAGGGTGAGGCAGGAGAATTGCTTGAACCTGGGAGGCGGAGGTTGCAGCGAGCCGAGATCTCGCCACTGCACTCCAGCCTGGATGACAGAATGAGACCCCATCTCAAAAGTAATAATAAAAACAAATAAATAAAAAATTCAAATCCTAAAGGCCGAGCATGGTGGTTCACACCTGTAATCCCAGCACTTTGGGATGCCGAGACTGGTTAGGAGTTCAAGACCAGCCTGACCAAGATGCTGAAACCCCGTCTCTACTAAAAATACAAAAATTAGCCGGGCATGGTGGCACACGCCTGTAATCCCAGCTACTTGGGAGGCTGAGGCAGGAGAATCGCTTGAACCCAGGTGGCAGAGGTTGCAGTGAGCCAGGATCGTGCCACTGCACTCCAGTCTGGGTGACAGAGCAAGACTCCATCTCAAAAGAAAAAAATAATTCAAATCCCAGCACTTTGGGAGGCCGAGGCGGGCGGATCACTTGAGGCCAGGAGTTCAAGATCATCCTGGTCAACATGGCGAAACCCTGTCTCTACTAAAAATACAAAAATTAGCTGGGTGCGGTGGCACAGGCCTGTAATCCTAGCTACTGGAGAAGCTGAAGCATGAGAATCACTTGAACCGCGGAGGTGCAGGTTGCAGTGAGCCAAGATTGCACCACTGCATTCCAGCCTGGGCAACAGAGTGAGACTCTGTCTCAAAAAAAAAAAAAAAAATTCATCTGAAAAATTGATTAAAGGACTTCCAGAGATTTAAGATATATTATAGTTGAGTATTAGAAACATGAATTTGAAAGCAAATCCATGTATTTAATCATTTTAAGGAAATAATACCTTTGATGCTTTTGGAGACTCATTTACTTGGAAGTTGATGGACTGACCTGAGAATATTAGGCATCCATGCTGCATTGTGATTTAGAGTGTGGGATCTGGAGTAAACTGGGTTCAAATAATGGCTGTACCACTTGTTAGCTTCATGACTTTGAGACCTTATCTTCTCTATGCCTGGATTTTCTATATCTAACATGGGAATGGTAACAGTGCATACATACCTCATAAGATTGTGGAGAGGCTTAAATGAGATAAAACATGTAAAGAGCTTAGATTAGGTCTGGAACACAGTAAGTGTCCAATTTTGGGTGAACAGATACGAATACATAGCCCTCAGTTCTAAGCACACTACATATATTATACTTTATCAAATGTAAGATGTCATTGATTGTAAAATGTACCATTATATTCAATTAATACAGAAAAAATGCTATTGAACTATGACATGTCATTGACACATCCAGAAAAATTAGATTGAGAGTATTAAATCAGGGAAGTTTGAACACAGATGAGGTGTTACATGTTACTAAAGAATTACCATTCAGCCAGGCGCAGTGGCTTACACCTATAATCCCAGCACTTTGGGAAGCCGAGGCAGGCGGATTACCTGAGGTCAGGAGTTCAAGACCAGCCTGGCCAACATGGTGAAACCCTGTCTCTACTAAAAACACAAGAATTAGCCAGTCATGGTGGCAGTCGCCTGTCATCCCAGCTATTCGGGAGGCTGAGGCAGGAGAATCACTTGAACCCGGGAGGCGGAGGTTGCAGTGAGCCAAGATTACTCCACTGCACTCCAACATGTGTGACAGTGCAAGACTCTGTCTCAAAAGAAAAAAAAAAAAGAATTACCACTGGGCTGGGCACAGTGGCTCATGCCTCAATCCCAGCACTTTGGGGAGGCCGAGGCGAAAGGATCACTTGAGCCTAGGAATTAAAGGTTATGGTGAATTAAGATCGTAAGATCATATACTGGACCCCAGCCTGGGCAACAGAGCAAGGCTTAAAAAAAAATTATTTATATAGTTTGAGATAGGGCCTTACTTTGTCACCTAGGCTGGAGTGCAGTAGTGTGATCATAGCTCACTGCAGCCTCGACCTCCTCAGTTCAAGCAATCCTCCCACCGCAGCCTCCCAAGCAGCTGGGAATACAGACGTGTGCCACCACGCCCAGCTAATTTATGTATTTTTTTGCAGAGATGGGGTTTTGTTATGTTGCCCAGGCTGGTCTTGAACTCCTGGGATCAAGCAGGCTGCCCACCTCAGCCTCCCAGTGTGCTGAGATTACAGGAGCTAGCCACTGCACCCAGCCAAAAAAAAATTTAAAAAAGTGAATTGCTGTTAATTTTGTTATCTGTTGATATTGTCAATTATTGTAAAATGGTATTAAATATATGTATTTTATTTTATTTTATTTTATTTTTGAGACAGAGTCTCACTGTGTCGCCCAGGCTGGAGTGCAGTGGCGCGATCTCGGCTCACTGCAAGCTCCGCCTCCTGGGTTCACGCCATTCTCCCATCTCAGCCTCCTGAGTAGCGGGGACTACAGGTGCCCGCCACCATGTCTGGCTAATTTTTTGTATTTTTTAGTAGAGATAGAGTTTCACTGTGTTAGCAAGGATGGTCTCGATCTCCTGACCTTGTGATCCACCCACCTCAGCCTCCCGAAGTGCTGGGATCACAGGCACATGTGTGTATATATATATGTATATCTACATATATACGCATATATATATACACATATATGTGTATATATACATATATACGCATATATATATACACATATATGTGTATATATACATATATACGCATATATACACATATATATGCGTATATATACGTGTGTGTGTGTGTGTGTGTGTGTATTTTTTGTTTTTTTAAGACGGCGTTCTGCTCTGTTGCCTAGGCTTGAGTGCAGTGGCCCAATCTTGGCTCACTGCAACCTCCGCCTCCTGGGGTCAAGCGATTCTCTTGCTTCAGCCTCCTGAGTAGCTGGGATTACAGGTACACACCACCAGGCCTGGCTAATTTTTTTTTTATTTTTAGTAGAGACAGGGTTTCGCCATGTTGACCAGGCAGCTCTCGAACTCCTGACCTCAAGTGATCCGCCTGCCTCCGCCTCCCAAAGTGCTGGGATTACAGGCGTGAGCCACCACGCCTGGCCCATACTGGAATATTTATAGGTGAAATGATGTGTCTGGGATTGCTTTAAAATATTGAGCTTAAGCAAAATCAGGCTGATAGGCAAGATCAACAAAATGTTGATCATCGAAGATGAGTGAAAAGTATGTGGAGATTCATTATGTAATCTCTGCTTTTGTGTAAGTTTGAACTTTTCCATAGTAAAGTTTTTTCAATATATGCGTTACTTAGAATCGATTCAATTTCATCTCCATACCAACCGTGTGGAATATGTACTATTACCATTCCCATTTTACAGATGAGGAAACAGAGGTTAAATCAGGTGCCCAAATTTACTCAGCTGGTAAGTGACAGAGCCAGGCTTGAATCCTAGAAAGTCTAGCTCTAGATTTTAACTACAGCGCTATACTGCTTCTCATTATGCCGCTCATAAATGTTTACTATTATTATTATTCTGTGGTGCATCATTCTTAGAAACACTTTGAAGTAAACATTTGCTTTCTTTTTTTTTTTTTTTTTTTTTTTTGAGACGGAGTCTCGCTCTGTTGCCCAGGCTGGAGTGCAGTGGCGCCATCTCGGCTCACTCCAAGTTCCGCTTCCCAGGTTCATGCCATTCTCCTGCCTCAGCCTCCCAAGTAGCTGGGACTACAGGCGCCTGCCACCACGCCCGGCTAATTTTTTGTATTTTTAGTAGAGACGGGGTTTCACCGTGTTAGCCAGGATGGTCTCCATCTCCTGACCTCATGATCTGCCCGCCTCGGCCTCCCAAAGTGCTGGGATTACAGGTGTGAGCCACTGCGCCCGGCGGCTTTCTTAAATTACATGCATTTTGCCCCAGCTAATATCGAGGCCTCTTCTGTGTGGGTGTGTCAATAAAACACCCTGGAATTGGTGGGGACATGTGGCTTAGTCTTTGGGAATTTGTGGGTTATAGAGACAGCTGCTTTTTAGATTACTCTTTGAAAAACATTTTCTTCTCTAGCAGTTTACTTTTTATTTATTCTGAGACAGAGTCTCTCTGTCACCCAGGCTGGAGTACAGTGGCGTGATCTTGGCTCATTGCACCCTCTCTAGCGGTTTGGATGTGAGATTGCAGTCTTTTGTGATCTTTCAAAATGGAAATCCTCATGTTATAAATGTTTTAAGAACTGTAAGGTGACTGAGTGTATGGCGTGGTTTTTGGACACAAAAAAATGCTTGAGCATTGGGTTACCTGATCTTTTATCTCTTAACTGTGTGTAATATGTTTCTGCCAAAGTATGTATTTTTCCCATGAGTAAGCTGTTTTATTTAATAACATCCTCAGTTTGGTCTGAATGTGCTGAGTTGTTTATTTTCTCCATGCATTTGCTGCATGTGACCTAGTTTGAGCCGTCTCTTTGTGTATTGCTTCTCATGTGATATTAACCCACTCAAAGATGCCATGGGGTTATGTTGCAGATCTCAGCTCTTTTTTTGTTGGATTAAAGATATTTGTAGGCTAGACGCGGTGGCTCATGCCTGTAATTCCAGCACTTTCGGAGACCGACGTAGGCGGATCACCTGAGGTTGGGAGTTAGAGACCAGCATTGCCAACATGGTGAAACCCTGTCTTTACTAAAAGTACCAAAATTTGCCGGGCATGGTGGCGTACGCCTGTAGTCCCAGCTACTCAGGAGGCTGAGGCATGAGAGTCACTTGAACCTGGGAGGTGGAGGTTGCAGTGAGCTGAGATTGTACCATTGCACTCCAGCCTGGGTGACACAGTGAGACTCTGTCTCAAAAAAAAAAAAAAAAAAGATATTTGGAGATACTTGTATAAAATGTCATTTCTAAAATATGACCCCCAAATTCAGTCTCCTATTGATAGAACCAAAGCCATTTAAGCAGTCAGTAGAAAATTTTGAAAACCTGAAACGTGATAATGCACATTTCTTGACTTTTCTTTCCTTTCCTTTCTCAGGTACAAGAATATTCCACAGATGTCCTTTGATGATACAGAAAGGGAGCCAGATCAGACCTTTAGTCTGAACCGGGATCTTACAGGAGAATTAGAGTATGCTACAAAGTAAGCACTGGGCCTGTCTTCCATTCTCTATGGCTTCTTATAGGGCTTGCCATTTATTTTTGGCCAGTCTCCTGCTCTCTTAGCATTGGAAATGAGTTAAAACAGTGGAGGAGACTTGATCTTTGGCTTGGTCAGTTTTTGGCAGAGATTCAGTGCAAGCCACAGACTTGTTAACTTGCAAGCAATTGGCAGATCTGAATGAACTCCTAGGGTGGTTTTAGGAAAGATGTGTCTCCCATTAGTTTAGGTTAACACTAAATGTGCTTTAGAATCCCTGCTGGGTTATGCAGCATTTCTCATTCCTGTTCCTTGAGGGCAGGAGCAGTGTTTATCCCTACTGCCTTGGACAGGATCTGGCAGGTGCTCAGTAAATGGTCATTGAATTAATTGCCTGTCCAAAGGAGAAGGAAGAACTCAGGAGCTCTGACTTTGCCTGGCTTTTACAAGCTGGAGCTGAATTGTTGTTTCACATGGTGGTGAGATACTCATTGAACTATAATTCATACCTTCTTTCCCTATTCCTGTCATCCTCTAGAATTTCTCGTTTTTCAAATGTCTATCATCTCTCAATTCATATTTCAAAAAACTTCGGAGCAGATACGACAAAGGTCTTTTATATTGGCCTGAGAGGAGAGTGGACTGAGGTAAGATGGGGTTGGAAAGGTTTTCCCCTCATGTCTACATATCTGCACACTGTGGTGATGGGAGCTTCCAGGGAAGGGAAAAGAGCAAGTGTCATAATTACTCCCAGTTTATTATTTTTCTTGGTTTTATCAGTATAAACTTTTCGTCTCATTTGAGAAACTACAGGTATTTTTAAGGGGGTTGAAACTGTTATTTTTATATAAATAATATATATAATATATATATATATATCTCAGCTCACTGCGACCTCCGCCTCCCAGGTTCAAGTGATTCTCCTGCCTCAGCCCCCCAAGTAGCTGGGATTACAGGTGCCCACTCCCACGCCTGGCTAATTTTTTTGTATTTTTAGTAGAGACAGGGTTTCACCATGTTGGCCAGGCTGGTCTCGAACTCCTGACCTCAGGTGATCTGCCCATCTCAGCCTCCCAAAATGTTGGGATTACAGGTGTGAGCCACCTTGCCCAGCCTGAAATTGTCATTTATATTAATTCACAGTTTTCTACTTTCAAATGCTTTCATTGAGTATTTTTGATAATCTTTTCTATTCATGAACCAGGGATAAGATAATACCATAGACAAGTTCCTATTCTCATGGTACCCCCATTATAGTAGGGAGACTGAATCTTCAAAGTTACAGGGTGAATCAATGATAATGATCTTTGCAGCTTTCTGGAGTTAAAAAGTATCAAAATTGGGAGATATTAGATGATGACATCTAAGTATTAAAATAAGGAGATATTAAATGATGACTCCTAGAAATGAACCTGAATAAGGACTACCGCAATGTGTGTGGTGTGGGAAAGGACAGTTCTTTTAATGGCTGGCTGACCCAGCCTCAATTTTCTTGCAGCTTCGCCGACACGAGGTGACCATCTGCAATTACGAAGCATCTGCCAACCCAGCAGACCATAGGGTCCATCAGGTTACCCCACAGACACACTTTATTTCCTAAGGGCTGGCCAAGGCTCCCATAGAGGCGCTGTGTCAGTGAAGATGTACGACTACCTGTTGGGAAGGACAAAGGGATGAGGCTCCAGAGAGAGTTGGCTGCCACAGCCTCTGCCAAGCTTTGTCTTTGGGGCTTGCTGCAGAAACCTGGCCTACGGAAGATACGACACCACTGGGAGGGTTGTGTAGGTGCCAGGGGACCATCGTGGTTCTCTAGGGCGCTGTGGAAATTGGGTCTTGGGCTGGGTGGCATCTGGCAGTCATGGGTAACACTTGCTTTTCCAGTTAATGTGGCCATGTGATTCCAAGTGTCATGTTGCTTTGTGGCAAGATTGTTGTGTGACTTGTTTTTTTGTTTTTGTTTTTGTTTTTTTAAAGGAAACTATTTGTGGGCTATAGGAAACTTTCTGATGCCTCCGGATTGTGTTAGTAGTAGCCATCAGGAGGGTCTCCAACTAAAACACTTGTTCCTGCTTGCTCCTTTCCCCTCTCATTGTTCAGCATTCTTGTCAAGTTGCCCAGCTTGGAGTTGTCTGTCACGCACATGTGTCCTGTGGTTATAGCTAGAAGGACAGGAGTCTCCTGCTGATGCGTGATAGCTTAAGCTTGGGGAGAAGGTCTTTTCCACTGCCTAGCTAAGCAGTCTGGGGAGAGCATGGGGATCATTTCTATGTGTGTGGGTAATCTGGTCAGTAAGATTGAGACTTAGTTAAGATTCCCCTTGGAAATTCCTTAATGTTTATTAGCTTCTAACTAGTGTTGTAAGTCCGATGCCAGAATTTGGAGATTTGAGTTCTTCTTTTCATGGCTTTTATTCACTGTGACTAATAAGCTTCCTAATAAATCCTTGCCAGACTTAATGTTTGTATTTTCTTTTGAGTTCTTGATAGCCACTGATGCAACTTTCATTTCATGGGGAACTGTACTGAACTTTGAAATTTTTTGTTGTTGTTTTGGACTAGGTAGATTATAGGAAGTGCCACAATTAAATCAAGACTGGAGCCGGGCGCGGTGGCTCACGCCTGTAATCCCAGCACTTTGGGAGGCCGAGGTGGGCGGATCACGAGGTCAGGAGATCGAGACCACGGTGAAACCGTCTCTACCAAAAATACAAAAAATTAGCCGGGTGCGGTGGCGGGAGCCTGTAGTCCCAGCTACTCAGGAGGCTGAGGCAGGAGAATGGCATGAACCCGGGAAGCGGAGCTTGCAGTGACCTGAGATTGCACCACTGCACTCCAGCCTGGGTGACAGAGTGAGACTCCGTCTCAAAAAAAAAAAAAAAAAAAATCAAGACTGGATCAGTTTCTCCAGGAATGGTCAAGCTTAATTTTGTACAGTAGGCCAAAAACACTCCTACACCCATATATAGTAAAGAAGAAGGTGGGGTTGAAAACCTGTATTTCACAGAAATTAACTGGGCATGGTGGCGTGCACCTGTAGTCCCAGCCACTTGGGAGGCTGAGGTGGGAGGATCACTGGAGCCCAGGAGGTCGAGGCTACAGTAAGCCATGATTGCGCCACTGCACCCCAGCCTGAGGCAACAGAGTGAGACCTTGTCTCAAAACAACAACAACAAAACCCTATATTTCATTTTGCACAAAAGGAAGTGATTTGTAGAATGACATTTACAAAAATAAGGGAGAACAGATTTTGGAGCTCATCAGAAGAAATGAGGGTGAGGAAAGTAATTGAGCAGCTCATGTGGTCTCCAGGTAGACCAAAGACTTTGGACTTAAATTTTGAAAGTCAGTTTAGCAATTGAAGAGAATGTAAGTATCTAAAAAGGGGATTTGATATGGTCAGTATTCTCTCCCTTGCAGAAAACAGGAACAGGTAATAAAGGGAATTAGTGTTGAATCTGATCCTTTTGGGAGAATTCCTCTGAGGCATTGGCCCATGCTGTTGTTTGGAGGATATAGCCACTGTTTCTCCAGCCTGTCCTAGGAAAGGTCTGCTACCACCAAACCTTGTTGGCCCTCAAAATTTCTAAAATGCAGCCTGAAATAAACCAGAATGCAAATGCTGTTCTTGAAAAGCATGAAGGGTCCTATTCACTCAGCCACAGCCTCTTTATTTCAGTTGGATCATTTTTTGGAGTTAAAAGAAGGGCTATGTTTAAATTTGGAGTAGGGGGAAAAATAAAGTTAAAAATCTTAGAGCAGACTAGCCCTTCACTAATTCCACTAATTAAAGCATTAATCACAGCTCCTGGGACTGAGCCTCTGAATTTGAAGCTTCACTCTGAAGAATTTGTTTTAAGTGTCATGGTGTCTCAGGTGATCGAGGTTGCAGGAGGAACTGTTCATTCTTCCATAAGTGGGGACATTACCCTCCATTTTCTTTTGACATTCAGTCCTGGGTCCTTGGCTTGTGGTGGTCCCATAGGCTCAAAGGTTTCCTGCCCCGAATCCTGGTATTGTAGGCTCCCTGACCTGTTGAGTACTTAGGACCAAAGTGCCTCTGGGCCTGGGGGAAAGTGCTTTGTTGAGCTTCCAACTTTGTACTGTTTTCTTTTTCTTTTCTTTCTTTTTTTTTTTTTTTTTTTTTTGAGACAGAGTCTCGCTTTGTTGCCCAGGCTGGAGTGTAGTGGCACTATCTTGGCTCACTGCAAGCTCCGCCTCCCGGGTTCACGCCATTCTCCTGCCTCAGCCTCCCCCCGAGTAGCTAGGACTACAGGCGCCCGCCACAGCGCCAGGCTAATTTTTTGTATTTTTAGTAGAGACAGGGTTTCACCGTGTTAGCCAGGATGGTCTCGATCTCCTGACCTCGTGATCCGCCCGCCTCAGCCTCCCAAAGTGCTGGGATTACAGGAGTGAGCCACCGCGCCTGGCTGTACTGTTTTCTTTCTGTTCAAAGAAAACACTAGTATAGGTTAGGCTGGGAGAGTGAGTCCTAAGCGGCTGAGGGTCAAGTGTGACTCATTTCCTATTTGCAGATCCCCACACATTCTCAGGGACATGCTCCTTCAACTCAGTTTGCCTGCCTTCTGACTTTTCTGTGGTCCCTGATACCTATTTCCACTTCAGCTTGATGGCAGCGTTTTGTGCACTGTCTGCATGACATTGCTTGTGAAGGGCAGCGCTAACACTGCCAGTGCCTGTCCAGCTCTCCTGATACGGCCTTTGTATTTTTCCTAGGTCCTTTTTTGCGTGATTAACACCTCACGCTGTGATTTTACTGTATAAACCATGTTCACACAACCTCATTTAAGCCTACCAACAAAGCTGTGAAGGAGGCAGGGTGGTTATTACCATTTTATATATCAGGAAGCAGATCCAGAGAGGCAGAATTTAAATGGAATCCCGAGGTTGCTGTTTACATGCCTTCCTTGAGCCTCAGTTTCCCCATCTTCAAGGCTGGAGAACTAGATGATCTGTAAGGTCTCTTCGGTTCAGAGTGTGTCATTCCATTCATGATCCTGGAATAGGGCATGAAAGCCAGTGGCAGACACCCGAGGCCTTAAGAGGTGTGTCCCATGAGGATGGGAAGGTGGTAAAGTTTATGCAAACAATAGTGTGAGGGATGCCTCTCCTTCCGGTCGGCCCTCCTCCAGGAGGCGCATGGGTGGTGGTAGCAAGTGGGAGTCTTGGGTGCCCTGTCTCGAATCTACAAGGTGGGAGCGGGTGAGAACCCAGCGACTGCGCGGCTGAATGACAGGGAGTAGCCCCGCCGCCTCCAACATGGCAGCTTCTATCCAGCGAAGCCGGGTCCCCGCTTCCGGGTTCCGTACTGTCGGCCAGGCTACTTCCGGCAGCGCGATGGCTGGGTTCCCGGGACTCGAACGGAAGTTCCGGCGGGGGCGGCCGAGGGGGAAGAGTGTGTCTGCGGGAGAAAGAGGAGAATCGCCCAAGCGGCCTCGGAAGTCCCAGGGAGTGGAGGTACCCAGCCGGCGGCTGCGGAGGATGGGCGTGTAGGGGGAGGTCGGCCTCGGGAGGGTCCCGGAGAGCGGGGAGGGGGAACCGTGATGGGGGGGATGGGGGTGGGGAGTGAGGTGCGAAGGCGCTGTCCAGTCTTGGGGACTTCGGGAGTGGAGCGGGGCTAGGCAAGGGGGTGTCTGAGTATAAAGAGACAGACTTCAGGGTCGGAAATAGAAGAGCCCATTGTGGGGCGGGGGCTTCCCCAGAGTCAAAGGTACAAAGCTTTATTGTGGGCAGGTGGGAGTCCTGGGTCAGGGTAGAAAATTTCACTGGGTAGGGTGACCTTTGGTCAGAACAGAAGTTCCCATTGTGGGGAGCGGGAGATCCTGGGTCAGGGTGGAAGTTCTCAAGGTGTATAGAGAGAGACAGGTCAGGGGGAAGGCACCCCTCCGAGGAGGGAGCCTGGGCGGGAGGTGCAAGTCCCCACGGTGGAGAAGGAAGGGAATCGCAGCTCAGGGCAGGAGGTGCATTCCCCATGGGAAGAGGAACCCCGGGTCACAGGTGAACGATCCCATTGTGGGGAGCTGCCCTCAGGGGTCAGAGATGGAAGGTGAGGCCAGTTGGGAGGGGTGGGCAGGCACTTGAGGCAGGTAGTGGAAGCTTCCGGCGAGTTTGGAGGACGCCGAGGATGGGGAGGGGCCAGCCAGCCTGACATTCTTTTGTGTGTTTGGGAGTCCCAGAGCGTGGTCAAGCCAGGGCTCGTTTGCAGTCAGTGGCAGCAGCAGCAGGTAGCTCCGTTTAGGGGGGGCGTGGAGCACCAGTTTGGGGGTGGGTGGAGTTCTTACGCTTTCTGGGGACATGGGCAGCCCCCTGGGGGTCTGGGAATGGATGGGCCAGAAACTGCTGTGAAGGCTGGATGGGGGCTGGGTGGGGGGAGGTTGAGATGGGGGTTGGAGGCGGCACTGAGTAGGGGATGGAAGCTCCTTTCCCTGGCACTTTTCTCTCCATTTCCCATAGGGCCCGGAGTTGGGGAGGCAGGGACCCAGGGATGATTGGAGAGGAGGGGGAAGGCACTCACCCCTGAGGAGTTAGAGGGGGAATGAAGCAGGCGTGCCGCTGCCTCCCCTCTGCCCCCTGCCCTACAGTCCCTATGCCCTGCCTCTGCCTGTCTCCAGCAAGCTCAGGTCCTGTGGTTGGGCCAGAACCAGAGACACATGTTCTGGGCCACTAGGGAGGCTGTCTCTGCCTTTCAGCCCTGGAACTGAGGCAGACTTCTTCTCCTGTGCCCTGGGACTTCTTGCTTGACTATTCTTTGTGCCCAGGACAGAACCTGGGTGCTGTGTGGGGCTGATGGCCTGGTGGCCTCTTGGGCCAGGAGTGTGTCCTGTGCCTGGTTTTGCTCTTGACCGCCGCCCCGATGTATGCAGGCCCCCGCCGTGGAGCCGTGTGGTGTATGTGTGGTAACACCATGTCTGTGCCCCTGCTCACCGATGCTGCCACCGTGTCTGGAGCTGAGCGGGAAACGGCCGCGGTAAGGGTCCCCTTTCACCCACGGCCAGACACTGTGGGAGCAGCTGGAGGACCGGCTGGAGGGGGTGTGGGAAAATGGAGGTGGCAGTGATGAGCAGGGAGTATCCTGAGGCCAGCAGGCTCGGGGTAGTAACCTGTTTGGCTGCTACCTGGGTTCCCCCAGGTCCTTGGGGGTGGGGGAGGGGTGGGCAGAAGTTGGAGGACCTAGGGGAAGCCTTCCTGTCTCCCCATTTCCCATCCTTTTCCAGGTTATTTTTTTACATGGACTTGGAGACACAGGGTAAGTGACTGAGGAGGGGTGCTCCTTAAGGAGGGGTCCTGGCCCAGCAGCGGACTGGAGAGGCCTTCTCTTCCTACCACATCGGAGCCTTTTCTCCCGTCCCTCCTACAGGCACAGCTGGGCTGACGCCCTCTCCACCATCCGGCTCCCTCACGTCAAGTACATCTGTCCCCATGCGTGAGTGTCACCCCAGCAAGGGAGGGGCTGAGGCTGGGGATCATCTGGGGGTGGTCCTGTCATCCCAGGCCTGTTCTCTCCTGTCAGTTGCATCCTGGGGCTTGGGCTCAGGGCAGTCAGAAGTGGCATTTTCAGCCTGAGCTCCTGTGGAGCCCCCAGGAGTGGGGTCCAGCACCAGCCCCCAGCCCTAGGGCCTCCTAGACCTGAGCTCTCCTAGAACCCACACCTCCCTTTGCCCCTTCCCCAAGTACTCACCGACTACCTGGGACCCCGTCACACCAAGCGCTGGGCTCTGCTTCTCCATTACTGGCGCTTTGCCCCAACCACAGCCTCCAGCCCCACGTGGCAGGTTGCCTGGCAACACCTTAAACACAGGCCCTGCCTGCTGGGAGGGGCCACCAGGGGCGGCGCGGCCCCACTCCGGGCTCTGAGCTCTGGCCTCCTCATTCCTCCTGAGCATGATGGGCCCTCTGGCTCTCTTTCCCCAGGCCTAGGATCCCTGTGACCCTCAACATGAAGATGGTGATGCCCTCCTGGTGAGTTTGGGAGTGGGGGTGGGCAGGGGGACGAGGACACTTGGGCTGAGGGAGCCACAGGGGGCTGGCTGGGGTTTTCTATAGCTGCCAGTGCCTCTACTCCCAAGGTTTGACCTGATGGGGCTGAGTCCAGATGCCCCAGAGGACGAGGCTGGCATCAAGAAGGCAGCAGAGAACAGTAAGACCCCAGCCCCTCCTCCACATCCTCCTTCCCCTGCCCCCCAGGAAAGCGCTGGGCGGTTCCTCAGCCTAGCTCCCTTATTGGGCCCCTTGGCAGCTTCCCTCTACCCACTCATGCCCCCTCCCCCAGTCAAGGCCTTGATTGAGCATGAAATGAAGAACGGGATCCCTGCCAATCGAATCGTCCTGGGAGGCTTTTCACAGGTGAGGGGAGAGGGGTGGGGGGGTAGGGGGTAGGGGTGGCCGGTGAGTGAGCTGTGCCCTCATGACCCCTCTCTCTCCTCCCTCCAGGGCGGGGCCCTGTCCCTCTACACGGCCCTCACCTGCCCCCACCCTCTGGCTGGCATCGTGGCGTTGAGCTGCTGGCTGCCTCTGCACCGGGCCTTCCCCCAGGTGAATGTCCCCACTGACCCCCCCGCCCTTTGTGTCTGCATCCTCGTGGCTTGGGGACTGCTGCAGCACTAGCTTTGCCCTGAGTCCTGTCCGGCCTCCAGGCAGCTAATGGCAGTGCCAAGGACCTGGCCATACTCCAGTGCCATGGGGAGCTGGACCCCATGGTGCCCGTACGGTTTGGGGCCCTGACGGCTGAGAAGCTCCGGTCTGTTGTCACACCTGCCAGGGTCCAGTTCAAGACATACCCGGGTGTCATGCACAGCTCCTGTCCTCAGGTCAGTGGGGGGACCATTTCCCACTCCCACTTCTCTGCCTCCAGCCAGGTGCCTCTCGTGATCCCCTCTTAATCCCCTCAGGAGATGGCAGCTGTGAAGGAATTTCTTGAGAAGCTGCTGCCTCCTGTCTAACTAGTCGCTGGCCCCAGTGCAGTACCCCAGCTCATGGGGGACTCAGCAAGCAAGCGTGGCACCATCTTGGATCTGAGCCGGTCGAGCCCCTGTCCCCACCCTTCCTGACCTGTCCTTTTCCCACAGGCCTCTGGGGGCAGGTGGCAAGGCCTGGCCGGGCCTTCCTTCCTGGCCTTAGCCACCTGGCTCTGTCTGCAGCAGGGGCAGGCTGCTTTCTTATCCATTTCCCTGGAGGCGGGCCCCCCTGGCAGCAGTATTGGAGGGGCTACAGGCAGCTGGAGAAAGGGGCCCAGCCGCTGACCCACTCACTCAGGACCTCACTCACTAGCCCCGCTTTGGGCCCCCTCCTGTGACCTCAGGGTTTGGCCCATGGGGCCCCCCCAGGCCCCTGCCCCAACTGATTCTGCCCAGATAATCGTGTCTCCTGCCTCCACTCAGCTGCTTCTCAGTCATGAATGTGGCCATGGCCCCGGGGTCCCCTTGCTGCTGTGGGCTCCCTGTCCCTGGGCAGGAGTGCTGGTGAGGAGGTGGAGCCTTTTGAGGGGGGCCTTCCCTCAGCTGTTTCCCCACACTGGGGGGCTGGGCCCTGCCTCCCCGTTACCCTCCTTCCCTGCAGGCCTGGAGCCTGTAGGGCTGGACTGAGGTTCAGGTCTCCCCCCAGCTGTCTCACCCCCACTTTGTCCCCACTCTAGAGCAGGGAGGCAGTGGGGGAGGAGTTGTGTCTCGTCTTCTGTCTCCATGTGGTTTTTGGGTGTTTTTCTTGTTGTGTCCTGGATTCCGATAAAATTAAAGAAATTGCTTCCTCAACGCTCAGGCCTGGCTGATTCTATTCCAGGGGTGGATAGTGACCATCTGTGAGAACCTGCCCCAGTGTAAGAAAACTTGTTTTTATTTTTAAATACTTTGGAAAGCTCTTTCAGAGCAATATAAATGAGTGCCTGGGAGGAGGAGGTTTTGTGCCAGAGCCTTGCCCCCTCACTCACTCTTGGGGGTCCTGATGAACTCTTGGACCCTGTGGAAGATAAGAGTTAGAGACCTCGGCCTCCTGGTCAGTGGAGCCCTTGGCCTCATGCCTGGTGGGCTAAGCGGGCCCAGCTGGGGTTTGAGGTAGGGGAGGCCTTGGCTTGGCCCCAGCAGCTCCAGGGCCCTGAGTTCCTGCCAGAGGCTGGAGAGCAGGCAGCTGCTGCTTTTCCTGGTCCTTGGTAGGGGAGGGTCCTCAGGCTTGCGTGCCAAAGCCTGAAGGATTCTGCTTCTGCCAGCGCCAGAGATCCTCACCTGCAACACGGCGAGGTGTGTGCTCAGGGCCCACGGTGGAATGCAGAGCCTCCCCCACCCCACAGCCCGCCCTGGGTGGGCATGCCCAGATCTGATTTAGCCCCTCCCTGGCCCCTAACTGCAGGGGTCAGGCCAGCACTCACACATCCTGTCCAGCCCTAAGGCTGCTGTCCACCCCAGCTCCTCTTGGGCCAGGCTGGGGTTGGCGTAACAGGCTGCCACATCACCTTCCCGCCGTGCCACCACCTTGTACGGGATCTGCAAGACAGGAGGTAGTTGGAGCTTAGCTGAGCCGGCCCTGGCCCAGCTGCTGGCCAGGTCTTTAAGAAGCAGAAGTGCAGAGCAGCGGCTGGCCCGCAGGCACCGGGTGCTAGGCAGGCTGAGGAGACTGGGCAGTGCCAGGTACCCTCCAGAGAGGTGAGTGGGAAGGGCCAAAGCTGCTCTGTTGCTGAGAGCTGGGTGGGGTGAGGTGGGTGAGGTGGGTGGGGCGGGGGGGCCTACCTTCTTCCCAGAGGCCTTCTCCATAGCCTGGACCATCTGCAGCACTGAATAGCCTGTGCCCGTGCCCAGGTTGTAGATCTGGCCCACGGAGAACAGGGTTTATGGAGCGGGCTGGACTGACCACGCCTCTGGGCCGCTCTGCCTGGATCTGGTCCCTCCCCTCCCTCACTTCTCCCTTCTCTTCCTACCCGGCAGCCACACTGTTCTTTCAGCTTCCTTAAGGCTGCAATGTGGCCCTTGGCCAGATCCACGACATGGATGTAATCCCGGACACCTGCAGAGAAGGGAGTGTGTTGGATGGGGAGTCTGTTCCCCCTGACTCTCCTTCCTGGCTCCCACTCCTAGGTCCCCCTGGTCCTAGGCTCACCTGTGCCATCCTCTGTGTCATAGTCATTGCCAAAGACATTCAGGGCCTCCCGTCGCCCGATCGCCACCTGGAGGTGGAGATCAGGTCAGTTCGTCCCAGATCCCAGGCACCAGCTTTAACCCCAGGGCCACTCCTCTGTCCCTTCCCTTTTGCCTTACCTGGGAGACATAAGGCATGAGGTTGTTGGGTATGCCCTGGGGATCCTCACCAATGCAGCCAGAGGCATGGGCACCTGTGGGGTTGAAATAGCGCAGCAGCACTGCGTTCCAAGTCTGTGGGATGTGGGTCAGGTGGTGAGGCCAGAGGCACAGGCAGCGTGTCCCAGCTGAACCCAGAGCCCTCCTCATGCCTATTCTGTTTTTTTGAGATGGAGTCTCACTATGGCCCAGGCTGGAGTGTAGTGGCCTGATTTGGCTCACTTCAACCTCTGCCTTCCAGGTTCAAGCAATTCTTGTGCCTCAGCCTCCCGAATAGCTGGGACCACAGGCACACACCACCATGGCCGGCTAATGTTTGTATTTTTAGTAGAGATGGGGGTTTTACCATGTTGTCCAGGCTGGTCTTGAACTCCTGACCTCAGGTGATCTGCCCACCTGGGCCTCCCAAAGTGCTGAGATTACAGGTATGAGCCACTGCGCCCGGCCAGTTGTCTATTTATTATCTTTAGAAACAAGCAGGGGATGGGGCCCTCCACTGCAACTGCCTGAGCCTTAGCTTCCTCCTTAGTGGGGGTGTTCGGAATCCCACCCCTGGGCTCAGGGTGGGCCCTGAGGAGTCCATCGATCAGTGGAGCCAGGGCACTGTCAAGGGGGCCCTCACCTTGTCTGCCTGGCACAGGTCCCGGATCATTTCCTCGATGAAGAACTTGGACTTGCCGTAAGGGTTGGTACAACCACCCGTGGGGTGGGCCTCATCAAGGGGCAGGTACTGGGGGTTCCCGTACACAGTGGCTGAGCTGCTGAACACCAGGTTCTTCACCCCGTGGGCCTTCATGATCTGGCCGTGGAGAGATGGCATCAGTGACCTCTGCCTCACACATTACTCCCACCCTGTTACTCCTCCACAGGAGAATGGGGCTGAGGTGATGAGCACTCTCATTTACAGATGGGGAAACTGAGACTGGGAGGTAAAGACATGAGTCCAGGATGATACAGCTTGGGCTCTGTGTTTGGCACTGCCTGCCAGGCTGGGGTCCAGCTGGACACCCTCCTAGTGTCTGTGCCCTGTCCCATGCCTCTCACCTCCAGAAGCTGGATGGTCCCGGTCAGGTTAACTCTGTAATAATCCAGAGGCTTCTGCACCGACTCGCCCACGGCCTTGAGCCCCGCAAAGTGGATGACCGCCATAAAGCTGTACTGCAGGGGTGACATGGCCAGAGGTTGCTCTACTGGTTTTAGTCCTTGGCAATGCCCTCAGCCTGCCTGCCTGCACTCACCTTTTTTTTTTTTTTTGACAGTCTCGCTCTGTTGTCCAGGCTGGAGTACAGTGGTGCCATCTCAGCTCACCGCAACCTCCACCTCCCAGGCTCAAGCCATCCTCCCATGCCAGCCTCCCGAGTAGCTGGGACCACAGGTATGGGCTACCATGCCCAGCTAATTTTTGTATTTTTCTGTAGAGATGGGGTTTCACTGTGTTGAGCAGGCTGGTCTTGAACACCTGGGCTCAAGTGATCTCCTCACCTCGGCCTTCCAAAGTGCTGGAATTACAGGCGTGAGCCACCGTGCCCAGCCTGCACCCACCTTTTTGAAGAGACGCTGTAGGGCTCCCTGGTCCAAAATGTCCATCTCCTCAAACTCCACAGAGCGGCCTGTCAGCTCCTGGACCCGCCGCAGGCTCTCAGGCAGGGAGCCCCCTCCTGGTAGGGTACATGTAGGCCACATCATCACGACATGGGGTGCTGTGTTCCCAGGGACTAGCCAGACACACATTCCCCGCCCGGTGGTGGAGGTGGAACCCAGGGTTTTGCTTCTGCCATCCCCTCAAGTAGCCCCAGCCCCACTGCCCCGCTCACCACGGAAGGCATTATGGAAGTTATCGATGACCACAGGCAAGTAGCCAGCCTCCAGCAGCTCCAGCACCGTGTGGCTGCCAATGTAGCCAGCCCCACCTGTTACCAGCACCTTCTCTGCCATGGCACCTGGCCCAGGATACAGAGTCTCAGAGGTGGCTGAGGCTGCCTGCTCAGAGCTTCCTTCCCACTGGAATCCTGCCCCCTAAGCTCGCTTTGGAAGGAGGCGGCAGTGTGCCCTAGGTACCAGACTGGCTCAGAAGTCAGCCCTGGGGCAAGTCTGGGTACCATCACTTTCTGGCCTTAGGCTTTGGAAATTAATTAGCCTCTTGGCCTCAGTTTCTATCTCTGTAAAACAGAGCTAATAATTGTATAAACTTCATGAGGCAGCGTGAGGGTTCAGTGAGGTGATCTTAAGGGCCCGCCACAGCAGAGCTGGGGAGACCTGACACACAGGCACCTTATTTTCTAGTTCCACTTGCCTTGGAGTTGGAAAAGATGGAATCTGAGGATCCACACTTCTTTGTCCAAGGTGACTGAGGACTGGAGAGTCCTGGGCAGAAGGAAAATGGCAGCACGATTGGGACTCCAGGGTCGCAGGAAGGGGTTCTGTCTGCTCAGACCCAGGCTTGTCCAATGCCTCCGCCTTCGCTAGGTGTAAACTGGCTCCTGGGCGCAGTGACTAATACCTCCTGCTCTAGGCGGCCCCCACCCCCTTTCCCTCAAGGGTCAGCTGGGAGGAAGCAGGAAATAGATCACATGGCCTCAAGGGTGAGGTCCTTTGCCAGGCAGGCTGAGGCCAGCTCAGGGGCAACCACACCGTGGTTGGTCCTGGAGGGGGCCCCACCCCAACCCCCGCTCAGCCTCTGCCCATGCCAGGGCCAGCCCGGTCACTCCTGGCTCAGAGTTAGGAATCCCGCCCAACTTAGGCTACTCTGGGTGGGCCGTGTAGACGTGGACTTGGCCAGGTGCGCACCTCCACCCTGAACAAACTCTGCGGGTAGTACGGGGAGGAAGCCCCAGACACTGAGGCCTTTCATTCCCAGCGACCGGGCCCGCTGCCGCCTTCCTCCACGCTGCCTCTATCCCCTTCTGGGCTCACGCAGCTCCAACCCACTTGACCAAGAGCCCTCTGCGTGCCAGGCTCCGTACCAGGCACTTTTGCATGATTTTCCTGAATTCCCCCAGCATCTCGGTGAGACAGGTGTTATCACTGGCACTTTACAGATACAGATACTAGGGCCAGAGAGGTGAAACAGTTGCCCTTCGGTCCCACAGCTGGCGACAGCGGGCTGGAATCTGGATCGCCAGGCTCGCAGCCCGGCCCTCTCCCCAGGCGGCTCGCCCTTCCCCCACCGCTGCCCGCTGGACTCTGCCCGCCGCGCCGAAGCCGCCCCCGCCCCCGCCCCGCGCCTGGCGCGGACCCCGAAAGTGGTCGCAGAGAGGCCCTGGGAAGCACGAAAGCTGGTCTGAGGCCGGCTGCGCCCCCGACAGCGGAGTGACCTTGCTCAGCCGTCGCCCACTCGGTTTTCCCAGTCTGTCTGTTGGAGGGAAGGGGAGCTAGGCCGTGGGCATACGAGGGCGGCTGGGTCTCAGGCTGGGCTTTGGGCTGTAGCGCGGAGCGGGGCCGAGCTAGGAGTCCTCAGGCCGGCAATGAATGAACCCCGGCCGCCCCAGCCCGGGCAGCGGGGAACTGGGACAAAGGGGGCGGGCCTGCCCTGGAGGGACGCTGCCAGGAACACGACCCGCCCCTCGGAAACTCCCTCGCTCCCCGCGGACTCCCCGGCCCCTCGCGAGCCCACCCGGCCCTTCATTCCGTCTCCCGAACCTGCTCGGGTTCCCGCGCCCCACGCTTGCTGCAGAGGCACCGCCTCCTACGCCCGAGCCGCGGGCCCTTTAAGTGCTGACGGCCCACTCCGGCCCCGACCCCGCCCCTCCACGCCCCCAAGGAAACATGTCACTCGGGTTACGGCCACTACGGGGAGGGCGGGAGGACAAAAGGCCTCCGCGCTGTGACGAAGACTGCGCAGCGCGCGCCCGCGGAAGGCGGAAGTGGGCGGTGCCACCCCGCGAGAGGCGCCGCCGGCGCCAGGTCCCAGTAGCGGGTGGGTCCTTGCCGGTGCCCCGGGTCCCCGCGCTAGCTCGTCCCAACCCCTGGAAGAGGGCTGCGCTTCCGAGGGGGCAGGGGGCAGAGGGTAGGGGGCCCACGCCTCCGCCCCACTCTGACCCGCAGGTTTTCAGACTTGCCGGTGTGTGCCAAACCATGAATTCAAAATCTTGAACTACCCGATCCCACGGGACTAAGGCAGGAGGGGGTCGCAGGGGGCCTGGTGCTGGAAGTCCAGTTTGCAAATAAACCAAGGAGCTGGAGGAAGCTGTCAGGCCACACTAGCGGTTCCAGCGCTCTTGGCTCTCAGCCCCCACCTGCCGGGAAGGGTCGGTCTGCACTCTGCCTTCCACGACGGCAGGTTAGAAAATGATTGTTTGTTTACAATGAAAAGTAGTAGAGCTAGAGAATAATATGCACAAAATGTGACATCCTGCGTGATGAAACCAGAGCAAAGGAGCCCTAAATGCAGGAGCGCACAGGTGTCCGCGCAGCCGGGAATCAGCCAGCGCCTGCCCGCAGAGTCCAGGGAACCGACAGGTGAGCGCTCCCGGGCCCGGGAGCGCCAGGGAGAGGCCGGGCCACCGAGGCCCAAAGCAGCAAGTGTGTCCTCAGGGGAGCTTGTGCAATAGCCCCAGTCACAGAGGCAAAGCTCAGAAACAACCCCGTCGGGTGTTCTGGCCAGCAACTGCCGCAAGCAGCCTCCTGAGTAAGCCCAAAACCACTGATTTCCAGTCACTATGGATTTGGGGCTCAGGTGGGGAAACAGGGAGGAAATCCAAAGATTAATAAACTAGTTCATAGTCTCCATTTTCCTCTCAGAGTGCAACATGGTAAAGTATTTTACTCCCCCACGCGCATGTATACACACAGCTGCACAACCGAATGCTGGAATTATGATGTGCCATTCAACCTTTAATTACATAAGCTGTTTTCAAAAATCACATTCAGCGTGGAGATTTTCCAGAGATGCTGGAGTTGGCAGACGGCCACCACGTAGCTCTCCACTTTCCACAAATGGCCTCTGCCAGCTTGGGAAGAACCTCCATGACCTGTGTCCTGAGAAGTCAGAGAGCAAGGGCCCCACGGCCATGGCAGGGTGGAGCCGTGTAGAGGGTGGCCAGGTGGCCAGCTCGCGGATTCCATCCAGAGAGGAGACTCAAGGATCATGCTAAGTAGGGAACGGGGTTCCCACACGTCCTCAGGCATTCAACTCCTGGGCCAGGGTCCGTAACAAAGGGAGACTTCAGCCCTCAAAGCCTCTCACTCCTCAGGTCTGGGCAGGAGGTCCTTCTGCCAAGCAGCTCCTCCTGCCCTTCGCCTGCTTTCTGCCAGGAGAGACCTCTGTGTAGAGCTGGCTATGAGGTACCTGCACCATTTAACCTATTCTCATTTCCATGTCCCCATCCATGAATCATCTGTGTGTGCCCCTATTTCCACATCATCCCCAGGGCTTCAGGTGGGCAAGGGGCTCAGAGTTTACAGGTAGCCTGAGCCACTTTGGAGCTAGTTTTTCTGTTCAGGGCTTGACAGATAAAGTTTCCAGCTTCCAGAAGCTTCTGGAGATTCACACCCTTTGAGAAACAAGTTAGAGGATGCGGTAAGTCATGGTATGCCCTCAACACCAGGGAAAACATCAGCATGGACAGACAACTGTGATACTGAAAAGTAAAGGTGAAGATAAACAGGCTTTTTCCTTGACAGCGGGGCACCAGCTGCCTGTGAGCTCCTGTCTGTCTGGCACCTGGGTTATTCCTCTGACTCCCCCTCATGTAAGATGCCCAATCTCTGTCATGGTTTGTAGTGCCACTACCAGGGCACAGATCTTATCAGTCTTGTTCAGTACTCCCTCTTCAGGGCCCAGCACAGGGCCTGGCCCACAGAGGTAAAAAACTGATATTCAAGTGACAATTGTGAGGCAGAGAGGGAGGGATAAAAACACCAACTGAAAGGGCCAGACAGAAACCCTCTGTTCATACAGTAGCTCATATTTGCTGAAGTGCACTCTGTGCTCAGCTCTGTGATAAGCATTCTACATAACTTTTCTTTCTTTTTTTTTTTGGAGACAGAGTTTGCTCTTGTCGCCCAGGCTGGAGTGCAATGGCACGCTCTCAGCTCACTGCAACCTCTGCCTCCCGGGTTCAAGTGATTCTCCTGCCTCAGCCTCCCGAGTAGCTGGGGTTACAGGTGTGTGCCACCACACCCAGCTAATTTTTCTTTTCTTTTTTTTGAGAGGGAGTCTCACTGTGTCGCCAGGCTGGAGTACAGTGGCGTGATCTTGGCTCACTGCAACCTCTGACTCCTGGGTTCAAGCAATTCTCCTGCCTCAGTCTCCCGAGTAGCTGGGATTACAGGTGCGTGCCACCACACCCAGCTAATTTTTGTATTTTTAGTAGAGATGGGGTTTCACCATGTCGGCCAAGCTGGTCTCGAACTCCTGACCTCAGGTGATCTGCCCACCCTGGCCTCCCAAAGTGCTGGGATTACGGGCGTGAGCCACCGTGCCCAGCAATTTTTCTATTGTTAGTGGAGACAGTGTTTCACCATATTGGCCAGGCTGGTCTCAAACTCTTGACCTCAGGTGATCCACCCGCCTTGGCTTCCCAAAGTGCTGGGATTACAGGCGTGCGCCTGGCCCTCTACGTACGTTTTCTTACTTAATCCTCACAATGGCTCCATGAGATGGATGGCATTATTATTCCCATTTCTTAGGTTCAGAGAGATGAAATAATTTGTCTGAGGTCTCATAGCCTGGGAGTGGCAGGAGTAGGCTTTAAACCCAGTTCCATCTGATCTTTAAGCACAGATGCTATTCTGCTTCCGTCCCGCCACTGAGGGCCCTGGTGGACTCTGGCGGATCCCTGGTGAGCTGTCTAACGCTACTGTCCTCATTTTACAGAGAACAAAACAAAGCCAAGAGAGAACTGACTCATTTCAGGTCATGAACCTGACCCTTCCCAGGGCCCCTTCCATGTTCCTGGTGTCTCCTAGGACTGAACTGTCAAAGTCACCCTGACACTCCAGCCTTCTTATGCCCATGCGTGTGGCCTCACTCAACCCTACTCTCACAAACATTAAAATATTAGATCAAATATCCATAATCCCCAACACCCTTCCCCTCTTTTGTTTTGTTTTGAAGAGATAGGGTCTTGCTGTTTCACCCAGGCTGGAGTACACTGGCAGGATCATAGCTCACTGCAGCCTCAAACTCCTGGGCTCAAGTGACCCTCCTGCCTCAGCCTCCCAAAGTGCTGAGATTACAGGCATGAGCCACTGCGCCTGGCTAACCCTTTCCCTCTTTACTCCTCAGCACCTTAACAACCCCAAATACCCCCATCCACTTTTGTTCTCAGCTTCAGGCCCCCTGGTCAGTTCGGGGCTGTCGCCACCAGGGGGTGGGTGGGCTTACCGTGTGAATGCCCAAGCCCTCTAGCATGTAGACCAGGTCTTCTGTGGCCAAGTTTCCTGATGCCCCCTGTGCGTAGGGACAGCCTCCAAGTCCTGCCACAGAAGAGTCCACGACACTCACTCCCATCTAGAAACATAAGGATGGTGAAACACAGTTGTTGCTGGGGACAAGAGGCCACAGAGATGAGCCTTGCAAACCTCCCAATCGTCTGTTGCCTGAAATTCTAGAGTCATTCTTTGCTTTGGCTTATGATTCTGTTGACATGACAATCCCACAGAAAGAGACAGTGCTTCTCCTTTTAGTTTCTGTTAAACTGTTTCCTCTGCCAGCAGTATCTTTCCTTTCATGGTGAACTCTCATTCTTTAGGTTCCAGTCTGAAAGCCACCTGCTCAGGGAGACCTTTTCTGATCACCAGCCTAACCCCCTCCCACTGCTGAGATTTCAGACCCCTGTTGTTTACTGTGATTCATTTATTACCCCCCCCCCACTTACCCCCCACCACCTCCAGGCTACTCTCACTCAGTCAGGGCCTTGCCACACGAGGGCCACATCCCATCTTCCCAGGTCAGTCACCTCCCACTATCCCAAATGACTATTTCACTTTCTCCTCTCTTCTTAAACCTCTATCACCCCCTTCCCCATCCTCATTCTCATCTGCTGCTTTATGGAAATGGATGCAATCAAGAGATGTCTCCATTGATTCCCACCATCACATCTACCCACCTGCCTACATCTGGGCCTACAGACCCACTGTCCCTCATGCTGCCTGAGATGGACCCTGAGCTCCTAGCCAAGGCCAACCCCTCCACCTTGGCGTGAGGCCCATTCCCACCTGCTTCAGGATGTGCTCCAGTAAGTCTCTCCCTCTCTGCTGCAACCTGTTACTCCCCTCCACTGGGTCATCTTCACACAGCCTGCGATCTCTCCCATCTTTTACAAACCTTTTTGGAACCCTCTAACCTCCAATTTCTTTCCCCCCATTCAAAGCAAAGTCCCTCAAAAGAGCTGTTCCCATTTAACATCTACCATTCTCATTTGAACCCATTCGAAACAGGTTTGCGTCCCCACAACTCCTCCACTGAAACAGCTCTAGTCAAGGCCACTGGTGGCCTCCATGTAGCTAAGTACAAAGGTCAAGTCTCTTCATCTTTGCACTTGACTAGCCGCATCATCTTGGACACCTTCTCCATGTGGCTTCCAGGGCTCCACATCCCTTGGTTTTCCTCCTAGTGCTCTAGCCTCTCCTGAGGCCTCGATCCAGTCTTTGCTGGCTCTTCCTCACCTCCCTGATCTCGGTTGGAGCCCTTACTGCTCATTCCTCAGACAGCTTCTCTATCTCCACTCACTCCCAGTTAACTGCACCCAGGTTAACACACCTGCCTATAGATGTCTCGAGCTTCACAGATCAGAACACGAACTGCTGAGATCCGGTCACGCACCTCTGCCCTCCAGGCCTCCTTGCCATGTCTCTCACCTGGATTGCTGTAGGCTCCAAACTGGTTCTTCTCTCTACAGTGTATTCTCTACACAGCACCCAGAGGAGCCTCTTTTTTTTTTTTGATAAGAAGTCTCACTCTGTTGCCTAGGCTGGAGTGCACTGGCGCCATCTCAGCTCACTGCAAATCACTGCAACCTCCACCTCCCGGGCTCAAGTGATTCTCATGCCTCAGCCTCGCAAATAGCTGGGATTACAGGCTCACGCCACCACGCCCAGCTAATTTTTATATTTTTAGTTGAGACAGGGTTTCACCATGTTGGCCAGGCTGGTCTCAAAACTCCTGACCTCAAGTGATCCACCTGCCTCAGCCTCCCAAAGTGCTGGGATTACAGGTGTGAGCCACTGTGCCCAGCCGAGGAGCCTCTCAAACGGAACATTTCAGATCATCTCCCTCCCCGCCCCTGCTCAAGACTCTCTGTTAGCTTCCCAGCTCAGTCTGAAAGAGTCAAAGTCCTACAAGGCCCCCGATCTGGCCTTCCTCTAACCCTGACATCTCTGCCCCCCTCTCCTCAGTCACACTGCTCCCGCCACATGCCTCCTCCTGATCCCTGAACACAGCAAGCACACTCCTCCCTCAGGGCTCTGCGCCTGCTTTCCTGGGTGGGGCTCCCTTCCCTCCCCCTCCCTGCTAGGGATCCGCAGGGCTCACTCCCTCGCTTCCCTCAGGTCTCTCTCAAATGCTACCTTCTGAGTGAGGCCACTCTACAGAAAGGCCTGGCACTGCCTTAACCTGCTTCATTTTTTCTCCACAGTGTTTATGAACACCTGGCCTGCTGTATGTTTGTTTATTTATTATCTGTCTCATAGTACTAGAGTGTCAGCCTCATGAGGGCAGAGACTCTGTTTTGGTCACAGCTGAATCCTTAATGCTGAGAACAGTGCCTAGCACACTAGGCACCGTTAGGTTAGGTTTTAATAGGTGAATAAATGGTCTTACAATGTGCTATTTACACGCCTGTAATCTTCCATCTGTCTTCCCCACCCACCATAACATGAGCTCCCAGAGGGCAGGGATTGGGTCTTGTTACCATTGTCTAAGTCAGCACTTAACCTGGCACATCGATCCATATTTCCGAAGTAACTGATGGAAGAGGGAGGTCAGAGGAAGCTACTGCCAGACGTCACACAGCTCAACCTGTTCCCTGATAAATTTTCAAAAAGGGGATTCTGAGATATCACTGCCATGAAACAGAGAAGCACAGAGGAGCAGGAGTGTCCTGAGCGTGATCAGGATGAAGTTTTGCCTCAGACTCACCTCAGCTGTGCAGAATTCCCCTTTACCTGCCTGGCAAGGCATAGGAGAGGAAGTCACTCTTCCTGTCTGCCTGGCTGGGAAACGCATGAGCTGAAGGAAAGCCCAGGAACCAGGGCAGGGTATCACAGTAAGCTGAAAAATGAGGAGACCACAGAACTACGAACCTTAACCTTGACAGCCACAACTCTGAGGAAACCGACCCAGAACATAACAGACTCACCTGGCTTAGACACGAACCTCTAGGGGATAATTGAGAGGAAAAAAAAAGTGGCTGGAACTGCCATCACTATCCTAGAGATGGAAGGTTAGGCCAATGCTACAGCAAGGTAGCTGTGGTCAGACACTAAGAATGCTCCTTCTATCTGGCTGCCAGCCAATGGATCTCCATTCTGGACCAGCCCACGAGAAGCAAACCTCAAAGGAAACTAATCTGAGGTCTTAGCTCAATCTGTGGGGAACGGCATTAAAGCCTCTCCCTCTGAGTGACCTCTGCTAGCTTCTCTACCTCCTGCTTCCTCATCTGCTTCTGCTACACACCCGCACACTGAAAACCCTGTATATTGTATGAGTCCTCCCTGAACCCCACATCAGTCCTGAGGTGCAATTCTGCCTAGTCATCTTTCCTCTTCCCTCAACAGCAGCTTACTTTATGTTCTTCAAGCTTCACTGAGGCCTCTTTTGCAAATCCTCCCAGATCTCCTCAGCTGGGATGGGGCCCCTCTAGGCTTCCTGAGCCCCATGCTTCCTCCCTTCATGGCATCTGTCATAATGCAGTGGGATTGCCATGTAACTCCCTTGACTGTCTCCCCAACACAGAGCTGTACACTTCACATCTGGGCAGGGTCACCATGACTGTGTCCACCATTGCCAGCTTGGAACCTGGCATACTGGCATCAGTAAATGTTTGCTGAAAGAATAAATGATAACAAGCTGTCCTGCCCACCGTGACCTTTGGGAGAATGGGCATATGCTTTTGATTACCTGCAGGGCCATCAAGGTGTTGGCCAGGGCTTGACCATAGGTGTCATGGCAGTGGACAGCCAGGGCAGCCAGAGGCACTTCCTGCATGACAGCAGATAGCATGTCTTTCATGATCCCTGGGGTGCCCACACCAATGGTGTCCCCCAGGGAGATCTCGTAGCAGCCCATTGAGTAGAACTTCTTGGTGACCTAAGGAAGCAAGCAGGCACTTGGAGGATACAGAATCCACCAGCCAGGGGATCCATGCACTCAGAAGAGGGGGCCTTTGCCTGGGCAGAACACTTCTGGGTATGACGCACTCAGTTCCTACTGGATTACATGCTCCTCACCACTCCAACTGGGAATGATGATCCTCAATCTATGATCAGGAGACTGAGGCGTAAGGGGCAGAGCCAGCCGCTGGAGCCAGCCCACAGTCCTGAAGCTCCAACCCCCGTGCTTTCCTCCCTACCTGTGCCCCTCAGACTTCAGTCTCACTTACGGCTGTCACATCATACTGTCAGACCCAGGTGCTGGAATCAGTGAAGTTGATTCCTTCCATGTCGTTTTATCCTCAGCAATAAAATCCATGAAATCATGGGTCTGAGATGCTAGTTATATTTTTTTTCTTTTTTTTTTTTTTTTTTTGAGACCGGGTCTCACTCTGTCATTCGGCTAGAGTGCAGTGGTGTGATCTCGGCTTACTGCAACCTTGGCCTCTCAGACTCAAGCAATCCTCCCACCTCAGCCTCCCAAGTAGCTTGGACCATATGTATAAAAATGTATATATTTTACATATATATATTTTTTGAGACAGAGTCTCACTCTGTCGCCCAGGCTGGAGTGCAGTGGCACAATCTCGGCTCACTGCAAGCTCTGCCTCCTGGGTTCAAGTGATTCTCCTGTCTCAGTCTCCCAAGTAGCTGGGATCATAGGCACCTACCACCACGCCCCACTATTTTTTGTATTTTTAGTAGAGACGGAGTTTCACCATGTTGGCCAGGCTGGTCTTGAACTCCTGACCTCAGGTGATCCACATGCTTCGGCCTCCCGAAGTGCTGGGATTACAGTCATGAGCCACCATACCCGGCCAATCAATAGTCCATATATATATATATATATATATTTTTTTTTTTTTTTTTTTAGATGGAGTCTCCCTCTGTTGCCCAGGCTGGAGTGCGGTGGCGCAATCTCAGCTCACTGCAAGCTCCGCCTCCCGGGTTCACGCCATTCTCCTTTCTCAGCCTCCCGAGTAGCTGGGACTACCGGCGCCCACCACCACCCCCGGCTAATTTTTTGTATTTTTAGTAGAGACGGGGTTGCACCATGTTAGCCAGGATGGTCTCGATCTCCTGACCTTGTGATCTGCCCATCTCAGCCTCCCAAAGTGCTGGGATTACAGGCGTGAGCCACCGTGCCCGGCCAATAGTTATATTTTTTAATAGAGGTACATCACTATTTAAATTTTTGGAAGCCCATTTGCACATCTCTAAAACCACTGCAAAATGGGTCCATATTGGAATAGGTCCAATATGGGTCCAATTGGAATAAGCCATACTGGAATAGGGTGGGCCCCTAATCCCATACGACTGGTGAACTTAAAAAAAGATGGCCTCACCCAAGGAGCTGCTGCCCACACGGGGCTGCTGGACAAGGTGCAGAGGGATGTGGCAGGGAAAGGGGACCAGAAGACACCAGTGATCTGCTAAATAAATGAAATGGTGACGTCGCTTCCCCAGTGGCCCTGCAGAGTGTGGGGCGGCAGTGGCTGGCCTTTAGGGGGCAGCAGGGTGCAGGGGAAGGAGCAGGCCTTTGAAGTCACGAGATGCTGGGTTAAAGTCCTAGTTCTGCTGTTCACTAGCTGTGGGCCTTGGCAAGCAACTTCACTTTTCTGAGCTTCAATTTCTGCTTCTGAAAAATGGTGATGACCCTTTGGTCATACGGCAAGGATTGTGGCAACTGAGGCTAAGACCTGGAGCAGGGCAGCTGCTCTCAAGAAACAGTTGCTACTGTTACCATTCCACCTATCTGGATGCCACAAAGTATCCTGGGAAGAAGTGGGCTTTGGAGAGAGAAAAAATGGGGTTTGATACCTGATTTCACCATTTGTAACCTGTGTGGCAAGTTATTTAGTGTCAGTTTTCTCAACTGTAAAAGGGAATAATAATACCAAATTTGCACAGTGGTTTTGAGGACTAAATGACATAAGTTCTTGGGCTGGTCAAACTCAATTCCCATGCCATGTTCTTCTCAGTGTTGACCTGGTGACTGTTCAGAGGACATCAGGGTTGTGGCCTTTCAATCACTACAAGGAACTATGGGAACTCCTGGGTAAGGAGCCCCTCCTCAGAGAATCACCTCAACGACCAGACTGGAAACTGAATTGGAGGTTTTCAGGCTGGATAGAGGCCAGGGGCTTCAAGGACTACATGTTCGGCTAGGAGGGGGGCCTCTAGGGAGCAAGTGCAGGGCTGTGCTCACAGCAGGAGCTTAATGAAGGAGCTGGGTGAATGAATGAAGTCAGGAACCTGCCAGAAAGGGTGGGGAGAGGAACCTATGCGCTCAGGGGCAGACAAGGTGGCCAACCCTCACCAAACCCCCCGCCCTGACACATGCACACACCTCAGCTACTTTAGCTGGGGAGATCTTCCCTTCATAAGGGCAGCCAAGAGCACAGGAGACGTACCTGTGGGAAGACAGGGGAGGAATGAGGTCAGTGTCCTGAGCTTTTTGGCTAGCAGAACTGAGGCAGGGCTGTTTAACACACATTTCTGATCAGTGTGCAATCAACACCTGCAGCTGGGCGGAGTAAGGGCAGGGATGGTACAATTCAGTGCCAGGAGGAGGCAGTAGAGAGCAATGGCAGGGAACTGGGGGACAATGGACCTACAATTGAGGAAGCAGAAGTTGCACAGGCCTCAGGAGAGGCAGCCAAGGATTTACAATAAGCGGAGGAGGAGCTAGAGAGGGCAAGGAGAGTAAGCAGCTGGGTTGTAAGGTGGGGAGATGGAGCAAAACTACGTGCCAGAGGAGCTGGGGCCAGTACTCCAAAAGGAGACCAAAGACTGGGTAAAACCAAACTCAGAACAAGAGCTGAGTTGGATATGAGTCAGTAACAGGCTGGGCTGGCCTGAGGACCAAGGGATGAGCTGCCCCAGTGAGATGCTAGAGGATTCATTCATTCATTTATTCACCTGATGTTTACTGAGTTGCCTGCTATGTGCCAGGCACTGGCACAGAGCAGTGGGCAAGACTGATAAGGTTCCTGCCCTCTCAGAGCTTATCTCAAGTTAGGGAGATGGCCAATAAAAAAGCAACCAAGTAAGTAATGGAGAAAATCTCAGAAGTGATGTGCCACAGAGGAAAGATGGGAAATGATAGGAACAAGTGGAGGAGGCCAACTAGTGAGGGTCCAGGAAAGATCCCTCTGAGGACAGGATGCTGGAGCCGAGAGGAGCCGGGGGTGGTCTGTGAGAAGAGCATTCCAGGCAGAGGGAAGACCTGGGCAAAGCCCTGAGACAGAAGAGCCAGGCATGCTCCAGACAGAACAAAGGACAGCTGAGGCAGACAGAGCAAGGGGAAAGGAAGTATGAGATGAGGAGGTCAGCAAGGTGGGCACAGGTCTGATCATGGGTCTTAGGGCTATGGTAAGGAGGGTGGATTTGGGATGTAGGTGACTTCTATTCCCACCTGCCCTTTTGGGAGCTGTCTTTAAAACCCTTTAGAGTCAAGCAAATTCTGCATATTAAGAGGCATAATAAATGTTCAACAGATAAATAATTTCAGACTCAAAGATCTCAGTGTACTTTTCCATTTTGATGCTCCCACTTATTCTCCAACCACTGCTGAGCAAGAAAAAGGTAAGAGAGATGCTTAGAAAGACACAGATCTGGGAGTTGGGCCAATGTTACTGGAGCACCTGCTTCCCCATTCATCCACCTGCCCGTCAGTGACTGAGTGCCCACTGTGGCTAGGCCCCAAGCTGGGAGAGTGGAGCACCCCAGGGACTGGGAGAGATGTGGGCTTTGCCCTCATGGAGTGCACGGTCTAGTGGGGTGGGGCAGGGAGGGAATTTAACAAGCAGCTAAGTGCTACATTTAGAGGATGTCCCGACACCATGGGGTCCCAGAGAAGGGCACTAACTCCAGCTGAAGGACTGGAGCAGCTTCTCAGAGGAACTGACTCCCACAAGAAGACCTGAAGGATGAGCAGGAGTTATCCCCGAGAAGCATGATGTGGAGGAAGTGTTCTTTATTTTTTGGAGACAGAGTCTTACTCTTTCACCCATGCTGGTGTGCAGTGGCATGATTTTGGCTCACTTCAGCTTGGACCTCCCAGGCTCAGGTGATCTTCCCACCTTAGCCTCCTGAGTAGCTGGGACTACAGGCACATGCAACCACACCTGGCTTTTTTTTTGTAGAGCTGGGGTTTCACCATGTTGCCCAGGCCCAAGCCAGTCACAAACTCCTGGGCTGAAGCAACCTGCCCACCTTGGCCTCCCAAGGAAGGTTGTTCTGAGTCTAGAGAGAGCACGTGCAAAGGCCCAGAGGCAAGAGTGGAGGCATGTGACAAACAGAAAGAAGTTCCAGTTGGGCTGGAGTGTACCATGAAGAGGAAGCAGGGGCCAGAAGGGAACTTGAACGGTACGGCTACAGAAAAGAGCCGGGACCAAATCATGCAGGGTTTGTAAACCTCATTAAAAAGTCTGCACTTGATTAGTCACTGAAAGCTTTTTAACCAGGAGGGATGTGATCAGATGTGCACTTTTGTGGGGTTTTTTTGGTTTTTGTTTTTGAGACAGAGTCTCACTCTGTCACCTAGGCTGGAGTGCAGTGGCGTGATCTTGGCTCACTGCAACCTCTGCCTCCTGGGTTCAAGTGATTCTCCCGCCTCAGCCTCCTGAGTAGCTGGGATTACAGGTGCATGCCACTACGCCCGGCTAATTTTTGTATTTTTAGTAGAGATGGGGTTTCCCCATGTTGGCCAGGCTGGTTTCAAACTCCTTACCTCAGGTGATCTGCCCGCCTCGGCCTCCCAAAGTGCTGGGATTACAGGCATGAGCCACCATGTTCAGCCCAGATGTGCACTTTTCAACGATCATTCTGGCTGCAATGTTTTTTTTTTTTTTTTTTTTTTTTTGAGATGGAGTTTTGCTCTGTCACCCAGGCCGGAGTACAGTGGTGTGATCTCGGCTCACCACAACCTCCGCCTCCCAGATTCAAGTGATTCTCCTGCCTCAGCCTCCCAAGTAGATGGAATTACAGCTAATTTTTGTATTTTTAGTAAAGACGGGGTTTCTATCCACTACCACGCCCAGCTAATTTTTGTATTTTTAGTAGAGATGGGGTTTCACCATGTCGGCCAGGCTGGTCTTGAACTCTTGACCTCAGGTGATCCACCTGCCTTGTCCTCCCAAAGTGCTGGGATTACAGGTGTGAGCCACCATGCCCGGCCTCTGGCTGCAATTTGCACAGCAGTGTGACCTTACAGTAGAGTATTCGCCCTTCCTGGGCCTCGGTTTTGTAATTTATAAAGTGAGGATAACCTACTCCCTGCTGGGCTATTGTGAGGTTTCAATTATTATAGATAATACACACACAATGCCTGGAACCACTGATATTAGAGATGTGATGTTGGAAACATAGAAGCCTAGGTAATTCTCCAGGGATGTGTGAAGAGCTAGTGATAAAGCCAGGACTCAACTGACCTCCACAAACCCGTTAGTGTCCTGTCCTGCTAGATTCCTTTAGCATGATAGCAGTGGTGCTATCATGGCTCACTGCAGCCTCAAACTCCTGGTCTCAAGCCATCCTCTGCCTCAGTCTCCCAAGTTGCTAGGACTACAGGCGCATGCTATCATGGCTAGCTGGTAAACTGACCCAAAATTCAGGTTTGAGAGAAAGTACTTCCTAGGATTTCTTCTGACCACACTTATTTGGGAAAAGATGTCTAGGTGTGGAGCTCAGGCTGCCCCCACCCAGGATAAGAAGTTTGTGGCAGGAGGACCACTTGAGTCAGAGTCTAGCCCCATTCCAGAACGGTACAGAGGAAAGGATACCAATGTGCTCTGACTCACCCCCGCACAGAAATATTGGCTGACTGCGCTGCCTTCAGGATTGCGTCAAACCTCTGAAAACTCTCCTCTATGGAACAATTGATGTTCTTCTTGGTGAAGAGCTCTGAGGCAGCTCCAAAGATGACTACTTCCTTGGCTCCAGCAGCAACCTGCCAACATCCAGGTGAACTCCTTTCAGCACTTTTCTCTTTTTTTGTTTGAGATGGAGTCTTGCTTTGTTGCCCAGGCTGGAGTGCAGTGGCATGATCTCGGCTCACTGCAACCTCCACCTCCTGGGTTCAAGCGATTCTCCTGCCTCAGCCTCCTGAGTAGCTGGGATTACAGGAGCCCACCACCACGCCCGGCTAATTTTTGTATTTTTAGTAGAGACAGCGTTTCACCATGTTGGTCAGGCTGGTTTCGAACTCCTGACCTTGTGATCCACCCACCTCAGCCTCCCAAAGTGCTGAGATTACAGGTGTCAGCCATCATGCCCGGCCAGCACTTTTCTCTTTAAAGAACACTGACACAGAGTAGCAAAAAATTTCTCTTAAGGTAAATTTTATGTTATGTGAATGTTATGGGTTGAATTGTGTCCTCCTAAAAATATATGTTGAAGGATTAAAACCCAGCACCTCAGAATGTGACCTTATTTGGAAACAGCGTCATTGCAGATATCATTAGTTAAGATGAAGCCATACTGGAATAGGGTGGGCCCCTAATCCCATACGACTGGTGACCTTAAAAAAAGATGGCCAGCCGGGCGCAGTGGCTCACGCTTGTAATCACAGCACTTTGGGAGGCCGAGGCGGGCAGATCATGAGGTCAGGAGATCGAGACCATCCTGGCTAACACAGTGAAACCCCATCTCTACTAAAAATACAAAAAATTAGCCGGTCGTGGTGGCACACGCCTGTAGTCCCAGCTACTCGGGAGGCTGAGGTGGGAGAATCACTTGAACCTGGGAGGTGGAGCTTGCAGTGAGCCGAGATCATGCCACTGTACTCCAGCCTGGGCGACAGAGCAAGACTCTGTCTAAAAAAAACAAAAACAAAAGATGGCCAAGTGAAGACACAGAGACACAGAAAAGGTGGCCCTGGGAAAACGGAGGCAAAGACTGGAGAGATGCATCTACAAGCCAGGCAATGCCAAGGACTGCTGGCCACCACCAGACCCCAGCAGAGAGGCATAGGACAGATTCTCCCAGAGGCCTCAGAAGGAACCAATCCTGCTGACACCTTGATTTGGGACTTCTGGCCTCCAGACTGTGAGAGAATAAATTTCTGTTGTTTTTAAGCCACCCAATTTGTAGTGCTTTCTTTTTTTTTTTCTTTTTTCTTTTTTTGAGACAAAGTCTTGCTCTGTCACCCAGGCTGGAATGCAGTGGCATGATCTTGGCTCACTGCAACCTCCGCCTTCCGGGTTCAAGTGATTCTCCTGCCTCAGCCTCCTGAGTAGCTAGGATTACAGGTACCTGCCACCAAGCCTGGCTAATTTTTTGTATTTTTAGTAGAGACGGGGTTTCATCGTGTTAGCCAGGATGGTCTCGATCTCCTGACCTCATGATCCGCCCGCCCTGGTCTCCCAAAGTGCTAGGATTACAGGCGTGAGCCACCGCGCCCGGCCTGTAGTGCTTTCTTACAGTAGCACTAGGAAACAAACACAGTAATTTCTCTTAATTAAAAAAAAAAAAACTTTGATTTTCCCCAAGGAAACCACCACCACTGCCATCACCACCCTGGAAGTCACTCTTGAGAAAAAGCTTTTTTTTTTTTCTTGCTGTGTCACCCAGGCTGGAAGAGTGCAGCGGTATTATCATGGCTCACTGCAGCCTCGAACTCCTAGTCTCAAGCCATCCTGTGCCTCAGTCTCCCGAGTAGCTAGGACTACAGGTGCATGCCATCACAGCCAGCTAATTGATTTTTTTTTTTTTTTTTGTAGAGACAAGGTCTCCTTATGTTGCTCAGGCTGGTCTCAAGCTTCTGGCCTCAAGCTGTTCTCCGGCCTCAGCCTCCCAAAGTGCTGGGATTATAGGTGTGAGCCACTGTGCCCAGCCAAAAAAAGGTTTTTGCCTAAATACAGAACCAACGCCTCCAAAGATGTTCTTGTCTAAAATTGTAAGAAAGTTGGCAGATGCCAGCAACTACTGTTGAAACTCTTGTGGAGAGTTTGGTTACATTTCTCTAAAGAAGTGGATAATCAAAAGAGCTAACATTTATTAAGCAGTTACCTTTTATCTGGCTCTTGCTAAGCAATGTACATGCATCCTATCTTCTGAAATGCTCACAACTTCAGGTACTATCATTTAGCCCTATTTTATAGGCTTGTCAACTTGTCAAGATCACAGAGCAGTGAGTGGCAGGGCCAGGTTTGCCCCAGGGTCTGGCTGACAGACAAGCTATTCAGATGGACATCCCAGGACAGGGGACTGAGGCGCCAAGACAAGGCAGGGACCAATGCCATCAATCTCATTTCAGGAGCCCCCACCAACAAGCTATCCTCTTACCGCTGCCTCGAAGCCTTTCAAATTTGGGGTCAGGACTGGGTAGTTGATGCCAGGAAACTTCTGAATGCCCTTCAAGACTTCAGTGTGGTCACCCATCTAGGAACCAAGGGAGACATTGCCAAGTCATCACCAAGAGCAGACAGAGAGTTCAGTTAGAGAAAACCTTTTCATCACAAAACCTCTGTTCTCCAGAACTCTTAGCGAGTAATTCCTTCTGCAGAGCTGAGTCTCTCCAATACTTTTACTGTTTGTTTGACTGCTGATGGCTCAGAAGGGCCCTTGGTTTGGCTGAGATCCCAATTTCTCCATATGGCCCATACTGCCAGCTTTACATATGCAGAAACAGCAGGAATACTACTACCAGCCATTTATTGAGAATGTACTCTGGGCCAGGCACTGAGCTCAGCTCTGTGTTAAGCACTCCTTTGTAACAGGATGTTTCTTCTTCACTTAACTATCTTTGTGAAGCAGGAGTTGTCAGTCTTCCTCTTTTACAAACAAAGAAACCACAGACAGGCATAGAGGGTTTTAGACTTTAGGGCTAGAAGAGGTCATCTCTAACACTGAGGAGGGGAAGGCCTTAGCAATGTCACTGAGCAAGTCAGAGCAGAGCCAAGACTGAACCCAAGGCCCTGAATCCTGGGTCATGTTCTTTTGCTGCAACACAGTGCTATGAATCACCTGAGACCTCTCAAAGCCAGGGGCTTGGAAACCTATGTTCTCAACTTCTACTTGCTTCAAAGGCAAATGCAAAACTTTTCATCCCTAGAGAAAGGCCTTTCATTGAGGGCTAGGGCTCACCTGGGGAACCCACTTAGGAGACACAAAGCTGGTGGTTTCTATAACAGAGAGTCCTGCTTCAGAAAGCATGTCTATCAGCTTGATTTTCACTGGAGTAGATACGATATTCTATAGTGGAGAGAGAAACACCAAGGCAGCAAAGTTAGTAACAAAACAGCCTCAAAATGCAGTACCTGTTAGTTCAAGTACTATAGATAATTTTTTGCAGTGGATGCAGCTTCTCACCTGAAAAGGAGTTATTTACATAGAAACATTATTCTGCCATGCAGGCTTTCCCGTAAGTAAATGTGTGTTAATTTATAATCCCATCATAAACAAACTGAGAGCAATGTGTGATGGCCTGAAAGGGCAGAGATGACTAACCCTCTGGGGAGTATGGGATGGGGCCCCCAAAGTATCACACCCTCCTCGCTTCTGTCTCCCAATTGGCATAGGACTTCAGCCTCATGTGTTCAGCGTATAGCTTCTTTATCTTCCTCCCCACCATGTCCAGTAGCTCAACAGATTCCATGGATTCCTCTTTCCAAATCTACCATCATTATCCTGTATATAACATGGCATAGTCTCAAGCCACTAATTCATCTTACACAGGAATCCTCCTAAAATGCAGCTTCCAACCTTCCATTCTCTTGCATCAAAAGCTTTCTATGGCTCCCTAATATTTACAGGATTACGCAAAAAATTCTAAGAACTCCAGGTCCAGGCGGACACATTGGCTCACGCCTGTAATCCCAGCACTTTGGGAGGCTGAGACAGGCAGATCATTTAAGCTTAGGAGTTTGAGACCAGCCTGGGCAACATGGCGAAACCCCCTCTCTACAAAAAATACAAAAATTAGCCAGGCGTGGTGGCACGTGTCTGTGATCCAGCTACTCAGGAGGCTGAGGTGGATCACTGGAGCCTGGGAAGTCGAGGCTGCAGTGAGCAATGATTGTGCCACTGCACTGAGTGACACAGAGCAAGACCCTGTCTCAAACAAAAAGAACACACAAAAATACTCCAGGTCCTTCTCGCTAGGTCCTCCCCTTGCCTGCCTTCTCCAGTTTCTCTCCCACTGCTCTAACTTAATCTTTCCACAAAATTTTTTTTTTTTTGAGATGGAGTCTCACTGTATTGCCCAGAGTGGAGTGCAGTGGCACAATCTCAGCTCACTGCGACCTCCGCCTTCCGGGTTCAAGCGATTCTCCTGCCTCAGCCTCCAGAGTAGATGGGATTACACAAGCATGCCACCACCCCAGCTCATTTATTTTAGTAGAGATGGGGTTTCACCATGTTGGCCAGGCTGGTCTCAAACTCCTGACCTCAGGTGATCTGCCTGCCTCAGCCTCCCAAAGTGCCAGTATTACAGGCATGAGCCATCATGCCCAGCCTGTCAAATAATTTTTGAAAGCCCTCCATGTTGCAGGCATTGTGCTAGGTGCCGGGGATATAGCAGTAAGCAGAAGCAGAACAGACAGGATTCTGCCCTTCGGGAACTTACACACTATTGTTTCCAACAAGCACTCACTATTAAAGCTAGGATGGACGTGCTAAAAAAAAAAAAAAAAAAAAAAAAAAAGAGAAAAAGAAAAAAGCTTTTCTTATTGAAAAAATAATCAATATATGATTCTTTCAGAAAAACATGCCAAAAACAAAAGAAAACCACCCTTAGAATCTCCCAGTGATAACGCTATTAACACCCTGGTGTGTAACTTTCTAGATCTGTGCAGCCCAATATGTCACTAGTCACATGTGGTTATTTAAATTTAATAAAAATTGTATAAAAATAAAAATACAATTCCTTGGCCACACTAGTCACATCTCAAGTTCTCAAGGGCCACATGGGTATAGTGGCCACCACATGGAAAAGCTCAGGTCCAGAATATTTCCATCTTCACAGAAAGTGCTGGTCTAGGTCCTAGTCTAGATAAATGCTCCCATACATATATAAACTTTTTTCTTACATAAAAGTGTTAAGATTAAAAAATACATGGCCAGGCGCATTGGCTCATGCCTGTAATCCCAGCACTTTGGGAGGCTGAGGCAGGTGGATCACCTGAGGTCGGGAGTTCAAGACCAGCCCGGCCAACCTGGTGAAACCCCATCTCTACTAAAAATACAAAAATTAGCTGGGCATGGTGGCAGGGGCCTGTAATCCTAGCTATTCGGGAGGCTGAGGCAGGAGAATCACTTGAACCCGGGAGGAGGAGGTTGAGGTGAGCCGAGATTGCGCCATTGCACTCCAGCCTGGGTGACAGAGTGAGATGCCATCTCCCAAAAACACACACACACACACGCGCGCGTGCGTACGCGCACATGCACTATTTGTTTTTGTTTGGAGACAGAATCGTGCTCTGCCTCAGCCTCCTGAAGTGCTGGGATTACAGGCATGAGCCACCACCATGCCCAGTCACATGTACTATTTTATAAACTGCTTGAGTCACTTTATATATACCTATGTTATTAATGGCTTCATAATATTTCATTTTATAAAAAGTCCATAGTGTATCTGACCCAACTTTCCTCATACTAAATATTTAAGTTGTTTCCAACTGTTCTGTGCTTACCAAACAGGTTTGTAAGGAACACCCCCAAGGCTAAATCTCTACATTTGGCCTTCGTGACTTGCTTTGGATAAATCCCCTTACATGGAATTGCTGGGTCTACCCCACCCCACTGGGCTGTGGACCTGGGGACACCAAACCTGTTGCACCACCATTCAGTTTATATATATACATATATTTTTTAATAAGATAGAGTCTTGCTATATTGCCCAGACTGGTCTCAAACTCCTGGGCTCAAGCCATCCTCCCACCTCAGCCTCCCAAGTAATTAGGGATGACAGGCATGAGCCACCCATCCAGCTTGCCCCACCATTTTAGATCATTTAACTGTCACAGGTGTCTGTCCCTGTTTGGCCTCCTCTACTCTCCCCTAACTTGTGCAGAGGAATCACATCTTGCATAGCTCTGTCAACTGCCATTGCACCTATCACACGTAATACTCAAAGCAGATGCTTGAAAAAACTGTTTTTTTGGCTCATTTCCAACTTTACCTTTTCATTTTGTAGTCCATCTCGGGGACCAACTTCCACAATTTTCACCCGCTTTGGTAAAGTGCCCATAGATGAGGTGCTGACCTTTGGTTTAAAAGAGGAAACAAAAAGTATGAGGAAGAGATTGCCACAATTCCCAGGGAGACCAATATGAAAGAATGGATCTATCTTCACTAATAATGAGACAAGAAGAAATATTTCTCACCATTTAATTCACATTTGGTCTATTTTAGAATTAAGAACAAAAAGAATATTTCACTTAGTAACAGGAACAAGCAAGAGATTCATCCTTCCAGTACCGGTTCTCCCCTGAAGTCCAGACTCCTTTTCCACTGCCTACCTGACAGCTCTATTCGCATCTCTTCATATAGCAGTCCCGAAACAGAACTCTAATTTCTCCTAAAGCCCATCTGACTCCATCCTTTCCATCTCTGTCAAAGGCATCGCATGTACCCTACTGCATAAGCCAGAACTTCATTGAGCCATTTCACCTATTCACCATGGCCTATAGGACTCTGTATGCTGCTGTATGTATGTTAGAAGTAGTTTAAAAAGGCCAGGTATTGCGGGGGGCAGTGGCTCATGCCTGTAATCCCAGTACTTTGGGAGGCCGAAGCGGGCGATCACTTGAGGTCGGGAGTTTGAGACCAGCCTGACCAACATGGTGAAACCCCATCTCTACTAAAAATACACAAAAAATAGCCGGGTGTGGTGGTGCACGCCTGTAACTCCAGCTACTCAAGAGGCTGAGGCAGGAGAATTGCTTGAACCAGGGAGGTGGAAGTTGCAATGAGCCAAGATCGTGCCACTGTACTCCACCTTGGGCGACAGAGGAAGACTCCATTTCCAAAAAAAATAAAAAAAGGCCAGGCACGGTGGCTCATGCCTGTAATCCCAGCACTTTGGGAGGCCAAGGCAGGCAGATCACTTGAGGCCAGAGGTTCGAGATCAGCCTGGCCAACATGATGAAGAAACCCCGTCTCTACTAAAAATAGAAAAATTAGCCAGGTGTGGTGGAATGGACATGTAGTCCCAGCTACTCAAGAGGCTGAGGTGGGAGAATCGCTTGAGCCCAGAAGGTTGAGCCTGCAGTGAGCTATGACTGTGCCACTACACTCCAGCCTGGGCAACAGAGCGAGACCCTGTCTCAAAAAAAAAAATTAAATGACTCTATATGTCACTTGATGCTTTCCAATTAAGAAAAGAAAAGACTGTATGAGTTGCCTCCTCTGACCTCCTGGAATCATCACTCGCCCCTACTGTCCACTCCCAACCTCCACCCAACAGGTTGCTAAGCTCCCTGCCTTCTCTTCCCTCTGCCCCAGGGTTCCTCATCTGGCTTTTTTTAAAAAAACTGGCTGTTCTTACATCTCTCTCTCATCTTTCAGTTGCAGAGAGGCTTCCTCTGACCACCCTTTGCAAAGCTGCCATTCCTCCCACCCCCATTATTTTCGCTATTGCAGAGCTATAATTATTTCCTTCAAAGCACGATAAAGAATGCCTACTCAATGTCTCTTCCAGTAGAACATAAGCTCTTTGAGGGACCTTGTCTGTCTCAACTCCACTTCATCCCTAGTGTTTGGCACCGTGTTTGGTACAAAGTAGCCACTCTTTAAAGTTATTAAAATAACACATAAACCATGAAGGACACAGCTGTCCCAGAAGAGAGCAATTACTGAGTGTGGGGAGGAGTAGTCAGTCCTGGACTTTTCGGGGTATGGGCGAGATGCAGGAGGGCTCTCTTCTGTTACAGTCATAGGCTGGGTGATGACAAGCATGGGTCTAAGGGGAGGTGACACCCCCAGTAGCTGAAGACAGTTTTTACAAAATGCCCTGAGTCTCCTCTATATAAAGTCAGCTCAAAATCTTAGTCTTCCCTATCAAGTAACACAATACTTTTTTTTTCCTCTTTCCTCTACCTGTCTTGATACTGTAACTTTTCAAATCAACTTTGTTTTACAGATTTAATCTGGATAAATATACTACAACGAGGCAAAGCGGAAGGCACACTGTGTGATCCGCTAAGGATCTCAACCCCCTGAAGTCCCCCAGGAATTCCCTGCTAGGAAGCAGCTGGAACATGTACAACTCACCTGACTGGCCTTGTTTTAGCCAACAAGCTTTCTTAGAGACTAAGGCGATGAGCCATTGAATTTCATGACGTCAACAGGCTAAGTTGGAAGGTCCCTGCAACTTGAATCTCCCTCCAACAGGGATGTTCAGCCTCTGCTAGTATATCACCCTAAAACTATCTCACTGGAACATAAGTTTCATGAGACAGGGACTTTGTTTTATTCAATGCTGTATTTCTAAGGCCCTGGGACATAATAGGGGCTCGATAAATAACAGTTGAGTGTTGCTGAAATAATCTAAAACCTGCTTCAGGCCAAGCGTGGTGGCTCACGCCTGTAATCCCAGCACTTTGGGAGGCCGAGGTGGGCAGATCACCTGAGGTCAGAAGTTCGAGACCAGCCTAGCCAACATGGTGAAGCCCTATCTCTACTAAAAACACATAAATTAGCTAGGCATGGCAGCAGGTGCCTGCAATCCCAGCTACTCGGGAGGCTGAGGCAGGAGAATTGCTTGAACCCAGGAGGAGGAGGTTGCAGTGAGCTGAGATCGTGCCATTGTACTCCAGCCTGGGGTACAAGAGCGAGACTTCTTCATCTCAAAAAAAAAAAAAAAAAAAAAAGCTTCTAAAACCTGCTTCCAAGCTGCTTTTATTAGAACATTATAAACTCAATTCCACTTCCTTCCTTCCCCGTAACAGCTCTTCACATAATAATTCAGTTTTTAAACACTTAATATTTGCCAGGCACATACAAGAGCCATTTACATATTTATTTATTTATTTATTTATTTGAGATACAGTCTCATTCTGTCTCCAGGCTGGAGAGCAGTGGCGCGATCTTGGCTCACTGCAACCTTCACCTCCCAGGTTCAAGTGATTCTCCTGCCTCAGCCTCCCGAGTAGCTGGGACTACAGGTGCGCACCACCACACCTGGCTAATTTTTTGTATTTTAGTAGAGACAGGATTTCACCAGGTTGGCCAGGCTGGTCCCGAACTCCCGACCTCAAGTGATCCACCCACCTCAGCCTCCCAAAGTGCTAGGATTATAGGCATGAGCCACCACGCCTGGTGAGCCATTTACATATTAACCCATACTGTCCTCTCAACAATCTTATCAGGTAGGAACTATCATCATCCCCATTTTACTGTAAGAAATCTAAGGCCCCACTTGGGAGGCTGAGGCAGAAGAATCGCTTGAACCTGGGAGGCAGAGGTTGCAGTGAGCTGAGATTGAGCCACTGCACTCCAGTCTGGGTGACAGATGACAGAGCAAGACACCGTCTCAGGAAAAAAAAAAAGAAAGAAAAGAAAAGAAATCTGAGACCCAAAGAGATTAAGTAATCTTCCCGAGGTGACATGGGGAGTTACTCACTGAGGCAATATCTAAACCTGGCAGTGTGGCTCTAGAGCACAAGCTCCTAACCTCTGGGCCACTGTTGCCTCTTTACCACCGTTCGTTCGGTCCACAGTCTTCTCCTGGTTAAACATCCCGTTCCTCCTCTGTAAAGCTCTGCTCAGAGAGGGTCCCCCTAACCACACAAGTACTGTGCCACAGTGTCCTGAGGTATGGTGTACCTGCATCAACACCAACAGCGAATACTGACTAAACCCAGTGTTAAACTACAGGCCAGGGACTATTATTATCCCAACTCCGTAGGTGAAGAAACTAAGCCTCAGAAAGGTTACCCAAAAATCACAATTAGAAAGTGACAGAGCTTGGACTTGAACCCATATCTAGGCCTAATACTAATACTGGTTCCTATGCTTGGAACCCCATGGAGGGCCATCTCATTACACCAAATATTTCTTAAAAGCTTATTAATATCTACTATTGCGTTTAACTTTCCAAGTTGGAATTGCCATCTTCATTTTACACATGAGCAGGTGGTGCAGGTGAATGGCCAAGTAAAGATATTAACGTGGCTTTCTGAGAGGGACCCAGTGCCAGGAGTGTATTTTTCCCTCTATACAGTTATAACTCCTTCTCAACTCCCTAAGGTAAAAATACCACCACCGACTGATCACTTATTAGGAGCCAGAACACTGCCAGATGTGTTACTTACATTTTCTCTAATTTCCAAAACAACCCCAAGGGAATGTTGTCCGTTTTACAGACGAAAGAGCTGAGGTTTAGAGAAAGTAAATAACTATGTCATTAAGTCTAGAAAGTGGCAGAACTATTGGGACACCCTAGCTTCAGCTTTTATTTTTTCTGCTCCATACAGCTACGTCTCCCACACTTTTTCTGCGCTGAGAATGGGAGAGGGGAAAACATCAGGATCGAACAGGATCAAAGTGCAATTCCAAGGGAATCACAGCTTGGCTCCAATCAACGCAAGTCCCGCTCGGTAGGCTGGGATAGTTCCCCAAGCATCTCTAAAAGCAACAACAGTTGGAAATGGAGACGAAGGAAATGGAAGCGTGTTCTTGATTTTCACTAATGAAGAGTTGGAGAGGTCTGAAGTTCAATTAGAGGGAGAAAGGGGCCAGGGTCATCGGAAAGGGCCCTGGGCGGGGAATCAGGGCACCTAGGATGGCGTCCCAGGTCTCCATGACCCAGACAAGTCACTCCACCTCTCCGGACCTCAGTTTTCCCATCCCCTTCAAAGGATTTGAGGGGAAAAGGGAGGGTCCAGGACTCCAACGCCCTCCCGACTCTGGCCTGAGAGCTGTCCGGCCTCGCCTCTAAGAGAGCAGTCACCACGGGCCAAGCCCCCAACCCTGACAGTCAGAGTGCCTGCAGGGCCGCCGCCTCGGCGGCTCGGGGCACTTACAGCCCGGAGGGACGCCAAGCCCACCAGTCGCCGCGGAAGCGCCTTCCTCATTGCTGCCATCTTGGCCCAGAATCCCCCGCGGCAGTCCAGCTGGGCCCCGCGTGACCGATGGCTCGTCTGGTGGGCGCGGCCCCGCCCCCGCCCCTCCGCCGTGACTTCCGAAGCTGGCTCCACCCCCAGCCTCTCTCCGTTTTGATTCCGAGCGCCTCTTCCATGCCAGGCCAAGTGAGACGCTAGGAATATAAAGATGAACAGAATCAGCCTGGACACCATGTAATCCTAGCACTTTGGGAGACCGAGGCGGGTAGATCACCTGAGGTCAGGAATTCGAGACCAGCCTGGCTAACATGGCGAAACCCCCGTCTCTCCAAAAAATCCAAAAAAAAAAAAAAAAAAAAAAAAAAAAAAAAAAAGCCGGGCGTGGTGGTGGGCGCCTGTAATCCCAGCTACTTGGGAAGCTGAGGCAGGAGAATTGTTTGAACCCGGGAGGCGAGGTTGCAGCGAGCGGAGATCGTGCCACTGCACTCCAGCCTGGGCGACACAGTGAGAGCCTGTCCAAAACAAAAAACCCAAAACCAAACAAACAAAAACATGAAAAGAAATTAACCAAATTCTGTGGCTTCTTGTGTTTAGAGTGTGGGAGGTGTGAGGAGACACATATTAATAGTTACACAAACAGTTGTGTCATTTCTAACTTGCACTATAAGAAGCAACGATTTGCTACTCACTGTTCCGAGTTCTTAGCACGGATTAACTCACGCATCACGATCTTCAGGATTCAAACACAGGCAGGCAGCTCCAGAGAGGGGGCATCCTTAGATTTCATACCTTAAAAAAATGATTAAGATTTATCTAGGTGTACTTTCTGAAGGGCTGAAAAAAAAAAAAATCTATCCAGGTGAAGAGGATACAAGAAAAACTTTCCAGACGGTGTAGCATTCGCAATGGCCCTGAGGCAAAGAAAATGCTGAGAACACTGTTTTTCTCTCTTTTGTTTTGTTGGTTTGTTTTGTTTGTTTGAGATGGAGTCTCACTCTGTCACCCAGGTTGGAGTGCAGTGGCGCGATTTCGGCTCACTGCAACCTCCGCCTCCCGAGTTCAAGAGAGTCTCGTGCCTCAGTCTCCCGAGTAGCTGGGATTACAGGTGTGCACCACCACGCCTGGCTAATTTTAGTGTTTTTAGTAGAAACGAGGTTTCACCGTGTTGGCCAGGCTGGTCTCAAATTCCTGACCTCAGGTGATCCGCCCGCCTTGGCCTCCCAAAATGCTGGGATTACAGGCGAGAGCCACCGCCCCCGGCCAGAGCACTGTTTTCAAACTGTATGTTGTACCCCACTAATTGGTCACAGTATCAATTTAGTGGGTACAAACTTTATTTAAAACAAAGAACTAGAATTTTATCTATCTATCATCTATCTATCTATCTATCTATCTATCTATCTATCTATCCATCTATATTTATTTATTAAGACGAAGTCTCACTGTGTTGCCCAGGCTGGAGTGCGGTGGCGTGATCTCGGCTCACTGCAACCTCTGACCCCGGGGTTCAAGCGATTCTCCTGCCTCAGCCTCCGGAGTAGCTGGGATTACAAGTGCCCATCACCGTGCCCAGATAATGTTTGTATTTTTAGTAGAGATGGAGGATTTCACCATGTTGGCCTGGGCTGAAGCAATCCACCCTCCTCGGCCTCCCAAAGTGCTGGGATTACAGGCGTGAGCCACTGTGCCAGGCCCCAAATATAAAATATTGCTCTATAAAATAATAAAAGAGTGATCTAAAAAAATAAAAATAATAATAAAAGAGAAAAGGCTGGGTGCAGTGGCTTACACCAGTAATTCCAGCACTTTGGGAGGTCGAGGTGGGAGGATCACTTGAGGTCAGAACTTGAAGACCACTCTGGCCAATAAAGTGAGACCCCAAGTCTATTCAATAAATAAGAAAAATAGCCAGGTGTGGTGGCTCATGCCTGTAATCCCAACACTTTGGGAGGCCGAGGTGGGCGGATCACTTGAGGTCAGGAGTTCGAGACCAGCCTGACCAACATGGTGAAACCCCGTCTCTACTAAAAATACAAAAATTAGCTGGGCATGGTGGTGCGTGCCTGTAATCCCAGCTACTCAGGAGGCTGAGACAGGAGAATCACTTGAACCTGGGAGGCGGAGGTTGCAGTGAGCCGAGATCACGCCACTGCACTTCAGCCTGAGTGACAGAACGAGTCTCTGTCTAAAAACTAAATAAATAATAATAATAAATAAGAAAAATATTAGAATACAATGTATAAAAGTAGTAAAGCCAAGTACTGCTTTGCAAAACTTTTGTTCATTATATATATCAACAAGGTTGCAATGTAAAATAAATTTCTTACTGTGGGCTGCACTTGGAATTGTTTGAAAACACCTTTTTAGCAAGATGAAAAGAAGGCTGGAATGATTGGAGAGCGGGGAGGGAGTAGGAAGGGGACTTCCTACTAAGATTGGAGAGTTTGGCAGGAACTGTCACAGGGCTTTGGTGAACACACTAATACCAGCTGTCCTAATAGCAGTGATTTTGAATGATTTAGAGTAGGGAAATCTGATTGAATTTGCATTTTTAAATAGTCACAGGGGCTACTGGTTGGATGTTAATTGTGTGTCTGGTATTCTCAGGGAAGGCAGTGAAGGCACTTTCCTTGACTTTAAGGAGCTCAGATTTTATCTAGGGAAAAAACAAGACATGATAATTATTCTGTTAGGCTTCAGCAGCACTGGAAATTTTCTCTATCATGACACTGGGAGCATTACTCACAGAATTCTCAAACCTGTGTTAGAGGGCTGCACTCGGCCCAAACATACTGGCATGGTATTATTTAAAATATGTCTTTCAAGACTTGTACACTGAAAATTATAAACCATTGGTGAAAAAAATTAAAGAAGACATAGTGGTAGGACATCCCATGTTCATGAATTGGAAGACTTAATACTGTTTTTTAGTTTGTTTGCTTTTGCTTTGAATTTTTTAATTTTTAATTTATTTTTATTGTTATTTATTTTATTGTTTGTTTACTTATTTATTTATTTTTGAGACAGAGTCTCACTCTGTCACCCAGGCTGGAGTGCAGAGGCGCAATCTCGACTCACTGCAACCTCCGCCTCCCGGGTTCAAGCGATTCTCCTGCCTCAGGTTCCCGAGTAGCTGGGATTACAGGCACCTGCCACTACGCCCAGCTAATTTTTGTATTTTTAGTACAGACGGGGTTTCACCATGTTGGCCAGGCTGGTCTCAAACTCCTGACCTCAAGTCATCCGCTCTCCTCGGCCTCCCAAAGTGCTGGAATTACAGGCGTGAGCCACCACACCCAGCCTTTTTTTTTTTTTTTTAGATGGGGTCTCACTCATTCTCTTGCCCAGGCTGGAGTGTAATAGTGCAATCATAGCTCACTGTAGCCTCAGCCTCCTGCACTCAAGCCATCCTCCCACCTCAGCCTCCTGAGTAGCCGGGACCACTGGTGCATGCACCATCACAACCAGCTAAGTTTTAAATTTTTTGGCCGACAATGGTCTTGCCATGTTGCCCAGGCTGGTCTTGAACTCCTGGGCTCAAGTGATCTTTCTTGTTTTGGTGCCCCAAAGTGTTGAGATTAAAGATGTGAGTCCCAGCACCCAGCCAAGAAGACTTAATATTGTTAAAATGTCAGGGAGGTGGAAGCTGCAGTGAGCTGTGATTGCACCACTGCACTCCAACCTAGGTGACAGTGAGACCCTGTCTGAAAAAATATAAAAAATAAAAATAAAAATTACCATATGATCCAGGAATTTCACTTCTAGGAATATACCCAAAATAATTGAAAACATGGACTTAAACATATGTACATATACCAATAGTGTTGCTATGTTCCTCATAAATACATATTCTTGTATATACAGAATATAAATATATTTATTTATATATTTATATATAGAATGTATAGAATATAAATTTATTTATAAATATACATATATATTTATATTCTGTATATACAAGAATATATATTTATGAGCAACATAGCAACATTATTGGTATGTGAATATCTGTTTAATTCCTTGTTTGCAATTATTTTCAGTATATTTCTAGAAGTGAAATTCCTGGATCATATGGTAATGTTTGTTTTTATTTTTGTTTTATTTATTTATTTTTTTGAGACTGAGTCTCACTCTATCACCCTGGCTGCAGTGCAGTGGTGCAATCTCAGCTCGCTGCAACCTCCGCCTCCTGGGTTCAAGCAATTTTCATGCTTCAGCCTCCCGAGAAGCTGGGATTACAGGCATACACCACCACACCTGGCCAATTTTTGTATTTTTAGTAGAGATGGGGTTTCACCATGTTGGTCAGGGTGGTCTCGAACTGCTGACCTCAAGTGATCCATCCACCTTGGCCTCCCAAAGTGCTGGGATTACAGGTGTGAGCCACCGCGCCCAGCCTAATTTTTTTTTTTTTTTTGAGACAGGGTCTTACTGTGTCACCTAGGCTGGAGTGCAGTGGTGCAATCACAGCTCACTGCAGCCTCCACCTCCCTGGGCTCAGGTGACCCTCCCACCTCAGCCTCCTGAGTAGCTTTTATGTATATATAAATTTACATATATAATTTTAAATATATTAATATATAATATATACTTATAAATTATTATATAACAAATTATATAATAAATATATTATATTTTATTTTATTTATAATTATATATTTTTATATAGTATATTTATATATAATATACTTATTATATATGCATATGTGTGTGTGTGTGTATATATATATATATATATATATATATATATATATATATATAAAAACTCTCCTATTGGTTCTGTTTCTCTGGAGAACCCTGTCTAACACAATGAGCAATAATGTTGCTCATAGTAACATTATCTGTGATGGCCAAAAGGCGTACAGAACGCACATGTGCATTAACAGATAAATGGATGAACAAAATGTGCTATATTGTATACCTACAATAGTTACTCATTCTTGAAAAGATATACAATTCTGACACATGTTGCAACATGGATAAACCTTAAAAATATTCTGCTAAGCCAGACACAAAAGGGCAAATTTCATGATTCCACTTATGTGGGTGTGATGGTTAATTTTATGTGTCAACTTGACTAGGCCACAGGGTATCCAAATATTTGACTACACATTATTTCCGGGTGTGTCTGTGAGGGCATTTCTGAATGAGGTTAGCATTTGAATCAGTAAAGGGAGTAAAGCAGATTACTCCCTCAATGTGGGGGGCATCATCCAATTCTTCGAAGGCCTGAATAGAACAAAAAGGTGGGGAAGGAAGAATTCTCTCTTCTACATTCAGACTGGGACTTACACTACACCATTGGTTCCTCTCATTCTCAGGCCCCTGGGCTTCAACTGGAGCTACACCTCACTGGCTTTTTTTGGTCTCCAGCTTGCTGACAGCAGATCATATTTCATACATATACATATCTTTTTTTTTTTTTTTTTTAAGATAGAGTTTTGCTCTTGTTGCCCAGGCTGGAGTGCAGTGGCGCGATCTTGGCTCACTGCAACCTCCACGGGTCAAGCGATTCTCCCGCCTCAGCCTACCGAGTAGCTGGGACTACAGGCACCCAACAACACGCCTGGCTAATTTTTGCATTTTTTTTTAATAGAGACGGGGTTTCACCATGTTGGCCAGGCTGGTCTTGAACTCCTAACCTCAGGTGCTCCAGCAGCCTCCAAAAGTGTTGGGATTACAGGCGTGAGCCACTGGGTCCGGCCTATATATCATCTTTTATTGGTTTTGTTTCTCTGGAGAATCCTAACTATTACAATGAGGACTTTATTATAGTCAAATTCATAGAGAAAGAAAGTTGAATAGTAGTTATTGGGGGCTGGGAGTGGAAAGAAATTGGGAGTTATTGTTTAATGGGTACAGAATTTCAGTTTGGGATATGAAGGAGTTCTGGATAGTGGAGATGGTTGTATAACAATGTGAATGTACTTAATGGCACTGAATTAAAATGGTAAACTTTATGCTATATATATTTTAAACAATAAAAAAAAATAAGTAACTGCACAAGAAAAAAAGACTTAGGCAAGGCATACCCTTGCCAGCTCCCCAGTCCCTACTACTCCTAATTGTCACAGACACGAGGCTTCTCTCCTTCCTCTGTTTGCCCCCCTAAAAGCCCTTGTTGGCAAATTCTCAAAAGTAAATAACTTACAAGCACAGCTCTGAGGCAAATGTCTAAACTAAAGGGCAGAGACTTTAACTGGTTGTTGAATGTGGTGTCTCCAATACCAGGCACATTTGGTGGCATGAAGTAAATACTGAAAGAGTAACACTAGCAACTGTTACAGACTTTGCTCAGGGTCACCCTTAGTTGGAATCTTATTTTAACCAAGATGTTTCCTTTTTTGCATTGTAACCCACCCTCAATTACAAAGCTTACAATAATTATTAACAATAGCCCCTACCATTTATTAAGTATATTTTCTGTATTGGTTGTGATATATAGTAACTTTTCATGAGTAATCAGACTCTGCAACATAAATGTTACTCTTTCCATCTGAGAAATGAGGAAACGGAGGCTTAAGAGACATTAAATAACTTTTCTAAGATCATGTATGGTAGGTAAGTTCAGACCCAAATCTGACTCTAGAGAATGCTTTCTTTGCTACATGATAACACTATTCCCTCTTTCCTCTTCCTTTCTCTCCAAATTACTAAAAGAGATGGCTGCTGTGATTAAGGCACAAGTTGGTGCTAGGTGCTAAGACCGCAGTAGTAAATAAGATTCACCACAATTCTGTGCACCTTTCTCAGACCTTCAGATTTTATGGTAATAGTTTTTTTTCCCAGGACTTTTTTTTTTCTTTTTAATTTTTTTTTTTTTAATGAGACGGAGTCTTGCTCTGTCGCCAGGCAGGAATGCAGTGGCGTGATCTTGGCTCACTGCAACCACCACCTCCTGGGTTCAAGAAATTCTCCTGTCTCAGCCTCCCCAATAGCTGGGACTACAGGTGCCCACCACCACACCTGGCTAATTTTTGTAGAGACGGGGTTTCACCATATTGGTCAGGCTGGTGGTCTCAAACTCCTGACCTCAGGTGATCCACCCGCCTCGGCCTCCCAAAGTGCTGAAATTACAGGCATGAGCCACCACGCCTGGCCTCAGATTGCATTTCTAATGCACAACAGCAAATTTCTGTTTATAGCTTTTCCTTAAAAGCAGATGACATCTCTTCTGCAAGTGGGAATAATAATGTTTAAATCCAACATCTGCCTTTCTGCAAATCCTGTGAGAGCAATAGCAGACTTTTTACAGTAGTGGAACTTAGTCAGTGTCAACTTTTATGAATGTTTATGATATTCTGGTCCATAAAGCAAATTTCAAAAAATTGGTGACATGTATATCCTATTAATTAACCATAATTAATGACAAATGGATAAGTGTGTGTGTGTGTGTGTGTGTGTGTGTGTGTGTGTGTGTGTTTGAGACAGGGTCTTTCTCTGTCACCCAGGCTGGAGTGCAGTGGCACAATCATAGCTCACTGCAGCCTTGAGCCTTTGGGTTCAAGTGATCCTCCCACCTCAGCCTCTCAAGTAGCTGGGATGACAGGCACATGCCACCATACCCAGCTAAATTTTTTGTTTTGTATTTTTTGTAGAGATGAGGGTCTTACTATGTTGCCAAGGCTGGTCTTGAACTCCTGGGCTCAAGTGATCCTCTCACCTTGGCATCCCAAAATGCTGGGATTGCAGGCATGAGCCACCATACCCAACTGGATAACTCATTTTAAGAAGAGATGAGATTATGTTGAAAATGAAGCCCACAGCAGCAGGTCATACACATCAATTTTTGGGGAATAAACTCATCTTGTTTGTGCCTTAATTGAAGAGGACCGACAATTAACAGCACAAACAGTAGCCAACACCATAGACATCTCAATTGGTTCAGTTTACACAATTCTGATGGAAAACTCAAGTTAGAGCAATTAAGTTAGACATAACTTTATGCTTGGAAAGTATGGGGAAAAAAACCCTAACTCATGGGTCAAAGAAAAAATCAAAATAGAAATTATAGGCCAGGCACAGTGGCTCACACCTGTAATCTCAGCACTTTGGGAGGCTGAGGCAGGTGGATCTCCTGAAGTCAGGAGTTTGAGACCAGCCTGGCCAACATGGTGAAACCCTGTCTCTACTAAAAATACAAAAAATTGGCTGGGCGTGGTGGCAGGTGCCTGTAATCCCAGCTACTTGGGAGGCTGAGGCAGGAGAATAGCTTCAACCTGGGAGGCAGAGGTTGCAGTGAGCCAAGATTGTGCCATTGCACTCCAGCCTGGGCAAGAAGAGCAAGACTCGGTCTAAAAAAAAAAAAAAGAAAAGAAAAGAAAGAAATTATAATAGGCCGGGTGTGGCGGCTCCTGCCTGTAATCCCAGCACTTTGGGAGGCTGAGAAGGGTGGATCACTTGAGGTCAGGAATTCAAGACCAGCCTGACCAACATGCAAAACCCTGTCTCTATTAAAAATACAAAAATTAGTTGGGCATGGTGGCTGATGTCCATAATCCCAGCTACTACAGAGGCTGAGGCAGGAGAATTAATTGAACCCAGGAGGCGGAGGTTGCGGTGAGCCGAGATCACACCACTGCACTCCAGCCTGGGTGACAGAGCAAGAGTCCATCTCCAAAGGAAAAAAAAAAAAAAAAGAAATTACAATATACTTAGAATTAAATGATAATGGAAATATATTAAAAGACAAATGCTTGTATTGGAAAAGGTAGTTGAAGAGTAGTGAATGAAGTTTCTAACTCAAGATGTGAGGCCAGATGCAGTGGCTCATGCCTGTAATCCCAGCATTTTAGGAGGCCGAGGCAGACAGATCACCTGAGGTCAGGAGTTTGAGACTGGCCTGGCCAACATGGTGAAACCCTATCTCTACTAAAAATACAAAAATTAACCGGGCATGTTGGCACACGCCTGTAGTCACAGCTACTCGGGAGTCTGAGGCAGGAGAATCGTTTGAACCTGGGAGGCAGAGGTTGCAGTGAGCCGAGATCATGCTGCTACACTCCAGCCTGGGTGACAGAGCAAGACTCCATCTCAAAAATAAATAAATAAATAAAAAGAAAAGAAAAGAAAAAGGTGTGAGAAAAACAACAGACAAAAAGTAAGTAAAATAAAAGACAAAATAAAAGACAGAAATTTGTTTGTTTTTTGAGACAGCATCTTGCTCTGTTGCCCAGAGTAAAATGTGGTGGTCTGATCACAGCTCACTGAAGCCTCAACCTCATGGGCTCAAGTGATCCTCCTGTCTCAACCTCTCGAGTAGCTGGGACTACAGGCATACACCATCATACCCAGCTAATTTTTGTATTTTTTGTGGAGGGGGTTTCGCCATGAACTCCTGGGCTCAAGCGATTTGCCTGCCTCAACTTCCTGAAGTGCTGGGTTTCAGGCATGAACCACTGCACCTGGCCTGAAAAGGTAGAAATTTGAATAAAATAAGAAAATATTACAACAAAGAGGATCATCCAACAACAACAACAACAAAAAAGAAACTTGGTTCTTTGAGTCTAATAAAATTGACAAGCTTCACAACAGATCACAAAAAAGGCATACATGTTTACTGCCTTTTTAAATTTATTTTTTATTTTTGAGACAGAGGCTTGCTTTGTCACCCAGGCTGCAGTGCAGTGGAGCGATCTCAGCTCACTGCAACTTGTGCCTCCAGGTTCAAATGATTCTCCTGCCTCAGCCTCCTGAGTAGCTGGGATCACAGGCACGTGCCACCGTACCAAGCTAATTTTTGTATTTTTAATGGAGATGAGGTTTCACCATGTTGGCCAGGCTGGTCTTCAACTCCTGACCTCAGGTGATCCACCTGCTTTGGCCGCCCAAAGTGCTGGGATTATGGGCCTGAGCCACCGTGCCCGGCCGTTTATTGCCCTTTATTTTTTTATTTTTTATTTATTTTTTGAGGCGGAGTATCGCTCTGTTGCCCAGGCTGGAGTGCAATGGCGCTATCTCAGCTCACTGCAAGCTCCGCCTCCCGGGTTCACTCCATTCTCCTGCCTCAGCCTCTCGAGTAGCTGGGACTACAGGCGCCCGCCACCACGCCCAGCTAATTTTTTTTTTGTATTTTTAGTAGAGGCGGGGTTTCACCGTGTTAGCCAGGATGGTCTCGATTTCCTGACCTCGTGATCCGCCCGCTTCGGCCTCCCAAAGTGCTGGGATTACAGGCGTGAGCCACCACACCCGGCCCATTTATTGCCCTTTAAAAGAACACTGAAGGTGGGGCGCGGTGGCTCACACCTGTAATCCCACCACTTTGGGAGGCTGAAGCAGGTGGATTACGAGGTCAGGAGTTCAAGACCAGCCTGGCCCAACATGGTGAAACCCCGTCTCCACTAAAAAAAAAAAAAAAAAAAAATCAAAAATTATCCGGGGGTGGTGGCAGGCGCCTGTGATCCCAGCTACTCTGGAGGCTGAGACAGGAAAATGCTTGAACCTGGGAGGTGGAGGTTACAGTGAGCCGAGATCATGCCACTGCACTCCAGCCTGGGCAACAGAGCAAGACTCTGTCTCAGAAAAAACAAAAACAAAAACAAAAAACCACCACCACACTGAAATGTTTAGTGTACAAATTTATGGACAATAAATCTGAAAACTGTGTTGAAATGGATATTTCCCAGAAAATCATAACTGAAAAGAAGTGGCCTAAAAATAAAAGAATCTTTGCATACACTAGGATGGCTGTAATTAAAAAAATAGAAAATAAGTGTTGACAAAGATGTGGAGAAATTGGAACCTTCATACATTGCTAGTGGGAATGTAAAGTGGTAGAACTGTTGTGGAAAACAGTTTGGTGGTTCCTCAAAACGCTAACCACGGACTCACCATATGACTTAGCAATTCCACTCCTAGGTATATACCCCAAAGAACTGAAAGTCAGGAACTCAAACACATACTTATACACCAATGTTCATTGCAGCATTATTCACAAAAGCCAAAAGGCATAAACAATTGAAATGTCCATCAACTGATGAACGGATAAACATGCAATGAAGTATTATTCAACCTTAAAAAAAGAGTAAAATTTTGATACCTGCTACAACATGGGTGAACCTTGAAATATTATGCTATAATATTATATGTTAAATGTTATGCTATAATAAGCCAGACACAAGATGACAAATATTGTATGATTCCACTTATATAAAATACCTAGAATGGCAAATTTATAAAGACAGAAAGTAAATTAGAGGTTCCCAGGGGCTGGGGTGGTGTGGGGAGAGGAATGGTGAGTTATTGCTTAATGGTCGTATAATTTCTGTTTGGGGTAATGAAAAATTTTAGAAATACGTAGCAGTAACGGTTGTGATACCGAAAGGAGGTACTGGGAAGGCAAGAGCATGGTCCCTATAAATGATAAGGAAAGGAGGGAAGGAAGTGCTGGGAAGGGAAGAGCATCGTCCCTATAAATGATAAGGAAAGGAGGGAAGGAAGTGCTGGGAAGGGAAGAGCATGGTCCCTATAAATGATAAGGAAAGGAGGGAAGGAAGTGCTGGGAAGGGAAGAGCATGGTCCCTATAAATGACATAAAAAGGAGGGAAGGAAGTGCTGGGAAGGGAAGAGCATGGTCCCTATAAATGACATAAAAAGGAGGGAAGGAAGTGCTGGGAAGGGAAGAGCATGGTCCCTATAAACGATAAGGAAAGGAGGGAAGGAAGTGCTGGGAAGGGAAGAGCGTCGTCCCTATAAATGATATGGAAAGGAGGGAAGGAAGTGCTGGGAAGGGAAGAGCATGGTCCCTATAAATGATAAGGAAAGGAGGGAAGGAAGTGCTGGGAAGGGAAGAGCATGGTCCCTATAAATGATAAGGAAAGGAGGGAAGGAAGTGCTGGGAAGGGAAGAGCATCGTCCCTATAAATGATAAGGAAAGGAGGGAAGGAAGTGCTGGGAAGGGAAGAGCATGGTCCCTATAAATGATAAGGAAAGGAGGGAAGGAAGTGCTGGGAAGGGAAGAGCATGGTCCCTATAAATGATAAGGAAAGGAGGGAAGGAAGTGCTGGGAAGGGAAGAGCATGGTCCCTATAAATGACATAAAAAGGAGGGAAGGAAGTGCTGGGAAGGGAAGAGCATGGTCCCTATAAATGACATATAAAGGAGGGAAGGAAGTGCTGGGAAGGGAAGAGCGTGGTCCCTATAAATGATAAGGAAAGGAGGGAAGGAAGTGCTGGGAAGGGAAGAGCGTGGTCCCTATAAATGATAAGGAAAGGAGGGAAGGAAGTGCTGGGAAGGGAAGAGCATGGTCCCTATAAATGATAAGGAAAGGAGGGAAGGAATTGCTGGGAAGGGAAGAGCATGGTCCCTATAAATGACATAAAAAGGAGCGAAGGAAGTGCTGGGAAGGGAAGAGCGTGGTCCCTATAAATGATAAGGAAAGGAGGGAAGGAAGTGCTGGGAAGGGAAGAGCATGGTCCCTATAAATGATATGGAAAGGTGGGAAGGAAGTGCTGGGAAGGGAAGAAGAGCATGGTCCCTATAAATGACATGGAAAGGTGGGAAGGAAGTGCTGGGTAGAGGAGGACGTGAGAACGTGGTCCTTGACTGCAGCTCCACCCCCACAGACCTAGGTGAGGACAGGCATTTTTGTTTTCCTGTCCCAATGTTGCGTTTCCCAAGACCACCCGGCCTGCCCCGCCCCCATCCTGTGCCTATAAAAACCCCCAAGACCTTAGCAGGCAGACACACAGGTAGCCGGACATGGAGAGGAGCACATCAGTGGAGGAACACACAGGCGGCTGGACGTCCAGAGGAGCACATCAGCAGGCACTGGCACGCCAGCAGGCCGCTGACCAGCAGAACGACGCAGAGTTTGGCTGGGACTGTGGAAGGGGGTCCCGGGCTGCTGAGTGGCCCCACTCCAGGGGAAAACCTTCCTACTCCATTCTCTTCTGGCTTCCAACATCTGCTAAGAGCTACCTCTACTCAATAAAACCTTGCACCCATTCTCTAAGCCCAGGTGTGATCCAATTCTTCTGGTACACCAAGGCAAGAACCCGGCATATAGAAAGCCCTCTCTGTCCTATGACAAGGTTGAGAGCCCACTCGAGCTGGTTAACTAACACAAGTCGCCTATAGACAGCAAAACTAAAAGAGCACCCTGTAACACACGCCCACTGGGGCTCCAGGAGCTGTAAGCATCCACCCCTACATGCTGCCGTGGGGTTGGAGGCCCACAGCCTCTGCCTGTCTGTATGCCCCCCTAGAGGTTTGAGCAGCCTGGCACTGAAGAAGCGAGCCACACCGCCCTCGCACGCCACACTCCCCTCGCACGCCACACCCCCGTCGCACGCCACACCCCCCTCGCACGCCACACCCCCGTCGCACGCCACACCCCCCTCGCACGCCCTGAGAGGGGGAAAAGGAACTTTACCCGTTTCAGTTGCACAACATTGTGAAAATAATGCCACTGAATTGTACACTTAAAAATGTTTAAAGTGACAAGTTTTATGTTACATATATTTTATCACACACAACAAAAGGGGTTAAACATACAGTTACCATATGACCCAGTAATTTCGCCTCTAGGTATATGAGGGGACTTTAAAAACTTATTGGAAAATGGAATCAAAATATTAAAATAAAAAATATAAACCTCATTTCTCAGTATAAGCTCTATCAAGGGCAAGACATTTTTGTAAAGCTATGATATGCATTTAGTTTACCTTTAAAGGGCAGAGGGTCCTGGGAATTAAACCACGTCAATGCAGTCTTTTTTGCATTATTAACTGAAGAAAAATGGGTGCCTTTTAAAGATTTTTTTTTTTTTTTTTTTTTTTTGAGACGGAGTCTCTCTCTGTCGTCCAGGCTGGAGTGCAGTGGCACAATCTCGGTTCACTGCAAGCTCCGCCTTCCGGGTTCACGCCATTCTCCTGCCTCAGCCTCCCGAGTAGCTGGGACTACAGGCGCCCGCCATCACGCCCAGCTAATTTTTTGTATTTTTAGTAGAGACGGGGTTTCACCGTGTTAGTCAGGATGGTCTCGATCTCCTGACCTCGTGATCTACCGGCCTCCAGCTTTTTTTTTTTTTTTTTTTTTTTGGAGTCTCGCTTTGTCGCCCAGGCTTGAGTGCAGTGGCGCAATCTCGGCTCACTGCAACCTCTGCTTCCCGGGTTCAAGCAATTCTCGTGCCTCAGCCTCCTGAGTAGCTGAGATTACAGGTGCCTGCCACCACACCGGGCTAATTTTTGTATTTTTAGTAGAGACGGGGTTTCACTGTGTTCGCCAGGATGGTCTCGATCTCCTGACCTCGTGATCCGCCCGCCTCGACCTCCCAAAGTGCTGGGATTACAGGCTTGAGCCACTGCGCCCGGCCCCTTTAAAGATTTTTTTAAGATTACAAAACAATAAGAAGTCAGGAGCGTTGTCCTGAAGTGGGGAAGTACTCTTTGGTGAAGCTTTCCCTGGCCTTTCTGTTTGTTTGTTTTTGAGACAGAGTCTCACTCTGTTGCCCAGGCTGGAGTGCAGTGGCACAATCTCGGCTCACTGAAACCTCCTCCTCCCAGGTTCAAGTGATTGGGAGGCCAAGGCGGGCAGATCAGTAGGTCAGGAGTTCGAGACCAGACTGACCAACATGGTGAAACCCCGTCTCTACTAAAAATACAAAAATTAGTCGCTTATGGTGGCGCAGCCACTCAGGCTGAGGCAGAATTTCTTGAACCTGGGAAGCAGAGTTGCAGTGAGCCGAGATTGTACCACCGCACTCCAGCCTAGGCGACAAGAGCAAGACTCCACCTCAAAAAAAATAAAAATAAATAAATAAATAAATAAATAAATAAATAAATAAAAGTTCTGCTTTATAAAGCTGAGGTGGTGAGTTTAAAAAATTATTTTATTATTATTATTTTTTTTTGAGACGATGTTTCGCTCTTGCTGCCCAGGCTAGAGTGCAGTGGCTCGATCTTGGCTCACTGCAACTTCCACCTCCTGAGTTCAAGCAATTCTTCTGCCTCAGCCTCCTGAGTAGCTGGGACTACAGGCACGCACCACTAGGCTAATTTTTGTATTTTTAGTAGAGACAGGGTTTCACCATAATGGCCAGACTGGTCTCGAATCCCTGACCTTGTGATCCATCCACCTTGGCCTCCCAAAGTGCTGGGATTACAGGCATGGGCCACCGCACCTGGCCTATCTGGGTGCAATACTTTTAGCACCCATTCAGTGGAAAGTTTGCTGAACTTTTTCAGTCAGAATTGTGTAAGCCGAACCAATTAGATGTCTATGATGTTGGCTGTTGTTTGGGCTGTTAATCGCCAGTTCTCTTCAGTTGGGACACAAAGTGAATTTTTTCCTCAAAAATTGATATAGATGATCTGCTGCTGCAGGCCTCACCTTCAACATTGTCTTACACTTTCTTAAAATAAGTTATCCATTTGTAAACTGCTGATTTATTTGAGGCATTGTTCTCATAAACTTTTCATAAAGCATCAGTGATTTCACCTTCTTCCACTGAAGCTTCATCATAAATCTGATGTTTGTCTGGGTGTGGTGGCTCACGCCTGTAATTCCAGCACTTTGGGTGGCCGAGGCAGGCAGATCACCTGAGGTCAGGAGTTCGAGACCAGCCTGGCCAACCTGGTGAAACCCCGTCTCTACTAAAAATACAAAAAGTTGGCTGGGCGTGGTGGCAGGTGCCTGTCATCCCAGCTACTTGGGAGGCTGAGGCAGGAGAATCTCTTCAACCTGGGAGGCAAAGGTTGCAGTGAGCCGTGATTGCGCCACTGCCCTCAAGCCTGGATGACAGAGCAAGACACTGCCTCAAAAAAAAATGTTGATGTTTGTTCTTGCTTCAATTTTAGCAGAATTCATATTGCTCTGATAGGGGCACTTTTCAAACTGATGTCTTTTTTTTTCCTTAGTGCCTCAAAGTAGATTCTGTGGCAGTAGAGGGGATGGAGTAGTGTGAAGTTATTTGCAACTATGTACAAGTTTTCCCTTCTGTTCTGGTGCCTGGGAAGATAAGCACAGTGCAAAATAAGATTTTTTTTGAGACGGAGTTTCCTAAGATAAGCACAGTGCAAAAATAGTTTGTCACGCTAGGATTTTGTGGCAAATGAGAGTGAGTGGCCTCCCAAGGTCCCTAGCTGAAGAGTTGAGACACACTGTGGGTCTTTATAAGGCGTTCAACCCACTCTTCATTGCAATCCATCCTGACCTTGCCTGGTCATTTCAACACTGAATGACTTTAGACATTTGAGTTCAGGTCAAATCTTTTAAGGCATTCAATTTATTATCTCCATTGTGGAAGATCCTGCAACATGGATTTACTGGATACAGATTTAGTAGCAAGATCTGATACAGTCTGGAAAACTTAAGAATTGAGGTCAGGCGTGGTAGCTCACGCCTATAATCCCAGCACTTTGGAAGGTGGAGGTGGGAGGATGGCTTGAGGCCAGGAGTTCAAGTTTAAGAACCAGGACACACCTTGGACCTCCATTTTGTAAGGGGTTCCATCCACATCTTCACAGCAAACCATCTGCACCCGTCACTCTCCACAGACCTATTCCACCTGCTCAGGGAAAGGAAACAACACACCTTGGACCTTGATTTGTAAGAAGCTGAAATTACTTATCTCTATCATAACTATCCTGGAATCTGAAATCATGTCCAACAGCACAGATTTACTCCAGATACTAGATGCAGTCTGGGTCTCAGAGATGGGAACACAGTTTGAGATTTGATTTTACAAGGAGTTGGATCTACCTGTCTCTGTTGGAACTAGCCTGCAATCAAATCCAATAGCGTGGATTTACTTCAGACATTGGATGCAACATTGAAGATTTAAGGATTAGGGACACATTTGGGACTCAATTTTGAAAGGAGTTTCTCCAAGTTTTCATAGCAGCCATTCTTGAATAACACTCAACAAAGCTGATTTACTCAAGACATTGGATACAGCCAGGCGTGGTGGCTCACGCTTGTAATCCCAGCACTTTGGGAAGCTGAGGTGGGCGGATCACTTGAGAATAGGAGTTCAAGACCAGCCTGGTCAACATGGCGAAACCCTGTCTTGTCTAAAAACACAAAAAAATTAGCCGGGTGTGGTGGTGGGTGCCTGTAATCCCAGCCACTCGGGAGGCTGAGGCAGGAAAATCACTTGAACCCAGGAGGCAGAGGCTGCAGTGAGCCAAGATCAAACCATTGCAATCCAGCCTGGGCAACAAGAGTGAAACTCCATCTCAAAAAAAAAAAATGACATTGGATACAATATTGAATTATTGTTGGGGACACATTGGGGGCTTGATTTTGAAAGGAGTTGGGCTGTCAGTTTTCTTAGCTGCCATCATTGAATAATGCCCAAGAGCACGGGTACACTTGAAACATTGGACGTATTGAAGACATAGTGTTGGGGCCATACTTTGGAATTAAATTTTTGAGGACTTGGTTCTTCTACTCCTCTTGATAAAAATGATCCTGGATTCATGCCGTAAACCACTCCAGACATTTGGTGTCTTCTAGAAGATTTAAGAGCTGAGAACATTTTGGCCAGGCGCAGTGGCTCACACCTGTAATCCTAGCACTTTGGGAGGCTGAGGCGGGCAGATCACTTGAGGTCAGGAGTTCGAGATCAGCCTGGCAACGTGGTGAAACCCCGTCTCTACTAAAAATACACGTGCCTGTAATCCCAGCTACTCGGGAGGCTGTGGCAGGTGAATCCCTTGAACCTGGGAGGTGGAGGTTGCAGTAAGTCAAGATCATGCCACTGCATGACTCTGTCTTAAAAAAAAAATCTGAGAACATTTCTAGGGCTGGAATTTTGCGATTTTGCCACCAGGAGTTGGAATTTTTCATGGATTCACCCAACAGGATTTGCTCAACACATTCTACAAAGTCAGCAAGGCTGGGTCAAGAAAACTCCAAAAGGTCTGAGAGAGGCTGCCTGGCACCATCTTGTCACCCTTGCATCCCCTTCCTTTGGGAAATGGAAGCTGGAAACTTGGGGCCATTGGAGCTGCAATGGTTTGGTGCTTCTTGCACAACTCTTGCTAATTTCATTTTAGTTACTTATATCTTTGGTTATGATAAATGGAATATTTTCATTGTATTCTAGTTTCTGGACTGTAGAAATGTAATTGATTTTTGTCTCTGATCCAACAACTTATTAATTCTAATAATTCATTTGTATATTATTTGAGGTTTTCTATGTGGACAGTTTCATCACCTGAGAACAATGACAGTTTGGTTTAATCCTTGCTGCTCCTTACATCCCTTTACTTCCTTTGCTTTTTAAATTTTATTATTTAGAGACGGGGTTTTGATCTGTCACCCAGGCTGGAGTCTAGTGGTGTGATCCATCTCAGCTCACTGCAGCCTCGACCTCCCAGGCTCAAGCAATCCTCCCACCTAAGCCTTCCAAATAGCTGAGACTACAGGTGTGCACCACCACGCCTGGTTACTTTTTGTATTTTCTGTAGAGATGGGGTCTTGCTATGTTGCCCAGGCTGGTCTGGAACTCCTGGACTCAAGAAATCCACCCGCCTCTCCTTCCCAAAGTGTTAGGATTACAGGCGTGAGCCACTGTACCTGGCCTTCATTACTTCTTTCCAGCCTTCTTTTTAACATAAACATTTAACGCTATATTTTCCTGAAGTACTTTTATTTTTAAAGCTACATCTTATAAGGTTCAATATATAGTGTTACTATCATTCCAAGTATTTTCTTTTCTTTTTTTTTTAGAAGTGTGCATGAAGTTGCTTTAAGACTGTGAAGAACCATATAAGCAATATTATTATCATCAGCTTGCTCTCTAATTCTGGGCAGAAAGTGATCTAATTAAAATTGGCTGTGCTAATCTACTTACACTAATGTGTTACTTTTTTCTTTCACAACCAGGCTTCATTTGCCTCACAAGAACTACATATTTGGAATTCTTTATATCTCATGGCACAATCCATAAATTTATGAATCAGTAACATAATGAGTTAGTGTATTTTAACTTTTACAAACACAGTTTTTTCTTCTCCAAGTTTTTGTTATTGTTCTTTAATTATATTGTAGACACTAAATAGCTTATATGATGTTGCTTCTTTGGTATTTGAGATTTGCAAATGTTCCATATGTGCTTGAGAAAAACACATATTCCTTAAATGTTGGATAAAGATTTCTAAATATATCTACTTGGCTGGGTGTGGTGGCTCACACCTGTAATCCCAGCACTCTGGAAGGCTGTGAGGTAGGTGGATCACTTGAGCCCAGGAGTTCGAGACTAGCCTGGGCAACATGGTGAAACCCCGTCTCTACAAAAAAAAAAAAAAAAAAAAAATTAGCTGGGCATCGTGGTGTGCCTATAGTCCCAGCTACTTGGGAGGCTGAGGAGGAAGGATCACTTGAACCTGGGAGGTGAAGGTTGCAGTGAGCCGAGATCACACCACTGTACTCCAGCCTGGGCAACAGAGCAAGACTCTGCCTCAAAACAAAACAAAACAAGATTTCTAAACATATCTATTAAGGAAAAATTAAATAGAAAACTTGATTAGATCTCTAACAAAGAGGCTGAACTGGTAGTCAATTCAGAAGAATGGTATTAGAAGTGAGAAGCAGAAAAAACACAGGAATTACATTTTTTGTTCAGTGTTAAGGAGATTTTGCAAATCTCCTTAAAAAAAAAACACACACAAACCAGAAACTGATCTTAAAGCTATAAGCAGTATAAGTTGAAACTAGGAAAAGAAAGCTATACCATGTTTTTTTGGTAGAAATGATTGTGATGTACAAATTTTTTATTTGATCATACTTAAAAAGACAGAGCAGAATCACATTCATTTTCTTAATAGTATCACTGTAAACATAGCGAATTTTGGCGCTTTTAGATTGCTCTGAAAATTTCTGAAGAGTTGACCATAGCAGCCTGGTAAGCCTTTTCCTTTCCCCCAAAGCTCTCCTGCCCTTTGCAGAAAGACTGTTGGTGACAACTGATGCTAACTAAATAGCATGTGGTTGAGCTTGCCAAATCCTTCCACCTCCTCCCATAGGCAACAGGGTGACTTGGCTTAAAGGCATTGAGTAAGCAAGTAGGTTATCAGAGAACAGAGGGAAGATTCCATTGTAGATAATTTCCAAATATTACAATTGATGAACTCAGAGTTCAACTGCTCAGTTCCTTCTTCTGCTGACCTGATACAGATATAATCACAATGGATCTCAGATCTTTGGTCCATTTAGACATCAGGGTAATGTACTCAGTTCCTTTAATTAAAATGTGTTGGAAAAGCCATCTCTGGGTGGAGAAGAGAAGTTCGTTGATTATAGTGATGGTACTATAAGAGAAAAACTGAAGCAGGAAAACAGTGAGCAGCGCCTCTTTCTTCTTGCACTCAAATGATTACTTCACTCCTGTCAGCTTTATAGTCCAAGCAAACTCTGCGGGGACAGCAGAGGGTGGCAACTGGGGTAGAGAGATGAAGAGACCTTTATCTGGATCTGTGGACCACTTCAGATCTCCTTGAATTCCCAGCATTGTTATCTGCAGAAAACAAAAGGGAATGAAACAAACTGGTAATGCACTAATGAGTATAGAATACAGGCTGACTATGGTAGGAAACAGCCACGCTGGGCCAGGGCAGGAAAGCCAGTCTAAAAGAGGTGTGAATATGGGAGAAACCTGGCAGGGAAGGAAGAAAGGAAGGATCTGCCAATTCCTTTACAGAAAGTTACATCTTAAGACTGACTAAGCCTCTTTACCTTTGTAGTTGAGGTAGTTATGGGGGATTCAAGGTTTAAGACTCCATTTTCTGGCCAGTGCAGAAAAATGGCATAAACAGCCGATCCCTTTGAGGTATACCTGGGAAAACAGAAACAACACTGTCAAAGATACCTGACTTGTTATCCTGATATACAACTTTATACATTTCCTCCTTTTTAATGTTAATTTTCTTTTCTTTTCTTTTTTTTTTTTTTGAGACAGAGTCTCCCTCTGTTGCCCAGGCTGGAGTGCAATGGTGTGATGTTGGCTCACTGTAACCTCCGCCTCCTGGGTTCAAGCAATTCTTGTGGTTCAGCCTCCTGAGTCACTGGATTACAGGTGTGCACCACCACGCCTGGCTAACTTTTGTATTTTTAGTAGAGATGGCATTTTGCTATGTTGACCAGGCTGGTCTTGAACTCCTGGCCTCAAGTGATCCACCTGCATTGGCCTCCCAAAGTGCTGGGATTACAAGTATGAGCCATTGCACTCAGCTCCTTATTTATTTTTTTTTTGAGACGAAGCCTTGTTGTCCAGGCTCTTGTTGTCCAGGATGGAGTGCAGTGGCGTGATCTTGGCTCACTACAACCTCCACTTCCCAGGTTCAAGCAATTCTCCTGCCTCAGGCTCCTGAGTAACTGGGATTACAGGTGCCTGCCACCATACCCTGCTAATTTTTGTATTTTTAGTAAAGACGGGGTTTCGCCATGTTGGCCAGACTGGTCTTGAACTCCTGACCTCAGGTGATCCACCCGCCTCGGCCTCCCAAAGTGTTCGGATTACAGGCGTGAGTCACTGTTTTGGGCCTAATTTCTTTTTTTTTAAGTGATGGAGTCTTGCTGTGTTGCCCAACACAACTTGCTGTGTTGTGCTGGGCTCAAGTGATCCTCCCACCTTGGCCTTAGAAAGTGCTGGGATTACAGGCATGAAGCACTGCACAAGGCCACTCATTCCCCTTTCAATTATCTACCAAATCCCAGTCCTCGAGTCTGTCACTGTTACTAGGGAGCACCAATAACTCAATACCAATGAAGGTGTGCAGGAAGGAGGCAGTCTATAAAACTCTATCTGGTGATACTATCTATTTTCCCTACCAATTGGGTTAAGTTGTCTTTAAAAATTATCTCCTACATCAGTTACTGCAAATAAATAGAGCCATTTACCTTATTATTCAAATCTCTTTTCTATTCCAAATCCATGTGAAAATAGCAGAGACTATAACAAGGACAAGACATGCAATGAAAACAAATTTGTTGTTCAGAGATTTCTTTTTTTTTTTTTCTGAGACTGCACCCAGCCTGTTCTGAAATTTCACTATGTTTAGAGAAGAGGATGAAAATCACTACTATGGTTTGAATGCATCTCCCAAATCTCATGATGGAAACTTAATCCCCAAATTCATATGTCGATGGTATAGTATTTAGAGGTGAGGCCTTTGGGAAGTAATTAGGATCATATAAGGTAATCAGGGCAGGGCCCCATGATGGGACTGATGGCTTTATAAAAGGAAGAAAGACCTGAGTGGACATGCCCACTCTCATCCCCAACCATGTCATGATGTAGCAGGAAGGCCCTTACCAGATGCTGGTGCTATGCTCTTGAACTTCCCAGCCTCCAGAACTGTGAGCTAAATAAACCTCTATTCTTTAAAAATTATCCAGTCTAAGCCAGGTGCAGTGGCTCATGCCTGTAATCCCAGCACTTTGAGAGGCAGAGGCAGGTGGATCACTTGAGGCCAGGAGTTTGAGACCAGCCTGGCCAACATGGTGAAACCCCATCTCTACTAAAAATGCAAAAATTAGCTGGGCGTGGTGGCGGGTGCCTATAATCCCAGCTGCTTGGGAGGCTGAGGCAGGAGAATTGCTTGAACCTTGGAGGCAGAGGTTGCAGTGAGCTGAGATTCTGCCACTGTACTCCAACCTGGGTGACAGAGTGAGACTGTCTAAAAAATAATAATAAAATAAAATAAAAATCCAGCCTGTGGGATTCAGTTATAGCAACAGAAAATGGACTAAGACAACCACTAAACAGAAACTCATCCAAAACAGAGGGATTAATAGAGGGATTAGATCCAGAGACCTAAGCTCTCTGGTATAATAAAAGCAGTTCCCTTTAATTGAACACTGAGTTTGTGCCTGGCACTCATCTCATTTAATCCTCACAACACTATAAAGCATCATCACTCCATTCTGCAGTGGAAAAAATGGGGCCCAAGATCAAATAACTAGATCCAGAAGTCCAAGTATGAATGGAAAGAATTTTGGATGGGGCTCCGTACAATCCAAGCATTCATTATTACTATTTTTAGGGGGCAGGGTAATAATCTCAATAAATTGACTGATGCTTTGTTGCTCCTTCCCTTTTCACCAAACCCACTCTCTCCCTTCACTAGTCAAAGATAACCAAGTAGCCTGAGACATAACTCAAATGGGGTACAAATTTTATAGGAAAATAACCTTCTGGATTTTCTCAAGGCAACTTCCAGCCTGGCTTGTGACATTGTGGACCCAAGGAGATACCAGTTCCGGATGGGGCACTGTTCTGTTCTTACACACAACAGAAGACAAGACTCACCATACAGATGTTGTGTTCTTTTCCCATTGCACCCGCCATGGTTTGGAGGCATAGATAGCCTCCCCATTGATGCTCAGCCATTTCCCAACAGCAAGAAGCCTTTCTTGGAAGATGGGAACAATCAGTCCATCTTTAGTTGGTCCAATGTTCAGAAGATAGTTGCCTCCCAAACTTACTGTCTGAACCAGTTCCTGGAGAGAACAGAAACAATGAAAGTCTAGCTATGAATGCCAAGCCTGGCATCATGCTTAAAATAGACAGAGAAGAAAAAGAATCTAGGGCACACTCTGTTTTTTAAATATCCTCTGCTGTTTTAATTTTTTTTTTTTTCTTTTTGAGCTGGAGTTTCACTCTTGTCGCCCAGGCTAGAGTGCAATGGCGTGATCTTGGCTCAACTGCATCTCGGCTCACTGCAACCTCCACCTCCCTGTTCAAGCGATTCTCCTGCCTCAGTCTCCTGAGTAGCTGGAATTACAGGCATGCGCCACCACATCCAGCTAATATCATTCTATTTTTAGTAGAGACAGGGTTTCACCACGTTGGCCAGGCCAGTCTCAAAACTCCTGACCTCAGGTGATCTGCCTGCCTTGGCCTCCCGAAGTGCTGGGATCACAAGCATGAGTCACCGCACCTGAGCTAAAAATTCTCTCTCTATATATATTTTTGTCACTATAAAAGCAGGTTAGGCTCATGTGAGTAAATGAAAAATCAGGCTATATTATATTAACTTGAATTTCAGGGAGTGGCCATGGAGCACTTCCTGTGACACTGTACTTCTCATGGTGCTGAGTGCAGTGGGAAGGGTCATGCCCCAGAAACATGAGGTGTGGGCAGGGAAGCTGAGAATTTCAGGACATTCCTTACGCATTGGGCTATATAAATGAACATGCTGCCCCTTTGGGAAAACTGCTATAAAGAGATACGTTCTTTTTTTTTTTTTTTTTTTTTTTTTGAGACGGACTCTTGCTCTGTCTCCCAGGCTGGAGTGCAGTGGCACAATCTCGGCTCACTGCAACCTCCGCCTCCTGGGTTCAAGTGATTCTCCTGCCTCAGGCTCCCGAGTAGCTGGGACTACAGGTGCGCACCACCATGCCCAGTTAATTTTTGTATTTTTAGTAGAGATGGGGTTTCACTATGTTGGCCAGGCTGGTCTTGAACTCCTGACTTTGTGATCCACCTATCTCAGCCTCCCAAAGTGCTGGTATTACAGGTGTGAGCCACCGTGCTCAGCCAAGAGATACATTCTTTAAGACTTCTGGAGTGGGATTTGGGTGTGTGTGTTTTTACTGTGACCTTGAACAGGTATTATACATATCCAGGCAGCTCAGAAAAACTAAGGTTATATAGAGAAAATTTTAAATTCATTACAGAATTTGAAGAATTCAGACAGGCATGGTGGATCACACCTGTAATCCCAGCACTTTGGGAAGCCAGGACAGGTGGATTACCTGAGGTCAGGAGTTTGAGACCAGCCTGGCCAACGTGGTGAAGGCCCTGTCTCTACTAAAAATACAAAAATTAGCTGGGCACAGTGGTAGGCACCTGTAGTCCCAGCTATGCGGGAGGCTGAGGCAAGAGAATCACTTGAACCCGGGAGGTGGAGGTTGCAGCAAGCTGAGATCGTGCCATTGCACTCCAGCCTGGGCAACAAGAGCGAAATTCCATCTCAAAAAAAAAAAAAAAAGAATTAAAGAATTCATTATAAGAATTCATTACAGTACTCCAAGTGACACCACACCATTAACTTTTGATGTCTTCTTCTAGTCTTTTTCCTATGTAGTTAATTTTATATAGTTGTAATAATATGTAACTTATTTTATTTATTTATTATTATTTAAAAAAAATTTTTGTTTCAGACGGAGTCTAGCTCTGTCACCCAGGCTGGAGTGCAGTGGCGCAATCTCAGCTCACTGCAACCTCTGCCTCCTGGGTTCAAGCAATTCTCCTGCCTCAGCCTCCTGAGTAGCTGGGATTATAGGCATGTGCCACCACGCCCAGCTAATTTTTTTTGTATTTTTTAGTAGAGACGGGGTTTCACCACATTGGCCAGGATGGTCTCGAATTCCTGACTTTGTGATCCACCCTCCTTGGCCTCCCAAAGTGCTGGGATTACAGGTGTCAGCCACCGTGCCTGGCCACTTATTTTTATTTTTTAAAATAGAGATGGGGTCTCACTATGTTGTTTAGGCTGGTCTTAAACTCCTGCCCTCAAGCAATCCTCTTGTCTTGGTCTCCCAAAGTGTTGGAGTTACAAGTGTGAGCCACCACCATGCCCAGCCAATATGTAACTTTATTAAAAATAATAATAATAATAGAGATGGGGTCTTTCTATTTTGGCCAGGCTGGTCTTGAACTCCTGGCCTCAAAGGATCCTCCCACCTTGGCCTCCTAAAGTGTTGGCATTACAGGTATGAGCCACTGTGCCCAGCCAATATGTAACTGTTTTTTCATTCAGTGCTCTAAACATTAACCCATATTAAATTTGTCAACATTTTTATGGTTACCAGGAGTTCGAGACAAGCCTGGCCAACATGAAGAAACCCTGTCTCTACTAAAAACACAAAAATAAGCTGGGCATGGTGGCACGTGCCTGTATTCCCAGCTATTCGGGAGGCTGAGGCAGGAGAATTGCTTGAACCCGGGAGACGGCGGTTGCAGCAGACCGAGATCGCACCACTGCACTCTAGCCTGGGTGACAGAGTGAAGTTCGTTCATAAATAAATAAATAAATATACACATACATACATACATACATACATACATACATACATACATACATACAAATAATCCTGGGAAGGACCTCTGCACAACTTTCTTGTGTAACTCTAATTATTTCCTTAGGACAGGTTTCTGTTAGTCTATTCAATGTCCTTAAAAGGGTTCTATTGACCTGCACTTCTATCCAGAGTACTTCCATCACTCTTACATAAAAAAGCTGGTTTTGCAGCCATAAAAGAGAATGTGTCCTTTGCAGGGACATGGATGAAGCTGGACATCACTCTTACATAAAAAAGCTGGTTTTGCAGCCATAAAAAAGAATGAGTTCATGTCCTTTGCAGGGACATGGATGAAGCTGGAAACCATCATTCTTAGCAAACTAACACAGGAACAGAAAACCAAACACCACATGTTCTCACTCATAAGTGGGAGTTGAACAATGAGAACACATGGGACACAGGAAGAGGAACATCACACACCAGGGCTTGTTGGAATGTGGGGGTGAGGGGAGGGAGAGCATTAGGACAAATACCTAATGCATGTGGGGCTTAAAACCTAGATATCGGGTTGATAGTTTGCAACAAACCATCATGGCACATGTATACCTATGAAACAAACCTGCACACTCTGCACTTGTATCCCAGAATTTAAAGTAAAATTTAAAAAAAGAGGAAAAAAATAATTAAAATCAATCATATAGTATGTTAGAAGGTAATAATAATAATAATAATAATAAAAAGTGGTTTGAGATCCATAGTTAAAAAATAGTGAACTCAGGCCAGCTGCCATGGCTCATGCCTGTAATCCAGTGCTTTGGGAGGCTGAGGCTAGATCTCTTGAGGCCAGGAGTTTGAGACCAGCCTGGGCAACATAGCAAGACCCTGTCTCTACAAAAAATTTAAAAATTAGCTGGTTGTAGAGGTGCACACCTGTAGTTCTAGCTACTCAGGAGGCTGAGGTGGGAGGACCACTTGAGCCCCAGGAGTTTGAGGTTACAGTGAGGTATGATCGTGCCACTGCGCTATTGCCTGCATGACAGAGCAAGACCCCATTTCATTAAAAAAAACAAAAAACTCCCCTCTCCCTCTCCCTCTCCCCCCTCTCCCTCTCCCCACGGTCTCCCTCTCCCTCTCTTTCCACGGTCTCCCACTGATGCCGAGCCGAAGCTGGACTGTACTGCTGCCACCTCGGGTCACTGCAGCCTCCCTGCCTGATTCTCCTGCCTCAGCCTGCCGAGTGCCTGCGATTGCAGGTGCGCGCCACCACGCCTGACTGGTTTTCGTATTTTTTTGGTGGAGACGGGGTTTCGCTGTGTTGGCCGGGCTGGTCTCCAGCTCCTAACTGCGAGTGATCCGCCAGCCTCGGCCTCCAGAGGTGCCGGGATTGCAGATGGAGTCTGGTTCACTCAGTGCTCAATGGTGCCCAGGCTGGAGTGCAGTGGCGTGATCTCCGCTCGCTACAACCTCCACCTCCCAGCCGCCTGCCTTGGCCTCCCAAAGTGCCGAGATTGCAGCCTCTGCCCGGCCGCCACCCCGTCTGGGAAGTGAGGAGCGTCTCTGCCTGGCCGCCCATCGTCTGGGACGTGAGGAGCCCCTCTGCCTGGCTACCCAGTCTGGAAAATGAGGAGCGTCTCTGCCCGGCCGCCATCCCATCTAGGAAGTGAGGAGCACCTCTTCCCGGCCGCCATCCCATCTAGGAAGTGAGGAGCGTCTCTGCCCGGCCGCCCATCGTCTGAGATGTGGGGAGCGCCTCTGCCCCGCCGCCCCGTCTGGGATGTGAGGAGCGCCTCTGCCCGGCCGCGACCCCGTCTGGGAGGTGAGGAGCGTCTCTGCCCAGCCGCCCCATCTGAGAAGTGAGGAAACCCTCCGCCTGGCAACCGCCCCATATGAGAAGTGAGGAGCCTCTCCGCCCGGCAGCCACCCCGTCTGGTAAGTGAGGAGCGTCTCTGCCCGGCAGCCACCCCATCCGGGAGGGAGGTGGGGGTCAGCCCCCGCCCGGCCAGCCGCCCCGTCCGGGAGGGAGGTGGGGGGGTCAGCCCCCCGCCTGGCCAGCCGCCCCGTCCGGGAGGGAGGTGGGGGGGTCAGCCCCCCGCCCAGCCAGCCGCCCGGTCCGGGAGGTGAGGGGCGCCTCTGCCCGGCCGCCCCTACTGGGAAGTGAGGAGCCCCTCTGCCCAGCCACCACCCCGTCTGGGAGGTGTACCGAACAGCTCATTGAGAACGGGCCATGATGACAATGGCGGTTTTGTGGAATAGAAAGGGGGGAAAGGCGGGGAAAGGATTGAGAAATCGGATGGTTGCCGTGTCTGTGTAGAAAGAGGTAGACACGGGAGACTTTTCATTTTGTTCTGTACTAAGAAAAATTCTTCTGCCTTGTGATCCTGTTGATCGGTGACCCTACCCACAACCCTGTGCTCTCTGAAACGTGTGCTGTGTCCACTCAGGGTTAAATGGATTAAGGGCGGTGCAAGATGTGCTTTGTTAAACAGATGCTTGAAGGCAGCATGCTCGTTAAGAGTCATCACCACTCCCTAATCTCAAGTACCCAGGGACACAAACACTGCGGAAGGCCGCAGGGTCCTCTGCATAGGAAAACCAGAGACCTTTGTTCACTTGTTTATCTGCTGACCCTCCCTCCACTATTGTCCTATGACCCTGCCAAATCCCCCTCTGTGAGAAACACCCAAGAATGATCAATAAAGAATAAATAAATAAATAAATAAATAAATAAAAAACTGGACACCCTACTACCCACACCCACTTTAAGATATAGATTACAACCAACACCGTTAAAGCCCTTTTGCATGCCCTTCTCCATCCCAGCCCCCTCCTAAATTTTGTTTATAATGATCTCGCTTTTCTTCATAATTTTACCTCCAAAATATGCATCTGTAAACAATATGCTGTTTTTGCAAGCTTTTGAACATTATATAAAATAAATCATACTGCATGTTAAAAAAAAAAAAACAAAAACAAAAAACTCAAAGGTGCTCTTACCGAAATGATTTCAGATTCTTCTGTAACATCAGACAATGCCATGTCACGACGATAGCCCCAGGAAAACTTGTCAATGCTGGTGCACATCTCCCACTTGTGATCTGGCAAGCTCTGTGGCTTGAATTTATCTTCACAGTTATAGTATCCTCCATGGTGACAGGAACAGTTCTGACCCCATCGGTCATTTACTACCACCTCATCCTAAGGAGGGAAAGAATATTTGGTCATGAGGAGTAAAACCACTTGACTTCTTTATGTAATACACTTTGGTAAGGCTCTATTTGGAAGCAAGAAACTTAGTCTAGAGCAGTGGCTGTCAACTGGGGGCAATTTTGCTCTGGAGGGGACATTTGGTAAAGTCTAGAGACATTTTTGATTGTCACAACGGGGGTGGTATGCCATCTAGTGGGTAGAGACCAGGGATGTTACTAAACGTCCTACAATGCACAGGACAGCCCCCACAGCAAAGAAATATTCAGCCCTAAATGTCAACAGTACTGAGGTAGAGAAACCCTGCTGCAGAGATACATGTCAGGGCTGGGAGAGCTTGCTTTAAAGATCATCTGGTAAATCACTTTTTCTATAAGAGGAGAAATGAACAGGAGAGGACCTGCCTGGGGCCATGCCCCTAGGCAGTTTCAAAAGCTGGAACTACAAATCAGGTATCTGAACCCATGGCAGGCTGTTTTCCAACTATATAATCCCAGCCTTACTTACGTAAAAAAAAAGTCTTAAGACAATCCCACTCAAAAAAAAAAAAAATAGCAAATTCTTTTTCTTACTTCAAGGTTTAGCTGAAGAATGATAAATCATACATGGAATATCTTAATGTAAATGTTAAATGCAGCATATTTTATAACAGAGTGGCCAATACAAGATAAAAACTGAAACCATTTGGGAGGCCAAGGCAGGCAGATCATGAGGTCAGGAGATAGAGACCAACCTGGCTAACACGGTGAAATCCCGTCTCTACCAAAAATACAAAAAATTAGCTGGGCATGGTGGCACATGCCTGTAGTCCCAGCTATTTGGGAGGCTGAGGCAGGAGAATCGCTTGAACCTGGGAGGCGGAGGTAGCAGTGAGCCGAGATCGTGCCACTGCACTCCAGCCTAGGCAACAGCAGAGCGAGACTCCGTCTCAAAAACAAAAACAAAAACAAAACTGAAACCATGTTCAATTCATCACGGCAAAAAGAGATTTATTAAAAGTTTAAAATTCCCATTTCTTGCCTGTTTTAGAGTCATTCACATTGGTATGAAGTTTCTCCTATGGAAGCTAGTTAAGTGCCAAAGAGAAATAGAAGAATAGTCATTATTTGTAACTAGTTCAATCCAATGTCTGGTACTTGATTATCAATGTCTGGGCATCATGGGTCACAGAATTGAAAAGGACAACTCAAGATCAATTCAAGAACAGGTATGTAAAAGCCATTTCAGAGAAAAATGGGGTATTAACAATCCTAATTCTTCATTCAACACCTACCCATCCGCTTATTCAATAAGTATTTACTCAACAACTACCATGGGGCTCACACTGTGGGCAGATACTGGGTCTCCAAGGTGAATAAAACAGAGGTCTTGCCCTCAACCATCCAGCAGAGACTAGCAGAGGAGACAGATATGTGGACAATTACAATATGACATCATATCAGAGTTTATGCCTGGTTACAAGATTATCAAGGGCTTTGAGGTTCATAGCTGGCTCCACCACCTAGTAGTCAAGGGGTCTTAGGCAGGTAACTTTACCTTTTAAGTTAGTTACTTATCTATAAAAACAAACAAACAAAACCAACCAAACAAACAAAATCCAAAGGCAAATATCACCCACCTCACAGGGGTTTGAGAGGGAGGGATAAAAGTGACAGTGTGCCCAGACTCTGGCTCAGAGTGAATAAAGGTGTCTCCTTGCCACACCTCCTCTTTCTCAGAGTCCTCAGGTGATGTGAACGCTCCCTGTACACTCAGCCTGTCAAGGACAGACACAACCATGCACTCCTTCATCCCACAGAAGCTAATGCAGTACCCTCCACTTTGGCATTCGAACCAGTGTCTATGGATTGTGGAGACCTCAGGACATACTTCTACTATCATACTGGTCACCCTACAATGTACTTTGTTTGTATGTCTGTCTTTCTCTTCAGACTGTAGTTCCCTAAGAGCAGAAACCATTCATTCAGCATTTCCAAGGCTTAGCATGCGGCATGCTACGGCACCGGCTCTCAATAAATCCTGGTAGAAATGAAGGAGAATCTACAGTCCCCATATGTCTGCGAAGCTACTGTGAAGATGGGTTGAGGCACACCCACACAGAAGGTCCTGGTTGCTTAGGAATTATTGTTTAAGAGAGGCCGGCCGGGAGCGGTGGCTCACGCCTGTAATCCCAGCACTTTGGGAGGCTGAGGCGGGTGGATCACAAGGTCAAGAGTTTCAAGACCAGTCTGGCCAACATGGTGAAACCCCGTCTCTACTAAAAATACAAAAAATTAGCCAGGTGTGATGGTGTGCGCCTGTACTCCCAGCTACTCGGGAGGCTGAGGCAGGAGAATTGTGTGAACCCAGGAGGCGGAGGTTGCAGTGAGCCGAGATCGTGCCATTGTACTCCAGCCTGGGCGACAGTGCGAGACTCCCTCTCAAAAAAAAAAGAAAAGAAAAAAAAAAGCCAAAAAAGTTCAGGCTGTCTAGCTAGTCATGCTTTTTAAATGACACTGGGGTTGATATTTTCTTCCCTTTCCCAATCCTGCATCTTTGGCTAGTCATTTTTCCTTCTGTGATACTCCTTAAGCACAAACACTAGACTGTAACCTCACGTAGCAAGCGACCTAGCTCGAGGGGTATACACCCTGAACATATATACATAGACGCCATTTCAGAGACAAATGGGGTATTAACAATCTGAATTCTTGGTTCAACACCCACCTACTTTTCCTATTTATTCAGCAACTACCATGAGGCTCACACTGTGGCAGACACTGAGTTTCCAAGGTGAATAAAACAGAGTTCTTGCCCTCAACGATCCAGCAGAGACTAGCAGAGACAGATATGCAGACAATTACGATATGACATCACATCAGAGTTCATTACCTAGGGATGAACTGCACATCTGGGAGGTCACAAACATTCATCAAGTTCCAGAAAACCACTCTTTTTTTTTTTTGTGAGACAGAGTCTCGCTCTGTTGCGCAGGCTGGAGTACAGTGGCACGATCTCTGCTCACTGCAACCTCCGCCTCCCGGGTTTAAGCAATTCTCTGCCTCAGCCTCTCGAGTAGCTGGGATTAGAGGTGCCCACCACCACGCCCGACTAATTTTTGTATTTTCTTTTTTTTTGAGACAGAGTCTCGCTCTGTTGCCCAGGCTGGAGTGCAGTGGCGCCATCTTGGCTCACTGCAAGCTCCGCCTCCCGGGTTCACGCCATTCTCCTGCCTCAGCCTCCCAAGTAGCTGGGACTACAGGCATGTAAAAATTAGGCCCGGCCTAATTTTTGTATTTTCAGTAGAGACGGGGTTTCACCGTGTTAGCCAGGCTGGTCCTGAACTCCTGACCTCGTGATCCACCAGCCTCGGCCTCCCAAAGTGCTGGGATTACAGGCGTGAGCCACCACGCCCGGCCTTAGAAAACCACTCTTAATCTGTCTCTGTGCATCATATAGAATCTGTTTTTTTCTTTCTTCCCATTTTCTGAGCTTAGTAATAGAGACCCAATGAGACCCTTAGACTTTTTTTTTGAGAAGGAGTCTCACTCTGTCGCCCAGGCTGGAGTGCAGTGGCGCGATCTCGGCTCACTGAAAGCTCTGCCTTCCAGGTTCACACCATTCTCCTGCCTCAGCCTCCTGAGCAGCTGGGACTACAGGCACCCACTACCACGCCTGGCTAATTTCTTTTTGTATTTTTAGTAGAGATGGGGTTTCACTGTGTTAGCCAGGATGGTCTCGATCTCCTGACCTCGTGATCTGCCTGCCTTGGCCTCCCAAAGTGCTGGGATTACAGGCGTGAGCCACTGCACCTGGCCAAGACCCTTAGAGATTTATGAACTACCAAGGTACCTCAGTACAAACTGCTTTTACACTTAAGATTTTCCTTTTAAATCCACAACAAATCTAGAACATGTACAATCGTGAAATTTGCTACAGTGAAGATTAGGGTTTCCGCTACTTTGCAAGTACGCTAAAATACAAACTGTAAATGGGCAGCCATTATGCACTGCCTCATAGTGTTGATTATAGGGAGGCGTACTGGGTAGGCAACATTCCCCCAAGGATTTGGATATAAGGGAAGTAAGTGTGTCCCTTGAGAGTTAAACTATAAAATCAACATAGAGTAGGTGGGATTGTAGGCATCTGCATTTTATTCCTACCATTTAATTTTGTAGGTTTTGTGTATCTTATATGTTTTCTTTATTTTTATTTTTTGGAGACAGGGTTTCACTGTCACGCAGGCTGGAGTACAATGGCGTGATCTAGGTTCATTACAGCTTTGACCTCTTGGGCTCAAGTGATCCTCCCACGTCAGCCTCCCCCCACATCAGCCTCCTGAGTAGCTGGGACTACCTCCCGAGTAGCTGGGACTACAGGTCCGTGCCACCACACCCAGCTAATTTTATTTTTTGTAGAGATGAGGTCTCACTACGTTGCCCAGGCTGGTCTTGAACTCCTGGACTCAAGTCATCTGCTTGCCTTGGCCTCCCAAAGTGCTGGGATTACAGGCATGAGCTGCTATGCTTGGCCTGTATGTCTTTTATATGTTTTCTTTGTATTTTATTATATGTTTTAATATCTTTTTGGTGGTTTTCTCATTTATAACATTTGTTTGCTTAATAGAGTTTATTTTTTCTGTAGTGGTCTGGGAATTGTAATTACTATTTTTAGTCTACTATGTAAATTTACCACTGTTTAAACCTATATTGTCAAAGTTAAGAACTAAAGGAGATTGCCGGGTGCGGTGGCTCACGCCTGTAATCCCAGAACTTTGGGAGGCCAAGGTGAGCGGATCACCAGAGGTCAGGGGTTCGAGAGCAGCCTGCCCAACATGGCGAAACCCTGTCTCTACTAAAAACACAAAAATCAGCCGGCCAGGTGGCGGGCCCCTGTAATCTCAGCTACTCGGAAGGCTGAGGCAGGAGAATCACTTGAACTCGGGAGACAGAGGTTGCAGTGAGCGGAGATCGCACCACTGTACTCCAGCCTGGGTGACAGAGTGAGCCTCTGTCTCAATTAAAAAAAAAAAAAAACAACACTAAAGGAGAAGAAAACTTATACTCTAAGGGAGCCAGGGAAGATTAAAGGAGAAACCTTTAACATCCATTAAGTGTCCCAGTCCCTACTGCCCCCATGTTGATATTCCTGTTTATTATTGCTGCTGCTGTGGTTGTCTACTCCAGAGTTTGGCTCCTTGCACTTTCTTTCTTCATAGGAGATAAATAAGAAGTCATATAATCACATACCTTGACAGGGCTGTCATTGTAGAGCCATGAAAGAAAATTTGTGGAGTTCCAGTAAGTATCAGGACATTCCCACTCCCCATCAGACCAGATCAGATCAGGTTTATAGCTGGAAGACATGTGATCAGGACAGAGCTTATTATCTGAACATGTTCACAGTAAAATCTTATGGACCATTTTTTTTTTTAGAGATGGGGTTTCGCTATGTTGCCTAAGCTTGAGTCCAGCAGCTATCAACATGTATGATCACAATGCACTATAGTCTCGAATTCCTGGGCTCAAGCGATCCTCTTGCCTAAGCCTCCTGAGTAGTTGGGACTACAGGTGCACATCACTGCATTTGACTTGTGGACTGATTTTTGCAACAAATATTTTAAAATTAATTTTCCTTCATTTTGAAAGTATGTGGCATAAAAATTATCACAGTGCAGAGGATGTGGAAAACTGAAAACATTTGCTAATAAAACCAGTTTGCTAATAAAACCACCATTTAAAACAAACACAGCAGGCTGGGCACAGTGGCTCACACCTGTAATCCTAGCACTTTGGGAGGCCGAGATGGGCGGATCACGAGGTCAGGAGATCGAGACCATCCTGGGTAACACGGTGAAACCCCGTCTCTACTAAAAATACAAAAAAATTAGCCAGGTGTGGTGGTGGGCGCCTGTATTCCCAGCTACTCGGGAGGCTGAGGCAGGAGAATGGCGTGAACCTGGGAGGCGGAGCTTGCAGTGAGCCGAGATTGCGCCACTGCACTCCAGCCTGGGCGACGGAGTGAAACTCCGTCTCAAAAAAAAAAAAAAAAAACACACAGCATTTTGGTATATTTCCTCCTGATCTTTTCCTTTCTTCCTTTTTTTTTTTGAGACTGTTTTGCTTTGTCTCCCAGGCTGGAGTGCAGTGCTGTGATCTCGGCTCACTGCAACCTTCACCTGCTGGATTCAAGTGATTCTTGCACTTCAGCCACCCAAGTAGCTGGGATTACAGGTGTGCACCACCATGCCTGACTAATTTTCATATTTTCAGTACAGACAGTGTTTTGCCATCTTGGCCAGGCTGGTCTTGAACTCTTGGCAGCAAGTGATCCACCTGCCTCGGCTTCGCAAAGTGCTGGGATTTCAGGCATGAGCCACTGTGCCTGCCCTAATCTTTTTTCTTTATGCCTTTTAGGAAATGGAGGTGTAATCAGCATACAAACAATTTGGTTTCCTTTCAGCAACTAATTCCAATTAAGAATGGGTGCAGCTGGCCGGGCACAGTGGCTCACACCTGTAATCCCAGCACTTTGGGAGGCCGAGGCGGGCGGATCACGAGGTCGGGAGATCGAGACCATCCTAGCTAACACCGTGAAACCCCATCTCTACTAAAAATACAAAAAATTAGCCGGGCATGGTGGCGGGCGCCTGTAGTCCCAGCTACTTGGGAGGCTGAGGCAGGAGAATGGCGTGAACCCGGGAGGCGGAGCTTGCAGTGAGCCGAGATTGCGCCACTGTACTCCAGCCTGGGCGACGGAGCGAGACTCCGTCTCAAAAAAAAAAAAAAAAAAAAAAAAGAATGGGTGCAGCACACCAGCATGGCACATGTATACATATGTAATTAACCTGCACATTGTACACATGTATCCTAAAACTTAAAGTATAATAAAAAAAAAAAGAATGGTGTTTCAAGGAAGCAAAGGAAACAAAATGGTGCTTCAGGACTATAAGACTAAGATTTGCTTTGAAGATGTTTTAAGAGTTGGAACTATTCATAAAATGCATTTTTGTGGATAATTACCAAAGTCTGTACTGTAAAGGACTTATGGAATCCACTGGAGCCCCATTTGTACTCTAGCATATTATTACTCTGAGCCCTATAAGGCATGTATGTTGTGTGTATATACATAAATACATATGTATATACCTATATGGTAAGCATTATTATTCTCATTTGAGCAGCAAGACTTTGATGCTCAGTAGGGCAATTTGTTTCAGGTGACAAGGCTTGTAAGTAACAGGAGGTGGAACTCAAATACAAATCTGCCCATTTGTCCACTGTACTCCATAATTAGGCAGGTAAACTCTAGGAAGATCACTAAGTGGCAAGATATAACAGATGGTCTGTGATTTACTGTGTATAAGAAATTGTACTAGGCAATTTAAACTCATTACCTCATTAGTTCTCATGATTCTAGGATATACTATTATCCCATTTCACAGATAGAGAAACCAAGATCTCGAAAGATAAGTAGTTTGTTCAAGGCAACATAGCCAAGTACGATAAAAGAGTGGGGATCTAAGATTCAGTAATTCTAAATCTGTCCATGTCTCTGATGGTCTCTTACAATTGTTACTATTTTCTTAAGAGAAGTCATCTGGATAGAATCTGAATACAAGGTAATTTTTCTTTTCTTGAGACAAAGTTTTCCTCTGTAGCCCAGGCTGAAGTACAGTAGCAGGATCTCGGCTCACTGCAACTGCCTCCCTGGTTCAAGAGATTCTCCTGCCTCAGCCTCCCGAGTAGCTGGGACTACAGGTATGCACCAGCATGCCTGGCCAATTTTTGTATTTTTTAGTAGAGACGAGATTTCACCGTGTTGGCCAGGCTGGTCTCGAACTCCTGACTTCAAGTGATCTGCCTGCCTCGGCCTCCCAAAATGCTGGGATTACAGGCGTAAGCCACTGCGCCTGGCTAAAGGTGATTTTCCTTTGCTCTAAAGTGAGGGTCCAGGCAGCTGCCTCTGAAGCTTTAAGGGTCTACCGTCCTCTATGAGTCCCCAGGCTCGAGAAAGGCAAATGGGGATAAAACATTGTGAAGAACTAGTGACAAATCCCTAAGTGAAAGTGATCATTTAAAGAATAATGGTAATAACAACAGCCTTACTTTGTACCAGGCACCGTGACAGATACATTTCACATACTATTCTGAGCCCTACAAAGAAGGCATTATTATCCCCACTTTACAGAGTGAGAATCAAGCTCAGGAGAGTGTTCTGTTTAAGGCATGTAAGTAACAGGAGCCAGAATTCAAACACAAATCTGCCCGATGCCAAACCACCCCCTCTCCAGGGTCCTGACATAGGGAAAACGGCATGTAAGAAGGGAACTAAAATTTTGACTTTCTGCCATCCTGGGTTTTGTGTGATTGTTTCAATGTAGAAGGCAATATGGCCACATGACAGAAGTTCTGAAAGGCAGGAGGAAAGAACATATTTTGTCTTAATACAACCACCACTTTTTATTATTTTGATGTCTTTTAGGTTTTTTTCATACCTATCCCTCCTCCACTTTAATGGTACCCTATAGGAAGCTCTGATTTCATTGATAAAAGTCATAGGGCCAAAATATTTCAGTGTCTTACCTGTTAACAAGGTCGTACAGCTCTGGCATTGTTTTTGCACTGACAAAATGCTGTGTTTTGAAGCCATTTTTCTTATCAAGTAGATAGAGTGGATGGAACCACTCTAAGAGTGAGTGGTATAGTCCATAGCGGATGTTCCTTAAACAGAAAAACAGAACAGCAACTGTCATTAAGCATAGAACAAATAATTTATTTTAAGGAAAATCAGTTCTAGCATTTTTTCATTTCAGTGGCACTCACTCATAAGAGCATATAGAGAGGAATGGGATCCAAAACCATTTCCTTAAATTATTCACTATTCACTTAAGCAAAATGAGGTTTACTGTGTTTTTGATTAAACACATAACTACCTTTTATACATAAATATCTTAACACCAAAATATTATTTAAACCATCTTTTATCTTTTAAGTCAATTATCCCAACAGAGTATAGTCCTGCTGGGCGCAGTGGCTCATGCCTGTAATCCCAGCACTTTGGGAGGCTGAGGTGGGAGGATCCCTTGAGTCCATGAGTTTGAGACCAGCCTGGGCAACATAGTGAGACCTTGTCTCCACAAAAACTGTAAAAATTAGCTGAGTGTGGTGGTGCGAGCCTGTAGTCCCAGCTACTTGGGAGGCTAAAGTGGGAGGATGGCTTGAGCCCAGGAGGTAGAGATTGCAGTGAGCTAAGATTGTGCCACTGGAGTCTAGCAAAGGCGACAGAGTGAGACCCTGTCTCAAAACAAAAACAAAACAAAACAAAACAAAAAACCATATAGCCTTATTTTTAAAAAATGTCTTCCCTGTCAATCATAAAATTTCATATTTAAAGAAACTGGAAAATAGAAAATCAAATATGCAAAGTACTCTTACTCAGAAATAATCATTAGTAACATTTTCCACACAGTTGAAATGAATATAGGTTTATCGTTTTATTTATCTAAGATTTACTAATAGTTCTTTCTCTTTTTTTCCTTTTTTTTTTTTTTTTTGAGATGGAGTCTCGCTCTGTCGCCCAGGCTGGAGTGCAGTGGCGCAATCTCGGCTCACTGCAAGCTCTACCTCCCGGGTTCACGCCATTCTCCTACCTCAGCCTCCCAAGTAGCTGAGACTACAGGTGCCCACCACCACACCCAGCTAATTTATTTTTTATTTTTACTAGAGACGGGGTTTCACTGTGTTAGCCAGGATGGTCTTGATCTCCTGACCTCATGATCCACCCGCCTCGGCCTCCCAAAGTGCTGGGATTACAGGCGTAAGTCACCACGCCTGGCCAAACTAATAGTTCTTAACGTACACAAAATGAAATGTGGTTGATGACCTATTTTCATATTTAATAAAGCTTGCTTTGGGTTAAGAATGGTGAGTGTTACAAAAACCTTATAATGCAAGAAGCAATTACACAGATAAAAAACAACTGAAGTATTTCATCATATGACCCAGGGACTAAATAAAGATGGTAAAAATCATGACTCCTGAAGTCCATATCTAATCAATATCTCAGAGTTTTACAGCAGGACTTTAAGCAAAGCACAGTGCTGAGAAACAAACTGAGCAGGTGACAGGAGTCAGCAAACTCTTTTTGTCTTTTTTCTTTTTTTTTTTTTTTTGAGACGGAGTCTCGCTCTGCCACCCACGCTGGAGTGCAGTGGTGCGATCTTGGCTCACTGCAACCTCCGCCTCCTGGGTTCAAGTGATTCTCCTACCTCAGCCTCCCGAGTTGCTGGGACTACAGGCAAACGCCACCACGCCCGGCTAATTTTGGTATTTTTAGTAGAGACAGGGTTTCACCATATTGGTCAGGTTGGTCTTGAACTCCTGACCTCATGATCTGCTTGCCTCTGCCTCCCAAAGTCCTGGGATTACAAGTGTGAGTCAACGCACCCGACCAGTGAACTCTTAAAGATCCAGACAGTGTTTTAGGTTTTGCAGGCCATTTGGTCTCTATCTCAGCTCTCAAATTGTAGCTTGAAAGCAGTCACAGACAGTGCATAAATGAATAGGCATGGCTGTGTTCCAATCAAACTTTATGATTTATACAGACACTCAGCCTACTCCTCAAACAGGACATCAAGTAGCATCGTAGTCTATGTTGGGTATCCTTCATCTAACCAGACATGGCCATGAACTTCTGTAACGGTGTCCCCTTTGGTCACGTGAAAACTGTGAAGCATCAAACACTGCCAATTCAAAGGCCAGAAGCCCTTCCGGCTACTTGCTATATGCAAACCTAGAAAACACACAGGAGTAGAAGGCCAAAAGCCCTTCAGGCTACTTGCTATATGCAAACCTAGAAAACACACGCAAGTAGAGGAGGTACAGAACTCTTGACAGCCAGATCCAAAGAGATAACAGAGTAACCATCCCTGGACACTCACCTCTTCCGGAGAGCTGTTCCCAATTCACCAACCAAATCCCGATGAGGCCCCACGTCTTTGGAGTTCCAGTTCCAAGACACAGGACTCGGCCAGTTTGTGAAGCCTTCGTGATGCTTTGTCGTCAAAACTACATACCTGTGGACAGCAAAACCACATGAGCAAAGGAAGTGGGCAGTGAACTTGCATGAACTTGCCCAGCATGCCTGAGGCTTTTTAAATAGCTGAAAGAACTTGACCACAACAAATGTACTTGTACCAGTGACTATATTAGTGATATCCAGGAAGCTGCTGCAGTCACAATTCCCCTTGGGCATTGCTCCAAGAATGGAAGCAGATTTGAGGAAGTCCCAACCCTCAGTCCCCAGCAAAGGAGGAGGCCCAGAGGGAAGGAAGGAGTGGGTAAGGGAAAAGAAGTGCACCTTAGCTCTCTGATTCTTCAACACTTCTGGTAGGAACGATTAACTTTCTTTCATTCTTTGCCCTGAAGGAGAAAGAGCTCTACTGGAAATGGCAGATAATAGAAAACTAAGCCATTTGCTGGCCAGGCATGGTGGCTCACACCTGTAATCCCAGCACTTTGGGAGGCCAAGGTGGGCGGATTACCTGAGGTCAGGGGTTCAAGACCAACCTGGCCAATGAGGCGAAAACCCATCTCAACTAAAAATACAAAAATTAGCCGGGCATGGTGGTGTGTGCCTGTAGTCCCAGGTATTTGAGAGGCTGGGGCATAAGAATCACTTGAGCCTGGGAGACAGAGGTTGCAGTGAGCCGAGATCATGCAACTGTACTCCAGCCTGGGCTACAGAGCAAAACTGTTTCAAAACAACAATAACAACAAAATAGAAAACTTTCTAGAAAACTAAGCTGTTTGGTTTACCAAGCCTACATAAATTGCCTCTCATTTATTATAGAGGTGACAAAAGACCCAATAACTGGGAGAAAAGGCAAGTGTTGAAATAACAACCAAATCACTCAATATTTAATTTGCTTTTATGGCACAAAAATAGGTAATGCACTTTATGGTTCAATCATTGGCCAGAGTAGGGAACTCCAGGATTTGAAGGGCCAGATAGTATTTTAGGCTCTGTGGGAGCACATTCCTCTCTGTAGTGTATTCTTCTTTAAAACATTTTACAACCCTTTAAAAATGTAAAAACCATTCTCACCTCATGGGCCTTAAAAAACTGGCAGAGGACCAATCCCTCTGGCCAGTTTGCAGACCCTGGTGCAGTGGAAACAACCTTGACGTCATGAGACCTGGAGTCTAGGACATTATATTCCTTCCTCTCTTTGGGCCAGTCATCTCATCCATGAAATAAAAGGCATGGAAAGAGGTTATCTCCCAGATTTTAATTTTTCTCACTTGTAAGTTATGGATCCCTAAGGCCCCTAGGAGACAAACACTTCCTCTGCTTAATCAAGTCTTATACTCCCATACATTTAATGGCAAACACTAAATGCCAGTTGTAACTTCTCTTTAGTACAAGTGAATTCAAAGTTCAAGAGAAACGAAAACCCGGAAGATGGCTGAGGAACCAAGGTAAGGATGGAAGACTGCTCTAAGCCAGGGGCTGGGGAAACCTCCCCGCCTCCATTTTTACTCTTCTCCAACCCACTTCTCTCCCAGCAGCCGAATGAATCTTTCTAGAAGCTGATAGTAACCACTCCCTGACTTAACATCTGTCAATACAGGGCTCTCAAGGCTCACTCCTTCAGGACAAGCCCCTGCCTTGACAACTTCATGGGTCGTGGTCTCCCCTTATCCCCACCCCAGCGCTCTCTACTCTGTTCTCTGAACCAGCCACCCCCAAGTTCCAACAGTTCTCAGAGAGAGTCAGACCCTTCCTGGACACTTCCTACGTAAAAGGGATTGAGAGGAGCAAACGAATGACTATCTGTACTGTTGCCCAAATACACTGCACACCAGAACTCCCCTCTCTTTCCCTCTTAGAGACATTAGGGCTCAAAGGGTTGTATCCTTATATAACCCCTTTCTACAACCATAGAAGAGGCTGCAGGGAGGCTGAAGTGACATGTCCAGGTTCACAGTTGAATTAGAACCAGGCTCCACACCACTGATTTGAAACCCTGGAGTCCTGATAGTGCTGTCAATCTGAAAGGGACATCAGGTATGGCCTAACTCAGCCCTCTCGGTGCACAGGTGCAGATACCCAGGGCTTCCCAGCCTGCCATCTCCCTGAACCTTCATTTATCAGTCCCCAGTCAAACGCACCTCCTCCTCCTCATCAGGTGTGCCAGGCTCACTCCTGTGGCCGCAGGAGGCCACACGCGGGCCCCGGGGTCATGGGGGCGACCGGCAGCTGCGCGCCCCAGCTGGCCGCCCAGCCCCACCTCCTGTTTGCCGCCCGAGCCGGGAAGGGGCGCCGCTCCCCGGGACCACACTCACTTGGCGCCCGCGGCCTGGAAGAGGTCGGCCCACTCCTCCGGGTGGAAGAAGCGCGCAGTGAACTGCGGTCCGAAGTCGGCGTAGCTGAAGCCGGGCGGGTAGTTGTCGCGCATGAAGCGCTGGTACTGCGGCCGCCCCTCGCCCTGCCAGTGCCACCAGAACCACTCGCTGCCCCAGGCGGGCACCGAGAACACGCCCCAGTGGATGAACACCCCGAACTTGGCTTCGTCGAACCAGGCCGGCAGCGGCCGAGAATCCAGGCTCGGCCAGTCTGGGGTGTAGCGGCGCGGAGGCTGGGCCCGACGCACCGACTCGGCCGCTCCGAGGAAGAGCAGCAGCAGCAACAGCGCGGGACCCGCCGGCCGCGACCTCATCCCCGGAGCCCGCATCGCTACCCCTCAGCGACGCGGCCCACTCTTAACGCGCAGGTGCCCGCGGGCGGCTCCGCCCACTCTGACTAACGATTGGCCCGGAAGGAAAAAGGGGTGGGACAACCTGGACAGGTTGGCCCGAGTCGCTTCCTCCTCGGGTCGGAGGAGCGCCCTCTGGTGCTCAAGAAGGGAAAGACGCAGGGAGGCGTTGACAGCGCTTCGCTGAAGGACGAATAAAAACCTTGAAAAGGGACTTAACTGCGAGGTTAAATCGTGGAGGTGAGCAAGGCCCAGTGTGTGCGGAGAACTCACATTTAAGAAGGAGTCCATTGAGCCGGACGCAGTGGCTCACGCCTGTAATCCTAACACTTTCGGAAGTCGAGGCGGGAGGATCGCTCTGAGCCCACAAGTTGGAGACTAGCCTGTCTCTATAAAAAATAAACAAAATGAGCCTGGCGTAGTGGTGCACGTCTGGAGTCCCAGCTACTCGAGAGGCTGAGGTGGGAGGTTCGGGATCGCTTGAGCCCGGGAAGTCTGGGCTGCAGTGAACCGAACCGTGATCACGCCTCTGGGAGTAGTCCATTTTGCCGCAGCAATCCTGCAGGGGTAGGCTGAAGTGAGATCACGAGTTTTATTTAGTGATCACTTGGGAGCCATAGGGGGCTTTTGAGTTGTCCTGTAGCACAAGGCTGGAGGAGGAGATAACAGACCGGAAGGGTATCTAACAGCCCTGACAGAAATAAGGAGGTAGAGGGATGATGGGAAGAAACGTTATGAAAGGAGAGGAAAGAGAAAACTGGGTACTGAAAGAGGGAGAGCGGGCAGGACCGTTTCATCTGTCTGGTATTTACTGAGCTTTCTTTGGGAATTCCGAGGCATTTCAAATAGCTTAGTTTGTACCGAGATACCGCCACTGCACTCCAGCCCCTGGGCGACAGAGCCAGACCAAGGAAGAAAGAAAGGAAGGAAGGAAGGAAGGAAGGAGGAAGGAAGGAAGGAAGGAGGAAGTGGAGAGCCAAGAGGACCCAGGATTGCCTGGCAGGGAAGTTCCCCAGTTCCTCTGCAATTTGCACATGCTGCACATACTCAAACGGGAGGTGAGGCCATTAGCGAGGGAAATACGGAAGTCAGAAGTCTCTGAACAGACAAGGTGGCTCACGCCTGTAATCCCAGCACTTTGGGAGGCCGAGGTGGGCAGATCACCTGAGGTCGGGAGTTTGAGACCAGCCTGGCCAACATGGTGAAACCCCATCTCTACTAAAAATACAAAAATTAGCCGGGCATGGGGTGCGCCTGTAATCCCAGCTACTCAGGAGGCTGAGGCAGGAGAATTGCTTGAACTCGGGAGGTGGAGGTTACAGTGAGCCGAGATCGCACCACTGCACTCCAGCCTGGGCGACAGAGTGAGACTCGGTCTCAAAAAAAAAAAAAAAAAAAAAGAAAAAGAAAAGGAAGAAGAAGTCTCATGACTCCACGTAGCACACTCAGTTCCCACATGCCAGTGAGAGAATGGCAGCACATCAGAGTTGGGACTTTGAAGATCCTAGGCACCATCCTCTTCCCTACCCTTCCCATTGTACCGAGGAGGGAACTGAAGCCCAGAGAGGGCTGGGGGGCTGCCCAAGATCATGCAGCTAGTTTGAGTCAGAGGTGGGACTAGAATACGTGTCTCCAGGTGCAAAATCTATGCCTTTGTTCATGCTGCTTCTTTCTTGCACCTCATGAGAAGTCAGAGCCTATGTTGACAGAACCCAGCACTTCCTCACTCTGGCAGTGACAAGGAGAGAAAATGACTATTGCTGAATCACAGCTGTTTTCTTTTCTTTTCTTTTCTTTTTTCTTTTCTTTTCTTTTGAGATGCAGTCTTGCTCTGTCGCCCAGGCTGGAATGCAGTGCTGCAATCTCAGCTCACTGCAACCTCCACCTCCTGGGTTCAAGCCATTCTCCTGCCTCAGCCTCCCGAGTAGCTGGGTTTACAGGTACGCCACCACGCCTGGCTAATTTTTGTATTTTTAATACAGATGGGGTTTCGCCGTGTTGGCCAGGCTGGTCTCGAACTCCTGACCTCAAGTGATCCGCCAGCCTCAGCCTTCCAAAGTGCTGGGATTACAGGCATGAGCCACTGCACCCGGCCTACAGCTATTTTCTTTATCTTCTGTTTCTTTTTCTGCCAGATTATGTTGAAATATTGCCCAAAACAGTAAGCATGAACACCTTAGGAAAAAAACCGAACCCATCCACACACATTTTCTAGTAATCGGTTTGCATAGTGGTCTTTAATGTTACAGAGCTTGTCTTGGGGAAGATAAAATGGGACATTGTGATCTTCAATTTATTTCTCCTTATCCACATAACCAAAATGTGAACCTGCAGGGACAGGTGAGAGGCACTGATGTAGAGTGGACAGAACTGGAAGTTAGGAAACCTAGGTTTGTTGCACTGGACACCATCTCGTTTGTCTCCCTGAGCAAGTCTTGTCCACTGTCTGGGCCCATTTCCTCAACCAAACAACAAGGGCAGTTCTCAGTGATATCTAGGTCCCTTTTGCACCCTTGTTCTCCTCCCTCATAAGCTCTGCTTCTCCACTTAAAGCAGACATAGGGGCTGGGAGTGGTGGCTCACACCTGTAATCCTAGCACTTTGGGAGGCTAAGGTGGGTGGATCACTTGAAGTCAGGAGTTCAAGACCAGCCTGGCCAATATGGTGAAATTCCATCTCTACTAACAATACAAAAATTAGCTGGGCATGGTGGCGGGTACCTGTAATCCCAGCTACATGGGAGGCTAAGGCAGGAGAACTGCTTGAACCCAGGAGGCAGAGGTTGCAGTGAGCCAAGATTGCATGCCACTGCACTCCAACCTGGGTGACAGAGTGAGATTCTATGTCAAAAAAAAAAAAAAAAAAAAAAAAAGCAGAAATACAGTGTGGTTCTAAAAGAAGAGAAGTAGAAAGTGTGGAGTTGCGTTTGATCAAATGATTTTTAGAATCTAGTTTTATTCATTCAAGAAGTATTTACTCAGTGCTTGTTTGTGCCAGGCACTTGGGCATTTTCTTTGCCAAAATGAGAAAGGATTCCACCGATGAATAAAGAAAGGCATGCTTCAACTTTAAGGAATGACAGTATATAAACATGCAAATTCACTTTTAAACATTTATGCTACTTGTTTGCCTTACAAAAAGATTGGTGTCTGGATTAAAACAAGATTTGATTTTCCAAAACATACGTCAGAGCTTTTCAGAAACAGTTCAGTTCCACACATATTGACCAGATCCCTTCAGATGCTCTGCTGGGTCCTGACTGAGCACTGGGGATGCAGAGGTCAACCTGGAGCTCATCTTGTTGAGGGAGGATAAACTAGTGACTGCCACTCAACACAGCCCAGTGGGTGGACTTTGTTCCTGGGTCTGTACTGAGTTGAATAGTGTCCGCCTAAACTTCTTGTCCACCTGGAATCTGTGAATGTGACCTTATTTGGAAACAGGGTCTCTACAGATATAATTGGTTAAATTAAGATGAAGTCATACTATTAGGATTAGGGTGGGCCCAAATCCAGTGACTGATATTCTTTAAAAAAGACACCAGGCCGGGTATGGTGGCTCACGTCTGTAATCCCAGCAATTTAGGAGGCCAAGGTGGGCGGATCACTTGAGGTCAGGAGTTCAAGACCAGCCTGGGCAAGATGGTGAAACCCCATCTCTACTAAAAATACAAAAATTAGCTGAGTGTGGTGGCGGGTGCCTGTAGTCCCAGCTATTTGGGAGGCTGAGGCAGGAGAATCACTTGAACCTGAGAGGTGGAGGTTGCAGTGAGCCAAGATCATGTCACTGCACTCCTGCCTGGACAACAGAATGAGATTCCGTCTCAAAAAAAAAAAAAAAAAAAAAAAAGACACCAAGAGACACAGAGGAAATGCCATATGAAGACAGAGTCAGAGGTAGGAGTGATGTTTCCACAAGCCAAGGAATGACAGGGACTGCCAGAAGTTGAAAGAGTCAAGGAATAATTCTCCCCTTAAACTTTTGGAGGGAGCAGGGCCCTACCACATCTTGATTTTGACTTCTGGCCTCCAGAATTATGAGACAGTAAATTTCTGTTGATAAGCCACTGGATTTGTGAAATTTATTACAGGAGATTAATACGGGGCCATTTAATAAAATGGAGTATATTGAGAATCTACGATGAGTTAACTTTGCAGCAATCTGATGCTACAGATAGCTAATATTATCCCTAATGAGCAATAATCAAGCAGAATTTGACTGAACTAGGACAAAAGGTTAGTGGTTAAGAGGGCAGGCTTTGAAGTCAAACAGAACTAGGTTGGAGACCTCAGCTCTGGTACTTAGCAGGGTGACCTTAGACAAGTGACTTTGCATCTTTGAGGTTGCCACATCTGTAAAATGAAGATAACTAAGACCTTCTTATTAGGTTGTTGGGAAACATGAAGTGAAATAAGGCATTTAAAAACACTTAGCCCCCTGCCTGGCACATAGTAAAGGCTCAATAAAAGTGAGCCGGCACATGGTAGGTCTATCCTACCGTTTATTGAGTTAACTCAATTAATCCCTATTACATGACATGAACCTGCATATTTCCTTTGTTGTACTGCCTGTAATTATCTTCTTTATTGACTTATTGGCTGTCTTGCAAGCAGGATATAGACTGTAAGCCCCATGAGACAGGGGCACAGTCTCATTTATGGCTGGGTACTCAGGACCCTGCACAGAGCCTGGCTCATGTTTATGAGATGAATGAATAAGTGAATAGCTAGTGGATATTTTGTCTTGAAAGTATTAAACGAAGACATGTTTAACCAATATCTTTCATTTTATTCCATTTGAGGTCCCAAATAATTGCATTAGAATTCCTCTGCAATCTTCCTGCCGCCAACAATTTCTCTTGTTGGCTGTTTTAGGCTCCTCTGGGAGGAACCCAGCCTCCCTCATATGAAAAATGAGTACCCTGGGATCTATTTTATTTTATTTTTTTGAGACAGTCTTGCTCTGTCACCCAGGCTGGAGTGCAGTGGTGCAATCTCGGCTCACTGCAACCTCTGCCTCCAGGGTTCAAGCAATTCTCCTGTCTCAGCCTCCCGAGTAGCTGGGACTACAGGTGCCTGCCACCATGCCCTGCTAATTTTTGTATTTTTAGTAGAGACAGGGTTTCACCATATTGGTCAGGCTGGTCTCAAACTCCTGACCTCAGGTGATCCACCTGCCTTGGCCTCCCAAAGTGCTGGGATTACAGGCATGAGCTACCATGCCTGGCCCCTGAGATCTTTAAAATCATGGAGCTATATTCTAGCTGGGGTCAATAGACTGAAATGTCAGCCCCATACCTGGCATATAGGAAGGACATTTCCCCTCCTCCCACTTGCTCTGCTTATTATATGTAATAGGGGTGTGGAGGAGGCAAGGGAGCTGAATTGGGGGCAGATAGGGGAACAGTTTGGAGATTTATACAATCTTTGTGAATATCTTCCTTTTTTTCTTCGAGTTAGGTTAGACTAGGACATTGCCTGCTTCCAGCAGCACCACCAGGACTGCTGCTGGAAGGACTTCAGAGGGTCAAGAAAATTCTCCAAAGATTTTTGTGTCTCAGGCGATCCCAGCCTCCTCTGTATTTCCAGGGACCTGAGGTTACAGGTGGGGATTATCAGAATATCAGAGAGGGTCCTCGCCCAAACAACAGGATGCCCCAAACTGAAGGCTTGTCATTTATCTCTGAAAGAGGCAAGTCAACACCTTAATCCTCATCATAGCATAGTCCTCGGTCCTCAGTGGCAAGGGTGACTTGAAAGTGGGGCCTTTCATAGCTCCAGAGCCAAGGAGGCCTTGACAATTAGGCAGAGAGAAGACCTGGATGTCCATCCCATCTGATACCCTGACTTCCCAAGAGAACAACCCATTCTTCTCAGATTTCTCCCAAGTCCCTCATTGCTGGGCCTGGAGGCTCGCTTTGGCTCCTGTGGTCTCTGGAGGATGCAGGCATGAAGCCTGACCTGACTTGTACTGACCCTGTCCCAGGCCTTTTGTGTCTCGCCTACCTGGCTACTCCTCGTGGCCCTACCTATCCAACAGACTGTGTGCAGGTGGGCAAGGCCAGGCTGTCTTCCAGGAGTCAGTCCCAACACTCATCAGCAAAAAGGGGTCCGTGTCTAGGTGTCTGGGACTGGTTTAAGTAAGAAGAGAGTGCCAAGACCCCTCTCTCTCTTCCAGGGAGTGAACTGATTTCTGACTTGAGTTGTTTAAATTGGGAAGAGGCCTCATCAGCAATCAGAGAGGTCTAGATCTCTGGAATCTGGCCACGGAGTGATTTTCCCATCAGCCTCTGTCTCGGTGACTGAGGATCTCGGGGCTTCTTCTTTTGCCTCTGACCCAAGGCCCCTCACACACTTCTTCCAGTGAGCCAGGCAGTGATGGGCAGAGGAGCGGATCTCTCCACTCCGTAGAGCATAGATGACAGGGTTGACCATGGAGTTGATGAGGCACAGCATGGAGCAGAAAGCAAAGGCCTTCTTGACCTGGTCACTGAGCGTAGTGGCCAGGCTGTGGGCCATGAGGGCCAGCACTGGGAACCAACAGATGAGGAGCACAGCCAACACTAGCCCTAGGGTCTTGGCCAACCTCACATCCAGCCTCATTCGGGCCATTCCTGGCACCTGCCTGTCCTGGTGGCCAGACAAGCTGGCCACATGCTGATGGGCCTTCCAGAGAACATGCCCATAGGTGTAGATGATTCCGGAAAAGAGGAAGGCGATGAACAGGAGCCAGCTCAGCAGGTAGTCATTGGGGATCAGTGGGAAAAGCTCAGAGCAGGGCCTGGGACAGCAAGTCCATCCCATGAGGGGCAGGTAGGAGACTAGTGCTGAGAGGACCCACATGATGCCCAGGGTCACCAGTGCCCTTCCACGGGTGAGCAGAGCTTTGTAGGAAGGTGGATAGCGCAGGCAGAGGTATCGGTCAATGGCGGTCAGCAGGAGGCTACCCACAGAGGCTGTGAAGGTCATAGTCACGCTGCCAATCTTCAGCAGGAAGACAGCCTTGGAATCCACACCATGGAAAACATGGAAATTCACAAAGCTGCATGCAAAGACCACACTGGCCAGGAAGTCAGCCCCAGCCAAGCTGCCAATGAACAGGTATGAGGGCTTCCGGCGGAGTTGGTGGGAGGACAGGATCAGATAGAGCACAGCCACGTTCTCCAGGGCACTTAGCAGGCCCAGAAGAGTGCACAACACAGCAACAGCTGTCTTCTGGGGACCACTCAGGATCATGTAATCCTTCATAGGGTTGGAATCCAAGCCATCCTTGGAGCCATTGGCTATCTCTGTCACCCAGCATTCCTCCATGGGGTGGGCCCTTCAGATTCCACTGAGCTTGTCTAGAAGGCTTTGCTGCAGTACAATGAGAAGAAGAAAATAATCTTTTTCAGTAAGCACAAGAATGACCTCACCTGATAACTGACTGTAGCCAAAACTGCTACCTGTATGGATGGATTCTATGTGGGAAAATCAGTTTCTGTTTTGTTTGCCTGTATTTTGCCCTTTCTCCATCCAAGCAGGAAGCCAGATCTGTCCTGGCTGCCTCAGGGGAGGTACGTGGGAATGCAACAAGCAGAAGTGACTTGTGAGATTTTTGGCCTTCCATTTTCCAAAAGACTAATCCTAAGACTTCCTTTTGAAGCAAGGGAAATCCCAAAAGGTCAAAACCAAGAGGAAATCAAAACCAAGAAGAAATGGAATCTAGAGTGATAAGGTTGAGGGTTTTTTTGTTTGTTTTACATTTTGTTTTGTTAATTTGCCAATTTCGGCAAGTAAAGTACTGAAGTTTTAACAACTATTTGGGGATGGGATTTATGAATTTGGCTTAACATCAAGTGATGGGAAGAGAAAGTACAGAAGATTAAACAATTTATTTTATTTTAATTTTTATTTATTTATTTATTTATTTATTTTTGAGACAAAGTCTTGCTCTGTTGCCCAGGCTGGAGTGCAGTGGTGTGATCTCGGCTCACTGTAACCTCTGCCTCCCAGGCACAAGAGATTCTCCTGCCTCAGCCTCCCAAGTAGCTGGGACTACAGGCACCCACCACACCTGGCTAATTTTTGTACTTTTAGTAGAGACCGGGTTTCACCATGTTGGCCAGCTGGTCTCGAACTCCTGATCTGAGGTGATCCACCCACCTCAGCCTCCTAAAGTGCTGGAATTACAGGCATGAGCCACTGCGCCTGGCCAAAACATTTTATACTAGATAAAATATAGGAGTCCAGTTAAATTTGAATGTTGGCTGGGCACGGTGGTTCACGCCTGTAATCCCAACACTTGGGGAGGCTAAGGAAGGCGGATCATGAGGTCAGGAGATCGAGAACATCCTGGTTAACATGGTGAAACCCCGTCTCTACTAAAAATACAAAAAATTAGCTGGGCGTGATGGCACGTGCCTGTAGTCCCAGCTACTTGGGATGCTGAGGCAGGAGAATTGCTTGAACCCAGGAGGCAGAGGTTGCAGTGAGCCGAGACTGTGCCATTGCACTCCAGCCTGGGCGACAGAGCAAGACTCTGTCTCAAAAAAAAAAAAAAAAAAAAGATGAATGTCAATAAGAAGTAACTTTTTAGTATATGTCACAAATATTGAAGAAAAAACCCTCAGGAACCTAGATATTGTACGGTTTATTATTAGACATTATTAGAAAGCAAACTAAACATTTATTTGGAGCGATTCACTTTCTAAACAGGTTGTATAGGAATACCACATATAAAGGCCCGTGAAATTTGAGTTCACAATGCAAAATGCATAAGGAAACATGAGCAAGAGTCAGCAGAAACGTCAGACAGTAGAATTCCACTTTCAATAACTTCATATAATTCTTGGGTATACCTTAAAAAAAAAGTCTGATATAAAAACAATAAAGAATTAAAAACATGAGTACAGAATGAGAGATTGTTTCTGGGTAGATCTGAAAAAGATTCAAGTAGAATTTCTGGAAGTCAAAAATAAAATCATTGAAAAAAGAGATCCTTAAGGGATGAGTTAAAGAGCAAAACAGAACAACTGAAAAGCATTGATCTAGAACGTAGATCTGGTGGCCGGGCACGGTGGCTCACGCCTGTAATCCCAGCACTTTGGGAGGTCAAGGTGGGTGGATCATGAGGTCAGGAGATTGAGACCATCCTGGCTAACACGGTGAAACCTCGTCTCTACTAAAAATACAAAAAATTAGCTGGGCATGGTGGCAGGTGCCTGTAGTCTCAGCTACTCAGGAGGCTGAGGCAGGAGAATGGCGTGAACCCGGGAGGCGGAGCTTGCAGTGAGCCGAGAGCCGAGATGGCGCCACTGCACTCCAGCCTGGGCAACAGAGCAAGACTCCATCTCAAAAAAAATAAAAAGAAAAAAAAAGAAAGTAGATCTGGGGCTGGGCACAGTGGCTCACGCCTGTAATCCCAACATTTTGGGAGGCTGAAGTGATGGATCACCTGAGGTCAGGAGTTCAAGACTAGCCTGGCTAACATGATGAAACCCTGTCTCTACTAAAAATACAAAAATTAGCCGGGCACGATGGTGGACACCTGTAATGCCAGCTACTCAGGAGGCTGAGGCAGGAGAATCGCTTGAACCCCGGATGCAAAGATTGCAGTGAGCTGAGATCGCACCACTGCACAGCAGCCTGGGCGATAAGAGTGAAACTCCATCTCAAAAAAAAAAAAAAGAATGTAGCTCTGAAGAAATTTCTCACAATGCAGAACAAAGAGATAAAGTGATGGAAAACAAGAAAGAGAAGTTAAGAGTTATGAAGGATTGAGTAAAAATGTTTATATCTCAGAGGAGTGTTAGAGAGGATAAACAGAGAAAACTGGTGGTGGGCAATAGTCAAAGAGGTAGTAGTAAAGAATTATCCATCCAGCCTGGGCAACATGGGAAAACCCCATCTCTACAAAAAAATACAAAAATTAGCTGGATGGTGGTGCATGCCTATTGTCTCAGCTACTTGGGAGGCTGAGGTGGGAGGATCACTTGAGCCCAGGGAGGCCAAGGCTTCAGTGAGCCATGATCATGCCATTGCACTGCAGCCTGGGCAACAGAATGAGACCCTGCCTCAACAACAAAAAAGAATTATTCAGGATCCATGAAAAATAAGACTATTCAGATTTGGAAATCACAGGGAACCCAAAGCAGAATTTTTTTTTTTTTGAGACAGAGTTCCCAGGTTCAAGTGATTCTCCAGCTTCAGCCTCCTGACATAGCTGAGACTACAGGTGTGCACCACCATGCCCAGCTAATTTTTGTATTTTTAGTAGAAAAGGGGTTTTCCATGTTGGCCAGGCTGGGCTTGAACTCCTGGCCTCAGGTGATATGCCCACCTCGGCCTCCCAAAGTGCTGGGATTATAGGCGTGAGCCACCACACCCAGCCCCAAGTAGAATTTTTAAAAACACATTCCATGTTCATGTATATCATATAGCATACATATCAGAATACCAAAGACAAAGAAAAATATAAGGCAGTAAGAATGAAAAGCCAAATTACCTGTAAGAGAACCATAATTAATTTTAAGAGCAGATTTCTGATCAGCAACAATAGAAGCCAAAAAATAAAGAAAAAACTGTCAGTCTAGAATTTTATACCCAGCTAAACTATCATTCAAGAATGAGGTCTAAAAAATTCAAAGAAAATTGTTCACTAACAGACTTTCACTGAAGGAACATCTAAAGAATGTGCATTTTAGAAGGAAATTCAACCCAAAGGGAAGAAAAGAACGGCAAGAAAGAATAGTGAGCAAGTAAGTTGACAAATATGAGTAAAGAAAAGCAAATGGCTTTATAAAACAACAATGATAATAGTGAGTAATTTATGCCCATCTTTACTAAAAACACAAAAATTAGCCAGGCGTGGTGGTGTGCACCTGTAGTCCCAGCTACTCAGGAGACTGAGGCAGGAGAATTGCTTGAACCTGGGAGGCAGAGGTTGCAGTGAGCCGAGATCATGCCACTGCACTCCAGCCTGGGTGACAGAGTGAGACTCTGTTTCAAAAAACAAAACAAAACAAACAAACAAAACCAAAGTGGAGACTGGGCACAGTGGCTCATGCCTGAAATCCTGGCACTTTGGGAGTCCAAGGCAGGAGGATTGCTTGAGCCCAGGAGTTCAAGACCAGCCTAAGCAACATGGTGAAACCCATCTCTACAAGACATAAAAATTTAGCCAGGCGTGGTGACATATGCCTGTATTCCCATTTACCTGGGAGGCTGAGGTCAAAGGATTACTTCAGCCCAGGTGGTCCAGTGTGCAGTGATCTATGATTGTGCCACCACACTCCAGTGTGGGTGACAGAATGAGACCTTGTTTCAAACAAAAACAAAAACAAAGTAGAAATAAAATTGTGAATGACAAAAATGCAAGACAAGAAAGAGATGAATAGAGTTAAAGCTTTATCTAGGAAGTGGGTAAAGACATTGATTAATTTTAGGCTTAAAAAAAAAACCAGGCATCATCTCTTATCTGGTTTATTGCAATAGCTTCCTAACTGGGCCCCCTGCTTTTAATCAGGCCCATTTCTAATCTAGTTTCAACATAGCAGTCAGGGTGATCCTTTAAAAATATAGGATCTTGTCATTTCTCTGTCCCAAACCCTGCATAGCTCCCTAGTCCACTATGTAAAAGCCAAAGTCCTTAGTGTTATGGTCCCTTCTACCATGATTCCCTTGGTGACCCAGCTTTAGCCACATTGGCTTCTTAATCAGTCTTCTCTTCAGCCACAGGTCCTTTGCACTGGCTGTTCCCTTTTCCTGGATCACCTTTCCCTCAACATTTACTTGGCTTGCTCTCACCTTGTTTAAGTCTTTGCCCAGATCTTACTTTTTCAATGACACCTACCCTGACTACCCCATGTAATACCCTAACTCATCCCAACTTCCAACTCTTTTTTTTTTGAGACGGAGTCTCACTCTGTCACCTAGGCTGGAGTGCAGTGGCACAATCTCGGCTCACTGCAACCTCCGCCTCCCAGGTTGAAGCCTTTCTCTTGCCTCAGCCTCCCGAGTAGCTGGGACTACAGGCGCATACTACCATGCCCGGCTAAGTTTTCATATTTTTAGTAGAGACGGGGTTTCACCGTGTTAGTCAGGCTGGTCTTGATCTGACCTCGTGATCTGCCCGCCTTAGCCTCCCAAAGTGCTGGGATTACAGGCATGAGCCACTGCACCTAGCCCAACCTCCAGCTCTTTTGCTTTTCTTTACACTGACCTCGTCTTTATTTTTTCCATACCACTATCACCTTCTAATATATAAAATGTATTATTTTTAGTTTTTATTTTTTTGAGATGGAGTTTCACTCTTGTCACCCAGGCTGGAGTGCAATGGCGCGATCTTGGCTCATTGCAACCTCCGCCTCCAGGGTTCAAGTGATTCTCCTGCTTCAGCTTCCTGAGTAGCTGGGATTACAGGTGCCTGCCACCAGGCATGGCTTTTTTTAATATATATATTTTTAGTAGAGATGGCGTTTCACCATGTTGGCCAGGCTGGTCTCAAACTCCTGACCTCACGTAAAGTGCTGGGATCACAGATGTGAGCCACCACACCCAGCCTATAGTTTATATATGTAATTTAAATATAAATTAACATATTACATATAATTTAAATATAATTATAAATATAAATTAATATAAAATGATCTGTTGTATAAAATTGTATTCTGACCACATAAAATTTATTTAGAAATTAATAATTAAGGCTGGGCGTGGTGGCTTACACCTGTAATCCCAGCACTTTGGGAGACCAAGGCGGGCAGATCACCTGAGGTCAAGAGTTAGAGACCAGCCTGGCCAACATGGTGAAACTCCATCTCTACTAAAAATACAAAAATCAGCTGGGCATGGTGGCAGGCACCTGTAATCCCAGCTACTCGGGAGGCTGAGGCAGGAGAATCGCTTGAACCCAGGAGGCGGAGTTTGCAGTGAGCCAAAATCACACCATTGCACTCCAGCCTGGGTGACAGAGTGAGACTCCGTCTCAAAAAATATATGTAATAATAATAATTTTAAAAAATTACTGGTTGGGCATGGTGGCTCATGCCTATAATCCCAACACTTTGAGAGGCCGAGGCGGGCAGATCACATGAGGCCAGGAGTTTGAGACCAGCCTGTCTCTAATAAACCCCATCTCTACTAAAAATACAAAAATTAACCAGGCCTGGTGGTGCACACCTGTAATCCCAGCTACTGAGGTGGTTGAGGCAGGAGAATCGTTTGAACCTAGGAGGCGGAGGCTGCAATGAGCATCACTACACTCCAGCCTGGGCAACAGAGTGAAACCCTGTCTCAAAAAAAGAAAAAAAAAATTGCTAGGCCGGGCATGGTGGCTCACACCTGTAATCCCAGCCCTTTGGAGGCCGAGGCGGGCGGATCACCTGAGGTAGGGAGTTCGAGATCAGCCTGACCAACGTGAAGAAACCTCGTCTCTACTAAAAATACAAAAAATTAGCTGGGCATGGTGGTGCCTGCCTGTGATTCCAGCTAGTCGGGAGGCTGAGGCAGGAGAATCGCTTGAACTTGGGAAGGCGGAGGTTTCGGTGAGCCAAGATCGTGCCATTGCACTCCAGCCTGGGCAACGAGAGCGAAACTTTGTCTTTAAAAAAAAAAATTACTAACAAAGTTCATAGGTATGGATCTTTTTCTTGAGATGGAGTCTCACTGTTGTGCCCAGGCTGGAGTGCAGTGGAGCAGTCTTGGCTCACTGCAACCTCCACCTCCCAGGTTCAAGCGATTCTCCTGCCTCAGCCTCCCAAGTAGCTGGGATTACAGGTGCCTGCCACCACGACCAGCTAATTTTTTGTATTTTTAGTAGAGATGGGGTTTCACCATACTGGCCAGGCTGGTCTCGAACTCTTGACCTCAGGTTATCTGCCCACCTTGGCCTTCCAAAGTGCTGGGATTATAGGCATGAGCTACCGTGCCTGGCCTCAGGTATGGATCTTTAAAAACACACTTCGGGATCCCTTCGTAGTTCATAAGCGTGATGACTGGTTTTCACGCTCACGTGTGAGATGTTCCTCAAACCTATGATGACATTGTCACGTTACCAGTCTGATGTGTGAAAAAAGAAAAAAAGACACACTTTTGAACAATTCCTGGGTCAAAAATTCATAAAGGCGATTAGAAGATACTTGGCATTGAATGACTACGAAATTGTGAGACATTAAAATGTGTGAGATTCATCTGAGTCGTATGCAAAGGGAAATTTACAGCTCTAAATGCTGATACTATCAGGTGCGGTGGCTTACACCTGTAATCCCAGCACTTTGGGAGGCCAAGGCGGGTGGATCACCTGAGGTCAGGAGTTTCAGACTAGCCTAGCCAACATGGTGAAACCCCGCCTCTACTAAAAATACAAAAAAAAAAAAAAAAAAAATTAGCCCGCATGATGGCTGGTGCCTATAATCCCAGCTACTTGGGAGGCAGAGGCAGGAGAATCGCTTGAACCTGGGAGGCGGAGGTTTCAGTGAACCAAGATTGTGCCACTGCACTCCAGCCTGGACAACAGAGCGAGACTCTGTTCTCAATAAATAAATTAATAATAAACGCTCATACTACAAGATAAAAAAGCCTCATGAGCTCATCATGCAACTCATGAAATTAGAAGAAGGGCCATGGCATACATTCAAAGAAAGCAGAAGACAGAAATAATAAGAGCAGAAATTAATGACATGGCAAAACTATAGGGAAGAGAAAGAACTGACAAAGTCAAAGCTGGCTGTTTGAAAAGATTATAAAATAGATGACCACAGGCAAGATTACTAAAGGAAAAAGGAGAGCAACCACAATGAAGAAAAATACAGGGCATGAGAGAGAAATGGTCAATAATCCTTTGAAAAGATGCGTAACCTCAATAGTAGACAGAGAAATGTGTTTCACTCCCATCAGATCGGTAAAAAAGTAAGGCTGACAATACTGAGTGCTGGAGAAGGCGTGGAGCCAAAAGAACTCTCATTGCGATGGGGGTGTAAGTTGACACAGACACTTTGAAGAGCAGCTTGGCAAAATCTGGTGAAGTTGACGATACATCAATTGCAGTCCCGGGAATACGTTCTGGAGGAACTCCTGCAGGTGCGTCCAGGGAGGCATGTACAAGAATGTTCTCTTTGGCATTTTTGAAATAGAAGAACAATTCTAAATGTCCATCAACTGGAAAATGGATAAATAAGTTGTAATACAGCCATACGAAGGAATACCACAAAGTGGTGAAAACGTGCCAACAATGATGAATCTTAAAAACAGTGTTAGGCCGGGCGTGGTAGCTCATGCTTGTAATCCTAGCACTTTGGGAGGCCGAAACAGGCGAATTGCCTGAGCTCAGGAGCTCAAGACCAGCCTTGGCAACACGGTGAAACCCTGTCTCTACTAAAATACAAAAAATTAGCCAGGCATGGTGGTGTGCGCCTGTAGTCCCACCTACTTGGGAGGCTGAGGCAGGAGAATCGCTTGAACCCGGGAGGCGGAGGTTGCAGTGAGCTGAGATTGCACCACTGCACTCCAGTCTGGGTGACAGAGCAAGACTCCATCTCCAAAAAACAAACAAACAACAAAAAAACAAAAACAAAAAAACCCCCCACAGTGTTGGGCCAATCCCTTGTAAAGCCTAATCCTTAAGGAGAGTTTAGAGGATTTATGAGTAGATAAAAGTGAAGAGAACTTGCAGGCAGGAATATAACATTTTAGAGAATCTGGAGGGATTTTCCCCAGACTGGAGTTGAAAACCGAGCCTTGCCTGAGGCAAAAGGAAAAATCTGTGCCTCTCTATAGACATCTTTATGTCTTTTTTTGTTTTTGTTTTTTTTGAGACAGAGTCTCACTCTGTCGCCCAGGCTGGAGTGCAGTGGCACAATCTCGGCTCACTGCAAACTCTGCCTCCCGAGTTAAAGCGATTCTTGTGCCTCAGCCTCCCGAGTAGCTGGGATTACAGGCACCTGCCACCATGCCTGGCTAATTTTTGTATTTTTAGTAGAGACGGGGTTGTTGGTCAGGCTGGTCTCGAACTCCTGGCTTCAAGTGATCTGCGCGCCTTGGCCTCCCAAAGTGCTGGGATTCCAGGCTGGAGTGTAGTGGCGCGATCTCGGCTCACTGCAGCCTCTGCCTCCTGGGTTCAACCGATTCTCATGCCTCAGCCTCCCAAGTAGCTGGGATTACAGGCACACACCACCACACCTAGCTAATTTTTGTATTTTTAGCAGAGACGGGGTTTCACCATGTTGGCCAGGCTGGTATCGAACTCCTGACCTCAAATGATCCACCCGATTCAGCCTCCCAAAGTGCTGGGATTACAAGTGTGAGCCACCATGCCCAGCTGACCATCTAGTTTAATCCCCGCAACTCTATGATATTAGAGTTATGCTTATTGCTATTTCACAGATAATAAAAGGTCGGCAATGTTAAAGCATTGGGCTGAGGCCACACGGCTGGTCGAGGTCAGAACTAAGGCTTTATTATTTCTGGACCTTTAGTGGCTCAGCACAATGCTTGCTGCATAGCAGGTGCTCAAAAACAATTTTTTTTTTTTTTGAGATAGAGTCTCACTCTGTCGCCCAGGCTGGAGTGCAGTGGCATGATCTCAACTCACTGCAACCTCCACCTTCCGAGTTCAAGCGGTTCTCCGGCCTCAGCCTCCCGAGTAGCTGGGATCACAGGCGTCTGCCACTGTGCCTGGCTAATTTTTTGTGTTTTTAGTAGAGGTGGGGTTTCACCATCTTGGCCATGCTGGTCTTGAACTCCTGACCTCGTGATCCACCCACCTCGGCCTCCCAAAATGCTGGGGTTACAGGCATGAGCCACCATGCCCGGCCTCAAAAACTATTAACTGAGGCTGGGTACAGTGGCTCACACCAGTAATCACGGAGTTCTGGGAGGTTGAAATGGGAGGATCCCTTGAGCCCGGGAGTTGGAGGCTGCAGTGAGCTATGGTCATGCTACTGCACTCCAGCCTGGTTGACAGAGAAAGACCACCATCTCCTTAAAAAAAAAAAAAAGCTATTAATTAATGAAATGCACTTGGATGGAAAGGGGCTGTCTTGAATACTGTAGACCCCAAGTATGAGTGTGAGGGAGATGGGAACAAACCATGTAGGTTTAAATCCTACCCAGTGACCTCTTTCAAAATACCTAATGCTTTGGTCTTCTCATTTCTCATCTGTAAAATGGGGTTTTCTGAGTATTTAAATAAATTACTATCATACATGGAAGTGTTCATTGTTGCCACTGTTGTGATTATTATTATTCTTAGGCACATCTTCAAATGGGGTTAGTTCACCTACTCTGTGAGGTTGCTAAGAATGATATGCCTGGGCCGGGCGCGGCGGCTCACACCTGTAATCCCAGCACTCTGGGAGGCTGAAGCAGGTGGATCACGAGATCAGGAGTTTGAGACCAGCTCAGCCAACATGGTGAAACACTGTCTCTACTAAAACTACAAAAATTGACCAGGCGTGGTGGCGTGCGCCTGTAATCCCAGCTACTCAGGAAGCTGAGGCAGGAGAATCACTTGAACCCAGGAGGCGGAGGTTGCAGTGAGCTGAGATTGCGCCACTGTACTGCAGCCTGGGCGACATAGCGAGAATCTGTCCTAGGAAAGAAAAAGGGTGGCGGCGGGGGGGTGGCCAGGCACGGTGGCTCACACCTGTAATCCCAGCACTCTGGGAGACCAAGGCAGGCAGATCACAAGGTCAGGAGTTTGAGACCAACCTGGCCAACATGGTGAAACACCGTCTCTACTAAAAATACAAAAATTAGCTGGGTGTGGTGGCGCACACCTGTAATCCCAGCTAACTCAGGAAGCTGAGGCAGGAGAATCACTTGAACCTGGGAGGCAGAGATTTCAGTGAGCCAAGATTGCACCACTGCACTCCAGCCTGGGTGACAGGGCGAGACTCTATTTCAAAAAAAAAAAAAAAAAGAATAATATGCCTGGTGCATTATAAGAGCTCAATAAATGTCAGTTCTTATTACAACCCAACGACTTTAAAATTTTTAAGAGGATAGGTGCTTCTTGCAATCTGCATAACCCCTGTTTATAAAACAGGTAGATACGGCCCTGTCTAGAAGCCAGGGGCTCTGACTCCGAAAGGGATTTCTATCTGTCGAAAGGGAAGACAGGGAGCTGGGTTTCCTGTTGCTCTGTGCGTCCTGACGTTGGCTTGTTAAGACCTGCATCCAAATGCCCATATTTCCTGCCCTTACCTACTTTGGTTAATAACCACGCATGTTGGTGGCCATGCCGGGGCTAGGTGAGGCCCAAAGCCAGCCACCGCCACCCCCAACATCCCTCTTCTAGGGTGGATTCTACATGGAGTAAGCCATATCTTGACTGCAGGGGGATTCATATCACTATGTCCTTTCTTCAAGGCAGCCCAGGTTCCTCTAGGAACAGATTGAAAAACCTCTCTTCTAATCCAACGCCATCATTTTGCCATCCAGAAAACAGTCCAAGAATGGGGATATAATTTGCCTAAGGTCACCCAACATATGAGCAGCAGAGCTGCAATTATCCACATATCCCGAGTCACAAGGCAAAACTCCAGTGCAATAGGCATAGAGATGGCCCTATGCAGAGAAGTTGGAGACAGACACCCTTTGCGGTTTTTTTGTTTTTTTTGTTTTTTATTTTTGTTTTTGAGGCAGAGTCTTGCTCTGTTGCCCAGGCTAGAGTGCAGTGGCACAATCTCGGCTCACTGCAACTTGTGCCTCCCGGGTTCAAGTGATTCTCCTGCCTCAGCCTCCCAAGTAGCTGGAATTACAGGTGCACGCCACCATGCCTGGTTAATTTTTGTATTTTTAATTGAGACAGGGTTTTGCCATGTTGGCCAGGCTGGTAACCTTTGTTGAGTGTTGTCAAGGTCACACCTGAGCTCAGACAGAAAAAGGTGCCAGCTCACCTCTCCACCCTGGTCACTAGTGAGTGACAGACAGTGCAAGCCTTTCTCAGCTCCCACATCCCCACTTGGCTACTTCTGAAAGTTTCCAGCTCAGGGGGCTAAGAGGATCCCTGCAACCCTGCTAGGAACCCCCTGCCCCATCACCTGCCACCCAGGGACTCTCTTCCCTTGTTTCCCTTGGAAAACAACCCCTTCCAGTCAGGAAATGGCTCACCCCATGTAGAATTCAGCCTAGAAGAGGGATGCTGGGGCTGATGGAGGCTGGCTTCAGGTCTCATCTAGGCCTGGCATGGCCACCAACATGTGTGGTTATTATCCAAAGTAGATAAGGGAAAGAAATTCAGGCATTTGGATGCAGGTCTTAACAAGCCAGCATCTGACAATGGGACACACAGAGCAACGGGAAACCCAGCTCACTGTCTTCCCTTTGGACAGCTATAAATCCCTTTTGGAGTCAGAATCTCTGGCTTCTAGACAGGGCCTTTTTCCAGGGTGAAGACTGTGTCTGAACATCCAGCACAGAGATGAAGTAGGAAATTAAGAAAATAACAGAATAATGGTATAAGTAATAATAGTAAAAATTATAGTAATAGTTAAAAAAGCTCATAAAATAAATTGCTATATTAACCAAGGCTAAAAAAAAAATTTAAGTAGCCCCCCGAAGTTAAAGTTAAAAAAAAAAAATTAACCGTCTGTCCCAAGAAACATTAACCATATCTACCCTCCACATATTTTGTAGGCTCCTTAAACTCCTGCTTCTTTCTCCCCTGCACAGCTGCAAGGTCACAAGACAAATAAGCATAAGCTGCAAACCAAGTTTTCCCAGAGATGTAAGACATGTTGCAAAAGTGTCACAACAGCCTTTATTCTTGCTCTTGTAAGCCTGCTTCCTGCTTCACATAATGCCCACCTCAAAATGCTTAAAGGGGACTCGTTTTCTTTGTCCTGGGCTCAGACTTTCAGGACACATGTCCACTGAGCCAGTGTACACCTTAAATAGACACTTTCCTGCACTCCGTTCGGTCTCTCTGGTTCCTTAATTTCCCACAACAGAGACAGACTTAGTGTTTGCCACAGTGAAGAGTGTTCTAGTTCCACCTCCACCATGGCTCATCAGGTGACTTTGGGCAAGTCCCTTCAACATTCTGAGCCCCTTTTCTTTTCTCATTTGTAAAATGACAGTAACAATACCTATGCCATTCTCCTTGAGATGCCAAATGGGCTGATGACCTCCATCATAGCTTCTTACCCTGGGTCCATGGGTAGGCTTGGATGGGAGTATCGGTCCTTTCGAGGCATATTTAAGACTTTATGTCTGTGCATGTTTTGGTTGGGGTAGAAGGATTCACACTTTTTATCAGTGTGCCAGCAGAGTTCTGAATATTAAGAATCACCGATGCATGCAAAAACATTTTGTGACCTGATGCTGTACAGATGTAAGAGTAAAAGAGAAGCGGGAGTCTTTCTGAACCTATTCTGGGCTGCCTGATTAAAAAAGAAAAAAGGCCAGGCGCGGTGGCTCACGCCTGTAATCCCAGCACTTTGGGAGGCCGAGGAGGGCAGATCACTTGAGGTCAGGAGTTTGAGACCAGCCTGGCCAACACGGTGAAACCCTGTCTACTAAAAATACAAAAATTAGCCAGGAGTGGGGGCAGGTGCCTGTAATCCCAGCTATTCGGGAGGCTGAAGTACGAGAATCACTTGAACCCAGGAGGCAGAGGTTGCAGTGAGCTGAGATTGCGCCACTGCACTCCAGCCTGGGCAATAAAGCTAGATTCAGTTTAAAAAAATAAATAAATAAATAAAGAAGAAGAAAAAGAAAAAAGTGAACCACCATGACCAAGTCCTTTCTTCACCTAACAAAAATACCACTGTTCAGAAACCATATGGCACTTCACATAGGGAGCGTCCATGGTGGGGCTGGTGTTAGGGGCTGCAGCCTACAGCCTGGTTCATACTGAGCATCTGGGAAGGGAAACTTGGGACCTGAGAACCTGCTCAGAAAAGGTGTGCCTGGGGGTTTTTCTAACCTGAAGTGAAAGCGTGAAGTGAAAGAAGCCACAGTAGCGGCTGGTCCCACGTTGCTGCTGGGTTTAAATCTCTCAGAGCTGGAGGTAAGGAAGAGAATGATACCCTGCCTGTGGCTACCACACCTACAGTGGGAAGCTGAGATTTGATGCCACAAGCCTCACCGTTTTTATCCCCAACTGGGAGTAGGGAAGCCTAGGTTCTAGTCCTTGTCCTGCTACTGAGTGACTTTAGGCAGGTCCCTTTTCCTATCTAAGGCCTTTCTTTTCTTTCTTTGATTTCTATTAAAAAAATATAGATAGTGTCTTGCTATATTGCTCAGGCTGGTCTCAAACTCCTGGCCTCAAGCAGTCCTTCCACCTCAGCCTCCCAAAATGTTGGGATTATAGACATGAGCCACCTTGCCTGACCATCCGGGCCTTTCTTTTCTCATCTTCAAAGCAGTTGGATTGATGGAGGTGATTCCCAAGGTCTCCTCGAGGAAACTTAGCATGTTGGATCACAATGTCACAGGTTTGGGAACCAGACCTTCCTGGATTAAAATTCAGCTCTGCAACTTTCAGGATGTGTGACCTTGGGCACCTTACTGCACCTCTCTGAGCCTCTGTTTCATTCACTTGTAAACTGGGAGAAATACTATCCATATCACATGATTATACAGATTAATGATACAAGTTTACCAAATTCATGTCACTGTACCTGGTTTACAGTAGGTATCTAATCAAAGGCAGGAGATGCTTAATAGAGTTAGTTTATAGTGTTCTTACAGGATTCTGTGCCAGGCATGGGGGCTCTGCCTGTAATCCCAGCACTTTGGGAGGCAGAGACAGGTGGATTATTTGAGCCCAGGAATAGCCTGGCCAACATGGTAAAACCCCATCTCTACAAAAAATACAAAAATTAGCTGGGCATGGTGCATGTATGTAGTCCCAGCTACTGGGGAGACTGAGGCAGGAGAATCACTTGAGCCCAGGAAGTCACGGCTGCAGTAAGCAGTGATTGTTCCACTGTGCTCTAGCCCGGGCTACAGAGTGAGACCTTGTCTCAAAAAAAAAAAAAAAAGAAAAGAAAAGAAAAGAAGAAGAAGAAAAGGATTCTGTCCTCCAGCTATGCCTGACCTTCGCCTGAGAGCCAAGGCAGATAGAACAATCCCTACTTACTCTCAGCTGACACTTTGCCACCACTGAGGACAAACCACCACATTTTGGAAAACTTGTTCAACCTGCAAGAATGACCCATCAGAAACAGACCCGCTGGGCGAGGTGGCTCACGCTTATAATCCCAGCACTTTGGGAGGCCGAGGCAGGCAGATCACCTGAGGTCCGGAGTTTGAGACCAGACTGGCCAACATGGTGAAACCCCATCTCTACTAAAAATACAAAATTAGCCGGGCGTGGTGGTGCACTCTTGTAATCCCAGCTACTCGGGAGGCTGAGGCAAGAGAATTGCTTGAATCCGGGAGGCGAAGTTTGCAGTGAGCCGAGATCGCGCCACTGCACTCCAGCCTGGGCAACAAGAGTGAGACTCTGTCTCAAAAAAAAAAAAAAGAAATAGATCAAAGTGACCCTCTTGACCTGCTGCCCAGCTGGCTGGGCCCCTGCTGCAGTGTTCAGCCATGGGGCTTTCCTTCCACGTTTCTTCTCTTAGTCCCCCTCTGGTCTTCTTCTTCTTTTTTTTTTTTTTGAATACAGATTGTTGTTCTGTTGCCCAGGCTGGAGTGCAGTGGTGTGATCTCAGCTCACTGCAACCTCAACTTCCCAGGTTCAAGCAATTCTTGTGCCTCAGCCACCCAAGTAGCTGGGATTATAGGCGTGAGCCACCACACCTGGATAATTTTTTGTATTTTTAGTGGACACATGGTTTCACCATGTTGGCCAGCCTGTTCTCGAACTCCTGACTTCAAGTGATCTGCCCACCTCAGCCTCCCAAAGTGTTGAGATTACAGGCGTGAGCCACTGCTCCTGGCTGGCCTCCCTCTGTTCTTTGTAGCCCTTGATTGCAGTTGTAATAAAGTTTTCTGGGATTTGGGGCTGTAGACTGTGGGGTTTTTTGACCAAATCTTTTGTGTGTGTGTGTGTGTGTGTGTGTGTGTGAGCCTATGAATTATACTGAAAATCCAAATCAGGCCAGGCACGGTGGCTCACACCTATAATCCCAGCACTTTGGGAGGCTAAGGCAGGCAGATCACCTGAGTTCAGGAGTTCGAGACCAGCCTGGCCAACATGGTGAAACCCCACCTCTACTAAAAATACAAAAATTGGCCAAGTGTGGTGGTGGGTGCCTGTAATCCCAGCTACTTGGGAGGCTGAGGCAGGAGAATTGCTTGAATCTGGGAGGCAGAGGTTGCAGTGAGCCGAGATCATGCCATTGCACTCCAGCCTGGGCAACAAGAGCAAAACTCCATCTCAAAAAAAAAAAAAAAAAAAGCCCAAATCTTACCTCTTTTTATAACTACTTTGATAGCAAAACCCACCTCCTCCAAGAAGCATTCTCTGGTCTCCCTTTATTGAGTCTTACTGCACAGACCACTGTCTACCTTGTATTATATGTGTCCATTCCACATCTTGCTTCCTGGATTGTGAGCTCCTTGTCTTGTGAGTAATATCTGGGTCTGGGAGTGGAGTCATCTTTGTATCTCACTTGCTCAAAAAAGTGTCTCCTAGCACAATGGTATCCCCACAGTAGACTCTTGGTGGAGGTCTTTTGATAGCAGCCAGAGCTGAGCAAAACAGTCTTGGGGAGATGGAACTCAGCCCAGCCAGGCAAGGCAATTTGATGGCCTCAAGCTCCCACTCCTCAATCCCAAGCCCATGACAGACACTTCTCACCACTCCAAGTCCTTGTGCCTCCTGAGCCTGACCATATTTCTCACCCTAGTGTTCCTGGCCCGGAGAACCAGACTTGCAGAAAGAGGTTGGAACCACAAGCAGCAGCCCTGAAGCAGAGTGTGAACTAGAAGGATGGTGCCTGCCCAGGCTCTTGACCTTGTGAACAGGCCACCAGGACAGTCACTCCTAAAATGGGTTTGGCAGTGGAGGTGGGACAGCACTGGGCAGGGAAGGAACTTAAAATCTCTCTAGTGATATAGGTCCCAGGGGAGGTTTATTGATATAAGGCAAAATATGGAAGCTTTCCTAGAGGAGAGATGAAAAGGGCTGGCAAAGGAGTTGTTTCCTGAGTCAATTCCTTTAATAAATTCCTCCTGGGGTTTCCAGCACCTCAACTGGCATGAAGCCTGGCACAAAGTAAGCATCTAAGTATTTAAAATGGATTTATAGAATCAATGAATGTCTATTAGGAGAAAAGCAGCCTTCTTCAGACCCACTTCTGTGCTTCTTTTTCCCTTGGCTGCCAGCAAGCCCAGAGCTCAATGCAGTGTGGAAGTGCAGTCACAGGGCCATTCAAGGTCGGTTCTTGATTTATTTATTGCTCCTTTTAGTGGTTTCTAATGCCTTGCTTTTATTTTAACTGCCCCAATTTATAATGTAGCCACCTCTACTCTTTTTAAGGAAAGAATGTGTAGGCTGGGGGTGGTGGCTCATGCTGTAATCCCAGCACTTTGGGAGGCCGAGGCAGGCGGATCATTTGAGGTCAGGAGTTAGAAACCAGCCTGGCCAACATGGTGAAACCCTGTCTCTACTAAAACTACAAAAATTAGCCAGGAGTAGTGGTGGGTGCCTGTAATCCCAGCTACTTGGGAGGCTGAGGCAGGAGAATCACTTGAGCCTGTGAGGTGGAGGTTGCAGCGAGCAGAGATCGCACCATTGCACTTCAGCCTGGGCGACAGAGCGAGACTCTGTCTCAAAAAAATAAAAGGAAAGAATGTGTAATGTATAGGTTAAGAGCAAAGGATTGTTATTAAGGTCTTCTATCTATAGTCCCTTTCTCTAATGTCTACGGGTTATCAAAGAAACTCAGTCTTCCCTGTGGGGCCGAAGGATTCCATCCCCAGCCTGCTGTCCACTCACCATTCATCACCCCCACCCAGGCTGTCTGGATTCACTCAGTCTCCCCAGACCTTTCCTGGACCTTCCTTCTGCATCATCATCTCCAGCCTCTCTCCTGGGCAGAGCAGAGCTAAATGATGTCTGAGGCCTCTTTCCACTTTAGTCAAGGTTAAGTGCCAAGGCTTTAGAAGGAAACATCACTGAGTTCAAATCTCAGGTCGGCCACTGATAGGCTGTGTGACCTTGGGGAAAGTTACTCAAACTCTCTGAGCTTCAGTTTCTTCCTCTGTGAATGGGGAAACTAATCCCTATGTTCTGTATGTGCAGATTAAATAATTATTTAAAACTAATTAAGCAGGAGATTGGTTGCCTGATTGAACTATCAAGAGTGTTGGATGTGGTGGAAAGAAAACAGTCCTGAGTTCGGAATCTCAGGTGCTCAGGGTTTGAGCCCTGGCTCTGGCACCAGCTGGATCTATCCAGAAGCCACCTACTCTCTCTTGTCCCAGTATTGCCATTTGTAAAGAAGATTGGGGGATAACGATGAGTGCTTGGCACTGTGCTAGCACTTTCTACACATTATCTCATTTAAATCTCAAAACAACCCTTCAAGAATCTTATTATTTTCTGTATTTTATAGATGAAGAAATTGGGGCTCAGGAATGTTAAGAAACTTTCTGGGGGCTGGGTACCATGGCTCATACCTGTAGTCCCAGCACTTTGGGAGGCTGAGGTGGGCAGATCACTTGAGCCCAGGGCTTAGAGACCAGCCCGGGTAACATGAAACTCCATCTCTACAAAAAATACAAAAATTAGCTGGGCATGGTGTTGTGTGCCTGTAGTCCCAGCCACTCAGGAAGCTGAGGTGGTGGATTGCTGGAGCCCAGGAGAGTGAAGCTGCAGTGAGCCGTGATCACACCACTGCACTCTAGCCTGAGTGACAGAGCAGACCCTGTCTCAAATTAAAAAAAAAAAAAGGGACTGGGCACAGTGGCTCATGCCTGTAATCCCAATACTTTGGGAGGCCGAGGTGGGTGGATCGCCAGAGGTCAGGAGTTCAAGACCAGCCTGACCAACATGGTGAAACTTCATCTCTACAGTAAAAAATACAAAAGTAACTGGGCGTTGTGGCTCGCCTGTAATCCTAACTACTCGGGTGGCTGAGGCAGGAGAATCACTTGAACTTGGGAGGTGGAGGTTGCACTGAGCTGAGATCATGCCATTGCACTGCAGCCTGGGCAACAAAAGTGAAACTCTGTCTCAAAAAAAAAAAATTTTTTTAATAAAAGGAAGGAAGGAAGGAAGGAAGCAAGGAAGGAAGGAAGCTAGGAAGGAAGGAAGGAAGGGAGGGAAAGAAAGTTGGCCAGGCACAGTGGCTCACACCTGTAATCCCAGCACTTTGGGAGGCCAAGATGGTGGAGCACTTGAGGTCAGGAGTTCGAGACCAGCCTGGCCAACACCGTGAAACCCCATCTGTATTATAAATAATAATAATAAAAAAATCAGCCAGGCAGGAGAATCACTTGAACCTGGGAAGCAGAGGCTGCAGTGAGCCACGATCCTGCCACTGCACTCCACCCTGGGCAACAGAGTGAAATTTTGTCTCAAAAAAAAAAAGAAAGAAAGAAAGAAAAAGAAACTTGCTGGGGACATTGGGAATCCACTCTCTTGTCCATTTATTTGAAAACTAGGATCCCATCCAGTTGCTTTGCATTCTCCCCTCCCATCTCCAAACAAATACTTGGTAAATTAACTGACTAATTAGAAATCTGCAACACTGCCGGGCATGGTGGCTCACACCTCTAATCCTAGCACTTTGGGAGGCTGAGGTGGGCGGATCACCTGAGGTCAGGAGTTTGAGACCAGCCTGGCCAACATGGCAAAACCCCATCTCTACTAAAAATACAAAAAAATTAACCAGGCATGGTGGCGTGTGCCTATAATCCCAGCTACTTGGAGGCTGAGGCAGGAGAATCGCTTGAACCCAGGAGGTGGAGGTTGCAGTGATCCAAGGTCACGCCACTGTGCTCCAGCCTGGGTGACAGAGCAAAACTCAGAAAAAAAAAGAAAAGAAATCTGCCAACAGGACAGTTTTGTTGAGTCTTTCCAAATATCTTCTTCCTCTTTCAATTATTTTATAATTCAGCAACTTCTCTTTTAGAGAATGGACTAATAATGCTTACATTCATAACATACTTGACAATTTACACAGCCTGGGAAGGCTCACGGCTATTATGTGAGGCAGGTTTTGCTCAACTATTCCATGAGCAAATAGATTCAGAGGGGGCAAGTCCTTTGCCCAAAAACCCATAGCAAGTGGCGGACAAAGCCAGGACCTGAGTCCTTTTTTTTCTCTCTCTTTTTTTGAGACAGAGTCTCGCTCTATCACCAGGCTGGAGTGCAGTGGCGTGATCTCAGCTCACTGCAACCTCCAAATCCCGGGTTCAAGAGATTCTCCTCCCTCAGCCTCCCGAGTAGCTGGGAGTACAGGTGCGCGCCACCACACTCAACTAATTTTTTGTATTTTTAGTGGAGACGGGGTTTCATATTGGCCAGGATGGTCTTGATCTCTTGACCTCTTGATCCGCCCTCCTCGGCCTCCCAAAGTGCTGGGATTACAGCGTGAGCCACCGTGCCCGGCCAGGACTTAAGTCCTTGTGTCATGACAAGGTCAGATTGGTAAAGAGGCAGGATGGAATGCATGACTCTGCATAGGGTGAGGGGCCCTGATACCACGCACAATCTTTTGTCTTTATTTCCAGGGGCAAATCCCATCTATTTTCTCTCTCTTTTTGACTTTTATTTTTCTGACCATTTTTTCTCAGTAATGCCTTCATTGCTACCATTAGCTGGCCTTGAGTTATTGTTATTATTATTTACTTTTTGTAGAGATGGGGTCTCACTATATCACCCAGGCTTGTCTCAAACTCCTGGCCTTAAGTGATCCTCCCGCCTTGGTCTCCCAAAGTTCATGCTCAGATTACGGGCATGAGCCACCACACCCTGCCAGGCCCTAGACTTTAGTCCTTTCCCCACCTTACTGGTGGAGTCTGGACCTTCTCACCGACAAGGATTTACCCATCAGGCTGTTGGGCTTTGGAGTCAGATAGCACTGAGTTCCGATCTTGGCTCTGCCAAGTACTATTAGCTTTTTGTTCTCAAGTAAAGACACTCACTTCATTCATCTCTTTCATTCAGTTCCCTCATCCATAAAACAGGAGTAACAAGTAGTACTTGTCTCATCAGTGGTGGGGAGGCATGAAGACTAACTGAGTTAGCTCAGGCCTAATACAGTGCCTGCCACACACTAAGCCCTCCATGAATGGCAGCTTATATAGATGCTATATATGTGAACACATTAGAGCTTTCTCCTCACTTTCTCAAGTTCTTTGCTAGTTGGTAACCAATGAGAGTGACGATGTCATCTCTATTGTGCCCTTGGGCTGGTAGGAGGAGTGTCAAAGAGGGAGATGAGAGGCAGGAGGGAAGGGTGGGACAGGAAAGCAGAGGGGGAAGACCCTGTCTCCACTCAAGACTTTTAGAGATGAAAGAACAGGAAGCTGAGATTGTGCCAGGGAGCACCTGCTAGCTTGCCGTCATGACGAGAGCCCTGGATTAAGGAGATAGGAAGGATGCTGGTTCCAGTCCCAGGTGGAACTGATGGCTGTGTAACCTCAGGCACAATAGCCTCCTTCTCAGTAGGTCCATCTGCACCAGGAGTGTTTTTTTTTTTTTTTCTTCTAGAGTCTTGCTCTGTCACCTAGGCTGGAGGCTGGAATACAGTGGCGAGATCTCAGCTCACTGCAGCTGCCTCCTTCCAGCTTCAAGCAATTTTCCTGCCTCAGCCTCCCAAATAGCTGGGATGACAGGTGCCTGCCACCATTTTTCTATTTTTAGTAGAGATGGGGTTTCACTATTTTGGCCAGGCTGGTTTTGAACTCCTGACCTCAGGTGATCCACCCGCCTCAGCCTCCCAAAGTGCTGGAATTACAGGTGTGAGCCACTGCACCCTGCCAGGAGTGGTTTTTTGATGAGATCTCAAAAGGTCCTTCAAACATGGCAGTTATGCAATTAATCACATGGGGCAGAAAACAGGGGTGTTGTCAGATTGCAAAAGAGCTGGCGAGAGAAAGGCAGATCACGAAAGCCTGGGGCAGAAGTTCTCAAACTTCGTGGTCTCAGCGACCCTTTACCGTCTTAAAAGTTACCTTGGCAATAAATAGCTTTTGTTGATGTAGGTTACACCTATTAGTACTTGCTGTATTAGAGACTAAAACTGAGAACTTAAAAAAAATTAATAATCCTATTGCATGTTAATAGAATTTTTTTTTTTGAGACCGAGTCTCAGTCTGTCACCCAAGCTGGAGTGCAGTGGTGCGATCTCGGTTCAATGCAAACTCTGCCTCCCGGTTTCAAGCAATTCTTCCACCTCAGCCTCCTGAGTAGCTGGGACCACCACACCTGGCTAATTTTTGTGTTTTTAGTAGAGACAGGGTTTCACTATGTTGGCCAGGCTGGTCTTGAACTCCTGACCTTGTGATCCACCCGCCTTAGCCTCCCAAAGTGCTGGGATTACAGGCATGAGCCACCACGCCCGCCCTGAAGTAACATATTTTTAAATGAAAATAACTTTTTGTGGCAAATCTCTTTAATTGTCTGGTTTATGAGAAGGCAGCTGGATTCTTATCTCTGCTTCAGCATGCAAACTGTTGCAATATGTTGTTGTGGTTTAACTATGTGAAGAAAATAAATTTGCCACTCTCTCCTGAGTGCTTCCTTTGTGGCAGGCACTGTGAAAGGCCTTTTACAAGCACTGTGTCCTTTTCTGTTGTTGTTCAAATCCATACTATATATTTATTTTTATTTTTATTTTTTGTTTGTTTTTGAGATGGAGTCTCACTCTGTCACCCAGGCTGGAGTGCAGTGGTGCGATCTTGGCTCACTGCAAGCTCCGCCTCCTGGGTTCACGCCATTCTCCTGCCTCAGCCTCCCAAGTAGCTGGGACTACAGGCACCCGCCACCATGCCTAGCTATTTTTTTATTATTTTTTTGTATTTTTAGTAGACACAGGGTTTCACCATGTTAGCCAGGATGGTCTTGATCTCCTGACCTTGTGATCCGCCCGCCTCAGCCTCCCAAAGTGCTGGGATTACAGGCGTGAGCCACCGCGCCCGGCTTTTTTTTTTTTTTTTTTTTTTTTGAGATGGAGTCTTGTTCTGTTGCCCAGGCTGGAGTGCAGTGGTATGATCTCAGCTCACTGCAAGCTCCGCCTTCCAGGTTCACACCATTCTCCTGCCTCAGCCTCCCAAGCAGCTGGGACTACAGGCGCCCACCACCACGCCCGGCTAATTTTTTGCATTTTTAGTAGAGACGGGGTTTCACCGAGTTAACCAGGATGGTCTCGATCCCCTGACCTTGTGATCCGCCTGCCTCAGCCTCCCAAAGTGCTGGGATTCAGGCTTGAGCCACCACGCCTGGCCAATTTTTTTTTTTTTTTTTTTTTTTTTTTTTGAGACAAAGTCTCACTCTGCTGCCCAGGCTGGAGTGCAGTGGCACGATCTTGGCTCACTGCAAGCTCCGCCTCCCAGGTTCAAGTGATTTTCCTGCCTCAGCCTCCTGAGTAGCTGGGATTACAGATGTGCACCACCATGCCCAGCTAATTTTTGTATTTTTAGTAGAGACGGGGTTTCACCATGTTGGCCAGGCTGGTCTCCAACTCCTGACCTCAGGTGATCCAACCACCTCCACCTACCAAAGTGCTGGGATAACAGGCGTGAGCCACCACACCTGGCCCGTACTATATATTATTTTTAAATGTTTTCATTCTATTTTTGATGGACAAATAATAATTGTATATATTTATGGAATACAATGTGATATTATGATACACGTATCAAAATTGCTAAAAGAGTAGATTTTAAATGTTACCACAAAGAAATGCGCTGTCTCCTTTATCCTCCAAACTGCCCTTGGAGATAGACTGTCTCATTTTCACGATCTTATCTATGAGGAACCAGAGGCTCAGCTAGACTGGATTTGCCGAGGTCACAAAGTTTGTAAATGGCAGAGTCAGAATTCAGACTCATATATCTGGTGCCAGACCCTGACCACAGAAGTTGGGCAGCCTAGATGTGAAACCACCTTTGCAAAATTATGACTGAGACTGTGAAAGAGATCTAACTTAACTGACTCCATCTTGCTTCTAACCTCCAAGGTGTCCTTGTTCATTCCTGGGCTGAACTAACTTTGGGAGAAACTTAGTTTAAAACTAAGACAATAACAGCCCTTTCCCAAAGTACACCTCCTTCTTGGCTGGGGACTAGATTGCCTTTGTAGGACTAATATTAGGCACAAGATTAGAAATTATGGTTTAGGGTCTGGTGTGGTAGTTCACGCCTGTAATCCCAGCACTTTGGGAGGCTGAGGCGGGTGGATCACTTGCGGTCAGGAGGTAAGACCAGCCTGGCCAACATGCTGAAACTCCGCCTCCACTAAAAATACAAAAGTTAGCCAGGTGTGGTGGTGCATGCTGTAATACCAGCTACTCGAGAGGGGGAGGCAGAAGAATCACTTGAACCTGGAAGGTGGAGGGTGCAGTGAGCTGAGATTGCGTCACTGCACTCCAGCCTGGGCGACAGAGGGGTCTCTGTCAGAAAGAAAGAAAGAAAAGAAAAAAAAGAAAGAAAAGAAAGAAAGAGGGAAGGAAGGAAAGAGAGAGAGAGAAAGAAAGAAAGAGAAAGAAAGAAAGAGAAAGAAAGAAAGAGAAAGAAAGAGAAAGAAAGGAAAGAGAAAGAAAGGAAAGAAAGAAAGAAAGGAAAGAAAGAAAGAAAAGAAAGAAAGAAAGGAAGGAAGGTTTAGGAGTCATGCAGCTGGAGGCTACAAGATTCTGACCCTCCCTAAACTGCTCCTGCGATCAGTGCTTGAGATACTTTGCAGACCCTGCACTTGATGGATCAGCTGGCACCACCCAAATCCATAAACTGGCTCATGTGATCTTGTGGCCCCCACCCAGGAACTGACTCAGCGCAAGAGGACAGCTTCGACCCCCTGTGATTTCATCCCTGGCCAATCAGCACTCCTGGCTCACTGGCTCCCCGCAACCAAACAAACTGTCCTTAAAAACTCTGATCCTTGAATGCTGGTGGAGACTGATTTGAGTAATAATAAAATTCCGGTCTCCCGCACAGCCAGCTCTGCATAAATTACTCTTTCTCTATTGCAATTCTCCTGTCTTGATGAATCGGCTCTGTCTAGGCGGCAGGCAAGGTGAACCCCTAGAGGCTTATAGACGGAGGGGCATGGGGTCTCTCTTATACTTCTGGGCAACCATCTCTTCCCTGATCTCTTTTTTTTTTTTTTTTTTTTTGAGACAGTTTCACTCTTGTTGCCCAGGCTAGGGTGCAATGGTGCAATCTCGGCTCACTGAAACCTCCGCCTCCCAGGTTCAAGCAATTCTCTTGCCTCAGCCTCCCAAGTAGCTGGGATTACAGGCATGTGCCACCACGCCTGGCCAAGTTTGTATTTTTAGTAGAAATGGGGTTTCTCCATGTTGATCAGGCTGGTCTTGAACTCCCAACCTCAGGTGAACCGCCCGCCTTGGCCTCCCAAAGTGCTGAGATTACAGGCATGTGCCACCGTGCCTGGCCTCCCTAATCTCATTTTTATCCTTCCCACCTTGGACCATTTTACCGAGCCACGTTTCCAGCTACCAACCAAATTGTCCTTAAAATCTCTGATCCTCGAATGCTGGGGGAGACTGATTTGAGTAATAGGACACTAGAATGGTCGCTCCAAGGGAGTTAAGGCTTATTATTTGTTTTGTTCACTCCCGTATCTTAAGTGCACCTGCCTCACCCATGGTCACTGCTCAGTAACTCTTTCTTTTTTTAATTGTAGGCAACCTTTATTACAGAAGTCCCTTATTTTAAGTGACTTTTTGCCGATTTTAGATTTGAAGGGAAGGTCTACAGTTAAGCTTGGAACCACTTAGTATCCAAGAGGGTGGCAGGAACATGCAACCCCTCAAAGCAGGTGGCATGGGTGCCATTGGGAGGGGATCTGGGGCCTGTCTTGTGCCCTAAATCTTCCTCCACCTGAGACGTGCACCCCAGTGTACCAGAGATGCCTAAGACTCCAATCCCCCAGCTCTGGCTGTGTGGAAAAGGTGCCTACTTCACAGAATCAAGCTTCAGTTGACTACATGCCAAAGAGAGACAAGGTTAAGTGTGGCCTTTCATGGTGTCAAGAAGCAGTTAGTGTCCTGATTTCCCCTCCATCCACTCGCCGACCTGCTGCAGCCTCCCCGGGCACCTCAGGCATAGAAGATGAGCTCAGGGATCTGCCCACCCTGGACCCCAGTCCCGTTGGTGCTGTCCGAGGAGCACTGGAACTGGAAGGCCACCTTTCTGCACTGCACTTGCGTCATCCCCTCCTGCCCAAAGTAGCTGAGGTTGCTGCCGTCCAGAACAGCACTGGCCATGTAGAAGGTGTCTTGTTCAACCTGGACCGGGTGTTCAAACCAGACCGGGAAGGTGTTACTGGATCTGTCCGACATGAATTTGGTCAGATTCTGAGCCAGAACTACCCCAAGCCTCTTGAGCTCAATCTTCACGCTGTACTCAGCCTTCCCAGAGCTGGACCCACACAGGCCTAGCCCCGCAATAAATACCCTTCTGTCCACTGCAAACTGGATGCTGTCGCAGCGCCCGCAGTACTGGCATTGGTTGCTGCGGTAGGCAGAAGACTGGAATAGGTGGCACCTCTGCGGGGTGAGGCCCTTCCTCTTGATCAGGGGGAAGTCCAGGCGGGGCTTGTTGGTGGCCGTGTACCACAGGAAGATGGTGTGGGTCTCCTCCAGAGTCAGGATGTCTGGATGTCTGACTGGGCAGCGCCGTTGGCAAACTCCTCTAGGGTCATGGTTGGAATTCGGATCAGATAGAGGGCTCGCCCCAAAACATGCCTCTTGTTTCGTGGGGTGACTGGCAGCCCCTGCCTCTTGCACTCTGCCTTGGCCCAGTTCAGGACGGCCTTGAAGACCACCGCCTCCTGGTGTTGAGGGCCTCCCGAGTGACAATGATCTCCAACGTCTGCCGGTCCATCTCACAGAAGCCTTGGGACCGCAGGGCCATCTCGGCCTGTGCGTCGATGACCTCCCAGCAGCGCTGGGTCAGGTCGGGCTCCTCAAACAGCCGGCTCTGGGACAGCAGGACGCAGGCGTTCTTGGCTTTCAGACTTGTCCCCAGAAAGTTGACGCAGGCTTTTGCCAATGCTGGGACGATGTACTTCTTAGCAGCCTACAGAGTGGCCAGCACCGTATCCGCTTCCAGATCGATCTCATCACTGTACACGTACTTTAATAGGATCAGAAAGGCTGCGGGCTCCACGTCTGGAATGTGAATTTCAGATTTGACTTCCGCCAGGTCCCAGTAGAACATGGCATAGAAGACGGAGCTGCAGACAGCCAGGACGTACTTGTGGGCGGGCACCGTCCTGGTCGCCCCCGGGGGTCCCACGACAAAGTGCACGTCGGCCACGAGCTCGTTGTTGAACATGAGCGCGTTCCTCTCGCGCAGCGTGGGGGACCGCGCCATTTGGGGCTCTCCGGGTGGTTGTTGCCAAGTGTGGGCTGCGCGGGCGCGGGCGCGGGGGCGCGGTGCAGGCTGCGCTGCCCGGCCTTCCTGCCCACGGCGGCGCCGGCGTTGCTGTGGGCTAGGACCGCGGCCGCGGCGCTGGCGGGGACGTAGAGCTCCGCCGCCATCCTCGAGGGCGGGGCGTCGGGGGCAGCCTCGGAGCCTGTGGACCCCCGCCCCGCGCCCTCGCGCCGCGCCGGGGCCTCGGGAGCGGCTCTGCAAGCAAAAGCAGGGAGGTCGGGCGCTGAGCGACGCGGCGGTGATGGCAGGCCAGGGGCAGCACCATTCATGGGCGGCGGCGGCGGCGGCGCTGCGACCCGCGGGGCTGCCACCCGTGCCCCTACCACCCCCGCCCCTGCGATCCTGCCAGAGCCTAGCCTAGCGCAGCCGGGCCAGGCCTGGCCGCAGCAATAACTGCTTTTTAATGGATTGGTTGGAGGTATTCTCTCTGACACATGCCAGCATCCTCAAGGAGGGTAACCTGCTTTCTAATTTTCAAAGTGAGGCCGGGTGCAGTGATTCACACCTGTAATCCCAGCAATTTGGGAGGCTGAGGTGGGAGGAGCGGTTGGGCCCAGGAGTTCAAGACAAGCCTGGGCAACATAGGAAGACCCCGCCTCTACAAATAAAAAAAAATTAGCCAGGGGTAGTGGTTCATGCCTGTGGTCCCAGGCACTTGGGAGGCTGAGGTGGGAGGACCACTTGAGCCCAGGTGGTTGAAGCTACAGCTAGCCGTGATGTGCCACTGCACTCCAGCCTGGGTGACAGAGTGAGACCCCAGGCTTTGTCAAAAAAAAAAAAAAAAGCATTTCTTTTTAACGTGCGTCAGTAAGAAGGGCATGCCTAGGTTAACATATCAAAAGTGCTCCTCATAGTATCTGTGAAACAGCCTTGCAGAACCTAACCTGCCAGGCCATAAATGCAAGGGTGAAAATGGGATTGTGGGGAGCTTCACTTTAACAATAGCTAGTTGTGTAAAATGCAATTAATCCTCACAGTAAGTCAGGAAGGGTGGTCCTATTATCATCATCTCTGTTTTGCAGACAAGGAGACGGAGGCGCAAAGATGCAGTGACTTGTCTGAGGTTGCACAAAAGGGCAGAGCCCGATGTGAACCCAAACCTGTGCCCAGGTCTGCAACTGTCACAGGAGCCTGCCTCCTAGTTGCTCAGCTGGCTCCTGCGGCTTTCTCCCGGGGACTTCTCTCTAATCTTTCTGGGGGGCCCTTTGAAATGTTAAAAAATTGCATTTGGGCTCCCGATTTTCTGCTTTACCAGATTCCAGAGTTCACACTGCCTGAAGACAGGAATCTTAGCTTTGCCCCACTAGGGAGCTCCTTTGTGATCCAGGTGATGTCACTCAGAACTCTGGTTTTTTTGTTCGTTTCATTGTTTTTTTTTTTTTTTTTGGAGTCTCGCTCTGTCACCCAGGCTGGAGTGCAGTGGTGCGATCTCGGCTCACTACAACCTCTGCTTCCCGGGTTCAAGTGATTCTTCCGGCTCAGCCTCCCGAGTAGCTTGGGATTACAGGCGCCTGCCACCATGCCCAGCCAATTTTTTTGTATTTTTATTAGAGACAAGGCTTCACCATGTTGGCCAGGCTGGTCTCGAACTCCTGACCTCAGGTGATCGGCCTGGTGCTGCTTCCAAGTGCTGGGATTACAAGTGTGAGCCACTGCACCTAGCTAATCTTCATTTTTATAACAAGAACTAAAAGGCCTATCTCCCTCTTTCAAAGAAAGTCTACTACAGAAAATTATTTGATGCTCTGTGATATTACAGCATAAATGACTGATAAGCATGTGTGGATCTCTTTCACCCTGAGGGTAGCCTGTTACTGTGAAATCTGTCAGCCATCGGGAAGTATGCATTTGTCTGGGGGTGGGAGGAGCATTGTTAAAATCACACCTGGAAGTGGCCAGTCACCCATTCTGTCCATGAAGTGCTCTCTGTAGGAAAGGAAACTTTCATACAAAGTAAGGCATTATAACCAGGGAACAGAGAGGTCTGTCCCCTGATGATGAGGACTTTTCATGGTGGCTTCTCTCTAAAGCAGGAGTAAGACAGGGTTAACCACGTGGTGAACATTCTGAATCACCTGTGGTTTGCCTCCAGGCCACTCTACCTCTTCCTGGTTTGGCCAGATCCCAAAGGGTAGAGCCCCTACCCCAGCCATGATTCTGGTTTGCTTATAGGGTTGCATCAGTCGGGGGTTGAGGTTGCAATTCAGGCTGGTTCCCAGAACAGGGGAGTTTGTGAAGCGATGTGGAGAGCCATGGAGGCTCAGCTCTTGAAACACTCTGGTGATTATGACAATAGTAGCAACTAATACTGAAATTGCACCTACTGTATACCGTGTGTCAGGCACTATTCTCTGCACTTAACTTTTCTTTTCTTTTCTTTCTTTTTTTTTTTTTGAGATGAGTCTGGCCCTGTTGCCCAGGCTGGAGTGTAGTGCATCTCGGCTCACTGCAACCTCCGCCTCCCGGGTTCAATCGATTCTCTTGCCTCAGCTTCCCAAGTAGCTGGGATTACAGGTACCCGACACCACGCCAGCTAGCTTTTGTATTTTTAGTAGAGATGGGGTTTCACCATGTTGGCCAGGCTTGTCTCAAACTCCTGACCTCAGGTGATCCACCTGCCTTGGCCTCCCAAAGTTCTGGGATTACAGGCATGAGCCACCGCGCCCAGCCATCTTTGCACTTTATATATTATATATATTTATATATTAATTTATATATTCTACACAACAAATCCATGATGGGGGACTAGTATCACTCCTGTTCTGTAGTTGGGGAAACCAGCATCAGCAGAGAGGCTTGACTCATGGGGCTGATAAGATCTGTGAGTGGTGGCAAAGGGGCTGGAGGGGACAAAGGGACAAGCTGGGCAGAGGCTGATGGATGAATTAAACCTGGCATGAGGACTCAGGCCACGGAGAGACGAGGAACAGCCAGGGATAGGCCAGACATCTGGGGAGCTGATCCTCCTGTAAGTTCCTTCTACCTCTCTCTAATAGAATTAATTAAGGTGCATTTGTGCATCTGTTGGCTTTTGGTCCCTGGGACCATAACAAAGAACACATGTTGCAATCTCTGGCCTGGGATTTGGGATCTAGCGGGATCACGGGACACTCTATCAAGCCAATCTCAGGCCTCGGGAGCCAAACTTGCAAGGTGGCCTGGATTTCTAGTTCCTGTTCCTGTTCTGTGTAAAAGAGATTCTCAGTTGGTTCTGAACACAGATTCTCAGTTGGTCCTGAACTTACCCTCGGAACCAACTGAGAATAAGGAGGAAATAGGTAGACAGAGGCAGCCTGAGTCATAGTTGTGATTCTGATTCTGCTCCCACTCTGATGTTTTTTGGAGAACTAGGCTTAAGCTGTCTTCCCCCCTCAGACTCTCTAGCAGTGGGACTCCAGGCCCACACCACTGTACCCACCTCCTGCCCCTTATTAAAGCTGTGTTCTCTCGTGCAAATTACGTCGTCTCCTTGAGCCCCACTGTCCTTGTCTGTAAAATGGGAATAATGAAAATACCTCCACTCAGGACTGTTGTGAGGATTAAACAGTATGTATGGGACATAGAAAACTTAATTTTACAAACCCCAGTGGAAACTACTCGAGCCATTTCATAATTTTCTATGGCCCATGAAAAAGGAAGTGATTTTAAATAAAATGTACTATTTACAATAAGTGTATTGTTTAAAATTTTTCTCTAACTTTTTTTTTTTGTTTTCCTATCTTTCTTTTTTTTCTTTCTTTTTTTTTTTTTAGAGATGGAGTTTTGCCACGTTGCCCACGTTGGTCTTGAACTCCTGAGCTCAAGTGATCCACCTTGAGCTTCAGCACTTCCCAAAGTGCTGGGATTACAGGCGTGAGCCACCGCACCCGGCCAATTCATACTTCTTAAAAGTAATTTTATGTTTGCTATATGATAAGATAAAATAGGTTTCATTTAGCTGGGAGTGGTGGCATGTGCCTGTAGTCTCAGCTACTTGACAGACTCAGATGAGAGGATGACTTGAATCTAGGAGGTCAAGGCTGCAGTGAGCCATGATTGCACCACTGCACTCCAGCCTGGGTGACAAAGTGAGACTCTGTGTCAAAAAAAAAAAAAAGAAAAAATATGTCTCAGGCCCCTATTTGCATGCCTCTCTGTATATGCCTTGCAGGTGTAGATCTCTTTTATACCCAGTACAGGAAAAGACAGAATACATCTTTCTCTCTTCTTACCAACCTTTGAAATGTTGTGAAGTAGTAGGATTTCTCTAATATGCCATATAAGAAAGTTGATCAGATAAATGTAATTTATGAATCTTGAAGCAGGCCGGGCATGGTGGCACACTCCTGTAATCCCAGCACTTTAGGAGAGCAAGGTGGGCGGATCACCTGAGGTCAGGAATTCGGGACCAGCCTGGCCAACATGGTGAAACCCTATCTCTACTAAAAATACAAAAAAATTAGCCGGGCGTGTGGCATGCACCTGTAATCCCAGCTACATGGGAGGCTGAGGCAGGATAATCGCTTGAACCTGGGAGGTGGAGGTTGGGACGTGGAGGTTGCAGTGAGCCGAGATCGCGCCACTATGCTCCAGCCTGGTGACAGAGGGAGACCTTGTCTCAAAAAAAAAAAAAAAAAACAAGAGAAAAAAGAAGAATCTTGAAGCAAATCTGCAGAGGAGTTAACACCATCATTTCCTTGTATTTTCTTTTCTTTTTTTTGAGGTGGAGTCTTGCTTTGTTGCCCGGGCTGAAGTGCAGTGGCGTGATCTCGGCTCACTGCAACCTCTGCCGCCCGGGTTCAAGCAGTTCTCCAGCCTCAGACTCCCAAGTAGCTGGGATTACAGGCGTGTGCCACCACACCTGGCTAATTTTTGTATTTTTTAAGTAGAGATGAGGTTTCACCATGTTGGCCAGGCTGGTCTCAAACTCCTGGCCTCAAGTGATCCACCCACCTCAGCCTCCCAAAGTTCTGAGATTACAGGCGTGAGCTACCGTACCCAGCTTCCTTGTATTTTTGATATCAGTTTCTTATGCTGTCTTTAATCATTGGCTCAGTAAGGGTATAAATTAAATGATATCAGATTAAGAGCAAAAACGATGTAAAGCCATATATCAGCCAAAGCTGTAGCTGAATGATTAATTGCCTGGTTGTGAGTCATGAGCTAGTTTGTTCTATCACCACTAACTACTGCTTTTTTTTTTTTTTTTTTTTTTTGAGATGGAGTCTCCCTCTGTTACCAGGCTGCAGTGGCGTGATCTTGGCTCACTGCAACCTCCGGCTCTCTGGTTCAAGCAATTCTCCTGCCTCAGCCTCCTGAGTAGCTGGGATTACAGGCACATGCCACTATGCCCGGCTAATTTTTGTATTTTTAGTAGAGACGGGGTTTCACCATGTTGGCCAGCATGGTCTCGATATCCTGACCTCATGATCTGCCCACCTGGGCCTCCCAAAGTGCTGGGATTACAGGCATGAGCCACCGTGCCTGGCCAACTATCGCTTTTTAAATATTTATTTTATTTTTGAGATAGGGATCTTGCTCTGTCACCCAGGCTAGAGTGCAGTAGCACAATCTCGGCTCACTGCAGCCTTGAATTCCTGGGCTCAAGCGATGCCTGGCTATACCTGCCAGATTTGATTCTTCCACTTATCCTAGGAAGATCTCACATTGAGAAAAAATCTTTTAACTATTACAATAATTATTCACTAATTTTTAAAAAAATGGAAACAGGCATCAAGACCTTCTAATGATGTGAACCTTCTGGAACATCTCCCTCCCTAGTGGGAAAAGCTGGTAGAAAGTAGTGGGAAGACAGACTTGGGTTTGACTCCTGTCTCTGCCTGTTGTGTCTCAGCCTTAGTGGCTTCATCTGTCAAATGGGCCCATTGGAAGGGAGGGAGGGCTACAGAAGGTCAGTGAAGCACCCTCTGGCTCCTTCCTTGCTCTCAGTGGGCTCTATTCCCCAGCTTCCAGCTCCATCAGATTTTCCAGGACCCAAACAGACCCAGGGAGAGACACAGAGGACGAACTCAATGAATTTGGGCTGAGGCAACACTGTGAACGCAGCTGTGGCTCTCAAAGAGGAACTTAGGGGTTGCCTCAACCTCTAGGGAGGCAAGGGAGCCTCTGAGAGACAGGTGGGGTGGTGGGGGTGAGGGAGTGGGAAAAGCTGCCTTTGACTCACTGTATGAGCAGGAGATCAGAGACCTCCTCTCTGGGCAGTGGAAGCAGGTGGGGGAGGGGAGGAGAAGCCGTGAAGCTCACCGGACACCGAACCACGAAGTCCCCTCTGCTCATGGGCTCACCCACATCCTCCCCGACTGGATGGGGCCCCAGCAGCCTTCACTCCCTCGCCTGCTGGGGAATCCTTCCCTCCCTGCTTGGCCCTAACTCCACTATGCAGTTCCTCCCCCATTAATCTGGCCTTGTCTGTCATTTTCTCTCCTTGGCATTTGAGGTCTTTGCTGCATGGCGTGAGGACTGAGTACATCCTTTCTCTCCCCAGGAGATGGAGGGAAAAGAGAACAGTTTTACACTGTTCTGGGTTCTGCTGGAAGAAGGCTGAGACCTGATCTTACTCTTCTGGTGGTCCCTGCAGCATAGCTGGGGACCGAGAGCCTTGGCTGTGCGTGGGTTCCCACTCTGCCCTCTCCCGAGACTTCAGTGTCCTCATTTATAGCTTGGGGAGAGAAAGAGAATTGCCTTTACAGGACCGAGGTGAGGATTACATAAGATAATGCCTAAGCACAGTCAGGGAAGGTCTGTCAGAGATCATCATGGAAACAGGAAGTCACCTGGGCCAAGGGCTAGAGCCTCAGGGTCTTGGCACAGAGTAGACACCTCACAAGACTGGATTGGACTGCTCAGTTTGGGGTGGGAGGAGAGAAGCCGGCCATATTCATATGATATCCCTCCAATTTCCTCCCCAGCGCAGGTTCTCGGGTTGTCCATGTGATGGCATCTGAAACGCAGCCTGGCGAGCGACACAGTAAAGACAACCCTGATCATGAGTCCCCGAGCCTGCCCTGCATCTCCATACCTAGAGGCATTTCCACTCCCGTTCTCCTATTTTGATTCCCACCACAATATGGCTTGGTTCTGGATCCAGATTGACCTGGACTTGAGTCTCAGCTTTGCCATTACCACCAGTTATGGGACTGTGGACAAGTCTCTCTCCTTCTTTTTTTTTTTTTTGAAACAGTATCTTGCTCAGTTACCCAGGCAATAATAGCTCACTGCAGCCTCAATCTCCCAGGCTTAAACAATCCTTCCACCTCAGCCCCCTGAGTAGCTGGGACCACAGGCATGTGCCACCATGCCTGGCTAATTTTTAATTTTTTTTTTTTTTTTTTTGTAGAGATAGGGTCTCACTATGTTTCCTAGACTGGTCTTGAAGTGCTGAGCTCAAGCTATCCTCCTGCCTGGGCCTCCCAAAGTGCCAAGCTTACAGGTATGAGCCACCATGCCCGGCCCCTTGGATAAGTCTTAAGCTTGTGTGAGCTTCAGTTTCTCACCTTGCAAATGTGGTTAGTGATAGCAGCCCCCTCCTAGGCTGTGGTGAGGACTTAATGAGGAACGGTCACAGAGCTCAAATGTGTAGTAAATGCTTCATCAATCTTCGCTTAAGAAAAAAACAAGAGCGGATCACCTGAGATCGGGAGCTCGAGACCAGCCTGGCCAACATGCAGAAACCCCATCCCTACTAAAAATACAAAATTAGCCGGGCGTGGTGGTGCATGCCTGTCATCCCAGCTACTTGGGAGGCTGAGGCAGGAGAATCGCTTGAACCCAGGAGGCAGAGGTTGCAATGAGCTGAGATTACGCCATTATACTCCAGCCTGGGCAACAAGAGCAAAACGCTGTCTCAAAAAAAAAAAAAAAAAAAAAAAAAGAAAGAAAAGAAAAGAAAACAAAACAAAAAAACAAAAAACAAAAAACAAGAGCCCCTTTGAGGCAGGTTGGGAATGCTATGATAGCGTCATTTTTAGAGTTGAAGAAACTGAGGTTCAGAAAGGTGATGTAACTTGCCCCAGGTTGCCTGAGTAATTGATGAGGGAGACTTGGGTTTCCATGTGATTCCATGTGATTGATAGCACAAGCTCTGAACCCACAGCGCAGGACTCTCTGCTCACACTGGCTCCGCTATTCCTTGGCTGTGTGACACTGAGCAAGTCAACACTGCTGCTGAGTCTTGGTTTTTCTCATCTGTAAGATAGGGCTGCCTGTCTCTTTTCAGAGTGCCCTTTGTGTCTCGTGGCTCGGGGACTTTTTTCAGGGGTGAGAGTAGGAAGCAGAAGCTATTTGAAGACAACCCTTCTTCCTGTCCTTTCCTGAGAACCTGAGCGCAGTGAGAAGGTTAGGTCACGTGGGTGGGGGGTGGGGAGAGAAGAGTGTCCATCTGCCATCCACAGCCAAGGGGAGAGGAGAGATTGTCCTTGGCTGGGAGGGGACCGAGGTCTTGGGCACCTAGAATTTGCTTTCTGGGAAGATGGCAGGACCTCTGGGGGAAGTCACTGGGTGATATATCCTGGATGTCAAAATGAGACACAGTGGTTTCAGGTCTTACAAAGAATCTGGACTCCAGGCATGCCAGGGAAGTGGGCAAGGCTGGACTTCAGACAATCAAGTCCATTTGGGCAATGGGCATCCATCGTAGGAGGACCCAGGAGCCTCCCTCACGCTTATGTTCTGTGTGTCCTCTGGGTCAATGTGCATGGGTGGGGATGGGAGTGAGGGAAGCTCAGTGCACTTGGAGATTAAATTTCCTCCTAGCCCAGTAGGATGAGGCTCAGGGTCCTATTGAATGTGACTTCAACTGAATAAAGAAAAGATCAATTTATGCACACCCGAGGGTGTGCAGTAAGAGTGACTGGTACTGTAAAATGAGGTGGGAAGAGAGGGGGCTGGCGCTGGAGGGCTCTGCTTGGCTGAGCCAGGCTGCCATTTTCCCGTCTTCACTGCCTTATCCTGGCCTTAGCCGGCCAAAGGGTAAAGGATATGCTTCACCTGCCCAGCGCAGGTTAGGGGGTCACTCTGGTAAGCCACAAGGTGGTTACAGAGCTGGGGCCAGGATTATTGGGACTCCACCTCCTGAGCTCTCCCTGAACTTCTCCCCAGCCTCCATCCTGGTTTTCATGCTGCCAACGTGTCTACTTGCCACTCATTCCAGGGAAAAGCAGCCAGGCCTCATTTTATCCTCATCTCAGATCCACAGCAAGAGCAGATGGGGTGAAGATCAAACTCTCCACCACAGCCATTCCCGAGCCCTGTGCTGCTGCCCGCCCTGTGCCCGCATCAGACAGTTGACTCGCAACAAGCCTGTGAGTGACCTTCTCAGGCCCATGTTTCTCAGAAGAGGAAGCTGAGCAGGAAAGAAATGGAGTGATTTGCATTAGGCCATCGAGCTACCAGTGGCAGAGCTGGGATTCAGACCTGGACGCTGACCCCAGGGCACACTGGAAAATACTGCTCTTCCCTCCGCTGAGTGGAACTTACACCAAAGCAGACCCCTGGCCTCCTGAGTCCAGTGTGCCCCTAACACTACCTTGTGGTCTCCCCATCTATAAAATGAGAGCGCAGGACTCACCTGGTCATCTCAAAGGCCTCTGCCAGCCCCTGTCATTTCCTGGCCCCCATCTACTGTTGCAGTCCACACCTCGTAAGGCAGGATAGCCTGGTGGCTGAAGGGTGGGCCGCGAAGCCGGAGTGCCTAGGCTCAAGCCAATGCTCTCATTCAATGCCCGCATGATTTCAGGTGGGTCACCTAGCCCCCACCTATCAAGTGGACAACAGTGATAGCTCCTACTGCATACGGCTGTTGTGAGGATTAAATAAATCCAACCACTAAAGGCTCTTAGGGCAGCGCCTGGCACACAGTAAGGCCATCTCTGTGTGTGTGATTCTTGTCTCTGTAATGAAATGAAAGCCAAAGTCCTGATTCTTGGTCCTAGGAGGGGGATGCCAGCCCTGAACTTTCCTGCGACTGGTCCTCCACAACCCCAGGTGTCCTGAAATGACATCTATCCCCTGCCCCAGACAGGCCCACCTGGCTTCTTGTGTCCCTGGAGGGAAGGGATAAGGTAAGAATACAGGTTTTGGCCAGGTGCAGTGGCTCATGCCTGTAATCCCAGCACTTTGGGAGGCCAAGGTGGGCAGATCACCTGAAGTCGGGAGTTCGAGACCAGCCTGGCCAACATGGTGAAACCCTGTCTCTACTAAAAATACAAAAATTAGCCAGACGCAGTAGTGCACACCTGTAATCCCAACTACACGGGAGGCTGAGGCAGGAGAATCGCTTGAACCTGTGAGGCTGCACTGAGCCGAGATTGTGCCACTGTACTTTAGCCTGGTCAACAGAGCAAAACTCCGTCTCAAAAACAAACAAACAAACAAAAAAGAATACAGGTGTTGGGGAATGAGGAAGAAGCCTAAAATAAACAACAAAAAAAGCTACTCACGGTTGTGTTGTGGGTGGCTGGGCACTGGGAGCTGCCGGGGGCTGAGGAGTCCCAGTTGTTTTCTGTCCTCTCCCAGGACCTGGCCGTGGGTGCCACTCAGAGCACCTGTTGAGTGCCACCCCAAGCCAGCTTTCTCTTGCTTTTGTACTTTCTCACAGATGAGTGAGTGTGAGGAGGTCTGGCCTTCCGTGCCTGTTACCACTTCCCCTCCAGGTCCCTGGTGCCACAATGCTCTTGCCCCTGCGGTTGAGTTATCTCTTACAACGAACTCTGGCCAGGGTGGGGCATGGGCCTAGACCCTGGAGTCAAGGGACTTGGGTTCTAATACAGCCTCGTTAAAATGTTGATTCACTTAACTTCCCCAAAGGCAAGTTTCTTTATCTGTAAAATGGGGATAATGCACCAACATTACAGTAGATCACCTAAAAGGACATGCCATTCCAATGCCTCTTCACCACTAGGCCAGAGCTTTGAAATGCAAATGCCTACAGGCAGATTAACATAATGGGTGATGGATCCTGGTGTGGGGCAATAGGGAGTGGTAGGGACTGTGGGTAATAGGGGGAACACAGGACCCAAGTGGAAAAGCTTGGCTGGAGCTGAGAGGTACCTGACCCTCTCTACTGGCCCAGCTGAGAGGTATCTGCCCCACACCCCAGACCCTGATCTGGGCCAGTAGAGAGGGGCAGGTACCTCTTAGTTCCAGCCAAGCTTTTCTGCTTGGGAGTATAGGCAAATTGTCAGATATTCCAAGCATTTGGAAGTTGTGCTGTATTTTTCAAGAGATACCAGAAATCTTGACTTATGTGATAGCTTCCTGTGTGTGTGTGTGTGTGTGTGTTTTGTTTTTTGTTTGTTTGTTTTTGTTTTGAGACCAAGTCTCGCTCTATTGCCCAGGCTGGAGTGCAATGGCGCAATCTCGGTTCACTGCAACCTCTGCCTCCTGGGTTCAAGCAACTCTCCTGCCTCAGCCTCCTGAGTAGCTGGGACTACAGGTGCACACAACCACCTCCAGCTAATTTGTAGTTTTAGTAGAGACAGGGTTTTGCCATGTTGACCATGCTGGTCTTGAACTCCTGACCTCAAGTGATCCACCCACCTTGGCCTCCTAAAGTGCTAGGATTACAGGGTGAGTCACCACGCCCAGCCACTTCCTGTTTATTTTATTTTACTTTATTTTATTTTATTTTAATTTTTTGAGGCAGGGTCTCGCTCTGTTGCCCAGGCTGGAGTACAGCGGCACGATCATAGTTCACTGCAGCCTCAAATTCCTGGGTTCCAGTGATCCTCCCATCTCAGCCTTCCAGGTAGCCGGCAGAACAGGCATGTGCCACCACACCTGGCTATTTTTTTTTTTTAATTTTTTTGTATAGATGGGGGTCTCACTATGTTGCCTAGCTTGGTTTTGAACTCCTGGGCTCAAGCAAATCCTCCCGCCTCAGTCTCCAAAAGTGTTGGGATTACAGGCATGAGCCACCATGCTCAGCCAGTTGCCAATTTTAGAATGTAAAGCCCAAAGTCACACCTTTAAAAAATGCTATGTGAGTCAAACTAAACATTATCTTCAGTTTATATTTATTAGGGAGTATGTCCCTAATGTCCAGTCCTGGGCTGGATGTACTCAGGTATGGTATCTGATATAGTTCCAAGTGTCCTCACACCCACTCTCAGATAAAATATTTAATGAGACGCCATTATATTCTAAGGATACAGAGATGATTATGGCAAAGTTTTTGCCCTTGTAAACTCATGGCCTATGATTATCTCATCAGATCCTCTCACTAACTGCTCCCCACACCCCAGACCCTGATCTGGGCCAATGAAGAAAGATTTTGCCCCTGAGGTAGAGTTGCAAGATTCTTCAAGTAAAAAATGTTACAGGCATGAGCCACCCCACCTGGCCCAATGAATTATATTCTTGAAGATGATGGAGAGTAGATTTTAAGTGTTCTCACCACAAAAATAAGTATGTGAGGTAATGCAACAATAGTTGAGACATTCAGGCACTAAAAATTACTTGTTGCTTATGTGCGATTAGAATGCTCAGCCTAGCGTGGTGGCTCACGCCTGTTATCCCAGCACTTTGGGAGGCAGAGGCAGATGGACTGCCTGAGATCAAGAGTTCAAGACCACCCTGGGCAACATGGTGAAACCTCATCTCTACTAAAATACAAAAAATTAGCTGGGTGTGGTGGTGCGTAGTTGTAGTCCCAGCTACTCAGGAGGCTGAGGCATGAGAAATGCTTGAGCCACAGAGGCGGAGGTTGCAGGGAGCCGAGATCGCCTTACTGCACTCCAGCTTGGGCTCCAGAGTGAGACTCTGTCTCAAAAAAAAAAAAAAAAGAAAAAAGAAAAAGAAAAAAAAGAATGTAACCAGGCATTCTCTGTCTTATCTGGCAACACCACCCAGAGGGGACACTTGGCAATATCTGGAGACATTTTTGGTTGTCACAACCTGGTGGAGGAATTCTACTGACATCTGCTAGGGAGAGGCCAGGAATGCTGCTAACCATTCTGCAATGCACAGGACAGCCCTACAGCAAGGAATTATCCAGCTCAAGATGCTAACTTGCGAACCCTGGTCTGGACCTAGTCCTGGCTCCTTCAGCGCAAAGCCATTGCTGGGAAGGGCCTTTAATTTGATCATTCATCCCTTTGGGAAATGGAACAGTAACAGCCTCCAGCCCTTGCATCTCTCCCAAGAGCAAGACATTGGCAGTGAGGAATGGGACAGAGAGCCCCAGGTGCCAAGAAAGAGGAAAAGAAGACCAGAAGGAGCTGGGGAGTGGGGCCCGCCTGCAGCCTACATCAGACTCCTATCTGGGCTGGAATTGGAGACCCAGGGGTGAGCTGGAAGAGATCTAGCAGATGCTTCCACAATCCTGAATCCTAGACCTCTGGCCTTGAGAAAGCCCCACATGGGGAAGAAGGGTGAGGCTGTCCCCAAACGCCTGGTCCTCCATTGCAGCCCAAAGCATGTAATTGGAGGTGGAAGGCATGAATGAGTGAAGGAATGAATGAACGAAGGAAGAAAGAAAGGAAGTTACTGAAAGTTCAAGTGGAAGGAACGCTGGGAAGCGGAGTTTTTGTGTGGTCTCTGCCATTGCCTGGCTGACCAACAAGTTGCTTCCTGTATCTGTTCTCAATTTCTCCATTCCTAAAATGAGGAAGTTGGAGATAACAGGTGCCCCTGAAACGCCTGAGTGCATGGAAGTCACCCACAGGGCCTGTTAAAACACAGATTGGGGCCGGGTGAGGAGGCTCATGCCCGTAATCCCAGCATTCTGGGAGGCTGAGGCGGGAGGAGGTCTTGCCTGAACTCAGGAGTTTGAGGTTATAGTGAGCTCTGATTATGCTACTGCACTCCAGGCTGGGTGACAGAGAGAGAACCTTGACTTGAAAAACAAAACCCCAAAACACAGATTGCTGGGCCCCACTCCCAGAGATTCTGATTCAGTATTCTGGGATGGGGCCCAAGAATCTGCATTTCTAACTAATTCCCAGGGGAAGCAGATGCTGTCGGTCCTTGGACTCCCTATGGGCAGCACTGGACAAGAGAATCAATAAGGAAGCTCCATGATCTCTCAGTCCCCTGGGCAGGGCTGATGGGGCCCACAGGGGAAGTCTGTTCTCTTTTTGCCCTGGGAGGGCCAGGAGCAATTGTAGGTGAGGGTTTAGGAGGCGGTTTTCTCAGCTCCTTGGGTAGAGCTGGCCTCAGCAGCCCTTGTACTGTGAGATGCCGCCATCTACAGGATGGATCTACCCCATGCTGGGGCCGAGTGCTGTCATATTGAGGGTCTGATCTGAGGAGGAACATTCCCGAGAGGTATACTTTTCCTGTCAGGCCACAGGGAAGCAGTCTTTGCACTGTCTGAACCAACTGACCCTAAGATGGTTCAAAGCCAGGCATGGTGGCTCATGTCCGTAATCCCAGGCCTGTGGGAGACCGAGGAGGAAGGAAGGATTGCTTGAGCCCAGGAGTTCGAGACCAGCCCAGGCAACATAGCGAGACCCTGTCTCTACAAAAAATAAAAAATTAGCTGGGCATGGTGATGTATGCCTGTACTCACAGCTACTCAGGAGGCTGAGGCAGGAGGGTCATGTGAGCCCAGGAGGTCAAGGCTGCAATGAGCCATGATCTGCACCACTGCACTCCAGCTTGGGCGATGGAGGAAAAGAAAAAAAAAAAAGATTATTCAGTTTTCAGTGTAAATGTTGGTCCCTGAATTAACTTGGGAAAATAAAACAAAATGTGTCTGCAATCATATGGGATAACATATTTTCACCAAAACTGTTGTTATGTTTTGCCTTTTAAACCCTGCTATACAGTATTCCTTTTAAAATTAATTAATTTTTTAGAATTGTCAAAAATTGTATACATTTAACATGTACAATGTGATGTTTTGTAATATACATATACATTGTAGAATGGCTAAATTGAACCAATTAGCATATGCATTACCTCATATACTTATTTTTGTGGTGAGAACACTTAAAATCTACTCTCCATCCGCCGGGCACGGTGGTTTATGCCTGTAATCCCAGCACTCTGGGAGGCCGAGGCGGGCGGATCACGAGGTCAGGAGATCGAGACCATCCTGGCTAACATGGTGAAACCCTGTCTCTACTAAAAAATACAAAAATTAGCCGGGCTTGGTGGTGGGCGCCTGTAGTCCCAGCTACTCGGGAGGCTGTGGCAGGAGAATGGCAGGAACCTGGGAGGCGGAGCTTGCGGTGAGCCAAGATTGTGCCACTGCACTCCAGCCTGGGCGACAGAGCGAGACTCTGTCTCAAAAATAAATAAATAAATAAAATAAAATCTACTTTCCATCATTTTCAAGAATATAATCCACCGGGCCAAGTGAGGTGGGGTGGCTCATGCCTGTAATCCCAACACTTTGGGAGGCCAAGGCTGGCAGATCACTTGAGGTCAGGAGTTCAAGACCAGCCCGGCCAACATAATGAAACCTGTCTCTACTAAAAGATAGAAAAATTAGTCAGGTGTGGTGGTGGGCGCCTGTAATCCCAGCTACTCAGGAGGCTGAGGCAGGAGAATCTCTTGAACCTGGGAAGCAGAGGTTGCAGTGAGCCGAGATTGTGCCACTGCACTCCAGCCTTGGTGACAGAGCAAGACTCTGTCTCAAAAAAAAAAAAAAGGAAATCCATCAGACCCAAATTTTGCCCATTTGTCAGGCCTTTTTTCCCCCAATTATGAAAGTAAACAGAAGCAGGCCGGGTGCGGTGGCTCACACCTGTAATCCCAGCACTTTGGGAGGCCGAGGCAGGCAGATCAGTTGAGGCCAGGAGTTCAAGACCAGCCTGGCCAACATGGTGAAACCCTGTCTCTAATAAAAGTACAAAAATTAGCCAGGCATGGTGGCGGGCACCTATAATCCCAGGTACTCAAGAGGCTGAGGCAGGAGAATTGCTTGAACCCGTGGGGCAGAGGTTGCGGTGAGCCGAGATCGTGCCACTTCGCTCCAGCCTGGGCAATAGAGCGAAACTCCGTCTTGGAAAAAAAGAAAAAAAGAAAGAAAAGAAAAGAAAGAAAGTAAACAGAAGCAACCAACAATGTGCCACGTCAAAAAGGAAGCAAAGTAAGCCTTCTAACATGTGACCATTTTGTAAATTAGAAAACGTCTATATATACAAGAGTATAACATATTTCACAAGGACACATTTAAAGTTAAGGATACTTATCCACCCAGAGGTACCCCAGAGGAGAGTTACTTTTGGTGCTGCGGGAAATGGGAGGAAACGGGATAAAAGAAATTCAGTCCAGCCAGGTGCCGTGGCTCACGCCTGTAATCCCAGACTTTGGGAGGCTGAGGCGGGCAGTTCACAAGGCCAAGAAATTGAGACCATCCTGGTCAACATGGTGAAACCTTGTCTCTACTAAAAATACAAAAATTAGCCAGGCGTGGTGGCACGCACCTGTAGTCTCAGCTACTTAGGAGGTTGAGGCAGGAGAATTGCTTGAACCCAGGAGGCAGAGGCTGCAGTGAACTGAGATCGCGTCACTGCACTCCAGCCTGGCGACAGAGCAAGACTCCGTCAAAATAAATAAATAAGTAAATAAAAATTCAATCCCTTGATGAACCAATTCCACAAGAGAGACCTTGGACAGAATCCATGACAGTGCGTCATAGACGGCAGGGGGCTGCTTAAGGCAATAAACCCACCAAAGGTCTCCCTGAAAAACCCAACATTCTTATTTTGGACATTTTGGAAAACTTCTTTCTATTTTTTTTTTCTCCCCCTAACCTAAATGCCCATCAATGGTATGGAAAACTTATTTATTTATTTATTTATTTATTTATTTTTTAAGACGGAGTCTCGCTCTGTCGCCCAGGCTGGAGTGCAGTGGCGCGATCTCTCACTGCAAGCTCCACCTCCCGGGTTCACGCCATTCTCCTGCCTCAGTCTCCCGAGTAGCTGGGACTACAGGCGCCCGCCACCACACCCGGCTAATTTTTTGTATTTTTAGTAGAGACGAGGTTTCACCGTGTTAGCCAGGATGGTCTCGATCTCCTGGCCTCGTGATCCGCCCACCTCGGCCTCCCAAAGTGCTGGGATTACAGGCGTGAGCCACCGCGCCCGGCTGGAAAACTTTTTAAAAATAGAAGGAAGAAAACAAAAATGCTTCTTGATCTCACCACAGGGAGGTAGATGCTGTTAACGTTTAGATGTGTTTCTTTCTGGGCTGCCACAATTCCAGGCCAGAGGTATTGAGGAACCCAGGCTGGGCCATGGGGGCAGAGGAGAGAACACAGTGGAAGAGATGAATTAGAGGGTTGATTAATAGAACCAGAGTTTGGAGCCAAACTTGGGGCTTCCAGTGTCTGAAAAAATGCCAGCGCCCAGCACGTGACTATTTCTTTAGAGCTGCCCTTTGCCTTCCTGCGCAGCCCCAGCCCAGCCCCTGCCCAGCCCCAGCAGTAAACAGTCAATTCTATAAATAGCCATGTGGGCAGATGCCAAGGCAGATCTGAGCCTACCAGGCTGCGGGACCTGAGAGCATTTAGTGATTGTCTCGACTCTCACCATAGGGCTCAGCCAGCAGTACAAGCACAGGCTGATAACGTTCCCCTCTCCAAAAGAGGACTGTGGCAGGCAGCTTTGGTAGCAGAAGATTATATTTGGATTTTCCAGCTTCCATGAGAAGCAACATAGCACAAGGATTGAGAGTCTGGGCTCTGAACCAGAGGGACCTGGGCCTCTGTTCCCAGTTTGCCACTGAATAGCTGTGTGACTTAATTTTCTTGAATTTCAGTTTTTCCATCTAGTAATACCACCTAGCAATTACATGCAAAAAAAAAAAAAAAAGAAAAGAAAAAGAAAAAATGGAAAACACCATATAAATATCAGGGGTTGGTATAAACAAGGTAATAAGATAAATATAGATGCTGTCACTGACAAACACTCTTTTTGAGCAAACTTTAGTTAGGTTCCTCTGTCTTTTCAATTAGAACTTGAACTTGGCTCTGTCCTGTCTTTGGTTGGCCCAGCCCAGTCCTAGCAAAAAATCCTGCTAAGTCATCCCCCTACCCTGGATATCTGATAAAGTTCTTCATCGCCCACCTTTGATGTGTATGTCCTGGGCCTGCCTTTAGCAAGAATCTTGTTAGGTCTGTTTAACAAGAATCTCCATATTCTTGACGTCTCCTCTTAGTAATGTTAAAATTTATAGGAGGACATTGATTTGAACTGAACTTCCTGCACGAGGCCCAATAGAGCAGACCGAAATGGAGTTCCTCGTGCCGAAGCCCATGCTACCAAGCCAAAACTAAGTTGTTTATCTGACCTTCTGAGAAACCAGGAGAGAGCCAGATAAACACCAAACCTCCAAACAAGCCAATTTTGGCAGGCATGATAACAAAGTGCTCTCTGCTTTTTAAAAACTTTTTTTTGAAACGAAGCCTTGCTCTGTTACTCAGCTGGAGTGCAGTGGCATGATCTCAGTTCACTGCAACCTCCACCTTTTGCAAGCGATTCTCCTGCCTCAGCCTCTTGAGTAGCTGGGACTGTAGGCATGCACCACCGTGTCTGGCTAATTTTTTTTTTTTTTTTTTGTATTTTTAGTAGAGACAGCGTTTCACCATGTTGGCCAGGCTGGTCTCGAACTCCTGACCTCAAGCAATAGGCCTGCCTCAGCCTCCCAAAGTGCTGGGATAACAGGCATGAGTCACTGCGCCTGGCCTGCTTTTTAGAAACTTTAAGGCCGGGTGTGGTGGCTCACGCTTATAATCCCAGCACTTTGGGAGGCCGAGGAGGGCAGATCACGGGTCAGGAGATTGAGACCAGCCTGGCAACATGGTGAAACCCCGTCTCTACTAAAAGTACAAAAATTAGCTGGGTGTGTTGGCGTGTGCCTGTAATCCCAGCTACTCGGGAGGCTGAGGCAGGAGAATCGCTTGAACCTGGGAGGCAGAGGTTGTAGTGAGCTGAGATCGCGCCACTGCACTCTAGCCTGGTGGTAGAGCAAGACTCTGTCAAAAAAAAAAAAAAAAAAAAAAAACCTTTAAATTTTTATTTTTTATTTTTTATAGAGATGAGGTCTTACCATGTTGGCCAGGCTGGTCTCGAACTCCTGGCCTCAAGCGATCCTCCCATCCCAGTCTCCCAATGCACTAGGATGACAGATATGAGCCACCACACCTGGCCCATGTTCCCTCTGCTTTAACCTTTACTAGGAAATGAATCCCCCTTTTGTTCTCTGTTTCTGCTTTCCCCACCCCTTTTCTGTCTATAAAACTAAAACCTTCTGCTTGGCTCATGGGAACACTTATTACATTTTACAGAATGAGGTGTTGCTCTATTCTAGAATCACAAATAAATGCCAATTAAGATCTTTAAACTAAATTTGTTGTAATTTTATTTATTTATTTATTTTGAGATGGAGTGTTTCAGTTGCCCAGGCTGGAGTGCAGTGGCACAATCTCGGCTCACTGCAACCTCCGCCTCCTGGACTCAGGCGATTCTCCTGCTTCAGCCCCACAAGTAGCTGGGATTACAGGCATGCGCCACCACTCCCAGCTAATTTTGTATTTTTAGTAGAGACGGGTTTTACCGTGTTGGCCAGCCTGGTCTCAAACTCCTGACCTCAGGTGATCTGCTCGCCTCGGCCTCCCAAAATGCTGGGATTACACACCAGGCGTGAGCCACCACACTTGGCCAATTTGTTGTAATTTAGTCTTTTGATAGTAAATTTCCACCCACAGACCCCCCCAGTCACTGAGCTCCTTGGCTATAAATTCCCACTTATCTGTGTTGTATTTGGAGTTGCGTCTGATTCCCCGCAATCCGTTGCAACACCCCTACTGCAATAGTCTTAAAGTTATCTTCACCATTTTAACAAGTGTCGGGATAATTTTCCTTTCACATCTCCAATCTGAACAAAAAATATAAAAGTTAACCCAGGAGAAAACCCATGTCAGGCAGTAAAATCCCACACACCCATCATAAATTCCATACTATCCCGGTACCTGGCACAAGTGTCCAACCCATGATTGGACAAATACTCAGAGAGTATTTGTTGAATGAATAATTGCTGAGTGTCCCTGGCATGGCAAAAATAATGGAAGCCATAGAGTCTGGGAGGTGGGTCTGATCTGTTCCTTTACCTCTGGAAGGTGGGATGGTGTGGGGAGACAGGACACTGGGAGTCAGAAACCCCAGTGTCCAATCCCAGCCCCATTCTAACTCTCTATAAGCCTCAGCCCCGTCATCTGTGAAATGAACAGGCTGGGTTTGGTAAGAAGTTAAAACTTTTTTTTTTCTTACTGCAATCCATGAAAGATTCATTTTATATCATGACTCAATACACATATAAGGCCGGGAGCAGTGGCTCACACCTGTAATCCCAGCACTTGGGGAGGCCGAGGTGGGAGGATCACCAGAAGTCAGGATTTCAAGACCAGCCTAGCCAACATGGAGAAACCCTGTCTCTACTAAAAATACAAAAATTAGCCGGGTGTGGTGGTGCATGCCTGTAGTGCCAGCTACTCGGAAGGCTGAGGCAGGAGAATTGCTTGAAACTGGGAGGTGGAGGTTGCTATGAGCTGAGATCACACCACTGCACTCCAGCCTGGATGACAGAGCAAGACTCCATCTCAAAAACAAACAAACAAACAACAACATAAAAACAAAAAACAAAAACAGAAACACATATAATACATACTATATGTAAAATTGCAACTTCAGTTTCGTGAAACCAATAATTCTTACTATACGGGATACACTCTGATATTTTCCTTTTTATTTTATTCAGTTCTAATTAATTTTATTTTATTTAACTATGCCATTTGTAGCCAAAGAAATAATTTTTATTACTCACCAATGGATCACAAGCTGAAAATACTTATTAGAGAGCCTCTTCTCTAGGTCTGGAATTCTAATCTGCCCACATATTTTCACCTCTACACCTTTGATTCTCTTAGCCTGCAATGCCCTCTGACTCTTGCTTATCAATTTGGTCTTGACTCCTTCTTCCAGGCCCAACATAAGTCCTTCTTCCTCCAGGAAGTCTTCCCAGCTTGTCACAAGTCCCATTTCTCGTTCAGTTTTTGTTTTGTTTCCTTAAATTGCTGTACCTGTCAATTAGCCAGCAAGTATTTATTTGTCTGTTTATGTGTCTAGAACTGTGCTTGGAGAATGAGTCAAAAAGACATAAGATGCATTCTGGGGCCCAGGTGCTGAGTTGGAGTGATCAGCAGGACACAAAGGACAGGGGACATGAGAAGGTAGCCCATTAGGGGGTGCAACCTCTTGGAGGAAGAGGGACAGGGAAAAACCTGTCTTCCACTTCCCACTCCCATCCTTGCAAGGGTTCAGAGACGTGGAGGGAGGGCAAAGAGAGTTAGGGCTAAGGACAAAACAGAGCCCAAAGGGGCCAGGGGTGGCAGGAAGAGCTGTTTTCTGTACAAAGAGAAGTTAGAGTCCAGGGCCCCAACACAGGGGTTAAAACAAATGGGTCAGAAGGAGGCGTTTCATGCCGCTGGACTGGCTGGGTCACTGGCGACTGAACAACCGCAGCAAAGTCTGCAGCTGCAGTTTCCACTCTGAGCAGATGCCAAAGCATCCAACTGGCTGGGCACTCCCGACTCCAGTTGGCTGGAGAAGCTGTGGATAGGTTTGAACTTCCAGGAAAAGTTGACTGAACGACTTCATGGTTTTATATCACAGGCTGAATAGTGACAAAGATTCCTTGACCAAACTCTACTCAGGCCTTGAACTTTTCTTTTTTCTTTTTCTTTTCTTTCTTCTTTCTTTCTTTTTTTTTGGTGGAGTTTCGATCTTGTTGCCCAGGCTGGAGTGCAATGGCGCACAATCTTAGCTCATCACAACCTCCACCTCCCGGGTTCAAGCGATTCCCCTGCCTCAGCCTCCTGAGTAGCTGGGATTACAGGTATGTGCCACCACACCCGACTAATTTTGTATTTTTCATAGAGAGGGGGTTTCTCCATGTTGCTCAGGCTGGTCTCGAACTCCTGACCTTGGAAGATCCTCCCGCTTCGGCCTCCCAAAGTGCTGGGATCACAGGCGAGAGCCGCCGTGCCCGGCCTAGCCTTGAACTTTTCAACGAGACCTTGACTTCTGTGTTCATCTCTGCATTGGTCAATGTCAGCAAGAATCCTGTGAAGTTGATTTAGCTAGAATCTCCTGTCCTCCATGTCTGATCACCCTCAATATCTGATAGGGTCCTTCATCCTCCACCACCTCCCAGGTGACATCTGATGATCCTGGCTTGCCTTCAGCCAGGATGTTAGGTTGGCTTAGCCAGAAGCCCCCCTCCCCTTACTTCTGATGTATTCTCTTAGTAATTTTTCATCCGGTGATCCCCACCCTGCTCCTTGGCTATAAATTTCCACTTGCTGATTCTGTATGTGGACTTGAGTCCCCCCAACTGCAAAACCCCATTGAAGTGGTCTTTATACCTGTCATGATGCGCCCCCCCCCCTTGAATAAACGCTTCCTTACCATCTTGAATGAGTGTCACTAATAATTTTGTCTTTAACAACAGCTTGCAGGACCCATAAAAGGGTATAGCCAAGAGTTAATAACCGGGGATTCGGGAGATCCTTGGATGGATGAGGAAGCAACAGGGGAGGAAAGACCAGATCAGAGACCAAGTTCTAGTTCTGGCACTGCCTCATCCTGCCATGTGGCCTTGAACAAGTGTGAGCCTCAGATTCTTCTCCTACAAAAGCAGAAGATGGGAGAGACCATCCTGCTCTGACTTTCCATGTGGGACTGAATTAGACATAACTCCTGCCCTCAACGTGTTTACAGTCCAGTTGGGAAGGTGAAGCATTGGCTGAACTGAGTCATAACACTTAGCCCCAGGTGGCTGGTTCTGGTGTATAGTCAATAGTTAGTAAATGTCTACTGAATAAATGAAAGGAAAACACTAATAAACCTCCTCACTGAACCCTCACTGTATACCAGACACAGAGTTAAACTTTTCACAAATATTTTCTTATTTAACCCTCACAACACTTACCAGTAAGGATTATATATCTATATTGTGTTACATATTCAAATATAACATAATATTCCCCAGGAAGTAGGTAAGAGGAGCTCTAGGTGTTTTGGGTAAGACCAAGTTCACCATCTTTTGTACTCCGGAGTGTAATCTTCACATGGTCCTATAGGCCAGGAGGCAAATCTTCTCCCACCTCACTCCAGAATTCCTGTTCTGTGACTCATTTTATTTTTAAAAATTTTATTTATTTATTTATTTATTTATTTGAGATGGAGTCTCGCTCTGTCACCCGGGCTGGAGTGCAGTGGCACTATCTTGGCTTACTGCAGCCTCCGTCTCCTGGGTTCAAACGATTTTCCTGCCTCAGCCTCCCGAGTAGCTGGGATTATAGGCTGGGATTACACCAAACCCAACTAATTTTTGTATTTTTAGTAGAGATGGGGTTTTGCCATGTTGGCCAGGCTGGTCTCGAACTCCTGACCTCAGGTGATCCACCGGTCTTGGCCTCCCAAAGTGCTGGGATTACAGTGCTGGGATTACAGCGTGAGCCACCGCGCCTGGCCCCCTGACTCATTTAGTATTTCTCCAAAGCATTTATCATCACATGACACCTACTGTATATTTCTTTTCTTTTCTTTTTTTTTTTTTTTTGAGACAGTCTCGCTCTGTCCCCCAGGCTGGAGTGCAGTGGCGCAATCTCGGCTCACTGCAAGCTCCGCCTCCCGGGTTCACACTATTCTCCTGCCTCAGCCTCTGGAGTAACTGGGACTACAGGTGCATGCCATCACGCCCGGCTAACTTTTTGTATTTTTAATAGAGACAGGGTTTCACAGTGTTAGCCAGGATGGTCTCGATCTCCTGACCTTGTGATCCGCTGGCCTTGGCCTCCCAAAGTGCTGGGATTATAGGCATGAGTCACCGTGCCCAGCCAACACCTGTTGTATATTTCATTTGTTCATTTTTCTGTTCCTCCTTCCTAAAATATAAACTTCATAACAGCAGGGATCTATATCTATTTTGGTCACTTCTACGTCCCCTGTGTCTAGAACAGTGTTTGGTACATCCCCAAAATTAGGTGTTCAACATCCATTAGGTGCTCAACTAATATTTGTTGAATGAATAAATGAATAGACGAATGAAGTAGGTGAGTCTCAGAAAAGTTAAACAAAGCAACTTATCCAATATTATCCAGCCATCAAGTGGCACAGATGGAATTCAAACCTAGAATTGGGACAGGCTTGGAGTCAATCCATTTAACCACTAAACCATAATTGTCTCATTCATGCAACAAATATTCACTGAGATCCTAATCCCTGAAGGACACTGTTCTAGGCACTGGGGATATAGCGGGGATGAAAACAGACAAAATCCTTGCCCTTGTGGTGCTTGCTTCTTAGTATTGTCCCATATGAAAAGAGATGTAGTTTTGTAAGATTGGGATGCAAGGCCCATGTGCCAACATACCTGGTTATGTATCAGTGGCAGACATAACTAATGGATCAAGACCCTTAATCCTGCCCAGCCCAGATTCTGCTCATGATCTTTCTCAACTCAGCACTCCATGCTGACACTCAGCTGACTGGAGTTGGCACCAAAATAACCCCTGTTGGTCATGTGTGAATAGGTGTTGTCTCCTCAATAAGGGCATGAATCCCAACCCTGCACTGTGTGGCCAGAACCCCTGGGACCACAAGTGGAAGTTCCATAGCTGGCACAGGACTTGGGGTTCCTTCCCACTGGCCCCAGACAGTGTTTCCCTCGTTCCTTTCCCCAGCCCCTCTGACCAGTCCTGGGGGCATGAAGAGCACAGAGCTTAGCCAAGGTACAAACTCAAAAGCCTTGAAGGCAGCCAGGTTATGCTGATCCTGGGAGGGCAGGCTGGTTAAGGAACGGGCATAGGCTCTGGAATGGATAGTTATGGGTTCAAATCATGGGTTCTCGACTCATTCACATGACTTTGGGCAAGTCACTGCACCATTCTGAACCTTAGCTTCCTCATGTGTTAAATACGGGGATTATGCATTTACTTCAAAGGGTTGACCTGAATATTAGATGAAATAATCTATATAAGGGGCCTGCCTTAGTGTTTGGAGAGCAACAGGTACTCAACAAATGTTGGATGAGGGAACAAATGAGTACCTGAGTGACTGCATGAATGAGTGTTCTGGCAGGAAAGGTAGACACAAAAGCATACCTGGTGGGTTGTATTTTCCAAAGATAACCTGAGAAGACGTTTGAGACCATTTCAACCAGTAGAGTATGTCAGAGTGATAATTTTTTTTTTTTTTTTTTGAGAAGGAGTCTCACTCTGTTGCCCAGGCTGGAGCGCAGTGGCGTGATCTGGGCTCACTGCAAGCTCCGCCTCCCGGGTTCACGCCATTCTCCTGCCTCAGCCTCCCGAGTAGCTGGGACTACAGACGCGCGCCACCCACGCCCGGCTAAGTTTTTTGTATTTTCAGTAGAGACGGGGTTTCACCGTGTTAGCCAGGATGGTCTTGATCTCCTGACCTCGTGATCTGCCCGCCTCGGCCTCCCAGAGTGCTGGGATTACAGGCGTGAGCCACTGCGCCTGGCCCGCTCTGAGAGTAAATGAAGGCAGAGCTATGCCCATCCAGCTCCGTTCACCATTCACCACCAGCAACCACATGAGAGACCCCAAGTCAGACCACACAGGCAATCCCTTTCTGAATTCCTGACCCTCTGAAACCTTGAAAGATGATGAAATGATTCTTGTTGCTTTAAGCCACTAAATTTTGGGGCAATTACTCTTCAATAGCAGAATTTGTACAGTGTGTTTGGGAACACAGAAGAGGGATCAATCAAAAGAAATTGAACATTCAGCTGGGCACAGTGGCTCACACCTGTAATCCCAACAGGGAGGCCAGGCAGGTGGATCACGTGAGGTCAGGAGATTGAGACCAGCCTGGCCAACATGGCGAAACCATGTCTCTACTAAAAATACAAAAATTAGCTGGGCGTGGGGTGGCGTGCACCTGTAATCCCAGCTACTCAGGAAGCTGAGGCTGGAGAATCGCTTGAACTCGAAAGACAGAGGTTGCAGTGAGCCGAGATCACGCCACTGCACACCAACCTAGGTGACACAGTGAGACTCCATCTCAAAAAAAAAAAAAAAAAGGTGTTGAACATTCAATGTAAAGAAAGAAATTACACTAATACATTGAGTAGGATACCCAATAAATTGAGTTGCTGTTGAAAATAATCCTTAGACGAAGGCTTTCACATATAGCAGCTCAAAGAAAGTCTCCATTCCATGTTATCTTAGGAAACCTCTCTGGAGCTCCACTCCTCCCACTTCCTGCTCTTCCTCCCCAGCCCCTGGGTCAGGTCCTGGACTCCCATAGTTTTCAGGCTGCTAAACAACAGAACGAGCACTGGACTTGGAGCCAGAAGTCTTGGGCTCAAGCCCTGCCCTTACTGCTTACTAGCTGAATAATTCTGGGCAAATCAGTTGGACCAGTTACACCTCAGCCTTCTCATTTAGGAAATGGAGATGTCACAACTGCTAATTCATTGAATGCTCTGTATGAACTGACCACTAAACCCTTTAAATTGACCACTTCACTTAATCTGCATAACCACCCAACAAGATAAGGAATATTATTACTATTATTATTATTATTATTATTATTATTTGAGACAGGGTCTTGCTTTGTCACCCAGCCTGGAGTACAGTGGCACGATCACTGCTCACTGCAGCCTAGACCTCCTGGGCTCAAGTGATCCTCCCACCTCAGCCTCCAAGTAGCTGGGACTACAGACGTGTGCCACCACACCCAGCTAATTTTTGTATTTTTTGTAGAGATGAGGTTTTGCCATGTTGCCCAGGCTGGTCTTGAACTCCTGGGCTCAAGTGATCCTCCCGACTTGGCCTCCCAAAGTGCTGGGATTACAGGCATGAGCCACTTGTGCTGGGCCAACAGGAAATATTATCTTCATTTTCCCAATGGGGAAACTGTCCCAGAGATGTTAAGTAACTTGCCCAGAGTTATGCATCGTCTGCACGGCAGAGCTGGGATTCAACACTAGGCTGCCTTGCTCCAGAGCTTGTGCTCTTAACACTGTGCTGTCCCCGCGGGGGTGGGTGAAACTCTCAGGACAGCTTGTGAGAGTGTAGAAAAGGGCTTCTGTAAATGAAAGGAGTGCATGTGCAGAGGGGAGGAAACTTTATTTATTTATTTGAGATAGAGTCTCACTCTGTCACCCAGGCTGGAGTGCAATGGCACGATCTCGGCTCACCGCAACCTCCACCTCCCGGGTTCAAGCGATTCTCCTGCCTCAGGCTCCTGAATAGCTGGGGTTACAGGCGTGCGCCACCACACCTGGCTAATTTTGTATTTTTAGTAGAGATGGGGTTTCTCCATGTTGGTCAAGCTGGTTCCGAACTCCCGACCTCAGGTGATCCACCTGCCTCAGCCTCCCAGAGTGCTGGGATTATAGGTGTGAGCCACTGCACCCGGCCGAAAACTTTTTCTTTTTTTTGAGATATGTTCTCACTCTGGTTGTTGCCCAGGCTGGAGTGCAGTGGCGCAACCACAGCTCACTGCAGCCTCGACCTCCCGGGCTCAAGTGATCCTCCCACCTCCCACCTCAGCCTCCCAAGTAGCTGGGACTACAGGCTTGAGCCACCATACCCTGCTTTTTTTTTTTTTTTTTTTTTTTTTTTTGTAGAGACTGTGTTTGGCACATGTTTATGGTTACTTGCAACTCCCTGATAGCATCTGGCCTGTTCTGCCTTATAGCAGACATAGTTGCTCCTATTTCTGGGTCTTCCTGTTAAAGCTCCTTAAGGGCAAGCCCCACGTCTTATTCCTCTCTGCACCCTCACAGCATCCCATCCAGTGCCAAGGACTGAGTTGGGATTCAGAAAAAAAAAATATTTGAATGGAGTGGATTCCTCTATTAAGCCGAAACACTAAGACAATTATACCTGCTCATAAAAACATAATGAGAACAAGAACCTTTAAGAACACATTCTAGGCCAGGCGCAGTGGCTCATACCCGTAATCCCAGCACTTTGGGAGGCTGAGGCAGGTGGATCACCTGAGGTCAGGAGTTCGAGACCAGCCTGGCCAACATGGTGAAACCCCATCTCTACTAAAAATACAAAATATTAGCTGGGGCTGGTGGCGGATGCCTGTAATCCCAGCTACTCAGGAGGCTGAGGCTGGGGAATCACTTGAACCTGGAAGGCGGAGGTTGCAGTGAGCTGAGGTTGCGCCACTGCACTCCAGCCTACGCAACAAGAGCGAAACTCTGTCTCAAAAAATAAAAAAAAGAACACCTCTAAAAATTCTCAGCATTCCTGAAACGTTTCTAATGCCAGCTTTCTATTCTGGGTTTTAAACCCAAACCAACATGTTCTTTCTTCAGAGTTTGCAGATGTGGTCACAAAAGAAGGGGGAAAAGAGGAGAAGAGAATCTTTATAACTCATTCAGACACTCCCTGACACGTTCCTCAGGGTAAGAAGGAGGTTGTCTCTTCACCAGTGTTAGAATCTGGCTGGGGAGGAGGTGCAGATGGAGTTATTTGAAAGCAGAACTTTCTTAGGAGAAGAGGCTCTGTGGAAACTTGTTTTCACCGAGTTCTCTCATGTGTGACGTGAATCAGAAGCTCTAGGAGATGTCTGAGAGAGATTTTTACGTTATGAGGCAGCTGCTTATGAAATTAGGTCCAGAAGCTTCCTTCGAGCCAAGCTTCTTCTTATAGAAGCTGGAGAACATAAATAGTTTCCATTGCAGCAAGAAGAAAAATTCTTCAGTATGTTTATGGGTTTGTCCTTTCTTTTCCACAGTGGGTAGCAAACTTCTATAACAAGTTGGCATTGAACTAAAATAGGATTTCTCAAATTCATTTGACTAATACTAAATTCAGCTGAGAGCGCTTATTCTTCTACTCATGAGCAGTCATCTGAGACTTTTGCAAATCATCAAGCTAAGCTCTAAATGATAACCAGCAACATTTCCCATTCATCTGAGACATGGAAGTAATTATGTGTGCATAGGCAGTGTAAGGGTTAAAAGCACAGCTTTGGAGTTGGACAGACTGGGTTTGAATCCCAGCTGGAGGGCCATGGGTAAATTGTTTAATCTCTTTAAACCTCAATTTCCTCTGTTACAAATCAGGCATAGTAATATTTCTGATTCCCAGGGCTGTTGTGAAGATTATACGAGTATATACACATATGACTTACTATATTAAGTACTCAGTAAATGTTAGCTATTGTAGCCTGGGCGCGGTGGCTCACGCCTGTAATCCCAGCACTTTGGGAGGCCAAGGTGGGCAGATCACCAGGTCAGGAGATTGAGACCATCCTGGCTAACATGGTGAAACCCCGTCTCTACTAAAAACACACACACACACACACACACACACACACACACAAATTAGCTGGGCGTGGTGGCGGGCGCCTGTAATCCCAGCTACTCAGGAGGCTGAGGCAGGAGAATGGTGTGAACCTGGGAGGCGGAGCTTGCAGTGAGCCGAGATTGCGCCACTGCACTCCATGCTGGGTGACAGAGTGAGACTCTATCTCAAAAAAAAAAAAAAAAGTTAGCTATTGTAGTAGGCAGCCCCTAAAATATCTTGCAGTAATTTCTGCCTCCCTGTATTCAAATCCTTTGGGTAATCTCCCCTCCTTGAGTGTGGGGATTAGTGATTAGCGTCTAACAAATAGCATATAGCAAAAGTGATGGCATATTAGGGACCTCGAAAAGCCAAAACAATTGAAAAAGACCAAAGTTGGAAGTCTCACACTTCCTGCTTTCAAAACTTACTACAAACTGCAGTATCAAAAACAGCGGGAACTAGCATAAAGACAGACATACAGATCAATGGAACAGAGCTGCCAAGACCATTGAATGGAAAAGGATGATAACTTTTCAACAAATGGGGCTGGGAAAACTGCATGTTCACGTGCCAAAGAACGAAGTGAGGCCCTCACCTACATCATATACAAAGATTAACTTAAAAATGGGATCCCTTGAGCCCAGGAGTTCGAGGTTACAGTGAGCTATGATTGTATCGCTGCACTCCAACCTAGGCGGCAGAGTGAGACTCTGTCTCTAAAAAAATAAAAATAAAAAATTAACTCTTAAAACTGATCAAATATCTAAATGTAAGTGATAAAACCATAACGTGCAAGAAAGTATAGGACAAATGCTTCATGACAGTGGATTTGACAATCATTTCTTGGCTATGACAACCAAAAACACAGGCAACAAAAGAACAAAACAGACAAGACTTCATCAAATTTAAAAACTTTTCTAAATCAAAGGATAGTATCAACAGTTTCTCAAAAGGCAACCTAGGGAATGGGAGGACATAGTTGCAAATCATATAACTGATGAAAGATTGTCTAGGGAGAAACTCTCCTAACACTGGGTTTTTCCTCTACTCTCACACCACAATGATCAACTACACAGAAGAAAACTTCTGTGACTAAGGGAGGAGACCACCCCTCATCTTGTCTTATGCCCAATTTCTGCCTCCAATGAAAGAAGAAGTACAAACTCAAAGGCAGAAATGAAATCCACAGGCAGACAGCCCGGCGCCGAGCCCTGGGCCTGGTTAAAGATGGACCCCTGACCTAAACCAGTTATGTTATCTATAGATTACAGACATTGTATGGAAAAGCACTGTGAAAATCCCTGTCCTGCTCTGTTCCGTTCTGATTACTGGTGCATGCAGCCCCCAGTCATGTACCCCCTGCTTGCTCAATCCATCATGACCCTCTCATGCGGACCCCCTTAGAGTTGTAAGCCCTTAAGAGGGACAGGAATTGCTTACTTGGGGAGCTTGGTTGTTGGAGACGTGAGTCTGGCCGAAGCTCCCGGCCGAATAAAGCCCTTCCTTCTTTAACTCAGTGTCTGAGGGGTTTTGTCTGCGGCTTGTCCTGCTACATAACCAAACGTGTGTGCATCTCTCCCTACCACCAACCAGCAGACACCAGCCAGGTGGCCTCCAATTCAGGTCTGACACTATCTACCCAGAGACAGTGCCAGATCCCACAGGTTGAGGGTTCAGTCCCCAAGACTGCTCCCTCCTTCTCCACTCTCCCAGTCACAAGTCTGGGCCTCCAGAACTTCTGACCGACTGGCTTCAAGCTGGGGTTCCCCCAGCCTCCTCTTTGGATTCGATTAATTTGCTAGAGTGGCTCACAGAACTCAGAGAAACACTTACATTTACTGGTTTACTAAGAAAGCTATGTTAAAGGAAACAGATAACCAGCCAGATGAGGGGATACATAGGGTGAGGTCTGGAAGGGGCCCAAGCGCAGGAGCTTCTGGCCCTGTGGAGTTGGGGTGCGCCACCCTCCCAGCACCTGGACCAGTTTTTCTTCCCCTTCCTGCTGGCTTCCACGTGTTCAGCTATCTGGAAGCTCTCTTGACCTAGTCAATCTTGGGTTTTTATGGAAGCTTCATGATATTAGCATTCTTTCCCACAGGGTATAGAGTGGGACCCTCTCATCGGAGAGTCTTAAGACTCCAAGTCCTGCCTTGGGGCAGATGAAAGGAGGCAGCGGAAGGTCAGAGACCTGCCCCTGAGGCCTAATGCATCCAACATTATAACAAAAGACTCTAGCCTTCATAAACAATTGTTGGTGTTCGCAATGGGAAAGATATAATGGGAATGGACAAGGGAGCTTTTTAAAATACATTTATTTATTTATTTTTTGAGATGGAGTCTTGCTCTGTCACCCAGGCTGGAGTGCATTGGTGCAATCTCGGCTCACTGCAACCTCTGCCTCCTGGGTTCAAGTGATTCTCCTGCCTCAGTCTCCCGAGGACCTGGGATTACCGGCACCCATCACTGCACCCAGGTAATTTTTGTATTTTTAATAGAGACAGAGTTTTGCTATGTTGGCCAGGCTGGTCTCGAACTGCTGACCTCAGGTGATCCGCCTACTTTGGCCTCCCAAAGTGCTGGGATTACAGGCATGAGCCACTGCACCTGACCTGTTCTATCAGTCTTAAGATCTGTTTTAATGTTAATGCTGGTCAGCTGTGTCTGAATTCCAAAAGGGAGGAGGGAATAACGAGGCATGTCCAACTCCCCCTTCCCATCATGGCCTGAACTAATTTTTCAGGTTAACTTTGGAATGCTCTTGGTTGAGAGGAGGATCCATTCAGATGGTTGGGGGACTTACAATTTTATTTTTCATTTGCAAAATATACCAATTTTCATAATCCCATTGAAACTACCTTTGCCCTCTCCCTCTCCCTCCCCCTCCCCCTCCCCCTCCCCACAGTCTCCCTCTCCCTCTCTTTCCAAGGTCTCCCTCTGATGCCGAGCTGAAGCTGGACTGTACTGCTGCCATCTCGGCTCACTGCAACCTCCCTGCCTGATTCTCCTGCCTCAGCCTGCCTAGTGCCTAGTCACGCGCCGCCACGCCTGACTGGTTTTCGTATTTTTTTGGTGGAGACGAGTTTCCCTGTGTTGGCCGTGCCAGTCTCCAGCTCCTAACCACGAGTGATCCGCCAGCCTCGGCCTACGGAGGTGCTGGGATTGCAGACGGAGCCTCGTTCACTCAGTGCTCAATGGTGCCCAGGCTGGAGTGCAGTGGCGTGATCTCGGCTCGCTACAACATCCACCTCCCAGCCGCCTGCCTTGGCCTCCCAAAGTGCCGAGATTGCAGCCTCTGCCCGCCCGCCACCCGGTCTGGGAAGTGAGGAGCGTCTCTGCCTGGCCGCCCATCGTCTGGGATGTGAGGAGCCCATCTGCCTGGCTGCCCAGTCTGGAAAGTGAGGAGCGTCTCTGCCCGGCCGCCATCCCATCTAGGAAGTGAGGAGCGCCTCTTCCCGGCCGCCATCACATCTAGGAAGTGAGGAGCGTCTCTGCCCGGCCGCCCATCGTCTGAGATGTGGGGAGCGCCTCTGCCCCACCGCCCCGTCTGGGATGTGAGGAGCGCCTCTGCCCGGCCGCCCCGTCTGAGAAGTGAGGAGACCCTCTGCCTGGCAACCGCCCCGTCTGAGAAGTGAGGAGCCTCTCCGCCCGGCAGCCACCCGGTCTGGGAAGTGAGGAGCGTCTCCGCCCGGCAGCCACCCCGTCCGGGAGGGAGGTGGGGGGGTCAGCCCCCCGCCCGGCCAGCCACCCCGTCCGGGAGGGAGGTGGGGGGTCAGCCCCCGCCCGGCCAGCCGCCCCGTCCGAGAGGGAGGTGGGGGGCGCCTCTGCCCGGCCGCCCCTTCTGGGAAGTGAGGAGCCCCTCTGCCAGGCCACCACCCTGTCTGGGAGGTGTACCCAGCAGCTCATTGAGAACGGGCCATGATGACAATGGCGGTTTTGTGGAATGGAAAGGGGGGAAAGGTGGGGAAAAGATTGAGAAATCGGATGGTTGCCGTGTCTGTGTAGAAGGAAGTAGACATGGGAGACTTTTCATTTTGTTCTGTACTAAGAGAAATTCTTCTGCCTTGGGATCCTGTTGATCTGTGACCTTACCCCCAACCCTGTGCTCTCTGAAACATGTGCTGTGTCCACTCAGGGTTAAATGGATTAAGGGCGGTGCAAGATGTGCTTTGTTAAACAGATGCTTGAAGGCAGCATGCTCTTTAAGAGTCATCACCACTCCCTAATCTCAAGTACCCAGGGACACAAACACTGCGGAAGGCCGCAGGGTCCTCTGCCTAGGAAAACCAGAGACCTTTGTTCACTTGTTTATCTGCTGACCTTCCCTCCACTATTGTCCTATGACCCTGCCAAATCCCCCTCTGGGAGAAACACCCAAGAATGATCAATAAAAAAATAAATAAATAAATAAAATAAAATAAAATAAAAAGAGAAACTACCTTTGCAAAAATTATAACAGTAAGAAAATCATGGCAGTAAAAGAGATCTGATCTAATCCACACCCATCTTGCCTTTCCCTTAATTATTCCTGGGCTTTGGGGCTGAGCTAACTTTGAGAGACATTTAGTTTATACTTTAAATGATAATAGGCCTTCCCCAAAACTCAACTGTCTTTGTTAAGCCAATGAAAGGTCATCAGGCTGTGGGAGGAGAGGAATCTGAATTCTGCTAAGGTGAAGAAATTGTTTAATTGCCAGCCACTCCTGCAGGTAACACCACTATTGTAGATTGGCCTTTTGAGTATCTTTTCAGTTTTTGGAAGTCTGAAACCAATGGCTCCACCCGTACCTGGCTCTGCCTCTACCCACCGACATTGCTCCTGTGGTCCCACTCAGAAGTAGTTCAGCACTCAGGACAGCTTCCACCCCCTATGATTTCATCTCTGTCCCAACCAATCAGCAGCAAGCCTAGCCACCGCAGCCCTTCCTCGAAAGTGCCTTTGGAAAACTCCTAAACTACCAGCTTTGGATGAGATTTATTTGAGTCCTAATTCTGTCTGTCACATTGTGTGACCGGCCTCATGTCTATTGTACTCTTTCGTTACTGCAATGCTGTGGTCTTTGTTTATGCAGCAGGCAGGAAGAATCCATTGGGTGGTTACATCATTAACCCTTACATTTTTATGTTCTAGTTTCAGAAAATTCTCTTCTCTACCCCCGGACCATATTGGGGGAACCCACCCTCAATATTTCAACATAGGTTCTTTCTATTTTCCATAAGTGTAGGCCGGCTGAGAAATAAAGAGAGACAGTACAAAGAGAGGAATTTTACAGCTAGGCTGCTGGAGGTGACATCACATATCAGTAGGACCGTGATGCCTGCCTAAGTCTCAGACCAGCAAGTTTTTATTAAGGGTTTCAAAAGGGGAGGGGGTGTAAGAACAGGGAGTAGGTACAAAGATCACATGCTTCAAAGGGCAAAAAGCAGAACCACTAATAAGGGTCTAACAAAGATCACGTGCTTCTGAGGGAACAGCTAGAATTACCATATGATCCAGAAATTTCACTTCTGGGCGTACACCCCAAAGAATTGACAGCAGGGACTAGAACAGCCTGTGAATACCTATGTTCGTAGCAGCCTTATTCACAATAGCCAAAAAGGGGAAACAACTCAAATGTCTGTTGACAGATCAATGGATAAACAAAATGGGAATATACATACAATGGAATATTATTCTGCCTGAAAAAGGAAGACAATTCTTTTTTTTTCTTTTTTTTCTTTTTTTTTTTTTTTGAGATGGAGTCTTGCTCAGTTGCCCAGGCTGGAGTGCAGTGGCGCAATCTCGGCTCACTGCAAGCTCCACCTCCCAGGTTCACGCCATTCTCCTGCTTCAGCCTCCCGAGTAGCTGGGACTACAGGCGCCCGCCACCATGTCCGGCTAATTTTTTTTTGTATTTTTAATAGAGATGGGGTTTCACCGTGTTAGCCAGGATGGTCTTGATCTCCTGACCTCGTGATCCGCCCGCCGCAGCCTCCCAAAGTGCTGGGATTACAGGCGTGAGCCACTGTGCCTGGCCAAAAGGAAGACAATTCTAACATATGCTACAACATGAAGGAACTTTGAAAACATTATGGTCAGTAAATTAAATAAGCTACAAGACACAAGAGGACAAATATGACACAAGAGAATAAATATTGTATGATTCTACTTATATGTGTTACCCAAAGTAGTCAATTGCATAGAGATAGAAACAGAAAATAGAATGGTGGTTGCAGGGTCTGGAAAGAGAGGAGGAGTGCAGAGTTATTATTATTATCATCATTATTTTCAGACGGAGTTTCAGTCTTGTTGCCCAGGCTGGAGTGCAGTGGCGCCATTTCGGCTCACTGCAACCTTTGCCTCCCGAGTTCAAGTGATTCTCCTGCCTCAGCCTCCTGAGTAGCTGGGATTACAGGCGCCCACCACCATGCCCAGCTAAGTTTTGTATTTTTAGTAGAGACAGGGTTTCATTATGTTGGCCAGGCTGGTCTCAAACTCCTGACCTCAGGTGATCCACCTGCCTCGGCCTCCCAAAGTGCTGGGATTACAGGCGTGAGCCACTGTGCCTGGCCCAGAGTTATTGTTTTATGGGTAGAGAGTTTCAGTTTTGCAAGATGAAAGGAATTCTATAGACGGGTGGTGGTGAAGATTGTACTTAATGCCGCTGAACTGTACTCCTAAAAAGGGTTAAAATAGTAACTTTTATGTCATGTGTATTTTACTACAAAAAAAAAAAAAAAAAGAGAGAGAGAGAGAGACTGGGCACAGCGGCTCATGCCTGTAATCTCAACACTTTGGAAGGCTAAGGTGGGAGGATCACTTAAGCCCAGGAATTCAAGACCACCAGCCTGGATGATATAGTGAGACCTTGTCTCTAAAAAAAAATTAAATTAAAAAAAAAGTGATGGGATACTTCTGAGATTAGGTTGCAGAAAGACGATGACTTCTACCTTGCAAGCTCTCATCCTCCCTAACTTACCCTGAGGGAAAACAGTTGCCATAATGTAAGCTGCCCCGTGGAGAGGTCCACAAGGCAAGGAAATGATGCCTCAAGTCAACAGCCATGCGGTGAGTTTGGAAGTGGATTCTTCTCAAGCCAAGCCTTGAAATGACTGCAGTCTGTGATGACACCTTCATTGCAATCTTGTGAAAGACTCTGAACCAACTCTCAATCTTGAGAGAGCCTCGTCTTCTGGACGAGCTAAGCTGCACCCAGATTTCTGACCTACAGAAACCGTGAGTAAAACGTGTGTTGTTTCAAGCTGCTAAATTTTGGAATAATTTGTTATGCATCAATAAATAACAAATACAGCTGTTACACTTTCTATAAAAGTGTGTTATTGAATATACTTTTATATAATACTATAAAACTTTTTTTAATTTGGCAATCTATTTTGACACTTACCTTTAACAAAACATAACTTTTCTTTTTCTTTCTTTCTTTTTTTTTTTCTTGAGATAGGGCCTTTCTCTGTCGCCCAGGCTAGAGTGCAGTGGTAAAACCATGGCTCACTACAGCCTCAACCTCCTAGGCTCAAGTGATTCTCCCACCTCAGCCTCCTGAGTAACTACAGGCATGTGCCACTACGCCTGGCTAATTTTTTGTTTTTTGTAGAGATGGGGTCTTACTATATTGGCCAGGCTGGTCTGGAACTCCTAGACTCAAGCAATTCTCCTGCCTCGGCCCCCACTAAGTGCTCTGATTACAAGGATGAGTGACCACGCCTAGCCATGAAAATATACTTTTCTTCAACTTGATTTTTTTATTTTTTATTTATTTATTTTTTTAGATGGAGTCTCTCTCTGTCACCCAGGCTGGAGTGCAGTGGTGTGATCTTGGCTCACTGTAGCCTCCACCTCCCGGGTTCAAGCAATTCTCCTGCCTCAGCCTCCCAAGTAGCTGGGACTACAGATGTGCACCACCACGCCTGGCTAATTTTTGTATTTTTAGTAGGGACAGGGTTTCACCATGTTGACCAGGCTTGTCTCGAACTCCTGACTTTGGGTGACCCGCCCACCTCGGTCTCCCAAAGTGCTGGGATTACAGGTGTGAACCACCGTGCCCAGTCCAACTTGATTTCTTTAATGCCACAGTATGGGGCACAGTTTAGGACATGTTACCCCAAAATATGGCCTCTTTGACATTTGAGAAAACAGCAGAAGCATGAAGGGCTCTCTGACTTTCCACTATTCTTCCCTAAAGTAAGCCATGAAAGAATTCTCTGACTTTCCTTTAAAGCTGGAGTTATTCCCTGTACCCAGAGGAAGGGAATGAAGACACAGACACAGAGAAGAATTAGGACAAATAGGTTAAGTTCCCCTGGTGTATTATCAGAAAAGGTATTGGATTATACATTTTCTTCTTCCAGTCATACTTTGCATAACTGTCCATAAAACTAAAGTTTCCCCTGTTTCTTTCTTTGAGTCTTCATTTCTTTTTGTTTTCTTTTCTTTTCTTTCTTTTTTTTTTTTTTTTGAGACGGAGTCTCACTCTGTTGCCCAGGCCAGAGTGCAGTGGCAAGATCTCGGCTCACTGCAGCCTCTGCCTCCTGGGTTCAAGCAATTCTCCTGTCTCAGCCTCCTGAGTAGCTGGGATTATAGGCGCCCGCCACCACACCCGGCTAATTTTTTTATTATTTATTTATTTATTATTATAATTATTTTTGAGATGGAGTCTCGCTCTGTTGCCCAGGCTGGAGTGCAGTGGTGCGATCTCAGCTCACTGCAAGCTCTGCCTCCTGGGTTCAAGTGATTCTCCTGCCTCAGCCTCCTGAGGAGGTGGGACTACAGGCGCCTGCCACCACGCCTGGCTAATTTTTTGTATTTTTAGTGGAGACAGGATTTCACCGTGTTAGCCAGGATGGTCTTGATCTCCCGACCTCGTGATCTGCCCGCCTCGGCCTCCCAAAGTGCTGGGATTACAGGCGTAAGCCACCACGCCCGGCCTATTTTTTATTTATTTATTTTTTTTGAGATGGAGTCTTGCTCTGTTGCCCAGGCTGGAGTGCAATGGCGCGATCTTGGCTCACTGCAACCTCTGCCTCCTGGGTTCAAGCGATTCTCCTGCCTCAGCCTCCCGAGTAGCTGGGATTACAGGCGCTTGCCACCACGCCTGGCTAATTTTTACACCTGGCTAATTTTTGTATTTTTAGTAGAGATGGAGTTTCACCATGTTGGCCAGGCTGGTCTTGAACTCCTGACCTCAGGTGATCCACCCGCCTTGGCTTCCCAAAGGGTTGGGATTACAGGCATGAACCACCGTGCCTGGCGGAGTCTTAATTTCTTAGTCACCTATGTCACATAAAATTTGTATTAAATAGATTTATTATGCTTCTCTGTTGTTCTATGTTCTCTCTTTTCTTTCTTTTTTTTTTTTTTTTTTTTTTTTATTAGACAGAGTCTTACTCTGTCGCCCAGGCCTGACTACAGTGATGCAATCTTGGCTCACTGCAACCTCTGCCGCCCAGGTTCAAGCGATTCTCCTGTCTCAGCTTCCTGAGTAGCTGGGATTACAGGTGCCTTCCACCGCACCCGGCTAATTTTTGTATTTTCAGTAGAGACGGGGTTTCACCATCTTGGCCAGGCTGATCTTGAACTCTTGACCTCATGATCCACCCGTCTTGGCCTCCCAAAGTGCTGGGATTACAGGCGTGAGCCACCGTGCCTGGCCTATCTGTTCTTTCTTATGGGCTCTCAGCCGTGAATCCTGCGATGCGTAAGGGAAAGATCATCTTCTCTCCCTTACAGATGCCTAATTAATTACGTGAGGCCATGCCTTTTTTATACATGCATTTTTTCAACAGACACAGAGAAGTTTGAATAGGCTGCATCCTGTCAGTCAAGGGAATAGTTTGGCAAACAGGCAGCCATAATGGGATTTCCTACCGGGTTTCCAGGAAGGAAAGTCCCTGTGTATAGAGCCTGTAACTCTTATGCGTCCAGATCCTTGAAAAGGAAGGAAGAAGGGAGGGCTTGAAGTGTCAACTTTGCCAGGGTCTTACCAGATAAGGGCTGCCAAAAGGAGAACCCTGAGCCACAGTATTTGGTGGCAATTGTGGTCCTTGTATGTGGTCAATGCCTGCTCCAGGATCCTTCTAGTGGAGATAGCTGTCACAGAACTATTAGATACCATAGTTGATCTACATTTCATTATATTAGATTTTAAGGACATACAAGCAAATATATTACCCCTGAGATCAGGCAAGAGAGGCCCTTGCTCTGGGCTCCACAACCCCTTGCTCTGGGGTTAGAGAACCCCATGTCACAAGCATACATCAAATTAATTTATTAAATAAGATAAAAGTGAAATATTAGTCAGGGCACGGTGGCTAACGCCTGTAATCCCAGCACTTTGGGAGGCCGAGGCGGGCGGATCACCTCAGGTTGGGAGTTCAAGACCACCCTGACCAACATGGAGAAACCCTGCCTCTACTAAAAATACAAAATTAGCCGGGCATGGTGGTGCATGCCTGTAATCCCAGCTACTTGGGAGGCTAAGGCAGGAGAATCGCTTGAACCTGGGAGGCAGAGGTTGTGGTGAGACGAGATTGAGCCATTGCACTCTAGCATGGGCAAAAAGAGTGAAACTCCATCTCAAAAAAAAAAAAAAAAGAAAAGGAAATATTAGAATCAAATTACAAACAATAACTGTTAATGACACAGACAATTATCATTCTATCTTGAAATAAATGAACACAAGAATGAAAGTTCCTAGTCTAGCTGGGTGCGGTGGCTCACACCTGTAAATCCCAGCACTTTGGGAGGCCAAGGCGGGCAGATCACCTGAGGTCAGGAGTTCAAGATCAGCCTGGTCAACATGGTGAAAACCCGTCTCCACTAAAAATAAAAAAAAATAAAATAAATAAAAAATTAGCTGGGCTTGGTGGCTCACGCCCGTAATTCCAGCTACTCAGGAGGCTGAGGCAGAAGAATCGCTTGAACCCTGAAGGCGGAGGTTGCAGTGAGCCAAGATCATGTCACTGCACTCCAGCCTGGGTGACAGAGTGAGACTCTGTCTGGAAAAAAGAAAAAAATAAAGAAAGAAACTTGCAAGTCTAAATAAACTGAAATCTTCCAGCCACGGGTTCATAGGGGTCAAAGGACTGTGTGGCTACACGGGTTACTGCACATGACAAGAACATATGGGCATGTCTGCTACTCAGTGCTGGCACCACACAACCTGTAACGCTTGACAGCCATTCTTAGGACTAACACTGTTCACACCCCAGGGAAATGCTTCTGCACATCTTTTGCTCCATGACCTCGAAACAAAAGGCAACTGCATCCAAATGACATAAAAGGTTGGGGTTAATTTAGTTGTGAATGTAAATTTGTCAAGGTAGAAAGATAGAACATCTTTTATTATTTTAAATATTAGCTTTCTTATTTAAATATTTAGACAAATGACTATGTTGAAACAAAATCCATGGTATAAAGAAATACCTTTATTTTACTTTTTTTACTTCTTCTTTTTTTTTTTTTAGACAGGGTCTTGCTCTGTTGCTCAGGCTGAAGTGCAGTGGCACCATCAGAGCTCACGGCAGCCTCAACCTCCCAGGCTCAAGTGAATTTCCCATCTCAGCCTCCTGAGTAGCTAGGACTATAGGTGTGCACCACCATGCTTGGCTAAATTTTTTTTTTTTTAGACGGAGTTTTGTTCTTGTGGCCCAGGCTGGAGTGCAATAGTGTGACCTCGGCTCATGGCAACCTCTACCTCCTGGGTTCAAGTGATTCTCCTGCCTCAGCCTCCTGAGTAGCTGAGATTACAGGCATGAGCCACCATGCCTGGCTAATTTTGTATTTTTAGTAGAGATTGGGTTTCTCCACGTCGGTCAGGCTGGTCTCGAACTCCCGACCTTAGGTGATCTACCCCCCCACCCTCGGCCTCACAAAGTGCTGGGATTGCAGGTGTGAGCCACTGAGCCCGGCCGCCTGGCTAATTTTTTATTTTTTGTAAAGACAGGGTTTGACTATGTTGCCCAGGCTGGTCTTGAACTCCTGGACTCAAGCAATCCTCTTGCCTCAGGCTCCCAATGTTCTGGGATTACAAGTGTGAGCCACCACTCTCGGCCTACTTCTTCTTCTTCCTCATTTGTAAATACACATAACGTAAAATTTACCAACTTAACCATTTATAAATGTACAGTTTAATGAAATTAAGTACATTCGTATTCTTGTGCAACCATCATCACCATCCATCTCCAGGACTCTTTTTATCCTGCAAAACTGAAATTCTGTACCCATTAAATAATAACTCCTCATTTCCTCTCCTCTCAGCCCCTGCAACCACTGAAGTTCTACTTTCTGTCTCTTTAAATTTGACTACTCAAGAAACCTCATGTAAGTGGAATCATACAGTATTTGTCATTTGTAATTGGCTTATTTCACTTAGCATAATGTCCTTAAGGTTCATTTATGTTGTATCATGTGTCAAGATTTCCTAACTTTTTAAGACTGAATAATACTCCATTGTAAGTATATTATACATTTTGCTTATCCATTCATCCATGGATGGACACTTGGGTTGCTTCCATGCTTTAGCTATTGTGAATAATGCTTTGAACATGGGTATGCAATTATCTGAGACCCTGTTTTCCGATTCCATACCCAGAAGTGGAATCGCTAGCTCATATGGTAATTCTGTTTTTAAGTTTTTGAGGAACTGCCATACTATTTTCCACAGCAATCGTACCAATTTACATCCCCACCAATACTGCACAGAAATTGCAATTTTTCCACATCCTTGCCGATACTTGTTATTTTCTGTTTTTTGTTTTGGATAGTAGCATCCTAATGGGTGTTGGGTGGTACCTCATTGTGGTTTTGATTTACATTTCCCTCATGATTAGTGTTATTGAGCATCTTTTCATGTGCTTATTGGCATTTGTATATCTTCTTTGGATAAACGTCCATTCAAGCCCTTTGCACTTTTCTTTATTTTTTTTAAAGAGACAGAGTCTTGCTTTTTCACCCTGGCTGGAGTGCAGCGCAATGATAATAGCTCACCGCAACCTTGAACTCCTGGGCTCAAGCGATCCTCCCATGTCAGCCTCTCAAGTAGTTGGGAATACAGGCATGCATACCACATCTAGCTAACTTTTAATTTTTTTATAGAGATGGGGTTCTCACTGCGTTGCCAGGGCTGGTCTTGAACTCCTAGGTTTAAGTGATCCTTCTATCTCAGCCTCCCAAAGTGCTGGGATTACAGGCATAAGCCACTACACCCAGCTCTTTGCCCATTTTTGAATTAGTTTATTTCTTTTGTTGAGTTTTAGGAGCTATTTATAAATTCTGGATATTACTCCCTTATCAGATATATGATTTGCAAATGTTTTCTCTCATTCCATAATTTTCCTCTTCCCTCTGTTTGATAATGTCCTTTTTTTTTTTGAGACAAAGTCTCACTCAGTTGCCCAAGCTGGAGTGCAGTGGTGTGATCTTGGCTCACTACAACCTCTGCCTCCCGGATTCAAGCGATTCTCCTGCCTCAGCCTCCCAAGTATCTGGGACTACAGGTTTGTGCCACAATGCCCGGCCAATTTTTGTATTTTTAGTAGAGATGCGGTTTCATTATGTTGGCAAGGCTGGTCTCGGACTCCTGACCTCATGATCCGTCTGCCTTGTTCTCCCAAAGTGCGGGATTACAGGCGTGAGCCACTTTGCCCGGCTGATAGTGTTCTTTGATGCACAAAAGTTTTTGATTTTCATGTAGTCCCATTTGTCCATTTTTTCTTTTGTTACCTGTGCCTTTGGTGCTATAATCCAAGAAATTATTGCCAAATCCAATGTCATGAAGCTTTTGCCCTATGTTTTCTTTTAAGTTTTATAGTTTTATCTCTTACATTTAGGTCTTTGATCCATTTTGAGTTAATTTTCACATATGATGTTAGGTAAGGGTCTAACTTCATTCTTTGGTATTTTACATCCAGTTTTCCTAGCCCCATTTGTTGAAAAGATTGTCCTTTCTCCATTGAATGATTTTGGCATCTTTGACAAAAATTATTATACCATGTATGTGAGGGCTTATTTCTGGGCTCTTTATTCTGTGCTATTGGTCTATATGTCTGTCTTTATGCCAGTACCATACTATTTTAATTACTGTAGCTTTGTAGTGAGTTTTGAAATCAGGAAATGTGGGATGTCCAATTTTGGTCTTCTTTTTAAAGGTTGATTTGGCTATTCAAGGTCTCTTGAAATTCCTTATGAATTTTAGGGTGGATTTTTCTATTTCTGTAAAAAATGTTGGGATTTTGATAGGGATTGCATTGAATCTATAGAATGTTTTGAATAGTATTGACATCTTAACAATATTAAGTCTTCTCTAATCTATGATGTCTTTCCACTTACCTATGTCTTTGATTTCTTTCAGTAATGTTTTTTATTTCTCATGGTATAAGTCTCTCACCTTGGTTAACTCCTAAGTATTTTATTCTTTTTGATGCTATTATAAATGGAATTGTTTTCTTAATTTCTTTTTCAGATTATTAATCGTTAGTGTCTAGAAATGCAACAACTGACCTTTGTATGTTGACTTTGTACCCTGCTACTTTGCCAAAATTTTCAGATAGTTTGAACAGTTGTGTGTCTGTGTGTGATCTTTATGCATTTCCACATATAAGATTATACCATCTGCAAATGGAGAGAATTTTACTTCTTCTTTTCCAATTTCAATCCCTTTTTTTCTTTTTCTTGACTAATTGCTTTGGCTAGGACTTTCAGTTTTACGTTGAACAGAAGTGGTGAAAGCAGGCATTCTTGCCTTATTTCAGTCTTTCACCAGGGAGTATGATGTTGGCTGTATTTCATATATGGCTTTTATTATGTTGAGGTATTTTCTTCTGTTCCTAGTTTCTTGAGTGTTTTTATAATGAAAAAATGTTGAATTTTTTCAAATGCTTTCTCTGCATCAATTGAGCTAATCATGTGGAATTTTTTCCCCTTCAACCTATTAATGTGGTATATTACTTTGATTGATTTTCATATGTTAAACTATCTTTGCATTCCAGGAATAAATCCTACTTGGTCATGTGTATAAATAATCCTTTTAATATACTGTTGAATTCAGCTTGATAGTATTGTATTTTGTTAAGGGCTATTGTATCTATGTTCATAAGGGATACTGGTTCACAGTTCTCTTTTCTTGTGGTATCTTTGTGTGTCTTCAGTATCAGAGTAATGCTGGCCTCATAGCATTTGTTAGGAAGTGTTTCCTTCTTCCATTTTTTTGAAAGGTTGAGAAGGGTTGGTGTTAATTCTTTAAACATTTGATAGAATTCATAAGTGAAGCCCTCAGGTCCAGGGCTTTTCTTTGCCAGGAGATTTTTTTTTTTTTTTGGTCAGGAGATTTTCTATTACTGATTAAATCTCATTATTAGTTATAGGTCTATTCATATTTTCTATTTCTTCATGATTCAGTATTAGTAGGTTTTGTGTTTCTAGGAATTCATCCATTTCATCTAATGTATAGATGTGTGTATAATTATTCATAGTATTCTGTGTATAATTATTCAATGTATACTGTGTATAATTATTCATAGTATTCTCTTATAATCCTTTTCATTTGTGCCCACTTTCACTTCTGATTTTAGTAATTTGAGTCTTCTCTTTTTTTTTTAGCCAATCTAGCTAAAGATTTGCCTATTTTGTTAATCTTTTTGAAGAACCAACTCTGGGTTTAAAATTTTTCTCTATTATTTTTCTTTTTCTTTTTCCTTTTTTAAATTTTATTTATTTATTATTATTATTTTAGTAGAGACAAGGTCTATGTTGCCTAGGCTGATCTTGAACTGCTGAGCTCAAGTCATCCTCTCACCTCGGCCTTATAAAGTGCTGGGATTATAGGTGTGAGCCAATGTGCCTGGCATCTATGATTTTTCAATTCTCTATTTCATTCATCTCTGCTTTAATTTTTATTATTTCTTTCCATCTGCTAGTTTTGGGTTTAGCTTTTCTTTTCCTAGTTCCTTAAGTTGTAAAATTAAGTTGTTGATCTGAGATATTTCTTGTTTTTTAATATAAGCGCTTACAGCTATAAATTTTCCTATGAGCACTATTTTCATTGCATCCTATAAGTTTTGATATGTTGTCATTTCATTTTCATTTGTCTCTAAGTACTTAAAAAATTTTTTATGTATTTTAATAGAAAACTTACAGGAACAGCACAGAAGACAGACAATGTTAAACATATGTACTTGCATGTAGGACAACTCGGGTAGAAAATATAGTGAATGGATGGAATCCACTATATGACAAAAATGCTACAAACACCATTTAGTTGCCATCAATAAGAAATGTACTTCTTTTAGGCCGGGCGCGGTGGCTCACGCCTGTAATCCCAGCACTTTGGGAGGCCGAGACAGGTGGATCGCGCGGTCAGGAGATCGAGACCATCCTGGCTAACACGGTGAAACCCCCTCTCTACTAAAAATACAAAAAATTAGCTGGGCGTGGTGGCAGGCGCCTGTAGTCCCGGCTACTCGGGAGGCTGAGGCAGGAGAGTGGCGTGAACCCGGGAGGCGGAGCTTGCAGTGAGCCAAGATTGCGCCACTGCACTCCAGCCTGGGTGACAGAGCAAGACTCCGTCTCCAAAAAAAAAAAAATGTACTTGTTTTAAAAAAACCCAAATGCTGACATTGTCCAGAAAAATTTAACAGGTTTATTTGCAATTATTGTAAAGTTGAACCACTGAAACTTGTTCACTGAAACATTTTAACTTGCATTAATGCTTTATGTTTCTGCATTCATATTAAAAATTCACACACAAACGAAAATGGAAAAACTGCCAATACCTGATTTCTGTCCCCTATTTTTCCACTCGCAATCATATACTAGGTACCTTTTGACCCCATGGGAAAAAAATATCTAATGTTCAGAACTACCAATAACAGGAAGAAGAGAATTTTTTTTTTTTGAGAATGAAATGATTCCCATCATAGTGGATTCTTAAGCACGTTCTCCACGTATGCGGCGTGCTAGCTGCATGTCTTTTGGCATAATTGTTACACGTTTGGCATGGATAGCACACAGGTTGTTGTCTTCAAAAAGGCCAACCAGATAATCCTCACCTGCCTCCTGCAAAGTACCGACAGCTGAGCTCTGAAAGCGCAGATCTGTTTTAAAGTGCTAAGCGATTTCTCGCACCAGACCCTAGAAGGGAAGTTTGCGAATCAGAAGTTCAGTGGACTTCTGATAATGTCTAATATCACCGAGTGTCACAGTACCAGGCCTGTAACGATGAGGTTTCTTCACCCCTCCAGTAGAGGGCGCACTTTTGCGAGCGGCTTTCGTAGCCAGTTGCTTCCTGGGTTCTTTACTGCTTTGTACGAGTCATGGTACAGAGACCTCCTTACTTACCCCCCTTCTCCTTCGGCTGGAGCTCGGTGAGTGAGAGGTGGCGCTGGCCTTGGAGAGTGACAGTGGAGCGGCGGCGGCTGTGAACACAATTAAAAAAAATTTTTGTTTTTAATTTATTTAATTTTTTTAGATAGTCTCACTCTGTCACCCAGGATGGAGTGCAGTGGTGCAATCTCGGCTCACTGCAACCTCCACCTCCTGGGTCCAAGCAGTTCTCCTGCCTCAGCCTCCCGAGTAGCTGGGATTACAGGTGCACGCCACCAGGCCTGGCTAATTTTTGTATTTTTAGTAGAGACCGGGTTTCACCATGTTGGCCAAGCTGGTCTTGAACTCCTGATCTCAAGTGATCCACCTACCTCGGCCTCCCAAAGTTCTGGGATTACAGGCATGAGCTACCACGCCTGCCCTGTTTTTTGTTTTTGTTTTTTTTAAAAAGCAGGGTCTCACTCTGTTGCTCAGGCTGGAGAGCAGTGGCACAATCTTAGCTCACTGAAACCTTTGCCTCCTGGTTTCAAGTGATTTTTTTTTCCTGCCTCAGCCTCCAGAGTGGCTGGAATTACAGGTGCGCACCACCACGCCCGGCTAATTTTTGTATTTTTAGTAGAGACGGGGTTTCACCATGTTGGCCAGGGTGGTCTCGAACTCCTGACCTCAAGTCATCCACCTGCCTTGGCCTCCTAGATTTCTGGGATTACAGGTGTGAGCCACCATGTCTGGCCTTAACTATAGTTAAGGGTTGTAATCAGGGAGGAAGAAGGGCAGAAGACGGTAAGAAAGTTCCTACTTGACTAGAACTCTTGTGACATTTCCCTGGCCTGACAGATAGCTAAAGCTGCCTCTTTCTCTCATGGCACTTGTTCTTCAGCAAATTCTCTTCATGAGCTCTCTCGGCTGCAATTCCTTCACAGTGGGCAATGCTTCTCCTTAGGCTGATTGCTCCCTCAGCTTCTGCCTCTTAGTACAATATCTTGCTGTAAGACTGCCATTGCAGGGGCCACACTTGTGGGCTTTGAAAATAACTCTAGCCAGGCAGGTGGCTCACACCTGAAATCCCAGCACTTTGGGAGGCTGAGGCAGGCAGATCACTTGAGCCCAGGAGGCAGAGGTTGCAGTGAGCCGAGATCGCACCATTGCACTCCAGCCTGGGTAATAGGAGTGAAACCCTGTCTCACAAACAAACAAACAAACAATCAATCAAAGAAACAAAACACATGAGGATCTATAAATACTCTAGTTTTTTTTTCTTATTTTTTTCTAATCGGCAATGAGAATATACGTGCAATTTTACTGGCCAATGATAGCATGGAACCAGAAGGGTGGCTACCTCCCATTTAGAGCATACTGTATTCCGAGCGCTTCCTAGCAATATGGACCCTGAAGACTAGATCGGTGTAGCAGAGTGGCTAAGAGCAGGTTTTGGCATCAGGCTGACCCAGGTTCAAGTTCGAGGTATGTGACTTTGGGCAAATGACTTAGCCTACCTCTTTGAATCTCAGTTTACTCATCCATTTAATGAGGCAGTACTACTAGTGACCTCAGTAGGTTGTGATGAGAATTAAATAAGAATGCGTATCAATTGTTTAGGACAGGCCGATTCAATGGCTCATGCCTGTAATCCCAGCACTTTGAGGGGCTGAGGCAGGTGGATCACTAGAGCCTAGGAGTTCAAGACCAGCCTGGGCAACATGACGAAACCCTGTCTCTACAGAAAATACAAAAATTAGCCGGGCACGGTGGCATACACCTGTTGTCCCAGCTACTCGGGAGGCTGAGGCAGGAGGATTGCTTGAGCCCAGGAGGTTAATGCTGCAGTGAGCCGTGATCTCACCACTGCACTCCAACCTGGGTGACAGAGTGAGATCCTATTTAAAAAAAAAAAATTTTTTTTTTAAATTGCTTAGGACAGTGTACCTTGCTCATAGTAGAGTGCTCGATACTTATTGTTATTATTTAATGTGCAACACATTTGTAATATGCAAAGTATCATACCTTTGAATTGCATAAGTAACAGTTAAAACAAAACAAAATAAAGATATAACAGTCAAAGGCAAGGAGATGGTATAAATATTCAATCACGGTGAACTGGAATCAAGAGATCAGACTGAACTTGAGCAAGTTACTTCACCTCCTTTTGCCTTGGAAACTGTGGGCGAATGGCGACTCCTTTGTTGCCTGCTCTACCCAAGAGTGGAAGTCATGCCACGGTGTCACCTAGCAGTTTAATCATGTGTTAAGACTATGTCAATCTGTTCTTTTTTTTTTCTGCTGTGGCAAAATCCAGGCTCTCGGGCCATGGAAGCTTGACTCATAGTCTCTTTCCAAACCCAAGCCATCAGCCAGAGAACAAACACTGGCTTGCCTGACTCAGTGGAAATTCCAGACGTTTGTAGCTCATTAACTGCCAAATTGACAGCTATGGAGGCTGTGACGAATAAGTGGACCTCATTAGCTCCATGTTCCCCAGAAAAAGCTGTCCCACAGGCATACTTTGTACAAAGGCCATACGTAACACGTGATCTTTAAAAAAACCTTTTAAAATTCTTTTGACTATTTCCTGTCAAAAGAAATTCACCGCCAGGCGAGGTGGCTCATGCCTATAATCCCAACACTTTAGGAGGCCGAGGTGGGTGGGTCACCTGAGGTCAGGAGATCAAGACCAGCCCGACTAACATGGTGAAATCCTGTCTCTACTAAATACAAAAAATATGCTGGGCGTCATGGCACATGCCTGTAATCCCAGCTACTTGGGAGGCTGAGGCAGGAGAATCGCTTGAACCCAGGAGGTAGAGGTTGCAGTGAGCCGAGATTGTGCCATTGCACTCCAGCCTGGGCAACAAGAGTGAAACTCCGTCTCAAAAAAACAAAGAAATTCACCAACGTAAATTCACCAACTCCTCTTACAGATCCAATGTCAGGAAAGCAGCTATAAACAATAAGGACAGCGAACAGTATCCTCAAAGCCAGAAGCCTGGGACTGACTTTTAGCCTGATGGTGGGGGCATACACGGATACATAATTTCTGGAAAGTATTTGGTAATATGTATCAAAAGTCTTACCTGTATATTTACCTTGTGACCTAGTACTTTCACCCCTAAGAATTTATTTAAAGGAAATTTATTTACAGAAATGAAGATTTATTTATAGGGACATCCAACTCAGCATATAATAGCAAAAAATTGGAAATAACAGTGGAGAATAGTAAATTAATCAAAGATGGTCATAACATAAAATATGGCTAACAATGAATGTATATATACATGGAAACATGCTCACAATATCCTGAGTTTAAAAAGTGAAAAAAGGGGCGGGCGTGGTGGCTCACACCTGTAATCCCAGCACTTTGGGAGGCCAAGGTGGGTGGATCACATGAGGCCCAGGCGTTCAAGACCAGCCTGGCCAATATGGAGAAACGTCGTCTCTACTAAAAATACAAAAATTAGCTGGGCGTGGTGGCACATGCCTGTAATCCTAGCTACTCAGGAGGCTGAGGCAGGACAATCACTTGAACCTGAGAAGTGGAGGTTGCAGTGAGTTGAGATCATGCCACTGTACTCCAGTCTGGGCAACAGAGCTAGACTCTGCCTCAAAAAAAAAAAAAAAAAAAAAAAAAAAGTGAAAAAAGGTAACAATAGAATATATACCACTTTTCATCTTTGTAAAAAGGAAAAAAAAAGCTCAGTAACTAAGGGCTTTCTATGTGGCAGGCACTGTTCTAAGTACTGCAGAGATGTTGACTTACTTAATCATTACACAAATGTTAGGTATTGTTATTATCCCCAGTTCACAGATGGGGAAACTACAGCACGGAGAAGTTAAACAACCTGCCAAAGTCAGTCATATGCTAGAAAGCCACAGAGCTAAGGTGTGATGCTGAGCAGGTTTTGGTGTCTATGCCCCCACCACGACTCACACTGTCTCCTGGTATAGAAAAAAGACTGGAAGGACATACTTTCCAAGCGTTCACAATGCTTACTTCTGGGAAGTGAGATGTTGAGTGAATTCTACTTATTTTTTATCTGCCTTTTCTATAGTTAATGTGTTATTAATGAGACAAAACTCCAAAGAAAATGTTTAAAATACAAGACCTTTGTTGCAGAGGTGAACGAGTCTCTCTCAACCTCAGTTTCTTTATCTTTAGAGCAGCAACTGTGCCTACCTTATAAAGCTCATGGTAGGATTGAATGAAATAAAGCGAAAGCACTTGGATGACGTAGATTTAGAATATGTTAAAAAGATGTGTAGAAGATGTTAAAAATGCTAGGGGCTATTAAAATACAAAGTAGAGGCGGGGCGCGGTGGCGCTGAGCCTCAGTTTTTCACCTGTGAAAATGCTGACAGGACCGGGTGCGGTGGCTCACGCCTGCAATCCCAGCACTTTGGGAGGCCAAGGCAGGCGGATCACTTGAAGTTAGGAGTTCAAGACCAGCCTGGCCAACATGGTGAAACCCCATCTCTATTAAAAATACAAAAATTAGGCCAGGCACAGTGGCTCATGCCTGTAATCCCAGCACTTTGGGAGGCTGAGGCAGGCGGATCACTTGAGGTCAGGAGTTCAAGACCAGCCTGGCCAGCGTGGTAAAACCCTGTCTCTACCAAAAATCTAAAAAGTTAGCCAGGCGTGGTGGTACACACCTGTAATCCCAGCTACTTGGGAGGCTGAGGCAGGAGAATCGCTTGAGTCTGAGAGGTGGATGAGCTGAGATTGTGCCACTGCACTCCAGCCTGGGCCACAGAGTGAGACTCTGTCTCAAAATAAATAAATAAATAAATAAATAAATAAAAATTAGCAGGGTGTAATGGCAGGCGTCTGTAATCCCAGCTACTCGGGAGGCTGAGGCAGGAGAATCGCTTGAACCCAGGAGGCAGAGGTTGCAGTGAGCCGAGATTGCGCCACTGCACTCCAGCTTGGGTGACAGAACAAGACTCCATCTCAAAAAAAAAAAACAAAAAAACACAAACAAACACAAATAAAACGTAGAAAGTGATAAAGCAAGCATGTTTTACAGGAATCCAGAGAATACTGTCAACCAAACACTGTGTGGGAGCTTCAGTGGTTTCATGTCTCCTTTGATTCTCTTTAGAGCCTCCCATTATTTCTGAGCTGGGGATGGTGTGTCTCTTCCTCATGCCACAGGTGTGAATAGTTGGGGGACAGGCATTGTTATGGTCTTACATGTAAATAGATGGCTCCGATATACCATTATTTTGGGGGGAGTGAGCACGGTGTGTTCCAGATTTCCTCTTCCTATCAATGCAGGTAGCAGTCTCAGCCTGTTTCATAAATTCCTCTCAAGATCGCTGCCCATCTCTCCGTTCAGCCATTGGAGAGATCGCTGCCCGTCTCTCCGTTCAGCTTTGGCCTGGGGACTGAGGCCAAAACTCTGGAATGGGCCAAGAATTAGACGGCTGGGATCAACAAACTAGCAAGGAACCCCATGGCCGAGCTTGGGAGTCCACCTGTGTGAAAATCACTTTTAAAAGCTAATCTAAACAACTCTGGGTGTTCCGGAGCTAGTTTCTGACTTGTTGGGGTTATTTGGTGTTATCACCAACTTTGAGAATTACATAGGACAAAGGGGGTCTCCTTCATAAACATGCCTCCACACCAGGGGATTGCCCTTAGCAAAACTGAAAGCAGTGATTCTCAACTGGAGTGAGACATTGGAATCAACTGGATTGGAATAGCCGCAGCCCCGTGCTCAAAGATTCTGATTCTGGGATGGGGTCTGGGCATCAGAATCCTTTAAGGGTCTTGAAGGTTGGACCCCTGGATCAGCGTCGACAGGAGGCGTGGGAGTTCATCATTGACTTCCTGTGCCCCGTTTAGTAATTAGACCAAAATGGCTGCAATGGTTAAGAACAGATTTGACACTTCTCAGGAATGTCTGAGCAAGCAGGGAGGCAGCAGATGCTTCCCCAGGAAATGAATTCATGGTGTGGGGAGGGGTGTGTGTTTTGCAATCAGTTTGGCAACAAGATCAGAGCTCTGAGGCACATCGAAACAGTGGGCAGGTGTTCCATTTCACTCTTCTGGCAGGTTCTAAGAATTTGCTTGCTTCTTCAAACTGAATTAAGCCCTGAGCGGACAGACCTGCAAAAACATTCAAAGTTGACCATCTGATTTCATATATGAGCTTAAAGAAGAAAAAGAACCAAACCAGCTTTTGTTTTGAAATGGACTCGCTAGGGCGGGGGTGGAGTTGGGGGATAATATTAAAGTACCTAACGTTTTTAGCATGTTCTGTTTATTTTTGAGACAGGGTCTTGCTCTGTTGCCCAGGCTGGAGTATAGTGGTGTGATCATGGCTCACTGCAGTCTCGACATCCTGGGCTCAAGGAATTCTCCCACTTCCGCCTCTCAAGTAGCTGGGACCACAGGGGCACACCACCTCCCACTCCCAGCTAATTTCTGTAATTTTTGTAGAGATGGGGTTTCACCATGTTGCCCAGGCTGGTCCTGAACTCCTGGGCTCAAGTGATCCTCCCGCCTCTGCCTCCCAAAGTGTTGGAATTACAGGTGTATTCTAAATCTACATCATAAAAGTGCTTTTACATTTATTATTTCATTGGCTCCTACCATGAGCTCTACAAGACAGGGAGGATTGCCATTCTACAGATGAAGAAACTGAGACTCAGCCTGAAGGCCAGTCGATTCTACTATATACTTATTCCAAAGCCATGGCAAACCTGGGTGATTTCTCCAACTACCCCGGCACTGGTGCAGTTGTATGCCTCAGCCTACAACCTGTCTCTCCCCCAAAGCTGGGCTTTCAGAAACACTTTCTTTTTTTTTTTTTTGAGACAGAGTTCTGCTGTTGTTGCCCAAACTGGAGTGCAATGGCGCGATCTCGGCTCACTGCAACCTCTGCCTCCCGGGGTCAAGCGATTCTCCTGCCTCAGCCTCCCAAGTAGCTGGGATTACAGGCATGCGCCACACGTCCAGCTAATTTTTTGTATTTTTAGTAGAAACAGTGTTTCACCAAGTTAGCCAGGCTGGTCTCGAACTCCTGACCTCACGTGATCTGCCCACCTCGGCCTCCCAAAGTGTTGGGACTACAGGCGTGAGCCACTGTGCCCGGCCCAGAAACACTTGCTTTTTGCTCCACCTCTACTTACAGATTAGGTAGATAATGTTTTCCTAATGATTTCATTGATTTTGGTTGCCACTGATACATAGCTCAAAACAGATCCTCCAGTGAAAAAATTTCAGCAAGTTGTGAGAGTCCCCCTCCTTTTCTACTTTATTTGCAGGGTCCAGTAACAATGTTTGTTACCTGCACCTCCTGAGTGAGGTTAGCAGGCTGATTTTGGCCTTGCCTGTCCTTGACTCTCAGGGGAAGAAGGGAGGGAATAAATCTTCCCAGACACTAGTTTCCCTCTCTGGTAAATTGTAAAGGAAACAGCTTTTGGGTTCCTTTAGGGCCAGGATGGAGCCTCCTTCACTGCTGTATCCCCAGAGCGTGGCATAGTGCCTGGCACAAAGTAGGCACCAGATAAATCTTTGCTAAATATTTTGTATTAAACATCCATGTATTTATTATGCATTTGGCTTCCAGTTTAGGTGAGCTGTATCCTGAGAGCTGTTTGTCGGCATCAACATTTTCCTATTTGAATTGAGAACTGCTAATAGGATTGTGCTGGTGGAGCTGAGTTTAAAGACCATATGGTTCTGGCAGAGGCTGTATCAGATGTCCCAAAAAAGGTATTATTTTAACTTCTCCTCTCTAGTTCTGAGCTGTTGCGGGCACTTGGTAAATACTAATGAATGATGAGGCTGGAGCTAGCCTGAGAGGGTGCTGGGAGTCTGGGACGCAGTAAAAGCTTTAACAGTGCTTTCCCCAAGGGCATCTCGACTCTGACCTTCTGGCAAAGAAACTGGTTCTGCCAGATGGTAGGATGGAGGCTTCTTGTTGCCCGAACAGCCCCGGCAGCCCAGTCAACAGTCAGTGTCTGCTCTGAGCAAAAAACCTTTTAGGTGCTGGAGAGCACAGATGCTGCAGGCAACCTGCAGCCTGGCCTCTTGAATCCTAGTACCTGGCTTTCAACTCGAAACCGTCTGAGCCTTCATCTGTACAGTGCGGATGAAAACAGCTCCTACCTCACAACATTATTGTGAGGATTAAATGAAATGATGTAAGAAAAAAAAATTTAGCACAGGGTAGGGGGCAGAGTAAGGATACTCTGTGTGGGTTTATACATTTCCAATGTTATGTGTGCGTTTATGCAGATAAAATTCAGAGTGGCTGAAGAGATGAATTTTTTTTTTTTTTTTTTGAGACAGTGTCTTACTCTCACCCAGGAGTGCAGTGTTGTGATCGCAGCTCACTGCAGCCTCTACTTCCTGGGCTCGGGTGATTCTCCCACCTTAGTCTCTCAGGTAGCTGGGACTACAGGCGTGTGCCACCATGCCCAGCTAATTGTTATTTGTAGAGATGGGGTTTTGCCATGTTGCCCAGGCTGGTCTCAAACTCCCGCGCTCAAGTGATCCTCCTGCCTCGGCCTCCCAAATTGCTGAGATTACAGGTGTGAGCCATGCCCTGCCATGAAAAGACTAACTCTAGACTGCAATGGCTTTGAATAATTTTCTAAACGTTTAGAGTTTAGATTTTATTCCGTATCACAATTTGGAGCCACGGAAGTGTTTTTTTGTTTGTTTTTTGTTTTTTAAAGTGACACCATTAAAAATTCATTAAATACAGCTGGCTATTATCTGGCTAGACGTCTAAGCAAACTTCTTGAATGTTTGGAAAACAGATTACACTTTCACTAAGACACCTGTTGGTTTACCACATACTTCTTATTTGAATATGATTAGCATCAGAAAGTCCCTATGCTCAAAAATACCTCTTTTATCAAATTAGATTAACAAACTGCATCCCGTAAGATGCAGTAACTTTTCTTAAGATCCAATGGCTAGAATATAGGAATTTGGGTTGGATTGGGAAGTGGGGGATAACGGTGGCAAAAAATTGAAGATTAAAAAACGAAATACAGGCCGGGTGTGGTGGCTCACGCCTGTAATCCCAGCACTTTGAGTGGCTGAGACGGGCGGATCACGTGAGGTTAGGAGTTTGAGACCAGCCTGGCCAACATGATGAAATCCTGTCTCTACTAAAAATACAAAAATTAGGAGGGTGTGGTGGCAGGCGCCTGTAATCCCAACTACTCAGGAGGCTGAGGCAGGAGAATCGCTTGAGCCCAGGAGGCGGAGGTTGCAGTGAGCCGAGATTGTGCCACTGCACTCCAGCCTGGGCGACAGAAGGAGACTCCGTCTCAAAAATAACGAATTACATGAGATTTATAAAAAGTTGGTAAATATAAATTCTGTAACGTAAACTTGGGTATATATGTGTATACACGAACAAACTGTGAATGAGACTGATTTTGTACCGTTTGGCCCAGAATTATTCACGCTCATTGAAATTAGTGCTCTTTTAAAAGATTCACATTGGGTTACTTATACATTTACTCCAAAGAAATTGCCATTTTCCCCTTACCTGCATCTGGCTGGCATAATCAACTGAACAATATTCTCTTTCTTCCCCTTTTTCACTTACAAGTGGGGCAGAAAGGGGAGGAGAGCAGTCCTCATTCTTTCAGCAAACTTACTGTGCACTTACAACGCGCGAAGGCGCTGTGCTCAGAGAAACAAAACCTAACCGGTTGTGGCCCTCGAGGGTGTGTGGGTGGGGAGAGCTGCAGCCACAGGAAACGGTAACACGGCGCGTAAAGGGCTCTAATTGAACTTAAGGACCAATGGGGCCACCAAGCAGGAAGTGACTGACTTGCCCGCGTGTGTCTGAACCGCCTTCACAGGGAGGCAACTTTTGAGTAATTGCGGGGCTGGAGGGTGGGGGCACTGGAGGGAACCGCGGGGAGGCGCCGGCTTCGGACGCGGAGTTGTGGGTGTGGGAGAGAGGCGACCCAGAAGCCGAGGCCCGAGGCGGGAGGGGGCTGCGCCCTGGCAAGAGGCTTTCCGGAGTATCTTCCATCTGTCAATACAGGCTACAGGACTCAGTGGCCCTAATTCGAGAACCAAACGTCCCCCGCCGGTCAGTCTTTTCCCCCAGGGCAGTCCCAAGGGCGGCGAGCCCGCGCGCACGAGAGCCGAGCGGTAGGAAGAGCCGAGAGCTAGCGGCCGGGGCCTCGGCGGGCCAGGGGCGCGGAGAGGCCGCCGGAGAAAGGACTAAGACACCGGTGGACCGAGCAGTTACTCCCGGCATGCTCCTCCTCCCCGGGCAGATTTCAAACCCTCTGCAGCCCCACCTCCGCGCCTTCGCCCCCGGCCAGCCCCAGCAACAGGCGGCGGCCCGCTTCTCATTGGCCAGGCCCGCGCTGTCGTGTTTTGATTGGCCGCGGAGCCTCCCGGCCCTGCTTCTGCAGTCGCTGCCGACTCCATTTTGTCGGTAGAGGCAGAAGGAGAAGGTCGGGTTGTAGAAGCTGGGGTGGCCGGCAGCTCGCTCATCGGTGTTCGTGGGCTTTGTCGGTCCGTGCCTCGTCTCTCCCTGGAAAGGGAGGGAGGCTTCGACGTCGAGAGGGAGCCGCTGCCGCGTTAGTTCCGAGCTTGAAGTCAGTAAGTAGCGGCTGCGCTAAGGGCGCGGCCATGTTGGTGGCCGCGCTCCCCATTGTTGGAGGAAGGAGGCGAGCGGAGGCGAGATCCGGGTAACCCGGGCGGGCGCGGGCGGTCACGGGCGGTCGCAGCGCCGCGACCCCTGCGGCTCCGGAGAGATGGGGCCACTGGGAAGCCAAGCCCTTGTGGCGTCGGAGGAGGCGTTTTCCGGGTTCGAGTTGGGAATTACTCACAGTCCGGAAATGGCAATTTATTTAGGGTTGTTTATCTGTTTGGAAAGCTCTCTTACCCCTTTGAAAGGAGGGGGCTTAACTATTTGGTAACTTATTTTCTTGGAACATCAAATTAAAACCAAACCTTGAAAGTTAAGCTGTTCCCTCTAGGGAGACATTTTTATATATTTAAGATGGGCTTAGACTGTTAGGGCTTGTGAGAACTTATTTTAAGACGGGGAGGAGGCGAGAGCGTTCATAACCAAAGGAAACACTGCGTGATGTCTACATGTTCCAAGAGACTGAAAATGGATGTGACATGTGTGGAAAGATTGGAAAATTCTGGTGGGAGTTTAAAAACACGGTCTCTTTAGAAAATCCGCCTGAAGCCAATTTTTTGATATGACTCAACATTTAACACTTCCTTGATTTTATACGCGAGAGAATCTGAAGGTCTTTCCCAGGAAAAAGATAAAGATAAAACTTATTGCGGGACTTGGAGACACTTACAAAAATTCCCCAGGAGTGACTGGATCTCAAGGGTGAAGAGTTTTTTTAAATGGTCGTGGTTATAAGGTCAAAGAAAGCCATCTTACGAGAAATTTTCTACCTTTTAGTTCAGGAAGTAGCCTTCTTTACAGTCAACGATTTTCGTAGTAAATCTAAATGATCACTTTCTCAACGTGTTTTTGAAATAATGAAGTAATCTTTACTTTTCTAGCTAGGACTTCTCTCAAACTTGTGTGCTGAGGAGACTCAGATGTTGGCCTCAGCTCCTAGGCTGAACTCAGCAGATCGGCCCATGAAAACTTCTGTATTGAGACAAAGGAAGGGATCTGTCAGAAAGCAACACTTGTTATCTTGGGCTTGGCAGCAAGGAAGAGGACAGGTAGTGGAGATCCTGCAATCTGAAAAGCAGACTGAAAGGTAATCATCATAATGGGCAAACATTTTATGATGGAACCATCCTAAACCAATTGTTTTTATTTTAAAATAGATTATGTAGATTTGTGGGTAAGCTCATTTTTCTTAGGGAAGGTATAACAATAAAGGTTGTGCATATATTGAAGTCTGAACGGCTTGCTTTTTTGAGTTTAAAGCAGCTGAATAGCCTGTTATTGAGTCTTGTCCAAAATATCTGGAGTTATAAGTTGGAGCCATAGAAGCTTCTTAAAGATTTTGAACTTTTCTTAATGGAATTTTACTCAATATTTGTTTCCATTCACTTGTAGGTGACAAAGAAGCTGAAGATGGGTGGTGGAGAGAGGTATAACATTCCAGCCCCTCAATCTAGAAATGTTAGTAAGAACCAACAACAGCTTAACAGACAGAAGACCAAGGAACAGAATTCCCAGATGAAGATTGTTCATAAGAAAAAAGAAAGAGGACATGGTTATAACTCATCAGCAGCTGCCTGGCAGGCCATGCAAAATGGGGGGAAGAACAAAAATTTTCCAAATAATCAAAGTTGGAATTCTAGCTTATCAGGTCCCAGGTTACTTTTTAAATCTCAAGCTAATCAGAACTATGCTGGTGCCAAATTTAGTGAGCCGCCATCACCAAGTGTTCTTCCCAAACCACCAAGCCACTGGGTCCCTGTTTCCTTTAATCCTTCAGATAAGGAAATAATGACATTTCAACTTAAAACCTTACTTAAAGTACAGGTATAAAATAAGACAAATGTTTAAATTTAGTTATGTTCACGGATAGTTGTCAATTGGTCTGAAACAAATTCGCTAGGGAATCTATTTGTGTAGAACTAATTAATGTAAAAAAAATAGACCATCTCGTGTTGTGTGCACTGTGATATAATGGTAGTATCAGTGCAACTTAAACTAATGATTGTACTTGATATTAAGTGTTCTCAACTGAGTAACTTTTAAGTGGAAACCAAGTTTAGATTTGGGGAGTGGTAAAGGAATCAGCTTTTTCTATTGTTAGGGGAAGACAGTAATTTATCATTCATGGACCAGTAGATTGTTGAAAGTTGGTGAATCGGATTATAAGCTTCTAGCTAACACAAGGATTCAGAATTAGGTAAACATCTGAAGGTTTAGTATATTAGAAACACCCAAACCAGTAATATGCTAACCTGATGCACTGCTGAAAGAAAATGTGAATTTTTCGTAATAATTGCATTTTAGTGAATTGTACAGTGGGTGGAAAGGGCATTTGGAGCTCATTAGAATGAGACATAGTACACCCCAATGGCCCTGTTTATTAAATGTAGTGGATTAAGTGTCTGTCAACAAATACACCAAAACCATTTTTTATAGAAACAGTATTTAATGGTCACTCAATAGCTTTCAAAATACATTTTTGTATTACAGCACTGCACAAGCTATTCTAATAGTGCTCTGGCCTCATCATTCCTGCAAAGCTTGCTTTGGGGAGTTGGATAATGTGAAAATTTTAAGTACCTAGGGGAGAAAGAGCCATGTAAATATCTGTAATAAACTTGTAGCATATGTAAAGTTTTCTTGGCCTTTATCTTACAAAAATGGAGTATTTTAGTATGAATTTGCTGAATGTAAGACCGTGGACTGTTTTTTATAATATGGCCTAATTTTAAAGGTCCAAAATAACTTGTTTTTAAAGTTTGCCCTTGTGCTAAAGTGCCAGTGTATGTATGTTATACTTGATTTGGTTGTAAACTATATTTCAAAGTAAACCCTAGTGTAATAAGTTTTATAACTAAAAAGGTTTAAGCTGCTAAAACTATTTTTAAGAGATGTGAAATGCAGTATGGGACTATCTTTTTTTCCTCCTCTAAGCCCAAAGATTAACTAGAGTCCCTCCAACCTTATAGATTGTTGGCTTTCACAATCTTATAACCTAGGATACAGGTAGTTTCGAGTATGGTGCCAGTGATGTTTTGTTTTTGTTTGGTCAAGGGGTAGGTGCAACCCAATGGACCACTTATGCAAAAGATGTAAACTCTTGCATAATACATTGATAACATGTTTTGCCAACTTTAAATGCTTAAACATAAGCGAAACCAGTAGCAAGTATGTGGGTCAGCTTAAAAATTTTGATTGTTAATGCCCTATTTTCTAATTTGGCACCTCTTGATGCCTAAGCAGGTAAGCAGATGCCTAAGCTGTATTTCTCCAAATAAATCAAGATGAAGTACTGCCCAAGTTAAATATTGATAGCCTAAAGACAAGTTTATGTAGTACTTAATGTACATGATATGAATGTGAAGCATAAAATTAAATAAAATTTTTCCCCATTGGCTTGGTTTTATTTTAAAAATGGTTTTGATTGCTTAATATTCTTTTTAAAAATGTGTTTTACTTGTCACTGACTTGAAGCTCATAATACACTCACAATATTCCAAACTCTTGGATTTCTCAGACTCCAGAACTATGAACCACTACATTTCTGATCATATATATATACGTATATATAAAAAAGGTCACAACTAAAATGTGATAGGACTGTTGGCTTGAAAAGGGGCAACTAGTTTGCTGACTGATACAGAAGATACTAGGATTTGACAGCTATGCAGTTAAGCAACTACTTAGGATTTCTCTCTCCCAGTAGTGTTAATTAAAAAGCAAAAAAAAGGCCACACATGGAAAACATCGCAAAGCTTTTGAAAGTTAATTCCATGATCTAGGTTCATAGAAAAAAAATTATAAGCAAATTTATCAAGTTGACAAGAACCCTTGTGTTTTAAGTATGTTGACAAATGAAAAGTATATAAGGGGACCCCTCAGAAGAAAAGCATCACAACCACACCTTTCTGATACAGATTCCAAATGATAGGGCATCTTAAAACTAGTTTGAGTAATCCTTAAAATGCTACAACTAGTCCCATGGCAAAGCTGTATTATTTTCATGCAAACTAGTTAACAATTTGGAGTTAAGGCAGAACCAGCATTTGGGTGTTCATTTTGTTTCCAGGGTAATTTCTGTGAACAATGCCAAGGATTGCAGAATTGAACTTCATGTATTGGACAAATCTCAGCCTAGGTGTCTGTTAGTTTTTAAGCTATATATTGAATCTAGTGTATATATTGAATACACTAGATTTTTAGTGACTAATCTAGTAATACACTAGATTTTTGGTTTGACTCAAGCAAAATGAGTAAATGGAAGTGGGAGTGGAAGATTACCTAACTTCATACTTTAGGAAAGGTACTGATAAAAGTTTTGGTTAGCCTATATAGAGAATGGTGATAGGAATTTCCCAAGTCGATGCAATTGCGAGAACCAAAAATAGCTGGTACAGAGAACTTACCATGTAAGGCTGCTGAAGTCAGCCATACTGTGAACCTTAGGTAAATGCTGTAATTTCAATTTGTCTTCTTTTCGATGGCAGTTATACTATGATGGAATCCAGGTCCAAAACCTATCCTTAAGCTTAAAATAAATACTAATAAACTATCCTCTTCCCTAGAACTACAACACAGGAAAAAACCTGAAAGGTTTTGTGTAAGTTTCAGTTTCTAGTATTTTGGTTGCATTCTTGTAGGCAATTTGTAAAGCAAGAGGGACAGAGTGCATCTCTAAAACCTCTTACACAAATTAGGAAAAAGTTGTACCCAGGTGGTTACAAATCTAAGAGCAAAATCTTAAAAAAACCCAAGATTTATTTTTGGCTCCTAGACCAGTTTATTTCACTTTCCAGCATTCAAAGAAATGTGATCTGCAAAAAACTAGATACAAAGGCCTTTTACTTCTTTACAAACTACGGTTAGTTCTCAATGAATTTACATGCCTCACTTTTTATTCCAAGAAAAATCCCCATTATGCAATACAAGGGTGAAACAGCTGTTACAAATACACAGAAACATAATAAAGATAACCAACACTGTTAAGAGGAAGGGGAAGAGGAAAAAACCCAAGAGAAGGAAACTTTTCCACAGTGACTAGCAGAATGTCTTGTAGATAGCAATAACCGAAGACAAACAGGTTGCTCACTTCATCCTATTTATCAAGTCATCCTATCTAAAATGAGAATAGTTCATGCCTAGGATAGGCTAACTATAGGCTTTGCTAGTCCTCCTTCCTAATAGAATGCCCTCAGATTATTCCTGAGCTATCACTCAAGTCACAGATACTTCAGAATATAATCTTAGGTTTTGTAAACAGGAACATGGTCAAAATGCAATACAATGGAAAATCTCTACAAGAGAATGAGATTTGGAAAGCCATGCTTAGAGTCTCTGAGCCACACAACCATAAGATCTTCGAGTACGTTTAATCTCTCATCCAGGAACATTATCCATTTACCTTGTAAGGTTGTGAGAAATGAATAGCATAATATGCAAGAAGCTATCACATGATGGGTATTCTACAAAGGACAATTTTCTCATCTGTAAAATGGGAATAATACCCATTTCCCAGGAGTGTTTTTAGGATTAAATAGAAATATTTGAAAAGCACATGGTTCGGCACAGTAAGTGCTCAATAATATTGACAGCATTCAGTATAGAGAGAAACAACCACAGAAGAGATCCTAAAGCAATTCATTCAACAGATGCAAAAATTAAAGGGCCTTTTCTGATTTACCATAATTAAATATTTTAGAGAACTACCAACTGTTGTTATTGTAGTTATATATGTATTTACCTAATTTTTTTTAAACAAAACCCCAACTCAATATGCACCTTAATTCTCCCCCTTAAATGTCTTAACTTCAAAAGGAAATGGAGAAGGGAGGTAGAGGGCAAAAAAGTCTATAGCCTCTACATATTCTTTTAAAAATACATAGAACCTCTGTCCATAAGAACCCCTATGTTAATGAGTGTATAACGGTATACAACAAAATACTTTTTGTAATTAAATCTAGTCACTTTGACTCTAAGTAAATTCTAGATCCCATTATATCAATGTTACTATCTCCATGAAAATAAAGCTATAAAAACACTTCCCCATTGGATTAAACAACAAACATGGTAACAAAAGATGAAACAAGTGAAAAATTATGGGCTGTAACCTAGGATCTGACACTTGCTGTGTGATCTTGGGCAAGTTCAAACAAAATTTCTAAAATAAAATACAAACAATAATACCTCCATTTCACACCTCCCTTGAAAATATACCTCTGCTATATTTTCAAAATTGCTACAAATTAAAAGCTTAAATTCCACTTCCAGATTTTTAGTTAATTTTATATGGAAAATTTTAAGTATGTGGCAAAAAAGATGACAAAAATCAAATGTGATGAAATCAATGTATAGGTAAAGAAACATCATATCCTAATAAGAAACTAAGGAATCCAAAACATTTTGTGATACTATAAAAGTTATTTATTCGCTATACACAGAACATGTCCCCTATAAAATGTACATGTAAATCACTAAAAAGTATAATTTGGTGAACATTTTCTCAATTACAGAACATACTAAATCAGTTAGGATAACAGCTCTCTGTCTGCCTCAAAATAATCTAATTATAGCACCCAGTCTCCTTTATACCTAATGCAAAGTTAAATACTTATTTTGGGGGTTATATCCTAGCATGTGTTTGGTGAGGCAGAGTAAACAATTTATTATAACTCTAGTATATTACAGTCACTGCACAATAAACCAGTTTATTACAGATTAAATCATTTTTTCATTATTTATAATAATGTGATCAAATACTGGATACTTTTAAATGGCAGATAACCACACAATTACTTATCCTTGATCGTATATTGTGTTCTATAATTACATTGATACGAATGGTGTAAAATATTGTTATGAATAACACACCTCAAACAAAACAATGAGGCCATACTGTAATGATTCACTAGATTGTGCTCAGTAGACATTTACTGAATAAGGGAATTATCTATTTTTCTCAATTATCCAGTACAATGATTTGCCCACAGTAAGGGCTCAATAAATATTTGCTGAATATACTGACTAGGAAAGAGGTGAGAAGAGATGGGCCCTCTTAGCTGGATGTCAAATATAATTGGAATTTACCTGGGAAGGAGTAGTTAAGACAGATGTAAACTGCATGTGGTGTACAAGTAAATAAACACAGATGCCAACAAAGCAAATGATTAAGCAGAAAACACTGGCACCAAAATAAACAAAGGCAAGATTTGCCAATAATGGCAAAAATGGAACTTTTATATTGGACCATACCTTTTCCCACCCAATTCAGTTTGAGACAGACCAACAGAGGCACTGTAAGAGACTATGGCTGTCTTCCTTGATATTCAGACATCCTAGTTTCCAATAATTTATTATGGACCTGTTACCCATGAATCAATATAAACCTATTCATATTTAGGGATTAGTTTCCACAAGTACAAAGTTGAATTTCCTTTTATTTGTCCTAAAATGCTTACTTTCAAACTTGAAGGGACTTCAATTATTCCATGTAGTTTTCGATAACATTCTTTTATCTTTTCAGACCAGAGTCAAAATATTCGTACAGTATTCATACTGCAGCACCTTCCACCCACCCTTTGGTCGCTTGAACTGCCCTTCTTTGGTTCTTTTTCCGCTTTCAGATCTTTCTTGAAGTGTAGTAAGCAGAACTGTACTGGGTATTCCAGCTGCAGTTTGGTCTTAAATAAAAGAAGGATGTTTGTCAGTTTGGTTTCCTTTATTCTTCTCTGTGGTATACAGGATTTTGTTAGTTGAACTGGATGTAGCAGCTTACTGGGCCAAATTTTCAAGAGAATAATACAATAGTTCCCAGGTCTTTCCCCTGGGATGTAACTTAACAGCTCATACTCTATGTAGCACCTTTCCTCTCTCACTGAAGCATTATCTCTCATTTTTCTTCTTGCTTACTTGGCTTCAAAAAAAAAAAAAAAATGCAGAGAGATCTTAAGTAAAAGGAGAGGTGAAGTGTGTCAGCCCTCATTTGAGTGTTGATATAACCATTCTATTTATCATTGAGCCCAGTCATACACAGTAGGTAAACTCAGTAAGTGGGGGACTCAACTACATCACCCAAAACTAACATAAAACACTACGTAAAGATCCTCATCAAGTATCAGTAGGATCCAAACTACCATGGGTTCAACTGTAATATAGTCCTTTTGAAGCTGTTAGGTGTGTCGCTTTAGGAACAACATATAAGATTCTCAATAGTCCAAGTCTAAAAATAAGTTGACACAAGTAAAAATAAAAATGAAATTAGGCCTTCTAGTTCTATACAGAAAATGAACAATTTCAATGAGCTATCTCCTCAATCTACTTCTCTCAAATTATAGTCTGTAAAACAAACAAAACCCCCCCAAAACTAAGGGACCAGGCCTGGGCTTAAATCCTGGCTCTGCCTTACAGTCTTTTCTTTGTGCCTCAGTTTCCTTATCTGTGATATGGGGAAAATAAAAGTATCTTTCTCATAAGGTTTTGTGAAGAGTGAGTTAACACATAGCCTTTTCAAGTGTCTGGCACATCATGAATACTTAATAAATTAGCTATAATTGTCATAAAGTAGATAGAATTCAAACCACAAAATACCTAACCTACTTCCCCAAAGAGGTTATCACTTAATATTAGTTGCTCATCAACATTCAATTTAAAATGATTTAAAATCATGTCATAAACGTTAAGCCCTAATGCGTCTTGTTTATAAGAGGGAGAGCAGAATTACTGATCCATCCAATAATGAAAATATAAACTTGGAATTAGCTGATCCAAATTTCATCTTAACACTACCAAATAACCTCTTAAGTTAGTTAACCCAAGAGGCTTAATGAGCAATCATGAAACAACTTTGATATTACACAATGAATTTTTAACTACTGTGTAAAAGATGTACCTTTCTGGCAAGTTCTATCATTTCCAAAGTAAAAGTTAGTTGTGCCTAGTGCAACAATGATTTAAAATATTCCTAAATCTATAAAGGACTGTTTCCATTGTTATTTTAGAATCATATTCAATACTGTAATAATTCCAGTTAATCATTATTTCCTTCATTTTGTTTTTATTATAGCATGTTTGCTTAATTTACAGCAAGCAGAAAATAAGCTGGGTCTTGTTTTGATCCAAACATTGATGTTTTAAAGGTTGTACACAATATTTGTTAAAAAGAACATATAAAAATACCTTTTTAGAAGCCTCTATAAGAAAGAAAATACAAAGTTTAACCCCACAACTTTCCTCTTTGCTAGAACTGTAAACTACTGCTACAGTTTTAAATAGACTTTTTGTTGTTTAAACTATACATCCAGGAAAATCTAAAAAAATTAAAGAAACGTGCATATAAACGATTGCATAGCAGAACATGAACATTAACTGCAAACAGTAAAGAAATGAAAGTTAGAAATACTATCAAATATACAAAGGTTCTAGAATCAATCCTTTAAACACATTCCACAAACAGTATTTAAAATCCATCGTTGTATTCTTTACAGGCAAAGCCTAGATTACTAAAACCGAAATTGAAAAAAGTAATCCTCTAAAAGGAATCGTTTGTCCATAATTCGTACTTGTATCTGTAAGCAAGCAATCTGAGATTTTTAAAGATGCTAGCTTTTTATTCTGAAATGAAATTGGACATGTCAAGTCACTTTTGTCCCCAAAACGATCTTTCAGAGAAATACTAGAAATTATAAATGGTTTAAGGGTATTACTTCATTTTTAGTCAGGTACTACACTGATAATCGAAAGCTCAAAAGATGTGACTCTTGCTTAAAACTGACTAATCCTTTTCCCCAAATTACCTTAAATTTCATGGCACCACAGAATCACCTAGAATGAGTGTTGTCTTACAACTTGCCTCGTATTAAATAAACTGAGGTGTGAAAAGCAGGCCTCCCTCATAAAGAGGCAGGCAAATTTTGATACAAATGCACGAGCCAAGTGCTGTAAGCATCAAAATTTCAGTTCTTTTACACTAGGCACACACACACAAAACCTACTTTGAAACAATTTACTTACTTAACAGCAGTAAGAAAACTAAGCAATATTATGGTCAACAACGCTCCTTAAACTTTAGAATAACTACATAAGAATATTCCTTTTTCCTTAAAATTATTTTTGCCATCAACGACCTGCTCAAATTTTAAGGTGAGTTTTTGTGTTTTCTATGTTCCAAATCTTCATAGGAACCAGAAAAAAAGCAGTGAAGGCTCCATGTTTCAGTCAAAAACTCAATTTCCCAGCTGGCATCATTCCCCAAGACAGTGGGGTTAACAAAAGAACTAATCCACACTGCATCAAAAATAATTATCATTGGCCTAGACATCCGGTTTTTTTTTTTTTTTGAGACGGAGTCTCACTCTGTTGCCCAGGCTGGAGTGCAGTGGCGTGATTTTGGCTCACTGCAACTTCTACCTCCCAGGTTCAAGCGATTCTCTTGCCTCAGCCTCCTGAGTAGCTGAGATTACAGGCATGTGCCACCATGCCCGGATAATTTTTGTATTTTTAGTAGAGACGGGGTTTCACCGTGTTGGTCAGGCTGGTCTCGAACTCCTGACCTCGTGATCCGCCCGCCTCGGCCTCCCAAAGTGCTGGGATTACAGGTGTGAGCCACCACGCCCAGCCGGGCCTAGACATCTTGACAAGACATAAAGGTCCACCCTGAACCTAAATGTGTCTGAGCAGTCAGTGTTGTACTGTGGCTACTACTTCACTTTTGTATCATTCTATCTTATTAGCAAGCTACATTTCTAGGTTAACAGTTCTACCAAATATGAATATGAAAGTTTATTTTTAATGAGACAATGTTGCAAATTATGGTCAACCAACATCTTTTCACCAAATACTTCAAGCATAAAAAATGAGAATCTTTACAAAAATATACAGAGACACCACAAATTGGTAGCTGCCCATAACATTAAACAAACTGGACTCTTAAGAGTGGCTTCTCAACAGCATATCATTTTAATTATAACCATTGCCTGGTACAGGGAAAACTAACAAGTGTTTTTTAAGCATCATTGCAACATTGTATTCCTGATAATTTAAGTAAACCAAACTATGAGTAAATGAATGATACATGCCTAAAAATGACCATGGTTTATACTATCAGTGGCCACTGGACTTAGGACTAGTCCAAGACCTTGATCTAGATTTTGACCTAGACCTAGACTGTGATCTTGACTGAGATTTGGATCTAGGTGGTTCTTTTTTCCTTGATTCCTTTTCATATCTTGAGCCAGACTTATAATGTGTTTTGGAATCTGTTTTAGAGGTGCCTCTAGTTTTGGTGTGAGATGCAGACCTAGAACGTGATTTAGCCTTCATTTCTTTCTTGGGCTGGGACTTGGACCGTGATCTTGAATTGGATTTAGATCTTGAAAAAGATCGATTTCGGTGTTTGAATCTTTCAAAACAGAGGAGAGATATAATTAGAGTAAAAATTAGATTCTATATTAATCAAATTTGTTATTTTTAGAGCAAAAGTTCACTCTGAAATTAAAAAATACATGAGTCTTTTTCAAAGCAAAGTTATTTACCTATCATTGTCGGAATGGCTTCTGCTACGCCGTGGTCTTCCAGTCGGTCTACTGCTAAAAAGCATATCAGAAAAAGCAGTGACAAATATCTATTCATAGAGGCAAAGTTTCTAATTAAAAGCAAACCATAAAACTTTTAAAATAAAATGCTACAGTATTTTTTGTCTCAATGAAACATTCAATGTATATAATTAAAAGTATACAAAATAGTAAAAAAAAATTAAATGCTAACAAATACATTTTTTAAACAGATCACTGTGCTACACAGCACACTTACTTTCTAGGACTATACGATCTTCTATAGTTGTAATCAAAAGACCGACTTCTTGATCTCCTCCTTTCATAACTTCGGCTTCTAGAACGTCTGTATCTGTCATAATCATCATAGCGTGAAGAACTGTACACATTCCTCCCTTCCTTGGCTTTCATCTGATTTGGTGCTAGGAAATACAAAGAACAGAAATATTTAAAAATATTAAAAACAGTATTAAAGCCCTCAATAAATAGGGAAAAAAATCCCTGCATCCCCTCTTATATCCCAAAGAGAGTATGTATGACCCGGGTGGTGGCTCACACCTGTGATCCCACTACTTTGGGAGGTTGAGGTGGGAGGATCACTTGAGCCCAGGAGTTTGAGACCAGCCTGGGGCAACATAGCAATATGCCATTTCTACAAAAAATAATTAGCTGGGCCTAGTGGCTTGCACATGTATTCCAGCTACCCAGGAGGCTAAGGGGGGAAATCACTTGAGCTCATGAGTTGGTGGCTGCAGTAAATTGTGATCACACCACCGCACGCCAGCCTGGGGGTCAGAGACCCTGTCTCCAAAAAAAAAAAGTGTGTATGTGTTTTGGTGTCTTTTTTTTTTAATTATTTTAATTTTTGAGACCAGGGTCTTGCTCTGTTACCCAGGCTGGAATGCAGTGGCGCAATCTCAACTCACTGCAACCTCCACCCCACACCAGTTGAAGCCATTCTCCTGCCTCAGCCTCCTGAGGAGCTGAGATTACAGGCACGCGCCACCACACCCGGCTAATTTTTGTATTTTAGTAGAGACAGGGTTTCACCATATTGGCCAGGCTGGTCTCGAATTCCTGACCTCAAATAATCCACCCGCCTCGGCCTCCCGAAGTGCTAGGATTACAGGTGTGAGCCACCGCACCCAGCCTGGAGTCTTTTTTTTTTGAGACGGAGTTTTGCTCTTGTTGCCCAGGCCGGAGTGCGATGGCGCAATCTCGGCTCACCACAACCTCCGTCTCCTGAGTTCATGCGATTCTCCTGCCTCAGCCTCCCAAGTAGCTGGGATTACAGCATGCGCCACCACACCAGGCTAGTTTCGTATTTTTAGTGCAGACAGGGTTTCTCCATGTTGGTCAGGCTGGACTTGAACTCCTGACCTCAGGTGATCTGCCCCTGCCCGCCTTGACCTCCCAAAGTGCTGGGATTACAGGCTTGAGCCACCGTGCCCAGCCCTGGAGTCTGTTTTAGAGGTGTCTGTAGTTTTGGTGTGAGATGCAGATGCAGAACGTGATTTAGCCAAGGCTGGGTTGAGGTAACTGCAAATTTTCATCTTGAAAAAGGCACGTATTTATTTTCAAGAAAGTGTATTAGAAGACTGTTTTATGTTAAAAATAATACTAATATCCCCAACTATTTTCAAAGTCTTCTCACCATCTAGTTTATCAGCCAAGACCTGGTAACTGTTCTGACACTGGGAATCCATACCATAAAAGGATTTTTAAAAACTCCAAATGGAAGTGAGTGCCTTTTTGTTTTGAGATTGGGTCTTGCTGCTACCCAGGCTGGAGTGCACTTGTGCAAACACAGCTCTCTGCAACTTCAACCTCCTGGGCCCAAGTGATCCTCCTGCCTAGCGGGGACCACAGGTGTGCACTATCAAGCCTGGCTAATTTTTTATTTTATTTTTTGTGGAGATGGGGTCTCACTTTGTTGCCCAGGCTGGTCTCAAACTCCTGGGCTCAGGCAATTCTCCCGCCTAGGCCTCCCAAAGTGGTGGGATTACAGGCGTGAGCTACCACACCCACATATTTTACATTTTCAAATGGCTGAAAAAAATGACCACTGAACCATATGCTGATTTGGAATGATCCCACCACAGATTCCATTCATTAAGAACACAATTAACAAAATATTTATAGGTGGCCTATGAACAATGTGCAGTGTCAACATGCAGTAATATTACAGTTCTAAGACCCTAAGTAGAATAATAAGGCATTCCTAAATGCCTTATGTACACTTCAATTCTTATCTCATTCAATTCAATGAAGCAGATACTTTATGTATTGGAGTACATATAAAAAACACAATGCATAACCAGGAATCTATTACCCAACTCAAGAACTAGAGTTCCAATAGTTTGCATTGAGTACTCAAGAGCTCCTCCTCTCCTCAGCAGCTATTTTTTTTTTTTTTTTTGAGGCACAGTCTTGCTCTGTTGCCCAGTCTGGAGTGCAGTGGCATGATCTCGGCTCACTGCAACCTCTGCCTGCCGGGTTCAAGCAATTCTCCTGCCTCAGCCTCCCCAGCAGCTGGGACTACAGGTGCAGGCCACCATGCCTGGCTAATTTTTTCTATTTTTAGTATAGACGGGGTTTTACCATGACCTTGTGATCCACCCACCTCGGCCTCCCAAAGTGCTGGGATTACAGGTGTGAGCCACTGCACCCTGCGGTTATTTTAATCTCTTAATTAGTATCTTGCCCAAGGTAACATAATGGCTAAGCCAGAATTCACACACAGGTCTTTTTGACTCTAAAACCTGTATTCCTGCCTTGTAAGTACGCAGCGAACATCTGGTAAGCCTGCATAACCAACTTTCAAAAGAGTCCACATATATTTCAGGCATTCTCATCTCCACCTCCTACTTACACTTACCCCAAAACTTACAATCTGGAACACATGATGAAATATTCAAGATACTCCATTTTCTTAAATATGATCATTTTGGGCCAGGCACAGTAGCTCACGCCTGTAATCCCAATCCCAGCACTTTGAGAGGCTGAGGCAGGTGGATCACCTGAGGTGGGGAGTTCGAGACCGGCCTGGCCAACATGGTGAAACTCCGTCTCTACTAAAAATACAAAAATCAGCCAGATGTGGTGGCATGCACCTGTAATCCCAGCTACTCGGAAGGTTGAGGCATAAGAATCATTTGAACCCGGGAGGTGGTGGTTGCAGTGAGCCAAGATCACACCACTGCACACATTCCAGCCTGGGCAACAGAGTGAGACTCCGTCTCAAAAAAAAAAAAGAAAGAAAGAAAGAAAAAAAAGATCCCTTTGGGTTTTGAACAGAAACACAAATTGCTTAAATTCTTAAAAAAAAATCTCAAAACACTAAAAAATAATGTTTCATACATATCAGGCATAAGGGTACTTACTCTTTCGATCCCCCTGGGCAAACTGTATTTCAATCTGCCGTCCACAAATCCACTTTCTGTCCAAATTATGTAAAGCGTCTTCAGCATCACGAACATCCTCAAATGTGCTAAATGTTAAGGGGCTTGGGAAGTTTTGCAAACTTTGATAATGAATGAAAGTTCAGTTGGTATGTCTGGAACAATTCACAATCTCCCAATATTATTCCAGAACATCAACCAGACCCCCACTTACTAGTTGGTGATTCAGTTGGATTCAGTCATTAACACTTCACACTATAAAAGCACTTGTGATTTCCTAAGGCACACATTTGAAAATGTATGAATACATATTGCAGTAAAGTTATTATTGAAATAAGATCTGTTATAGCTGAATCACCAAGTTGTCCTATCCAAAAATTTTCCTAAGTTTTAAGAATTAAGTTTACAAGACAAAAAAGAAAAAACAAATGTCAGTTATATGTTGTATGCTAAAATAAAAATTTCTTAAAACCAAAATACTATTTTTCATATTTGTTTCAAACGAAAAAAAGAAAATGCCAATAGTTCTTGTGTAAGCAAGCAGTATATGCCTTACCTTACAAGAGAGGAAAGCATTAACTTCAAATTTATTTTGCTGTTTTCTTTTTCATATATATCTAATACTACTATTTCATTTAACTGTCTTCCTTCCACTGCATGGGAAGACAAGCACGCTAGCCATTTGTGGGCATCAAGACCAGAGTCAAGCAGTACTCAAGACAATCACTATACCAAAAGCGTTATTACATCCATGCAGACTGTAAAAGCATGCTATCAAGAAACAGACCACTGGAAGGACTCCTAGACTGGAAAGCCCTAACCATGACCCTAAATATACAACTTCTTGCAAAGAAATGGGTTTGAGACTGGTTTCCAACTTGAGAATTTCAAGATATTATTTACCAGCCTTAAGCAGGAACTACTGGTACTTGTTTTTGATCTGAGAAGCTAAGCTGCTTGTCCTCCCTGGTCATGTCAGCAATAATACTACGAGAACTGCTGGCTTTATATAGCTATTCTGTCCAAACCTAGCTCCTTTCCTAAAACCATCATTTTAACAGAGGCCAAGTACACATTCAAGACAGTGTTTGATATAAATGGTTTGGAAAGAGAGCTAGGTTAGGTACAGGTATAGGTTTTCATTCTATCCCAAAAATCCCCATTCTAGTTTGCACATTTCTTTTTCCTAAATTTGAGAGACAACACAAGACTGCAGATTTAGAGAGGTGATTTAAAATATCCCTGAAGTGACACACTCCTTTTTTGAGACCGATACTGGTATTTTTTTATTATAGAGACTAAAAGGTCTGCCTTACTAGACTTCCCACTTTTTGTTCTGAAAGGAATTAAGGACTGCAGGTTTCCAGCTCTGTCTTCCCGAGGCCATTATGAACAGATTAAATGGAAGGACAAATTCTAAATAACTGGGCTTTCAACATGAAAAGGGAAAGGCTGATGGGGAGTTCAGAACCTTGAATACTGTAACTGAACATCCCTCAAGGTTAATGCAGCTGGGCTCTAAACTAATTAGAAGGAATACGTTCACTTAATGGGTACACTACTTTGTTACCCCAAGAGACAGAATATAATAAGTATAAAAAGGATTTATATTGAGAGCTGTAAAAATTATTAATGAGAACAGAGCATCCTCTCTGGGGCTACCCTCGAAAACAGAATCCTGGGCTGATGGCAAGTTTCTACTTTACTCGGTAAGCCAGGGATAGGAAGAAAAGGCTATTGCGAATGGAGTCAGACAGAAGAGACAGCAGCAGCAGAGGCAGCCGAGTATCACTCTGATGTCAGTCATGGAGAAATTTGTACTTTATGGTCTTTTCAAAAATGAAATTCATAAGCCTGTTACTTATTTCTTTTCAACTATTTTAAAACCATAGACTTACTGAATATGTATTTTAAAATTATCATTCTCCTTTAGATTGCTTTGAATTACTAGCCTTTTTTGCCTCAAATATCACACACTCTTGAATCAAACTACTACTGACCTTGATTCCTCGGCCACCCAACACTAGGTAAAATGAGGTCTATGTTGTAAGCCAGAACGCACTGCTACCTTTATTTACTAAGCCAGATATAGCTATTATTTTCTCTGTAATGGAGCTTTGCAACCAATTCTCACAACTGTCCTTGATCACTGGCCCTGCAGGAGTAGTTTTTGGCTTTTCCCTAAGTCTCACTAGGACTCCACTAACTTAAAAGTTTGAGGCTCACTGAATTTAAGCAGGAAGAACTTTTCCTAGTCTGAGGTCCACAACCCAAACCCTTGTTGCAGGGAGATGATCTCACTGAAAGGAACGGAAGTAAGGTCACCTGAAACTCTGGGTCAGGGACCAGTCTCCCATAGGTCCCAGTTAGGTACCTATACCAGGGAGAAGGCCTTCTGCAACTCATTCAGGGCCAACTGATCATTGTGCTAAAGCAGCGCAGGGCCAGCAGTCTTCACAGGGCTAAGTTAAAGAAGTTAAGGGTTTATATGTGTCCCCAGCAACCACTTTAAAATCTATATATAAACAAAATTTCTAGTGGTTCTGACCCTACAAGACCACCAGAGCTGTTTCTAAGTAGTCCCCAGTGCATGCACCTGTCTCTCCTTTAAGCAGGGCTCTGTGGCTTAACCCCAGAACCCCACGCTACTCCAAAGAGCACTGCCTGCTACTCCGTGGCATCTGACCACCTGGTCCAAAACCAAAATATGCTGAATTTAATCTTAAGAATATACATCCTGTTACACTTTAACTTCATAAGAGAGAGTGCATTTACACAAGACCACAATCACAACATCAAAGGCCCACATAAATCAAGTTACAGGTTTTGTCACTAGACCAAACCAGAATAATTTTGAAAATTAACTGCTTACAAAACATTAAAAAAAAAAAAAAGAAAAATAGTTATTCTGTAGGATACATCAGGTATGACTCCTTTAATCTTGGCCATCATTCAACTTCATCTTGACCTTTAACTCTTTAAGTGCTTGTCAGAAGGACTTGTCATGAGATGCTTGGCCAAATATGACAGATGGCTTTATCTTTAACTTTGAAAAACAACCTTTTCCCCCTTTTGTAGATAAAGCGAGGCTTTGTCTCCCATTAGGCTTGTCCTTCTTCCAGCTTTTCTTTATTTTTTCTTTTCCCAAACTCTCCCTTCTCTTCAAGCCTGATCCTTAAGAGGTCTTTGGCTTGTCTACTTGCCTTAAGTGTTGAACTCTACTCTAAAGGTTCTTTCATGCTTTCTCTTTGGGGTCGCCATAACTGTACAGCTTTACATTCTCTGAGGTAACAACAGAGGACAGCAAATTAGGGGACAATATTAAAGAAGTTTACCTCATTGTTATACAATTTGTTTTTGATCAAGTGATTCAAATTAACAAACAAGAATACCAAATTTTAATTGCTAAGCACAAGAACATATTAACTTTTAAAGGACTTACATTAAAGGTAGTAGCAACCAGAGTGCATTCAAATTTAAATCACATATATAATCATCGATATGAGTTTCAGAAGCATGAATGGGAATTTATATATTTTACCATTTTTGGATTAACTTTAATAACGAGAGCAATGTGTGAGTCAGAATTAATTTTCAAAAATTTGAAGACAGACATTTATTAGAGGACAAAAAGAACTACTTTTTAGATGTTACCACTTACATAAACTTGAATTTCAAACTTCAACACCCCTCACTAATCAGCCATCTGAAGAAAGGATATTGAACATAAGCAAATCCTCTTGGACGGCGAGTGTAGAAATCAAGTGGAACATACACATCAACTATAGGACCATAACGACCAAATTCACGCCGCAAGTCTTCAGACCTAAAACATCATAAAAAGACCTCAAATTTTTATGTCCAAGTCCTTAAGATGTATAGGCAATATATCTTTTTGATGAAGGAAAGCTAGGATCCAAGAATTTGGAAGATAAAAATGCAGTTTACATTAACAGGACAACAGCAGACATATGTATGGTACAAGGGAATGACCACAACTTATTTTTATCTACAGCCGTCATTTTTCATAAAAGGTACAGCAGCATTAGGTTGTATATAAGCCTTGTTTTTTTTTTTTTTTTTACTTTTACAGCATCAAATCGACTCTAGCACTCTGAAAAATACCAAGCACTTATTTTTACTCCCCAATTTTAGCGACAGATTTACACACTTAACAGTAGATAAATATGGTCTGAAAAAGTCACAAATATCGAACTTCTTAAATAGTTAAGTGTCAAGATGACGTAAAGAGAAAATTTCTCTAGATGCTAACGTAACTATTAGAAATTATGGAAAGAATTATTTATGGAAAGAATTATTGCTTTCTTTCCTTCTTAAATTTAAGACAAAAGCAAATCACAAAGCTAGCAAAAAACCCCCACGAAACACCAAAAACCCAAACCACTTATTTTCTGTGTGTAGATTCATTATTTGTGAAATAAAAAGCCTCATCTTGTAGTAAGAACTCTTCCAAAATAATCTGAAGGCAACTCGAAACAAGGGAATGGTGAGAACAAAGCCTATTTAAGGTACGTCTGAATTAATCTAACTTAGCTGTCAACGTCCTAATGACTGACGCTTCCCAAACCTCCCTTTTCAAAGGGTGACCAGAATTTCCAGGAAATAAGAAAAACTACTCGCAACATTTAACTGGAAAAATCTAACTCCCCAAATCTCAACGCTCCCTTTCTCCAAACACCTCCAACTGATTAAAACCCCCAAATATTAACAACGGCAACAACAACAAAGATAAATGGTAGCAACATTCCTCTCCCTCGATCCCGTTATTTCATCTCACTATTTTTTGGCTGGGGAAAAAAAAAAATCTCTGGGCCAAGGGGGCGTGAACCTCGAAGAATGTGAACTTCAAATCAATGGGGGGCGGCCGTCGGGTCGCGGAAAGGCCGCGGCGGGGGGCTGCTCGCGCCGGCAGGAAGCAGGGAGAAAGGGGCTGCAAACTGCGGAGGGGGAGGGGGACCGAAAAACCCCGCCACGCGGCCCGGCGAAGGCAGAGGCGCCGCCCTCGCTCCCACGCGGCGGCTGAGGCCCGCTGCGCGGCCTAGTTCGGCGCCAAAGCGGGCGCGGGACCCGCCATCTTCACTCCGTCCCCTCCCCCGGCCCAGTGCCGCCACCACCAGGGTCCTCTCCAGGCGCCTGCGGCCTCCCCGCCTAGGCCCGGAGTACCTGCCTTGTACCTACCTGGTGTCGTCGGCCACGTTCCTGACGAACAGAGACGTGTTGGGGGGACGCAGGTAGCGGGACATGGCGGCGGCGTGTCTCGGCCGGGCGCACTAACGGGCTCAGCAAACCGTCCGCGGCTCAGGCGGCCGAGCCTCAGACACACACAGCTAGAGGGCTCTGCTACGGCAACCGACTCTTCTCGCGAGACTTCACTCCCGCCTCCACTTCCCCCTCCTACCTCCGCGCAAAGTCGGGCGCAACGGTTCTTTCCCGCGAGAACACCAGGCGTCCGCCTGCGCATGCGGAGGGCTGGCGCACGCGCCTCAGCGTCGGTGTCATTCGTTGGCTTCTTGCGGTGCCTCTTACCCTCCCCCAAGCCTGTTCTTTCTTTCTTTAGGTCTTCATTTCCCGCCGTTTTCTACCTTACACTCCACTTCATCTCCACCCCCAAATCAGGAAGCAGATGTTTTAGTCTCTAGGCCAAACTTTGCGGTTACTACTAAATGGACAGATTTTTAAACTATTTAGTTCAGAGAGGCTGCCTTAAATTTCCCGGTTGGTCCAAGTTAATGTCCTGCTTTTATTTTGCCTTAAATTTCCCGTTTGGTCCAGGTTATGCCCTGACCTGCGAAAGAAGGATTTACAGCTTGTATTGAGTGTGTAAAGGAAGGAGGTGTGTGCCCTTGCGCAGAGCTGGGCCTGTCTCTCCAGTGTTTTCAGCCTGCCTTTGCCCCTCACCCACACCCTAGCCATCTCCACTTAGTCACGCATTTGGCTCCCAACCTGGGTGGGACCAAACCTCACACTGTAGGTTCATGACTGTGGTCATTTGTAGTGTATTCTTTGTTGCTGACGGCTTCCTGGGTATGCATCGGACCTGTATTGCAGCAGTTCTCAAACTTTTTGGTCTCAGAACGCCTTTATATTCTTGTGTATTACGGAAGATTCCAAAGAGCTTTTTTTAAAAAAAGTGTGGGTTATACCTATTAATAAATAGTTAATGAGAACTTAAAATAGAGGAAACTTCGGCTGGGCTCGGTGGCTCACGCCTGTAATCCCTCCCTGTACTTTGGGAGGCCGAGGCGGGCAGATCACGAGGTCAAGAGTTTGAGACCAGCCTGACCAACACAGTGAAACCCCATCTCTACTAAAAATACAAAAATTAGCCAGGCGTAGTGGCGCGCGCCTGTAATCCCAGCTACTTGGGAGGCTGGGGCAGAAGAATCGCTTGAACTCGGGAGGCAGAGGTTGCAGTGAGCCGAGATTGCACCACTGCATTCCAGCCTGGGCGACAGGGTGAGACTCCGTCTCAAAAAAGAAAAAAAAAAAAAATAGAGAAAACTTTGACACACTCCACTACCCTTTATCACACATCATGTACCCTCTGGAAAACTCCACGTTTGTAAGAGAATGAGCATGAAAATAGCAAATAATCTTTAGTATGGTTTTGATTTTGGAGGCCCTTTTGAGAGCCATTTCCTGCTCGATAAGAGTCAACTTCTGGAGATGAGAGACTTCAGTTGGAATGCCTCCAGCGTGTGGCACAGTGCCAAGCAGGTAGCAGGGACTCAAGTACTGTTAAATTAAATGAACTTTTATTTAATAAAAAGTCATAAAGGCATTATTTTTGTGTCAATCAGCATCTAAGACAATTAAGTGATTCGATACAGGTGATGATAGTTTGTAGCACTCTGTAGCAGAGCTATTCTAAATTTTTGTTTCCCAAGATTTGCATGCTTAATTTATTAAAATGTTGGGCCAGGCAAGGTGGCCCCAAAATCCCAGCATTTTGGGAGGGTGATGTGAAAAACAAAACAAAACAAAAAAAAGTTTGATTCCCTGTTATGTGTCAGACATTGTGCTAGAAGCTTGAAATTCAGTAATGAAAAACATACAGCTTATATTTCTAGGGCGATGGCAATGAGAAAATAAAGTAAATGCAGGTTTGTTATATGAAAGAAACAGTAATGTGATAGGTTTTTTCTTGTTTTTGATTTTTACTTATTTTTATTTTATTTTATTTTTTGAGATGTAGTCTTGCTCTGTTGACCAGGCGTGAATGCAGTGGCTGGATCTTGGCTTACTGCAGCCTCCGCCTCCTGGGTTCAAGCGATTCACCTACGTCAGCCTCCCGAGTAGCTGGGACTACAGGCTCCTGCCACCATGCCTGGCTAATTTTTCTGTTTTCAGTAGAGATGGGTTTTCACCATGTTGGCCAGGCTGGTCTCAAACTCCTGACCTAATTGATCCGCCTGCCTTGGCCTTCCAAAGTGCTGAAATTACAGGTGTGAGCCACTGTGCCCCCGGCCTTGTTTTTAATTTTTAAAACAGGTTTGCCTAGGAAGGCCTTGCTGAGCAAGTGTCTCCCCTGCCCCTCTCAGTTAAATACTTTCAGTGGCAAGAAAACAGAGTCCTGCAAATTACCTTAAGTAATGGAGGAAATTTACACTGTCTGGTGCTACTCCAGCCACTCATGTTTAATAGGGTGAAGATTTAGAATGGAGTCTGATGCATAGAAAGTGCCCTAAAATGTTAACAGGATCACAGGGGCCCAGTACAACATGAAAATGCAAGGCCCTTCATTCAATATTTATTAAGAAATTCAAAACGACAATCGCAGAGTACTAAGCCAAGTGCAGGGTCCTTCTGAGCATGGGGCCCATTCCAGTGCACAAGTAGCACGCTCAAGAAGCTGGCCCTGAATGCCAGCAATTATTATTATTCATAATGCCTTGAGAAATAATACAGGCAACTGAGGGACATATATTTACTCACCAGAATTGCTTTCCGCCTCACACTCAAAGTGTCCCTTTTTTTTTTTTTTTTTTTGAGATGGAGTCTCGCTCTGTCGCCCAGGCTTGAATGTAGTGGTGCAGTCTCAGCTCGCTGCAACCTCTTCCTCCCGGGTTCCAGTGATTCTCCTGCCTCAGCCTCCCCAGTAGCTGGAATTACAGGCATGTGCCACCACGCCCGGCTAATTTTTGTATTTTTAGTAGAGGTGGGGTTTCACCATGTTGGCCAAGCTAGTCTCGAACTCCTGACCTTAAATAATTCACCCACCTCGGCCTTCCAAAGTGCTGGGATTACAGGCGTGAGCCATTGTGCCCAGCCCACAAAGTGCCCTTTGATGTTTTCTGCTGTAGGATCCCAGAACCTAGAAAAAGATGATGCTGGGAAAAGTAGAGAGAGAGAGTGAACTCCTTTCTGCCAGAGATAGGGCTTGAGCTGGGTAATTTACCAAACTACAAATCTGCTGGGGGTTGGGGGACAGGGACAAGGGAAGATACACTAAGGGATTTTGGAAGCGCAACATCGCATCCCGGAAGTGCTGCCCAGTGTGCTAAGAGCACTGTATTTAATTCTGAGTATAACACCAGGGCCGGTAATTTTTCTGAAGACCCAAATGATAAGTTCTCTCTCTCTCTTTCTTTATTTTCCTTCTTTCCCTTTTTTTAGAGATGGAGTCTTGCTCTGTCGCCCAGGCTGGAGTGCAGTGGTAGGATCTCGGCTCACTGCAACCTCTGCCTCCCGGGTTCAAGCGATTCTTCTGCCTCAGCCTCCCAAGTAGCTGGGATTACAGATGCCCGCCACCTCACCTGGCTAAGTTTTTGTATTTTTAGTAGAGATGGGGTTTCACCATGTTGGCCAGGCTGGTCTCAAACTCCTGACCTCATGATCCACACGTCTCAGCCTCCCGAAGTGCTGGCATTACAAGCATGAGCCACCGTGCCCGGCCTCTTTCTTCTTTTCTTTCTTTCCTTGTTTTTTTTTTTTTTTTTTTTTGAGACAGTCTTGCTCTGTCTGGAGTATAGTGGTGCGATCACAGCTCACTGCAACCTCCACCTCCCAGGCTCAAATGATCCTCCCACCTCAGCCTCCCTAGTAGCTGGGACTACAGGTTCGTGCCACCATGCTTGGCTAATTCTGTAAGGTTTTTGTAGAGACGAGTTTTACTATATTGCTCAGGCTGGTCTCGAACTCCTGGGCTCAAGCAATCATCCTGCGTCAGCCTCCCAAATTGCTGGGATTACAGGTGTGAGCCCCTGCACTTGGCCTCCAAATGTTAATTTCTGAAAATGATCTGTTGGGTGCTGCACCTCTTCTTGAAGACACTATGTTTTATTGAGATTTATGTTAGAAAACCACTTTCCTTGGTACTGTTCTCAGAACTGCACAAATAAAACCCAAATGTAAACAATATAACTGAATTTCCTTGATCCTGAAATAGTTCTTCCTTGATTTGTGGGTAATGGCACACTCATTGAGCCATTCTGCTTGCTGGAAGGAGACTCACAGGGACAAATACTGTGTGTTAAGTCAGTGGAATTCTGAGCCTGACTCCATAGGCAGAACCAAAGCCTTGAGTCAATACAACATTAATTTTATTGGTACAATTGCTTAATTCAGACAACTGCCACAGACAGTGCTTGGTGTTGTGTCTCTGTCTCCATGAGCAAACAATCAATTAGAAGCATGTTCATTTAATTTGTTTGATAAGACATGCCTGGTATTTCCTATAAGCTGCCTCACTCTAGTGAGTGGGCAGCAAGCCAAGTTCTTCAGACTGCGAGAACTCAGTGTTCTCATTTAAACATTCCTTTACTTGTGAGTTGGAAACTTTTGGGCACATACATATGTACACATTTATCAATTTATTAATATCTATGTGCAGGCTCACCTTTCAACCCCTGCTCTGACTAATTTTGCTCTGTGGGAGAATTCATGGCTAATGGACATATTTTTTCACCACATTATTTTTTTAATTTTTATTTTTTTGAGACAGGGTCTCGCTCTGTTGCCCAGCCTGGAATGCAGTGGCAGAGTCATGACTTATTGCAGCCTTGACCTCCCAGGCTCAAGAGATCATCCCACCTCAGCCTCCCAAGTAGCTGAGACTGAGACGCAAGCCACCACGCCCCACTAATTTTTTTTTTCTAATTTTTTGTAGAGATGGAGTCTCACTACATTACCCAGGCCCATCTTGAACTCCTGGGCTCAAGCTGTCCTCCCACCGAGGCCTCCCAAAGTGTTGAGATTACAGGTGTGAGACACTACTTCTGGCTTAATGCCTTAAAATAACACTTTTCCTAGTTATACATGTTAAAACTTTGGAGATGAAAAATATAAAGGAAACAAAAATCACCTGTTATCCTACCACTCAGAACTAATTGCTATTAAAACTTCGATTATTATTATTATTTTGAGAAGGAGTTTTGCTCTTGTCACCCAGACTGGAGTGCAGTGGCGTGATCTCAGTTCCCTGCAAACTCCGCCTCCTGGATTCTCCTCCCTCAGCCTCTTGAGTAGCTGGGATTACAGGCGCCTGCCACCATGCCCAGCTAATTTTTGTACTTTAAATAGAGACGAAGTTTCACCATGTTGGCCCGGCTGGTCTCGAACTCCTGACTTGAAGCGATCTGCCCACCTTGGCCTCCCAAAGTGCTAGGATTACAGGTGTGAGCCACCACGCCCGACCTAGAGTCTGACTCTTAAATGCTACATGACATCTCCCTGGAAAAGTAGATCAGGGAGCTCTGATTTACCAAGGAGTGCGTGTAGGGGCTGAGAAAAGGTAAGAACCTTTACCTTAAGACTTTATAGAATTCTCAAGGCTTACTGTTCTTTGTAGCCTGGTTATCTAGGCTAACATGTAACAATTGGTATCATGTAACAAAGGGCATGGGAAAGAACTGAATAAATACAATCATGGGCTTCATAACAAGGTTTTGGTCAATAATTGGCCCTGTATACCAGTAGTCTCCAACCTTTTTGGCACCAGGGACCAGTTTCTTTTTTTTGTTTGTTTGTTTGTTTTGTAATAGTTTTATAGGTTCATTTATTTATTACATTTAAATCTTTGCTTGTGTGAAATCTCTTTCAATGAAACTTGTGAGATAGGGATTTGAATTTATTTTTTCCAGTGGGCTACCCTATACTACAATACAATTCTGGATAACCTACCATTGCCCCTTTTTATTTTTTAGAGTCAGGATCTCACTCCATCACCCAGGCTGGAGTGCAGTGGTGCGATCATAGTGCACTACACCCTCAAGCTCCTGGGCTCAAGTAATTCTCCTACCTCAGCCTCCCAAGTATTAACAGGTAGGACTGCAGGCATGTGCCATCATGCCTAGCTAATTTTTTAAATTTTTGTAGAGACGGGTTTCAAACTCCTGACCTCAAGCAATTTTCCCACCTTTGCCTCAAAGTGTTGGGATGACAGGCGCGAACTATGACACCCTCCCTTCTCCATTGATTTGAAATGCCACTTTATGTATTTGGGTCATTTCTGGATGCTCTATGCTGTCTTATTCAAATGGATTAGTTATCCTAGCTTTATATTTTATTGGCTTGTTTAGCTATTTCTTTTCTTTTTTTTTTTTTATTGATCATTCTTGGGTGTTTCTCACAGAGGGGGATTTGGCAGGGTCATAGGACAATAGTGGAGGGAAGGTCAGCAGATAAACAAGTGAACAAAGATCTCTGGTTTTCCTAGGCAGAGGACCCTGCGGCCTTCCACAGTGTTTGTGTCCCTGGGTACTTGAGATTAGGGAGTGATGATGACTCTTAACGAGCATGCTGCCTTCAAGCATCTATTTAACAAAGCACATCTTGCACCGCCCTTAATCCATTTAACCCTGAGTGGACACCGCACATGCCCCAGAGAGCACAGGGCTGGGGGCAAGGTCACAGATCAACAGCATCCCAAGGCAGAAGAACCCCTCCCAGTACAGAACAAAATGAAGTCTCCCATGTCTACTTCTTTCTACACAGACACAGTAACAATCTGATTTCTCTATCTTTTCCCCACCTTTCCCCCTTTTCTATTCCACAAAACCGCCATCGTCATCATGGCCCGTTCTCAATGAGCTGTTGGGTACACCTCCCAGACGGGGTGGTGGCCGGGCAGAGGGGCTCCTCACTTCCCAGAAGGGGCGGCCGGGCAGAGGCGCCCCCCACCTCCCTCTCGGACGGGGCGGCTGGCCGGGTGGGGGCTGACCCCCACCTCCCTCCCGGACGGGGCGGCTGGCCGGGTGGGGGCTGAACCCCCACCTCCCTCCCGGAAGGGGCGGCTGGCCGGGCGGGGGCTGAACCCCCACCTGCCTCCCGGACGGGGCGGCTGGCCAGGCGGGGGCTGACCCGCCACCTCCCTACCAGGGACCAGTTTCATGGAAGACAGTTTTTCCATGGATCAAGGATGGGGGATGGTTTCAGGATGATTCAAGTACATTACATATATTGTGCGCTTTATTTATATTATTATTAAGCTGTATTATATAATGAAATAATTATATAGCTCATCATAGTGTAGAATCGGTGGGAGCTCTGAGCTTGTTTTCTTGCAACTAGGCGGTCCTATCTGGGGGTAATAGGAGACAGTGACAGATCATCAGGCATTAGATTCTCATAAGGAGCGTGCAACCTAGATCCCTCGCGTGCGCAGTTCACAGTAGGGTTCGTGCTCCTATGAGAATCTAATGCTGCCACCAATCTGACAGGAGGTGGAGCTCAGGTGGTAATGCAAGTGATGGGGGGTGGCTGTAAATACAGATGAAGCTTCGCTTGCTCACCCGCTGATCACCTCTGGTGGTGTGGCCTACTTCCTAACAGGCCGCAGACTGGTACTGGTCTGTGGCCTGGGGTTTGGGGACCCCACCTATATACAATGGGGCTCCCATGAGATTATAATGAGCTGATTATAAAGATTATAGAATTATAGCGATGTCATAGCTGTCTTAATGTCATAAGTTAATGTCATTATTGTTATGTGGTGTTGCTGGTGTAAATAAACCTACTGGGCTGTCAGTTGTATAAAAGTATAGCATAGGCCAGGCATGGTGGCCTACACCTGTAATCCCAGTGCTTTGGGAGGCCAAGGTGGGAATGAGATCCTGTCTCAAAAAATAAAGAAGTATAGCATATACAATTATGTACAGTACATAATACTTGATAATGATAATAAATGATTATGTTACTGGTTTATGTATTTACTATACTATGCTTTTTATTTTGTATAACTTTTTGTTTTTAATTTTTGGGGATACATAGGATATATATATTTATGGGTTACAATATATACACATATAATATTAGTATTAATAGTTTTTAATAACTACTAAAAAGTATAGTTTAGAGTGTACTCCTTCTATTTATATATTAGAAAGTTAACTGTAAAGCAGCCTCTGGGCCAGGTGCAGTGGCTCACACCTGTAATCCCAGCACTTTGAGAGACTGAGGCAGGCAGATCATTTGAGGTCAGGAGTTTGAGACCAGCCTGGCCAACATGGTCACTGTGTTACAGTTGACTATAATATTCAGTACAGTAACATGCTGTTCAAGTTTGTGGCCTAGGAGCAATATCCTATATCATCTAGGTTTGTGTAAGTATACTTTGATGTTTGGACATTGATGAAATTGCCTAATGATGCGTTTTTCAGAAAAAAATCCCCACCATTAAGCCATGCATGACTGTGTGAGAATGTTGAAACCAGGCCGAGGTGGGAGGACTGCTTAAGGCCAGGAGTTCAAAACCAACCTGGGCAACATACTGAGACCCTACCTCTGAAAAAATAATTAGGCACGGTGGCACACACCTGTAGTCCCCCCTACTAGGAAGGCTGAGGTGGGAGGATCACTTGAGCTCAAGAGGTTGAAGCTGCAGTAAGCCATGATTGTACCACTATGCTCCAGCCTGCGTGACAGAGGGAGACCCTGTTTTTAAAAAAAAATGTATAGAGGTCATCCTGTTAATGGATTTCAGTCATCCTTAAAAGGCCACAAAGCTTCTTTTTCAAACAAATTATTATCAGAAATCCAATATATAGAATTGTATCTGTCTTGTCTCATGTTGGGGAGAGGAAAAAAAAAACAGAAAAAAACAAGTTAAGGTGCAGTGGCTTATCCTGTAATCCCAGCATTTTGGAGGCTGAGGCAGGAGGATTGCTTGAGCCCAGGAGTTCAACCGATTAACATAGCAGAGGCCCCCTCTACAGAAAAAAAAAAAAATAGCTGGGCATGGTGGCACATGACTACAGTTCCAGCTACTCAGGAAGTTGAGAAGGAAGATTGCTTGAGCCCAGGAGGTTGAGGCTGCAGTGAGCTATGATTGTGCCACTGCACTCCAACCTGGGCTAAAGAGTGAGACTCAATCTCCAAACAAAAAACAACAACAACAACAAAACCATACCTGGAGGGTGGAACCGCCTATAAAAGACTACTGATCTGGTTTAATCTCCTCACTTTATAGGCAGGAAGGGAGGGATGCACCCCAGCCCACACCGCAAGTGAGTGGGAGAGTTTGTTCTAGAAAACTGCCAGCTGGCTGCTGTGCCTACATATTATCTGCAAACTACAGTTGTTTGAAGGAAGCCTGTAAAGCCACTTATCCATTTGGTGAAGATGAGTTTAGTTAAAATTAGATTATATTATTAAATTACATTCATTGAGCTATAATTTTTTTTTTGAGACGGAGTCTAGCTCTGTTGCCCAGGCTGGAGTGCAGTGACATGATTTCAGCTCACTGCAACCTCCACTTCCCAGCTTCAAGCAATCCTCCTGCCTCAGCCTCCTGAGTAGCTGGGATTACAGGTGTGCACCACCACGCCTGGCTAATTTTTTGTGTTTTTAGCGGAGACAGGGTTTGCCCATGTTGGCCAGGCTGGTCTTGAACTCCTGACCTCAGGTGATCTGCCTGCCTTGGCCTCCCAAAGTGCTGGGATTACAGGTGTGAGCCACCGCACTCGGCAGATGAGTAAGTTCTTTAGTGGTGATTTGTGAGATTTGGGTGCACCCATCACCTGAGCAGTTTACACTATACCCTATTTGTTGTCTTTTATCCCTCACCTCTCTCCCACCCTTCCCCCCAAGTCCCCAAAGTCCATTGTATCATTTTTATGCCTTTGTATCCTCATAGCTTAGCTCCCACATATCAATGAAAACATACGATGTCTGGTTTTCCATTCCTGAGTTACTTTACTTAGAATAATAGTCTCCAATCTCATCCAGGTCACTGTGAATGCCATTAATTCATTCCTCTTTATGGCTGAGTAGTATTCAATCATTATCTATCTATCTATCTATCTATCTATCTATCATCTATCTATCTATCACAGTTTCTTTTTCTACTTGTTGATTGATGGGCATTTGGGTTGGTTCCACGATTTTGCAATTGCAAATTGTGCTGCTATAATCATACGTGTGCAAGTATCTTTTTTGTATAATGACTTCTTTTCCTCTGGGTAGATACACAGTAGTGGGATTGCTGGATCAAATGGTGGTTCTACTTTTAGTTCTTTAAGGGATCTCCACACTGTTTTCCATAGTCACTGTACTAGTTTACATTCCCACCAGCAGTGTAGAGGTGTTCTCTGATCACAGCATCCACTCCAACATCTACCGTTTTTTTTTTATTTTTTGATTATGGCAATTCTTGCAGGAGTAAGGTTGTTACTTACTCCTGCAAGTAACAGGAGTTACTTGTGGTTTTGATTTGCATTTCCTGATCATTAGTGATGTTGAACATTTTTTCATAATGTTTATTGACCATTTGTGTATCTTCTTTTAAGAATTGTCTATTTGTGTCCTTAGACCATTTTTTTTTTTTTTTTGAGACAGAGTCTCACTCTGTTGCCCAGGCTGGAGTGCAGTGATCTCGGCTCACTGCAACCTCTGCCTCCCAGGTTCAAGTGATTCTCCTGCCTTAGCTTCCCGAGTAGCTGGGATTACTGGTGCGTGCCACTACGCCCAGTTGATTTTTTGTATTTGTAGTAGAGATGGAGTTTTGCCATGTTGGCCATGCTGGTCTCAAACTCCTCACCTCAGGTGATCTGCCTACCTCGGCCTCCCCAAGTGCTGGGATTACAGGCGTGAGCCACCCTGCCTGGCCCTTAGCCCACTTTTTGATGGGATTGTTTTTTTCTTGCTGATTTGTTTGAGTTTGTTGTAGATTCTGGATATTAGTCCTTTGTCAGATGTATAGTTAGTGAAGATTTTCTCCCATTCTATGGGTTGTCTATTTACTCTGCTGACTGTTCCTTTTGCTGTGCACAAACTCTTTAGTTTAATTAAGTCCCAGCTGTTTATCTTTGTTTTTATTGCATTTGCTTTTGGGTTCTTGGTCATGAAATTGTCTAAGCCAATGTCTAGAAGGGCTTTTCCAATGTTATCTTCTAGAATTTTTATAGTTTCAAGTCTTAGATTTAAGTCCTTAATCCATCTTGAGTTGATTTTTTTTTTTTTTTTTTTTGAGACGGAGTCTTGCTCTGTCGCCCAGGCTGGAGTGCAGTGGCGCGATCTCAGCTCATTGCAAGCTCCGCCTCCCGGGTTCACGCCATTCTCCTGCCTCAGCCTCCCGAGTAGCTGGGACTACAGGCGCCTGCCACTGCGCCCAGCTAATTTTTTGTATTTTTAGTAGAGATGGGGTTTCACCGTGGTCTCGATCTCCTGACCTTGTGATCCGCCCGCCTCAGCCTCCCAAAGTGCTCAGATTACAGGCGTGAGCCACCGCGCCCGGCCCGAGTTGATTTTTGTATAAGGTGAGAGATGAGGATCCAGTCTCATTCTCCTACAAGTGGACAGCCAATTACCCCAGCACCATTGTTGAAAAGGGTGTCCTTTCCCTACTTTATGATTTTGTTTGCTTTGTTGAAGATCGGTTGGCTGTAAGTATTTGAGTTTATTTATGTGTTCTCTATTCTGTTCCATTGGTCTATGTGCCTATTTTTATACCAGTATCATGTGGTTTTGGTGAGTATGGCCTTGTAGTATAGTTTGAAATCAGGTACAGTGATGCCTCCAGATTCGTTCTTGTTGCTTAGTTCTGTTTTGCCTATATGGGGTCTTTTTGGTTCCACACGAATTTTAGAATTTTTTTTCTAGTTCTGTGAAGAATGAACCCTGACCCTTTCTGATTGTGGTTTCTTTCTTTCTTCTTCTTCTTCTTTTTTTTTTTTTTTAATGAGATGGAGTTTCGCTCTTACTGCCCAAGCTGGAGTGCAATGACGTGATCTCAGCTCGCTGTAACCTCCGCCTCCCGGGTTCAAGCGATTCTCCTGCCTCAGCCTCCTGAGTAGCTGGGATTATAGGTGCCCGCCACCAAGCCCGACTAATTTTGTATTTTTAGTTGAGATAGGATTGCTCCATGTTCGTCAGGCTGGTCTCAAACTCCCAACCTCAGGTGATCTGCCCGCCTTGGCCTCCCAAAATGCTGGGATTATAGACGCAAGCCACCGTGCCTGGCCCTTTTTTTTTTTTTTTTGAAACTGAGTCTCACTCTTGTCGCCCAGGCTGGAGCGCAATGGCGTAATCTCAGCTCACTGCAACCTCCACCTCCTGGGTTCAAGCAATTCTCCTGACTCGGCCTCCCCAGTAGCTAGGATTACAGGCGCCTGCCACCATGCCTGGCTAATTTTTGTATTTATAGTAGAGATGGGGTTTCGCCATGTTGGCCAGGCTGGTCTCGAACTCCTGACCTCAGATGACCCACCTGCCTCGCCCTCCCAAAGTGTTAGTGCCTGGCCCAACTGATTGTGGGTCTTTTTTTTTTTTTTTTTTTAATTTATTTTTTTATTGATAATTCTTGGGTGTTTCTCACAGAGGGGGATTTGGCAGGGTCATGGGACAATAGTGGAGGGAAGGTCAGCAGATAAACAAGTGAACAAAGGTCTCTGGTTTTCCTAGGCAGAGGACCCTGCGGCCTTCCGCAGTGTTTGTGTCCCTGATTACTTGAGATTAGGGATTGGTGATGACTCTTAACGAGCATGCTGCCTTCAAGCATCTGTTTAACAAAGCACATCTTGCACCGCCCTTAATCCATTTAACCCTGAGTGGACACAGCACATGTTTCAGAGAGCACAGGGTTGGGGGTAAGGTCACAGATCAACAGGATCCCAAGGCAGAGGAATTTTTCTTAGTGCAGAACAAAATGAAAAGTCTCCCATGTCTACTTCTTTCTACACAGACAGGGCAACCATCCGATTTCTCAGTCTTTTCCCCACCTTTCCCGCCTTTCTATTCCACAAAGCCGCCATTGTCATCCTGGCCCGTTCTCAATGAGCTGTTGGGCACACCTCCCAGACGGGGTGGTGGCCGGGCAGAGGGGCTCCTCACTTCCCAGTAGGGGCGGCCGGGCAGAGGCGCCCCTCACCTCCCGGACGGGGCGGCTGGCCTGGCGGGGGGGCTGACCCCCCCCACCTCCCTCCCGGACGGGGCGGCTGGCCGGGCAGAGGGGCTCCTCACTTCCCAGTAGGGGCGGCCGGGCAGAGGCGCCCCTCACCTCCCGGACGGGGAGGCTGGCCGGGCAGGGGGGCTGACCCCCCCCACCTCGCTCCCGGACGGGGCGGCTGGCTGGGCGGGGGGCTGACACCCCCACCTCCCTCCCGGACGGGGCGGCTGGCCGGGCAGAGGGGCTCCTCACTTCCCAGTAGGGGCGGCCGGGCAGAGGCGCCCCTCACCTCCCGGACGGGGAGGCTGGCCGGGCGGGGGGGCTGACCCCCCCCACCTCCCTCCCGGACGGGGCGGCTGGCCGGGCGGGGGGCCGACCCCCCCACCTCCCTCCCGGACGGGGCGGCTGGCCGGGCGGGGGGCCGACCCCCCCACCTCCCTCCCGGACGGGGCGGCTGGCCGGGCGGGGGGCCGACCCCCCCACCTCCCTCCCGGACGGGGCGGCTGGCCGGGCGGGGGGCCGACCTCCCCACCTCCCTCCCGGACGGGGCGGCTGGCCGGGCGGGGGGCCGACCCCCCCACCTCCCTCCCGGACGGGGCGGCTGGCCGGGCAGAGGGGCTCCTCACTTCCCAGTAGGGGCGGCCGGGCAGAGGTGCCCCTCACCTCCCAGACGGGGCGGCTGGCCGGGCGGAGGGCTGACCCCCCAACCTCCCTCCCGGACGGGGCGGCTGGCCGGGCGGGGGGCTGACCCCCCCACCTCCCTCCCGGACGGGGCGGCTGGCCGGGTGGGGTGGCTGACCCCCCCATCTCCCTCCCGGACGGGGTGGCTGGCCGGGCTGAGGGGCTCCTCACTTCCCAGTAGGGGCGGCCGGGCAGAGGCGCCCCTCACCTCCCGGACGGGGCGGCTGGCCGGGCGGGGGGCTGACCCCCCCACCTCCCTCCCGGACGGCATGGCTGGCCAGGCGGGGGGCTGACCCCCCCACCTCCCTCCCGGATGGCACGGCTGGCCGGGCGGGGGGGCTGACCCCCCACCTCCCTCCCGGATGGGGCGGCTGGCCGGGCGGGAGGCTGACCCCCCCCCACCTCCCTCCCGGACGGGGTGGCTGCCGGGCGGAGACGCTCCTCACTTCCCAGATGGGGTGGCTGCCGGGTGGAGAGGCTCCTCACTTCTCAGACGGGGCAGCTGCCGGGCGGAGGGGCTCCTCACTTCTCAGACGGGGTGGTTGCCAGGCAGAGGGTCTCCTCACTTCTCAGACGGGGCGGCCGGGCAGAGACGCTCCTCACCTCCCAGACGGGGTCTCGGCCGGGCAGAGGCGCTCCTCACATCCCAGATGGGGCGGCGGGGCAGAGGCGCTCCCCACATCTCAGACGATGGGCGGCCGGGCAGAGACGCTCCTCACTTCCTAGATGGGATGGCGGCTGGGAAGAGGCGCTCCTCACTTCCTAGATGGGATGGCGGCCGGGCGGAGACGCTCCTCACTTTCCAGACTGGGCAGCCAGGCAGAGGGGCTCCTCACATCCCAGACGATGGGCGGCCAGGCAGAAACACTCCTCACTTCCCAGACGGGGTGGCAGCCAGGCAGAGGCTGCAATCTCGGCACTTTGGGAGGCCAAGGCCGGCGGCTGCTCCTTGCCCTCGGGCCCCGCGGGGCCCGTCCGCTCCTCCAGCCGCTGCCTCCCGGGCGGCGCTCGCCGGCGCGGCGGCAAAGACTGATTGTGGGTCTTAAGACCCTCCCATAAGAGGGTCCCATCCTATACCCTGAGGTAAGGAATGCTGATGTCATGAAGCCTCCGTGAAAATCCACGAGGACAGGGTTCAGGAGCTTCTGGATACTTGAAAAAGTGGAGCCTCCTGAAGGGTGGCACAACCAGGGAGGCCATGGAAGCTCTGAGCCCCTTCCCCCATACCTTGCCTTACATGTCCCTTCTTCTGTATCCCTGGCAATATCCTATATAATAAACCAGTAAATGTAAGTGTTTCTCTGAATTCTGTGAGCCGCTCCAGCAAATTAATTGAACTCAAAGAGGGGGTCATGGGAACCTCAACTTGAAGCTGGTTGGTCAGAAGTTCTGGAGGCCTGGACTTATGACTGATGTTTGTATGTATTGTTGGGGGTAGGGGCAGTCTTGGGGACTGAGCCCTCAACCTGTGGGATCTGGCACTGTCTTAGGGTACATAGTGTTAGAGCCGAATTGGAGAACACCCAGCTGGTGTCTGCTGCTTGGTGTGTGTGGGAAAAAACCGACTCATTTGGTCACAGAAATCTTTTGTGTTGACGTGGTTGTTGTGGTATGAGAGTAGGGGAAAAACACAGAGTTCTCGGGGCGCGGGGGCGGGGGGGCTCACGGCTGTAATCCCACCACTTTGGGAGGCCGAGATGGGTGGATTACCTGAGTTCAGGAGTTAGTGACCACCCTGGCCAACGTGGTGAAACCCCATCTCTACTAAAAATACAAACATTAGCCGGGCGTGGTGGCGGGTGCCTGTAATCCCAGCTACTCAGGAGGCTGAGGCAGGAGAATCGCTTGAACCCAGGAGGCAGAGGTTGCAGTAAGCTGAGATTGCACCACCGCACTCCAGCCTGGGCAACAAAAGCGAAACTCCATCTCAAAAAACAAAAAACAAAAGCCACAGAGTTTTTCCTACACAGGGTCTTTATTTTCAAATGGGGGCTCCTATGTAGATGTAAACATCTGTATGCTTTCCTCCTGTTAATTTGCATTATGTCAATTTAATTTGCAGACCCAGTTGGAGACCCTAAGAGGGCAGAGAAAAGTCGTGCCCCCCTATTCCCTTCTCAGGCCAGGTTGCAGTACTTGTCCATTCACTTTACAATTGGCAAAGAAAATCACAAGGCACCCACATAGATCACCTGGGTTCCACGTATATTCATCCCAACCCCCATTCTATTATTTAATGATTTATTTATTTATTTATTTTGAGAGTCTCACTCTGTCACCCAGGCTGGAGTGCAGTGGTGGGATCTTGGCTCACTGCAACCTCCTCCTGCCGGGTTCAAGCGACTCTCCTGCCTTAGCCTCCTGAGTAGCTGGGATTACAGGTGTGTGCCAGCACACCCTGCCCCAACCCCCATTCTAGAACAATAACTCTATCTTTCCCTGTTGAGGAGGGTCAGTTGAGACCAGTTGTGAGGAATAGTATCAGAGGCTCAGCATTGTTTTTGTTTTGTTTTGTTTTTGAGACAGTTTCACTCTTGTTGCCCAGGCTAGAGTGCAATGGCCTGATCTTGGCTCACAGCAACCTCTGTCTCCCAGGTTCAAGCGATTCTCCTGCCTCAGCCTCCCAAGTAGCTGGGATTATGGGCGCCCACAACCACACCTGGCTAATTTTTGTATTTTTAGTAGAGACGGGGTTTCACCATGTTGACCAGGCTGGTCTTGAACTCCTGACCTCAGGTGATCTGCCTGCCTCAGCCTCCCAAAGTGCTGGGACTACAGGCGTGACCCACTGCGCCTGGCCACAGCATTGATTTTTGTAGCCGTTAGGTAAGCAGCAGCTAGATCAGTCTTGGTAAATGGGAGTCTATTCCAGGTGTCAGAAAACTATAACCCTCAGGCCAAATCTGGCTTGCAGCCTGTTTTTGTATTGCCCATGTGCTAAGAATGGATTTTGCATTTTTATTGATTTACTTTATCGCATTTTTTTTTTAAGACACAAGGTCTCGCTCTGTCGCCTAGGCTAGAGTACAGTGCTATGATCATATGATACAGCAGTAGGCTGCTCATGGGAGCCTCAAAATCTAGGGCTTAAGTGATCCTCCCCCCTTAGCCTCCTGAGTAGCTGGAATTACAGCCTTGAATCACCACCATGCCTGGCTAACTAAAAAAAAAAAATTTTGGCCAGCTGCGGTGGCTCACACGTGTAATCCGAGCACTTTGGGAGGCTGAGGCAGGTGGATTGCTTCAGGCCAGAAGTTTGAGCCCAGCCTGGACAATATGGTGAAACCCCATCTCTACTAAAAATACAAAAATTAGTCGGGGGTGGTGGCACGCACCAGTTTCGAACTCCTGTAATTCCAGCTACTCCGGAGGCTGAGGCAGAAGAATAGCTTGAACCCAGGAGGTAGAGGTTGCAGTGAGCTGAGATAAAGCCACTGCACTCCAGCGTGGGCGACGAGCAAGATCTGTCTCAGAAAAAAAATTTTTTTTTTAGAGATGGGGGGGTGTCTCACTATGTTGCCCAGGCTGGCCTTGAACTCCTGGCCTAAAGCAATCTTCCTGCGTTGGCCTCCCAAAGAGTTGGGATGACAGGAATGAGCCACTGCACCCACCTGTTTTACAGTTTTAAATGGTTGAAAAAAATCAACCATTTCTTGGTATTAATCAAAGAAGATTAATATTGATTTACAATATTTGTATTATAAACTGATTTCCTCTACTGACTATACATTTCTTAAAAGCAGGGACTTTGTTTTATTAGTGACAGGATAGTCTGGCATGGCAAAACTGTGGAATAACATGTTAATCTATGGAACCCTTGTGCATTGCTGATGGGATGTAAAATGGTGCAGTTGCCGTGAAAAACTGGCAGTTCCTCAATAAGTTAAACATTGAATTACTGCATGATACAGCAATTCCACTCCTGGGTATGTGCTCAAAAGAATTGAAAACAGGTGTTTGAACAAAAACTTGTACACAAATGTTTATAACAGCACTATTCACAATAGCCAAAAGTTGCAAACAGGCCAAATGTCCATCAACTGATGAATGGATAAATAAAATATGGTATATTAATACAAGGGACATTATTCAGCTATAAAAAGAAATGAAGTACTGTGACATGCTACACCATAGATGAACCTTGAAAACATTATGTTAAGTGAAAGCCAGACACAAATGGCCACATAATGTATGATTCCATTTATATGAAATATCCAGAATAGGGAAAATCCACAGAGACCATAAGCAGATTAGTGGTTCCCAGGGGCTAAGGAGAGTAAACTGCTCAGTAGGTGGGAAGTTTCCTTTTGGGGTGATGAAAAAGTTCTGGAACTAGATAGTGGTGATGATTGCACATCATTGTGAATGTACTGAATGTCACAGAACTGTGTACTTCAGAATGGTTAAAATAGTAAATTGTATCTTATGTGTATTTTACCACAATTTTAAAAATAGGCTATACAAATAGGAAAAAAATTTGATCTATCACTGAATGTCAGACATTTGCATTATTTCCTAGTTTTCCTTTTTTTTTTTTTTTTCTGAGGCAGGGTCTCACTCTGTCACCCAGGCTGGAGTGCAGTGGCACAATCATGGCATCCTCTACCTCCCCAGGCTCAGGTCATCCTCCTACCTTAGCCTTCCGTGTAGCTGGGACTATAGGAGTACACCATCACGCTTGGCTGATTTTCGTATTTTTTTCTTTTAATAGAGATGGGGTTTTGCCACGTTGCCCAGGCTGGTCTCAAATTCCTGGGCTCAAGCAATCTGCCTGCCTTAGCCTCCCAAAGTGTTGGGATTACAGGCATTAGCCATTACACCTGGCCCTATTTCCCATTTTTTATTGTTAAAACTAACTGATATGGTTTGGCTGTGCCCCACCTAAAATCTCATTTTGAATTGTAATCTCCATAATCCCCACGTGTCAAGAGAAAGACTAGGTAGAGGTAATTGAATCATGGCTGGGGTGGGGAGTAGGGGGTTGGGGGATGGTTTCACTTTTGCTGTTCTCGGGGTAGTGAGTGCTCATGAGATCTGATGGTTTTATAAGGGGCTCTTCTCCCTTCCCTCAACACTTTTCCTTCCTGCTGCCTTGTAAAGAAGGTCCCTTGCTTCCCCTTTGCCTTCCACCATGATTGTAAGTTTCCTGAGGCCTCCCCAGGCATGCTGAACTGTGAGTCGATTAAACCTCTTTCTGTTATAAATTACCCAGTCTCGGTCAGTTCTTTATAGCAGTATGAAAGTGGACTAATACACTAACCTTGAGATAACCATTGTTGTTCATCTCAGAAGCACACAATTTTAAGGACAAATTCCAAAGTGTTGAATGACTGAGTTAAAGAACAATTTTAAGAACTTGATATACAAGATAAAAATAACCTTTGGAAAGGTCGCATTGGTTTCATTCTCATTACCCATTCAATACACACACAGTGAACATGTGTAGAGTTTATACTCTGTGCCAGGTATATATGGAAGACTAAGCCACAGTTCTCAGAGGTTTGAAATTTAACTGGATGATATAGGCCTGTAAATAGCCAGCAACAATAAGGTACAATAGATGTAAATTTCAGGTGACACTGGAAACCCAAAGGTTTTTTTTTCAAGATGGAGTCTCTTTCTGTCACCCAATCTGGAGTGCAGTGGCACTATCCTGGCTCACTGCAACCTCTGCCTCCTGGGTTCAAGTGATTCTTCTGCCTCAGCCTCCCGAGTAGCTGAGACTACAGGCATGCACCACCATGCCTGGCTGATTTGTGTATTTTTAGTAGAGACGAGGTTTCACCATGTTGGCCAGGCTGGTCTCGAACTCCTGACCTCAAGTGATCCGCCTGCCTTGGTCTCCCAAAGCACTGGTATTACAGGTGTGAGCCACGGCACCTGGCCCTGATTCACTCCTGTTTAGGAAGGGAGGTGATATCTAAGGACACCAAGGTGTTTTCTCAGCCTGTGTCAGCCATCCTCACCTATTTTGGATGTTACCTTAAAAAAGAAGTTGCCATTTTTCATAGATTAAACCTTTACTTCTTAAAAACATGTTTATTTTATTTATTTATTTTTTGAGACCGAGTTTCGCTTTTGTCTCCCAGGCTGGAGTGCAGAGGCGTGATTGACTCACCACAACCACCTCCTCCCAGGTTCAAACGATTCTCCTGCCTCATCCTCCCAAGTAGCTGGGATTACAGGCATGCACTACCATGCCCGGCTAATTTTTGTATTTTTAGTAGAGACGGAGTTTTGCTGTATTGGCCAGGCTGGTCTTGAACTCCTGACCTCAGGTGATCTGCCTGCCTTGGCCTCCCAAAGTGCTGAGATCACAGGTGTGAGCCACTGCGTCTGGCCTCCATGTTTATTTGATTGCTAGTGAAGATGAAGGTTTTTCTCATGTTTATTGACAACTTTTATTTATTTTGCTCATTTTCCATTGAGATGTAAATGCTTTTCTCAGAATTTTGAAGACTTCTGTGGTGTGATTTTGTTTCAGTTATTTTCACAGCAAATATATTCTGCTGGCTTATGTTTGCTTTTAAGTCTTGTACAGGGTGGTTTTTTAAAAAGTTTTATTGAGGTATAATTTACATACTATAAAATATACCCACTGTGGCTAGGTGCGGCGGCTCATGCCTGTAAACCCAGTACTTTGGGAGGCTGAGGCAGGCAGATCACCTGAGGTCAGGAGTTCCAGACCAGCCTGGCCAACATGGCGAAACCCCATCTCTACTAAAAATACAAAAATTACCCGGGTGTGGTGGCAGGTGCCTGTAATTCCACCCATTTGGGAGGCTGAGGCAGGAGAATCACTTGAACTGGGGAGGCGGAGGTTACAGTGAGCTGAGATCGTGCCATTGCACTCTAGCCTAGGCAGCAAGAGCGAGACTTTGTCCCCCACCAAAAAAAAGAAAAAAAGTATATATATACACACACACACACCCATTGTAAGTGTACAATTCAATGATTTTTAGTAAAATATATAGAGTTTGTATAGACATATCCAAGTCATATGAATATGTAATGAAGTTGTAGAATTGTACAGGGTGTTTTAAAAATATGTATCTCTTTCATTGTATGTAGTCATAGTTAATTTTTATTTCTTTTTAAATTCAAAGTATTTTAGAGATTAAACATATCAGTAAACAAATTAATTAACATTTTTAGAACCATGTTCTATATCAATCATTATTTATTTTCAAATCTGGAACAATGCAAGGAGCCACACAGTTATGGGGGAAAAAAATCACACGATTTTTTTTCACATGGAGAGACTTTAGGCATGAAAAGCAAAGATGCAGAGATTTAACTGTTTAATTTCACTGCTGTTCTTATAATCCAGTGACTTGCATAACACACAGCCTGTAGGCATGTGGAAGAATCAGGTGACTTGAAGCCGTGGGTGAGAAGGTGAAGCTGCTACCTGATCCTGATTTAGGGCAAGACGACCTCTGTTTTAGGACTGTCCTAGGTTTTGTCTTTTTTTTTTTTCTTCTGGGTCAGAGTCTCACTGTATCATTCAGGCTGGAATGCAGTGGCACAATCTCGGTTCACTGCAACCTCTGCCTCCCATGTTCAAGCAATTCTCCTGCCTCAGCCTCCCAAGTAGCTGGGATTACAGGCATGCACCACCACACCTGGCTAATTTTTGTGTTTTTAGTAGAGATGGGGTTTCACCATGTTGGCCAGGCTGGTCTCGAAATCCTGACCTCAGGTGATTCACCCGCCTCAGTCTCCCGAAGTGCTGGGATTACAGGCGTGAGCCACTGCGCCCGGCCAGGACTGTTCTAGGTTTTGACTTTGCTCCCTCTCTGGACTCTGTACACAGAGTGTTTCACTTTAGAAACACTGTCTTTTTTCTTTATTTAAGTCTGACTCTTTCTTCCTCTTTGCTCAGTGATAACTGTTGGGAAGAAATGGCTTGTGTATTATTCACTTCGAATGGACATTTCAGCTTTGGTCCTTGCCTTGAGGATCAAAATATTATCACCTTCGTTCATACTCCTTAGGACCATCTCACCCCTCTCTCACATGGTGAGAGAGCAAGAGAGATGCCAGGCTTTTTTCAAAAGCCAGACCTTGTGTGAACTACTGGAGCAAGAACTCACTCATTACCATGGGGATGGCACCACGCCATTCATAAGGGATCTGGCCCTAAGACCCAAACACCTCCCACCAGGCCCACCTCCAACATTGGAGGCCACATTTCAACATGAGATTTGAAGGAGACACACATCCAAACTACATCATCATCCAAAGATGAGGATAGTAATTTATACCTAATAGGATTTCATAAGGAACAAATATAGTAATACATGTCCAGTATCTTGCACATGGTAGGTGATCAATACATATTTACAAATGTCAATAAATATTAACATTATTATTATTCTCATTCAATGTACATAATTAGGAGTTAGTTAATAAGAGAATACTTTGGTCAGTCAGTACTACATATTAATATAGTTTCAGCTCTGCCAGCAGGAACCAAGGTCAGGAAATAATGGATATGAAGAAGATAAAAGAGGCCGGGTGTGGTAGCTCAAGTCTGTAATCCCAGCACTTTGGGAGGCAGAGGTGGGCAGATCACTTGAGGCAAGGAGTTCAAGACCAGCCTGAGCAACATGGTGAAACCTCATCTCTACAAAAAATTTAAATTAGTTGGGCATGGTGGCACATGCCTGTAGTCCCATGTACTTGGGGGGCTGAGGCGGGAAGGTCACTTGAGCCTGGGTGGTTGAGGCTGCAGTAAGCCATGGATCACACCACTGCACTCCAGCCTGGGTGACAGAGTAAGACCCTGTCCAAAAAAAAAAAGGAAAATAAAAAGTAAAACCTTAACTATTTACAAAATTGAAGAGCATAATCAGAGCTGTTATATATGGATATTCAGGTTGTACACTGCCCAACACAGGAATGTAGTTTACATAGACTATAAAATGAATGGTGCTCTCTGGATTTGTTCAGTGCACAACTCTAACAGTCATACATGGTAGCTTCCAAGATAATAAATAGTAGCCTCCAAGGTAATAGATAGTAATGGTCTTCAATGAATAATTGGACGTCTTGTAACAAGGAAAGCAGAAAGCAATTAAAGCTGTTTTTGGATTTCATGATTGGAAGTGTCCTTGGAGATGATCTAGTTCAACCCCCTCATATTTCAGATAAGAAAACTAAGATCAGGGGAGGGAAAAGTACAAGGTTCATCCAGGGCAGAACTGGGACAAGAACTATGTCTCTAGGGTCTTTGCTAATTGCCCTTTGTGTTTATGCAGAATTTCATTGTTGGTAGAAATTAGCATTCCAAATCACATCTTAAAACCCCTATAGAGAAAGAAGACTTGCAACGGCTTTGCATCTTCTAGCCTTTGTTGGGAACAAACCCAGGATGGCTAAGCAGGAATGTGTTGAGTTCTGGGTCTTAGCTCTTCAGTGTCCTGCACGTTTTCTCAGGGTGAACAATTCCTGTTGAGCAATGCCCCTTTGAAATCATTTTGTTTGCCTCTGTCTTTGACTTGATGTTAGCTGGCAAGTGGTGTGGTTTGCTAATGACCTCAACCAGGTTGCTAGCTTGGTAGTAATCTGAGAACAGTGTCTCTGGAGACCAGCTGAACTCCTTTGAGGTTTGCTGTGGTGAATTGATGTACTGCTTCAGATTTTAATTCAGAATCAAACAGAGCCTGAGTAGGGACGATGGGAGGCTACAGGAAGCTGATGTTGGGCATTAAGTGTGTTGGGCTTTGAATTAATAGCTAGCTATGCGTTGCCTTTTCCCTGTCCTCCACAGCCAGGTATTTGTCAGTAAATGGATATGTGGGAGGCATTGTGCCACTAGGTGCTGTGGGGAAGCCAGGAAGAATCAAACCCAAGGGGGTTAGTTTGTCCCAGGGGGCTGGTGCCTTTGGGAGAGAGCTGTGTGCAGACATTGAACCTGGGCCATACCTTCAAAAATTGGTAGGTTTGGAGCAGAGGAGATAGAAAAGAAAAAGAGAATGGGGAAAGCATTTTGGGTGGGAGTAATGACAAGCTCAAAAGCTTAGAGGGAGACATATACAAGGTGTGTTTGGGAAATGAAATACAGATCAATCTAATCAGTAGTGAGAAGTTATGAAAGGAAGATCGAGCTTTGTGCAGTGGCGATACCATAGCCAATGAGGTGCGATTGTTGCTAATTGGGAAAAAAAAGGAGGACTTTGGTCTAGCTTGATAGGTCCTTAAACCCCAAATGTGGGAGACTTTATTTATTTATTTAAGATGGGATCTCACTCTGTCGCTGAGACTGGAGTGCAGTGGTGCAATCATAGCTCACTGTAGCCTTGAAACTCTGGGTTCGAGTGATCCTTCTGCTTCAGCCTCCTAAGTAGCTGGAACTACAGGTGTGCGCCACTATGTCCAGCTAATTTAAAAAGAATTTTTTGCAGAGATGGGGTTTCACTTTGTTGCCCAGGCTGGTCTTGAATTCCTGGGCTCAAGTGATCCTTTCACTTTGGCCTCCCAAAATGCTGGGATTATAGGCATGAGCCACTGCGCACCCAGCTGGATTTTGACGGTATATAATCTGAAGATAAATAGGGAGCCCCAAAAGGTTTATGGACGTTATAAGAGGAGGCAGTGTTGGTAACTAACTTCAACTTAATCTTTGAGTTATTGAATATCCAGATGGGATTGTGATTGGGCTAAAAGATGATTTAGCATCACCCAGAGATAAATTCAGAGGTGGATTAAATTAAATTAAATTAATTTATTTCTTTATTTTGAGATTGAATCTCACTCTGTCACCCAGGCTGGAGTGCAGTGGCACCATCTCAGCTCACTGCAACCTCTGCCTGCTGGATTCAAGCGATTCTCCTGCTTCAGCCTCCTGAGTAGCTAGGATTACAAGTGCCCGCCACCACACTTGGCTAATTTTTATTTTTATATTTATTTTTAATAGAGACAGGGTTTCACCATGTTGGCCAGGATGGTCTTGAACTCCTGACCTCAGGTGATTCACCCTCCTTAGGCTCCCAGAGTGTTGGGATTACAGGCATGAGCCACTGCGCCTGACCAGAGGTGGATTTTATGTCTCACATTTTTGAGGAAGAGAATGGGTCTTTGTGGGAGAGATTATTTGCATATTCAAGGAGAAGATCATGAAGTAGTTTTAATTGTTGTATGAATGTTAAATATAGGCTGGGAGCGGTGGCTCATGCCTGTAATCCTGGCACTTTAGGAGGCCAAGGCAGGTAGATCCCTTGAGCTCAGAAATTCAAGACCAGTCTGGGCAACATAGTGAGTGAACTGTAGTCTCAGCTACTCAGGAGGCTGAGGTAGGAGGATCGCCTGAGCCCGAGAAGTCAAGCTTTCAGTGAGCCATGATTGCACCACTGCCATGCACTCTAGCCTGGGCAACAGAGTGAGACTCTATCTGAAAAAATAAAGAAAAAAAAAGTTAAATGTAGGTAGAGTGACAAAACATGCTGGGTAACCAATAACTTGTGCTGTTGCTCTCACCTGCCCTTCTGCACTCTGGTAGACATTTCAGAGAGTGACAAACTGTATTTTCTAGGCTTCCTTGCTAGCTGGCTTCTGTTTATATTCTGACGATGAAAGGCATTGGTGTGATACTGGAGGATGGAAGGAGGAATTGACTCTCTTCCTGCTTTTGGATTCTGGTGGCATCTTTGGCCAGCAGAGGTAATTGATGGTGATGGCACTGGCTCCAGTGAAAATGGTAGTAATGCAGTGGCTCACGCCTGTAATCCCAGCACTTTGGGAGGCTGAGGCGAGTGGATCACCTGAGGTCAGGAGTCTGAGACCAGCCTGGCCAACATGGCAAAACCCTATCTCTACTAAAAATACAAAAATTTGCCAGGCATGGTGGCACATGCCTGTAATCCCAGCTACTAGGGGGGCTGAGGCAGGAGGATTGCTTGAACCTGGGAGGTGGAGGTTGCAGTGAGCCGAGATTGTGCCACTGCACTCGAGCCTGGGCAACAGAGTGAGACTCTGTCTCAAAAAAAAAAAAAAAAAAGAAAGAAAATGGTTGTAATGGATCTGAGAGGTGGCTGCAGGGACAGGAGCAATGACTTGGAAGTACAGATTCTTGGGTTCCTGTTTAAACAACTGGGATCCCACAGCTAACAGGATCCTTAGAGACAGAACCCTCAGAGATCCTGTCTCTGAGTTTTGGGTAAGGTTTTTGTTCCTCTGTCCCAAGGTGGTAATGGTTTCCTGAAGTTACTGATCTTTGAGTAATCTCATCTCCCCTCTTTTGATACTCCTTCCCTTTTAACACTCTTGTAGCCAGTTTCATTATTAATTTATTCTATTTGAAACACCTAGACTGATTTTCTTGATTAGATCCTGATTGATACAGTACCTAGTCATCTTTTTTTCTTTCTTCTTCTTTTTTTTTTTGGAGATGGAGTTTTGTTCTTGTTGCCCAGGCTGGAGTGTAGTGGCACGATCTTGGCTCACTGCAACCTCCGCCTCCTGAGTTCAAGCGATTCTCCTGCCTCAGCTTCCTGAGTAGCTGGGATTACAGGCATGCGCCACCATGCCTGGCTAATTTTGTATTTTTAGTAGAGATGGGGTTTCTCCATGTTGGTCACGCTGGTCTCGAACTTCTGACCTCAGGTGATCTGCCTTCCTCAGCCTCCCAAAGTTCTGGGTTTACAGGCGTGAGCCACCGTGCGTGAGCCACCATGCCCGGCCGTCTTTCTTCACTTGGCTTCTAGGATGCCACACAGGTTTTTCTCCCATTCTACCAGACATTCCTTTTCAGTCTCCCTTGCTGATTCTTCCTCTTAAACCTGACTCTTAACGTTGGGAATGATTTTCACATAAAAATTACTAACGGTGACTTTCTTTCCAGTATCCTGAAGATCCAAATTTATCTGTAATATAGCCCTATCACTCGACATAGGAATTCATCTCATTTCACATGTGAGAAAATGAAGATTTCTTGCCCTAGGGACTATTTCAGAAATATCATCTTGAGAAATTAGTTCACATATTGCTTCTATCTGTGAGGCTGAGGCTTAGTCTCAGACTGTTAAAGCTAAAAAGAGCCAAAGAGATTTGCTCACTGGTAGGACATTCCTTCAGTAAAAATCTACTTCAGTAAAAAATCTACAGTCTAAGCTCTGGTCATCTTCTTTGCAGGTTTAGAAACTACTTTTTTGTTGAGCTTACCCAGAAACACACCAAATTTAATACAAATGCTTATACTTTTCAGATGTTAATAATATAAAATGTAAGCAACCATTCTGAACAATGAATTGTTGATGATGGACATTTGTGGTTTTACAGTAACAAGCATTCTAACAGTATTGATTGTTCTAATCCATGAATATGGTATATCTCTCCATTTATTTAGATCTTCTTTAATTTCTCTTAGTGATATTCTGCCAGAGTGTGTAGGATTGAAGTTTTACACATGTTTTGTCAAATTTAAGGATGTAATTTTTGGGGCTGGGTGTGCTGGCTTATGCCTGTAAACCCAACCCTTTGGAGACTAAGATGGGAGGATCACTTGAGGCCTGGAGTTTGAGACCAGCCTGGGCATCAAAGTGAGACCCATCTCCACACACACAAAAAAAATAGCTGGTGTGGTGGCATGCACCTGTAGTCCCAGCTACTTTGGTGTCTGAAGCAGGAGAATTGCTTGAGCCCAGGCATTCAAGGCTGCAGTGGACTATAATGGCACCATTGCATGCTAGCCTGGGTGACCAGAGCCAGACCCTATCTCAAAAAAAAAAAAATTAATTAATTAATGAAAATAAAAAATAAAAAAGAATATACTTTTTATACGATTTTGTATTCAGCTTTTTTTTTTCTTTTTCTTTTTTCTGTCAAGCTGTTCTTTATTTCAGGAAGAGGGCAGGGCAAGGGGCTCAGTCTTTCTTGGCAGTGGCTTTCTTCATGGCAGCCAGGACATTGCTCAGCTCCTCCCGCTTCCTCTTGGCATGGATATGCATCCTCACCCTTTTCTTTTTTTTTTTTTTTTTTGGAGACGGAGTCTCGCTCTGTTGCCCAGGCTGGAGTGCAGTGGCGCAGTCTCGGCTCACTGCAACCTCTGCCTCCTGGGTTCAAGCAATTCTCCTGCCTCAGCCTCCTCAGTAGCTGGGATTACAGGCATGCGCCACCACACTCAGCTAATTTTTGTATTTTTAGTAGAGACGGGGTTTTGCCATGTTGGCCAGGCTGGTCTCGAACTCCTAACCTCAGGTGATCCAACTGCCTCAGCCTTCCAAAGTGCTGGGATTACAGGCTGAGCCACTTTGCCTGGCCCCCACCCTTTTCTTGATAAACTTGGAGGTCTTCAGTAACTCCATGGCCTTGGAGACCTTCTGTAACTCCATGGTGTGACACTCGTAAGGGGCAAAGCCACACACCTCTCGGATCATGTCCTGCACAAACTTGGTGTGTTTGGTCAGGCACCTGCGGTGGCAGCTGTGCCTGGGATTGCTCACGTTCTTGGTCACCTTGTGGCCCTTGTTGAGGCCCATGGCCATAGGGTAGCGCAGAGCCATGGCTGCTGCTCTCCAAAGGCAGCCGTGGCGGAAGGCAGCTTTTTAAAAATAGTATTATTTCCAAAGCATTTTACCATGTCTTTAAAGGGGTTTATTAACATTGGTAATGGCTGCATTAATTCAGGTGGCAACTTTTAAACCACTGATATTACTGGTTTTACTTAATACTTTTACTTAATGGTGATGGCTGCACTTTGTTTTATAGCATCAGCTTTGCTGTGTTAAACAGAAGGTCTAGTGTTGCACTGAGTCCCTTGGGGAAAGTAGTCTAGAGAAATTGCAGGCTCAGTTCCAAAACCAACATTCCAAATAAAGAGGGTTTTCAGTGAAAATATCAGTTTACCTTGAATATTTTTCCAGTCATGTAAATAATCTTCATTTTCTTCCTAACATTAAATGTATTCATTTGTGATCTCTGAGCTACTTTCATTATAATACAAATTTGCTATATTTCAGGGATTTTCTTTTGGGGAGAGGGGACTATTTTTTTTTTTTTTTTTTTTGAGACGGAGTCTCATTCTGTCACCCAGGCTGAAGTGCAGTGGCACGATCTTGGCTCACTGCAGCCTCTGCCTCCTGGGTTCAAGCAATTCTCCTGCCTCAGCCTCCTGAGTAATTGGAATTACAGGTGCACGCCACCACACCAGGCTAATTTTTTGTATTTTAGTAGATACGGGGTTTCACCGGGTTGCCCAGGCTGGTCTCAAACTCCTGAGCTCAGGCAATCTGCCCGCCTCGGCCTCCCAAAGTGCTGGGATTACAGGCGTGAGCCAGCACACCCGGCGAGAGGGGACTATTGATCTAATCTTGAAATTTGAATGCTCTGTAGTACTCTATATTGCTATATGGCTGTGCTAAATGCCATCACAAATAGAATAAACAGTATATATAATTTGTTCATCTATTTCTTCAACAAGCATTTAGTGAGCCACCTTCTAGTATATGCAGTGGGAATCTGTTATATTCTGGAGTTTCAGAGCTGAATAAACATAGTATCTCTTGTCCAGGAACTTCCAGGCTTACCCCTGTTATGCTATATGATCACATTAGAAATAAATCAATGCAGGCCATTGCTGACATATTCCTGGAGGCCTGACTCATGCCCACTCACTCTTCTACCCTCCCTCTGCTTTGTTCAACTGTTGATAGAGTCCTGGGGACTCAATAGAACTATCACTGGCCAGTTTACCTGGATGAGAGTGTCTTCAAAAGCATTACCAACTTAGGACAAGACTGATTTCTTCCAGAATGCCCTAAATTCCCCCCTGCCCATTAACTGACTGCCGGGACAGATTCCTTGCAAATGTTGTGGCCAGTTGGGCCTGTCCTCCCTCACAATCCTCTAATCTTTGATTTAATGTTCAAAATATTAACATCCCCATAATCTATAATACCCTCTATTACCCTGTGACCTCTTCTTTTATAGCGTCCTCTCCATTCTACTCTGTGTTGCCTCTTCCTGCTGCTTTGCTCCTCCAAAGATTCCCCCTGCACCTGCTGAAGGCTCATCCCATACTAAGCAAACCCTTCTAGAATGTAAGCTCTTCATGGAAACTCTGTCTCTACCTCTACCTCTGTGCCTGATGGAAACCCAGACATCTGAGATTTCCTCTGTAGCTCTCTCAAAAGGATGCCACTCCTTGTCTACTTCTCAAATACCTGGGATCAGGAAGTGGGTAAGGATTCCTCTTTGCTTTTCAGGGCTACTTCTGAACCATTTCTAGTATAAAGCCCCTTGGTCTTTCAACTCTGCTATGACCCAGATATACTCCTGTCTGTTCTTCCCTCTCCCCAATTCCTGGCTATTCCTCTCATTTGTTGAAGGTTTTCAGAAGTGGTATTATTAAGAACATGGGCTTTAGAGTCAGGTATGTCTGGGTTCCTGTGTCAGGTGTGCCACTTACTAGCTGTGCAATCTTCAGCAAATTATAGTATTTAATCTCTGAGCTAATTATAGAACTTAATCTCTGAACTTAACTTTTCTTAGATGTAAAATAAGATAACGGCAATCACCTTGGAGAGTGGTTACTGGCGTTCAACATTCATTCAACTAAAAGTAAGTGGAATAAAATAATTATACATTGATATATGTTCTGTGAAGGGTTTAGGATAGAGAATAAAGGGGGCACTCCACCATGAGGGAGGTTCAAAGGGGAGGTGCCATTTGAGCCGAGACCTGAAGGAAGAGAGGGAGGGTTAAATGAAATAAAGCACACGGAACCACTTGGCACAGCACGGGCCCATAGTGAACTCAGTGTTAGTGAAAATCATTTTCCTGGTAAGGGTGGTGGCAGAGGTGAATGGCTTTCAAAGCTGAAGTAATTGCAAGCTGAGTTGATCCTGGTCCAAGTGAAATAGTGGCATTAGTGCTTGGTGGTGGTAGTGGCAGCAGAAGCAGTAGTTTTTCTATCAGATCAGTTTTTCTCCTCTCCTCTCCTCTCCTCTCCTCTCCTCTCCTCTCCTCTCCTCTCCTCTCCCCTCTTCTCCCCTCTCCTCCTCCCCTCCCCTCCCCTCGTTTCGTTTCATTTCATTTCCTTCCCCTTCCCTTTCCTTTCCTTTCCTTTCCTTTCCTTTCCGAGACAGAGTCTTGCTCTGTTGCTTGGGTTGGAGTGCAGTGGTGCGATCTTGGCTCACTGCAACCTCTGCCTCCTGGGTTGAAGCGATTCTTGTGTCGCAGCCTCCTGAGTAGTTGAGACTACAGGCGTGTGCCACCATGCCCAGCTAATTCTTTTGTATTTTTAGTAGAGACAACTGTTTTCCATGTTGCCCATGCTGGTCTCAAGCTCTTTTTTTTTTTTTTTTTTTTTTTTGAGATGGAGTATAATCTCAGCTCACTGCAACCTCTGCCTCCGGAGTTCAAGCAATTCTCCTGCCTCAGCCTCCCAAGTAGCTGGGATCACACACCACCATGCCCGGCTAATTTTTTGTATTTTCAGTAGACACGGGGTTTCACCATGTTGGCCAAGCTGGTCTTGAACCCCTGATCTCAAGTGATCTGCCTGCCTTAGCCTCCCAAAATGCTGGGATTACAAGCATGAGCCATCACGTCCAGCCGATAATAATTACATTTCAAAGGGTGGCAGCATTAAACCCATCTATCATCTTGAATTGTCTCAAGACAAAGACTTTTAAATTATGTGAGAAGAGGACTGGTAGAATACAGAGGTAAAAGTAAGGTCTTCAGACTTAAAAGCTCTATCTAAATAAGATCTTTTGATGTGGGTCATTCATGAAACTAAAGCAAACAGATGAAGCCTACTAAGATCTTGAAGGTTTGGATTGTCAAAGAGCCTGCCCCATTCAGCCGTGTCATTCAGCACAGCCCGTGACTGTTCGGCCCCAAGGCAGTTGATGGTGCCTGATCTACATGGGCAGGAGAGGTCTGCTAAAGCTCTTCAGCCTCTAGGAATGGCCTTCCCCACAGTGCCCTCCCCAGATGCAGCCATGGGGAATAGCAAGCAAGGAGAATCCTTCCAGAGAACAAAACTAAGGGCTGTAGATTGACCAGCCAAGGAACTCTACTGCAGGGATAGCGAGTCCCCACTACTCCTGCCCTGCAGGACTGTACAAGTGCGATGGACCAGAGACAGCTGAGTGTTTGCCATGTTCTTTTTTTCCCAAAGGGAGTTTTTATTGCACTTATCCTGTTGGGGAGAGATAAATTGTCTTTAAGCTTACAGATCTCTAGTCATGAGAAGCCACATCCTGACCCTAATCCTCTAGAGATCCTGGACTTTGAGCTGGATTTAGTAACTGGATGTAACTTTATTGCTGTATCCCTTGGGGAGGGCCAAATGCATTTCCTTTTTCTTTCTTCTTTCTTTTTTTTTTTTTTTTTGAGACGGAGTCTTGCTCTGTCTCCCAGGATGGAGTGCAGTGGTGCGATCTCAGGTCACTACAACCTCCACCTCCCGGTTCAAGTGATTCTCCTGCCTCAGCCTCCTGAGTAGCTGAGATTACAGGCATGCGGCACCATGCCTGGCTAATTTTTGTATTTTTAGTAGAAACGGGGTTTCACCACGTTGGCCAGGCTGGTCTTGAGCTCCTGACCTCCAGTGATCCACCCACCTCGGCCTTCCAAAGTGCTGGGATTACAGGTGTGAGCCACTGTGCCTGGCCTCCAAATGCATTTTCTTCATGGGAAGACGATGTGTTTGAATGTTGCCAGTCAAAGGGAGGACCATGACAGCAACTGCTTATTTCCTATCTCAAATCTACTCTCTCTCTGTTTCTTTTTTTTTTTTTTTTTTTCTGAGACAGAGTCATGCTCTGTTGCCCAGGTTGGAGTGCAATGGCACGATCTCGGCTCCCTGCAATCTCTGCCTTTATTTCTTTTTAATAGAGAGCCCTGGAGGCCGGGTGCGGTGGCTCACACCTCCCTGAGTAGCTGGGACTACAGGTGTCTGCCACCATGCCTGGCTAATTTTTATATTTTTAGTAGAGATGGGCTTTTGCCATGTTGGCCAGGCTGGTCTTGAACTTCTGACCTCAGGTGATCCGTCCGCCGCAGCCTCCCAAAGTACTGGGATTACAGGCGTGAGTCACTGCGCCCGGCCCTAAAAAGTTATGTTTGCGTCCTAACCCCCAGTATCACACAATGTGATTGTATTTGGAAATAGGATTGTTGCAGACATAATTAGTTAAGGTGAAGTCATTGCTATAGTCTGAATAGTCACCTTCTCACCATGCATATGTTGAGAGCCTGATGGCCAAGGTGATGGTATTAGGAGGTAGGGGGCCTTTGGGAGGTGATTGGATCATGAGGGTGGAGCCCTCAAGAATGGGATTAGTGTCCTCATGAAATAGACCCCTTCCAACATGTGAGGACACAGTGAGAAGGCTCTGTGAGAAATTAGGCTTTCACCAGACACTAAATCTGCTGGCACCTTGATCTTTTTTTTATTTTTTTCTCTTTTGAGACAGGGTCTTGTTCTGTTGCCTAGGCTGGGGTGCAGTGGCGCAATCTTGGCTCACTGCCACCTCTGCCTCCCCGGTTCAAGTGAATCTCCTGCCTCAGCCACCCGAGTAGCTGGGACTGTAGGTGTGCATCACCACACCCGGCTAATTTTTGTATTTTTAGTACAGACACTCTCACCATGTTGGCCAGGCTGGTCTCAAACTCCTGACCTCAAGTGATCTGCCCACCTTGGCCTCCCAAAGTACTGGGATTACAGGTGTGAGCCACCATGCCCAGCCCTGCCACCTTGACCTTGAACTTCTCAGACTCCAGAACTGTGAGAAAAAATTTCTGTTGTTTATAAGCCACCCAGTCTGTGGCATTTTGTTACGGTAGCCCCAATAATCTAAGACAGTAATAATGGAGTAGGGTGGGTCATTAATCCAATGATTGTTGTCCTTATCAAAAGACAACTTGAAGACACAGACAGAGAATGCCCCATGTGATGACCCAGGCAGAAAGTGGCATGAGATGGCTAAGAAGAGGGGAGGAAGGATTCCACCTGGAGTCTCGAGGGGGCGGAGGCCCTCTGACACTTTGATTTTGGCTGTCTAGCCTCTAGAACTGTGAGAGAATACATTTCTGCTGTTTTCAGCCCCCTAGTGTGTGGCACTTTGTTCCTGAAGCCCTAGTGCATCCTCTCCTCCATCCACTCTCCACCCCAGGTCACCAGGCTCTGATTTTGCCGCAAGAGCCTCTAAACTGGTCTCTGAGCTTCCAGTGGAGTTTCCTTTCCATTTATGCTCCATACAACAGCCTGGATGAGTTTTCTAAAGCTCAAATTACTCACCTGTTCACACACCTTTCAGTGGCTTCCCAGGACGCTAGATATAACTTCTGAATTCCCTTACCTGATACAAAAGGCCCTATGTGCCTTCCCAGCATCAACTTGTACCAGACTTTTTTTGTTGCTCTCAATGATTGCAACTCCCCCATTGCTCCTACTGTCTGACCGCTGGGCTTTTTTTTTTTTTTTAATGAGATGGAGCCTGGCTCTGTCGCCTAGGCTGGAGTGCAGTGGCGTGATCTCGGCTCACTGCAACCTCTGACTTCAGGGTTCAAGAGATTCTCCTGCCTCAGCTTCCCGAGTAGCTAGGACCACAGGTGCCCGCCACCACACTCAGCTAATTTTTGTATTTTTATTAGAGACGGGGTTTCACCATGTTGGCCAGGCTGGTCTCGAATTTCTGGACTCAAGTGATCTGCCCGCCTCGGCCTCCCAAAGTGCTGGGAATACAGGCATGAGCCATCACACCTGGCTGGACCTCTGGGCTTTGATTCCCATTCGATGTCCCTTCTCCCAAGAAGCCTCCTCCTAACAGTTAGTGCCCCTGCTATATGCTCTCTTCAAGCCCAGTTCTTACCCCATCAGAACACAGACTCCATTTATTATGATGCACACTTGCCTGTCTGTCTGCCTCCTGAATCTGTAAATTCCTCAAGGGCAGGGCAGTGTTTTCTTTAGCACTGAAACATTAGTGACCAACAGTGACTGTCCCATTTCAGGTGGTCAATTCATTGGATTTAGGGGAACAGACGGCTGACTCCTCTTACTATCTTTTTCTCCATGAGTTTCATATTTTGAAAGATTTTAGGCATTAAACACAGTTTATTAATTAAGTTAACCTTTGTGGACTTACGAGAGGATTAATGCATGGTTTTCTTTTTTCTTTTTAAAATATCGAAAACAGCTTGAAGAACCTCCAACCTGTTTTCTTTTTTGGGAAATAACTTATCACCCGGTGATCCTAGGTTTTGAATGTAGCCAATTCCCCTAGGTAAAGAAACTGAGGCCGAGAGAGGTGAAATGACTTGTCTAAGGTTTACAGTGTGTTAATAATGACACCAGGCTAAAACTCAAGTTTCCTGACTTCAAATCCAGGATTCTTTCTGCTGTTTTATAATAGACAGGGCTTCAGGAGACCTGGTATAGCCAGTTATGTGCTGGTAAATGTTTAACAACTGGCTCCATAGGAGGGAAAAAAAAGATCTTGATTTATAGCATTTGTCGATTTCTGTGGTGTAAATAACTCTACCTTGTCTAATTTCAAGCTACCTGAAGTAACTCAACATAAGGGTTGATTCAAGCAGACTCCAGCACACTGCTTAGATATAGCCCTTGATTTTAGACTTTGCAGGTTTCTGTTCTGGAGAAACTTCCATACCCTCTTTCTTTTTTTTTTTTAATTTTTAAAATTAAATTTTATTTATATTAATTTTATTTTTATTAAATAAAATTTATATTTTATTATATATAATTTATATGCTATTTTATTTATATTATATTAATTTTATTTATATTAAATTTATAAGGCATTATTCCTTAATCTTTTTATATGTTCTAGAAGAGTTTAAGCTACCTTAAATTCATATATCCTCTTTCTTAAAAATTTGTAGTGCTTGGAGACTCCCATCCCCCAGATACTGGCTGTTGCCAGAACATGCGAAACTCTTGCAGTCAGATGATGCAAAAGGCTATAAATAAAAATAAAGGATCCCAAAGGAATGACCTGCTGAAAATATGACAAGATGGAAAACTCATATAAGTAGAGAGTGCTGTTCATGGTCATGTGTTAGAACCAAAAGCCAGCGATGAACTCTGGAAAGATGAGTTAATGGAATACGAGTCCCTAAAGCATTTAGGCTGGGAGGAAGTGCCACCTCCTCTCCGTAGCTTTTCTGATTTATCTCAGGAAGAAATAATTCCTCCTTCCTTAGTAGATCCCAAATACTTACACCTCAGTTGCTTTTTTTATTTTTAGAATTGCATTGCATCTAGAATGTATTTTACAGAATACATCCAAACTCCTTAGTTTGGCAGAGAGGCCTTTTATTAAATGAATTTTCAAAGAGGTGGGTGGGACAACAGGAAGAACACAAGCTTCGGAGCTTGATTGATTCTGGGTTCAACTCCTGCTGCACTGCTTACTGCTGTGATACTTCAGGCCAGTTTCCTAACCTAGGCCTCGGTTCTTCATTCCTTTTTTCTTTTTTTTTTTTGAGACAGAGTCTTGCTCTGTTGCCCAGGCTGGAGTGCAGTGGCACAATCTTGGCTTACTGCAACCTCTGTCTCCCAGGTTCAAGCAATTCTCCTGCCTCAGCCTCCCAAGTAGCTGGGATTACAGGCGCCTGCCACCACGCCTGGCTAATTTTTTTGTATTTTTACTAGAGATGGGGTTTCACCATGTTGGCCGGGCTGGTTTTGAACTCCTGACCTCAAGTAATCCACCCGCTTCGGCCTCCCAAAGTGCTAGGATTACAGGTGTGAGCTACCGCACCTGTCCAGTTTCTTCATTCTTAAATACCTTCCTTATAAGGTTGACACAGACGGAAATGACAGAAGACATGTCAGGTGCCTAATACACCACCTGTTATGTGTTAAGGATGCAAGAAATGATCTGTTCTTTCTGTTTACTGGTGAAACATTTCCTGCTTGTTCAAATCTTTATATTTTTGGAGATGTGCTTTCCTATTAATGAGTTAGTTTATTTACACAGACTCCTAACAAATATTTAGAGCAAAATTCTCTGTGGACTGAATCTCTGATTCTGCTGTCTTTAATGTCTAGTGGTTTTATTTGTTTGTTTTTTTGAGACAGGGTCTTGCTCTGTCGCCCAGGCTGGAGTGCAATGGTGCCATCGTGGCTCACCGCAACCTCTGCCTCCTGGGTTCAAGTGATTCTCCTGCCTCAGCCTTCCGGGGAGCTGGGATTTCAGGTGCCCACCACCATGCCTGGCTAATTTTTGTATTTTTAGTAGAAATGGGGTTTCATCATGTTGGCCAGGCTGGTCTCGAACTCCTGACCTCAAGTGATCCGCCTGCCTCAGCCTCCCAAAGTGCTGGGATTACAGGTGTGAGCCACCGCACCTAGCTTAATGTCTAGTGGTTTTGCAGGACGAGGACACAGATAAATTCTTGGGCTCAGGGGTCAGGTATACCCCTTCCCAGGCAGAAAGTAAGATACCATGAAAATTGTTCTTAAATGTGATCTAAGTACTACAGGAAGGTGATGAGGGGACCTCACCAAATGCAGGATGTAACCAGAAGTGACACTGGTACCCCTGCTAAGGACTGGGCACTAATGCCATAGCATCTCCTTCAACCCTCACATTAACCCTATGGTGGTAGAATGACTCCTATTTTGCTAATGACAAAACTACATGCATTTACTCAACAATCTTCCTTGTGCACCTACTACATGCCAGGTATTTTCTAGGTGCTGGAGGTAGAGCATGGGCAAAAGGGACAAAAATCCCTGTCCCTGTGGAAGTGACATTAACAAGGTAATAAATAAGTTAAGGAAGTAAAATATAGAGCATGTCAGGTGGTGCTAAGAGCATGGAGAAAAATAAAGAAGAGTAGGAGCGTGGGGGATGCGTGAGGCTGCAATTTGATTTCTTTCTGGTTTTTTTTTTTTTTTTTTTTTTTTTTTTTGAGACAGAGTCTTGCTCTGTCACCCAGGCTGGAGTGCAGTGGCATGATCTCGGCTCACTGCAACCTTAGCCTCCCAGGTTCAAGCAATTCTCCTGCTCAGCTTCCCAAGTAGCTAGGATTACAGGCATGCACCACCATGCTCGGCTAACTTTTGTACTTTTAGTAGAGACGGGGTTTCACCATGTTGGTCAGGCTGGTCTTGAACTCCTGACCTCAAGCAATCCACCCGCCTTGGCCTCCTAAAGTGCTGGGATTACAGGCGTGAGCCACTGTGCCCAGCCTGCAATTTGATTTAAAGTGACTAGGGCGGCTGGGCAAGGTGGCTCATGCCTGTAATCCCAGCACTTTGGGAGGCCAAGGCAGGTGGATCATCTGAGGTCAGGAGTTCAAAATCAGCCTGGCCAACATGGTGAAACTCCACCTCTACTAAAAATACAAAATTAGCTGGGCATGGTGGCACATGCCTGTAATCCTAGCTACTTGGGAGGCTGAGGCAGGAGAATCGCTTGAACCTTGGAGGTGGAGGTTGCAGTGAGCCGAGATCGTGCCATTGCACTCCAGCCTGGGCGACAGAGCGAGACTCCATCTCAAGAAAAATAAATAAATAAATAAATAGAATAAATACATAAATAATTAAAGTAACCAGGAAATGTCTCATGGAGATGACCTTGGAACAAAGACATGGAGAAGGCAAGGGAGGTGGCCACGAGGATAACTTGTTCAGAAACTGACCTGGGGTTCCCAGGAATTGACAGGGCGGGTACTGGAATCTCTGTCTGGCTCTAAGGCCAGTGCTCTCCTTTCAACAAGGCTCTTTTTCAAGAAGCAGTGTCGCTGTCGTCCAAGCAGGCTGTGTGCGTGTGATGCTGTGTGCGCGCACATATGTGCTATTTAGGAATGTGTTATATTTCCATGGGTAGACCCTGTGGGGACCCAAGCTTCCCTACTGACATCTTCCAGAGGCTGAGGCCTCACATTGTTGGTTTTCATGGAAACTTGGCAACTTTCTAGTTATCCCGCCCTGAGCCCTGCACCACATTCCAATGGTTTTATTTGTGTGCCTTGGAGCTGTGCCAGGGCTGGGCCTGGGACAGGTTGCCATGGCGACCTCCCCACTCTTTCCAGATAAGAATTTCTCAAGGATGTTGACGTTGGGCCTGAAATAGTTCTACCCTGCTCTCAGCCCGTAGGAGGATGAACTTTGGCATGGAGAACTGAGTTAGGAAACCTACTCATTCCCTCAGTCTTTCAATTTGTGTACACTGAATCCTGGGTAAGAAAGACTTCTCGGGAGGGTACTCCAGGGCCCCCCAGCTTTAGGATTGAGGATGGCTTTGCTTAGGTACTAGAAGAGCTTCTTTCAGTTTTTCCATTCCAGTTGTTATATTCAGTGCTTGCCTTTGAGAGCCCTGCTAACATAAGATATTTTTTTTTCTTTTTTTTTCGAGATGGAGTCTCGCTCTTGTCATCCAGGCCGGAGTTCAGTGGTGCGATCTCAGCTCACTGCAACCTCTGCCTCCGAGGTTCAAGTGATTCTCCTTCCTCAGCCTCCCGAGTAGTTGGGATTACAGGTGCCCGCCACCATGCCCAGCTCATTTTTGTATTTTTTTAGTAGAGATGGGGTTTCACCATGAGAGCCAGGCTGGTCTCGAACTCCTGACCTCAAGTGATCTGCCCGCCTCAGCACCCCAAAGTGCTGGGATTATAGGTGTGAGCCACTGTGTCCAGCTTTTTTTTTTTTTTTTGAGATGAAGTCTTGTTGTGTGGCCCAGGCTGGAGTGCAGTGGTACAATCTTGGCTCGCTGCAACCTCTGCCTCCTGGGTTCAAGCAGTTCTTGTGTCTCAGCCTCCCTTGTGGCTGGGATGATAGGCATGTGCCACCACGCCCAGCTAATTTTTGTATTTTTAATAGAGACGGGGTTTCACCATGTTGCCGAGGCTGGTCTTGAACTCCTGGACTCAAACAATCCTCCTGCCTTGGCTTCCCAAAGTGTTGGGATTACAGGTGTGAGCCACTGCACCTGTCCTGAAAGAACAACTGTCACTGGGAATTTGCTTTCAGAAAGAAAAAATGTCAGTGTTCATGCCTTTAACTCAAAATAATTCTTAAGCCAAAATAGCATATTTTGGGGTGGCGTATTCTTCCGCCCTTCACTTTTTTTCCCAGTAAATATTATTTTGAGTGAATAAAGTGACTCATCCAAAAATTCTTTTTTTTTTTTGATGACTTGTCCAAATTCACTGCATCAGTTATCTATTTCTGTATAACAAAACACTCTTGGATTTAGTGGCTTATGACAACACTGTCTTATTTGTTTATGATTCTGTGGGTCAGCTATTTGAGGTGGGATGGATGGTTCTTCTCCTGGTCTTGGCCGAGACCACTTGCAACTGCAGTCGGCTGGGGGTTTGGCTGGGAGCTGGTTGATCTGGGGCCTCAGCCAGGGTATGTTTTTGCTCCTTGTGGTCTTACGTCCAACAGGCTAGTGTCCTGGGCTTCTTTCTGAGAAAGTGAGGCTGAGGGCCTCTTCAGGGGCAGATCCTGAAGCAGTTCTAGGGGTCTTCTCTAAAGAAAATAAAAGCCATTAATATGAAATTAGGTCCAGAGCCTTGGAAGAGGCCGGTGCAAGTAAAGGGCCCAAAGCTTGAGCTGCAGGAGCCTCCCAGAACATCCGCCTTTGGTCTTCTCTGCTCTTGGATCCTCAGTGAGACTTGATGGGGTCTGACATCATTCTTACCCTTGAGAATGGGCCAGGGAACTAGCATGACATGGAACAGGGCCTCTTCTCAGTGACACACCTAAGAACCCTCTCCCTCCTCCCCAACTTGCCCCTCTCCTCTCAATCTTGAAGCTGCTATTGCTGTACTTCATCACGCTGAATTTATTGAGACACAAACTTTTATCAGGCTTTAGATTTTATTTTATTTTATTTTTTTTGAGATGGATCCTCACTCTGTCACCCAGGCTGGAGTCCATCTTGGCTTACTGCAACCTCCACCTCCCGGGTTCAAGCAATTCTCCCACCTCAGCCTCCCGAGTAGCTGGAATTTCAGGCGAGTGACACCACATCTGGTTAATTTTTGTATTTTTAGTAGAGATGGGGTTTCACAATGTTGGCCAGGATGGTCTGGAATTCCTGACCTCAGGTGATCCGCTCGCCTCGGCCTCCCAAAGTGCTGGGATTACAGGCATGAGCCACTGGACCCCGCCAGATTTTATTTTATTTTATGAGTCAGGATCTCAATGTGTCGCCGTTGGAGTGCAGTGGCGCGATCATGGCTCATGCAGCCTCAAACTCTCCATCTCAAGTGATCCTCCAACTTCAGCCTCCTAAATAGCTAGGACTGTAGGTACTCCACAAATGCCTGGTGAATTTTTGTTTACTTTTTGTAGAAACAGAGTCTCACTATATTGCCCGGGCTGGTCTCAAAACTCCTGGATTTAAGTGATCCTCTCCTTGGCTTCCCAAAGCTCTGGGATTACAGATGTGAGCCACTGCCCCTGGCCTAGGCTTTAGATTTAAAAATTCAACTCCTGCCCCTATTTCCCCCCACAAATATGCTCTCTGGCATAAATTTCAAAGGTCTATTTGAAACTCAAAAGCTAAGAATGGACTCTTTGTTCTGCTGTATCCCCCATCACTTCCTGAGGGAATGAGCTTCAAATGTCCTACCTGCTTCCCAAATGGGCGGAAAGATTCAGGAACAAAGCCCACATTAGATAACAGTATAAAATAGCTTCCGGCTGCATGGTTAGAACTGTTTATTTACACAGGTTTAGGAGCACCAGGTGAAAAATGTGAGCTTTGCCCTCACTTGGGGTTCAAATTTACCTGGGCATGTTTGGTGGGGGATGGAACCACACCGTAGGTGCAATTGTGTTCCAGAGAGAGAGGCGACAATGGAGAAGAAGGAATACACCATGCTAGGCTCAGACGTGGGGCCTTGGGTGGGATGTAGGCAGTGGCTCTTTGCACGGGGTGTGGCTATAACTGGGACCTCCAGGTGGTGGCTCATGGTTGCACTGGGGAAGTAAACTAATCTAGGCATAAAAGTTGATGAAGCTGTAGCACCAGGAGTCCAAGCTGTGAAGGAAGTTGAGTCCTTCCTCCGCCAGCAGCAGACTGTGAGCTGCAGAGTCAAATATGTAAGTAGCAATTATTGGTGAGGCTGTTGGCAGCTCATGGACAAGAACAGAGGTTGTTGGCAGGCAGGCAAATAGCAAGGGCAAGGTCAGTGGCCCTGGTTGGGTTCTGGGTCTGGTGTGATGGTAGTGAGAACTGCAAGAACTCTTTTCACCTAATGACTCCAAACTCCTGTGCTAAGAGATTTGACCAGCCCTAGCATGGCTTCTAGCAGCCTAAGGTGGCATCTCTGGGACCATCCAGCCCCCTTTTAAGTTCCTGTCTGTAAAATCTCCGGGCTGTCAAAAGAATTAACTGTTTGTTGCAGCCAGCACCTAACATAGACCCCTGACCTCCCTTTTGCAAAGCATTCATGCAAAGGGCTTCCTATTGAGACTCCTTCCTCTGCCCCTTTGAGATGTGTGTCTATCTCCTACAACTTACCTTTCTCAAAGACCTGAAAGCCATTCCTTTGAAATGTGATTATCAGGAGGGCCTCTGTCTCCCAGTCTCTGTGGGAGGACAGAATCCCGACCTTGTTGATCACCAGCTAGCAGACACAGCTGGCCGACTGCATTTTCACTTGATCATTTTTCCCTTTAGTCCCTGCTTGCCTCCACCCACTCCCACTCCCACTCCCACTCCCATTCTCCCTTTAAAATGCTGTCACCTCTGGGTAAACCAGAAGAGAGCTCAGCTCCTTTCCCTACTGCCCCTCATTACTGCATATAATCTGTTTTCACTGCTTTAACTAGTGTCTGGCTTGTTTTTCTTTGACAGTTGCTCAGGGGTTAGAAATGGCCCTCCTGGGCAACTCAAAGCTGCAGCATGCATGAGGGGTGAATCAGAGGAGAACTGGTATCCAATCAGGTGATGGTGACAGGGTGGAGCGGTGACCTATGAGCAGGAGTGGTCTGGCCAGCATTGAGGATATATTAGGGACCACAACTGGGGCACATGGTGGTTTTTGTCCAAGAGAGACAGCCAAGTGTACAGCCTGAAGCAAATTGATGTGGGCAGAGAGCATGGGAGTCACCTCCCCGAGTAGTCCTGCAGACATACAAGGGGGGCAGGAGACCCAGAAAGGAGGCATCCTGCTCATTTGGCATCCTGCTCTTTTTTTTTTCTTTTTTTGAGATAGAGTTTCACCTTGTAGCCCAGGCTGGAGTGCAATGGTGTGATCTCAGCTCACTGCAACCTCAGCCTCCTGGGTTCAAGTGATTCTCCTGCCTCAGCCTCCCAAGTAGCTGGGCTCATAGACATGCGCCACCACACCTGCTTAATTTTGTGTTTTTAGTAGTGATGGGGTTTCACCATGTTGGTCAGGCTGGTCTTGAATTCCTGACCTCAGGTGATCTGCCCGCCTCGGCCTCCCAAAGTGCTGGGATTACAGGCATGAGCCACCACGCCTGGCCTCATCCTGCCCTTTTACATGTCAGCTGTTGAGTCCACAGTCTTTCTGTCAATCAGAACTTATTTGTGTACATAAACCACAGATAAAACTCTCTGTGTACTATCGTGGCAATGCTTGGAGATCCCTGTTCACCCAAGAATCTCTTTATTGGGACCATTTATCACAGTCATTATCATTGACCACGTGAATGAGATAATTATTTTGTCTTCTTCCTGCAGGATGGAAAGTTTCCTTTTGAGAGGAGAAAAAAATGGTGAAAAGAAAATTCTAGCAAATAAAAAATGATTTGCAAGGCTTCTCCTGTACTTGCTAAGTAAGTAAGGGGGCTCTTTGGATGACCTCAGACTTTTGGGAAATTGAGAAAGCATATTCCACAGCAGCAGTCCCATGTGGGGGTAGGAGTGGGGTGGCAGAGGGGCAGGGAAGAGAGCTAGAAATGGGGCACGAGGCTGAGGACCCAGGACAGAAAAACTCTGCACCTGCCCCTTTAGTGACCAAGAGTGAATTTCAAACCTAGATTTTGAGTGACAGTAAATTTATATAAATATTTTGAGGCCGGGCACGGAGGCTCACGCCTGTAATCCCAGCACTTTGGGAGGCCGAGGTGGGTGGATCATGAGGTCAGGAGATGGAGACCATCCTGGCTAACACGGTGAAACCCCGTCTCTACTAAAAAATAGAAAAAATTAGCTGGGTGTGTTGGTGGGCACCTGTAGTCCCAGCTACTTGGGAGGCTGAGGCAGGAGAATGGTGTGAACCTGGGAGGCAGAGCTTGCAGTGAGCCAAGATCATGCCACTGCACTCCAGCCTGGGCGACAGAGCGAGACTCTGTCTCAAAAAAAAAAATTTGAAACAAGGTCTTTGCTTTGTTGCCCAGGCTGAAGTGCAGTGGCATGATCACAACTCACTGTAGCTTTGACCTCCTGCGCTCATGCAATACACCTACTTCAGCCTCCCAAGTAGCTGGGACTGCAGGCTCCCCCCACCATACTCGCTTAATTAAAAAAAAAAATTTTGTTGAGATAGGGTCTTGCTATGTTGCCCAGGCTGGTCTGAAACTTGTAGACTCAAGTGACCCTCCTACCTCGGCCTCCCAAAGTGCTGAGATTATAGGCGTCAGCCACTGTGTCTGGACAACAGTCAATTTTTATATGTGGACTTAAAGTTTGCTATATTATTTGAAGTCAATTATGTTTCCTTCTATAACTTTGGGTTGAGGTCAAGCATTGTTGCTCCAGATTTTTTTCCAGATAAGTGGAGTGGGGTACATGCTAAAAGAATTGGGGTTCCCCAGAAGCAAATGGTACTTACCTGACACAAAGGCTTTAGCTAGATCTGTTTAGCCACCTCCAACCTTTCTTTGAAAGTAAACTTTTTTATTTTTAGATTTCTTCTTTTTACAGACACCAGTGTTACTTGCCATTTTTTAAAAAGTTAAATTTTTTTTTTTTTTTTTTAGCACAGATGAGGTCTTACTACATTGCCCAGGCTAGTCTTGAACTAATAGGCTCAAGTGATCCACCTGCCTTGGCCTCCCATATTTTTAGATTTTAAAATACTTTTAGGATTTAGGCTGGGCGTGGTAGCTCACACCTATAATTCCAGCACTTTGGGAGGCCGAGGAGGGCAGATCACCTGACGTCAGGAGTTCAAGACCAGCCTGGCCAACGTGGTGAAACCCCGTCTCTACTAAAAATATAAAAATTAGCCGGTCATGGTGGTGGGCACCTGTAATCCCAGCTACTTGGGAGGCTGAGGCAGGAGAATCACTTGAACCCGGGAGGCGGAGGTTGCAGTGAGCCGAGATCACGCCACTGTACTCCAGCCTGGGCACTAGAGTGAGACCCTGTTTAAAAAAAAAAAAAAAAAGATTGAGTGAAAGAAGCAAGATACAAGAGAGCAATACTGAGTGATTCCTTTCATATGAAGTGTGAGAACAGGTAGAAACTAATTTGTGGTTGTGAAAATTAGAACAATGGTTGCCTCTGAAGGGGATTGACTGGTGTGTGGCATGGAGGAAACGTTTGGGTTGATTAAAATGGCCTAAATCTTGTTGAGGATATTGGTTTCACTGTTGCATATGTTTGTCAAAACTCATCAAACTGTACACTCAAGTCCTGTGCATTTTTCTGTATGTAAATTATACTTCAACCTTAATTTTAAAAGAAGCAGTGAGCCCCCAAATTTTAGATGATGAACTGGTTTGGATTGCTACCTCCTTTCCTGAAAGTCAACCGGGGAGAAACTGTGGAAGCCAGAGGGAAGCAGATTCCAGAACCAACAGAAAATCAAAATGAGGCCATCCTTCTTCTGTTTGCCTCTACTTCCTCTCTGATTGAAGCTGTCTTTTCTTTCTTCCTTTTTCTTTTTAGAGACAGAATCTTACTCTGTTGCTCAGGCTACAGTGCAGTGGCACAGACACGGTTCACGGCAGCCTCAACCTCCTGGGCTTCAGCAATCCTTTTTGCCTCAACCTCCTGAGTAGCTGGGATTACAGGTGTGCACCACCATGCCTGGCTATTTTTTTTTTTTTTTTTTTTGGAGACAGAGTCTCGCTGTCACCCAGGATGGAGTGAAGTGGCGCGATCTAGGCTCACTTCCATCTCCCGGGTTCAAGCGATTCTCACACCTCAGCCTCCTGAGTAGCTGGGACTACAGGCTTGTGCCACCATGTCTGGCTACATTTTTGTATTTTTAGTAGAGACAGGGTTTCACCATATTGTCCAGGCTGGTCTTGAACTCCTGAGCTCTGGCAATCTGCCCACCTCGGCCTCCCAAAGTGCTAGGATTACAGGCGTGAGCCACCGCGCTATTAAAAAAAAAACCATTTTTAAAATTTTTTTATTTGTAAAGACAAGATCTCTCTATGTTGCCCAGGCTAGTCTCGAACTCCTGGGCTCAAGTGATCCTCCCGCCTTGACCTCCCAAAGTGCTGGGACTATATAGGTGTGAGTCAATTCACTCAGCCAGATTGAGGCTGTCTTAAACCTGTGTCTGGGAGGTAGGTAGTTGTGCCTGGGGTAGAGGGCTGTGGTGGGGATGGTGGACGGTCTGGAAGAAAGTGTTTCTGTTTTTTTGTTTTTGTTTTTGTTTTTGTTTTGAGATGGAGTCTTGTTCTGTTGCCCAGGCTGGAGTGCAGTGGAGTGATCTCGGCTCACTGCAACCTTCGCATCCCAGGTTCAAGCTATTCTCTTGCCTCAGCCTGCTGAGTAGCTGAGATTACAGGCGCCCGCCACTATGCCTGGCTAATTTTTTTCTGTTTTTAGTAGAGATGGGGTTTCACCATGTTGGCCAGGCTGGTCTCGAACACCTGACCTTGTGATTCGCCTGCCTCAGCCTCCCAAAGTGCTGGGATTACAGGCGTGAGCCACCGCGCCCAGCTAGTTTTTAAAAATGTATTGACATATTTAGATTTTTTGGATATATTTGGAAAACTGCCTGTTTGACCAGGACCTGTTTGGTTTGGTTTGGTTCTGCCTTGCCTTTTGCTGGAGTTCTTTTAGGACAAACCTTCACTTTCTTCAGGATTAAGTATTTGTGGGGTGACTGACACTGGCAATACAAAAGCTCTGCAAGGGTGAAGCAAGCAGGAACATCTGTCACTCTTCCTTCTTCTCCAACCCCCAGGCTGTGGGATCAATGTAGCAAGACTACTTGATCTCAGGGTCTCTTCTTTCTAAGAGGTTGAGGTGGAACCTTAGGCAGTGGAGCTGCTCGGAGGAGTGGCAGGCAAAGGGAAGCAGCCACAGTTCCTGGGGTGACCTGGGGTGAAGGGGGGCTTTTGGTTCTGGGGCTCATATCCCTCTGTCTCCTTGAATTCATGAGGGCTGATCTAAATTCAGGCCTAAACTTTGACTCTTCCTCACTACTTATTTCCAGACAAATAAGCTGATAGAGGTCCAATTTGATTCTGATTATTTAGCCATAAACTGATTTTTTTTTCCATTTTATCATTCTGTTTTCCTTCTTCTTTTCCTGTGCTACATGCTTTATCTTTTTGTCCATTTATTTATTTATTTATTAGAGATGGAGTCTTGCTCTGTCACCCAGGCTGGAGGGCAGTGGTGCTATCTCGGTTCGCTGCAACCTCCGCCTCCCTGGTTCAAGCAATTCCCCTGCCTCAGCCTCTCGAGTAGCTGGGATTACAGTCGCATGCCAACAGGTCTGGTTAATTTTTTTTGCATTTTTAGTAGAGATGGGGTTTCACCATGTTGGCCAGACTAGTCTCAAACTCTTGACTTCAGGCAGTCCCCCTGCCTCGGCCTCCCAAAGTACTGGGATTACAGGCGTGAGTTACGGTGCCCGGCCTTTTTTTGTCCTTTAAAACTGTTCCTGGCCGGGTACAGTAGCTCATGCCTATAATCCCAGTGCTTTGCGAAGCTGAAGCCAGAGGATCATTTGAGGCCAGGAGTTCAAGACCAGCTTGGGCAACACAGTGAGACTCTGTCTCTACAAAATTAATAATAAAATTAGCCGGGTGTGATGGTACCCGCTTATAGCTTCTTCAGGAGGCTGAGGTGGGAGGATTGCTTGAGCCTAGGAGTTCAAGGGTGCAGTGAGCCATGATTGTGCCACTGCACTCCAGGCTGGGTGACAGAGTGAGATCTCCATCTGTTCCCACTGTGGCAATCTCCTCCACAAAGTAAATATTATTTCTATGTTTGTTTCTTATACAATTGTTTGCATGTTCAGAATTCTCCCTGGCTTTATTCTTCTTTGGCTACTATGGGGTTGATAATATGTGAAACATTACTTGGACACAAGAACAGCAACATTGTTGAATTGTATGTAGTTCACAAAGACCATTCATTATAGCTAATGCCATCTGTTGGTGGAGGGAAGAGTTGACATTCTTTTTTTCTGTGACTGTAGACATTGAAATGTAAGGGGAGAAGCTTGTCTATACATGTTATTCAGAGGCTTTAAAAATAATTCGCTGTATATAGTAGATACTTTTCCTTGTAAATATATAAATAGATCTATTTTATTTATTTATTTTTTGAGATGGAGTCTCGCTCTGTCACCCAGGCTGGAGTGCAATGGCTCGATCTCAGCTCACTGTAACCTCCGCCTCCCAGGTTCAAGTGATTCTCCCTGCCTCAGCCTCCAGAATAGCTGGGATTACAGGTGTGCGCCACCACACTTGGCTAATTTTCGTACTTTTAGTAGAGACGGGGTTTTGCCATGTTGGCCAGGCTGGTCTTGAATTCCTGACCTCAGGTGATCCCCCTGCCTTGGCCTCCCAAAGTGCTGGGATTACAGGCATGAGCCACCGCTCATGGCCTAGATCTATTTTATTTTAAAATATCTTTGTACTGTTCCATAGTATGGGTGTACCATAATTTATTCAACCATTCCCCAATTGATGGGCATTTAGGTGGTTCCTATATTTTATTTTTTTGAAATGGAGTTTTGCTCTTGTTGCCCAGGCTGGAGTGCAATGGAGTGATCTCAGCTCACTGCAACCTCTGCCTCCTGAGTTCAAGCGATTCTCCTGCATCAGCCTCCCGAGTATCTGGGATTACAGGTATGCGCCACCAGTCCCGGCTACTTTTTGTATTTTTAGTATAGATGGGGTTTCACCATGTTGGTCAGGCTGGTCTCGAACTCTTGACCTCAGGTGATCCACCTGCCTCAGCCTCCCAAAGTGCTGGGATTACAGATGTGAGCCACCACGCCTGGCCTTATTTTTTATTTATTTTTTTGAGACAGAGTTTTGCTCTCGTTGCCCAGGCTGGCATGCAGAGGCATGATCTTGGCTCACTGCAACCTCTGCCTTCTGGTTTCAAGCGATTCTCCTGCCTCAGCCTCCCGAGTAGTTGGGATTATAGGCGCCTGCCACCACGCCCAGCTAATTTTTGTATTTTCAGTAGAGGTGGGGTTTCCCCATGTTGGCCAGGCTGGTCTCGAACTCCTGACCTTGTGATCCGCCCGCCTTGGCTTCCCAAAGTGCTGGAATTACAGGTGTGAGCCACCACGCCCGGCCTTTTTTTTTTTTTTTTTTTTTTTTTAAGTAGAGGTGGGTTTTCACCATGTCGTCCAGGCTGGTCTCAAATGCCTGACCTTGTGATCCGCCTGGCTTATCTCAAATGCCTGACCTCAGGTAATTTGCCCACCTCAGCCTCCCAAAGTGCTGGGACTGCAGGCATGAGCCATGGCACCCAGCCCTAAATAAAGCTTTTTGTTTGTTTTTTTGAAACAGAGTCTCGCTCTGAGACCCAGGCTGGAATGCAGTGGCACGATCTCAGCTCACTGCAACCTCTGCCTCCCAGGTTCAAGTGATTCTCCTGCCTCAGCTTCCCGAGTAGCTGGGACTACAGGCATGTGCCACCACACCTGGCTTATTTTCAAATTTTTGTTTATTTTTTTTTTTGAGTCAGGATCTTGCTCTATTGCTCAAGCTGGAGTGCAGTGGCATGATCATAGCCCACTTCAGCCTTGACCTCTGGGCTCTGTGATCCTCCTACCTCAGCCTCCCAAGTAGCTAGACTACAGGTGTGCACCACCATCCCTAGTTAATTTTTTTTTTTGTAGCGACGTCATCTTGCTATGTTGCCCAGGCTGATTTCAAATTCCCAGGCTCAAGTGATCCTCCCACCTCAGCCTCCCAAAATGTTGGGATTATGGGCATGAGCCACTGTGCCTGGCTTAGATTTTTTTTACTACAGATAATCTCAGAAATTACATATCTTTAGGTTTAAATATATATTTCTTTGATTTTCAATAAGCATATAAAAAGCATCTTTTTATAGGTTTACTCATCATGTCAATAAATAGATTTCTGCTTCATAATTTTTTTTTTTTTTTTGAGACAGAGTCTTGCTCTGTCACCTAGGCTGGAGTGCAATGGCACAATCTTAGCTCACTGCAACCTCCACCTCCTGGGTTTAAGTGATTCTCCTGCCTCAACCTTCTTAGTAGCTGGGATTACAGGTGCACGCCACCACGTGTGGTTAATTTATGTATTTTTAGTAGAGATGAGGTTTCACCATTTTGGCTAGGCTGTTCTTGAACTCCTGACCTCAAGTGATCCACCTGCCTTGCCCTCCCAAAATGCTGGGATTACAGACGTGAGCCACAGTGCCTGGCCTTGCTTCATGATTTTTTAGTGCTTATATAATATTATAAGATGTGGTGGTGTAACAGTTTGCCCAGATAACCTCTAAAGTTGGATATTTGTGTCGTTTCTGTAGTGGCAAACTCAAATGTTCTTTATATCTCACATGTGGGCTTTATTGCAGCAAGGTTGCAGGAGTGAAGCAATAATCAAAATAAACCAGAGATTTCCTGAATAAACCTGTGTCTTCAGACAGTGGACAGTTTTCTTTTCTTTTCTTTTCTTTCTTTTTTTGAGATAGAGTTTCACTCTTGTTGTTCAGGCTGGAGTGCAATGGTGTGATCTCAGCTCACTGCAACTTCCGTCTCCCAGGTTCAAGTGACTCTCCTGTCTCAGCCTCCCGAGTAGCTGGGATTACAGGCGTCCACCACCACGCCCAGCTAATTTTTCAAAATATTTTTAGTAGAGATGGGAGTTCATCATGTCGGCCAGGCTGGTCTCGAACTCCTGACCTCAAGTGATCGCCCACCTCTGCCTCCCAAAGTGCTAGTATTACAGGCATGAGCCACTGTGCCCGGCCGACAGTTTTCTATAATCATCAGCCACTTCCAGTTTTATAACATCACTCATCATGGTGGCTTCAAGATTCGTGACATAAGGCATTTTTCTCTGGTTAAATTAAGGTGGGGAAACTTGTTTAGCTGACCAGCTGCTTGAAAAATATCTTACAACTCATGAGCTGGCTTTTGTCATTTTTTTTTTTTTTTTTTTTTTGTGGCAAAGGATCACACGTAACAGAACTCTTTTTGTTTTAATCATTTTTAAGTGTGCAGTTCAATGATGTTAGTTACATGCACAATATTGTGTAACCATCACCACTATTTCCAAAATCCTTTTTTTTTATTTTTTATTTTTTAAATTTTATTATTATTTTTTTTTTATTGATCATTCTTGGGTGTTTCTTGCAGAGGGGGATTTGGCAGGGTCACAGGACAATAGTGGAGGGAAGGTCAGCAGATAAACAAGTGAACAAAGGTCTCTGGTTTTCCTAGGCAGAGGACCCTGCGGCCTTCCGCAGTGTTTGTGTCCCTGGGTACTTGAGATTAGGGAGTGGTGATGACTCTTAAGGAGCATGCTGCCTTCAAGCATCTGTTTAACAAAGCACATCTTGCACCGCCCTTAATCCATTTAACCCTGAGTGGACACAGCACATGTTTCAGAGAGCACAGGGTTGGGGATAAGGTCACAGATCAACAGGATCCCACGGGAGAAGAAGTTTTCTTAGTACAGAACAAAATGAAAAGTCTCCCATGTCTACTTCTTTCTACACAGACACGGCAACCATCCGATTTCTCAATCTTTTCCCCACCTTTCCCGCCTTTCTATTCCACAAAGCCGCCATTGTCATCCTGGCCCGTTCTCAATGAGCTGTTGGGCACACCTCCCAGATGGGGTGGTGGCCGGGCAGAGGGGCTCCTCACTTCCCAGTAGGGGCGGCCGGGCAGAGGCGCCCCTCACCTCCCGGACGGGGCGGCTGGCCGGGCGGGGGGCTGACCCCCCCACCTCCCTCCCGGACGGGGCGGCTGCCGGGCGGAGACGCTCCTCACTTCCCAGACAGGGTGGCTGCCGGGCGGAGGGGCTCCTCACTTCTCAGACAGGGCGGTTGCCAGGCAGAGGGTCTCCTCACTTCTCAGACGGGGCGGCCGGGGAGAGACGCTCCTCACATCCCGGACGGGGCGACAGGGCAGAGGCGCTCCCCACATCTCAGACGATGGGCGGCCGGGCAGAGACGCTCCTCACTTCCTAGATGTGATGGCGGCCGGGAAGAGGCGCTCCTCACTTCCTAGATGGGATGGCGGCTGGGCAGAGACGCTCCTCACTTTCCAGACTGGGCAGCCAGGCAGAGGGGCTCCTCACATCCCAGACGATGGGCGGCCAGGCAGAGACGCTCCTCACTTCCCAGACGGGGTGGCGGCCGGGCAGAGGCTGCAATCTCGGCACTTTGGGAGGCCAAGGCAGGCAGCTGGGAGGTGGAGGTTGTAGCGAGCCGAGATCACGCCACTGCACTCCAGCCTGGGCACCATTGAGCACTGAGTGAAGGAGACTCCGTCTGCAATCCCGGCACCTCGGGAGGCTGAGGCTGGCGGATCACTCGCGGTTAGGAGCTGGAGACCAGCCCGGCCAACACAGCGAAACCCCGTCTCCACCCAAAAAATACGAAAACCAGTCAGGTGTGGCGGTGCGCGCCTGCAATCGCAGGCACTCGGCAGGCTGAGGCAGGAGAATCAGGCAGGGAGGTTGCAGTGAGCCGAGATGGCAGCAGTACAGTCCAGCTTCGGCTCGGCATCAGAGGGAGACCGTGGAAAGAGGGGAGAGGGGAGAGGGGAGAGGGCTTTTGTCATTAATTTGGTTAGGTGGTTTCAGATATTTATATTTTGTTGTAGAGACAGAGAAGCATATTTTTTGAAATGTTTGTCCAAATTCCGAGTGCCAGCCAAACTTTCACACTCCTGTCTATTATTCTAGGGAGTACTACTCTAAAGAATACAGTAGGTCCCCCTTATCTGCAGTTTCACTTTCTTTGGTTTCAGTTACCCATCGTCAACCGTGGTCTGAAGATATAAAATGAATAATATCAGAAATGAAAACCATTCAGAAGTCTTTTTTTTTTTTTGAGACGGAGTTTTGCTCTTGTTGCCCAGGCTGGAGTTCAGTGGCACTGCTGGGGATTGATAAGGAATTAGAGAGACCAATGGGGTTGAGGAGGATATTTATTATTTAGGTGCACCAGCCCAGTCAGATTCACATCCAAAGGACTGCGCCCTGAACAAAGAGTTAAGTTACCTTTTAAGCATTTCATGAGGTTGGGGGAGATCTGTGCAGGGGGAAGCATACTACAGAAGCGAGAAACAGAGACAGTTGTTTAATTAATTGGGACATGCATTACATCATTTCTTAGTTTTCAAGGAAAAACATGGTTTTTTTTTTGTTTTTTTTTTTTGAGACGGAGTCTCGCTCTGTCGCCCAGGCTGGAGTGCAGTGGCACGATCTGGGCTCACTGCAAGCTCCGCCTCCTGGGTTCACGCCATTCTCCTGCCTCAGCCTCCCGAGTAGCTGGGACTACAGGTGCCCGCCACCATTTTATGACTTGAGTTTATCTGTCTAGTGACCTTGCAGCTGCACAGCTAGAGAAACAGGGTCTTCACAATGCCTGGGAAAGGAGGAGAGATAAGGCTCACTAGCCACAGAAAAACAGTTAATTTTTAAAGGACTCCAGCTCTTTCTGTTTTTCAGGGGGAATTGGGTTTTCTTACATACAACTGAGTTTCTGCTTACACATTTTAAACTTTCTTTTAATTTCTGTTCAAGGGCAATCTCGGCTCACTGCAACCTCCGCCTCCCGGGTTCAAGTGATTCTCCTGCCTCAGCCTCCTGAGTAGCTGGGATTACAGGCACCCGCCATCACCCCTGGCTAATTTTTTATGCTTTTAGTAGAGACAGGGTTGCATCATGTTGGCCAGGCTGGTCTCGAACTCCTGACCTCAGGTGATCCACCTGCCTCGGCCTCCCAAAGTGCTGGGATTACAGGCATGAGCCACCGATCCCGGCCCATAAGTCTTAAGTTGCATGCCATCCTGAGTAGCATGACGAAATCTTGTGCCATCCTTCCTGCTCCATCCAGCTCAGGACATGAATCCCCACTTTGTCCAGTGTATCCATGCTCCCCACTCATTAGTCGGTTCCTAGCTGTCTAGGTGATCAGATCAACTGTCTGAGTATTTCAGTGCTTGTGTTCAAGTCACCCTTATTTTACTTAACAATGGCCCCAAAACGAAAGAGTAGTGATGCTGGCAATTAGGATATGCTAAAGAGAAGCTGGAAAGTGCTTCCTTTCAGTGTAGAGGTGAAAGTTCTTGATTTGAGAAAAAAATCATATGCTGAAGTTGCTAAGAGCTTACAATAAGAATGAATCTCCTATTGGTGACATTGTGAAGGAGGAAAAAAGAAATTCATGCTAGTTTTGCTGTCATACCTCAGACTGTAAAAGTTGTAGCCACAGTGTGTGGTAAGTGCTTAGTTAAGATGGAAAAGGCACTAAATTTGCAGGTGGAAGGAAGACATGAACAGGAACATGTTCCAGTCGATAGCAATATATTGGGCCAGATTAACTTAATGTTAATTAAACTTTTTTTTTTTCTTTGAGACAGGGTCTTGATCTGTTGCCCAGGCTGGCTGCAGTGGTACAATCTTGGCTCATTGCAGCCTCGACCTTCTGGGCTCAAGTGATCCCTCACCTCAGCCTCCCAAATAGCTGGGACTGCAGGCACACGCCACCACACTCGCCTAATTTTGTTCATTTTTTGTAGAGACAGGGTTTCATTATGTTGCCCAGACTGGTCTTAAACTCCTGGACTCAAGCAATCTTCTCGCCTCAGCCTCCTAAAGTGTTGGGATTACAGCCATGAGCCACCACACCTGGCAAATTAAATTTTATTGTAGGTTTGTATGTATAGGGAAATAGGGTTTGATACTATTCGTGGTTTCAGGCATCCACTGGGGGTATCGGAATGTATCCCCCAAGGGGAGGGCCACTGTAATTATCAAATTATAGTTGAGCAGGGCGTGGTGGCTCATGCCTGTAATCCCAGCACTTTGGGAGACCGAGGCGGGTGGATCATGAGGTCAAGAGATCGAGACCATCCTGGCCAACATGGTGAAGCCCCGTCTCTACTAAAAATACAAAAATTAGCTGGGCATGGTGGCACGTACCTGTGGTCCCAGCTACTCAGGAGGCTGAGGCAGGAGAATCGCTTGAACCCGGGAGGTGGAGGTTGCAGTGAGCCGAGACTGCCACTGCACTCCAGCCTGGCAACAGAGCAAGACTCTGTCTCAAAAAAAAAAAAAAAAAATAGAGTTGGATAAGCATTATATCAGAACTATTTTGTTTCTTTTTTTGACTTATGTGTACATTGGATAAGTGTCTTTTTGGTCAGGGCCTGTTTTATTTGTCCATAGGAAGATCTAGGGCATCACTATTTGTCAGAAAGAGGAAATACAGGCATGAAACCAACAGGACAAACTTTATTACTTTAAGGATTTTCCTTCTTAGTGTCTGTCAAGGGCTTATGACCAGAAAGAGTTGTCCAGTCTATGGAGCTGAATTGTATTAACTTTAGAGATTTTACAGCAACTTGAATTTTGTTTACAATCGGTTCTTATGTGTTTATCTTGATGTATAAAGTTGCAACATGTTTGACAGATTTAAGCATATACTTCTTTTTGAGCAGTCAGCAGATAATTATAGACTATTTGATTTCTTTCTTATTTTGTAGAGAAGGGGTTCTCCCTACCTTTCCCAGGCTGGTCTCGAACTCCTGGGCTCAGGCGATCCTCCCGCCTTGGCCTCCCAAAGTGCTGGGATTACAGGCATGAGCCACCACATCCAGCCAGACTATTTGATTTTTTAGGATGCTTCCTAAGAAAGGATCCATCCCTCGCTTCCTTCCTTCTTTTTCCTATCGAGGGATAGTATACATATTACAGATTTCATAGCCTATATTAATCCTGAGTACTTGATGGATTTTTACATAGGTACACATCCATGTGACCACCATCCGAATAAAGAAAGGGGACATTGACAGCAAGCCAGCGAGCCTCTGTGTGCCCCTTTCCCATCTATACTATCCTCCTATTGGAGGTAACTACAATTCTGATTTTTTTTCTTTTTTTTTTTTTTTTCAGACAAGGTCTCCCTCTGTCGCTCAGGCTGGAGTGCAGTGGTGCAATCACGGGTCACTGCAGCCTGGACCTCTGTGGCTCAAGAATTCTGATTCTATTATCATCAGTTTTGCCTGTTCTTGTACATACAGTGTGTGCTCTTGTGTGTGGTTCCTTTTGTTCAACATTCTATGTTTTTGAGCTGCATCCATGTTGTTGAGCATACAAACAGCTGTTTTGACGTTGTTGTCATTGTGTTGTATTCCATTGTATGACTATGCTACCGTTTATCTGTCTGTTGATGAATTTGAGCTGTTTCCAATCATTGCCTATTAACAAATAAAGTGGCTAGTAACATTCCTGTACATATCTATTTGTGCAGCCATTCTCTTGGGTACATACTTAGGGTTAGAATTGTTAGGTGAGAAGGTAGGCACATATTAAGTGTTAGAAAAGTCTGCTAACACATTCCCAGAGGTTGTACAATTTTAGACTCCTACTGGCAAGATCTGATGTTCCAGTTGCACCAGGGCCTTGTGAACCCTTGCCACTGTCTGTCTTTTAAATGTAGCCATTCTGAGGAGTGTGTTTTGGTATTTCCTTGTGGTTTCAATTAGTATTTCATGGCTACTTGATTTTGTGGGTCTACTCTACCCAGGCTTTTCACTTTTTGTCTGAAAAGCCTTATATTCTGTGTAATGAAATACACCAGTGTTTAAAATTGTTTCTGAGATGACTGGACAGCTTTTACCCATTTGCTTACTTCCGGTCTTGGCATCACTATTCTCATGGCATTAAGAATGCTTGTGTGTGTGTGAGGCTGGGCGTGGTGGTTCATGGCTGTAATCCCAGCACTTCGGGAGGCCGAGGTGGGTGGATCACTTGAGGTCAGGAGTTCGAGACCAGCCTGGCCAACATGCTGAAAACCCGTCTCTACTAAAAATACAAAAATTAGCCGGGCCTGGTGGTGCATGCCTGTAATCCCGGCTACTCAGGAGGCTGAGGCAGGAGAATCGCTTGAACCCAGGAAGCGGAGGTTGTAGTGAGCTGAGATTGTGCCACTGCACTCCAGCCTGGGCAACAGAATGAGACTCTGTCCCAGAAAAAAAAAAAAAAGAATGCTTGCACGCGCATGAGTCTGTGTGTGTGTGTGTGTGTATGTGTGTGTGTTGACATCTGGTAGGTTTCTGTTTCAGAGTTTTTCTTTTCTTTCTTTCCTTTCTCCCTCCCCTCCCCTCCCTTTCTTTTGAAAAGGGTCTCACTCTCACCAGGCAGGAGTGCAGTGGTGCCATCACCACTCACTGCAGCCTCAACCTCCCAGGCTCAAGCAATCCTCCCACCTCAGCCCCGTGAGTAGCTGGGACTACAGGAATGTTTGCCACCATGCCTGGCTAATTTTTTATATTTTTAGTAGAGTTGGGGTTTTGCCATGTTGGCCAGGCTGGTCTCAAACTCCTGGCCTCAAGTGATCCACCCAGCTCAGCCTCCCTAAGTTTTGGGATTACAGGTGTGAGCCACCGTGCCTGGCCTTAGTCCCTCTTTAATAAGAACATTAACCCCACTCATGAGGCTCTGCCCCAGTGACCTAATCACCTCCCAAAGGCCCCACCTCCTAATACCATCACCTTGGGGGAGAGAATTTCAACATAAGAATTTTTGGGGGATACAAACATTAGGCCATAGAAGGTGGCTATTGGCATAGGATGGTAGGTACTTCATGCACGCAACAGGGGGTATAAATTTGTGTAGTTTTTCCTGGAGGGGATTTTAGCAGTCTCTATAAAAAATTCTAAAGTGGGCTGAGCTCAGTGGTTCACGCCTGTAATCCCAGTACTTGGGAAGGCTGAGGTGAGCAGTTTACTTGAGGCCAGGAGTTTGAGACCAGCCCGGCCAACGTGGTGAAACCCAGTCTCTACTAAAAAAATACAAAAATTAGCCAGGTGTGGTGGTGTGTGCCTGTAATCCCAGCCACTTTGGAGGCTGAGGCAGGAGAATTGCTTGCACCAGGGAGGTGGAGGTTGCAGTGAGCCGAGATTGCACCACTGTACTCCAGCCTGGGTGACAGAATGAGACTCTGTCTTGAAAAAAAATTTTTTTAAAGTGCCTATTGTTCAGTACAGCAGTCCACTTCTAGTTATTATTCCACAGAAATACTTTATCCTATGGAAATATTCTATTCCTTGAAAATATTCCATGTGAGCCCAAAGGTATTTAAGTAAAGTTCATATACAATGTCCATCATTGTTTGTAATGAAGAAAAATAGAAGCCAGGCACAGTGGCTCACACTTGTAATCCCAGCACTCTGGGAGGCCCAGGCAGGTGGATCACCTGAGGTCAGGGGTTCAAGACCAGCCTGGCCAATATGGCGAAACTCCGTCTCTATTAAAAATACAAAAATTAGCCGGGCGTGTTGGTGGGCGCCTGTAATCCCAGCTACTCAGGAGGCTGACTGGAGAATCACTTGAACTGGGGAGGCGGAGGTTGCAGTGAGCCGAGAACGTGCCACTGCACTCCAGCCTGGGTGACAGAGAGAGACTCCATCTCAAAAAAAAAAAAAAGTAGGAAACTGCCCATATGTCCACTGATAGAGGCATGGTTAAACATTATTTGGTATGTGGTATTATGTTATTTTTAGAGACAGGTCTTGCTCTGTTGCCCAGGCTGGAGTGCAGTGGTGTGATCACTGCAGCCTCGCACTTCTGGGCTCAAACGATCCTCCCACCTCAGCCTCCCAAGTAGCTGGGATTACAAGTGTGAGACAATGTGCCTGGCAGCACATGGTATTAAATACTGTACCTCAGTCAACAAGGATGATGAATGGTCATTAAAAATCTTCAATACTTACTAAGTTCAAAATGCAAGTAGAAGAATAATAGGCATAACACAATTCCATTTATATAAAAATAATGCACACTGCAAAAGAATGAAGTTGGACCCTTACCTAACACCATATACAAAAAATAACTCAAAGTAGATCAAATACCTAAATGTAAGACCCAACACCACCACCACTCTCAGAAGCAAACGTGATAAACATGACATTGGATTTAACAGTGAATTCTTAGATATGTGTGACACCAAAGGCACAGGCAACAGATGAAAAAATAGACAAATTGCACTACATGGAAACTTAAAAGTTTTTGTGCCTCAAAAGACACTATCAACAATGTAAAAAGGCAACCCAAAGAATGGCAGAAAATATTTGTAAATCATATATATCTGATAAGGGATTATCATCCAGAATATGTAAAGAGCTCCTAAAACTCGGCCGGGCATGGTGGGTCACTCCTGTAATCCCAGCACTTTGGGAGGCCCAGGTGAGTGGATCACTTGAGGCCAGGAGTTCGAGACCAGCCTGGTCAACATGGTGAAACCTCGTCTCTACTAAAAATACAAAAATTATCCAGGTGTGGTGGCATGCGCCTGTAATCTCAGCTACTTGGGAGGCTGAGGCGGGAAAATCACTTGAACCTGGGAGGCAGAGGCTCCAGTGAGCTGAGATTGCACCACTGCACTCCAGCCTGGCCTGGGTGACACAGCGAGACTCCATCTCAAAATACAAACAAACAAACAAAAAACCTCCTAAAACTCAACAACAACAAAATCAATCCAATTCAAAAATGGACAAAGAACTTAAATAGACATTTCTCCAAAGAAGGTATGCAAATGGCAAATAAGCACATGAAAAGATGCTCAACATCAAGAATTATTAGGGAAATGTAAATCAAAACCACAATGGGATAACACCTTAAACCTATTAGGATGTTACTATCAAAACCAAACCAAAACAACAACAACAACAACAGATAAAATAAAATAAAATAAAAAGAACCCAGAAAATAAGTAATGGCAGGAGTGTGAAGAAATTGTCAGTCTTGTACACTGTTGGTGGAAATATAAATTGATAAAGCTGCTATGGAAAACAATGTGGCAGTTCCTCAGAAAATTAAAAGTAGAATTACCATGTGATCCAACAATTCTATTTTTGGATATATACTCAATATAATTGAAAGCAGGATACAGTCATGTTCATAGCAGCATTATTTACAGTAGTCAAAAGGTGAAAGCCAACCAAGGGTCCATCAGTGAATGACTGGATAAGCAAAATGTGGTATATCTATACAATGGAATATTATTTATGCTTAAAAATAGGGAAATTCTGACACATGCTATGATATAGGTGAACCTTGAGGACATTATGCCAAGTGAAATAAGCCAGTCACAAAAAGACAAATACTGTATGATTCTACTTATATGAGGTACCTAGGAGTATCAAATTCATAATAGTGGTGGTTACCAGGGGCTGGAGGAAGGGAGAAATGTTTATTGTGATTGTTACTATTTAATGGGCACAGAGTTACTGTTTAGTGGGTACAGAGTTTCAGTTTTGCAAGATGAAAAGTGTTACGGAGATGGATGGTGGTGATGGCTGCACTACATTATGGATGTATTCATTTATTTTAGAGACAGAGTCTCACACTGTTGCCCAGGCTGGAGTGCAGTGTCTATAACCTTCAGCTCCTGGACTCCAGCGATCCTCCCACCTCAGCTAGGACCACAGGAATATGCCACCATGCTCAGTAATTTTCTTTTCCTTCTTTTTTTTTTTTTTTTCTTGTTTGTAGAGATAGGGTCTTGGTATGTTGCCCAGGCTGGACTTGAACTCCTGGCCTCAAGTGATCCTCTCGCTTCAACCTCCCAAAGCGTTGGAATTAAAGGTGTGACTTACTGTGCCAGACCTGAATATATTTGATAATACTGAATTGTAAACTGAAAATGGTTAAGATGGTAAATTTTATGTTAATGTGTATTTCGCCACAATAAAAAATGGAAAATATGAAAAATGTACACATGGGTTTGTTTATTTATTTATTTTGAGAAAGAATTTTACTCTTATTGCCCAGGCTGGAGTGCAATGGCGCCATCTTGGCTCACTGCAACCTCTGCCTCCCAGGTTCAAGTTATTCTCCTGCCTCAGCCTTCCAAATAGCTGGAATTACAGGCTCCCGCCACTATGTCCAGCTAATTTTTTTGTATTTTTAGTAGAGACAAGGTTTCACCATGTTGGCCAGGCTAGTCTCGAACTCCTGGCCTCAAGTGATTCCCCCCGCCTCAGCCTCCCAAAGTGCTGGGATTACAGGCATGAGCCACTGCACCAAGCCACATAGGTTTATTTTTATATATACATATACATGTCTATAAATGTATAAAAAAAGGACTAGAAGGATACACTCCAAACTGTTAATAGTTGTCACTTCTGGGAGGGGGTTAGTGAGTGTCTGGAACACACTGGGGGATGGAAGGAAGACCTTTTGCTTTTTTTTTTTTTTTTTTTTTTTTTGAGACAAGGTCTTTGTCATCCAGGCTGGAGTACAGTGGTGCAATCATAGCTCACTGGAGTCTCGAACTTCTGGGCTAAAGCAATCCTCCCACCTCAGCCTCTTGAGTAGCTGGGACTACAGGTGTATGCCATCCTACCCAGCTAACTTTAAAATTTTTTTTGTGGAGACAAGGTCTCACCTTGCTGATCAAGCTGGTCTTGAACTCCTGGCCTCGAGCAATCCTCCTGCCTTGGCCTCCCAAAGTGCTGGGATTACAGGCATGAACCATCATGCTTGGGCCCATCTTTTGCTTTTTTTTTTTTTTTTTTTTTGAGATGGAGTCTCGCTCTGTCGCCCAGGCTGCAGTGCAGTGGCACGATCTTGGTTCACTGCAACCTCTGCCTCCTGGGTTCAAGCAATTCTCCTGCCTCAGCCTCCTGAGTAGCTGGGACTACAGGTGTACACCACCACACTCGGCTAATTTTTTTGTATTTTTAGTAGAGACGGGGTTTCACCATGTTGGTCAGGCTGCTCTCGAACTCCTGACCTCATGATCCGCCCACCTCAGCCTCCCAAAGTGCTGGGATTATAGGCAAGAGCCACCACACCCAGCTCCGCCTTTTGCTTTTCAAGATATTTCTGTACTATTTGAATTTTTACAGCAAGAGCATAGTGACTGGGAAGGAAAGGTTGAGCAGCAATCCTGAAACCTATTTCTTCTCTTTACCAAGGATCCTTGGGGGAAGAAAGGGATCCCCACTCACATCCCCTTGTAAACACTCCAGTAACCAGAGCTTCTGGTAAGCAAACTAATGGTATTTACTAGCAGAAAGATAATGGTAAGTCTTTATCTGTGTAATGCATTTATCAATATATACGTTGTCTGCCTAGGGTGTTTACCAGAAGTAAAATTGGAATTTGTGGATTTATGGAGCATAGCGTGCTGGAAAATGTCACATAAGCTGTGTAATTAATGGGGTGTAAAATGAAGATGCTCTGTAATCAATATGGCTCCTTCGTGTAAGTGGTGGCATGTACAATTGCTTAGACTCACACATTAAATACAAGTGCAAACATATTCTATGCAGTAGAGGAATGCTCTCTGTGGGGAGGTGTTGATGGTGTTGAACTTCAAGGGAGGGATGTTTTGCCTGTGCCTTGGGATCGTCTGTATCCTTTGAATTAGTAGAGTTTGGTACTGTGAGATCTATGATTCATGTGATTTGACTTGACAAATTGGGAGACATAGATTGGGTAACATCAGCACATAAATGCATCTTACAGCTGTGGAATTTGAGAGATATAGTCAGAGGAAGGGTGAGAGAGGTCATAGATACAAAACAGAAGAGCAGGCTGGGCATGGTGGCTCACACCTCAGCACTTTGGGAGGCCGAGGTGGGCAGATCACCTGAGGTCAGGAGTTCGAGACCAGCCTGGCCAACATGGTGAAACCCTGCCTCTACTGAAAATACAAAAATTAGCCAGGCATGGTGGTGGGTGCCTGTAATCCCAGCTACTCGGGAGGCTGGAGGCAGGGAGAATTGCTTGAACCCAAGAGGTAGAGGTTACAGTGAGCTGAGTTCATGCCACTGCACTCCAGCCTGGGTGATAGAGCAAGACTCCATCTCAAAAACAAAACAAAAAATTTAAAGAAAACAGAAGTGCTTGGACTATTGCAGTAGCTTCATAACCGGTCTCCCAGCTTCCCTTCTTGACCGCTCCATAACCCAGTCTCCACACAGCATGACACCCCTGTTTGGAACTTTCCAGTGGCTTGCCATCACAGTTAGAATAAAATACAAAGTGCTTATCATGGCCCACAAGGCCCTACACAAATGGGCTCCTGGGACCTCTTCAGCTCAACTCCTAGTACTCCCTTCCTTGTTAACCAATGTTCATGCTATGCTGGGCTCTTTCAACTGCCTGAGAGCCCCTTTCTGGCTGTTTTCTCTCCCTGCAGTATCTTTCCCTTGGGGCATTCTCTGCATGGCTGGCCCTCTCTCAGGTTTCAAGTCTCAGTTCCAATGTCACCTTCTTAAGGGATTTGCCTTGGTAATGCAATCTAAAGCAGCTCTACCCTCCCTCAGTCTCTATTGCCTTACCTCATCACCATCATTTTATTTGCTTTAGAGCACTATCTGAAATTATTGTGCTTTCTTGTTTATTTTTTTTTGAGACAGGGTCTTGCTCTGTCATTGAGGCTGCAGTGCAGTGGCACAATCATGGCTCACAGCCAGCAAGGAAGAGAGTACTAGGAGTTGAGCTTAAGAGGTCTCAGGAGCCCATTTGTGTAGGGCCTTGTGGGCCATGATAAACACTTTGTATTTTATTCAAAATGTGATGGCAAGCCACTGGAAAGTTCCAAACAGTGATGTCATGCTATGTGGAGACTGGGTTATGGAGAGGTCAAGAAGGGAAGCCTCGACTCCCAGAGCTCAAGTGATCCTCCTAGCTCAGCCTCCTGAGTAGCTGGGACTACAGGTGTGTGCCACCGTGCCCAGCTAATTTTTAATTTTTTGTAGAGACAAAATCTTGCCATGCTGCTTAGGCTGGTCTTGAACTCCTGGGCTCAAGTGATCAGCCCACCTTGGCCTCTCAAAGAGTTGGGATTACAGGTGTGAGCCACGGTGCCCAGCCTGATTTTTTAATAGTGGTAAAATATACACAACATAAAATTTACCATTTTAACAAAAGAATTTTTTTTTTGAGGTGGAGTTTTGCTCTTGTTGCCCAGGCTGGAGTGCAATGGCACGATCTCAGCTCACTGCAACCTCTGCCTCCCAGGTTCAAGCGATTCTCCTGCCTCAGCCTCCCAAGTAGCTGGGATTACAGGTATGTGCCACTGTGCCTGGCTAATTTTGTATTTTTAGTAGAGATAGGGTTTCTCTATGTTGGCCAGGCTGGTCTCTAACTCCTGACCTCAGGTGATCCACCCACCTCGGCCCCCCAAAGTGCTGGGATTACAGGTGTGAGCCACCACGCCCGGCCCATTTTAACTATTTTTAAGTGTACAGTTCAGTGGCATTAAGTACATTCATAATGTTGTGTCATCATCACCACTATTTCCAGAACTTTTTTTTATCATCCCAAACAGAAACTCTATGCCCGTTAGACAGTAACTTCCTATTCCTTCCTCCCCTCAGCCTCTGGTAACCTCTATTCTACTTTTTGTCAATGAATTTTCCTGTTCTAGGTACCTCATATAGGTGCAATGATACAATCTTTGCCCTTTTGTGTCTGGCTTTCAGGGTTCATCCATGTTGGAGGATGTGTCAACATTTCACTCCTTTTAAAGGTTTTCAAGATTCATCCATGTTGTAGCATGTGTCAGCAGCTCATCCCTTTTAAAGGCTGAGTAATATTCCTTTTTTTTTTTTTTTTTTTTAGACGAAGTTTTGCTCTTGTTGCCCAGGCTGGAGTGCAGTGGCGCGATATCTTGGCTCACTGCAACCTCTGCCTCCAGGGTTCAAGCGATTCTCCTACCTCAGCCTCCTGAGTAACTGGGATTACAGGCATCCGCCACCAAGCCTGGTGGCTTGGTTTTTTTTTTTTTTTTGAGACGGAGTTTGGCTCTCGTTGCCCAGTCTGGAGTGCAATGACGCTATCTCAGCTCACTGCAACCTCCGTCTCCCAGGTTCAAGCGATTCTCCTGCCTCAGCCTCCTGAGTAGCTGGGATTATAGGCACGGGCCACCACGCCTGGCTAATTTTGTATTTTTAGTAGAGACAGGTTTTTTCCATGCCTGTAATTGCCACCACGCCCAGCTAATTTTTTTTTTTGTCTTTTTAGTAGAGACGGGGTTTCTCCATGTTAGTCAGGCTGGTCTCGAACTTCTAACCTCAGGTGATCCACCCGCCTCAGCCTCCCAAAGTGCTGAGATTACAGGCATGAGCCACTGTGCCTGGCCTTAATTTTTTGTATTTTTAGTAGAGACAAGGTTTCACCATGTTGGCCAGGCTGGTCTTGAACTCCTGACCTCAGGTGATCCACCCGCCTTGGCCTCCCAAAGTGCTGGGATTACAGGCATGAACCACAGCGCCCAGCAGCTGTCTCTGGTAATTGAACAGTTTAACTTGATTCTGTCCCACAGAAATATAACAAGAGCCATATATAGAATTTAATTTTTTTTTTTTTTTTTGAGACAGGGTGTCCCTCTGTCACCCAGGCTGGAGTGCAGGGGCATGATCACAGCTCACTGAGGCCTCGAACTTCTGGGCTCAAATGATCCTCCTGTCTTAGCCTCCTGATTACTAGAACTACAGGCACGTGCCACTGTGCCCAGCTATTTTTATTTTTGTAGAGACAGGGATCTCACTGTGTTGCCAGGGCTGATCTCAAACTCCTAGGCTTAAGCAATCCTCCCTCCTTGGCCTTCCAAAGTACTGAGATTACAGGCGTGAGCCACTGTGCCCAGCTGAATTTTCTAGTAGCCATATTAAAACAATAAAAAGAGGCCCTGCAAATCACTGGCAAGCTACTTAACCTTCTTGATCTTCCACTCCCTCTTGGGTAAGATATCCACCAAAGGGCAATTGTAAAGGTCAGATGAGGTAGCATATAGGAAAGATACACATGAAAATGATTTGCTAGTGCAACATCTGATAGTCAAAGTGTTATTTTTATTTTTCTGGAAATAAACAAATGATTTGAAAAAGTATCATGTGGTGAGCACCAGATGGATAATGAGACAAGTTTATTAAACATCTTAAACTGTGCAGTCAGTGACAAAAGCAAGTGGGAAGCAACTAAAGATGTTAGAGCTGGGAAAGCCGCCTCATCTGGTCAAAGTCAGGAGGAGCAAATCCCTCTGAGCCACCAGCCCGTTTGCCCACTTGGCTCGACCCCAGCTGACAGCCCGTGCAGGAGTTATTGCTGCTTGGGAGACTTGAGATTTTGGCCAGTAGCATTCTTTTGTAATCTTCTATGTGACTGTATCCGCCCACATTTCTGACTCAGAATGAACAGGGAAAGGCGCTGCTGGCAGCTGAATTACCTCAAAACCCAGCTCCAGCCAACCCTTTGAATAGTGATGAGAGCAATGTGCTCCTCCACACATCACCTAAATAGGGAGGCCCATTTGTTATCACCACTTGGCAGATGAAAGTATTGTTTCACAGCGGTTAAGTGATTAGGCCTGGATAAGCAAGCAGAATTTCGAACCCAAGTAGCCTGACCGTGGGCCTTGTGCTGTTAGCCCTGAGGCTGCTTTAGGGACCAGAGATTACGTTATTAGGCAAATATTAAATAAACTCAGTGCATTTAGTTGCCTTCCCACCCTCAGAAAGCAACCTGGACTCAACCACTTTATTACTGATTTATTTATATCACTCTATTTTGCAGATGAAAAGCATCATTGAGTATCTCTCCCTCTCTCTTTTTTTTTGAGACAGGATTTTGCTCTGTCGCCCAGGCTGGAGTGCAGTGGTGCAATCATGGCTCACTGCAGCCTCGACCCCCTGAGCTCAAGCAATCCTCCTTCCTCAGCCTCTCAAGTAGCTTCAGTGATTCTATTTTTAGTACTTTTAGTGGTCACCCCACACCTCTAAAGGAAGGTTTGGGCCAAGCATGGTGGCTCATGCCTGTAATCCCATCCTTTGAAAATAAACTCACCCTCATAGCTCAGTAATTTGTTGCTGCTGAGATGATTGAAAAGAATGGACCTTGAGTTCGAACTGTTCAGTTGTGGTTGTCACTTAAGGTCCAGCTTGCTGGGCTTCTCTGGAGTGCTGAGGCAAGGGGTGCCCCGCCCTATCCAAAATCTGTGTTATGAGTCAGAAGGCAGAGACGCCAAAAGTCCATGGGGCAATTCCCAGGAGGAGGGCCTGCTCTGAGTGACATGTCCTCTTGGTTCTGTGGACTCCTCACCTGGAGGGGGCATCTGAAGACAGAATCCAGGACAGTAAGTCCCAATGAGGAGTTCCATTCATGGTGTGGCAAGTAAGCTCCAACTGGACTGATCTCCGGGCAGATTTCAACTGTTAACTCCGGGGGAAAAAAAAAAGCACTGGAGATTAAAAAAAAAAGCAGGCAGATTCTGAAGAGGAGTCGACACTTGGAAGAAGGAAATGGCACAGGATGAATTTCTCCTGTTTTTAATTTAAATTTTTTTCTTTTCTATTTTAAAAATATTTATTTATTTACTTAAAAAAATTAAGGTGCGGTCTCACTATGTTGGCTGGGCTGGTCTCAAACTCCTGGGCTCAAGTGATCTGCCTGCTCAGCCTCCCAAGGTGCTGGGATTACAGGTGTGAGCCACTGTGCTTGGCCTGTCTTTTGACTTTTAAAACCTATCCTGAACATTTTTCCATGCTGCTGCTTTTTTTCTTCCCCCTCTCTGTCGCCTAGGGTGGAGTGTAATGACATAATCTCGGCTCACTGCAAACTCCACCTCCTGGGTTCAAGCAATTCTCCTGCCTCAGCCTTCTGAGTAGCTGGGATTACAGGCACGCACCAACAGGACCGGCTAATTTTTGTATTTTTAATAGAGATGGGGTTTCACCATGTTGGCCAGGCTGGTCTCAAACTCCTGGCCTCAAGTGATCCACCCACCTCAGCCTCCCAAAGTGCTGGGATTACAGGTGTGAGCCACAGAGCATGGCCATGTTTTCCCCCCATGCTTCTAAATATTATATATATATATATATATATATATATATATATATATATATATATATATATATATATATAGACAGGACCTCACTCTGTTGCCCAGGCTGGAGTGCAGTAGTGCAATCTCAGCTCACTGCAGCTATGACCTCCCCAGACTCAGGCTATCCTCCCATCTCAGCCTCCTGAGTAGCTGGGACTATAGACATGCACCACCACACCCGGCTAATTTAATTTTTTTTTTTTTGTAGAGACAGGGTCTCACTATGTTGCCCAGGCTGGTCTTGAACTCCTGGGCTCATCTTCCAGAGTTGCTGGGATTACAAGTGTGAGCCACTTTGCCCATCCATGCAATATCATTGTTGGTGACTGTGTATCAGTCACAATATGACTAGATCGTAATTGATTATTAAGTGTGTTAGCCTTATATTTTACACATGAATCACAAGCATTTTTCTCAGTTGGTTTCCGCTTTATAACTTTATGGTGAGCCTGTCCTTTCATTAGTTGGCTGTGGTCCAGTAAAAACCAACCACCATCTCTCTGGGTAAACATCTGATAAATGGTGTTTCTCATGTGGGCAGGGTCCATGTCTTTTTTGTTTATCACTGTATTGCCAGTGCCTAGCATAGCACCTGGAGTGAAAGAACTACTCACAAAATTTGTGTGCGGGTCCGGTGGCTCATGCCTATAACTCCAGCATTTGTGAGGCCGAGGCAGATGGATCGCTTGAGCCCAGGAGTCTGAGACCAGCCTGGACAACGTGGCAAAACCCCAAGTCTACAAAAAAATACAAAAATTAAGCTGGGCGTGGTGGTGCACAACATGTAGTCCCAGCTTCCCAGGAGGCTGAGGTGGGAGGATTGCCTGAGTCTGGGGAGGTCGTAGCTGCAGTGAACTGAGATTGCACCACTGCACTCCAGCCTGGGCAACAGAGTGAGACCCAGTCTCAAAAAATAAATAAACAGGCCAGGTGTGGTGGCTCATGCCTGTAATCCCAACACTTTGGGAGGTGGAGGCAGGTGGATCACCTGTGGTTAGGAGTTTGAGACCAGTCTGGCCAACATGGTGAAAACCCATCTCTACTAAAAAAAAAAAAAAAATACAAAAATTAGCCGGGCATGGTGGTGGGCACCTGTAATCCCAGCTAATCAGGAGGCTGAGGCAGAAGAATCACTTGAATGGGGGAGGTGGATGTTGTAGTGATCCGAGATATCACTTCATTGCACTCCAACCTGGGCAACAAGAGCAAAACTCTGTCTCAAAAAAAAAAAAAAAAAAAAAAAAAATATATATATATATATATACACACACACACACACACACACTATATATATATACATATGTATACACACATATATACACATATATATACACATATATATACACATATATATATAAAATAAATAAAATTTGTGTTGACTAACACAAATTGATCATGTTTGATTGACTAACTTGTGACCTGTGTTTAAGGCGAAGACTCAGGTTACCATCACTGGTTGCTGGCCTCTGTTAGTCTGTTGAATAGCTTTTAATTTAGTAATTCATGCCCTTTGACCTAGTAATTCCCCTTCTAGAGTCTATCCGAAAGAATTTTTCAGAGATGCACGCAAAGATTTATGTATAAGGATGATCATTCCAGTTTTAAGAGTGAAAAATTCTAAATAATTTCTAGCAATATGAAAATAATACGTAATTACAACATAAACATTAATATGGGGTTTTTGAATGTTTTGATGATGTGAGGAAGTTCTTATGATGTCATGGCATATACAAAACCAGAATGTAAAATTGTTCGTAGGATTTCTCAACTCTGTTAAACTTAGCATGAAATACACCTAACACGTGTTGTGTGGGTTGGGAATGATTTCAGCACCAAGGAACAGAAAACCTAACTCATGGTGGCTTAAACTTAGAGGGGTTAAGTTTTCTCTCATTGGCTGGGCACGGTGGCTCACGCCTGTAATCCCAACACTTTGGGAGGCTGAGGCGGGCAGATCACTTGAGGCCAGGAGTTCAAGACCAGCCTGGCTCACATGGTGAAATCCTGTCTCTACTAAAAATACAAAAAATTAGCCGGGCGTGGTGGCGGATGCTTGTAATCCCAGCTACTTGGGAGGCCAAGGCAGAAGAATCCATGAACCTGGAAGGCAGAGGTTGCAGTGAGCTGAGATCACGCCATTGCACTCCAGCCTGGGCGACAAGAGTGAAACTCCATCTCAAAAAAAGAAAGGTTTTATCTCATATGTAGCCTGTAGTCTGGAGGTGGTGGTTGAGGGTCTGATGGCAGCAGTGTGGAGATGTCAGGGCCGGATCTCTGCGATTCTCTTTTTTTTTTTTTTTTTTCTGAGAATGGAGTCTCGCTATGTCATCCAGGCTGGAGAGCAGTGGCGCAATCTCAGCTCACTGCAACCTCTGCCTCCTGGGTTCAAGCAATTCTCCTGCCTCAGCCTCCTGAGTAGCTAGGATTACAGGTGTGTGCCATCATGCTCAGCTAATTTTTGTATTTTTAGTAGAGATGGGGTTTCATCATGTTGGCTAGGCTGGTCTTGAACTCCTGACCTCCAGTGATCCCCCCGCCTCAGCATCCCAAAATGCTGGGATTACAGGCATGAGCCACCGTGCCTGGCCTGCGATTCTCTTTTCTTAATGGCTGGGCTGCCATAAAGAAAATTGAGGCCTGCTCCAGCTCCAGGATGACTGCACTTGAGTCAGGAAGGAGGAGGGGGACTTGTACGGTGCCTGCAGTGTCTGTCCCTTTGATCAGGAACACCAAGAGCCTACCAAGGTGCCCCAGCAGATGTTGGCTTATTTCTCTTTGACTGGAATTGTGTCCTGTGGCTACCGCCAGCTACAGGAGAACCCGGGAAAGTGAGTATTTAACATCCCAGTCTCTAGAGTGGAGGCAGCAATGGGGAATCGGTGGGAATATCTATTAGGTTAGCTGATAAACTAACATTTCATTTCCATTTTACTTCTTTCAGGCTGGTGGGTTTATGGGTGTTTTTACTTTTCTTCTTTATTTTTTCTGTCTCATGTAATTTTTCTACAACAAGCATTTCTAATTTCTGTTGTTGAAAAAATATGACAGATACTGCTTTAAAAATCCTTTGTGAGGTTGTGGGCTTTCATTTCTGGAAGCGTTCATACTATCATCAGTCAAATTTGTGGAGAAGGAAGGAACTGTTGAATTCTGTGGGGGTTGGATTGACACCTCTCTCTTTCCCAGTAGACTATGACATCCCCAGGGAATGGGTGGGTGGGGAAATCTATGATTTGTTTAGCTCCTGTCAGGTACTGTGTTAGTTACTTGGCAAGCAAGCATCGTCTCATCTAATTCTCATAGCAGCCTTCCTTTTACAGACAAGAGGAAGACAGGCTAAAAAACTTAATCAGGTCATACATTGGGTGAAAGGAAGCTGGATCTCAGCACCAGGCTTTAATTTTGTAGGTTCCTGAGACATAGTAATCTCAATAAAGTGTGTGTTGAATGAATGTGGAGTCAATGAATCCCTTGGATGTGTAAGTTTTTTAAAGAAAACTGCAGCGGTTCCGTGATAATTATTTCTTGTAGAGCACCCATTCATTTTAACTTGCGCAATTGAAAAATAACAGGCTGTAGTAAATTGCCTGCAGGAGAGGAACTCTGTGCACACTTTCCTGTATCTAAAATCCTTGCCTAATTGCCGGATGTAAATAATGAGTATGACTCCTGTATGAAAAGACAGCCGAAGATTTGTTTCTCATGAGGTCTCTGAAGTTTTTTATTATGAAAAAATTCCAAATATATTCAAACAGAGAGAGAATGGTAGTATGAACTCCAAGGTACGCATCACCCAGCTTCAAGAAGCATCACTATTTTGCTAACTTTTCCATTTGTCTCCCCGCTCCCACTTTTTTTTATTAGACTAAAGTACTTTAAAGCAAACCCAAAGACTAATTTCACCATGAAACATTTGATATTTATTCCAATATTTATTTTATTCCAATATTTATAATTGGAATAAAAGGGATTTTGTGTGGCCCTGCGTTTTTCTTTCTTTAGATCTGCAAGTACAGGAAGCGATGATGTAAAAATCGTCCCAGGGCACGTGGACTTCTGGAGGCCCAGGTGAAAAGAGGCATATTCCTCACAGGCTATGCAATTTGTTTTTCCCTTAGCTCCTCTGGCTCCAGCCGTAATACTTTCCTCAAATGCTGAAAATTAAATATCTGGCCTCTCTTAGCTAGATTTCTGGGGAGTGCTTCTTTTGAGACTATTTTTGGCATGAAAATATCACTCAAGTTGCTTGAAGTTATTTGGAATTTTTGAAGTATGAAAAGCATCTCACTAGAGCCATGGTTGAGGCTGAGTGGGTAGAGTTACTTATTACACAGGCTATCATTTCCCATCCAGCTTCTTGCTTTCTGTGCCCATCTGTTTAATGGTTCTAATGCTTTAGGATGGCCGGGCGCGGTGGCTCAAGCCTATAATCCCAGCACTTTGGGAGTCTGAGGCAGGCGGATCACCTGAGGTTGGGAGTTCGAGACCAGCTTGACCAACATGGAGAAACCCCGTCTCTACTAAAAATGCAAAATTAGCCAGGCATGATGGCACACGCCTGTAATCCCAGCTACTCGAGAGGCTGAGGCAGGAGAATCGCTTGAACCCGGGAGGCGGAGGTTGCAGTGAGCCGAGATCGTGCCATTGCACTCCAGCCTGGGCAACAAGAGTGAAACTCCATCTCAAAAAAAAAAAATGCTTTAGGACAAGGACTGCATCCTGGTTGGGATGTGAAAGGTGACCCAACAGGTGTGGAGGAGGAGTGGCTGGTGGCCAGTAGAGGGGAATCTGCCTGGCTGGCCAGCCTTCCTTCCAGCTGTGTGCCCTGCCTAGGCTCTCTGGAAAAGTCCAGAATGCTGGGAGGTCCATGGAGAGTTTCTGAAAATGCTGGGATTGTCGGTGTCTCTTAGTCCATGTTGTGTTGCTATAACAGAAAACCACAGACTGGGTGATTTCTTTATTTATCTATTTTGAGACGGAGTCTCACTCTGTCACCCAGGCTGGAGTGCAGAGTGCAATGGTGCAATCTTGGCTCACTACAACTTCCACCTCCCAGGCTCAAGCAATTCTCCTGCCTCAGGCTCCCGAGTAGCTGGGATTACAGGTGTGTGCCAACAGGCCCAGCTAATTTTTGTATCTTTAGTGGAGAAGGGGCACTATGTTGGCCAGTCTGGTCTTGAACTCCTGACCTCAAGTGATCCATCTGCCTCAGCCTCCCAAAGTGCTGGGATTACAGGTGTGAGCCACTTCACCAGCCCAGACTGGGTGATTTATAAAGAAATTTAAGGCTGGGCGTGGTGGCTCACGCCTGTAATCTCAGCACTGGGAGGCTGAGGCGGGTGGATCACGAGGTCAGGAGATCGAGACCATCCTGGCTAACACGGTGAAACCCTGTCTCTACCAAAAATATAAAAAATTAGCCGGGCGTGGTGGTGGGTGCCTGTAGTCCTGGCTACTCAGGAGGCTGAGGCAGGAGAATGGCGTGAACCTGGGAGGCCAAGCTTGCAGTGAGCCGAGATCGCGCCACTGCATTCAAGCCTGGGCGACAGAGTGAGACTCTGTCTCAAAAAAGAAAAAAAAAAAAAAAAGAAATTTAATTCTTACAGTTCTGGAGGCTGGGAAGTCCAAGGTTAAGGGAACATATCTGGCAAGGGTCTTTGTGCTCCATCATCCTGTGGCAGAGGGCGTCACATGGTGAGAGAGCATGGGGGCAGGGGGAAAAACTCATCCTTTTATCAGGAATCCATGAGAATTACCCACTCCAAAGATCACTAACCCACTCCCATGATAATGATACATCATGGATCAATAATTCACTCATGGCCGGGCGTGGTGGCTTATGCCTGTAATTCCAGCACTTTGGGAGGCCAAGGTGGGTGGATCACTTGAGGTCAGTTGTTCAAGACCAGCCTGGCCAACATGAGGAAATGCTATCTCTACTAAAAATACAAATACTATCTGGGTGTGGTGGCAGATGCCTGTAATCCCAGCTACTTGGAAGGCCGAGGCAGGAGAATCGCTTGAATCTGGGAAGTGGAGGTTGCAGTGAGCCGAGATCATGCCACTGCACTCCAGGCTGGGTGGCAGAGTGAGACTTTGTTTCCAAAAAAAAAAAAAAAGGAAAAATTCAATCTTGAAGGCAGAGCCCTCATTAGTTCACTTCATCATGTCTTATAAGAAGCAACACTGTTGCACTGGGGATTAAGTTCTAACACATGAACTTTGGGTGACACATTCACATAAAGTGTTTGCCGAGACCTAATCATAGACTCTAGAGTGCTTCTCCTCCCTCACACCTCACTGTCACATCACTAAAGGCCCATTTACAACAGTTCCTTTTTATGCCATGCCTGCCTTTTAACAATGAATTACAAGGCATACTAAAAGGTAAAACACACGGAAGAGACAGAGCAAACATTAAAACCAGACTGAGATATGCCAAGCATATTGGAATTATTAGGCCCAGATTTTTTTTTTTTAATTTTTGAGGTGGGGTCTCACTCTGTTGCCCAGGTGGGAAGTTCAGTGGTGCCATCACGGCTCACTGCAGCCTCGACCTCCTGGGCCCAAGCAATTCTCCCACCTCAGCCTCCCAAGCATCTGAGACCACAGGCACATGCCACCATGCCTGGCTAGTTTTTCTTTATTATTTGTTGAGAAAGGGTCTCGCCATGCTTCCCAGGCTGGTCTTGAACTCCTAGGCTAAAGTGATCCTCCTGCCTTGGCCTCCCAAAACGCTGGGATTACAGGCATGAGCCACCACACCCAGCCAGACCAGGAATTTTAAAAAATTATGATTCATATGTTAAGGACTCCAACGCACTAGACCAGGGACTGGCTTCTGCCCCCAAACTGGCTTGTCAGCAATCACAAAGCTCACAACATCTCCAGCCCCATGAAGCGCAGCTTGTAGCTTCTTACAGTGCATGTGCAAATTGCACAAACAGGGATGCTCATATCATGTTCCACCAAGGCCAACAGGCTTTCCTATGTCATTGAAATTTGTGACATATTTTCATTGACACACCAAAGAAGCCAAGACTTTCCTCTGATGTTGGAAGTGTTAAGAGTGGGAGGATGGGCTAGGATGATGTCTTTTTGTTTACTACATATTCATAGGAAGAGAAAAGCAAAAGAGGATGAAGTTCTGGGAAGTAATAAAATAATCTGTCTGGGCAGGGAGGCTCATGCCTCTAATCTCAGCACTTTGGGAGGCCAAGGCAGGTAGATCCGCTTGAGCTCATGAGTTCGAGTAACATGGTGAAACTCCATATCTACAAAACATACAAAAATTAGCCAGGTGTGGTGGTGTGTAGTCTCTGATACTCAGGAGGTTGAGGCGGGAGGATCGTTTGAGCCTGGGAGGCAGAAGTTGTAGTGAGCAGAGATGGTGCCACTGCACTCCAGCCTGGGCAATTGAGCCAGGCCTTGTCTCAAAAACAAAACAAAATAAAACAAAAACTTAGTGTCCATTGGAAGGACCCTCAAAATGATCTTCCAGCCTTCTGGTTTTACAGATGGGAAACTGAGGCCCAGAAAAGGAAAAGTACTGTGCAAGACCACACAGCCAGTGGATGGTAGAGGGGTGCTTCAAACCAGCGGTGTTTGCCTCCGAGATCTGCGTGATTCCCCAAACTCCAGTCAGGTCTCCCTGGTCCCCGCTGCTCCCTGCAGAGGTCTCATCAAACGCCTGGTCTGCCTGCACCATGCAGCCTGGAAGGTGAGCCGCTGGGGGATATGTTACCCACCACGTCTTGATACGTGCAGAGGTGGGGTATGTAGGGGTGACTCACTTTATCCTTCAGTTCAGAAGCCATTGCAGAAATCAGAGGCAGGTGTTACTTTGTGGTGTTGGGAGTATAGATTATGTTTATTTTCTCTATAATTTCCAGGGTTTTCCAAAATTTTACAACAAACATCTATAATTTTATGAACACTCCCCATCTTATTTTTAAAAAGAAAAAAGTTGGGGGGCAGAGAAATGCCCAGCTCAGTACTGAGATCCATCAAGTGAGGCCAGCCGGTATCTGTCACACCAGGCAGAGGCCCCGTGCTGGAAGCCCTGGAGGTTACCAGCTCCAAGCCTGGTATCCAAGGCCTCCTGGGCAGCCTTAGCCTCCTCCTTCCCTTTCCTCCCACCAGACCCTGCTCCTGGGATGTCCTTCTCCCATTACCACCACAAAATCGGACTAATTTTTCAGGGCCCAACACCAATTCTGCTAATTTTTTTTTGGCTCAATCTTGGCTCATCACAACCTCCGCCTCCCAGGTTCAACGGATTCTCCCACCTCGGCCTTCTGAATAGCCGGGATTACAGGCACCTGCCACCATGCCTGGCTAATTTTTGTATTTTTAGTAGAGACCGGGTTTCGTCATGTTGGCCAGGCTGGTCTAAAACTCCTGACCTCAGGTGATCTGCCCGCCTTGGCCTCCCAAACTACTGGGATTACAGGCGTGAGCCACCTCGCCCAGCCTGGATGAAGGTGTTTTCAAAGCCCTACCTCCCCCTGTTGGGACGACCCTCTGTCTCCCTCCTTGGACCACTGGCGGCACTTTCCTTGGACCTGCTTTATAATCTTTATCATGTCCTGCCTTGTCCTGGAGTTGTTTGCGCCCAGGTCTGTTTCTCCCACTGGACTGAGGCCTCTTTGCAAGCAGAACCTGCTTATCAGCTGCCTTTGTGTTCCCAGCTCCATCCTCAGCCTCCCACATGCTAGACTTCAGGTGTCTGTTGAACTTACATGAATTGAAACTATGGGATCCTAAAAGAGGGGTGCGATGTATCAGTTTATGGCAGGGCTCATGGCCCTTGGCACTTTTGACATCTGGGGTCGGATAATTCTATGTGGTGGGAGCTGCAGTGTTTAGCAGCGTACCTGACCTCTACCTATCAGATGCCAGTACTGTTAGATAGCCCCAGTGCATCCGGGTCTCCTACTCCAGGTCCAGGGTTCATCCCGCTCTCCTGGAAGCCACTCAGGACCCCAGAAAGATCTTTGCTTCTCCACTTTGGTGCATCCGCTCCACCCCCACCCTCACATCCTGGGTTCTATCTTGTCCCCTTTCCTTCTGCCCCACCCCTGTAGCCTGTGCCAGGCTGTGACCCTGGTACAGGTTGTCCCTACTGGTCCATGTAGACTAGACTCAGACTGTGCCTGGACACACGCTGTCACATGCTCTTCAGCTCCTTGGGCTCGTCCCCGTGCTTGAACACACTGATGGTGACCTGGCCCGTCTCGGAGCCATACTTGTTCTTGACGAAGACGCCGTAGCGGCCGCTGTCTTCACTGTTGACCTTCTCAATGGTGATGGTGACCTCTGTCCCCCTCACTTCCATGCGGTATCGGTCAAGGAAGGTGACAGGCTGGTCATTCTTCAGCCAAGAGATTTCAGGGGTGGGGTCTCCTGAGACGATGCAAGTCAAGCACAGGGTCTGTTTGAAAAGACAGGAAGGGAACAGTCTCACCTCCTTGTAACTTGAACTTAGCATTTGCTTTCATGCCCCCAGAGAGCTCCCAGCTCAGGTTGCTCCCTGTGATAATTTAGTACATGTGTTTTATTATAATTTATAAAGGGGAGAGATTTTATTTTAACCCCACATCCTTCATCCTCAACCTTTTATTTTATTTTGAGATGGAGTCTCGTTCCATCGCCCAGGCTGGAGTGCAGTGGCATGATCTCGGCTCACTGCAACCTCTGCCTCCCAGGATCAAGTGATTCTCCTGCATCAGCCTCCTGAGTAGTTGGGGTTACAGGTGCCCGCCACCAAGCCCGGCTAATTTTTGTATTTTTAGTAGAGATGGGGTTTTGCCGTGTTGATCAGGCTGGTCTTAAACTCCTGACCTCAAGTGATCTGCCCTCCTCAGCCTCCCAAAGTGCTGGGATTACAGGCGTGAGCCACTGTGCCCGGGCATTCTCAACCTTTCTACAGGAATACTTACCCATCAGAATCTCAGACCATAATTACTCTCGCAATTATCGGTCCCAGAATGGCCTTCACTTTGTTTTATTGCTTTTTGTAATATATATGTCACTACGATTTTACAATGCAAGTAAGATTATATAGATTTAGTGCATAGGTTTATGAATTAAAATAGAAAATTACTGAACAAGCTCTAATGCAGAGCACTATAATGTAATTATTAAACACACAGGCTCTGGAGTTGGGCTTCCTGGGTGTGAATCTCAGCTCTGCCCCTTCAAGCTGTGTGACCTTAGGTCTCTTAACCTGGGTTAAGGGACTCTGGGTTTCCTCAGCTATAAACTATGATTAGTAATAAATAAAACCCTATTTCATGTGATTACCTTGATGGCTAAAGAAGCTCAAAAAGATAATATACATGGAATCGTGCCTGACAAAAAGTAAGCACCATCAATAAGTCAGCAATTGTTTTCAGGAACACTAGATTTACATAAATAAGTTCAGTCCTAGACGGGCTTTTAGGGATCTCTCAGTAGACATTTCTTTTGGACGCTGAAGTCCGCAGGTAGAAGTCTAGGATGCCCAGGGCTGTCTAGACAGATGGAGATAGAACTAGGTCAAGTACCCACTGAGGGCTGACACCAGGCCCAGTGACTTTCCTTTGTACCACATGTCATCAATGAGGTGTGGTCACTTGGCCACTCTTTGGCTTTGAATCCATGGTGCTGCATTGTTTCGTGATCTGTGGTGGATGCACGAAGGAACACAGAGGGGGACTGCTGGCTGTGGGCTGGGAAGGGTCAGTACCTTATCTTCCATGATAGTGGCCACATCCGGCAGACCTCTCACCACTTTGGCACGATCTGGAAGGGAAATAAGAGACCCCAGCGATGAATCCTTTTCTGCCAGCCGCTTCCCAGAAGTTTCATAGAGTTGAGGTTTATTTTTAAGCAAGGCTTCTTTTTTTTCCTTTTTCTATTTTCATTATTTTGGATGGAAATCTTTTTTAAATTTTTTTTTCAAAATTAATTTTTTGAGACAGGGTCTCGCTCTGTTGCCCAGGGTGGAGTGCAGCAGCACGATCTCAGCTCACTGCAACTTCTGCCTTCCAGGCTCAAGCAATCCTCCCCCGCTCAGCCTCCTGAGCAGCTGGGACTATAGGCATGCATCAGCCCGCCTAGCTAATTTTTGTATGTTTTGTAGAGACGGGGTTTCGCCATGTTGCCCAGGCTGGGCTTGAAGTCCTGGGCTCAAGCAATCCTCCTGCCTTGGCCTCCCAGAGTGGTGGGATTATAGGCATGAGCCGCCACACCTGGCCTTGGATGGAAATCTCTAGAACTGTATTACATGCTTCTTTGTATTCATAAGTAGAAGATATGGGACATAGTGTTTTTCTGCCACTGATCTGAGGTCATTTGCTATGATTGGTGGTACCTGGAGGTGACCATGAGATGCTCCTGCCCTCAAGAACCAGGAAGAAGGTAAGTGGGACTCTGAGACTTCAACTGGCAAAATCCACACAACGGGTGTGACCAACAAGGTCAGAGAAAGCAACAGAACCTTTTGCTTTTGTCTGAAAAAACAGAAGCTTTTGGGACACTTTGAACCTGGTCAAGCGAGGGACCTGGTGGCCATTGTGGGTGGCCAGGAAGAGTGTGGTTGTCAACCACTAAGCAGAAATCTGGTCTACTCCTCATGGTGCAGGGGAAGCTGTGGGAACAGGACGGGTGGTCAGCACGGCCTAGACCAGGGATCAGGGATGTGCAAAGATCCCGATGCGGATGGTGTCTGTCCAGTGGGTGAAAGGGGAGCAGGACCCCAGATGGGGAGGGGAAGGCCCCACAGATGGATGCAGTTGTGGGCAGAAAGTGTCACCAACCCTTCACAGCTGGACAAAATGATTGTTTCCTTCAGCTCTGATGCCACATGCCCCAGCAACCCAGTATTGGTGAATTCAGCTTTCCTCTATTAGGGTCCTGGACGGGGCTTCTGTTCAGGATGACGCATTCCACTATGGGCAGGGACATTCTCACTGGGTGAATGATTAGATTCATGGTACAAGAGCCTCCTCGTGGCCTGAGGCTGAGGCTGGTCTTGGGCTGTGCTCCCTCCACCGAGGCGCCCCTCAGCCCCCTGCAGGAGCTTCTCACTGCATGGCCACTTATACCCCTCAATTGCCCCTTCCCAATAACAGCTATGAGCCTGAGGCCTGCACTTCCTGTCAAGTGGGGACACTCGGGGTCAATGATGCCACGCAGAGCGAATTATCCCCTCCCACACATGGCCTCAAGCTGGCGGTGTGAGTTTTCTTGTCTGTTCTTAGAGCTGTGCTGTCTCCTTCTATGGCCACACCTGTGCTCTGCTGCCTGCCCGGGTCTTTCCCTCACTGAAATCCTTACTCCTCATCTGCTGGGCCAGTGAGAGCAGACAGCCAGACTCCTACCACCAGGCCGCTTAGAACTGGCTTGGGTTGGGAGGTGATGAATGGGACAAGCTCGAGCTCATGGACTTGGTGGTGGCTCCCCGGGTGGCCCGGAGGCCGTGCCATGTGCCTCTGGGTTTGGGGCTTCATCCTGGATTCGATGAGGCTCCAATACCTCGAGAGCCATAGCTTCAGCTTTAAAGTCACCCCATCCCCACAGATCACTCGGGAAGGCCTGCCCAGCCTCATTCCTGTCTGTCCCCTCCTTTTCGGTCCCACCAATGTAGTCCATGTGCCTGCGAGAACCAGGCTCGCGCTGGATGCTTCCACAACACAATCCCAGGTGTCCTCGGATTCTGTCTCTGTCTTGCCCAGGTCTTCCCTGCAGCTCTGTAAGACCCTAGAGCCCCACAGACCCCACTGTGGAATGAGGCCTTCAGCAGCCCACCAAGAGGGTTGAGCTTCCAGGAAGTTTGCCCCAAATTCAGAAACAAAAACAACAGAAATATCGGCCGACTTACTCTTCTCGATGATGGCCAAGGTTCTGAAAAACAGAAATGGGAACAAGGTGTGACATTCCACTTGCTAAAGGACAGTCCAGCCCAGGTGGAGGTGAGGGGTGATGAAGGAAAGGTGGAGCTGGCTGGGGCTCCCAGGAAGGAGTCCTGAGCCTAGTTTATGCCACACCCTGAAGGGGCCTATAATTCACACTGAGAAATGTAGAGGAAACTTACTTCAGTCTCTGGTGTTCAGCCATTGCATCCTCAAAAGCTATAAGAAGGACAGAGGAGAATGGGGGCCATCAGGGCCTCTGCTGTCTGATGATGGGGACAGGGTGACCCTGGGAGCAAAGCTTATCCCTGACTGTCCTCCACTCTCCTCCCCATGCCGATGTTTCTTTGGGGCAGTGGCAGGACTGCGTGGGAGGGTAGGCGTACCCTCAGAAGACCATGGGATTTTCTTTTTTCTTTCTTTTTATTTAGCTAAAAATTTTTTAAAAATATTTCTTTCCTTAACACCTATCCCAGAGTAACCTTTATTATTATTCTTTTATTTTTTGAGACAGGGTCTCACTCTGTTGCCCAGGCTAGAGTACAGTGGTGTGATCACAGCTCATTGCAGCCTCTATCTCCTGGGCTCAAGCAATCCTCCCGCTTCAGCCTCCCAAGTAGCTGGGAATATAGGCAGGCGTCACCATGCCCAGCTAAATTATTTTTAGTTTTTGTAGGAATGTTGCCCAGGCTGGTCTCACTATGTTGCCCAGACTGGTCTCAAACTCCAGAGCTCAAGCGATCCTCCCACTTCAGCCTCCCAAAGTGCTGGGATTACAGGACTGACCCAGTGTGCCCAGACTGTCCATGGGATTTTCTAAGCAGGTTTCCCTGCAGACATAGGTGGATGGCTCACCTTGCCCTGAGAGATCTGTTGAGAGCTGCCGGACTTCCTTCCCTGCAGCTATTTCCAGAGTGTATTTGCCCTTGTCTGAGTCTTTGGGGTCCAGGATGTGAAGCCAGATCTCATCCAGGGTGGTGCCCGTCCTTATCCGATCACCACTCTCCAGACGTTTGTCTCTGAATGTGAGGGTGGAGAAATGGTTAAGGCTGCCTGTCTGCAGGTCAACAGATACCCGTGCCCCAAAATCCTCTCCTCTGGTTTTGTTTTGAGATCACGGGCTATGGGTGGTGACTATGAGGCACCAGATAAATATCCATTCACTTACTCATTGATTATTCAACCCTCCATTCCTCATTCAATACTGCATTCATTCATTCATTCATTCATCATTCCTAGAGACGCTGTCCTCTGTTCCCAGTGTTGTGTTGCAGAGGTGACACCTCTCTGCTTAGTCACAGGGCTCAGAAACTCGCTGGGGGAGGAACCTATTGTCCTGAAATTCCATCTGTTCTTGGCTCTCACTCATTTGACAACCTGGACCAAATTAGTCAAGCCTTCTCCATAGAGTGGGTGCAGTAATGTCTGCTCCACAAGGCTGAGGCATGCAGCTGGTAAAAAGCACTGGGAAAACTCTGCTGTTGGATTATCTGGGGCCACTCAGAGAGTGGCTGAGTCTCTGTGGGTACCTCATCTATCCTGCCTTCAAGCCCTGGCTCTCAGTTAGTGGCCAGCCCCACAGACCCTTTTCCTGCATGTTTCCCCTAAGCCTGGCTGACCAAGTTTGCTAAGTCTGCAGAGGCCCACAAGGGTCCCCTGACCCACCTGACCACTTGGCTCTTCTTTGTCCCTGCATCCCTTTCTCCCCCAGTTCCCAGCTGCTGCCCAGAGACTGATCCTGCTGTGGCCATAGAGTTTCCAGAAAAATGTTGTCCCGCCAAGGTTCCCACCTTCCCTGGGGATCTCGGCAAAGCCTTTCTACTCCTCCCACTGCTAATCTCTATCCTCAACTCCTTCTGTGGACAGCAAGACCAGGAAGAGACTCTGTCTCTGCTAACCCCTGGGACCAGGCTCTGCTTGGGGGACCAGAAACTCTGCTTGGAGGACCAGGCAGGGAGAAGGGAGGGAGGCCCCCATGGGTCAGGTGCTGAATCCTTTCCAGCCTGGCTGGGGTTCTGGGGCAAGGCGGACTTACTTGTGGAACCAGGTGGTTTTCATGTACTCCACGTTGTAGTACTTGACCTTGCTGAAGATCCGGATCCCTTCCTCGGTCCCCTGGATTTTCAGTGGAGTTGCAGAGAGGGCTGGGGAGACAGAGGAGAAGGATGAATCTTCCCTGAGGCCATTTAGGCATCAGATTTTGGGGCCGGCTTGTCTGCCTCTGCCCTGGGGGGCAGGTGCTGTGGGGGAAATGCAGTGCTGTGAAGAGGCGGGATTTTCTCTTCGGTGTTTGAGGTTAGAAACTAAACCCACCCCCAATAGCCAAGGCCAGTGTTAGGCTGCTTGGAGGCTGTTGGGCATCAGGGCAGGGCAGGGCTGGGCAAAGAGGCAGGCTGCTTACCACCAATCCTGCCCAACTCGGTGAAGATGGCATCCAGGGCTGGCGGGAAACAGAGAGAAGGGTTAGCTGGCATAGGGCTCCCCTAGGGATGTGCTAGGAGTGGGGACATCCTAGAAAAAGGCTGGTGGAGCCCGTGAGCTGCTCTCAGGGGGACAGGCAACTCTGTAGGATGACTCTCATAGCTTGGGGATAGGAGGGGGTTCAGGGCACTCAGCAATGGGGTGGGCAGAAGGGCACTATGGATGGAGGACAAACATGCAAATCTGACAGTTTTTGCAGGCTGAGCTGATCAGCCTGATGAGGAGCCTGGGCCCACTGTGGGACGGAGGAGTGAACTCAGGCTTCGGGTCTCCAAGCCTGGGCTCACTGTGGTATACTGTGGTGAACGAGGGCATCGGAGTCACACCGACCTGGCTCCTGCCACTGACTAGATGTGGAATCTTGGGCAAGTTACTTAATCTCTTTGTGCCTCAATTTCTCCAAGTGACATGGGGATCCCATAAATCTTACTGCACAGATCACATCACAGTCTGCTCCACTGTGCTCCCTCCACAGCCCCTGACCCATCGCCAGCTCCTACCGTCACCCGTGAGGTCCAATATGGTGTCGTCCTCCCCTCGATCGTCAGAAACCATCGCTCTGTAAATTCCCTTGTCCTTTTTGGACAACTGGAAAGAAGGATGAGCGATGGTGGTGTCAGCATGGGCTCCAGAAGGAGAGATGGATACCAAATCCGGAGGCCTGGGCTCCAGGCCTGCCCCTCACTCTCTGTGTGACCTCAGGTAAGACCCTTCTCCTCCCTGGGCCTCCATTTACTCATCTGGGCTGGGTGAGCTCTAAGGCTCCTTTCAGCTCCAGAGCCCTTGGATTCCTAGCTCGGGGCTTGTCTGGGCCTGGGGAAGGGGTGGAGTAGGGGGAGTTGAGGACAGAACCAGACACCTTCGTTTGCATTCACAGGCAGCTGCTCTGAGCATGACATGACACAGTGAGCCTCACTTTGCAGAGCTTGTCTGGGCCTGGCCCACCTTTCACTCCCTGGGGGCTCCTGGATGGAGGGACCCCCACCACCTGCAGTTCCCCAGGAGGAAGCGTGTTTTCTCCTGCCCAGGACAAGGGGGCCCTTTTGGCCCATGTTTGTCAGCCCCAAATTAAGTCTGAACAAACACTCAGCAAAGTAAGAACTTGAGTTGTGCTTTCAAGGCAAGGTCCAGAGATCAGAAGTGACCTCTCATTACACAGCACCTTCCTTCAGCCCTCATCTCTCAATACTTCCCACCAGGACCATCTCCACACAGTGGGTTTGGGGCAGGATCCAAGACAGAGGCAGCTCTTAACCTGAGGATTGAGGTGCTGAGCCCCAAAAGTCCTCTCTTATGTCCTCACCATCCCAGGAAGTCTCCAAGTTCTCAGCCAAACCTAGGGTGGGTGACTGGAGTGGCTTCTGACCCCACCTTCTAGCCTTATGTCTTTGCATTGAAACACTCTGAGCCTCAGTTTACTCATCTGTAAAATCATGGCATCATCCTTGCCCTGCCTGTATGCTACAGCTGCTGTGGGGATCAAGGGAGGTAACTCTTAGGAGGCCAGAAAGTTTGCACCAATGGGACTGATGATTATAATAAAACTCTGTAACTTTGAAGCACCTACTGGTGCCACAGCCTGTCTGAGGAGCTTGCACAGTGGTGGCAAAGGCTGACTTGGCATCAGCCTGGCCAGGATTTGGGAGAAGACCTTGAAATCATTGTTTTCTTCCTAGTCAGCAAGGCTCTGTTTGCTCCAGTCCTCCTGGGCACCCAGTGAGGCCACAGACATCAGCAGCAGGGCAGAAAAAGGTTGACGTTTGAGAGCAAGCCTTGTGTTTCTCTCTTAACCAGGCCACGGTCCACCAAAGGCCATGGGGGAGGACTTGGGGGGAGAATTGAGCTCCAGGCCTGCTTTATTCTGCCCAGATCTGCCTCACATGGAGACATCCTTCCTGTCCCGACTCCTAGACTGTTGGGGCAGGAAGGAGGCGTTGAAAGAGCATCCCTTCCAACCCGCTCATGTTGCAGATGAAAGCTGAGGTCAGAGAGCGACGGGGGCTAGCCCAAGCCTGCACAGTCATTGGCAGGGCCAGTACTGGAGCTAAAGAAAAAAATCAGTAATACTGATTCTGTCTCTATTGAAAATTTGGGGGCTTTAATAGTTTTTTTGCATTAATTTTGATTTTTTAGAATATTGCATACAATATTATTTATCTTGATTACTGAGTTTTTTGGTGCCTCTTAAATTTTGTGCTCAGGGCCTCACTTGCATCAACCTAGCCTCGGCCCTGCCCTGACTCCCAGCCCAGAGCTCTTGGCCCTCCCTGGCTTGCAGCCAAAGGAGAAAGTGAGCCCTGAAGCTGGAGCCACACTTGCCTCTTCAATGCAGAGAAGTCCCGTTCCCGTCTCTGGGTCATACTGACCATCTGGCATCTCTGCCCTCTGGAAGAACCACTGAAAGCGAGTCTCCTTCTTGGTGTTGGTCACCTGGGGAAGGTGGGGAATGAGGAGACTCTGTCAGGCTTGTTTCTTTTTGAGTAAAAACACACCTGTGCACACTTTCAGGCATCTCAGTGGAGTCCTTTCACATACCATGTGTCTCCTCTGCTGGCCTCTGGACTCTGAATTCTTGCTAATGGTTTTCCCTCTGCCTCTTGATCCCTGCCTTACTCTATTTTTCTTGGAAATGTCCATGTGCTTCAGTTAAATGTCATCTCCTCCAGGAAGCCTTTTTTTTGAAGCATCCCATAGTCACCCCCTCCATCACGATTCATCAATGTCCTGCCCCATCCGGGTCAAGCATGAGGGATGCTGTTTTCCAATGGTCCTGCCTTGAACATGGGCTCCCAAGGCCCACAGAGACCACTTCATCATCTTTGTACGTTCAGTACCGTGCAGAGTGGCACAAAATAGATGCTCTGAGTTTACTGAATGAATATGCTTCTGGGAGAGCACCCACCCTCCCCTTCCCCAGTTATCTAAACAGGCTGAAGAGTGCTAAGAAGGACCTTAGGCTTTGGAATCAGATAGACTTGTTCAAACCTGGGCTCTCCCTCTTACCGTGTGGCCTTGAGCTATTTCTCCATTTGTTTTCTCATCTATGAAGTGAGGATAGTAATGCCTGTGTCACAGATGATTGTGAGGCGGATGAAATAATACTGTGAGTCTCTGAGCACAGGGTAATCATAAACACAGGGATACCCCTCAACATATAAACCCTCGTGGGCTCCTAGACCCCCTGACCCCTCAGAACCCCTTCTGGAGCCACTAGGATCTCGTTCAAGGCTGGTCCACCTCACACGAATCCTACCCCATGGGCGCTGGGAAGGTGGGTTTGCTTTTTGGGTTACGTGTGGTCTCCTCGGGGGTACTTTCTGTGTGTGCGATCAGCCAAGCACAGAGTATGGAATTTAGGGGGCCGGGTGGGCAGGGACAGCAACTGGGCTTGGGGACAAGCCACAGGTCCCCCTGCACTGGGCCTGGGGGCAGGGCAGGGCAGGACTTGCCTTGCACGTCAGCTGCACTTGGCAGTCCTCCGTGACCTTCCACTGCAACGGCCGCTCAAAATAGGGACCTGTGCGTGCAAAACAAATGTGCCCACTGTCAGAGAGCCAGGCTCAGCCAGGGTGCCACCTGTGTCCAGGCAGTGCTGGGGGGAGGGACAGCTAATGGCTATGGACTTCTCAGATGCTGCCTCTGCCAGGGCTGGGACTGGGGTGAGGCAGGGGCGGTGCTCAGAGCGCAAATTTCTTTCTTTCTTTCTTCCTTCCTTTCTTTCTTTCTTTCTTTCCTTCTTTCTTTCTTTCTTTCCTTCTTTCTTTCTTTCTTTCTTTCTTTCTTTCTTTCTTTCTTTCTTTCCTTCTTTCTTTCTTTTTCCTTCCTTCCTTCCTTCCTTCCTTCCTTCCTTCCTTCCTTCCTTCCTTCCTTCCTTTGTTTCCTTCCTTCTTTCTTTCTTTCTTTATTTTTGAGACAGAGTCTCGCTCTGTTGCCTAGGCTAGAGTGCAGTGGCGCAATCTCGGCTCACTGCAAGCTCCGCCTCCTGGTTTCAAGGATTCTTGTGGCTCAGCCTCCTGAGTAGCTGGAATTACAGGCGTGTGCCACCATGCTCGGCTAATTTTTGTATTTTTCATAGAGATAGGGTTTCACCATGTTGGCCAGGCTGGTCTTGAACTCCTGGCCTCAAGTGATCTGACCACCTTGGCCTCCCAAAGTGCTAGGATTACAGGTGTGGGGCACTGTGCCTGGCTTCAGGGTGCAAAATTTAAGAGGGCTCAGCTCTCACCCTCAGGTCAGGCAAGAGCTATTTTGATCTGGCACTGGGACAGAACTGGACTGAATGACAGTGGACCTCCCTTGGGGACCCAGCAGGGCTGGGGTTCCCATTAATCCGCAGTCCAGCATCTCTAGCACGAACCAGTGGCCAGGGATTTTGAACTTCACCCCAGCAGCTCTTACCCTGTTTTCTCTTCCAGTCCCTTCTCTTAGCATCTGCCTTCCTCAGAAGCTTGTCAAAATCTGTGAACACAGAGGGAGGAACTGGCATGAGCCGAGAGGAGTGTGGGTCTGGAGAGGGGACATGGGGTGGACAGAAGTCGAGGGGGCTGTGCTCAGCAGGCTGCAGAGCCGAGGACTCAGGGCTGCAGGGCAGGCCAGGTGTGCGGGGCAGGGCGGGGCAGGGCTGGGCGGGGCGAGGCTGGGCATGGCTGACCGTCATCCACCAGTGTCAAGGTAATCTGGTTTTTGGCTTTTCCATCTTGGAGTTGAGCGGTGTACGACCCTTTGTCCTCCTCAGACAAGTTCTGGATGATCACTTCCACCAGGCCCTTCTCTCGGTCAAAATTGATTTTGCGGTTCTGAAAAGGACAAACTCCAGAGTCCTTTTCCCTGTTCTGGGAACTTTGTTGTGGGGTACACATCAGAGTGTAGTGGGCTTGGGGGTGGTAAGCACAGAGCTGTCAGCCTTCAGAGACTGGGGCTGGCCGTTGGGTAACCCTCTGCTGCTCCCCCCACACCTAGTCCCCCGGGGTGCTTGAATAAGTTACAATTTTTTGTTGTTGTTTTTTTGAGACAGAGTCTCACTCTTGCCTAGGCTGGGGTGCAGTGGAGCGATCAGTTACAATTTAATAATAAGTCCCGAACCCCTGCTGTGCCATGATTTTGCCTATTTTCTTTTCTTTTTCTTTCTTTTTTTGTTTTTTGTTTTTTTCTTGAGACAGTGTCTCACTCCATCGCAGAGTCTCGCTCCATCACCCAGGCTGGAGTGCAGTGGCGCAATCTCGGCTCACTGCAGCTTCTGCCTCCCATGTTCAAGCAATTCTCCTGCCTCAGTCTCCTGAGTAGCTGGGATTACAAGCATGCGCCACCACACCCAGCTTATTTTTGTATTTTTAGTAGAGACTGGGTTTCACCATGTTGGCCAGGCTGGTCTCGAACTCCTGGCCTCAAGTGATCTGCCTGCCTCGGCCTCCCAAAGTGCTGGGATTACAGTCGTGAGCCATTGTGCCCAGCAGCTTATTTCCTACTTCTTTTAAAATAGGAAAAACCCCATTGGCGTGTGTAAAGGATAATGGAAAAAAAAATACTCGTGTACTTGCTACCCAGAATTAACACTCATTTACATTTTACCATATTCTAACAGTTTTTAAAATTTCATTTTCCTCATCTAGGTTCTTTCTTCCTCTGGCTTTATTTGTATGTATGATTTGGGGGAGTAATCTAATTTTGTTTTATTTTTCTATAGGGACAACTGATTGTCCCACCACTGAATACTAATGAGTCCAGACTTTGTAACACTTCCTTTACCATGTGGTAAGGTCATTGCACAAGCTTTATGCAGAACTTTCAAATCAGTTTTCTGATTTGCATCTTTTGATGCTGGGACAACCAGCCCCATTGCACAGATGGAGAAACACAGGCACAGACAGGTGAAGAGACCTGCCAAGGTCATATAACCCACAGCAGGTGGACATGAGACTCCTGTCAGAACTAGTGCCCTCTTTCTATAATACATGTTTTCTTTCTTCTTTTTTTTGTCATTGGACCTTTGATATATATATAACACATATTTTCTTCCTTTTTTCTTTTCTTTCTTTCTTTCTTTCTTTTTTTTTTTTGAGACAGAGTCTCACTTTATTGCCCAGGCTGGAGTACAGTGGCACGATTTTGGCTCACTGCAACCTCTGTCTCCCGGGTTCAAGCGATTCTCGTGCCTCAGCCTCCTGAGTAGCTGAGAGTACAGGTGCGCACCACCATGCCTGGCTAAGTTTTTGTATTTTTAGTAGAGATGGGGTTTCATCATGTTGGCCAGGCTGGTCTTGAACTCCTGACCTCAGGTGATTCGCCTGCCTCGGCCTCCCAATGTGCTGGGATTTCAGGCATGGGCACCCCGCCCAGCCACAACACGTATTTTCTAATGGCTGCTTTGCCATCTGGAGATGAAATTCACAAATAATATGAGATTGAGTCATGAATTTGAATCTCTCATGAGGTTGACATCGCCATGTCAGCAGTAAACAGTTGAATATTGACAAATCATGTGGTTCAATCTAATACAACCTATCTACAGATATGATTTACAAAATAATATACTCTAACCATAATATAAAGAAGAAATAAGTCGTTTAAAATAAAAATATTTCAATATATAGGTGCTTGGATATAACCTTAATTATGCTGCCCTGCTTTATAATGAATCGGTTTGACTTTAAGAGAAGAAAAGCAAAAAAATCAGAAGCTATTCTGTACAAAAGCAGGAAAATGAATGAGCATAGGTAAAGTAACCAGCAGAATAAAAATTCTCCATTCAGTGTATAGTAACATTGCACACTTTGGGAGGCTGAGGCAGGAGGATTGCCTGAGTTCAGGAGTTTGCAGCCTGGGCAACAAGGCAAAACCCTGTCTCTACAAAAAAAAAAAATATAAAAATTAGCTGGGCGTGGTGGTGTGTGACTGTGGTCCCAACTACTCGGGAGGCTGAGGTGGGAGGATCGCTTGAGTCTGGGAGGTTGAGGCTGCAATGAGCTGAGATCATGCCACTGCACTTTAGCCATGGTGACAAAGTGAGGTTCTGTCTCAAAAACAAACAAAAACAGAAAACAAAAAATAAAATTGTTTGGGAGACTGAGGCAGAAGGAGTACTTAAGGCCAGGAGTTCAAGACCAACCTGGTCAACATAGTGAGTCCCCATCTCTAATTAAAAAGATAAAAAAAGAAAAAAATTGTACAAAAATAGTTTGTATTTATACCTAAAACAGAGTTAGAGTCTAGCCTTGGATAATTATAGGCATGAACGCAGGTTTTTCATCTTAAGAATGTCTGGTGGGGTAATCAGAAGTTGTGGGGGGTGTGGGAATTCTTTGTTTGTGGGAATGTCCCTTGCACTGGCCAGCATGTAGTGTCCCTGCCAACCCCACCCCCAACACCAGCACTGGTACTAAGAGCCAAATGTTCCCATCCCGTCCTCATCACTGCAACAGCAAAAGCACACCGTCATTTCTGAAATGGCCACTAGGGGGAAGTACCAGCCCATGCGGAATCACCATCCCGCGAGGCCACCTCCCCGGCAGGGGAGCCTCACTTCAGGGATTGTGAGCACCCAATTACCGGCGAGCTGAAGATCTCCTTGTTGTTGAAGATTAGATGTAGCTCAGCGGCTGGAGATAACTTTTCTACTTCCAGCCAAAGCCGCACCTCCCCTCGCTCCAGGATGTCAATGTTCCAGCCGGAGATCAGTTTGATCACTGGGAGGCGCAGGACGGGAAGGGGGTGGGTTGGACCCCTTCTCCCTTTCCCGCTCCCTTCCAGCCCCACCTTGAGCACACCCTTGGCATCTGACATGCAAAACCTTTAGAGAACCTGAAGGAGACTGTACTGGGTGGGGCTCAGAGGAGGGTTTTCCGAATGCCCACTCTAGATTTAATTAATCTCAGCGAAGCGTTTCCTCTTCTAAGAGCTCTGGGGCTGCAGTTCTCAACCTGGCAGGGCATTGGATCCCAGACGACTTTCAAAAACCCTAGCATCTGGGCTCCACCCTCAGAGATTCTGATTTGTCTGGGGCATGGCCTAGGTATTGGGATTAGGAAAGGTGTCATCATGGTTCTGTTGTGTAGCCAAGTTTGTGACCTCCCCTGCTCTAGGGACTGTACACACTGTCCCTAGCCAATGGAGAGAAGCAGAGGTTTAGACGATCCCAAATCCTAATGACTAAAGAGCCAATAACAGTAATTATAAAAGAGGAAAACACCCACATTTCCCTTCCTCGCATCCCCTTTCCTGCTGCTCTTTTCCTTCCGTGAGCTTCCCGAGTGGTCCCTGACCTTCTAGCTCTGTGATTCTCCCACCCTCTGTCCCTCTGGGGTTGTTTCCTGGTCCTTGGCCTGACTCTGCTCTGCTCAGAACATGCCAATGGGCCCAGTGGGAACTGCACAAGGCTGGTAGCTTGGACTGCTTGCTTACCTGGGTTTCTGATCTCATGACTCAGCTTCTTCAGCTTCTCCAGCTCTGGGATAGGGGGAAGTGAGGAAGAAACCAGAGAGAATGAAATATCCTGGTCGGGGGTGGGGGGCCCACAGGAGCCGTCCTAGGATCCTGTGCTGGGTCAAAATTCCAAGAGACACCTCCCCCGACCTTGGGGTTCCTTGGCTCCATAGGGGCCATGATGAGTACTGTGAGCCTTTGCCCTGGGGCACTGAGGGTGATGCCGGGGCTGCTGCTGGCCACCCTGAGATTGCGTCCTCTCCCCGTCCTTCAAGGCCTAGATCAAGTCTCGCCTCCCTAGAGGAGCACCTACCATGTGCCTGGTTCTGCATATACTTCATTAGTCCTCTGCAGTGCTGTGGGCTGAGCATTACTGTCTACCTCTGGTCACTCTAGGACCACTGGTGCCAGGGCCTTATTGCTCACCCCTGTCACATGCTATCTTAGTGTCCCTGGGTCTGGACGACACACCGAGCACTGCAGCCCAGAAGTCTCAGACTGTTCTAGAATGCTGTCTCATTTGCTGACCGTTTCTTCTTCTTGTTCGTTTTTTCTTTTTTTTGAGACAGAGTTTCACTCTTGTTGCCCAGGCTGGAGTGCAATGGTGCAATCTTGGCTCACTGCAACCTCCGCCTCCAGGGTTCAAGCAATTCTCCTGCCTCAGCCTCCCAAGTAGCTGGGATTACAAGAATGTGCCACCACGCCCAGCTAATTTTTGTATTTTTAGTAGAGACAGGGTTTCACCATGTTGGCCAGGCTGGTCTTGAACTCCTGACTTCAGGTGATCCGCCCGCCTCAGCCTCCCAAAGTGCTGTGATTATAGGCGTGAGCCACTGTGCCTGGCCTGCTGACTGCTTCTTCGTGTTGCCTTTCCTGCTAAGGCGAGCTCTGAATCTACGTGAATGTTTTGTACACAGTAGGTGCTCAGTCAATATGGACTGTGTGGATGAATTGGCAGGGGCAGAGACCATGCCTCATTTTCCCTAGTAAGCCCCAGAATCCTTAACACTATGAGTCTAGATTCATGGCAAGCACACGGCAAACAAAACCAAAAAAACCCATCATTTTCGTGGATGGCTTTAGTTTGCATAGAATCATCTGATTGTATCTGCATAACAATATTGTTTCAGGTGGGGGCAGCCAGGGATTATAATCCCTCTTTACGGGTGAGGAAACTGAGGCCCAGGAAGGTGGCATGACTTGTCCAAAATCAGCCAGCAAATTATGGAACTGGAATTGGAACCTGGGTCTCTCTGGCTTCTGTTTCTTAACAAAATCAAAAGGCCCCATGTGCCATGAGCAGGGTAGACAATGGGCAAGGGCTGTCCTGGTTGCTACGGAGGTAGCAGAGTGTCTCATCTGTTGTGAGCACAGGCTTTGTTTCAGTTTAATTTATCAAATATGGATGGTCCTTTAGACGTGGTATTCACTCTCTGGTTACCCGCAGTCCCCAGCGCTCCCTATTGTCACCCCATTTCTCAGACCAACTGCTGCTTGCAATTTATCATCACACTTGCACTGTTGTTTTTTGGGGCTACAGAAGGAAACAAAAATAATTCTAGTACCTTTGCTCTTACTAAAAGTGGGAAAACAGGCTGGGCACAGTGGCTCACGCCTGTAATCCCAACACTTTGGGAGGCTGAGGTGGGCGGATCACGAGGTCAGGAGATTGAGACCATCCTGGCTAATACGGTGAAACCCCATCTCTACTAAAAATACAAAAAATTAGCCAGCATGGTGGCAGGCACCTGTAGATCCAGCTACTTGGGAGGCTCAGGCAGGAGAATTGCTTGAACCCGGGAGGCGGAGGTTGCAGTGAGCCGAGATCGTGCCACTGCATTCCAGCCTGGGCGACAGAGCGAGACTCCGTCTAAAAAAAAAAAAAAAAAAAAAAAGGTGGGAAAATAAAAGAGAGACCAGAAAAATGTAAATTTCACTGGGTAGGGATTTATGTCTGTTGAGTTCACTGATGTAATATCCAGGGCCTACCTGGCCTGTGGCAGGTGCTCAACAGATATCTATTGATGGAAAGAATGGGTGGGTGAGGGCCTACTTCTCTGTGGAAATTGCCACTTTACTCATTTTGGTTGCTTTTTGCTGACCTGTGTGGGCATTTGTGTTTGGGACTCTCTCTCTGGGGAGGTGGCAGGGAGCGGGGTAGGTGCATTACCTTCCTCGGTTAGCGTGTGGCTTGCGGAGATGTCTTCATCGGCATCAGTGACTATGACTGAGTAGGTGCCCAAATCCTCGAGGCCGGGTTCTTTCAGGATGACCTTGGACCTGGCAGAGAGAGGAGAGCAGAGGCTCTGGGAGGAGCTCCTTGGTCCTGTGCACTAGAGGCCTGGGAGCCAGGGAGTCCAGGTTGCTTCTGGTGAGCCTGTACCCCAAGCAGACCCTGGCCAAGTCAGGAAGCACAGGCAGCTGCCTCCTGCTACCTCCTTAGGGTCCCCTCTGGCCTGACACCTTCAATGGTGCCATTATCTGGGCTCTCTGGCACTGGGTCTGCACTGGCCACACCACCCTGACTTCCTCCAGGGCTTGAGGCATAGGCTTTATGCCTTCTGGACAGAGCTGAGGCCGTGAGCCGCTGGGGGAGGATGAGACATGGGGGCATGTGACAGGGGCCCTTGTGGTCATCTGGTCCAACTCTGCATACTATAGATGAAGAACCTGAGTACAGAGAACTTGCAAGAGCAAGTCCCTGGCAGCCAGGCTAGAATCCAAGTCCTCTTTGAAGGTCTCCTTGAAGGTACTTAGTTAGAGGCACATACAATTCCCTACAGAAAAGGAATCTCCAAAAGAACAATGCCATTGGCTGAGCGCAGTGGCTCACGCCTGTAATCCCAGCCCTTTGGGAGGCTGAGTGGGGAGGATTGGTTGAGCTCAGGAGTTAGAGACAAGCCTAGACAACATAGCGAGACCCCATCTCTACAAAAAATACAAAAATTAGCTGGGCATGGTGACATGTGCCAAGCTACTCAGGAGGCTGAGGCGGGAGGATCACTTGCTCTTGGGAGGTCAAGGCTGCAGTGAGCCGAGATCATGCCATTGCACAGCCGGGGCAATAGAGCAAGACCCTGTCTCAAAAAAAGAAAAGAAAAGAAAAGAAAAGAAAAGAAGAGAAAAAATAGCACCATTGCAGCCGCTTAAATGCACTCTCCACTCTTCTCACTAAGGTGGCAGTCAGCGTCCTCAGTGAAAGACTGAGCAGCGCCTTTCAACCATCATGGATGGGTCCTGCCCTGTGGTCTCAGCCAGGAGCCCCTGCCAGCTCCTCTGACAGTATTTGGGTCCCGTTGAGCAGTTGTTTCTCCTCTCGCCTCACTTACTTGTTAACTTTATCCTCGATCTTGACCCTCTGGGGGTCCAGTGGGCCCTTGTAGTCTTTGGACCACTGAAACTCTGAGGAGTCGGGGGCTTCAGGGGCTTCAAAAGCCAAATAGATAAAGCCCTCTTCATCCACACCAACCTCGATCTCATGGGCACCTGAGGGCGAGATCCAACAGAGGGCAGCGGATGTTTATGCATAATAAACCAGGTCACACCCCTCCCCTGCTTAAACCTCCAGGGCCTGCCTGTTGCACTTAATAATAAACTTGACTCCTTGCTGTGGCTGCCAAGGCCTTGCAGGATCCGGCTCCTTCCCACCTCAAATGTCACCTCTTCAGAGAGGCCCTCCTTGACTGCCCTAGCTAAGCATCCTATCACCCTGTTTTCTTTCTTTTATAATAAAGCACGTATCTCTATCTTAAATCGCTTTCCTCATGCAATAGTTTACTTGTTTACTGTCTTCTGCTCCCCCCACCCCTACATTAGAGCAGGGATCTTACTCTCTCATTCACTCCTGTATTCGCAGTGCAATGTGCGCATCACCAAATATTTATTAAATGAATGAATAATTAAAAGAATGGAAAGAGAATGTGCTTTGTAGTTGGGAGAGGTGAGTGATTCTGTCATATACTAGCGTGTGACCTGGTTGATCTTCTTTGAGCTATAATAAAATCAGTGCCAGTGTGGGATGATGACCCCTCCCTCAGGGGCTTGCTGGAGGGCCAGAGAAGTGTGAGGGCCTAGCACAGCATCAGGCTTCTCCCAACTTCCCTTGAACTCCACCCGTCCCCAGTGGCGTAGCCCAGTGGCAGAGCTCTGGCCTCTCCGGCCACCCCTACCTGGCTTGTCCTCCAGGAGCACGGGATCAGTGGGCATGGACGGTTGCCCCAGACCAGCTGAATTCATGGCCTGTACCTGGAACACGTAACTCTTTCCTGGCTGCAAGTCGGAAACCTGGGGGCAGAGGGCAAGAGCCAGCACTGAGGACAGCAGTGACTCTTCCTGAAACCTGGGCCCCAGGGAGCAGGGAGCCACTCTCAATAAGAAAACCCTCTCCCTTCTTGTGTCCCTCATCTTTCCATGTGACAAAGATGGCCATTCAACACCTGGGGATTGTCTTTGCCATTCTTTTCTTGGGTCCTCTCCACCAATCACCAGGTTCCATCTGTTTTATTTCCCTAATGTTTCTTTTTTTTTTTTTTTTTTTTTTTTGAGACGGAGTCTCGCTCTGTCGCCCAGGCTGGAGTGCAGTGGCGGGATCTCGGCTCATTGCAAGCTCCACCTCCCGGGTTCACGCCATTCTCCTGCCTCAGCCTCCCAAGTAGCTGGGACTACAGGCGCCCGCCACTACGCCCGGCTAATTTTTTGTATTTTTAGTAGAGACGGGGTTTCACCGTTTTTAGCCGGGATGGTCTCGATCTCCTGACCTCGTGATCCGCCCGCCTCGGCCTCCCAAAGTGCTGGGATTACAGGCGTGAGCCACCGCGCCCGGCCCCTAATGTTTCTTTTTTCTTTTTTTGAGACAGAGTTTCACTCTTGTCACCCAGGCTGGAGTGCAGTGGCGCAATCTCTGCCCACTGCAACCTCTGCTTCTCCGGTTCAAGTGATTCTCCTGCCTCAGCCTCCCAAGTAGCTGGTACTACAGGCACCCACCACCATGCCCGGCTGAGTTTTGTATTTTTAGTAGAGGTGGGGTTTCACCATGTTGGCCAGGCTAATCTCGAACTCCTGACCTCAGGTGATCCACCCCCCCTTGGCCGCCGAAAGTGCTGTGATTACAGGTGTCAGCCACTGCACCTGGCCTCCCTAGTGTTTCTTAAATGTGACCACTTTCCTCCAGGTCCCGTCCACGGTCGTGATTGAGGCTTTGTTTCTCCTCACCTGGGGCAGTCCAACAGTTTCCTAAAGGGCGTTTCTGCCCTGGGACTCTTCTCCCCCAGTCTGTCTTTCCCTCTGCCAATCTGATGATGTGTACATCTTTTAGTGGCCTTCAGGGTCAAGTTCAAATTTCGAGGTCGAGTACCTATAATCTTCCTAACCTGGCCTTAGCCTGTTGTCCTCTTGCCCCTCCATCTGTCCCCTTCACTCCACACTCTCTCAGTATCCCCACATCCATCACGCCATTTCACACCTCCCTGCCTTTGCCCTTGCTGAGTGCGCTGCCTGGAATGCCGTCCCGCCTCCCTCCTGGCTCACTCCAGTGTAGCCTGTGCTTCATCACCCAGTTTCGGCAGATGCATGGATTCCAGGAAGCACCTCTCACCTTCTCCTTTGAGCGTCCAGAATTCCTGAGACCCCCTCAATTGCAGCATTTATCACGCAGTATTGTTATTGCCTGCTACCCAACAACTGTGACTTATTTAGCTTCCCATGCCTAGGAATTGGTCCAGGCCTGGCATTAAAGCAGGTGTGAAGAAATGTTTAGCCGGTGGCTGACTGACCGAATGGCGGCCAACTGTCCACATGCAGAAGCCGGTGCCAGATCACCTAGGCTGTCCCGCCCTGGCCTGGGCCAACCTACATGCGGAGGGGGCGAGCCACTCATATAGGGGAAGACCTCAAGGTCTCAGCAGAGTCCCCTGGCTGAGGCTTGTCTTCCCTGATTCTGTCTGAGGTGGCCTTAATTTCATTTTTTGGTAAAATGAAGGTATTTTAATTTTTTCCGATTATAAAAGAGATACACACTTGTTGGGAAACATTTTAAGTGATAAAGCACAACACGAAATGAAGGACTAAAGCGCCCCTGGCAGGCTCTCCCCCAGAGATGACCAGAATGGACCATTTAGTAACAGTATTTTTAGAGATTTTTTTTTTTTTTGAGGTGGAATCTTGCTCTGTGGCAGGGAGTGCAGTGGTGCGATCTCGGCTCACTGCAACCTCCGCCTCCCAGGTTCAGGTGATTCTCCTGCCTCAGCCTTCTGTGTAGCTGAGATTACAGGCACGCGCCACCACACATGGCTAATTTTTGTATTTTTTTTGTAGAAATGAGGTTTCACTATGTTGGCCAGGCTGGTCTCGAACTCCTGACCTCAGGAGATCCGCCTGCCTCGGCCTCCTAGAGTGCTGGGATTACAGGCATGAGACCCGCCGTGCCCAGCCAAAATCTTTTTAGACTTTTACAAGGACATAATCCATGTAGAAACAGGACATGCACCGTATCCTATTTGTTAGTATCTTATTCTTTGCCATTGTTACGGGCTTCTTGAGCCTGCCTTCTTTCCTCTGGGTGCTCCCTAATGAAATGTTGATGAATGGGTTTGAAAACTGCATATCCTCCTGCCTGCTGGGGAAAAGCACCCAGGAAAATGGGCTGGAGAAATACTTCCCCTTTTCCTAGGGCTGCAGAAAATGGAAACTAATCCACATAACATTCTTACAAATATTCCTCAAATAAAGGAGGCCCTGAGACACATTGGCCTTAGGTGTAGACGCTATGGCCTGTGAAAGTGGCCTTCAGTCACCTGGAAGTCTAACTCTGATTGGTTGTCTAAGGTAGTAATTTGTGTCTGTTAATAATGCTTCAAGTGACTTCTTTGTTTCCTGATATGTCTAAGTATTTGTGAGTTGTCTTGGTTAGGCCAGGAGAAGACTATTTGTGATTTTCTTACCTCCTGCATGTGTGGAAGTTAAAACAACCATCACTCCAGAACAAAACTAGTGATTCTGCTAGACCTCTCATTTAGCCAAAGACTCTAGAGTTTGTTTCTCATTTAAATTAAGGAACATGTATCTGCATACATGTTTATTTATCTATATTATATCTAACATGTTACATATATTATATGCTATTCACATATAAATATCCTACTCTGTATTCTGCTTTGTTTTTCTTAGCCATATAGGATGGATATCTTTTTGTGTCAATACATGCACGTAGGTCCACCTCATTCTTTTTTTTGAGACAGGGTCTTGCTCTGTCCCCCAGGCTGGAGTGCAGTGGTACGATCACGGCTCCCTGCAGCCTGGACCTCTGTGGGCTCAGGTGATCCTCCCACTTCAGCCTCCCGAGTAGCTGGGACTACAGGTATATACCACCACACCTGGCTATTTTTTTTTTTTTCTAGAGATGAAGTTTCTCCATGTTTCCCAGGCTGGTCTGGAACTCCTGGGCTTGAGCAATCCTCCCACCTCGGCCTCCTCAGAGTGCTGAGATTAAAGGAATGAGCCACCATGCCCTGCCCATCTCCATTCTTTATACTGTCTTGTTCCTTTAACTGCCTTATTCTTTATACTGCCTGGCACAGGATTCTACTTTTAAGGTACACTGTGATTAACTTAAGCAACACCCTTACTAATGGACGTTTAAGTTGTTTCCAGCTTGGGCCGTTACAAACAAGGCTACAAGAAGCATCCTTGTCCTTAGATCTTTGCACGTTTGCCTAATTACCTGTCTATAATTCAATCTCAGAAGCAGAATTGCTGGGTCAAGGGATATACATGTGCAAATGCTGATATACCTGGCTGATACCAAGTGAGTCTTTAGGGAGGCACCTGCCTAGCATGGAGCAGGATATGGGCACCAGCCAGCCAGACCTACCTCCAACTTGCTGTGTGACCCTAGGTAAATCGCTCTTCCTCTCTGGTCCTCTGCTTCCATTAAGTGAGAGCAGTGATGTCTGGAGGTCATTCCAGCTCTGATGCTCTAGTGGCAGGGAAGGCTCAGGGCCAGTCAGAAGATGAAGGCATAAGAACTTACCCTCAGGTGGGTGCCAGAGATGGGGCCTGGGGTGACCGGCTTCCACTGCTCAGAGCCTTCCTCCTGGAAACTGACGTGATAGCCTGTGACAGGCCCAGCCCCCATATACAGTGGGGGTTCCCACTGCAGCACCAGGGATGTGGCCCGCACCTCGGATGCCCGTACATCGTACGGGGGGCCTGTGACAAGTGAGAGATGGGAAGAGATGTGTGAGTTGGGCAGCCAGGCAGCCAGCCAGGTAAGCAGCAAGCCCAGCAGTCAGTCAACAAGCTTGTCAATCCCTCAGTCACAGTCAAGCCAGGAAGGGCCTGTTCTGGGTGTCGCCAAGCCCGGGCCAACCTTGGCTTCATGACAAAGCCTGGCTCTGGGCCTGAAACCACGGTTAACTTTTCAAAATGCGCTCAGCCTCCCCTCCTCCCGGTAGCTTCCCTGACCTTCCCCATCCCCATCCCAGACAGCATTAATCCTTCTAAAGTGCTTCAGTGTTTAGTGACTCTAGTGTAACTTCTAGAGTCAGACCTCTGGGGTTCATGTCAAAACTCCACCTCTTCCAGATATGGGGACTCTGGATGAGATACTTAGCCTCTTTGTTCCTGTCCCCTCGTCTGTAAAATGGGGATAATAATAGCTCTTATAATATAGTGCTTTTGTGAGCATTAGTGAGATAATTTATGAAAAGTGTTTGGTACCTAGTAACGGCCCAATAAATACTCGTTGTTTATAATTGTGGTTGTCGAAAGCATCATATGTTTTAGTTATCTGCCACTGAGGTAGAGGTTTTGTGTAGAAAACAGAACTGAGCTGAACAAAATGATGGAAGGGTGTGATTCTCCTTCCTCAGTGGGAGGTGAGGGGCTCATTTGTGAGAAGACTTACTGGGTTATGGGAGCAGTGGGTAGGGTGGCCAACTGTCCATTTGTCCAAGACTAAGAGGGTTCCTGGGACTTGGGATTTTCAGTAGGAAACTGAAAGTCTCAGGCAAACCAGGACTAGTTACTCACCCTAGCAGTGCACCTTTGGGGCTGGAGATTGGTCTATGGCTAGAAGCAGGCAGGCTCTCGAGTTGGGAAATAGTTTGTGCTGGGGATACAGGGCCAGTTGATGGCCCAGGTCAGGGGTCCTTTAAGACAGGCTTAGGACTCCATTTGTGTCAGGAATTATAGAGTGGGTTTGTGCAAGGGCCAGGGGCCTGGGGTGCAGGACAAACAGTGCAAGCCTGAATGCATAGAGGAGAGCGGCAACCTTCATCTCATTGGGTAGGTTTGGGAAGGAGGGAAGGGCAGGCACTGGACTTCAGGCCTGCAGGCCTCTCACCTGGCTGGGGCATTGTCCACTCTTTGCACTCAAACAGGCTGCTGGGTGCCGACAGCTCGCCAACACCTGCCCAGTTGGCAGCCCGGGCACGGAACTCATAGAAGTGGCCTTCATGAAGGTCACTGACCTTTAAGAGCAGAAACACAAACTATGAGGCTGAGGCTGGAGGAGGGATGGGGAACAGAAGCAGTGGTGCGGGAGGGACTCAGAGCAGGTGGTCTGTGGGGGCTTTGCTTTTATTTTTATTTTTTGAGACATGGTCTCACTTTGTCACCCAGGCTGGAGTGCAGTGGCATGAACATGGCTCACTGCAGCCTCAACCTTCTGGGCTCATGCAGTCCTCCTGTGTTAGCCTCTCGAGTAGCCAGGACTACAGGCGCGTGCCACCACACTCAGCTAATTTTTGTATTTTTTGTCAAGACAGGGTTTTGAACATGTTGCAGACTGGTCTCAAACTCCCAAACTCCTGAGCTCAAGCAATCCCAGCTCAAGCTTGGTGGCTCTAAACAGTTCTGTTCAAGGTGGGTCTGCACTGGAAAATGATCTCGATGGCTGAGGCAGGGGAACTTGAGACTTCTGTCAGCCTCTGTCAGACTCCAAGACTCAAGCAGTGCCCTCTGGTCGCTGCTAAACAAGTCATGACACAGGCTGGGGCCACCTTCCAGCCCTACCTTGCAGACCCGGGTGGGGATGGGCTGCTGATTGACCGCATGCCAGTCCAGCTCTTCCGAGTCATGCTGGTCCAGGAAGTAGCCCAGGATCTTGCCACCTCCACGACGCTTGGGGGGTTTCCACCCAATGACCATTTCATTCTTCCCGCAGTTCAGGAGGGCAAAGCCATATGGGGCAGACGGGGTAGCTACAGGGAGGTAAGGAGGTGAGGACAGCTGCTCCCTAGGGGTGGCTGGATTGGACAGTGGGGCCTGAGGGAGCTGACGAGCCTCCTCTAGTTGGTGCCTGCCCTACTCCAGGGGTTTTTCCCTGAGCCAGTAGTATCTGTGCCTCAGGAGGGCATCGGAGCCTCAGGTTTCTGGGTCTGAGGGCTTCCCCACCCCCCAGAGCTGCTCAGGCCCCATCCCATGGCCTCAAGCCATGGTTACTTCCTTCCCAAAGGAAAGGGCAGCCAGGGCCAGCTCCAGTTTCCCTCAGAGGGCGTATGTGCCACTGGCCACCAGGACTGGGCCCTCCAAGATGTGATCTATGAGCCCCAGCTCCCTGCCCAGCCCAGGGAGGTTTGCAGGCTGGACCTGCCCTTGGACTCACCCAGAGCCTGCTTGACCCTGATGGGCTCGGTGGCGGCTGAGCTCTCGCCTACCCCAGCCTCGCTGACTGACCTGACACAAAACTCGTACTCCTTCCCCGTCCTCAGCCCGGGAACTGTAAACCTGGGAGAGAAATGTGCAGCTTTCATGGATGTACAAACAGCCTGGAGACATTCCCAAACTTGCTAGAACAACTTTGTGGAATAAGTGGTCACCAGCGTGGTAGAATTTGAAGGTTCAGGTCAATTCTTCCTAAAAATATTGCCCTTGATCCCATGGCAATGCCTGAGATGACACCGTGGAGGGGGTAGACCTAAGAGTTTTAAAGGATGTTTGCTTTTCCAGATCCACCCTTAAAACGCAAATACGCTAGGAAAGGTTCTAATTTAAAGCAAAGGCAGCCAACCCCAAACCCAGCGCCACATGGTACATCTTCAAGACTTTGGGCTTTGTCCTTGAAAAAGAACATGTGGCTGTTAATACCTGCACTAATGCTGGGATGCAAAAACACCGAGTCCTTTCAGAGCCCTCAAAGAGAATTGTCATCCAGAGACACGCAAGGATGCTCTAGCTTAGAGAAAAATGTCCTTCTCATCCTGTCCCTTCTTGATAAGACCCAATTGTGGACCTCTTTCTCTCTCTTCACCTATCAACGTTCTCCTAGAGCAAATCTTGTTTTGCAGGGAGCTCTTCTCAGCCAGGCCTTCATCTTTCTTCCATGTTGGATGCTTCCTGACCTTGAAAATTGGACTCCAAGTTCTTTAGCTTTTGGACTGGGACTTACACCAGTGGTTTGCCAGGAGCTCTCAGGCCTTCGGCCACAAACTGAAGGCTGCACTGTTGGCTTCCCTACTTTTGAGGTTTTGGGACTCGGACTGGCTTCCTCGCTCCTCAGCTTGCAAACAGCCGGTTGTACGACTTTACTTTGTGATTGTGTGAGTCAATAGTCCTTAATAAACTCCCTTTCCTATATACATCTATCCTATTAGTCTGTCCCTCTAGAGAACCCTGACTGATACAGAAAGGGTGAGGGGTGGTATGGAGCCTGAACTCAGGCCTCCCTGGCTCCAAAGCTCTCCACTGCTCTGCCCTCCCCACCTCTCTCTGGGTTTAAGCTCCTGGAGGGATGAGACCAAGGCATGGTCATCTCTATCCATGGAGTCCTGCAAATAGCACATTCTCAACAAAGTTTGTTGAAAAAGACCATCTGGGTTCAAGTCCCAGTCCTGCCATTTACTAAGCTACAAGGGGCTTTGGCAAGTTATGTAACCTCTCCATGCCTCAGTTTCTTCATCTGTAAAATAATAAAAATAATAGTCCTACACATTTAGGCTTGCAGGTAGAACTAGATGACCTCACATATGAAAAATGCCAGAACAGTACCTGGCGCAGGGTAAATATTGTGAAATGCTGGGCTTCATTATCATTATGGCCCCCTTTCAAGGATGCCTGGTGCAGGAAGAGGGGTGATCTGGTTTGGCTCTGTACTCCCACTCAAATCTCATGTTGAATTGTAATCCCCAGTGTTGGGGGAGGGACCTCGTGGGAGGAGATTGGATCATGGGGGCGGATGTCCGCTTTGCTGTTGTCAAGATAGGGAGCAAGTTCTCATGAGATCTGCTTGTTTGGAAGTGTGTAGCACTTCCTGCTTTGCTCTTTCTCCCTCTCCTGCTCCCGCCATGTAAGACATGCTTCCTTCCCCCTCGCCTTCCGCCATAATCATAAGTTTCCTGAGGCCTCCCCAGAAAAAGAAGCCTGTATAGGTCGCAGAACTGTGAGCTGATTAAACCTCTTTTCTTTATAAAAGAAATTACCCAGTCTCAGGTATGTCTTTATAGCAGTGTGAGAACAGACTGATACGGGTGGGCAGACGTACCTGGTGCCTTGGATGGGTTTGTTGTTAACTGTTTGCCACTCAGATGTCCCCACCTTCCGGGAGTAGATGTAATAACCCAGGAGCTCTGGGTCTTTCACAGGATCCCATGTCAGGGAGACAGAGGTCTGTGTGTCTCTGAAAGCTTGAACTTGAGCTGGAGGAGGGAGGGTAGCTAAAAAATAGAAACATGGGCTGAATGAGAAGGCTGAGTTACATGGGTCTGACAGGCTGGGGAAGGGGAGGAGCATGGGGAGAGGCCAGAAGGAGCTCCCACAGCAATCAAGGTGCATGAATTCCTGACCTGCTGGGGGCTTTGGGACCTCTTCCCTAGGCCCAGAAGTGTATCCTAAAAGTCCTCTCTCCCCTTACCTCTGAGCATCTCTGCTTCCTCACTAAAGCACAAAAGCATACTCACTCATTCATCCTTACACACACACACTCTCTCTCACTCAAAAGTCACCAAATCTGATAGGTTTCCTCAGTCCTTATCTTTAATCTCAGTTTTCTTTCCTTGAAATTTCTCTACTGATTTTCATGGCTCCCTGAAACTAAGCTTTTTGAGATAGGGGCTGCTGTAACTTGTTAAATGGATGGATGGATGGTTGGTTGAATGAATGGATGGATGGATGGTTGGTTGGATGAATGGATGGATGGATGGATGGATGGATGGATGGACAGATGGATGCATGGACAGGTGGATACATGGATGAATAAATGGATGGATGGATGGATGGATAGATGGATGGATGAATGGATGGATGGATGGACAGGTGGATTCATGGATGAATAAATGGATGCATGGATGGATGGATAGATGGATGGATGGATGGATGGATGGATGGATGGATGGATGGACAGGTGGATACATGGATGAATAAATGGATAGATGGATGGATAGATGGATGAATAGATGGATAGATGGACTGATGGGCAGATGCATGGATGGACTGATGGATGGCAGGTGCATGATCTTCCTAGTTCTCTTTTTATTTCTAAACTCCTTACACATCCTTTGGTTGTTCTCTATTTTCTTTTGGCCCCCAAACGTTGGACTCATCCAAGCTTCTGTTCCTTGACCTGCTCCACTTTTTCTCCTCTCTTCTTATTCCTAAGGGTCCTGCCTATCCCAGGTCTTCATCCCTCACCTGTTTGAAGGCTTCACCTCTAGCCCTGCCCTCCCTTCCTTTCTGAATTATACCAGAGCCTTGCCTGGTACAATTTAAGTGTGGTTTATGGTCCAGAGACTGCCCACATCTGATGACTAATTGCTCACTGGCCAGGCCCCAAATCAAATCCAAATGTTAACCAGAAGTAAAGAAAAGCACCACTTGCTCACCAACTTGTTCATATGTGCCGTGTGTGTATGTGTGTGTGTGTGTGCGCGTGTGTATTTTTTCCCCTCTAAATTATTGAAGCAGAACAAATCTAGAACTTTGAAATCTTCCCCAAATGGGACCTTCAGCAAACCAGGCTTTTCTTGCATAGGTGGTACTGTAGCAAGGTTCCTTAAAGGGCTGATTGTGATGGCAGCTACGGGGAATCTGATGAGAGGGTAAAGAACCTCAGAATCCAGAGGCCTCAGAGGTGGGAGCCCTGGGAAGCTGGGGTCAGGATGCAGTTGCAGTTGGGAGACTCAGGAAGGAGCCAGAGGTGGGAGCAGTGATGGGGCCCTTTAGAACAATGGGTTTGCCAGTTGAGGACAGCAAGGTGTGCAGCTTGGAAATGACTCTCCCAGGTCCCCCGTTATGCTGCAGGTGAGTGGTGTCCTGCCTGGTAAGCCAGGGCTCAGGTGGGACAGCTCAACCCCCACCAGACAAGGAGCAGGGGGCTGCTTGGGAGTGAGCTGCAGGATCTAGGGGCAGGCCAGAGACCTGTGGAACGGAGGGACCAGTTGCTTGCACAGCTGCTGTGCAGGGCCCAGCTGTGCACTCTAACCCATGCATTGCTGATCTGGAAAAAGGCAGAAGGCTCTCTCCCTCCATGAGCCTTCTGCCCAGAGAAATGTGATTTCTGATGTCTTAAAACTCCCCAGGCCTGAGATCAAATTGCTTTTCAGCTTCATGATGGGTAGAAGGGAGCGGGGACAGGGAAGTGGGCAGGGCTTTGTCCCTGCAGCTTCAGGTCCTGAGCCTGGCCTGGCCTGCCTCCTCCCCGACCCCCGGCATCAGGAGGGTACCTGGCGGGCCCCGCAAGGCGATGGGTTCGCTGGGCTCCGAGGGATCGCTCAGGCCATACTGGTTCATTGCTCGCACTCTGAAGACATACGACTTCTTTTTCTCCAGGTCCAGAACGGCGAATCTCGGGGATCTCACAGGGCTTTCCGAGCTGATGGCCTCCCAGGTGCCACTACCTATGACTGACTGAAGAAACAGAGGGACTCACATTGGCTAACTGGTCGCCCAGACCGGCTCTGTGCTGGTCACCTCCCATGATCTCTGTCCCCAGCCCGTGTGCTCTCATGATCCTCTATACTCAGCCCAGGCTGCCCCTGAGCATGGGGCTCTGCCCCATCTGCCTCCTCACCTCTCCACCCGGATTCCTACCGAGACCTCACGTCCAGCCTGTCCACAACGCGGCTCCAGAGCTTCCCACACCTGCATTGCACTGGTGGCCCCCATCCTTCCAGTCCCTCGGGTGAAACCCCTGGAGCCACCCTTGGCCCTTCCTCTCTTTGTCTCATGCCCTAAATGTGCTCCATGAATGAACCCAGTTGGCTCACCCTTCAAAATTTACCCAGAAACCAGCCATGCCTTATTGTCCTCATGCTCCCCACCATAACCTTGATGCAGGCTGCCAGCACCCCGCACCTGAACGATCTCAATGGCCTCTTGACTGGTCTCCCCTCCATTTCTACCTATAACCCCCTTCCGTCTTGTCTCAAATGGCCATCAGGGGGATCCTTTTATAGCACGTGTCAGACCAGGTCCCTGTCTGCCCAGAACCCTCCCACGTCCCGCATCTCCCTCAGAGCAAAAGCTTCCCCATCGCCTGACCCCTCGGCCTGTCTGGCCACCGTTCCCTCTGCCCTTAGTCTCTGTGCCTCTCTGCTGTTTCCTGAGGGTCCAAGTCCCACCTCTGGGCCTTTGCACTTGCTGGTCCCTCAGCCTGGAATGTTCTTCTCCGAGAAATCTCTTGGCTTCCTGTAGGCCTTTAATAAAAATCCACCTTCCTGGGCAGTGGGGAGGCCATCCCAGCCACTCCATCTAAAAATGTCAGCAGCTCCTCTCCCCACACTTCAAGTTCCCCTCCCTGCTCAATGTCTTTCTCCTTAGCGCCTACCACTCACTACTGTGCTTAATATTCTACTGATTTACTCCATTTATCATTGGCACCCCCTCCCCTGACTGCCGTGTCCCTAGGGCCAAGAACAGGACTGGCACATAGCAGGTGCTCCATCTATGTTTCTGGGACAAATGAATGAACAAATGAATGAATTCTCACAATAACCCTGCAGGAAGGTGTTAATTTCTCTGCCGATGAGGAAAGTCAGGTTCAGAGAGTTTCGGTAACTTGGCCAAAAGTCCTGCATCTAATAACTGGTGGATATAGTATTAAACTTCACTCAGGTGTGGTTGGCTGCGAACCTGTTTACTCTCCACAGCATCAGGGACCCAGAAGGCAGCCAGAAACCCCGAGTCTCTGGGCAGATGGAGGGTGGAGAGCCCAGGGTGAGACAGATGAGTGAGGTACCCAGAGACCCTTTCTGCTGAGTCTGGGCAAGAGAGTTAAGACCTAGAAGCACAAGGGGACCCACTGATTCCACGCTCTGTGGTTTTCCCCCCACAAGCCCATCTGGCTGTCAGTGGCCTAGACCAGGTAGGACAAGAAATTGCCATAAGAAACCATGAACACTGCTGAGCTCCTACTGTGTGCCAGGCTCCATTCTAAGTCTTTATGTGCGCTAATTAATTTGATCCTCACATTAACCCTACAAGCTGTGTATGATTATTATCATTTTATGGAAGAAGAAACAGAGGCACAGAGAAACTAAGTAACTTGCCCAAGGTCACGCAGCTGGTAAGTAGCAGAGATAGAATTTGAACCCAAGCAGTCTGACGCCAACATCTTCACCATGATACACTACCACCTTGTGAAACAAATCCTCAATTATCTACAGCTTTCCTATGTCGGAGAAAAAGGATTACCCATGAGTGTGAAAAGAGAGGCCTGTTTGGATAATCAGAGCCAGAGATTCCTCCCTGGAAATTTTAAATTCATTTATTCCCTAAACATTTTCTGTCCACCTAGTTTGTGCCAGGCATTGTGCTGGGCACAGAAAGTAATGAGAAGATAAACTTAGTCTCTGACTTCAGGGAGATAGTCAAGAACACCTCCTTGGGAAGCACTGACAGATCCCAGGGGTTGCTGGCTTTGGCTGTGGGCTGTGTTTTATTTCATCTTCACAGGGCAGGTTCTCTATTCTATGCTGGAGGAAACTGAGGCTCAGAGAGTTTAGGACACTCACTCAGGATCACACAGCACAAGGAAGGATTTGAATAGATTTTGACACCATGCTGTCTTCTACTCTGCCATACTGCCCCCCCTCCACTGTGAAGTTCACTCCACAAGACCTGCCTCATCCCCGCCGGGGTCTCCCCTGCCCCCACTCCCCAGTGAGAGCCACCTCCTAGTGCTAATCACACCATAGGCTCTGCAAGTGCTGCTGGTGCCTGTCCCTGGCTGGAGGGTACCAGCCTTGTTTCCCTCCCAACATAGTCCCACCAAGAAGTGCTTGGCCCCAATGTGTGGTCTGATGCCATCTGGCTTGGGGGCAGGGAGGTACCCAGGAAGTGGTGGATCGTATTGTCATTGTTGTCTGTGTCTTGTATTTTGTGTATTTCCACGAACAGCCTCAGGAACGACCAGCAGTGACTGGCTTCCAGGGCTAGAGGTAGCTGCAAAAGGCTATTCAATCCATCCCCTTGCCTCTGTGTAGGGCCATGCCTGGGCCCTTCTGGCCAGGGGATTCTCTTTCATTCTCTGACGGCCTCCCCAGGGGACACTGCCCAGGGTCCCACAGCACATCTGTTTCTCAGGCTGGCCTGGGGCTGGGGCCTCGGGGTTCCCTACCTTCTCCAGGGAGTACGTCAGTGGTGCTCTGTCCCGGGGGCTGGGCTCCTCCCAGGCCAGAACCACATAGGCCTCTCGGATCTCGCTGGCATGGACATTGGTTGGCGGTGAGGGGATGGTCACAGTATCTGAAATCAGAGTCACCCGGGACCGAGATGGTTGGACCCTCAGAGACCCCCTAATCTCAGTGCCTCATTCCATGGAAGAGGGAACTACACCCCTACCCATCCCCCAGAGAGGGGCAGTAGTTGGCTCCAGGTCACTCAGCAATGCTGGGCAGAGCCGGGGCTAGAACCCAGGTCTCCCACTGCTCTGGCCAGGACTTTTCCCAATGTGTTCCCTCCTCCAGGAGGGCCACAGCCAGATGGGCCACAGTGACCCCAGCACTCTGACTGCCTCCAACTAGGCCCCACCTGCCCTCATCCCCCACACCCTGCACTGGGACAGCTTCTGCCTCTTTGCCAGCTCATGTCCCAGAGTTTTGAGAACTATACAGGAGGCCCAGTGTGTGGGAGGATCCCGCGTACCTTCAAAAGCGTCTGTGCTGATGGTGATCTTGTTTCCCAGATCAAAGGGGATCTCTAGGATGAGAAGGGAGCATGGGAGGGTGGGGGGTGGCACAGGAGGAGTTAGGCCAGGAGCTACCCCACACCAGGGTCTGCGTCCTGCCCCGTCCCAGTCCTGGCCTTGCAGCCCTCGCTGTGCAACCTCAGACAGGTGCCCTCCCTCTGGCCTCAGCTTTCTCAGGAGTCCCAAGTGGAGCCCTGCTGCTCTCAGGCCCTGGCACATGCTCTTCCTCTTGGGACAAGTGGAGACAGAGAGGAGGAGGGAGGTGCCTGGCGCTGGGCACCCTGCCACGGTGGAGCTTCTAGCACACCCAAGTCAGCGTGGCTCCCGAGGGCTGAGAGGAGGCCGTGTCCCCGCACTCGAGCTTAAGGACATCTGACAGGTGCTGGGGTAGGGTGCTCCCTCAGACTGGTCTCTCCCATGGACAGGTTTGGTTTCTCCCATTAGACTAGCTGTATCTTCCTTCTCAGGCTAGGGGTTCCTAAGGACCGGATTGTGTCTCCTCCATCAGACTGGAAGTTCTCGAGGGCTGGCCTTTGTCTCCTTCATCAGACTAGTGTTTACTGAGGGCTGGGCTGTGCTTCCTCCACCAGACTCGGGGCTCCTGAGGGCTGGATTGTCTCCTGTGTGAGACAGTCCTGAGGGTTCCCTGACTGATGTTCTAGAAAGTCGCTTAGGACCTCTGTACCCACCTGTCTTCCTCCGGGCTGCATCATGGTCACCCATGACAACCAACTCTGAGGCCTTGGAGGGGACGCTGCTGCCTACCCTGCTGATGGCTCTCACCCGGAACCGATAGCTCTGACCTTCGACGAGGCCTTGGATTGGGCACCGACAAGTCCCTCCGGGGGCCTCATGGCAGGCGATCCATTCCCCAGACTCGCCCTGGCACCTGTTGGAGACAGGCCCCCCCTTTCAGCCCCTGCCCACAATGCACACCTTCCCAATGTGAGCCTCTACAAGGGCCTTTCTCTGACTGGGGGAGCCTGCCCAGCTCATCTCTGCCAATTAAAGTTCTTCTCTCCAATGGAAGAGCCTGGCTCCAACCTCGGGCCCCCGGGAGACCTTTTCACCATCCCTGACACTGACCAGCAGCAGTGCCTTTCATGGGGCATCATCGTGAGCCTGTGACTGTGCTGTGCCCTCCACACCCAGCCCTCGTTTTATCTCCCTGGCAGTCCTAGGGGGCACGTGTGGTCACCTTCACTGCACACATGGAGGATCTGTGGCTCAGAGAGTGACAAGACCTGCCCAAGGTCACACAGTTAGGATTTACCTGAGCTTGTCCCCTCCCTAAGTTGGCATGCATTCCAGGTTGACCCTCCAAGCCTGGGCTCTCTGTACCCTCTTGGTACCATTGTTCCAGGCAGTACGACAGTGCACGTTACCCTTATTGTTACCAGCTGGTTGAGGTAGTCGTCACATGTGGGTCCAAGTCTTGTCTCCACCACTAATGACAAATGTGTCTTTGAGCAAAGTCATCTCCCCACATACTTTGGTTTCCCCATCTATAGAAGAGGGCATTAGATAGTCCCCCTCCCCTTTAGAGACGGGTCATTGGAAGGATGGAAAGAGATGAGGCATGCCCTTAGCACGGTCATGAGCCTGTCCGTGGCAGCATTAGCTATTTTCTCAAGCTGGGCCTTCAGAGCCGGCCACACTGGAAAAAGGCCGGAGGTTCTGGCCTCTCTACCTGTTTGCCTCCTCCCTTGGGGTCAGTGCTATTCCATCTCTCTCTGTCATTAGGAAGGAAACTAGCCCACGAATTCACTGTGCTCAGGGTTCAAGCACTCCCCGTTTTGCCCCTCTGGGTCAGCTCTAGAGGGTCCACAGGGCAGTGGCCGACTCCAGCATAGAATTCCAGTTATCAGCATGACAAAGACTTGGAGGTGTGGATGCCCCTCCATTGCCCCTAAATGACACAGCACAGCCTGTCTCCTGTCCTTTTCTGAGGAGCGGGGGTGTGAGGGTTCTCTGAGGTCAGACATGGGGCCTCCTCTTTGCTGTGGCTCCCACCACCAGACAGAATTCTACCCCTAGGGCCTCTGCCACTCACGAGGTCGACTCACCGCTCAATGGTGTAGGCAGTGATGGGGTTGCCCCGGGTGTCACTGGGCGGGGCCCAAGTCAGGATGAGGCAGTCTCTGTTCACATCCAGGCATCGGACGTTCAGTGGGGAGCCTGGGGCCCCGGGGTTCTCGGCCTCGGCATCTGAAACCCGGGGGTGAGAGGGAGGCCCTTCTAGTCAGTGGCCATTTGGTGACAGGCCCTTCCCACTCCCGCCCAGCATCCTCTTCTCATCCATCCTCCAGGGGCTCAGTTTTGATCTTGAGGACTGGGGCCTGAATATTAGTCCCACTACCCCCATAGCAGTATCTGAGGGAAGGATGACAGTACCATTTCTTGGGGGCCCATTTTACACCAAGTACCTGAACAAGTGGAATAATTAATTCCAGCCCCAGAGCAGCCTTCCCCTCTTTGGATGGGGAAACTGAGTCTCCTGGAGGTGAGTGAGTGACCTGCCCAAAGTCACCCAGCTGGTGAAGTGACAAAGCCAGGATGTGAACCCAGGCCCTAAGCAGTGGCCAGAATCACTCCAGCCCCACACTCAGCTCCCAGCCTCCCTGGCTCCAGCCAGGCTAACTCTCGGGCCATGTCCCTTTGGAGGGTCATAGGATGCCACGGGGAGTCTTGGAGACCCCAACCCAAAGCCCTGATTTTATGGTAGAGAAATTGAGGCCCCAAGAGAGCAGGGTCCTTGCCTAAGGTTCCACAGCAAACAAGGGGCAGAGCCCTGGTCTCTGGGCTCCTGCTGCTACCCTGCGCCCACCCATGCCCTCACCTCTCACAAGCACGTAGGTGCTCTGTTCCCGGGGTCCGAAGGGCGAGGGCACCCGGACCATGTAGAGCCCCTCGTCCTCCTTGTAGGTGCAGGACACCTTCAGGGATGCCTGGCGGTCTGTGTAGAGGATCTTCCGACGTCTCGAGGACCTCAGTAGGCTCCCTGTGGAGGGGAAGTGGGGGGCCATTGAGTTTGTGGGGGGTCCTGGTCTCACCTGGGAACCACAGAAACTGGGGGGTCTGGAGACCCTGGCTGGGCAGAGAGAGAGGCTGGTGAGGCTCAGCTCAGGCCTTGGGTGGGGGTGGTGGCCTCCAGGGCTTTGCCAAGGCAGGCAGTGGAGAACTCTCCTTTGCAGAGGGCTTGGGGAGTAGGGAAGGGCCAGTGCGGGGCTGGGGCTCAATGAGGGAGTGAGGGTTTAGGGACATAGCCAGTGACAAGGTGAGGAGTTGTAGGTTCTCTGAGGGAGTAGGAGCAAGAGAGATGGGTCCCTGTATGGGGTCAGGGGACTCAAAGAAGGAGGGCCCGTTTGGGGGAGGTGGGAGCTCAGTAAAGGGCCTGGGTCTCACTGAGAGAGCTGGGGCCTCGGTGAGGCGGGTGGAGGACGTGTCGTGGGGTCAGGGGTCAGGTAAGGGAGTGAGGGCTCTCGGGATGGGAGCTTAGGAGGTGGATGGGGACTCAGAAGTGGAGTCCAGGGCTCAGGGGCGGGCCCTGCCTTGAGGCCACACTGTGGGGCCAGCTCTTCTCTTTGCCCCATGTGAAGGATCCGCCCTCCATTCAGCACCTCCATTCTGGAAGATCTACACGTTTGGGAAGACGTCTCAGCCTTGTTATTGCAGCTGTCAGGGATCCTGATGGCTCCCATACTCCCTGCTCCCAGCAGGTGCAGCCTCCCTGGGCTCAGAGCTGGGGGTGCCAGAGGGGCACTGTACTCTGGGTCCTTAGGCTATAGGCCTAGTCATGGATTGGGTAGGAGGTCCAGCCGTCGTCCTCCTCCCTCACTGGGCCACGTCTTCCTGCCTTGGCTCTGACCAGGCTTCTCAAGGCCTCGCCTGAGACATCCCCAGAGGCCTCCCAGCCCACGGGTCAGCAACTGTATCTGCACCACCACCCTGACTCTGCAAAGTCCGATGCAACTGTTGCAGCCTGCCCTGAGCACTTGTGGTGCCCTCCTGCCTCCCGATCTTGGGGCTCTGTTCCCATTGCTTTGAGTGCCCTCACTCACTTTTTTTTTTTTTTTTTTTTGAGATGGAGTCTTGCTCTTGTCCCCCAGGCTGGAGTGCAATGGTGCCATCTCGGCTCACTGCGACCTCTGCCTCCTGGGTTCAAGCGATTCTCCTGCCTCAGCCTCCCGAGTAGCTAGATTACAGGCACCCACCAACATGCCTGGCTAATTTTTGGTATTTTTAGTAAAGATGGGGTTTTGCCATGTTGGCTAGACCTGAACTCTTGACCTCAGGTGATCCACCCACCTCAGCCTCCCAGAGTGCTAGGATTACAGGTGTGAGCCACCACGCCTGGCCTCCCTCCCTCACTCTTAGGGAGGTAATGATGCATGCAAATGGCTGAGCAGGTGCCTGGTCAGTGCCAGCGGCTACAATTGTGCTGATGGCTTCCTCCCTCCTCCCAGGTGGACACAGCCCCCTGGGCTCATGCACATCTGCCCCTACCATTTACCCCAGCCCTAACCCAGGGCCTGGCACCCCACAGATGCTTGGTGGCCATTTATGGGGTGGCATGATCTGACCACACCTGGCTGCACTCCCGCTCTCCTCTGCCTCTTCAGCACTTTAGCACAGTTGGTACTGGTTGGGGAGAGTCTCTGTCCGCTAGGGGTCCTCTCTGGCTCTGAGTTGAGCTTTGGAGGGGCCAGCTCTGGAGGCTGGGGGCCAGGACTGGGGGTCCTTACCATCTCGGAACCACTGGATGCTCTCAGCATCTAACACATCTTCCGAAAACAAGCATGACAGGGAGAAGGGTTCCTTCTCACGAGCAAAGACTGGCTTCAGCACCGAGGTGAATTCCACGCTGGGGCCAAACGTCGATCCTGGCGTGGGAATGAAATTTGGGGCAGAAGTTTTTGAGGCAGCCAGCCTGGCCTGGGACTTAGGAGTGAGGAAATTTCTGGGGCATCCCTTCTCTTCTGGGTCTTGACTAGGAGAAGGGGACCTGGCCTTGGGGTAGGAGGGGAAGAGACTTATCTAGGTAGTGGTCAGAGCAGCCAAAGAGCAAACATCCCAAGGCCAAGTCCGTTGGTTTTTCTGGCTTTGCCTTTCAAACCCAGTTTAGGTCAGAGAACAGCTCAGCAGCTGGGGACAGCTCTGGGGTACCCTGCGGCCTTTAGAAGTCAGGTGCAGGTATTACCAGCTCATAGACAAACCCCGGTGGACGTCCTTTTATGGGCAGGGGATGGCTATATTCTAAACAGGGACTGTGGGGGTCGGGGAGCAAAGCCTGAACAAAGAATCCCAGGTCCCGTTCTCCCCCAGCCGACTTACTTTTGAAGATCTCTGAATCGAAGCCAGCATCCTTCCCCAGGTAAGCTGAAAAACCAAAGGCAAACAGAGTTGGAGAAGGTTCAGAGCCCACATTCCTATGCTATTTTGGGGACATGGGCTTTGGATATGAGTTTGAGTCCTGGTCTGTTGGTGGCTTCCCCTTGTGGCTTTGGGAAAGTTCTTTTACCTCTCTGTGCCTCAGTTTCTTCAGCAGTAAAATGGGACAGTAATTCCTACCTGGAGCAAGGAACGAGCGGGTTCACATGAATCAAGCCACCAGCCATAGCCTGACACATGGCAGGTTCTCAATACATGCTGGTTTCCTTTCCCTACCCAAACTTGCCCCCAGGATTATGCACTGTCTTCACAGCGGTCAAGCCCGCTCAGAGGCGCGGGGATTTCTGGTGGGATCAGGGAGAGTGGTGGGGGAGGGGCAGCACTGAGAGGCATCCAGGGGCTGAAGGGTGAAATCCAAGGTAATGTTGCCACAGACCACCAGAGAATAGTAACAGCAGCTCTCACTCACACAGTGCTCGCCCCATGCTCTGAGGATTGAACGAGCCAATTAAACACATAAACACATTGACTCATTCTATCTTCACAACAGCCCTGTCAGTTGGTACTATTATTATCCTCTCAAACAGAAGAGAAAACTGAGGCACAGCCGTCCAGACAACACCCCAGCAGCCTGAAGCTATGACATGACACTGGTCCCTGGAAAGGCCCTTCCTGAGCAAGGTCCAGAGAAGGGCAGGAGGCTGCCCGAGATCACACAGGTCAGTGGAAGAGTCAGGATTGGAACTCAGGGCTCCTGTCCCCCAGGCCACTAAAATCACCCAAGTGGCTACGGAGATGAAAGCAGAGAAGAGGGTGGTAGTGGCGGTGAGTGGAGTAGGAGAAGCAGAGGGTTGGCTGGAGTCTGGGGCCAAGAGCAAGCCTGGTGGACCCTGGAGTTGCCAGCCTTGATGGAGAGAGGGACAGGGATCTGGAAGGAGTGGTGGGAAGGACGGGTGGGCAGAGGGAGGCAGGGCCCCAGTCCCTGACCTTGGGCTTGACTCTGGGCATGGACTGTGGGGACAGCTCAAATTTCTGCACAAGAGCTTGGCCTGGCAGCAGGATCTGCCTCCTAAGAGCTATTTAGGGAACAGGACAGTGGGTGGAGAGGGCTGTGCAGGACAGTTTAACAAGGTCTGATGAGAGGCAGGGAGGGTGGCCTGGGATCCACCTGTCTACTGCCCAAGACAGCTGCCTCAGGAGTGTGTGTATGAGTGCGCGTGTGTGTATGAGTGCACGTGTGTGTGTGTGTGTATGTGTGCACACGTGGGCTTCTCTCTCCCGGGGGTCCTGGAACTCAGGGCACGGCATTCTTCTGGGCCCAAAGGTGTGACCCCCTTGGGCAGTGCCCTGCCCTGGTCATGGGAATGGGTACCACATGCCAAGGCTTATACGTATCATCTCATTTAATCAACTCGGGCATCTGAGAGAGGTGGTAGGATTGTAGGATTCTCCCTTTCACAGATGAGGAAATAGAGGCTCAGGGAAGTGAGGTGGCTTCCCAGATTTACACAGCCAGTTGGCAGCAGAGCCAGGATGTGAACTCAGGTCTGGCTGACTCCTGAGTGTCTACCTGCTTTATGCTGTGATTTCAGATGCCCATGGGGTGACCTCCAGGAGGGGCCCAAGCCCAGCTGGAAAATGTGCAAAAGGACCCACATGGGGCAGTGGGGGTCAGGTGGGGAGTTGCTGGGGTTTGGCTTTTGTCCCTGAGGACCCCTCAGCAGGGTTGGTGGGGCCAGACCACCCTCCCAGAGGCCCTGAGATGGATCCCAACCTAAGCGCAATCCGGTGGGCCAAGCATGCTCTTTGGCATGGCGGGCAGGTGGGTTCGCCTTGAATAACTGTGTAGGTTGTGCTCTGTGCAAAGTTATCCCCTGAGAGAGCAACTTGGGGGCTAAAATTCAGTCTGTTTTCCATTTGCCAAGCCATGTGCCCTGGAGTGGGAGCTGCACCTGCCTGCAGAAAAGGGGCCCCTTTCGCTAATTCATCCATTCAGTTCACACAAAGGTGCCCACCATGCCAGTGATGACTCTACAGAGAGAGCTGAGTTCAAGTCCCAGCCCTGCCACCGGCTGGCTCAGGATGGAATCAGGTACTATCAAGGGTGTCTGGCACACAGTGAAGACTCAGGAGAGGTCAGTTCCCTTCCCATCTCCCAGCTGCTCTTGACACCAACCCACAGGGACAGGTGATCCTGCCTCACTCACCTTCCACCATCAGCCCAGGCTGATGGAGGAGACTATCGCTTGCTGTGAAGGCCCCCAGGGAAGCGGGAGTCTCCAGGGCTGCCCTGGTCACCCAATGCCAGGCTGAACAGCCTTGTGCCTATGGCCCTTCCTCAGGTCTCACGCAGACCCATGTCCTTGTCTGCCCAGCTTGGGTTTGCTGTGGCCCGGAGTGCCTGTTGGGGTTGGGAGGACTTACTGCGGACGAGGACTTTGGCGAAGGAGGAGGCCTGGCCGTGGGCGTTCTTCACTCGCACAGTGTAAGTTGCTGAGTCCTCAATGGCGCATCTGAAAAGGAGAGAGGGAGAAGTTCCTCCCAAGACTGCTGGGCTCCATGGGAAACACAAGTCCCCTGTGTGGGTGGGAAAGGCTGGAACTAAGGAAAGCCTCACGGTGCCAGGAAGAGACTTTGGTCATTATCTCTGAAAAGCTGTGTGTTTTCTGGTTGGCCACTGCACCTTTCCATGCTTCGGTGTCCTCTGAAAAACTGGGGACACGACACCACCTAAACCGTCTCAGGAGAAAGTGCTTTAAAAATATGACATGCCACATTGCAGTTATTGCTGACTGTGGAGGATCAGAGAGGTTAAGTGACTTTCCCAGAGTCACAGAGCAAATGGAACTCAACTCAGCTTCAAACAAGGATCCTGGAGCGGGAGCCTCCTCCTTTCTCAGAGAGCAGCAGACAAACTTGGTCAAGGCAGGCTGCAATCTGGATAGAACTGAGCCAGACACCCAGGTGTTCCCAGTCTTAGGTGTGGGTCTCACCACCAACCAGGCCAACCCTGTCATGTTCCCAGTGGAAGCCTGGGCCAGCTCCATCCCAGGGGCACCCTGGTGACAGAGAGGAGGTGGTCGGATGTGGCACCTCTGGCCCCATTAGCAAGCAGAGGCCCCTTGGTGCCTCCTTTTTGCCCCTGGTCACTCAGCACAGGAACCCCTCTTGCTTCCAGGGCCAGTCCTGCCTGCCCCGGAGGTCCCCCTGGGCCTGCGCACCTTCCTTGACTGTGGAGTCCATGGGGCACCTCCCTTATATGGTCAGATATTTATGTCTCCCCACTTCTGAAGGGTAAGATGAGTGTTCTGCTTATCTTTGTGTCTCTGAGGCCTGGGTTGGTTGAGGTGGAGGGTTTGGTGTTTGGGAAACAACCCAGATAGAGAGAAATGGCTCACACCAGGCCCTGTCGCATAGTAGCTGTACAAGAGCCTTAACTTTCTGAGCCTGTTTCATCACCTGCGACATGGGGTGCTTCCCTCAAGCATGGTGGCAGGGATTATGGATCGTATGTGAAAAGCACCCAGCACAGGGCCTGGCACCTGGGAGGAACTCAGCGTGTGGCAGCTGATATGAATGATGAGTGACACAGGCCTTGGGGAGGACTGCACTCTTATATTCCCGTGTGGCCTCCCAGCATGCATCCTGCCTCTTCCCTCAAAACCATGCTTAGGACGCACCATCTCCTGAAAGGCTGAACTCTCTCCCATGTCACTGCTTCCCCTCACATGTGTATGTTTGGGTACATAAGCACATGTGTGAGCACTGTGTATGTGCATGTATGCATATGTGTGTGCACAGGTGCATATGTGTGCATATTATGGTATTTTTCTCTCCCCCACAAGGAGCCTTCCCAGCATGCCTAGTTCAGCATCCAGTCCTCACGGCCAGCCTCTGAGTCCAAATTTCTCACCGTGTATCTCAAGGCATCGGAATCACATGGTGGGTGTGTGTGTTAAATATTAATTCCTGGGCTCCATTCCAGACCTGCTTAATCTGAATCTCTGGGGGTGGGGGGAGGGTCTGTCCTGTCCCAGGAATCGGTATTTTGACCAGCACCCTAGAGACTTCTGAAGGAGGTGAACTTGGGCCTCAGCTCCGAGGAAGGGTTTGGGATCCTGCTCTGGCCTCGGCGGTGGCAGGGTCTGGGGTCATAGGTCTCTCCAGGTCTCCAGTCTCACCTCCTAATCTCCAGGGACAGCAGCCCGTAGTTGTTGGTGATTCGGTATTTTCCGGCACGAAAGAGGCGGGGATCAATCCGTGTGTCATTTTTGTACCTGTGGGGACATAGCGGTCTGTGGCAGGCAGGGTGGTTCTAAGCGGGAGGGGTCTGGAGCCTCTCGGATGGGGATTCCAGCTGCAGGTTTTTGTTTTGTTTTGTTTTTTTGAGACGGAGTTTTGCTTTGTCACCCAGGCTGGAGCGCAGTAGTACAATCTCAGCTCACTGCAACCTCCGCCTCTTGGGTTCAAGCAGTTCTCCCTGCCTCAGCCTCCTGAGTAGCTGGGATTACAGACGCCTTCCACCACGCCCGGCTAATTTTTGTATTTCTAGTAGAGACGGAGTTTCCCCATGTTGGCTAGGCTGGTCTCGAATTCCTGACCTCAGGTGATCCGCCCGCCTCAGCCTCCTAAAGTGCTAAGATTATAGGCGTGAACCACCGCGCCTGGCCTCCAGTTGCAGTTTTGTGTTGCTTACTTGCCTGTGCGATTGGAGCAGCACTTACGCCACTCTGAGCCTCAGTTGTCCTGACTCGTGAAATGGCGGTATGAGAACACTCGCCTCACAGGGCTGCTGTGACAATTAAATGGGATGGGCTTATAAAGCCTTTCCCCTGTGCCCACACACCGCAGGTGCTCAAGGGTTTATTTCCCTTCTGGGGGCAGAGAAGAGGGAGCCTGTAATTAAGGGCAGCTGCCCCTCCCCCTACCAAGCCATCCCCAGGGGCACCCTAGGACCAGGCCCCAGCTTTTCCCTTCCCTCCGAAGGGGCTTGCCGTGGAAGGAACCCCAGACCCCTGCCGCTCTTCCCAACCCCTGAGGATGGCTATTCTTCATTTTGGCTCTCATTACAATAGCCGGAGGAGCTTTCAAAAATCTCCATGTCCAGGCCGGGCACGGTGGCTCACGCCTGTAATCCCAGCACTTTGGGAGGCTGAGGCGGGCGGATCACGAGGTCAGGAGCTCGAGACTATCCTGGCTAACACTGTGAAACCCCGTTTCTCCTAAAAATACAAAAACATTAGTCGGGCGTGGTGGCGGGCGCCTGTAGTCCCAGCTACTCGGGAGGTTGAGGCAGCAGAATGACATGAACCCAGGGGGCGGAGCTTGCAATGAGCAGAGATCGCGCCACTGCACTCCAGCCTGGGCAACAGAGCGAGACTCCGTCTCAAAAAAAAAAAAAAAGGAAAAAATCTCCATGTTCAGTTTTTGAACATACGGCTGTGGGAATTTGTATCGGAAACTGCTAATTATTCTCCAATAGCCATTCTCGGGGGAAACAGAATTTACCCACGGGCCACCCAATATATGACGGATCTCCTTGCCTCTCTTTCTGCTCGGTGTGGCCATATGACTTAGCATTGTCAACAGCAAGCGGGGACAAGAGTCATGTGGCTGCTCCTGATGACACCCTTTGCCCCCTTTCACATCATTGTTCCCTCTGTCCTTGGCAGGAACAGGGAGGTGCCGGCGGCTGTCTCACATGCCGAAGTTCAGGGCTGCCTCTCCAGTAGTGATGTGGAGAAGCTCAGTCCCTGGGGAATCTGTGCAGCAGGTCTGTGCCGTCTGCATCCAGACGTTTAGATGGAAGAAAACAAGCTTCTAGCTTATTTAAGCCATTAAAAACAAAACAAAACTCCAGGTCCAGGCTGCATCCCAAATCAATGAAATCAGAATTTCGGGGGGGTTAGACCCTAGGATCAGTATATTGATACCCTGGGATCAGTATTTTGAAAATCCCCTGGTGAGGTCGTATGTGGTGGCTCATGCCTGTAATCCCAACACTTTGGGAGGCCAAGGCTGGAGGATTGCTTGAGGCCAGGAGTTTAAGATCAGCCTGGGCAACATAGCAAGACCCCATCTTTACAAAATATTCTTTAAAATAATTAGCTGGGTGTGGTGGGGTGTGCCTGTCATCCTAGCTACTCAGGAGGCTGAGGCAGGAGGACTGCTTGAGGCCAGGAGTCTGAGGCTGTAGCAAACCATGATTGTGCCACTGCACTACAGCCTGGGTGATAGAGCAAGACCCTGTCTCAAAAAAAAAATTTGTTTTTCTTAATGTCCTCTGGTGATTCCCAAGGGTAGTCAAGCGATTGCCCTGCCCTGGATGCCGCCCTCATTTTCTGTGAACTTGGGTCTTGTTCCCCGTGTTGTGTGAACAGGACAGTGGGGTGGCCTGGGGTCCTGGAGGCCTAAGGAGTAGGGGCTGAGGAGTGAGGGTGAGTGACACTTAGGAGGCCTGGATTTTGACACAGCTTGCTGTGTGACCTTAGGCAACTCCATACCCCTCTCTGGGCCTCTGTGTCCCTGAAGCCATGGAATGGAGTCTCATGGGATGAATGCTTCTCTCTGCCCTGTGTGGGTGGCTGAGGTTGAAGAGGAGGCCTCCCAGAGAGAGGGCACCCCAGCCTCAGCCTGCATCCTTCCCTGGACCTGGCCTCACCCATGCCATGTTTGTCTCCAGGGCAACCAAACACAGCCACACCCACGCCCCACCATGCAGCCCCCAGCCTGGCCCCCTCCTGAAAGGAGCTCCGCTAAACCTCCCACAGGGAGGGTGTTGCCTAATCTGGGTGCCCAATCTCTCCAGCTCTCCAGGCCTGGGGGCCAGGGTTAGGCCCCCTACCACACACCTGTCGGGAAGATTCCAGACACCTCAGCCTGGCCAGCTCTGCTTTTCCTGGAAAAAGCAGCTGCTGTGGCTCTGGCATGGCCGAGACAGCTGGAGACCTCAACGCTCACCCCTCCCTCTCTCTGGGCCTTAGTGTCCGCCTGTGCAGTCAGCCTGGGCAACAGAATGAGACTCCATCTTAAAAAGAAAAAAAGATTGCTTTAAAAAAAGAAAATAAGAGCAGGCATAGTGGCTCATGCCTGTATTCCCAGAGCTTTGGGAGACTGAGATGGGAGGACTACTTGAGGCCAGGAGTTCGAGACAGCCTGGGCAACATAGTGAGACTCTGTCTACAAAAAAATTGAAAAGTTAGCCAGGTGTGGGGGCACATGACTGTGGTCCCAGCTACTTGGGAGGCTGAGGTAGGACGATCGCTTGAGCCCAGGAAGTTGAGGCTGCAGTGAGCTGTGACTGCACCACTGCACTCCAGCCTGGCAACAGAGTGAGACCTTATTTCTAAATAATAATAATGATAATCATTGAATGAATAGACTTGCCTAACAGGTGAGCTGGAATATTCCTCCAGCCCTGGGGCTGGACGGAACCTCTGGAGGTCAGTCCTGGGGCAACATGTGGCCCTGCCTGATGTGATTGATGATGGAAAACCAGATCCACCAAGCCAGGAGTGCCAGGGGCCACCTGAGTTGCCCAGGCTGGAGGTGGACCTGGGCTTGGCTTCTGCCACTTGTCAGGAATGCTCAGCTCCCTGTTGTGGCAACCTCGTTGGCAGGGGTAGAAACAACTCCCAAGAGGCTTCCAAGAATGCCTTCAATGTGGTCCTCAGTGCCAGGGCCGCGCAGAGCTTGGCTGCGGGGAGGACAGCTGAGTTGCTAACCTCCACTTGGCCTGGCCAGCGCTGGGAGCAGTCCTCCTAGTGGGATCAGCAACTTGCGTGCGGGGATCGCCCAGTCCCCACAGCATCCCAGTGCCCAGCAAGGTACTTGGCATAGTTTTTGGAATAAATGCCAGCTGGGAATGACCAGCCCTGAGGCCAGCTCCCTCAAGATCCTTTCTTGATTGCTCCTGGCCTGAGTGATTTCTATTTCTCTGTCTTCTGAAGCATTGTATGTGCTTTAAGGAAAGTAACACTTATAATGGAACAGGAATTAAAAGAAAGTAAAGAATGTGTAAGCAAAAACTCAGTTGTATGTAAGAAAACCCAATTTCCCTTGAGGAAGAGAAAGAGCTGAAGTCCTTTAAAAATTAACTGCCTGTTTTTCGGTGGCTAGTGACCCTTATCTCTCCCTTTCCCAGGCATTGTGAAGACCCTGTTTCTCTGGCTGTGCAGCTGCAAGGTCACTAGGCAGATAAACTCAAGTTGTAAAACACGTTTTGCCTTGAAAAGTAAGAAATGATGTAATGCGTGTCTTAATTGAATAACTGTCTTTGTTTCATGCTTCTGTAATATGCTTCCCCCTGCACAGATCTCCCCCCGCCCCACAAAATGCTTAAAAGGTAGCTTGACTCTTTGTTCATGGCTCAGTCCTTTGGATGTTAATCCGACTGGGTTGGTGCACCTAAATAATTAAATAATTCCTTTTCAACCCCTCCATCTCTCTGATTCTTTAATTATCCCACAGCAGTAATAATCACTCTCCTACCCTCTAGGCCAGCTGAAAGAGTTATGCGCTTAGAGGCAGGAGACCTGAGTTTGAATCCTGACTCACATTGGCTGTGTGACCTTAGATAAGTCACACTACCTCTCTGAGCCTTGATATCCTTACCTGTGTAATAGGCATAATGGTTCCTATCTCATGAATGGCCCTGATGCTCAAATGCAAGTGAAGTTTTGGGTCAGTGTGACGTGGATTCAAATATAAGAGGCTGCTGTTTTCCTTTGTGTTTTCCATTATTTGTGCCCCTGTTCTCTCTCCTGCTAGACCATAGGCTGTTCCCTGTCAAGATCTGGCTCATAGGCAACCTCTTCTGAGAAGCCTTCCTGGATTCTATGGGCTGAGGTAGCTCCTTCTTCCTTTTCACCCAGACTCTTTGATCTCAAATATCACCCACGAGTATACTTCTTTGTGTGTTGATGTTTCTTTTCTGGGCTAAGAGTTAATTCCTTGAAGGTGAGATTGTGTCTGGTTATTTCTTTTCTTTTTTTTTGAGACAGAGTCCTGTTCTGTCACCCAGGCTGAAGTGCAGTGGCACAATCTCGGCTCACTGCAACCTCCGCCTCCCGGGTTCAAGCGATTCTCTTGTCTCAGCCTCCCAAGTAGCTGGGATTACAGGCACCCGCCACCATACCCAGCTAATTTTTGTATTTTTAGTAGAGACAGGGTTTCCCAAGTAGCTGGGACTACAGGTGCAGGCCACATGCCCAGCTAATTTTTAAATTTCCTGTAGAGATGGGGTCTCGCCAGCTGCCCAAGATGTTCTCAAACTCCTGGGTTCAAGTGGTCCTCCCTCCTTGGCTTCCCAAAGTGCTGGAGGTGGGCCTGGGCTTGTTTGGTTATTTGTGTGCCCCAGTGCCTCAGTCAGGTCCTGGGATAGATGACACCCTCAGTAAATATTTGTTGAAAGCCCTTCCTCATCCCCCAGGGTACTGGGCAATGGGCCTTAGACCCAGGGGGATCTCAGGAAAGAGTAGCTTAGCCATGTGAATGACACGTCTCCTTCTGTGGTGAGACTGAGACCTGGGCCGCGGCCATGCCTACTCCAATGTGTGCCTGTGCAGGAGACCCCTGCCCCTGCCCCTGCCCCGCCCCTCCCCAGGCGAGGCCTAGCCTCTGGGATTCTGCCATGGTTCCCCTCCCAGGAAGGGCATCTCCTGCTTTCCCAGCCCCCTTCAAGCCCTGAGGTTTCCATGCTGTTGTGGCGTTAAATTCTCATCACATGCAGGCCGGACAGGAGGTCTTCAATCCACTCTTCAGAACAGGAAATGGAGTCAGGACCAGGCAGTTTAAGAGGCATGGCTGAGACCTCACGCTGAGTGAGGAGAGAGGCAGAAAGCGAGGCTGGGAACACAAGGTTCTCGCTACAGGCGTGAGCTCCTTCTCCGTAGGCCCTTCCCTTCCCATCTTCTCCCTGCCCCACCCACTGTCTCCCTGCTACTTGGCCCCTGTCCTGCCTCTCACCGTCATCCTCAACCCTGGAGACGCCCAGCTTGCAGCACCTGCCTTCTCATGAGACCAGAATCATATTTTTATGAGGGCTGGCTCCCCAGGGGCCCAGTCTTCCAGCCCCAGGCTGGCTGCGGGGCAGCTAAGAATAACCCAGGCCTAAGCTGGGCGTGGTGGCTTGTGCCTGTGGTCCCAGCTACTTGGGAGGCTGAGATGGGAGGATCACTTGAGCCCAGGAGTCAAGACTGCAGTGAGCTATGATTACTCCACTGCACACAGCAGCCTGAGCGAGGCCCCGCCTCTAAAAAAAATAACCCAGGCCTGGTTCCCCAGCAGCTGCTCTATTCGGTGGGTGGACAGAGCTCAGGGTTCACAGGTCTGCAACAAGAAGTCCTGGCAGAAGTATTGGATGTGAGGAACTCACTTGTGACCCCAGAGGCCCAGAACCCCTTCCTGCCCCAGCGGCTTACCAGGTGACCTGGGGTGGTGGTGAGGCCTGGACAGTGCAGGTCAGCAGGACCGTGGTGTGCTCCCAGACGGCGTGGGAGCGAAGAGGGATCCAGAACCAGGGCCCGCGGCCGTAGCACAGCTCCCTCAGCTCCTTGGCCTCCTGGACCTTCTCCTCTGTCTGGAGGCGGGAAGAGGTGTATGACGCTGTGAGCCAGGGACCACCTCTCTGCCATCTTTGCCATTACCTCCCCACTGACACCCAGACTCTGTAGTTAGACCCACATGGGCTGGAGTTCCCGGTCCCCTCCCCTAGCTGAGCAGGGTGGCACTGTGGGCAGAGCATGGGCTTTGGAGCCAGCTGGCCTGGGGTCAAGGTATTGACTAGCTGTGGGACCATAGGCAGGTCCTCAGTGTCCTTATTGGTAAAATAGAGATGATAACAAAATCCCTCACCCACTGTGGGGGTGTGGGGGTGAAAGACACGGCACTGAGAAAGCCTGTGTAAGTGGAAGCTGGGGAGGGAGTGTGGAGAGTGGCTCAAATCCTGATACTCATCAGGGCTAGCGTTTCCTGAGGGTCTTCTGTGTTCTAGGCAATGGGAAAGTCACTTTCCAAACCCAGTCTCCTTTAAATCCCACCTCAGCACTGAGAATTTTTACAATGACGTCTATTTTACTTTATTTTTATTATTATTATTTTTTAAGGTGGAGTCTCACTCTGTAGCCCAGGCTGGAGTGCAGTAGTGTGATCTTGGATCACTGAAACCTCTGCCTCTTGGGTTCAAGCGATTCTCCTGCCTCAGCCTCCCGAGTAGCTGGGATTACAGGCCCAGGTAATTTTTGTATTTTTAGTAGATACAGGGTTTCACCATGTTGGCCAGGCTGGTCTCGAACTCCTGACCTCAGGTGATCCGCCTACCTCGGCCTCCCAAAGTGCTGGGGTTACAGGCGTGAGCCACTGCGCCCAGCCCAATTTTACAGATGAGAACACTGAGGCTCAGTAACAGGGATGCGCTTGCCCGGGGTCACACCACTGGAATGTAGGGGCATCAGATGCAGACCCAAAGCCTGGACTCTGCCCTGGATGTCCCGCCTCTTGGGAAGGGGGTGAGGATGGCAGCAAGTGGTGCGTCGCAGGTCCCAGGCCCTGGGGCTCCACGGCCCACCCCCTTACCCGCCGCCTCAGCGTCTTCCAGTCCCGCCTCTGGCGCAGCAGCCGGTGGGTCTGCAGGAAGGCGATCTCAGTCCTCTCCCAGTCATTGCCGAAGCCCACCCGCTTCTGCCCTCGCTCCTCCAGCTCCACGGCAGAGGTCTGGCGTCTCAGCTGGGCTTCCCTGCCGTGACAGAGGCCATCGGGGCTCAGGCAGGGATGGGGGATGCCTGGGGCATCCTGGCCAGTTCCATTCCCTGTGCCCAGCAGTGCCAGGATGCTTTAAACTTTTGGAGGACATGCATGATTTTGCATCTTCCCTTGCCTCCAAAACAGCCTGGAAGGGCCCTGCTTGCAGTCAGTCCTTAATAGTTGACTGTTTTCATTGTTTTCAAGGCTCTTTCACAAACCTTTGTTCATCTTGTTTTCACGACAGCCAAGTGGCCAGGCCTTAGTGTCCCTATTTTATAGGGCAGGGACTGAGGCTTAGCAACTTGCTTCAGGTCAGCCAGGACCACCACCCAAGCCTCCTAGCCCAGGGCCCTGCCCCAAGCCGAACGCTGCCTCTCCACGCCGGCACACTCAGAGGCCTCCTCAGTCTCTGGCCTTGTGGGAAACTGGGGCCTGGTTTACTTGCTCCTTCTGTCCCATTCTTAGCCCCCTCCCCCACCACGTGAAGCCCAGAAGTCTGTTGGTGAAGTAGGCCCCTACCCTCTTCCTTGGGAACAGTCCCCCGCTATGACACGTGCACCCTTCCAGAGGGTGGCATGTGGGCTTTGAGGGCAGGTAGCCCTGGGCTTAAACTCCTGTCTAGACCCTTATTCTAGATGTGGGATTTTGGGCAGGTTCTTTACACTCGGGGTGAAAGGCCAGCAGGGAGGCCGGGGACTGGACAGGATGGCCCCTCCTCAGCCACGGCTCCCTGGGAAGCTTCTCTGACTCACCAAGACAGCTCGGAGGAGGCCGTCAGAGCCAGGGCTGCTGCCAGGGCGTAGTCCGCGGCGCTGAACTCATGCTCTTCTTCGCTGCTCCCAGAAGGAGGGGAGTAAATGGCTCTTGCAGGATTGGCTGGGGGCTCCCTGAGATTAGGGCTGCATCTGCCCACCTCAGCCTCAGGGCACCAGCAGGCAGGGCTGTGCCTCCCTCCTCATACTGGGGTCTCAGAAAGCAAGGCTGCATCCCCCCGACCCTGAATGTGCTTCCCTCCTCAAACAGGGTTTCCAGAGGACAGGGCTGTGCCTCTTCCATCACATGGGGGTCTCCAGAGAGCCAATTGTGTCTCCCCCCTCAGACAGGGGGTTCAGAAAGCAGGGATGTCCCTCCCCCCATCAGGTTGGAGCCTCCAGAGGGCTAGGCTGGGCCTCCCTCCTCAGACTGGGGGCCCTGGGAACAGGGCAGTGGCTGGGCGGGGACCCTGTGGCTCCCACCTGCTGCGGAAGGTCCGCCTCCGCACAGAGGAGCCCATGCGCAGGCTGTGCTGCCGCTCCTCCTTCTGCTCCTCCTCCTGCCGGTGCTCCAGCCTGTGAACCTCCATGGCCTGGGGGGGCCGGGGGTCCCCCGCACCTCCCAAGCTGTGCGGCAGAGTCATGGTTACGAGAGCAACAACCTGTGAAGGCCAAGGTCCACGGTCATTCCACCAGGTGCCCGCCTATCCCCTCCCATGCAGTCTTCCCAACATCTCTAGGAGGCTGGCAGGATGGGGGGTGGGGGTGTCCTCTCTGCAGTCGGCAGACAGGGAAACTGAGGTCTGAGAGGGAGAGGGACCTGCCCAAGGTGACAGAGGCAGGCCTTGGGCTCTGAGCCAGGCTTCTCCTCCACCCCATGTGCTCCCCAGCTGAGTGAGCAGAGCCCCCACGTTAGGGAGCAGGGCCCTGGCTTCTAGCTGCTTCCAGCTGCAGCCCAGCCCTTGTCTCACTGTATGATCTGTGGCAAGGTTTTCGCTTCTATGGGCCTCAGCTCCCCAGACAATGAGTAATTGAAACTGTGATGTCCACGGCTGTGTCTATGACTCAGGACGGGCAGGCGTCCCCATTCTTCCTGCACCGGCCATGTTCAGTCCTACCTCTGGGCCTTTGCCCACGCTGGTTTCCTCTCCCGGCACACCCTTCCCCTCCTCCTGGCCCGCTTGGCTCTAGTCATGCTTCAAACCCCAACTGAGGGCATGCTAATTAGCAGAGAGACTCTGAGTCCAGCCCACAGGGTGTGATCCCAGCTCCTTATCCCAGCTTTCAAGTGTGTAACCTTGGGAAAGACTCATGACTTTGTTTCCTCATCTGTAAAATGGGTCTACTAACCTCCCAGGGTAGTTGTGAAGGTTAGATGAGTGCTTGGGGCTTAGTAAGTACAACATAAGTATTAGGCATTAGCATTATTTTTCTAAGAAGCCTTGCAGAAAGACTACAGGCCACCTAGAATTTTCCCTCTTCTCATTTCTTTTGTACTTATTTTCTAGCACTCCACAATTTAGCATTGATTCAGACAATGCTTTCTCTATGTAATTATTTTGTATCTGTGCATCTTGACTGTTCAACAAGACTGTAAGTGAATTAAAAGTAACAATAGTGAGAACTTACTATGTTCCATGCCCATGTTAGTTTTCAAATGCATTATCCCCAGTCCCTGCAATAACCCAAATGAGGACAGCACCATTATTATCCCATTTTACTGATGAACAGGGGCAGTACTTGCTCAAGGTCACCCAGCATGATGGTGGGGCCATGACTGGCAGCCAATCCCTAGCCCAACCCCTAGCCCTTCTGATCTCTATGTCATATGTCCATTCAAGGCCAGGCCGTGGCAGAGGCTGGGGACACGGTGGGCCACAGGGCCTTTCTCCTTATAAGGGGATTGCAATGTACACATCTCCTTTGCATTCCCAAGGCTCAAGTCTAGGCCCGTGATGGCGCCCAGTGGGGCCGGATCAGATTGACCCAGGGGAGGCTCAGGAAGCGGATCCATGGATATGGAGAGGCAAACGAGGGGTGTGGGAGGCCCGTGTGCCCGCTGGCTGTGGGTTTTTGCACTGAGTTTTCTCATATCCGGGCTTCAGTCACTGCTGGGTCTCTGAGGGCCCCCCTGATGCTAAAGCTAAAATCCCTGGAATGGCTTTCACACCTCCTCCAGGTGGGAATCCTGGTCTGCAGGCTTCTGGCATGGGAGGGTTCCTGCCCAGGCGTGGGGATGGAAACAGAAGAGGGATGACCGCCTGCCTTGGCCTGCTCCTGTCAGCTTCTGTGGGGTCAGCTCTGTCTGGCCCCTGCCTCTCTAGAGGGTCCTGCTGGAGGTGGCAGCGTGTGTGTGTGTGGGCGTGCATGTGTGTGTATGTGTGTGTGTGCGTGCATGTGTAGGCTGTCTTCTGCCTGGATGTGAACACAGCACCTAGGTGACCATTTCTCTAAGTCCATGGCATGGAAGGTGAGCCCACTGGCTTTATTGGAGAGCCGTTGGCCTGGAAGGGGCATGTGGTGGAGGTGTCTGGGGCTCGGGCTGTGGAGGGTCAGTCTTAGTGGGCTTTTACCCCTTCTACTTCCTAGAAGTTTGCTCCTTTTGGGTGTCTGCAGTTGTGGGCATCAGGAAAAAGAGAATGGATGGCTGCAGGGTTAGCTGGGACCAAGGGCTGCCCCCTAAAGCTCCCTGGGCTCCTGCTAATCATCTCAAATGACATAATGGGACAGTCACCCTCTTTGGCTTCGTATCACTCCCTCCCGATGGAAGAAGTTCTCTTTGCACCCAAAGAAGTGGCTAGCCCTGCTCATTCTGCTCTTTCTTCCTCATGGCCCAGGAGGAGAGCTGCTGGGTACCACCCTAGGTGGAGCAAGGACCCCCCACTCTGCCCCAGCTTTCCTGGGACACGATGGCCCTGGCTCCAGTGGCTGAGAGTTAACATTCCCTGGCACCAGCCACTGGCTCCCTTCCCCTGGATGCTCTGTTCCCGATTAGCACAGCAGGCAGGGGCCTGGCGCTCGTCCCTGACCTCGGGGCCTCCAGCAACCAGACCCCTGGCTTTAGCGGATGAGCTACCAATTCTTTTTAAAGCACTGACTGATGCGTGGTATTAAGCAGGGACAAGTTTGCGGCCTCACTGCCCTTTCCCAAAGGACCAGGGTGCCTCTTCCCGGAACACTGTGTGTGCCTGCGTGGAGGGGAAACTGCCCCCGCTTCCCTCTCTTGGGGTGCAAAAATCTGGGCCAGAGGTCCCACTGCGTGGCCTTCCCTATTCCCCTCTGCTTTCCTCCCAAGCCTCCATCTGCCGAGGAGGCCTCTCCCCTTCTTCAGGAGGGAAAGAGGAATGCACAGCAGTTGAGCCAAGACCCCTCCAGGAGCTGCGATGGGGGCGGATGGTGGCTGGGAGCAGAGACACATCCTGCGGGCGGCGGGTGGCACAGGCTGGGACGTGTTCTTAGCCAGTGGCTCCACCAGCTTCCGCGAGGCCGAATCCTGCCCTTGCCAGTCATGAGCTGAGGCAACTCCTTTCCCGTCTGGGCCTCGGTTTCCTGTCAGGCACTGGATGAAATCCCTTCCAGCTCTAAGATTTGGGATCCGAGGGCTCGCTCTCTTTCCCTGCCTGTGGGGTTGGCCAAGCCGGGCTCAGCCAGCTCCGCTCTAAGTTCGTGGAACTTGCCAGCTTAGCCTGGCTCCCGCTTATCGCTGCTCCATCACAGGAAAGACTCCAGTTCCCAGGGCAGCCCCCACTCTTTTTTTTTTTTTTGCAACTTTCACATCACAGACAGCTCAGCTCTCAGAAGACCCAGGGCCACACAGAACAGTGGGATGGGGCAGGGGTTTCTGGAATCCCCTCCCATTTTCACTTGGGTGCTGCCTCAGCACAAATTTCCCAGGCTCCTTTCACAACACACAACACACATACACACAAACACACACACGTGCACACACACACACACATGCACCCACAGATATCACTCCCCAGTGGCTGACTCTTAGGAGGCATCCCTCCCCCACCCTGATTTCTGGGGGTGACTCACAGAAGCAGTGTGCCCACTTAGGAGTCTCTGGGGAGAAGATTCCTGAGGCCGAGAGGGTCCTTGTTCTCTTCTTGCCCTCGGCTCAGCGGGCACCGGGAGAAGAATGCGATCCCGGAGACTGCACCGTCTTAAATATAGCAGCACTGAGACAGTACAATGACAATGGATGAGAACTATGGCATCGGGGACAGGGGGCCAAGGGGAGGGGCCATTCCGTGTCTCCAGCCTGCTGGGCAGCAGCGACAGGTGGAGCTGTCCGCCGCGTCCCCCCACACTGCTCCTCCTCTCAGCTGGGTCCTTTCTGCCCAACCCAAGCCCCTGTTAAAATGGAAAGGAGGGAACGGCTCAGGCATGGTCGTATGGAGGGCAGATCCCGTGCGGCGTTCTCAGCTGTCGGGAGTTCTGATCTGAATTCTGCCCCGGCTGACTGGGTGCCCTGGGGAAGGCGCTCAGCTTCCCTGAACTGACTGCCTTCTGAAAAACGGAGACAGTGAGACTGGGCACCTGGACTTCATGAAGACGGTGGAAGGAATATGACCTAAAAGTGAGTGTTTCGTGCTCAGAAGTTGTCACTGGCTAAAACAGCAATGTGTGGCTCCTGGTCCCTCCACCACTCCGGTAGTTACTACACGGCCCCCGCCCTGACCACAGTCATGTGTGTGTGGTGTGGTGCAGGCAGGAGGAGCTGGGGAGCCACCTACTGCTTCACTGTGCAAACTGCTCAGGCTGCCAGAGTGTCCCCTGAAGGGCCTTCTTATAGGGTAAACGCACCTGACAGGGATAACTGAAGCACGCTCCAAGAATGACCCTGTGTGGAAGACCTGAATATGTGTTCCGAGCTAAGGAATCTGGGGAGTAGCCAACCCGTTTCTTACCTACGATGAATATCTGAGCCCCCGTCCCGTCCCTTCTGGTGGAACGCTGGCCATACAGGGGATTGAGGCCCTGAGTTTTGGGTTAAATGAAGATTGCCAGGTGGAGGTCATTAGGGGATGGTGTAAAGTGAAAATGCTCTATAAACTGCATGCTGTTTGCAAGGGGCTGAGGTTTTCCTGCCCAGTCGGCCGCCACTGGTATGTTGTCCAGCCCGCCGCCCCTGGACCATTTCTGTATGTAAGGCGGTTCTCCTGTCCAGTTCATCACCAGTGGACTCTCTCTCCTGTAGGCAAGCCCCTAACAAACCCCCACGTTCCTTCCTTTCCTTCCTTCCCTTCCTTCTCTCCCTTTCTTTTTCTTTCTTTCTTTCTTTCTTTCTTTCTTTCTTTCTTTCTTTCTTTCTTTCTTTCTTTCTTTCTTTCTTTCTTTCTTCTTTCTCTTTCCTTCCTTCCTTCCTTCTTTCCTTCTTTCCCTCCCCCCCTCCTTCCTTCCTTCCTTCCTTCTCTCTCTCTTTCTTTCTTTCTTTCTTTCCTTCTTTCCTTCTTTCTTTCCTTCTTGAGTCAGAGTCTCACTTTGTTGTCCAGGCTGGAGTGCAGTGGCATGATCTCAGCTCACTGCAACCTCCGCCTCCTGAAACCCCCATGTTCCGTTTGCTGGCTATGGATCTTTTCTTTGGCCTCTCAAACCTGGTGCCTTCCCTACTGAGGTTAATAGGTGTTCGGCACCACACCTCTTCCCACCCTTTGCCCTCTCCTGCCATTCCCTCAGTCTCAATTCTTTCCCCCTCACATTCATTGGCACCTACCCTATGCCAGACCCTAACCTACAGGGGAAGTCAGGCACTTACGACAGGAGGTGATCAGGAAGGTGCACCTGGGTCGAGTCTCAGAGGATGAGCCGGTGAGGGGAAGGCTGTACCGGCCCCTAGCCAGAGAGCACAGCTTCCCTCCCTCACCCCTTCCTGCGACCTCAGGTGGCCACCCACACTACACCTGTCACTCTTGCTGGTGCCTCAGGGACTCCTCACTCGAGAGAAGGAGAGAGAGAGCACAAGTGAACTTTGCAGGCAAAATCTGAATCCCCTGCCCTATTTGAAAACCCCTTTCTAAGCTCTTCTGTGGCTCTCTCTTACAGCATCTTTTGGGAGAGAACATTTCTCTCCCATCTTCTATTGACCCAATCGAACAAGGGCTTTCCAAGACTCATCTTCATACATTTGCTGTGAGGGATGAGTGTGAGTGAATCCGTACGAACAGCAAAGAGGGCTTTGAGCTTCCAACTGAGCAGGAGACAGTCATTTAAACAGGTCCTCTAGCCCCGTCCTCCCAAGGCAATCTGGGGAGATGAATGAAGGTGCACTGGAGAGACAGGGTGCATCCTGGAGTCAAACCGGCTTAGGCTTTCAATTCAGTCCCACCACTTATTAGCTGGATGACCTTGGGGAAGGCACTCAGCCAGTGTGGTTTGATTATCTGTACAGTTGAAGACAACAATTTCCACTTAGCTGTCTCATTGAAAATGTTCAATCAGGCTGGGCATGGTGGCTCACACCTGTAATCCCATCACTTTGGGAGGCCGAGGCGGGTGGATCACCTGAGGTCAGGAGTTCGTGACCAGCCTGGCCAACATGGTGAAACCCCGTCTCTACTAAAAATACAAAAATTAGCTGGGTGTGGTGGGGGCGCGCCTGTAATCCCAGCTGCTTGGGAGGCTGAGGCAGGAGAATTGCTTGAACCCAGGAGGTGGACGTTGCAGTGAGCTGAGATGGCGCCATTGCACTCCAGCCTGGGTGACAGGAGTGAAACTTTGTCTCAAAAAGAAAAGAAAAAAAAAAAGAATAGAAAAGAAAAGAAAAGAAAATGTTCAACCAAGAACCGTGAAACCTCCAGCACGGCGTCTGGCCCCGGACAGACGTTTGCTAAATGAAAGCTCTAGGAATGCTGATGGCTTTCTCTTACCCCATGCTTCTGGGGGTGGGATTCCCATGTATCCCTTTGTTGACCTCACCCCAGTGAAGCACTCAGTCATCACTGGAACCTCTGTAAACATGGCCAAGCCTAAGGTCATGCGGCTGAGCAGAGAGATTAGATGACTTGATGTTATACAAGCCTTGGTTTAAATCCCAACCTCTGGTGCCTCAGTCACTAACAGGGGGACCTTGGCCTCCTTTCTGGGCCTCAGTTTCTTTCTCTGTAGGTGGAGGACACATTCCAAGATAGCAGAGAACTTGCCTGCCTGACCATATCCCTACCCCCGAGAACAGTGCTTGGCATACACCTGGCCCTCAATTCACATTTATTTACAAATGAATCAGTGGGCTGGGCGCAGTGGCTCACGCCTGTAATCCGAGCACTTTGGGAGGCCGAGGCAGGTGGATCATGAGGTCAGGAAATCGAGACCATCCTGGCTAACAAGGTGAAACCCTGTCTCTACTAAAAATACAAAAAATTAGCAGGTCGTGGTGGTGGGCTCCTGTAGTCCCAGCTACTCAGGAGGCTGAGTTAGGAGAATGGGGTGAACCCGGGAGGCAGAGCTTGCAGTGAGCTGAGATGGCGCCACTGCACTCCAGTCTGGGAGACCAGAGAGAGACTCCGTCTCAAAAAAAAAAAAAAAAAAGAAAAATGAATCAGTGAATGGTTACTGTCTTAGTTCGTTTGAGCTGCTACAACAAAATACATTAGACAGGGTCATTTATAAATAACAAAAGTTTATTTCTTACGGTTCTGGAGACCAAGAAGTTCAAGATCAACGTGCTAGCAGATTCAGTGTCTGGTGAGGACCTGCTCTCTGCATCATAGATGGTGCCTCTTGTGGAGTCCTCATGTGGTGGAAGGGGCTAGGGCACTCTCTTCAACCTCTTTTATAAGGGCATTAATCCCATTCCATTTTTATTTTTTTCCCCGAGACAGGATCTTGCTCTGTTGCCCAGACTGGAGTGCAGTGGTGCAGTCATGGCTCACTGCAGCCTCAACCTCTTGGGCTTAAGTGATCCTCCTACCTCAGCCTCCTGAGTAGCTGGGACTATAGGCACGCACCACCACACCAGGCTAATTTTTGCGTTTTTTGTAGAGACAGGGTCTCACTGTGATGCCCGGGCTGGTCTCAAACTCCTGGCCTCAAGGGATCTTCCCACCTTGGCCTCCCAAAGTGCTGGGATTACTGGCTTGAATCACCACCATGCTGGCCTCTTGATCCCATTATTGAGGGCATAGCCTTCATGGCCTTCCAAAGGGCTCACCTCTTGCTACTATTACATGAAGTTTCAACATATGAATTTTGGGGGGACTCCAACATTCAGACTATAGCAATTGCCTATCTTGCAGAATGGCTGGGAGACTCAGATAAGGTTAAATGTGTAAAATACCTACTATAGTACCTGGCTTATCTTTCTTCTTTCTCCCCTTGCCTTCTTTTCTCTTTTATTCCCTTCCCTGGACTTATGACCATTAAGAACAAACTGACTGCTCTGAACCTCCATGCTGTTTCTCCGACAGCAACCAAGCCTGTGGCTTTCTCCCCCTGTGTGGCGACACTGTACCTGCTTCAGTCTCCCGTCCCTCCCTGTCGCTCTCGGAGTCCAGTTAATTGCAACTGCTGTTCTTCTCATACGGACTGGCCAAAGCATATCTTCCTTACTCCCCCTTCCTCCTTAGAGTGGGAAGGAAAAATGGGCTCAAGTAGCCAAAGGAGCTGAGCAGCAGCTCTGGGGTCTCAGAGTTGTCTCATCAGCGTCAGCACCAGCAGGGGAGGTGGGGGCTGCCTCCATCTCTCTGGCAATACCTGCCTCAGCTTATTGTTTCTGTCCCATGGTCTGGAATGCAGGTGGGGACAGCGACAGGGGACAAGCATTGGTGACATCAGGCCATAGTCTCCCTGTCCAGGTTGACACTCAGACTTGGGAGGGACAGAGGCTCTGGCTGTCTGGAAATCTGGAGGAGCTCCAGTCCTGCTGGTCCAATTCTCTGGGTGGAAACTCAGGCAAGCCCTGTATGTTCCTAGAGTCGGGAGCTTGGGAGGTCAGAGGTTTGCAGGCATCACAGCCATGCAGTACCCCCACCCTCAACTCTGTTGCAACAGCGGGTGTAATGGGGGTCCCTCTAGGGCGCTGATTTGAGGCTATGGAGAGAGAAAGTGATGGTGTAACGGCACTGTTCCCTCAACTTGCTTCAGAGGAATCACCAAAGAAGTTTATGAAAAATGCAGATACCCCCCAGCACTTTGGGAGGCCAAGGTGGAGGATCACTTGGGTCCAGGAGTTTGAGGCTAGCCTGGTCAACAGGGTGAAACCTGTTGACAAAAATACAAAAAATACAAAAGTTAGCAGGCATGGCGGTGGGTGTTTGTAGTCCCAGCTACTTGGGAGGCTGAGGTGAGAGGATCACCTGAGCCAGGGAGGTGGAGGCTGCAGTGAGCTGTGATCATGCTACTGCAATCCAGCCTGGGTAACAAAGTGAGGCTCTGTCTCAAAAACAAACAACCAGATTCCTAGAAACTGTGAGTTTAGCAGGTCTGGGGTGGGCTTGGGGAAGCTGTATTTTTAGTAAGCTTCCCAGAGTATTTTCATGAACTAGGGCAAGTAATCTCTCTGAGACACATTTTCCTCCTTTGCGAAATATCAATAATACAACCTATCATGGAGAGAAGGGTACCAGGAGGATGAATGATCAAGTACATAACGGCCAAGCAACACGGTTGACTTCTTCTCTTTCATATGACTTTGACTACTGCTACTATTATATTACTAGTCATTTATTCCTGGGCTTGACTGTGCCATACCTTGTAGGCAAGTGAAAACTTGGAGAATCACCTCTCTTGCTGGGCAGGGTGGGGCTGTGGAGATTCCTGGAAATGGGATCGGACCCAGGACTCTCAGGAACGATGAGGTCCCCAGCCAGCTCCAGGGTATGCGGACGCTCTGCCTTCTGGCTGGTTCCAGCTCTATCTGCAGGCCTGGGCTGCCTGGGAGGCATGGGACCTCAGGGGTCATGCAGTCTGGTCCCCGCCCCTCAGTGCAGACAGGTCCAACCTGAGGAGGGGTGAGTCACAGACTCGAAGCCATCCATCCCTCTCTTCAGACACTCAGACTCCACCCTCCCAGAATCATTTCTGAAATGTTTGTCACCCGGAGGAGGGCAAAGAGCTTCGTGTTACTGTGAGTTGGAAGAGATATTTATGGCTTTTAATAAAACTTCTTTTTTGAGATGGAGTCTCGCTCTGTTGCCCAGGCTGGAGTGCAATGGCTGGATTTTGGCTCACTGCAAACCCCGCCACCCGGGTTCAAGTGATCCTCCTGCCTCAGCCTCCCAAGCAGCTGGGATTACAGGCGCCTGCCACCATGCCCAGCTAATTTTGTACTTTTAGTAGAGAGGGGGTCTCATGTTGGCCAGACTGGTCTGGAACTCCCAACCTCAGGTGATCCACCCACCTTGGCCTCCAAAAGTGCTGGGATTACAGGCGTGAGCCACTGCGCCTGGTCTTAATAAAAAACTTCTGTAGCTCCTGGGTCTCACTTGGTGAGAATAGTCCACCTGTTAGGTTGTTTTTCACCAATAAACAAGGTGAAGACAGTTAACCTTTGGCCAAGTGTGACCCAAGCAACAGGAAGTAGACTTGTTTGCAGTGGGTGGGGAGAGGGGAGCCGTCATCCGGCTGACTTGGCTGCCGTGGAGGGGTGAATGGGCTGGGGGGGGCTGTCCAGGTAGACCCATCCCTCTGCACGGAGGTGTTGGGTCTAAACCAGTGACACCGAGGAGATGTTAAACATTAATTACCATCAGATAAGAACACCACCACCTGTCACTGTGTCCCAGGAAAGGGGAGGGGTGGGGAAGAGAAGAGGAGATGTACCTGGGAAGAGAAGGACACTGTCCACTCTGGGAAGGGTCCCTCTGAGGTGACTGGTGTTCCATCCTCTTTCTCAGAAATGTTCAGAAAAGGCTTTGGAGGGCAGGTGTGGTGGCTCACGCCTGTAATTCCAACTACTTGGGAGGCTGAGGCAAGACAATCACTTGAGCCCATGAGTTCAAGACCAGCCTGGGCAACATGGCGAAACCCCATCTCTACCAAAAATACCAAAAATTATCTGGGCATGGTGGCATGCACCTGTAGTCCCAGCTACTCGGGAGGCTGAAGTAGGAGGATCACTTGAGTCCAGGAGGTCAAGGCTGCAGTAAACTGTGTTCATGCCACTGCACTCCAGCCTAGGCCACAGGGTGAGACCCTTTCTCCAAAAGGAAAAACAAAACAAACAAACAAAAAGACTTTGGAGCAAGGTGACCAGGAGCACTTTTCTCTTGGGGACCCCATTAGGAGGCCTCCCCTCCTTAGCCTCCACTAGTCTCATCCTCCAAGAATCCAAGCAGGTGTGGAAAGCTTCCTCTCTCGATGAGGACAAAAAGCCCTAGGTTTGCACTCCAACTCTGTCACAGCCTCAATAGTGGGATCTCGGGTAGGTCCCCTCTCCCTCTGGACTTTGGCTTCCTCATGGTAGGGGTCGTCTGAGATGCAGTGATACGGAGGGTATGGCAGCAGTCTGAGAGCACAGAGTGTGCAACACTGCCTCTGTGGGGGATCAGGGAGGCTGGATGGACAGAGGCCGTCTGAGATTACCACTGCCACCCACAATGGCTTCTGCCTACGATCTCAGGGAGAAGGTTCCACATCATTTGTCTCTGAACTCTTGTCTCTAGAAGGCCCTGCAGTCCCTCCTCTTTCCCACCCCAGACCCCTCTGGCTTTGCCTGTCCTGAGGAAATCCAGGTCATTTAAGCCCATGAGAAAATGCCAGGTGTGTCTGAAGCCAATCCGAATTGGGGGAGGGGGTCACTCCTTGTGTAACGTAGTTTAAAAAAAAAATCACAACAGGAAATAGCTACCGTTTATTGGGCACTGCCCATGTACCAGGCACTATTAAGCACTTTAAAGACATGACTTCATTTCATCTTCACCACAACTCCATGAGGTAGGTGTTATGATCCCCACATTACAGATGAGGAAACCGAGGTTCTGGGCACTGATTTCATTTGTTTGAAGTCACACAGCTTGTGAGTGGTGAGGCTGGAATTTGAGCCCAGATGGGCTGAACCCAAGGCAGAGCTTGCAAAGTTGTGACATCAGTACAGTGTGTTATTGTACCCGTCCAGGGGCCACAGCCCTCACCTTCCTTTCAAACCCCATTCTCAGGATAGGGTCTGAAACTCCTGCCTGCAGAAAAGGCTTGTGTGTCTCCCTCCCTGGTGGACCTGCATTTCGCTTTGTTCTATCAGAGGAATGAAGCTGAAATCGTGCAACGTCAGGCAGTTGCCCTGGCTGGGAATGAGCTGCAGGCCACACCCCTCCCTAGAGTCCTGCCGTCCTGCTGGCCCTGGCCTTGGCAGAAGTGCAGGTTGTTCTGGTTCTGCCCAGCCTCCTTCTGGTTCTTTTCCAGGCCTGGTTCTTTTCCAGGCTCTCTTCCCACCTTTGAACAATGACAGAAGAGGCAGGGGCCTCATGCTCTGTCGAGCTAGATTGTGAAACTGGCCAGGAATGGGGCAAGGAGAGGCAAATTCCCTGAGCACTTTGAATCCATGGTGTTAGGAGGTGGGGCTCTGGACCTCGGGAGTTTCCCTGCATTTCCTCCTTGCACTGTCATTTCTGCCTTGCAGGGCTCAGCGAGCACGCGCTTGTCTACACAAGCTGCTCCCCAGAGCTCCCCCGCTGCAGTCCTTATCATGCTGCTTTGCTCCGGTGAGGAGCGCACCCATGGCAGGGGCCCTGCATGCCACTCCCTCTGCTTCTCTCAAGGGCACCCGTCTGAGGCCAGATCGCAGAGTGTGTGGCGTGGGCAGGCATGGGATTGACAGCCAAGGATGTGACACTGGGTAGGGACAGGGAGGAAGCACCAAGCCTTTCCCATTCCCCTCAGGACTCCCACTGCACAGTCAGGGCCAGGCCTCTGAAAAGAGAATCCAGTTCTGTGGGCTGCTCCAGGTCTGAGGTCTCAGGGGCTGGGCTCTTGGCTTCATCCTTGGGACACACAAGGGACTCCAGCAGGCCCCAGGGACTTGGACCTTGGTCCGAGGGGGAACATGGACGGGAAGGAGGTTGCAAAGGGAGGGACATGGGGTGGCCCTCGATCTGGACTGAGGAGAGGAGGGGGAGCTGGCCCTTTAGGTACTGTGGTGTCCCTTCCTCCCCACTGTGTAGCACATTTGGGTCAGATGTTCTGTCTGTGCAAATCCCCAGGGGCTGGTGCAATGATTTTGCTTCTTGGGATTCCTCCATAGCCAAGGAGGTCACCTCCTGCAGAGAAAGGCCACCTAACATGCAGCTTCCAGCTGGTGGCTCTTTCTGAAGCTGACCTTTAGGCCTAAGGTGTTTAGGACTAGAAAGTGTCCCAGTGGGGGAGTCTTTGCCAGAACCTTCCATGCATACCCCATAGGAGGGAGGCCAGCTGTCCGGAGTGGCTTGAGGGGCATAGGAGGAAGGCTGGACCTTAGAGATGGCCTGTGGGGCGTAGAATGGGAATTGAGCTTCGGGGGTCACCTGAGGTGCATAGGATGGGGGCCCGACCTCAGGGGCAGCGTTTGGGGCATAGGACAGTGGGGAGAGGATCTGGGGAGGTGGCACGTTGGAGGGCTGGAGGATGGAGATGTCTGGCTGCCCTAAGTAGGTGATCTCGGACAGGCTATGCCGCTGTGGAGCTCCTGCGGGCTCCCTGGGTCCAGACACCCTGATCTGGGAGTACTGGACAGGCTGGGCCAGACTGCTGGGGCCGCTGAGGTCAAAGACAGGGATCAGGACGTGCTCCTGGATGAAGCGCAGCGGCTGGAAAGTCAGGACTCGCTGGACGTTCTGTGCAGGGACGACAACAGTCACCCCCCTGTGGTTAGGGTAAGTCCCAAGCTCCCTACTGGTGATGTGGGTGGGTGAGGTCCTCCATAGGGAGGCATCTGGGGGCTTTTTCAAGATGCGTCTGTCCCATATCCCCATCTGCTTCCCAGAGACTCCTCTAGGTGCAAGTGCCTCTCTGAAGGGACAGGGTCTCTCAGCTCTTTGGTTCTAAAGCCTGGGTTATCTCAGGGAGAGAGATCTGGGCTCTGGTTTCTCCAGGAGGCGGATAATCCAGGGAGTAGATGACCAGGATTTGGGGTTGCCTTGGGGCATGATCTCGAGGTGGTGGCCCGCATTGTTGCTTGGCCCACGGGTCCCTGAGGGCCTAATACAGGGTCAGGGTGGGAAAAGAAGGAGCCAGGAGAGACCGGGAGAGCTTTACAGAAAATGCTTCATCTGGACTTGCACATTGAGCAAAACTCCCTCAGAGCTCCTCTGTCCCTCCGATGGGCAAGAGCAGGCTCCGGGTGCCTCAGGTGGCTCAGCTCATGGCTTCTGCAGTGGCCTTGCTGCTCTAGCAGAGGCGGCACTGGCGTCAGGTGGGGGCTGCTGATGTGATTTGTGTGGCTGATGTAGGGCTTTCCATTTTATTTTTATTTTTTGGGTGGGGGGTGGTTTTATTTTTTGGGTGGGGGGTGGTTCTGGTCTTCACTTGCTACAGCAATTCTAAAAGAACTGTAACAAAGGGCTTTCCACTTAACAATTAGTTTTGCCATTTAAAAATTTCTGTTTAAAATGGCCAGGTGCAGTGGCTCACGCTTGTAATCCCAGCACTTTGGGAGGCCGAGGTGGGTAGATCACCTGAAGTCAGGAGTTTGAGACCAGCCTGGCCAACATGGTAAAACCCGTCTCTACTAAAAATACAAAAATTAGCCAGGTGTGGTGGTGGTGCATGCCTGTAATCCCAGCTACTTGGGAGGATGAGGCAGGAGAATCGCTTGAACTCGGGAGGTGGAGGTTGTGCTGAGACGAGATCATGCCACTGCACTCCAGCCTGGGTGACAGAGGGAGACTCCATCTCAAAAAAAAAAAAATCTGTTTAAAAAATTAGTTCTGAATATTTGAAAATTGGGAGATTCCACAATATAATCTGAAACTCTGGCTTCTCTTGAAAAACATGAAGATCAGGCAGTGCTGGGCCTGCATTCCCACATGGTGGTGCCCGGCTGCCCATTTAGACAGGGCATGAGTGCCACGGCTCTCCTGGCGCCCACCATTCCTCCCTCGTTGCCTTGCTGCTCACTCAAGTCCCACACTACCCTCCTGGTGCTGGACACTTCCAAGCCATGTGGGTTTTTTATTCCATGTCTACTATTCCTGATCACCCACCCCACTTCAATGTGTCCTGAGACCTGCTGGGCTACACGTCCGTTGACTTTAGCTGGGACTGTGAGCTCCGTGAATGGAGAGAGCAGGCCCATCTCCTGCTTTGTCTGTGGATCCCTGCATTTTGGGGACAACTGGGGACCTCGGAGCCCAGGCCCTCCCCTGGACCTCTCCCTCCCACCCTGGGGGGATGGCTCACCAGGGAGTTGGGAGGTGCAGGCGGCTTGGTGACATATCTGTAGCTCAGGTAGCAGAGTACTGCGACGAGGAAGCCCATGGAGAACAGGAAGGCTCCGGAGAAGGAGTAGGTCCATGTCCGGTCTGGGAAACCAAAGGGGCCAGAGAAGGAAGCGTGAGGCTGGGCTCTGCCTGGGCCCGGTTGGGTCTGGCCCCACATGTGGATGCTGAAAACCCTCTCTGGCTGGGCTGGCAAGGCCTCTCCTACCGTCAGAATGCAAGATCACAAATGGAAGTCCATATACTGTACATCTAAATAGTCAGAATTTACAAATTATATTTTTACACTGTTAAATAAATAAAATGTTCGAGGTTTCCACCTTAACAAAAAGATTTTTTACAACCACCTGGGATGCCATATTTTAATTCAGAGTTCTTGGACTTCTCTAGGTACTGTGCTGAAGTGGGGAGGTACAGGGAAAGCCCGCAGCGCACTGCAGGCCCCCAGCCCAGCCCAGCCCAGCCCAGTTCCATCCCACACTGCCAGGGCCCTCACGCACATGTGTATAGATGCCCCAGCCCTCATGGTCGAGCTCATCCATGTCCCCTCCAAATAGCCACCTGTTGGTCATCCTTTGGGCCAAGGGTCTGCACTACATGTCAGCAGTGTCTGCCCTCATGAGGAAGTACCCCCAAAAGAGGACTGCCTAGACGGATCACAGGCTCTGGGCCATATGTACAGAGAGTTTCAGGGTCCCAGGTACTCACAATGTGATCTAGAAAGGAGGTCACAGGATCCAGATGGATCTGCCCCCTTTGTTGTATGGAGTCTTCATCTTGCAAGGAGGGGAATGGCCAGGACAGGGCCAGAGAAGGGCCTTCTAAAGTGCTGGGTGCAGGGAAAGGCCCCTTTTGCCTGAGTCTAAGGGTGGTCCTGCCTCCCTGGTAGGGTAGAGGCAGAGGGAGGGGAGAAGTGAAAACAGGGAGGCCTGTCCTCTCCACCTCCCTACCAAGATAAGGGGCTGGGCATCAGGGAAGATCTTGGTCAAGAAGGGAGCCTGGGAAGGCACTGTCCTGTCTAAAATGGAGGGGAGAGGGATGACTAGGGCTCTAGTGCCTGAGCCTCTCCCTGTGTCTCAGCATCTTTGGGATGGGTGCAGCCAGTTCCAGGCAGGACACACTTCCTGTCACCAGTCCAAGTGGGGCTTGTGAAGGACTTATGGAGGAAGAGGTTGTTGGAGTTTTTGGTAAAACTGACAGTTTGCAACAGAGGGAAGGTGACTCAGAGAGTCAAGACCCCTGCAGTCCAGGGGCCAGCTAATCACCCTCCCTCTCTTCCTGGCCCCTGTGCAGCCTCAGCTTGGAGAGTTTATCAATAGCTCCAATGACCTCGGCGATCACTGTGAACTCCGGGTACTGCTGGAACCTCTACTTCTAGCCCACTCCTCGATCCTCCCCTAGCCCACGAGCTTGGGCCTCTCTGGGTCAGCTTCCCACTTCAGTGAAACCCTGTCTCCTGTCACATGTTACCCCCATCCCTACTCCAGGAAAAAGACCCCACCCGAATGTCTATAACATTCCTGGAAAACCACTGCTGTTTGTTCCAGGACAGAATAGGGACATGGAATGGTCTCTGGCTTGACATATTTCCATTTCACACTGTGTGTATTGGATACATTGCCATTTCACCCATAGGGAGGCTGGATGGAATATAAAAACACCACCAGCCTGAGAGTAAGGAATACAGGGTGTTAGAGGCCTGGCTCTGCCACAGATATGCTGAGCATCCTTCCTGCTGCACGACCCTCTCTGGTCTACCCTTTAATAATAACAGTAGCCAGCAGTGGTTGAACTCCTACTACAGGCCATGATCTGTATGATCATGTAGAGCTGGGTGCTCTACCTATGTTATCTCACTACATCATCAAACACATCACAGAGGGGTAGGGACGCTCCCTTCCTATGGATAACAAAGCTGAGTCCCAGAGAGGTTAAGTGACCTGACCAAGGTCACACAGCTACTCAGTGGAGTTACATGTGTAACTCAAAACTCATCCTCCCTGCCACTCTGCAAGGAAGCCTCAGTTTCCTCATCTGTAAGAGTAGGATATGAGGTGAGGTGGCCCTTAGAGCCTCTTCCGTCATCAAGATGCTGGGACAATGCTCTGTGACCCTCCCTGTTTATCTACGGAGAGGTAGGTAAAGGGGATTCTGAGGGTAATGCAGACGTCAGGATACACAGTCAAGGGCAGGATGCATCACTCTGAAATGGAAGTAGGAGGAAGAAGTGTGCAGTACAGGGGGCTCACTGTAAACAAAGTTGCAAAGTGGTGGGTAGAGCCCAGCCTTCAGAACCAGATGAATCAATCAGGTTCCCCAAGCAGCTGTGCGGTCACAGGGAAGTTGCTTAACCTCTCTGAGCCAGAGTTCCTCCTCTGTAAAACGAGGATGATGCTACCCAGCTTACAGGATTGTTGTAAAGATTAAATAATATATGTTACATGTAATAATAAAGATTAAATAATATATGTAAAGCATTTGGCACAACTATTTGCTTGGCAATATAGTAGAACCTAATAAATGTAGGAATTGTTTTAAATATATTTTTAAGGATAAGGTGCCTTCTATATGTCAGCAAGAAGTAGCCACCAGGAAGTGTGATTTATATAAAAGCTATAGTCTTAGGAAAAAATGGTATCTCATTATAAGCAAGACAAAGTAAGGCAACAGAAGGGTGTTGTGGGTAAGGGTGGAGTGGTCTTCACATTGTCAAAAAGCTGGTGGGCCAGGTCCCATGGGCCAGGAGCAGCTGAGATTTATCTAGGACAGTCCAGGGAAGGGGGTCATGAATCATACAAACACTCCCAGCTTAGCCCCAGAACGTCAGTTTCCTTTTTCTAGTTCTCCTCTTGCCAAGTTCTATTCTGAGCTCCCTAGCAGCCTTTGCCCCAGGAAGGGCATGCCCCATGCAAGTGGCCAGTGTTGGCTGTTCCGTGAGGCATAGCTCCCCTGCCAATTGGTGCACTGGGATTCAGGTGGAGAAATCAGTCTCTTGTGGGCTGTTTGGAAAAGTGATGAGTTTCCGAACAAACCTGAGGACCAGAGTGTCATTTTCTAGGGCCCAGCTCTGGCAGCTGCCTGGCCTCTGATTATCACCTCAGCCCAGGCATCAGCATCCCTATTTGTCAGATGAGGGATCAGGCTCCCAGAGGCTGAGTGACTCCCCCAGGCACGTGGTTGGCTGACATCTGACTAATACCGTGCCTTCTCATTCCTCACACGGTACTTCTCTTTCCACTATGCCACACACAATGTCCAGCTTGCAAACTCAACTCTATTCTGAATGTTGGCATGGTTGGAACTGAAATCACTTACTGACATCATGAATCTGAACATGAGGATAAAGTGGAGACTGTTTTACCAAATCTATCACATCCACTGCCGTCACCTTCATCCTCTAAACCTGCAGCTCTGAGCAATACAACGTTTCCCTCCGTCTATGAAAAGAAACACTAATAAAAACATCATGATGCTTGTGATGAGAATCAAGTTTCAGTGTGCTAGAGGAAGGGACCATCTCACTGAGCAGATGATTCAAAACTATATCTAGGCTGGGCGTGATGGCTCATGCCTGTAATCCCAGCATTTTGGGAGGCTGAGGTGGGTGGATCACTTGAGGCCAGGAGATCAAGACCAGCCTGAGCAACAGGATGAAACTCCGTCTCTACTAAAAATACAAAAAAAAAAAAAAAAAAATTAGCCAGGCATGGTGGCACACACCTGTAATCCCAGCTACTTGGGAGGCTGAGGTGGGAGAATTTCTTGAAACTGGGAAGCAGAAGTTGTAGTGAGCCGAGATTGTGCCACTGCACTCCAGCCTGAGTGACAGAGTAAGACTCTGTCTCAAAAACAAAAAACAATAAAAACCCACAAAAAACCCAACTGTATCTATAGTAGCTCTGTGGTAAGAGCATGGCCTCTAGAATTAGGCCTCATTCCATCCCTCAGCACCTGTGTGACCTTGGGCAAGTCACTTTTTTTTTTTTTTCCGAGACAAGGTCTCACTCTGTCATCCAGGCTGGAGTGCAGTGGTGCAAACATAGCTCTTTGCAGCTTCAACCTCCTGGGCTCAAGTGATCCTCTTGCCTCAGCCTTCTGTGTAGCTGGGACCACAGATGCACGCCACCATACCTAGCTAAGTTTTTGATTTTTTTGTGGAGATGGGGTTTTGCCCTGTTTCCCAGGCTGGTCTTAAACTTCTGGGCTCAAGTGATCCTCCTGCCTTGGCCTCCCAAAGTGTTTGGTTTACAGGTGTGAGCCACTGTGCCCGGCCATGGGCAAGTTACCTAACCACTCTGAACCTCAGGTTCTTCATCTGTAAAATGAGGATGAAAATAATACCTACCTCATAGACTGCTCATGAGGCTTGCCCTTGGTTGTGCCTGGTTCCCAGTTAGCACTGCAGAAATGCTAGTTATCATGATACCATTATTATTATTTGACTTTGGAAGATATTGAGGGATCTTTTTATCTTCTCTGCTTCCCCCCTGCAGATTTTCCCTCCAGTATATCTCACCTGGGTTAATATTAAGGTGAGTTTGCTTTGCCAAGGTACACATAAGGCCTGTCAGAGAGGGGAAATCCAGACATAGGCTGGAGGGTGAGAATCAAACATTTGCTTTGATAACTCATCAGCCAACTCTTTTATGGATAAACAAAGATTGACTTCAATAACACACTGATAACCCTTCCATGGTTTTCTAGAGTGTTGCCAAGTCTCACCTTGGTTACAGGGAGGAAAGAGAAGAGTCAAGACTTGAATTCGGGAGCCCCACCTCCCTCTGGTTTCAGCCGAACTCACCTGGCAGTGTCTTCACTCGGCACATGTAGGGGGCACTCTCCTTGGCCCAGGTGGGAACGCAAATCATGATGGTGCCAAGGAACTCTGTGTCAGGGGTCAGGCCGAAGAACTCATATTCTCTCTGCTTCCCTCCAAGGTGCTGAATTGGACAGAGAATGGAATGTGATTCCTGTTACACACCGATCTCCACATAGAGCCCAAGGAAGCTTGCTCGCTCCTCCTGGATTCTGGTTTGATGCTGATGGGTCTGTCTTCAGCCTCTGTTTCCATTCCCCTCCCTTCTGCTTTATCCCCAAATCCAATCAGTCTCCAAGCACGTGTGCCTTTCACTTGCAATAGTGTCTGGCCCATAGGCAGTGGTTATACACACTATATAATGTGGTTATATACATATATATATATATATATAAAATGTGTGGTTATACACACATAATGGCAGCTGTCATTATGACCTCCACCACCCTCCCACGCTCCCACTATCCCTCCTTCTTCCAATTCCTCTTGTCCTTCACCTTTTTGTGGTTAAACATCATAAACTTTTTGAACACCCATTCCTTTCTTTCTTTCCTCATTGCTTCTGCCTTAATTGGGCCTCAAGGCTTCAGCCTGGACTCTAGCAGTAGCCTCTTTCATGGTCGCCCATCTCTGGGTTTGCCCCTGTTCACTTCCATATTCATCCTAGTGTTTATAGGAATCTTTCTAAAAGACAATCTCATTATAATGCTCTTCTATTCAAAAGGCTTTGATGGCCTCACCCATATTTACAGAATAGAGTCCTGGTGCCTGGCTTCCAGTCCAGACTCATTTGTCTCTGCAGCCCACCTGGCTCTGCAGGCTCATCAATGCTGGATACCTGCCACTCGGGTAAACACCTACCTTGCATAAGAAAGCCCTTGTTTCTTTGCATCTGCCAATCCTTCTGCTGGAACTGTGTTTTGATTCTCGTTCTTCTGTGTATCTCTCACCTTTTTGACCCAGAACTCCTCTCCCATGGCTGCCACATGTTATCCTGTCTGGCTCTCCTCCTACCTCTCTGACTGGTCTTTCGCTGGTTTTAGCCCCTCAATGTTGTTCTGCAAGATTTGCTCTTCAACCATTTCCTTCTCTCTCACATACTCTCCAGCCACTTAGTGATCTTATCTGAACCCATGGCTGCTGTGAGCACCGATGTGTGGATAACTCCCAAACTTATCTCAGGAAGAGCTGTAGAGTTTCTGATGGGCCCTGCCAGCTCCCTGCTGAATAGTACCATGTGAGCATCTCTAAGTCAACATGTCCGAACATGCTGCCCTCCTCTCTCTGGGGCTGGCCCCATCCCAGACCCCAAACCCAAATCTGCTTTTGATTCTCTAATTTTGATAATAGCATCACTCTTCTTCTAATCTCCAGGGCCTAAACCTTGAAGCCATTTTGGACAAATCCCCTCTCATATCTTTGGTATCAAATTGCCCTTAAAGGATCCAGAAATCTTCCTTTAAAGGGCCAGAACCTGTGTTCTCGGGAGTTCAAAAACTGAGAATTTTCTTTGGCTCTTTGTATTTCAGCTCTGCCTTCTCTTTTTCAGGCACATGGAGGCCAAGGTTGAGGGTAATTTACTGTTTTCTTTTGTGTGTGTTTATGGGGATGGTGGTGACAGTGAGTGAAGAAGTACATAAATAAATTTTTTAACTTATTGTTTTGTGGAACTCATGTGGTTGGAACTGGACACATTACATATCATGAGACATAACTCCAGGAGAGTTGCCAAGGCCCTGATTCCTCCTTTCCCAAGTTTTTCACGACCTCCATCCTGGTTCAGGCCCTCATTTCCAGCCTATACCATTGCAATAATCTTTTGACTTGCCAGCCTGATATCTCTTCCATTTCCATATTTGATCTTTCTTCATTCTAATCCTAGTAATTTATATCTTCTATTGGACCAAACATCCCCAAAATAACAACTATAAATTCTAAGCAAAATGAAAACCAACTACTTAAAAGCATTGGAGAGAAAATAAAAGCAGGCATATATTGGAGAGAGGAGAAATGTCGATGGGTACATTTCCCATTTTTACTGTCTTGTAGCCTGAAGGCAGACCTCAGTCTACACCCTGTGGAATGGCTAAACCTAGACAGAAACCCTTTATTCTCAGTGGCTTGAATACCCAAAAGGCAGGGCTTGGAATAATCACAGCAGCTGGAAAATGAGGGGAGAAAGCACAGACAGGGGAGAGTGTAGAGAAGGAGGCCCAAACTCTGTATATAAACTCTGCTCAAATCCCTGACCGGCCCCTAAAGTAGGCATGAATGGGGTAGACTCCAAGCAGCCCAGGTAAAGTTAACCAACAAAAAAAGAAGAGAGATTTCAGAGTTTGGAGTTCAGCCAAATTAATTGCCTACCAAAACCGGATGAAACCAAACCAACACTCTTTGGAGGAATATAACAGAATCTACAGTAATTTCAACACAATGTCCAGGATACATTTCAAAATTGTTAGACATACAAAGAAAGAATATGCGACCCATATTCAAGAGAAAAGATAATAGTGACTGACCCTGATGACCAAAATGTTGAATTAGCAGACAATGATTTTATTTTATTTGAGACACAGTCTTACTCTGTCACCCAGGTTGGAGTGCAGTGGTGCAATCTCAGCTCACTGCAACCTCCGCCTCCCAGGTTCAAATGATTCTCCTGCCTCAGCCTCCTGAGTAGCTGGGATTACAGGCACCTGCCACCATGCCCAGCTGATTTTTGTATTTTTAGTAGAGATGGGGTTTTACCACACTGGCCAGGATGGTCTTGAACTCCTGACCTCAAGTGATCCACCCACTTTGGCCTCCCAAAGTGCTGGGATTACAGGCGTGGGCCACCTCACCTGGCCAACAATGATTTTAAAGCAGCGGTATAACAATGCTCCAGGAAGTGAAACAAAATAAGCTCATATTGAATGAATGAATAGAAAATCTCAGTAGAATATGGAAACTATAAAATCTAGGAACTTTAGAGTTGAAAAATTCTAGATATTATTATCTGAAATTTAAAAACCCACTGAATTATCTCAAAAACATTTTGGAAATGACAGAAAAAATAGAGAACTTGAAGAAAGATTGATAAGGGAGAATTAGATAGTGGTGATGGTTTCACAACTTTGTGAATAGGCAAGTAACACCTGAATTGTATGCTTTAAAAGAATGAATTTTATGGCATGTGAATTAATGTCAAAAAAAGGTAAAGGCTGTCAGAGCTGTCTGCAAGAGATACATTTTAAATATAATAACAGAGGCAGATTGAAAATGAATGTAAAAACATATATTATGCAAACCATAAGAAGGCTGGAGTGTCTATATTAATATCGATAAAGTAGACTTCAATACAAAGAGTATGACTACAAATAAAAAGGAACAATTCCTATGACAGAAGGTTCAATCTATCAGGAAGATACAACAATCATAAATATATATGTATTTAATAACTGAGTTTCAAAATGCACGAAGCAAAAATGCACAGAATTAAAGGGAAAATAGACAAATCCACAATTATAGTTGGAGAGTTTACTATTTTCAACAATTAAACGACCAATTGACCTCTCACCTAAATCAGGAAAGACATAGAAGATCTGAATAACACAATTAATCACCTTTACCTAATTGATATTTATAGCGCACTCCACCAACCAACTGCAAAATATACATTCTTTTCAGGTGCACAAGGAACGTTCACCAGGACAGGCCATAGGCTGGGCTATAACACAAGCCTCGATAAATTTAAAAGGACTGAAATCATACAGCGTGTGTTCTCTGACCACAAATTGAATTAAATTAGAAATCAACAATAAAATATTTAATAAGACCCTAAATATTTACCAAAAAATAGTTGTGATAAGGACTCTCCCTGCTTAGTAATCTCTAGTGGCTCCCCCAACTACCGAAAGAAACAAAAATTCGTCCCCTCCACCACCCTATCCCTTCTACAGCATAGTCCCATCCAGTCTTCTGAGGTTTATCTCCCGGGGTCCCTCCACGTCAGAGGTTCTCAAGCTTTGCGTTGGGGAAGAAGCGCCTGGGTTGCTCACTAAAATTCAGATCCCAGGGATGCAAGTGCAATAACTTGATGAAGTTGACTGGAAGGGGACCCAAGAATCTGCATTTTAAACAAGTGCTGCAGGAGATTCTGATGCTGTTTGTTTGGGACCATGGTTTTTGTGTGTGTGTTTTTTTTTTTTTTTTGAGATGGAGTCTTGCTCTGTCGCCCAGGCTGGAGTGCAGTGGCGCGATCTTGGCCCACTGCAAGCTCCACCTCCCGGGTTCACGCCATTCTTCTACCTCAGCCTCCTGAGTAGCTGAGACTACAGGCGCCCACTACCATGCCCGGCTAATTTTTTGTATTTTTTAATAGGGACAGGGTTTCACCGTGTTAGCCAGGATGGTCTGCATCTCCTGACCTCGTGATCCGCCCGCCTCGGCCTCCCAAAGTGCTGGGATTACAGGCGTGAGCCACCGTGCCTGGCTGGGACCATGTTTTAAGAAACTGTTTTACATGTCTTTATGCTCTTGTCAAAGTGGGCAGTTCTGTGCTTTTCAAAAATGTCTTAAGTTGGCCGGGTGCGGTGGCTCATGCCTGTCAACCCAGCACTTTGGGAGGCTGAGGCAGGAGGATCTCTTGAGCCCAGGAGTTTGAGACCAGCCTGGGCAACACAGTGAGGCCCCGTCTCTCTTTTTTTTAAATGGCTTAAGTTTTGCTGCTTTTCTCTCTGATCATGGTGGGGCAGTATAGGCAGGCCAGTGGTGGGAGAAATGTGGGCTAAACAGAGCTGGATTTGAATCCTGTCTACCCTATTATTTGCTGAACAATCTGAGCAAGTGACTTTTAACTTCTCTTCGTTCCCTCATCTAGACAATGGAGATGATAGAACCTGCCTCACAAGGCCGTGGTGAAGATTAAATGACATAATATGCATGTATTACCTGGCATGCCTCAGAAATTGATACTGGCTTCCAGAAAGCCAATACCAATTTCTGTGGCATGCCAGGTAATATATGACTATTAATGACATAATATGCATATTATGCATATTAGGCTTTCTGGAAGCCAGTACCAATTTCTGCGGCATGCCAGGTAATATATGCATATTATGTCATTTTTGGCTTCCTAAAAGTTTTCTGGAAGTCTTTCAAATCTTGCTGTGCTGACATCCTGCCCCACCTCCCAATACCCATATTTTCCTCTACCTATAGCTATTTGAATTCTTGTTTTAACTTCCTTTTCACCCCCTAGATTATAAGCTCCTTGCATGCAGAAACCACAAAGTAGGAAATAAATATTCATTTAACTGAATTGTGGATTGGTGGCACATGCTGAGGGTAGGGGGTACCAAATATTTTCTGAATACGAAAAGAAATAATTCATGTACTATTTGAGAATGTATGCCCTTGCCTTCCACCTCTTATTATTACTCATCCTTCCACATTGCCTGTATATAGTTCCTGCAAATATTGGAAAACTACTGCAGCAGTAGAAATTGATTCTAGCATTTTCTAATGTGAACATCTGAAGATATTAATAGAGGTTGTTCCCCAGGATGTGAGAAGGTGTTAAACAAAAAACAATGTAAATATTATGCAAAAAAAGCAGCTTCTCTGGTCAAATAAATTCTGGAGAAATTGTATTAAACAAATTGATAATATACCTAATGCTAAATGACGAGTTAATGGGTGCAGCACACCAGCATGGCACATGTATACATATGTAGCTAACCTGCACATTTACCCTAAAACTTAAAGTATAATAATAATAAAATAAAAATAAATAAATAAAAAACAAAACAAAACAACAAAACAAATTGATAGTGGAGTCTTGGCTCTGCAGGACTTGTCAGAGCTTTTAGCATGCTATTGTGTGTGTGAATCTACAAGAGAAAAGTTGTCATTTGTGATGATTTCCAGGCTTCAAGGAGCCTCTCAAGGGACATGTTTTGGGAAATGCTAATTTACATAACATGTCCCCTTTTTTTCTTAAAGCAACTCAGATCTAATTGGGAGGGAAGAGGCTTCCTAGGCAGAGAAAGACCAGGGTGCAACATACACTCACCATTTGGTAGGTGCGGTTGACCTGGAGCTCTAAGTGGTAGAACAGGTCATGGAAGATGTCTTCCAGGGTTAGCCGGTGGCCATCGCCTGCACGGATTGGCGTGGGGGTAGGATGAACAATCATCTGAATCGATCTCACTTTGGAGATACAGGTCACATCAGGTGGCTTGAGGGTAGCTGGGGATAGGGAGAGAGAAAAGAGAAAAGAAAAAGTCAGAATCGGTGGGTAGTGTCTGAGGCAACCTTGGACAGTGGAAAATGACTGCTCCCTCTCTCCTTCCACTCCAGTGCCAGCTATGCTTCTGAAAGCAACGGCTAAACAAACAGTGAAAAGAGAAAAGTTTCTACAAGCCCTGGTGTTTGGGTTTCAGGCTGGCAAAGGGATGACCAAGAGTGGATGAGAAGAACTCAGGGGGAGGGGCACCAGTCCCCTAGCTTGGTCATGCCTTTGGCTTGCCCCCACACATCCCAGCCCCCTGCGTCCCCACCTTAAGTCAGCCTAGAGCACCCTTCCTCCCTCATCTATTGAGTATGACAGCTTTGGGGATGTCAATGACATCAACTACACATCCTAAATAATGTTTGGGGCCTAATACTATTGATGCAGCCTCAAAGATCAGGCTGAAGACTTCTGTCTCTCTCAAGATGGAATTTTCCAAATAACCAAATTACCTTTGCTGGTTTACAGACTCCTTTGAGAATGTGATGAATGCTGTGGGTCTTCTTCCTGCCAAAATGTATATATACAAAAATCTTGCATCCAACTTCAGGGATTCATGGACCTCATTTACCCTGAATCTAATTTGTAAAAATTCCTCAATGATCCTTTGGCCTCCAAGATTGAAGATATCTGAGTCAGAACAATGTTTACTTCAGTGCTGCTAATAAAATTGAAAAACTGAGCTGTATGTCCTCAAAAAGGGAAATACATAAGTAAATTAGAGTATCTCCCTAGAATGGATTATTTTGCACTGTGAAATATCTTGTTGTGCAAAATGTTTAATGATATGGGTAAATGTTCATGATACCAATATATGGAGAAAAAGAACCTAAGACAAAAAAGCAATGCCAGATTGCAAAGTAGATACGGCTGCTAGTATCTGCAGTTATGTTACAATGTTAAGATCATTTTGGGTGACTTTTATTTTTCTTTGTATATTTCTATATTTCACACATTTTCTACAATGAATGTGAATTCACTGAACAAGCCAGGTTAAAAAAACAATATTTTACTTAATTTTATTTTTTATTTTCTTAAAAAGCTATGTGTGACTATAAAGTCAGTTGGTGAACATCGTCACACGCTTAGCTTGTGTGGGGAGTTTGGCAACTATATTAGTCCATTCTCACACTGCTAATAAAGACACACCTCAGACTGGGTAATTTATAAAGGAAAGAGGTTTAACTGACTCACAGTTCCACATGGCTGGGGAGGCCTCAGGAAACTTACAATCAGGAAACTTACAAAATGGGAGGCAAACATGTTCTTCCTCACATGGTGGCAGGAAGGAAAATGAGAACCAAGCAAAGGGGGAAGCCCCTTATAAAACCATCAGATCTCACAAGAACGTACCCACTATCATGAGAATAGCATGGGGGGAACCGTCCCCATCATTCAGTTACCTCCTACTGGGTCCTTCCCACAAGACAGGATTATGGGAACTACAATTCAAGATGAGATTTGGGTGGGGACATGGCCAAACCATATCAGCAACTGCTGTCCACTCAACCATTCATTTACTGAATATCTTTTTTATTTTTTTGAGATAGGATCTCACTGTGTCACCTAAGTTGGAGTGCAGTGGGGCAATCCCAGCTCACTGCAGTCTTGACCTCCTGGGTTCAAGCTACCCTCCCACTTCAACCTCCTGAGTAGCTGGGACTACAAGTGTGTGCCACCACACCCAGCTAATTTTTAAATTTTTTGTAGAGATGGGGTCTCACTGTGTTCCCCAGGCTGGTCTTGAACTCCTAGGCTCAAGTGATCCTCTTGCCTCAGCCTCCCAAAGTGCTGGGATTACAAGTGTGAGCCACCACGCCTGGCTATTGAGAATCTTCTATGTGCCAGGCACTATGCTGAGGGCTGGGAATGCAGTGGATTCTGCCGCCCACACATACAGTTCTAGAGCTCACATTTTAGAGGGGGAGGCAGATGATAACATGTGTGAGCAAACACAGTAATTGCAGCGTGTGATCTGAGCGATGAAGACAATAAGCCCTGTATTGCACTAGAGAATCACAGATGGTGGCCTACAGAAATCAGGTCATCAGGGCTGGAGGTGGGGACACTGACTTAGGAGGTGATGTTGAAGCTGAGCCGTGAGGACTATAAAAGAACCAGTCATGTGAAGAGCTCAGAAGTGCCCCCAGAGAGTGGGAGCAGCAAGGAACCCGAGGCAGGGACTGTCAGAAGCTTGGCTGCTCGATGCATTGGGAAGACATGTTCAAGATGAGGACCAGGATAGGCAGGGCCTCGTGGGCCGTGGCAAGGAGTTGGATCTTATTTGTAGAGTCATGAGAAGCTGCCCGAGGGTTTTAAGCTGAGAAGAGAAGGTGGGATTTATGTGTTGAGGAGATCTCTCTAAATGCTCTGTGGAGAATGGGCTGGAGGAGGTGGTAAAGAGGAGAGTTGGGGAAACAAGTTAGGTGGCCTTGACTGCAGTCGGGGGTCAAGATAAGGGTGGTCTGAACTAGGGAGGTTGGGGTGGAGGTGGAGAAAAGTGAACAAACCTGCTAGGAACACACTGTAATTGGTGGGGGTGGGGGGCTTCCCTAAAAGCCACATCCCCAGCTGCCCCTCCCCTTGCAGAGAGCCCCTTCTGGACCCTCCACCCACTCCAGAGGGGAAGAGGCCATCCCACCCCGCAAACACCTGCGCTTTCCTCTTCCCTCCCCTGAAACCCACAGGGGCTCCAACTCACTGTGCTGCAGAGAGCTGAACCTGTCAGTCATCTTGGTGGCTGACCGGCCTCCCGCACTGACAGCGGTGACCCTGGCATAGTAGAGCTCCGTGAGGTTGCCCGTCTCCACCGTCAGGTTGCAGGACTTCCGGGTGATCCGCTGACAGCCCTTCTTTGCCACCCAGTCCCTCTCTCCGTACCTGCAGGTCAGGAAGGGGCCAAGTCACCGTGGTGATGAAAAGGCCAGCGCTAGGCCTGTGGCTTATTAATAATGCCAAGGAGATCTGATATTTACTTAGCACGTTCAGTGGCCCAGGCCCTTTATGCGAATGATCTCATTTTGTTCTCACAATGATTCTCTGAGGCATATGCATTCTTCTCTTTTTCTTTCTTTATTCCTTCCTTTCTTTTTTTTTTTTTTTCTTGAGACACAGCCTCGCTCTGTCACTCAGGCTGGAGTGCAGTGGTGCAGTCTTGGCTCACTGCAACTTCTACCTCTGGGGTTCGAGTGATTCTCCTGCCTCAGCCTCCCGAGTAGCTGGGATTACAGGAGTGCACCACCATGCCTGGCTAATTTTTGTATTTTAGTAGAGACAGTATGGCCACCCTGTTGGTCAGGCTGGTCTCGAACTCCTAACCTCAAGTGATCCACCTGCCTCAGCCTCTGAAAGTGCTGAGATTATAGGTGTGAGCCACTGTGCCCAGCCTATTCTGTTTATTTTTCAAACAAAGAAGATGAGGCTCAAAGAAGTAAATTGCCCACGTGTTTGAAGTGTGCATGTGGAGAGCCAGGATTTGAACCCAGCCAGTCTGAGTCCACATTCTGGGCTCGTCATCACCATAGTCCTTTGATGTGGGCCCTGTTATCCCCATTTTACAGATGAGAGAAATGAGGCTCAGAGAGGGGGAAGTGACTTGCTACAGGACAACGTGGCATGACCAGGAGTGGAAGCCAGGTTTGAGGACTCCTGAGCCCAGGCCACCCCTCCTCACCTGCATGGGAGGGAGAGGAGCAGGAACAGGAGCGTGGGCTAGAGGGGCTGGGTGCATCTTCGGTTGACCTAGTCTCACTAATAATAATAAAACAATTATTGGTAGCTTATAAATTTCCAGGCACAAGTGCTAATGACTTTATCTTGTTTAACCCACCCAACAACCCTGTGATGAAAGTGCTATCATTGTCCTCACTTTGTGGGTGGAGAAACTGAGGCTTCGTGAGGTTACCTGCCCAAGGTTATACAGGCGAGAGCGGCATTTAAGCCCAGACAGCCTGACCCTATCACCTGTACTTTTTACCCTTATATTATTCTCCCTCTGCAAAAGAAACATAAAGGAGCAAAGCTTTATCTGGGAGGGGCTATGTGACACCAGTCCTGGTGGGGACATGGGAACATATGGAGAGGAGGGGAATTCCTTGGAGAGGGGCTGGCTTCAGATCAGTCAAAGGAGGTGGGGTCAAGAGAGAAGCCTACGTCTTATACTCGATGCTGTAGACCGTGTCTGGGGTGCCCTCCGGCCCGCTGTCCCACGTCAGGATGTTTTCAAAGTTGCTGGACTGGAATTTCACGTGCTGGAGCAGATCCGAGGGGTCCTCAGGGGCGTGAGCTGCAGGAGGGTGGGAGGAGGGTGAGCAGGGGCTTTCCCAGGGTCACCCTGCCCATGTATGGGCTCAGTCAGAGTCCTGCCCCATATAAATTTCATGCAAAGTGCCTTTGCTTTCAAGATGCCAGCCTGGTGGGTGGGCAGGGAGACCCTGGCCCCCAGCCTTCTACAAATGGACCAGCAAGAGGGGATGCTCCCCACGCTGTTCTAACCAACCATCCATTCTCAGCCATTTTGCTTTGCAATGGGTTGTGATTCACATTCCATAAATGTCACCACCTTACAGTGTTCAGTTCAATGGTTTCTTAGCATTTTCACAACGTTGTGCAATCATCGCTATTATCTAATTCCAGAACATTTTTAGCACCCCAAAAAGAAACTGCATGCCCATTAGCAGTCACTCCACCCATTCTTCTCCTCCCCTAAACCCTGACAACCACGAATCTACTTCCTGTGTCTGTGAATGTCCCTACTCTAGACTTTTTATGTAAATAGAGCTTGGCTGGCTTCTTTCACTTAGCATAATGTTTTCAAGGTTCACACGTGTGGTAGCATGGATTAGTACTTCCTTTTTAGGGCTGAATAATATTCCATTGTGTGATATACCACATTTTGTTTATCCACTCATCAGGACATTTGGGTTGTTTCTACTTTTTGGCTACCATGAATAATGCTGCTGTGAACACCGTGTTCAATTTTATAAGTGGACATATGTTTTCAGTTGTCTTGGGTATATATCTAAGAGTGGAATTTGGTAGGTTATATAGTAGCTCTATCTTTAACCTTTTGAAGAACTGTCGAACTATTTTCTAAAGTGGCCACACCATTTTTTTGGTCTTTGAGACAGGGTCTTGCTCTGTCCCCCAGGCTGGAGTGCAGTGGCGTGATCATGGCTCACTGCAGCCTCGACTTCCTGGGCTTAAGCAATCCTCGCACCTCAGCCTCCTGTGTAGCTGGGACTACAGACATGCACCACCACATCCGTCTAATTTATTTTTAAATTTTTTGTAGTGATGGGGTCTCATATATTGTCCAGGATGTTATGGCTGCACCATCTTAAATTCCCACCAGCATTGTTTGAGGGGTTCAGTTTCTCCACATCGCCATTGATGCTTGGTATTGTCTCTCATTCACTTTTTAACACAACCTGAAGTTGGTGTCCTCACCCTTATTTTAGAGATATGTAACTAAAGTGTGTAAGAAGTGACTTGCCCCAAGTTGATCAGATGAAGCAATGGTGGAGGAGGCGCTCTTGACTGAGCCCACACGTGGGCAGGGTGGCCTTGGGAAAGTTGTTTAAGCAACGAGAACTTCAATTGCCTCATCTCTAAAATGGATATAGTTTGATTTACCGAAAGACAAACAACAATGACAACAGCAGCCACTGGCATTTGTGAAGTGCACAGCCTCTTTCAGGCAAGTCCCTCCCTTCATTAAATCCTCACGACAACGTGCCCACTATCACTATCCCCATTTGATGAATGAGCTGAGGCTCAGAGAGAGCTGCCGCCCAGCATCACAGTTAGCATGTGAAGAACCTACAATATTCATCCCAGTGCTAGACTGGTTGTGGGGCGGATAGAGCGGGTTGGCGTCTGTGAATGTGTTTAGTGTCTAACAGGCCCCTATGTACATGTGTTGAGTCTGAAGGGAGGAGACCTGGGAAGGGAAGACATTCGCTCTGTAGGGAGGGGGCTATCTTGTTCACCCTTTTATATGAGGGTGGGGGGCTTCAGGGACCTGAGCACCTGATAAAGGGATGAATTTAGGGAGGAGGAGAAGAGAGAGGAGAAGAGAAGCTGGCCATTGAAGAGTCCACAGCCCTCTCTTCCAGGCTAGGTCTTTGTCCAGCCCACTTCTGCTTCTGTTAAGGGAAGGGCAGTGAGGGCCTGAGCCTCAAGGAAGGGGCTGGGGAGGGGCTGCAGCCTCTAAAGCAATCTGCACTGTAAACAAAGAGTCCTTAACTTATAAAACCCTTCCCTCAGGCCCCCAGGCTTGGGCTGTGGAGAGCAAGAGCCTGCGGGAAAATGGCGGCCCAAGCTGGCAGCTGGCTCGGAGCTCGGAGGCCCTGGCCGGCTGGCGTGGGAAATAAACAGGTGGGAAAATGTTAAGCAACCCCAGCTGGGTCAAGGCCTTGCGGCCTGGGTGTGTGTCTTGAATATGTCTGTGCCTCTCCTTCCCCAGACACGTCTACGACTGCCAGTGGGCCCAAGGTGTGAGGGAGCAGACAGTTATTGATTCCCCTACTCCAACTCTACACACAAGAGGGGTCCTCAGGCTTGGCGAGGACCGATGGGGACGGAAGAATGGTCCGACCCCGCTGCACATCCTCTGGCCAACCTCGAAGGCTGCCCTCCTCTCTGAATTTGGGTTCTGGCCCAGCAGCTGCAAAATGTCTTCAGGCTTCCTGGAGTCCCCAGAATGGGGCCTTAGGGATGGCGCGGGGAGGGGTCTACTGCCTCTACGCAAGGTGACGGCTGTGCCGTGGAGCCTTAGGATGTAGCTGACATCTTGTTTGGATGTGAGGCTGGGTGGAATTGGGGTCAGTTCTGGAGGGAGGGGTCCTGGATTCAGGGCTGAGTCTAAAGTTGAGGAAAGGAGTCCAGTCAAGGTCAGACCTGAACAGTGGCTTCTGGTTGGGTGGTGGGTCAGGGCAGAAGGGTGAGGGTGGGCTTTGAGAAGCCAGGCTCCATCAAGGCTTGGGGTAGAGTCTGCAGCGGGAACGGTTGCTGGTTGAGGTCAGTGTTCTGGGTGGGAAATAGAGGGCCCATCTGGGTTGCAAGGAGGCTGGTGGCTGAGGTGGGGGCATGTTGCCAAGGCAAAGGACCCTGGGCTACGTGGAGGTTGGCACCACTTTTCAGGAGGGAACTGCAGTTAGCTTCCTGAAGTGGGGTAAGTGAACCTAGGCCCACTCCTGTCTTTTAGGGATGTCAGGGTCTAACAAGATCTCCCCCTCTTCTCCCACCCTCCTCGCTCCTTTTCCTCCTCAAATCTATCATCCATTCCTCAGCCTGTGTTGCTTCGGCACTTCCCGGGTGAAAGTCTATATTGTGAAATCTGGGGAGACATGTGTTGTGTGGAGCCTGGCAGCCTGGCGGATTTATAAAAGGCAACTTGTTTTTTCACATTCATGTGGAAAAACAATGTTCTGTCAACCAGCTGGGAAGCTAAGGAAAAATACACAAACAAGAAACAATTCCACATGCTCTGGAGTCAGCCTAAGATTGGGGGGGTGAGGGCCCGGTGTGTGCAGCGCGAGGCAGCTGACCCTTGACAATCTCCTAAGGGCTATTTCTTGGGGTCCCCCATCTCAAAGGGCTGGGAGCCTCTAGGATTTCTAACCAGTATGGCTGAGGGTCTAAAGGGACGTGTCTTGGTGCCTCAAGGGGGTGCCTCACATCTTCCTGGAACGCCCAGCTTGATGCTGGGAAGCAGACTGGAGGGGGTCCCACAGAGCTGGAAGCCCTGGAGACGCAGGCAGCCCTGGCGGGACAGTGGCAGAGAAGGTGGGAAGCTCTGCCTTTTCGTGGGCCTCGTCCTGCACTTGAGCAAGGAGGGCCTGGCCGAGGCCATACCTGCTCGCCATCCTCAATCAGGACTATGCTTTGACTTCCTAAGGAAGTTCCCTGAATTTCATGCAATGCACCAGGAGAGCAGAGAGAGAGTCTAGGGTCTCATGTAACGTTCTCCATAATGATGAGCCCCCCACTCCGCTCACTTTATTGGCTTTGAACACTATGCCCTTAAGACCTGTTTCCAAATGAGTCCTGTGTCTTAAGACCTATTAATGTAGCAGACCTGGCCACTCTAGGAGAAAATGCTCTTTCAGATCTATGATAACAAAAGGGGCCAAAGAGGCCCTGCAGGGGCATGGAGGGAGGCAATAGTGAACTCAAGCTTCGTTTCCCCCGGTCCTTCCTCCTCCTCCCCTGTCAGGCCAGTGCCAAGTGAGAGGCAGAGGAAGGATGGTACAAACTGTGCCGACACCGTTTGAGGGACCGAAGGATGTCTGCCTCCTCCAGGCCAATTCTCCATTCACTGAGGTGCAGCGATCCAGCACCCCCAGTTCAGACAGCTGGCTATATCCCTCAAGACCCGAGGGTCCTTTGGGTCCCTGGAAGAACCCAGGGTCTGAGGCACCCTCTCATGCCCCCAGCAAACTAAGCTGGGCATTTGCTTCTCCGTGAACACCCGGCACCCTGCTCAGCCCTAGCAGGGGAGAAACTGAAACTGGCTATGCTCGGGCTGGGGAGGGTGCTGGGGAGATGACCCTGATCGTTGGCCCCTGGGATAAGGGAGGTCTGACCACAGGGTAGATGGGCACTCACCAGCCAGGGATCCCACAGTCAAGATGGTCAGCAGCGTCCTCATCGGGGCTGGCACAGAGCCCTCCCTTGGCCTCTACTCTGCCGTGCACAGAGAGAGGGCTGGGAGTCTTGGCGCCCTGGCAGCTGGCTCCACCCGGGCATGGGGCGGGGAGAAGGGGGTGGGTGGGACCTGTGCCGGTGGGGAGCAGGGGTACAAAGGTGTCCTGGCCCTGTGTGCTCTGGAATTCCAGGTTCTGGGCGGGATCTAAGGGAGTTCCCTTCCGACTTGCAGAAAACAGCAATAGTAACAGGCTGGCTTGTTTATCTGGTCCGGTGGCTGATTCATCCCAAGTGGTTTATCAAGGAGCTGAGGGGCAGAAAAGGCAAGAATAATCCACGATATGCAGCCTTATCAAAAAGCAATTTGGCACTGTGGATCAAAAGCCTACACCACATACATATCTTTTGCTTTAATAATTCTATTCCTAGGGGATTTACCCTGATGAAAATAACTGGACAACAGAGGGGGAAAAAAAAGGTCCCAGAATGTTTCTTGCAGCAAAGGAAAAGCTGTGACTCCTTTGCTTTTCTGGCAGGAGGAGATTGAGGGCACCCGATGCTCCTCCTTGATCCTCCATATCAAGGCAGGTCCCCACGCTTGGGGTGGGCTTGGGAACAGCTCTCCCCTAGAGAGGCCGTTGGGGGTGAGGAAGCCCAGCCGCTCTTACCTTGAGCCTTTGGGTCTAGGATCTGCAAAAGTTTAGAAAAAAAATGGAACTCAAACTTCAGTGATTCTTTCTGCTGTGCTAGAGATGGGGCTGAACTTCATGAATGGGGCTTTGGTTCGGGACGATGAAGATTCAGGCTGCTCTCCCATCATTTTGCCACGTAGGGCAGGATCTGCACATGAGCTTCGTGTGAATGAAGGGACAGGTGTTTAGGAAATGGTTTTCTCCTTCCTGCAGGGCCTGGAGAAGGTAGAAGGGCCCTGGGGCCTGGACTCTGGTCAGGGTGGACACGATTGGAGGGTCCTGCCCCTGGGGAGAGTTTGCCTGGCCCCAAGCACACAAAGGCAAGCGAAATTTTAGCAGGGATCCTGCCAACGGGTTGGGTGTAATGGGCTGTGATATGCTGAGATCGGTGTTTAAGTTTTTCTTTCCTGAATTGTAATTGTTATCAGCCCTGATTGCTAAAGTTTGTTTGACAAAACAGCCAAATCTAAGCTGTGCTTTGGAGGAATTAAGGTAGGGCCCATGCCAGTCATTTCCTGAAACTGCAGGAAACTACATTTTCTAGACTCCTTTATCAACTGCTTTCTGATAGGTTTAGCCCCTGGGGGAAGACTGGGGAGGCAGAGATCAGAGCATTTCTCCCCTCGTTTTCTGTTTGAGTGGCTTCCCCAGCAATGGCCATATCCCTCTGCAGTTCTGGCTCCCTCTGGACAGTCCATCAGCCAGGCAACCCCTTATGTCTTTCTTGTTCCTGTTTGGAGGCCAGCTCCTGGCTCTGGCAACACCTTCTCCCCTCATCTTTCCTTTCAGTTGGTGGGATGGCACAGCTTCCTGCTTTGGGGAAATCTCTGAACTGTCTGTCCTGATTAGTGTCCCAGCTCCTTCATCCTCTGGGTGACGAGCTCCTTTACATTAAAGTCCCTTGGTCTGAAAGACTGGAGAGGTTTCTGTGCTACTGAATGAACCATGATGGATAGAGGGTTTTTGATGACTTTGATGACAAGGCAGTGTGGGGAAGCTACAGCGAGAAAAACAGGTTACAAGGGACGCTTAGGGAGAAGAGCAGGCTTTGGTCCCAAGTGGCTGGCCGAGAGGACAAGACGCAGCCCCAACAGGTCTGTGGAACACGAAAGTGTTCCTTGGGGCCTCTCAGAAGCACTGGAAGAAGGAACTTGATGGAGGAAAAGGGCATCCTGTAGTTTCGAGGGCCTGTGGTTATGTAGGAATTAACGGGAAGGAAGACACCTGGATTGCTAAGGAATGTGGGAACACCCAGACTTCATTTCTAACAGTTTAAGAAAAAAATAGGTGGGGCGTGGTGGCTCATGCCTGTAATCTCGCACTTTGGGAGGCCAAGGTGGGCAGATCACCTGAGATCAGGAGTTCGAGACCAGCCTGGGCAGCATGGCGAAACCCTGTCTCTACTAAAAATACAAAAATTAGCCGGACATGGTGGCGGGCACCTGTAATCCCAGCTGCTCGGGAGGCTGAAGCAGGAGAATTGCTTGAGCCCAGGATGTGGAAGTTGCAGTGAACCGAGACCGCACCATTGCACTCCTGCCTGGGCGACAGAGCGAGACTCCGTCTCAAAAAAAAAAAAAAAAAAAAAAAAAAGGAGAAAAAAATGAAAACAACCTCCATGTCTGACAATAGAGGTTTGGTTAAAAGAATAATGGTATGTCCACCCAAAGCAAGACAAATGCAGCTTCCAAAATAATGCTGGAGAAAAATGTTTCGTGACCTGGTAAAGACTCATCATATTTTTTCAAGTGAAAAGAGGCATAACATAACCTATGTACAGTACCACCCTGGCTAAAACGCACACCTGCACACGCAGAGCAAACTGCGTGTCTTCATGGATATAGATGAAAACACTAGGGGCGTTATCTCTGGGTGGTAGTGGAATTGTAGGTGATTTTTCTTTTCTTCCCTTTGCTTATCTGCATTTCCTAAAGTTAATATAGGAAATACACTAATTTATATTAAGGGAAAGCAAGGTTACTAAACATAACAAATCGGCATTAAAGACAAGCCTTTGTTGGGGCTCTATCCTCCTCCTGGAATGCCATTTCCACTCCCTTAGCCAATTCCCTTTTCCTCGAATCTCACCAAGACAGTTTTCTTCTGCGATATGGCCCTTCTTGATAACTCCAGCCCATAACATCTCACTTTGAAAGTCCTTCCAGAGGCCAGGCACCGTGGCTCATGCCTGTAATCCCGGCATTTTGGAAGGCCAAGGAGGGAGTATCGCTTGAGTCCAGGAGTTTAAAGCCAGCCTGGGCAACATAGTGAGACACTGTCTCTATAAATAATAAAAAATTAGCCAGGTGTGGTGGCACATGCCTGTAGTCCCAGCTACTTGGGAGCCTGAGGCAGGGAATTGCTTGAGCCCAGGAGATCAAGGCTGCGGTGAGCCATGACTGCACCACAGCACTCAGCCTGGGCAACAGAGTGACACCTTGTCTCAAAAAACAAACGAACTTAAAAACAAAGTCCTTCCAGAATATGTGGTCTGGCCTGCATTTTGGCATTGTCCACTATGATACTTCAGCTGTGTTACATGTTCAAGAATGGAAAGGAGGCCAGGCGCCATGGCTCATGCCTGTAATTCCAGTACTTTGGGAGGCTGAGATGGGCTGATCACTTGAGGCCAAGAGTTCGAGACCAGCCTGGCCAACATGGTGAAACCTTGTCTCTACTAAAAATACAAAAATTAGCCAGGCATGATGATGCACACCTGTAGTCCCATCTTCTCGGGAGGCTGAGGCAGGAGAATCAGGAAGAATGAGGGAGAATCAGGAAGAATGAGGAAGAATCTGGAAGAATGAGGCAGGAGAAGCAGGGAGTCTAGGGTCCCTAGACTCCCGGCGGAGGTTGCAGTGAGCCAAGATCGTGCCACTGCACTCCAGCCTGGGCGACAGAATGAGTGAGACTCCATCTCAAAAACAAACAGGCCAGGCTCGGTGGCTCATGCCTGTAATCCTAGAACTTTGGGAGGCCGAGGTGGGCGCATTGCCTGAGGTCAGGAGTTCGAGACCAGCCTGGGCCACATGGCAAAACCCCGTCTCTACTAAAAAAACAAAAAAACAAAACAAAACAAAAAAGGCTGGGCATGGTGGCGAATGCCTATAATCTCAGTTACTCGGGAGGCTGAGGCAGGAGAATTGCTTGAATCTGGGAGGCGGAGGTTGCAGTGAGCCGAGACTGAGCCACTGCACTCTGGCCTGGGTGACAGAGCAAGACTCTGCCTCCAAACAAACAAACAAACAAAAGAATGAACAGGAGAGATTCGAGTTGGAGTGGAGGTGAAACATGAGCACCGTCTTCAAATATTTGAGGGGCTATTGCATGGAGAAGGCTCTAGACCTTTTTTGTATAACTACCTCTAAAAGGAAAACTAGGGTGGTCAGGGGGAGACATATTAGAGAGGCCATTTTTTCAATTTAAGGAAATCACTCTCGCTATGATGGTGTGGCTGCCTTGAGAGGTAGAAAGGTCTTGGCTGCTGGAGGTGTTCACAACGAAGCTGCCTTCAGTGGCAGAGGTTCCCCAGATAACCTCGTTCTCTGGGCTCCAAAGTTGGATGGTGCTCGTCAAGCATTCTGATTGCAAAGAGCCCGCTGGTATTCCTCTGTACCCTCCACATGGCTGAATGTAGAGCAGGTATCCAACATCGACTTACAGCGTTGACCTTCAGAGCAGCAGTTTCGCCTTGCTGATTCTCAGACCTCCAGGAAAAGCACTTGTTTTCTGACAAATTTCTCCAGTGCACCCATGCACTGTCTTGCCTCTGAGAATCCCTTTCCACCTCCACTTTCCTGTCTCACTCCGATTCATTCTTCAGGCCTCTGCTTAAATTCACTTCCACCAGGAAGCTTCCCCTGTGTGAGCTGCTCCCTTGGTTGGGTTGGGAACACCAGCTCTGTGTTCCCATCTCCTAGTATGCATTGCATGGTGCTTTCCCATTCCCCATGGCACTGACTACAGGGACAAGGCCTGGAGCTCGCTCTCCTGGGTATCTCAGTGTCTAGTAGGAGCTGGCACAGAGCAGGTACTTCGTAAGATTTGCTGAATGAATGAGTGTGCCGGAGAAAGCTGGCCAGGGCTTTAAGACTGTAGGGAACATCCCCAAGCTATAGAAAAAGCACATTTTACAATGAACTACTCGGGAATGTGATCTGCTCCTGTCCCTTCTCTCAACACCCAGGAATAACAGAAGCACAACATCAAAAGGCAGTGGGCTGTTTCCCGGAAGTCTTCAGGGAGTGTGGAGTGCTGTCTCCGTGGTTGATGACTCTGCAGGGGCAGGTCCTAGAGGGGTTCCTGCTCATTCCTGGAGAGCAGGAGCAAGGAACGAAGCCTGAGAGCCCATCTGACTCCAAGGCCTGGGCTGTGTCAATCAGGGACATTGAGTACATGGCCCAGGTCCGGAGTCTGGGTCTGGTCACAACCTTGCACCTGACTTCAGGTGACTATGAATAGTTCTTGTCCCCTCTTGAGGTCTCAGTTTCTCTGTCTGTAAAGGAGTCTTGGTCTAGAAGTCTCCTAAGGGCCTCTGCAGCTTGCATGGCCTCTGCTTCCATGTCACTTTGGGGTTGGAAACCTCCCCTGACATCCCAGAATTCCCTTCATGACCAATGTCATTCACACAAACATAAAGTCATTGTAGAATTTCCTGACTCTACTTATAATTTCAGCTCTCTCTTGGGAGTTTGAAGTTCCAGAAGCTTATTACATGCCTATAAGGCATGTATAAGGCCATGCTTCTTCATAAAAACATTAAGAAGATCATGCATTTCCAGCCAGGATGGGGGAGCACTTTCATAGGCCCCCACAGGAGCCAAGGGAAGTGAATGGAACATGGGCTTTGAGTAGACAGACCCGGTCTGAATTCTAGCTCTGCCACTTCCCTGCTGTGTGAGGGTCCCTTAGCCTCTCGTCCTCAGCTTCCTCATCTAGAAATGGAAATAAGTCTCTACTCCTCAGTGTTGCTGGGTTGCTGTCTCTGGACCGTTTCTGAGAAGGAGGTCTCACGCAGCAAGCATCCTCTGTTACAAAATGAGGAACCCAAGGACCAATGAGTTCCCTTAAAAACCTTTGCAGGCCGGGCGCAGTGGCTCACGCCTGTAATCCCAGCACTTTGGGAGGCAGAGGCGGGCGAATCACGAGGTCAAGAGATGAAGACCATCCTGGCCAACATGGTGAAACCGCTTCTCTACTAAAAATACACTGGGCGTGGTGGTGCACACCTGTAGTCCCAGCTACTCAGGCAGGAGGATAGCTTGAACCCGGGAGACAGAGGTTGCAGTGAGCCAAGATTGCATGCCACTGCACTTCAGCCTGGGGACAGAGGGAGACTGTGCCTTAAAAAAAAAAAAAAAGAAAGAAAGAAAAGAAAAAAGAAAAAAAAACCTAGACTGCTGGTGTGCAGGTGTGGGGATGGAGGGAGGTGGGCATGAGGGCAATGATAACATTCCCTTAGAAGTTTGAGTCTGGGTGTGGTGGCTCACGCCTGTAATCCCAGCACTTTGGGAGGCCAAGGTGGGCGGATCACCTGAGGTCAGGAGTTCAAGACCAGTCTGGCCAACATGGCAAAAACTCATCTGTACTAAAAATACAAAAATTAGCCGGGCGTGGTGGCAGTCACCTGTAATCCCAGCTACTTGGGCAGCTGAGGCAGGACAATCATTTGAACAGGGAGGCGGAGGTTGCAGAGAGCCAAGATTGTACCACTGTACTCCAGCCTGGATGACAGAGCAATACTCCGTCTCGGGAAAAAAAAAAGAAGTTTGAGTTGGCCATCATTTCTGAGGCCCGATTCCAGGGCTGGAGAAAGTAACGGCATTGCATCCTGCAGGTTAGGCGTCCAGGCTGGGTTAGAGTTACTTAGAAGCAGGGGCTTTCATGAAAGGGCCTGGAGCTCAGAGATGGGAGTGTGGGGGCTCCAGGCTCCTACTGGACTCTGGCTTCCCAGATGGTCCACTAAGCACCTGGAGAAACAGACTCAGAGTGGGGTGGGATATGTCCCACCCTGGAGGCACCGCCCTCCTAGAGAGGGGCCTCTCGCCATATGCTGATGGTTTTGTCCACCAGGACAGGGCACTCCTCGTGACCTTATCCTCTTCATCCACTTAAATAAGCAGTTGGGGGAAATAAAAAGACTCAGCTTATATAAAGCCATCACACCTCCATGTCATGTATCGTCACACGCCAAGGGTGGGGCTCCCAGGGCTGGAACCGGTCCTGGTGTCAACCAGTATCTCTTGAGGAACTGACTCATGGAGCTGACTCACGCATTTAGATATAACTTCTAGTCTGTTTTCTAGAAAAAACACCCCCAACCCTCATTACTTCAGCCCCACTTTATGCACACAGGAATGAGCTCAGGGAAGATGCGCAGGCAGCCATTGATCAAAACCTAAATCACATGGGAAACAATCAATTACAGAATAATAAGTCCCAGACCAAGTGTTAAGGTCCTGTTCTGTCTCCCGCGTACTCCCTCCAACATCACTATGCTCGCTGAGCAGCACCAGTGCCCCCTCAGAGCAGATGCTGGGCGAGGGAGGACGGGCACCGACGGGCAACGGGAATTTGGGATCAGGATGGTATCATCGCATGCGAGAGCTCCTGCAACCTTATATGTAAGTCAGTCACAGCCGTCCACTTACTGACTCCAATTCATACGCCAATTCACTCACTTATTCTTTCATTCACTTACTCAATCCCAAGCTTCCACTCTGTGCCAGGTGCTGGTGCCAAGAGGAAAAGCAACCCCTTTCCTAAAGGAAGTTTTCAGGGCGTCCATTACCCCAGCCCTCCCCTCTCCAGGTTCCCTGAGCTCGGTTCGGGTAAGACCGCGCCCAGCCGCCCTGACATACCACCACCGTCCAGGAGGTGGCAGCAGACAGGTTCGGAGAAGCTCAAGGGCGGCGACCCAGCAGTAGGAGGAGGAGGAGGGCGGGCGGGTCACCTGGAGAGGACGTCCTTCCCTGTTTCCTGGAAAGGACCAGATACCCGAAGCTGGCCACAAGCGGGCATGGTGGCGGGTGTCTGTAATCCCATCTACTCGGGAGGCTGAGGCAGGAGAAGCGTTTGAACCCGGGAGGTGGATTCACTGTCTCCTTGTCTTTGTGAATTAGCAAGGACATTTGGTTACAAGTAATAGAAGGCCCTGGCTTAAATGCTGGGGTGGGGGAGGAAACATAATTTCTCACTCCTTCATAGTAGAGACAGATCGCCCTGTAACAAAAGACAGATTACCAAGAGAAAAGCAAGCAAGTCTGTAATACGTGCAGCACACATCACGAGGGAGAAACCTCAAAAGAAAGGTGATGGTGCAGTGGCTTATGACTCTGGCTTAGAGAGCATCTTCAACAAAGAACAATAAATTTTATCCTGACAAAACGCTGTCAGGAATAACGCTCAAAATCCTAAGGAAATTGAACACTCGAACAAAGGATTCTTAGCAAAGTAATTTTACTTCTGCGCAGACGGGTGCCTCCTTGGCCAGTCGCCATGAGAGCACACCTGAACAAAGGGCAAGAGAGCCTTTAATTCTGACGCAAATCCTGCCCCTGTACTCTTTCCCCATTGGCCGGGGTCCGGTCGTACAATCTAAACGAATCCCGGTTGGCTAAACATTTGAATTTTTTTACATAAGGTGGGCACGTAAAAGAAATTGGAGAGGGCGGGGAAGGGGTGTCTGTCATGAGCTAGAAAGTTAGTCTTCTTTCCAAATAAGGAAAGGAATGTGAGCTGGTACTGATAACCCCTGGTACTGTGGTGTGCCTGGGCATCTAACAAAGGCAAAAAGGAGAAAAAGGGGTACTATGAATTAAAGAATAAAAGATGGATCAGATTATTTGAAGAGAAACCTCATCATATCCCACAACGGGAACAGGAAAAAAAAAACACACAATACATTTTAGAGAAGTGGCAAGACAAAGGAAAGCAGGTTTAGGCTCCCAAAGGAGGGACCTCTGAGAAGGTAAGTGCATGGGAGTAAACTGATGGCATAAGGTTTGTAAAAGTTGTCTCCAGTAAAGAATTTATAACCTGCCTTTCGGCGGAAAGAGGGGAGCTCTTCCTCTGTTTGCTGCTTTTTAACTACCTTAGCTAAAAAATATTCAAAATTATCGTGTCAAAGAGGCATATTTGGGGGTAACACATTCTGGTTTCTTTCATGGACTTGTATGTAGGTTGCAAGGGGCCGGGCATGATGCCTCATGTCTGTAATCCCAGCACTTTGGGAGGGGAGTGACCAGGTTGGCCAACATGGCGAAAACCTGTCTCTACTAAAAATACAAAAACTAGCTGGGCACAGTGGCTCACTCCTGTAATCCTAGCACTTTCAAAGGCCGAGGCAGGTGGATCACTTGAGGCCGGGAGTTCGAGACCAGCCTGGGCAACATGACGAAACCCTGTCTCTACTGAAAAAAAAAACAACAAAAAACCAACATGGCAAAACTCCGTCTCTACTAAAAATACAAAAATTAGCTGGGCATGGTGGCGAGCATCTGTAATTCCAGCTACTCAGGAGGCTGCGGCAGGAGAATTGCTTGAACCCGGGAGGAGGAGGTTGCAGTGAGCAAAGATCACGCCATTGCACTACAGCCTGGAGACACAGCGAGACTCCATCTCAAAAAAAACAAAACAAAACAAAACAACAACAAAAAACAAACAAAACAAAACAAAAAACCAAACCAAAATTAGCAGAATGTGATGGTGCACAGCTGTAATCCCAGCTTCTTGGGTGGCTGAGGCACAAGAATCACTTGAACCTGGGGGGTGGAGGTTGCAGTGAGCTGAGATGCTGAGATCACGCCACTGCACTCTAGCCTGGGTGACAGAGAGAGACTCTGTCTATCTAGAAAAAAATATTTTTAAAAGTGGGATGAAGTCGAGGCTGGGGTGCAGCTGCACCTGGGGGAAGGGACCAGAAGCAGGGGTTGCCGTTTCTTGTCTCGGCAGCCCACGTGGCAGTGGCTGCTTTCTTGTCTTGTCTGCAGACTGTTCCTCAGACTGGGAAATGTGGCCATGGCAGATTGGAAGGTACCTGCTCCAGGCCCAGCCAGCCAGGGAGACTACTGAATTCCAGGGAGAGGGACTTGTCAGATCAGCTAGGCTTGGGTCTAGCGCCTGCCCTGGCACCAATAAGAGGTGACAACTGCGGGCACAGTGCTAAGACAGTCACCAGGTGGCCTTGAGAGAGTTGTTGGAAACTGGGAGACCCTTGCTAATGGAGAGCTGCTGGAATGAGTTTGGCAATGCAAAGCTAGGCGCACAGGTGCTGTTCCATATCCTTCCATGGACCATAGTTGCAGCTGGGTGAGCTGTCAGCTCCAGCCTCACTACAACAAGGGATATTGGCTGGGGACCCTGCCCTCAGCCCCATGGCACTCCCCTTTCTTGTGCACTCAGCTTGGTGGATTCCAACTGCAAGTACCTGCAACTCTGCCTCAGGGAACGGCCTCCACACTGGACTGATGGGAGGGAGTAGCTAGACTCCCTGGCTCCTGCCCCTGGCAGTGGGACCAAATCTGAATTGCATCCTACATTGACTTCCAGAGCTCTCCAGGGGCACTGAGGTCCAGCTGCCCACAGCAGGGACCTGTTGATGACACACTTTGCCTGGCTGCCCTCCTCCCCTACCCTCCTCCCCATCTTGCCTCCACACTCCCCTCCTCCCCTACCCTCCGCCCCATCTTGCCTCCACACTCCCCTCCTGGCGTTACCTGGATCACTGCACTGCTTTCTACCTTTCTACCTTTTCTCTGGGTTTGCTTCTGGGGACCCGACTCAAGACCCTTGTAGTCTTTTTTTTTTTTTTTTCTGAGACTGAGTCTGGCTCTGTTGCCCAGGGTGGAGTGCAGTGGTGTGATCTTGGCTCACTGCAAGCTCCACCTCCCGGGTTCATGCCATTCTCCTGCTTCAGCCTCCCAAGTAGCTGGGACTACAGTCGCCCGCCACCACCCTCGGCTAATTTTTTGTATTTTTAGTAGAGACAGGGTTTCACCATGTTAGCCAGGACGGTCTCGATCTCCTGACCTCGTGATCTGCCCGCCTCGGCCTCCCAAAGTGCTGGGATTACAGGTATCAGCCACCCTGCCTGGCTGACCCTTGTAGCCTTAACAGCTAGGTTTCCCAGAGGAGAGGTGAGGAGCCTTTGAAAAATAAGAGCATAGGCCAGAAACGGTCACTCACACCTATAATCCCAACCAACACTTTGGGAGGCCGAGGCGGGAAGGATTGCTTGAGCCCAGGAGTTTGAGACCAGCCTGGGCAACATAGGAGATTCCATCTCTACAAAAACAAAAAAATTAACCAGGCCTGGTGGGGCATGCGTGCATGACAGAGTGAGATCCTGTCTCAAAAAAAAAAAGATAAGAGCATACGCTTTTCCATTCAATTGTACCTTTTTTCTTTAAAAATAGAGCTCTTTATTTAAACAGTTTAGGGTAATACCAACAAGCAGTAGGATATCGTTTAAATATGACATAAACATAGAAAAAATAGAAATAAATACAAATACATAAGAACAACATATACCGTTAGTAGTCTAAAGGGATACATGTTGCTTTCACCTAAGGCACTAACACTTTTCACGGGATATGCTTCCAGCGCAGGCCCAGCCCACACCGCGCAGTTCCCACCTGCTGTGCACGTGAAAGGGCTTTGTAAACAGTTAAGTGCTGACCACACAAGGCAAATTATTATACTGATTATCATGCCCTTTCCAAATGCTTCTCCTGGCTTTTTGTGAATGACTTAATGACGATAAAGGAGATGGAGTTTAGAGTTACTGGAAAACTTAAGCTATGTCAGAAATTAAACTCTGGAAAAAATTCTTTAAAAAAATAGTAAGGTTTGGCTGGGCGCGGTGGCTCACGCCTGTAATCCCAGCACTTTGGGAGGCCGAGGCGGGCGGATCACCTGAGGTCAGGAGTTCGAGACCAGCCTGGCCAACATGGTGAAACCCCGTCTCTACTAAAAATACAAAAAAATTAGCCAGGTGTGGTGGCGGGTGCCTGTAATCCCAGCTACTTGGGAGGCTGAGGCAGGAGAATCACTTGAACCCGGGAGGTGGAGGTTGCAGTGAGCCGAGATTGTACCACTGCACTCCAGCCTAGGCAAAAAGAACAAAACTCCGACTCAAAAAAACAAAACAAAACAAAAATGGTAAGGTTTAAGAATAGAAACGGAGTGGTTATTTCATACAAGTCTAAGATGATGCTGATGATAGCTTTTACTTTTTTGAAGTTACCTCCACGAAGCAGCTCGGCTGGTGCCAGAGAGAACATCGGTACAGGTCTGGGAATTTCCCTGGGAGCTGGCCCCAAGCCACAGCCCTCCCCAGCTCCGTAGTTTGTTTGTTCTTCCTCTCCTGGGCTCAATCATCTGGACAAGCCTCACTGCAGGGAAAACCCCTGGGGAGACACAGGTGTGTGTCGTATGTGTGTATGCATGTGTGTGTGTGTGCCCCAGCAGCGGTGAAGGCCTCCTGACCCTTAGAAATCCTGGCTGTGACCTTCATATTTTACTGACATGGACAAGGGGTCAGAGGTTGGCCCGGCTGTGCAGAGATCGAAGCTCTTACCCTTGGGGATGTGCACAAGTCATCAGAGCAGCACTGCTGGGCGACCTTGGACAAGTGCCTTTGCCACCCTTGACCTCAGCTCCTTTGCAACAAAAGGAGTGGTTTGCTAACTTTTTCTTGAGTAGTGGATCCCTCTAAACAAAACCTCACGTGGAAAGCCACAGTGTGTGAATCAGGGCACAGTGAGGCTGCTCTGGTGAAAGTGGGAGGCTCCTATAGCCCCATGGCGCCCCCTGCAACTGCAGCCCAAGGCCTCTGGGGGACATGGTTTGAGAATCCCTGGATGAGATGCCCTAAGAAGCTTTTCCAGTTCTGCCATTTAATGCTGTACCCTTGTGGTGGCTTTAAAGCAACACAGCTCTGTGGGTTCAATGGCTTTGAAGATCCCTTCTTCACAAATCCAGAAATGTTAGTCCTGGCAGGTTGAATGGCCACAGAGCCAAGGTTGTTCAGATACTCCACCACAAAACACTTCGGTCCTACGGGTGAAAACTCAGCTACGCTCATCTATATTCAGGTGGGTGTAGGTTAACTGAGGATGCATCAGCACCCCCAGGTAAGGATAGTCACCTGAATCTAGAAGGCATTGGTTTCTCATAACTGGAAGGGAGAATGGGACTTCTAAGGACCACAACGGTCAACCAAGAGTCTAACGTGCCATCCAAACTGGGATTACAGGCCCAGAAGTCCGATTCCTGCCATGTTACTGTCCTACTCCAACAAACTGGGTCCCTAGAAGGTGGAGCAGTTGGTTCCTCCCCTGGGAAGCAGGGTTCCCATTGCTAGGTGAAGGCGGAGAGACCAGGGTCCCCTTGGGTGGGGCTCTGGCTTCTGAGAGCTCACTCTCCTGACTGGGAGGCAGTGAGGGTAGAAGGAAGGAGGTAGACTGGGGATGAGACAAGCTGAATGTTAAGTGCTCTCAGTCACTCTGGGTTTAGGGGCCACAGGTGGGAGATGCCCAGGGGTCTCCTGGAGCCTGGATAGATGGAGAATTCTACCGGCCACCACGTAGAGAGCACCCAGGACACAGCAGGCTCCGTGCTACACACATCTGAGATCCCCTAGAACCCTCACCACACCCAGGCGTAGCTGCAGATGAGGAAGCCGAGGCAGAGAAGGAAGATGTCTTCCCCAAGATCATACAACCAGTGAACAGCAGAGCTGGGATTTGAACCCCGGTCTGTCTGACACTAAAACCGTACAGTGCCATGACTCCAAAGACCAGGATTTGAGGACAGCCACCCTTCCCTTCCCATCCAAAACCCTCAGCCAACTGGATTTTTATCTGGGCCTAACTAGGGGACCCATGAATCAGGAGGCTGAGCCCTGGGATGGGGGAGTTCAGTGGCTGCTGGGAAAGGCATGAGGTATAGCAGGTGTGCCTCCAGTGGTCTCAAGTTCCAGAGGGCCCCTTGGTGGTGTCCGCCCTTGATGTCCGCAGTGACCTGACCTCACCTGTTTCATGTTGTCCGGGGATAATTTTTCCCCCTGGCCTGTCACCCTAGGGACAATGGGGGTGATGACACCCCACCAACCTCTGACCTCAGCCCACCCTGTGTCCACCCCTCTTATAGCTCAGCCTAAAGAGGGCGGGTCACAGGAGGGAGGGGCATCTTGTTGCTCAGCCCGACAGGCAAACAGCCGCTAGGTGGACTTCCCGGAAGTGCAATGCCCCTCCGCCGCCCAGGGGAGGTACGGAGGCTCTTGAGTTTCTTGGGAAGCCCAGTAGTCCTTGCAAAGGCAGCAGCAGCATCAGATTCGGTGGGATGTCGGGGGACAGCTCACCTGGCCATGTAATGCCCCAATGTCCGGCCCCTGTCCTCGGTCCTCTGGGTGCTCTCAGCCCCCCAGCTGCCCGCATCGCTGTCCTCAATTTCTGATTCCCTCGCCTCCTCTTCCTCCTCAGGGCTGCTTTCCCAGCAGAAGGTCAGTGTCTGAAGAGAAACTGGGGGTCCCCCAGGGACCAGATTCGGCTCCGGTGGTAAGGTGCCCCAGGTGGCCCAGGAGGAGAGGTTATCTTCTGGGAGCTCTTCCAGGAAACCCGAGTCCTTGGAGAATTCAGGTGGTGGGAGAGATTCTTGGTGCCCATCCCCACCCGGCCCTTGGCCTGGCCCCTTCTCAGCCAAATAGCCAGAGGACCCAGCCCTGTCCCAGGAGGAGTCCACAGTGCTGGCCCAGCTTCTGTCTGAAGAATCCCAAGCAGAGGAGCCTTCGCTTGGGACCAGAGGAGCCCTGGGCCTCCCTGAGTCCACCCCACCAGCCTCCGAGTGCCCTGGAGCCTGGTGCTCTTGCCCCAGGAAAGAAGGTGGTTCAATGTAGGGCTGGAAGCTGACGCCATCTTCTGTGTCCTCCTCATCCTCCTCCTCTTCGTCCTCTGCAAGGTCCTTCTTCCATCTTGTCTGTTGGGTGGCTGGGGCCCTGACTCGAGGCGTCGGCCTGACCCCTCTGGTCAGTTCCTTTTGGGGACAGAGGAACAAGTCATTCACGGACTCTGGTCTGCTGGGCTGAAAGGTTGCCACAGGGTGTGTGTGTCCAGAAAAGTCCTGATTTGGGTAGGGGAGAGAAAAGCAGAAAATTTAGGCTTTCCTGAAGCATAATTATCATCATCTGAATTCCCCTAGAAACAGACCTCAGACAAGGCTTCAAGTGTAAGCAGTTTCTTTGGGAGATGATCCCAGAACACACCAGATGGGACTGGGGGAGCAGCCAGGAAGCAGGGTGTTATCAAGCAGCTGACCACTAGGGCTACTGGCACTTAATCCTGCTGGCAACTCAGGGAGCCACTGGGCACACGCACCTCAGAACCATCCCAGGAGGGGGACGCTCCTGGGCTATTTACCCACAGTCATTGTTGAGGAATGGAAGAGCTGGTGGCTGTGACACTTGCAGCCTGCCACATGCAGGGGCAATGTGGGCTCCAGAGGCCAGAGAAAGCCCATTGGGTGCAGGCGCTGGGAGTTGCAAATCCAGCTGGTGTGCTCTTAACAGGAAGGCTGAGGGCACGGGGCAGGGCACAGACATGTCTACCCGAGGTTGTCACCCTGACAGTTAGTGGGATTCTCCCACAGATCCTGGAGCCAGGAAATTTGGAAATGCTCCCTTTGCCACCCTGCCACGATGCAGGGACACTCAGAATCCATCCTCAAAGCCCCCATGCCCATCGGAGCCTCGCATATGCCCAAGCTGCCCCTGCCAGCCCTCATCTGAACAGGGCCGACCTATATCACCTCCTGGGCTTCCCCTGCCCCAGCTCGCCCCTAGGTTCTAAGGGAGAGACCCAGCAGACCAGGGAAGAAACTCCAAGGTCAGCCAGGACACAGCTTATCCTGGGTTAAAGTGTGAACTAAAAATTGGAACTCTTTTAAGATGTCCCCTTTGGTGCCTCCTCTCCTCCCCTTTTGAGTGTCTCTCCTGAGGTCCAAGGCCAGGGGCTCTGCTCTCAGCAGCTGACACATCCTTAGCAGAGGTGAAGTTATTTATCTCAAAGGAACTTAAGGCACTGCTCCCTCCAGGGCCTGTTTGCCATTTTATTCAGGACTAAATGAATGCATTACTAATGGTGGAAATTCAGACACAAAGATAGATGTTTTGGTCCAAGAGTCTGGACCATCTTGATATTCTATCTGAACAACTCATAGCTCCAGCCCCACTCCCTTACTCTCAACCCCTCCCCACCTGCTGCACACCCCCAGATTTGCTATACCAGGGCCCGTGGCATCTTTGCCCGCTGAAACCAGGGGTTCCCCATGAGGGTCTTCCAGATCACACCCCCTGCGGCAATTACTAACAGCAGTATCAGAAGCGATGGCAGCACCAGGAAAGCCCAGTTGGCTTCTAAGGAAGGAAAAATAACAATGAGAGAAACAACAATGGCTCTTGTCTACAACTGCACCTGTGCCGAGTGCTTCACATACATGACCCTATTTAATCCTCACAAGAATAAACCCATCCTGCAGACTGTGCAAACCAAGGTTTGGGGCATTATGTAAGCTGCCCAAAGACACACAATGAGTGTGGTTTTAATCCAGGCGAGTCTATCTCTAGGCTCATGTTCTTAACCACTGTGTCACGAAGCTCCCAAGGCCCAGAGGGAAAGTTTCTCTTTCTGCACCACTTGATACCCACCTGGGACCTCCAGCAAGAAGCAGGTGGGCTTAGAGAACTTGCTGTATTTCGGGACACTGAACGTGTAGATGGTTCTGGCACTGAGGCAGTGGTGTTCGCTGGCAGCTGGCTGGAGAGTGATCTGGACTGGCTGGCCATGGGGAGTGACTGGAAATAGGGTCTGTTTGGAAAAGAAGCAGAGAGTGGCAGAGCTGCTGTGGGGACTGGTTTCACACAGCCAGGACAGAGTGGGGTTGGCAGACATGGTAGGGTGTTTTTTTTTTGTTTTTTTTTTTTGTTTTTTTGTAGGGGATAGGGTTTGGTTCTGTCACCCAGGCCAAAGTGCAGTGGTGTGATCACAGCTCACTGCAGCCTCAAACTCCTGGGCTCAAGCGATCCTCCTACCTCAGCTCTCCAAGTAACTAGGGACTACAGATCCACACCACCATACCTGGGTAATTTTTTAAAATTATTTTTTGTATAGGCAAGGTCTTGCTGTTGCCCAGGCTGGTCTCGAACTCCCAGCCTCAAGTGATCCTCCCTCCTTGCCTGAACTTTCTATTCTTTTCCTGCATTAAAGTTTAAGCATTGAGGAAGCACTTCCCAAGACTACCTGAGTTCTTTTCAGCTGAGTCTAGAGGTAGGGATAGCCATGGTTCAAAAGCAGCCTACCACTTGGGGTCGCCCTGGCGTGCACCCCATTAAGGTCCCTACTTCGAGGAGCAGATTCTTCAGGCTTTCCATCTTGGGGTCTCCTAGTCTATCAGCAGTGGAGGAAACCTCTACAGATGCTGCACTGTGTGGTATGGAAGGCACTGGCCACGCGTGACTACTGAGTATGTGAAATGCATCTGGTCCACACTGAGAAGTGTTCCAAGTACAAAACACACATCAGATTTTAAAGACGTAGTGAAAAAGAATGTAAAAGATCTCAATCACTATCAGAATTGCTCATTGAAATGATACCATTCAATTGGATGAAGTAAAATCTGTTATTAAAATTCGATTTACCTGTCTCTTTTTACTTAATTTAACATGGAACACTTAAAACTGCACATGTGGCTTGCATTATATTTCTTTCTATTGGGCAGTGCTGGTCTAGAATATTTGTGAGGTTCTTGAAGGCAGGAACCACGCTGGATTCGGATCTATATTCCCCAGAACCCAGAGTATGCAAAAATCGGGAGTGTGAATGTTACTTTAGTGGAAGCAAGAACATTCAAGAGCAGAGGCCCAGGGACCAAGTCTGGTTGGCCACTTGTTTATGTAAAAAGTTTTATTTTTTGTTTTTTTTGAGACAAGGTCTCACTCTGTTGCCCAGACTAAAGTGCAGTGGTGCGATCATGGCTCACTGTGGCCTTGCTTCCTGGGCTCGAGCGATCCTCCTGCCTCAGCATCCCAAGCAGCTGGGACCACAAGCATGCATCACCACACCCAGCTTTTTTTTTTTTTGTAGGGATAATGTTTCACCATGTTCCCCAGGCTGGTCTTGAACTCCTGGGCTAAGGTAATCCTCCCACCACCTCGGCCTCCCAAAGTACTGAGATTACAGGCATGAGCCACCGCACCTGGCCTGTAAACAGTTTTACTGGAACCCAGCGATGCCCATTCATTTACGTATAGGCTACGGCTCCTTTTGTGCTATAACTGCAGCGTTGAGTAGTCCTGAGCGAACATACGGCCCATGAAGCCAAACATATCGACTATCTGGCCTTCTTCGGGAAAGTCTGCCAGCCCTTGCCATAAATAAATGCAGCTATACACACATGCATACACAGAAAACAAATCTGAAATTGGATATACACCAGAGTGATGTGTGGTCATCTCTGGGTACTTTTGGTCTGCTTCTTAGAGCTTATCTGTATTTTTCAGTTTTTCTGTACTGAATCTGTTGACTTGGCAAGCAGGCCTCCTGTAGGTCATCATACTTTGATCAGATTTTATTAGGGCTGACTGCCAGAAGTCAGGAGTGTACAGGGAAGACTTCCTGGAGGAGGGGTGCAGGAGCAGGCTGGGAGGGTGAGAAGAACCTGAGTAAGAAGGGGTGGAGGAGCGGGCCTAGCCTGGGGGCAGGAAAGGAGCTTCCCACCTTGTTTCCGGCCCCCTCCTTCCAGAATGCCACCTCATACTTCAGATCCAGTGGGGGCATGCAGGGGGGCAGCTGGTACGTGGCATTGGCACTCAGGATCTCCTCCGTCTGGGTGAGCACCAGGACAGGTGGGGCCGGCTCCACTGCAGAAACAGAGCAGGACCTGTCAGTAATCCCGAGGGGCCGCACTGCCTCCATCCCCCAAGACCAGAGAGCTCTCTTGGAAATGGAAAAGCAACTAGCATGTTTCAAACACTTCTTGTGCACCTAGCACCTTATAATCTGTTATTTCAGCCTTGCACTGACCCTGGGAGGGAGATATCACTACTCTCATTTCATAGAGAGGAAAACTGAGGCTTAGAGAGGAGAGGTGACCTGGGCAAGCTCATTGCTGACCTGCCTTCTCTCATGCCATCCCATCCGCCTGGGTGCCCTCCACATGTCACTGGCCTGGCAGATCCTGCCCATCTGGATTCATTTTCTATTGCTGTCATAACAAATTACCACACACACAGTGCCTTAAAAATGATACAAACTTATTATCTCACAGTTCTCTAGGTCAGAAGTCCAGGTGGGCTCAGCTGGTTCCTCCGCTCTGGGTCTCACATCTGGAACCGATGGGGGAGAAGACACTTCCAAGCCCCCTTGGGTTGTCAGCAAAACTTAGTTCTTTGTGGCTGTAGGGCTGTGGTCCCTGTTTCCTGGCCGATTGTTAGTGGGAGCCTCTCAGCTCCGGAAGGCACCCACATTTTTCATCACGTTACCACTCCATCGTCAAACCAGAAACGGCACCATGGAGTCCTGTTTATGCTTCAAATCTCTCTGACTTCCCCTTCTGCCACTTCTCTTCTGCCTCCATCTGGAGAAAGTTTTAAAGGCTCATGGGATTAGATTGGGCCCATCTGGATTATCCAGGATAACCTCACTATTTGAAGATCTATGTCTCAGTCTATTTTGTGTTGTTATTACAGAATATCACAGGCTGGGTAATTTATAATGAACAGAAGTGTATTTGGCTCATGTTTCTGGAGACTTGGAAGTCCAAGAGCATGGCACTGGCATCTGGTGAGGGCCTTTGTGCTGTGTCATCCCATGGTGGCAGGTGGAAGGGCAAGAGAGGGTGAGAGTAAGCCAGCAAGAGAGGGCAGAACTCACTTTTCTTTTCTTTTCTTTCTTTCTTTCTTTTCTTTCTTTCTTTCTTTCTTTCTTTCTTTCTTTCTTTCTTTCTTTCTTTCTTTTTCTTTCTTTTTCTTTCTTTCTTTTTTCTTTCTTTTTTTCTTCTTTCTTTCTTTTCTTTCTTTCTTTCTTTCTTTCTTTCTTTCTTTCTTTCTTTCTTTCCTTCCTTCCTTCCTTCCTTCCTTCCTTCCTTCCTTCCTTTTCTTTCTTTTCTTTCTTTCTCTTTCTTTCTTCTTTCTTTCCTCTTTTTTTTTTTTTTTTGAGACAGAGTCTTGCTCTATCACCCAGGCTGGAGTGCAACGGGGCGATCTCAGCTCACTGCAACCTCTGCCTCCCGGATTCATGCGATCCTCCTGCTTCGGCCTCCTGAGCAGCTGGGATTACAGGCGCCCGCCACCACTCCCGGACACTTTTTGTATTTTTTAGTAGAGACAGACTTTCACCATGTTGGCCAGGCTGGTCTCAAACAACTGACTTCAAGTCTTGGCCCCGCAAAGTGCTGAGTGGCATAAGCCACTGCCCCTGGCCAGAACTCACTTTTTAACAATCCATTCTTGATAAACACACTCCCGCAAGACTGACCTTAATCTATTCATGGGGGCAGCGTTCTTAAGGACTAAATCACCTTTTAACAGGGCCACTTCTTAATGCAATCACAATGATGATTAAATGTCAACAGGAGTTTTAGAGGGGACATTCAAACCATAACAGTCTATAACGTTAATTAAGATTCCTACTGCCACGCAATACTGACATCTAACATATTCTTAGCTTCTGGGGATTAGGGCAGAGCACCTTTAGAGGATCATTCTGCCTACCATGGTCTTCCCTCTGTCCCCCACCCAAAATCCACATCTCTTTCTTTTTTCTTTTTTTTTTTAGATGGAGTTTCACTCTTGTTGCCCAGGCTGGAGTGCAATGGCGTGATCTCGGCTCACCGCAACCTCTGCCTCCCGGGTTCAAGCGATTCTACTGCCTCAGCCTCCCGAGTAGCTGGGATTATAGGCATGTGCTACCATGCTTGGCTAATTTTGTATTTTTAGTAGAGATGGGGTTTCTCCATGGTGGTCAGGCTGGTCTCGAACTGCCGACCTCAGGTGATCTGCCTGCCTCGGCCTCCCAAAGTGCTGGGATTACAGGTGTGGGCTGGGATTACCCAACCCACATCTCTTTCAAATGCAAAATCCATTCACTCCATCCCAATGTCCCCCAAAGTCTCATCTCATTACAGCATCAACTCAAATTCCCAAATCAACAGTATCTAAGTCAGAGTCAAATAGACTCTGGGCATAGTCCAGTCAGTACAACTCTCGGGGTACAGTTTCTCTCTATCTGTGGGCCAGCAAAACTAAAGTTTTCTGCTCCCAACATAAAATGTGGGACAGGCACAGGATAACAGTTGCAGACAATCTGGCTCAAGCATGGGGACATGAAAGGGACAATCAGGTCATGGTCCAATGCAGTTTGAAAATCCAGCCAAGAAAACTCCATTAGGTTTCAAGGCCTGGGAAGAATTCTCTTTCGCTCTTAGCACTGCCCTTTGAGCTTCTGGTTTCACCGTCTGAGATATCCTTCCTTTTCACTAAAGGTAGCAGGTGTTTGCAGCTAAGTAGTTTTACCAGTCTGCATCTCAACAGTAGAAACTGGAGAGTCCAACAGCCTTCTTTGATTTCATACTCTCTGTGTTCCATTTAATCCAAGCTAACAGTGTTTCTGTGGATGTAAACGTCTCAGGAACTTTACGGGTCTCCTATGGATGTCATGGGGGAATCCACTGCATTATTAGATAAAAGCCAGGTCCACAGATCCTTTTTTCAGATAAGCCCTTCTCTACTTTTGGCTCCAGCTGAGATGGCTGAGGGACAATGCTGTTCAGCTTCCTAGAAGTCCCCTGGTTTGATTGAAGGGGACTGTGAGTTATAATCTTAATCTCTTCAAAGAGCCTTTTGAGCGACTGAGTACTTTGATCTTTTATCTTCCTGAAGTTTGGTATAATCACATACTTGGCTGTTTCTCTATGTCACACTTTTGGGAGCAATCTCTTTTTTTTTTTTTTTTTGAGATGGAGTCTTGCTCTGTCACCCACCCAGGCTGGAGTGCAGTGGCATGATCTTGGCTCACTGCAACCTCCGCCTCTTGGGTTCAAGTGATCCTCCCACCTCAGCCTCCTGAGTAGCTGGGATTACAGGTGCCCGCCACCACACCCAGCTAATTTTTGTATTTTTAGTAGAGACGGAGTTTCCCCACATTGGCCAGGCTGGTCTCAAACTCCTGACCTCAGGTGATCTGCTCGCCTCGGACTCTCAAAGTGCTGGGATTACAGGCATGAGCCACTGTGCCCAGCTACAATCTCTTAATTTTATTGTTTTTTGCATAGGTTGAGAACCTCCCAAATCATCAAGTCCTGGTTCCTTTCTGTTTAAGTTCTTCCCTCATTTTCTCTCTCTCCTCTTGCATTTTACTATAAGAGGCAGGAAGAAACCAGGCCGTGCCTTCCACATTTTATTTGGAAACCTTCTCGGATAAGCATTCAAATTCATCATTTACAAGCTCTGTGTCCCATATGACTGCAGGACACAATTCTGCTAAGCTTTCTGCCAGTACAGAACAAGTTTCTTCCTTTCTCAAGTTTTCAATTACACGTTCCTTACCTTGTGAAGCAGTGCCTTGAGTGTTAGTGCGTCTACTAACAGGCTTTTCACGATGATTGAGGTATTCTTGGAGGGGATTTAGCTTTTCTCTAAAATGCTACTTGTTTCTTTCTGCACTCTGAGTCTTCAACTTCCACATTCCTACCGATAGTCTGTTGAGGGCCTTCTAGCCTTGCCCAGTGGCTTGAAGATGGAGAGGGCAATGTGACAAGGAATATGGCAGCCAGAGAAAACTAAATACACCACCTTTCAAGTTCTAACTAAAATGCCACTTCTTCCATGCAGCCTTCCCTGATTCCCAGCCAGCAGGGATCTCTGACCACACTAGTCACCTTTGCCCTGTGTTTGTGGTCAAGGTAAACATGTGGCTTCTTCATGATGTCATTACTTACATGTTTAGGAAACATCCACTGGGTACTGACTAGGTATCAAGCTTCAGGAAGGGAGCTGAGGGGAATGCGGAGATGAGGCCTCCTTGTATCCTGACCTTCAGGAGCTGAAAGTTTGGGGTAAATGAAATATGCAAACTACCAAAAGAAAGTGACCACGGCCACATATGAGAGCAGAAAAAGTGTGGAGGGAGTGTAAAGGCAGGAAGGATCACCCTGGCTTGGGATGTGGGGCTGAAGAATCAGGAGAAATTCAGGGAGGAGGCAAAAAATTAATGAAAACATTTTAAATATCTTTGTGTCTTTCCCTTTATTCTTCTAATGTCTTATTCCTACCCATTCAGCAATTATTGTGGTTTGTCTGCCATTCTTCTAGCCAGAGAGCCTTCCTGTCTGCCTTCTTATCCTTCCTTTCCTTCCCATCCATCCATCCATCCATCCATCCATCCTTCCTTCCTTCCTTCCCAACCACCCTTTCTTCTCAATCATCCTTTCTAACCAATATTTTTTTCTTCCTATGCCTCCTTTCTTATTATTCATTTATACTTCTCACCTTTTATCTAGCCAGTGAGCCTTCTAACCTACTCATCCATTCTTCCCATACATCCATTCTTCTTTTCTCTTTCACCTTTCTACACATCCTTCCTTCTTGTCTCTCCTTCCTTCCTTCCTTGCTTCTCCTTCGCTCCAGCCCTTCCTTCCCTGCCTGGATGTCCTGCTTTTCTTCTATACTATCTACCCACCCATCTCATCCACCCATCTGCCTTTTCTTCTGCCTTCTGTGATGGTTAAATTTTTTCTTTCTTTAAGACAGGGTGTTGCTCTGTCACCGAGGCTGGAATTCAATGGAACAATCATGGCTCACTGCAGCCTTGACCTCCTGGGCTCAAGTCATCCTCCTACCTTGGCCTCCCAGATAGCTGGGACCACAGGTGCCCACCACCGTACCCAGCGAATTTAATTTTTTTTTTTTTTTGTAGAGACGAGGTCTCCCTATGTTGCCTAGGCTGGTCTTGAACTCCTAGGCTCAAGTGATCTGCCTACCTCATCCTCAAAGGATCTTCCCACCTTGGCCTCCCAAAGTGATGGGATTACAGGTGTGAGCCACAGTGCCTGGCCTGTGATGGTTAAGTTTATGTGTCAATTTAGCTGCACTAAGGGATACCCAGGTAGACAGTAAAACATTATTTCTGGGCCCATCTGTGAGGATTTTTCCAGAAGAGATTAACATTTTAATCGGCAGATTTGGTGATGATCTGTCCTCACCAGTGTGGGCAGGCATCATCCAATCCACTGACGGCCCAAAGAGAACAAAAAATGGAGGAGGAATGGCACATTCACATTCTCTCTTCCTGAGCTGGCACATCAACTTCTCCTGTCCTTGGACGTTGGAGCTTCCTGTTCTCCGGCATTTGGACTCTGGGACTTATATCAGTGGCCCCTCTGATTGTTGGGCCTGTGGCCTCCGACTGGGGGTTACACCACTGCTCCCCTGGCCTTGGGCCTTCAGACTCAGACAGAATCACACCACAAGCTTTCCTGGTTGTCCAGCCCATGACTGCATGCTGGGGGACATTTTTGTGTCTGTGATTGCATGAGCCAATTCCCATAATAAATCTCCTCTTATTATAAATTTTTTTTTTTTGAGACAAAGTCTTGCTCTGTCACCCAGGCTGGAGTGCAGTGTCGTGATCTCAGCTCACTGCAACCTCTGCTTCCCAAGTTCAAGCAATTCTCCTGCCTCAGCCTCCTGAGTAGCTGGGACTACAGGTGTGTGCCACCACACACGGGTAACTTTTGTATTTTTAGTAGAGACAGGGTTTCACCATGTTGGCCAGGCTGGTCTTGAACTCCTGATCTCAAATGATCCATCCGCCTCGGCCTCCCAAAGTGCTCAGATTACAGGTGTGAGCCACCATGGCTGGCCTCTTTTTATTTATTTATTTATTTATTTTGAGACGGAGTCTTGCTCTGTCACCCAGGCTGAAGTGCAGTGGCACGATCTCAGCTCACTGCAAGCTCTGCCTCCTGGGTTCACGCCATCCTCCTGCCTTAGCCTCCCCAGCAGCTGGGACTACAGGCGCACATCATCACGCCCAACTAATTTTTTTTTGTATTTTTAGTAGAGTCGGGGTTTCACTGTGTTAGCCAGGATGGTCTTGATCTCCTGACCTCGTGATCCGCCCGCCTCGGCCTCCTAAAGTGCTGGGATTACAAGCTTGAGCCACCGCGCCCGGCTGGCCTCCTCTTAGTGTATCTGTATATATCCTATTGGTTCAGTTTCTCTGGAGAACCTTGACTAACATACTTCCTATCCTCCATCTCTCTATCCACACATATTTCCTTCCTAATAGGCATCTATCCTTCCATCCAACCTCCTTCCTTCCCATTTTTCCATTGCTTCCTCCTCCATCCCCTCCATCCTCCCTTTCTTCTTACCCATCTGTCCTTCCCTTCTTTTATCCATCCACCGAGCCAGCTTCTTTCCACACGAATCATCTCTTCTTCCTTCTCTACCATCTCTTCCTGCTGCCCTGCAATCAGTCTGTCCCTCTTCTCTCTTAAAGCCTTATTTTGTCCTTGAACACTGTGAGAAGCCCGGGCAGCAAGTTACAGCTCTCAGCTCTCTGAGGACACTGTCTGGGCATTTATCCTCCCTTTGTTACCCGGCCCTGCCCGAGGTCAGAAAGATCCAGTTCACATCTATGTCCACCGGTTACTAGCGGTATCAAGTCCACTGGTTACTAGCGGTATCAAGTTTCTTAGCTTCTGTGAGTCTCAGGTTGATGGAAATGAACCTCACAAGTTTGCTGTGAAGATTAAAAATAGACTGAAAAAAAAAAAGTGCCCTCCTCACCCAATGTCAATACATGATTTCTGCCAGTAAGCATGGGACATTTTTTTTTCTATCATCTTTACCCCCCCACCCCCCACAAATTTCTACAGTGTATAGAAAATACTTTTGCAAACAGAATTTGTTTTTTTTTCTTTGTTTATTAATTTTTTTCTTTTGAGACGCTCTGTCGCCCAGGCTGGAGTGCAGGGGCGTGATCTTGGCTCACTGCAACCTCCGCCTCCTGGGTTCAAGCGATTCTCCTGCCTCAGCCTCCCGAGTAGCTGGGATTACAGGTGCCTGCCACCAAGCCTGGCTAATTTTTGTATTTTTAGTAAAGACGGGGTTTTGCCATGTTGGCCAGGGTGGTCTCAAACTCCTGACCTCAGGTGATCCACCTGCCTTGGCCTCCCAAAGTGCTGGGATTACAGGCGTGAGCCACCACGCCTGGCCCAGAATTGGTTTTAAACATTGTTTTTAAGGAGAGAAGCTGAACATAAAAAATAGGAATAAGCATATAAAGTGCCTTGTGTAGTCCATGACCAAAATGGTGCTCAACTGAAAATAATGAACATTGTTAGCAGAGGGTGCACGTGAGATTGCTGGTGCTGGCTGGAGCTCCCCTAACTCCCTGACAGGCTGCCAGACATGGTCCCTCGCTGTTGCTGGTCCCACACCCCATCTCAAAGGGCCTGGCCCAGGGAGCTGCCCTCTGCTTTGGGGAAGTGGGAGACAGATGGTCAGGAGAACAGAACCACTGAGCACTGAGCACAGCTCCCCGATGGGATGGACAGCCTTCCACTCAGTCCCTTACCCACAGACCTACCTTCAAAAAGGTAATCCAGGTATTCGGACTCCACCCAGGGGGACTTGGAGCTGGGAGAAACCGTCCGCACGCGTCCCTTGAACTTGTTGTACAGGTCCTGTTTCTTCAGGCACATCATAGAACATAGCAGCTCCTTGGTTCCCGCACACTCTTCCACTTCGCGCCACCGTCTACGGGTGGGAGAGCTGGGGGAGGAGAGAGGAGAGCTTGGGCCATGGACTCAGCCTCTCCGGGTCAGGGAACTTAGAGAACAGTTGATCATGCTTCCCTCTGTTTGGCTGGACTGACTTTAGGTCCATCCGTCCAGACAGGCAGCCACTGGCTGAGACAGGATAAGAACAGCCTGGTCAGGAGCTCAGGTTCTGGAGCCAGATGGATGGGAGTGGGAATCCCAGCCCTGTCCCTCCCTAGCTTTGGGACCATGGGCAGGTCCTTGCCCCTAAACCTCAGTTTCCTCATCTGTAATGCCTCCCTCACAGGACTGTTGCGGTGGCTGCTATTCCTAGTACTAGCGACCATTACTATATGTTTGTTCATTCAGGCGTTTATGGGCCACCTGCTGCATGCCAAGGACCATGATAGGTACTCTGTGGATGTCAGAGGGGAACATGCAGGTCCATGACTCCAACCTGGATACTTCAGAGAGCTGCCTGGCCCTTCTATCTCTTCTGCCACGTGAGGACACAGTGTTTGCCCTTCCGCTATGCGAAGACGCAGCGAGAAGGCACCATCTTGGAAGCAGAGAGCCGCCCTTACCAGAACGGAGTCAGGTGCCACCTTGACCCTGAACTTCCCAGCCTCTAGAACTGTGAGAAGGAAATTGCTATTATTTATTAATTGCTATTATTTATTAATAGCAATTATTAGAATTACACCATTCTAAGGTATTTTGTTAAAGCAGTACAAATGGACTAAGCCAGAGACCCAGGGAGCCTAACATTTTATTTTAATTTTTATTTTTTGAGATGGAGTCTTGTTCTGTTGCCCAGGCTGGGGTGCAGTGGCATGATCTTGGCTCACTGCAACCTCCGCCTCCTGGGTTCAAGTGATTCTCCTGCCTCAGCCTCCCGAGTAGATGGGATTACAGGCCAGCGTAACCACACCTGGCTAATTTTGTATTTTTAGTAGAGACAGGGTTTCACCATGTCGGCCAGGCTGGTCTCCAACTCCTGACCTCAGGTGACCCACCCGCTTGGCCTCCCAAAGTGTTGGGATTACAGGCAGGAGCCACCGTGCCTGGCCTAACATGTTTTTACAAGATCACTCTGGTCAACCAGCAAGGAGGCCATGGTAGGGATGTGAGACAGGATGATGGTGGAGACAGTGAGAAAGGGCTGGATTCAATATCTATTTTGGAGGTAATAATAGAACTAATAGAACTTGCTAACGGATTGGATGTAGAATGTGGGGAAAAGGAGAATCAAGGATTGCTCCTGGGTTTGGGGAGTGACCAAGGATGAATGGAGAAGGCTGAGATGGGGGCTGACACAAAGATCAGATTTTGAGAAAGAACCAATTCCTCTGTTTTGTTTCTTCATGGAAAATGTTATACTATGCAAATATTCACACCAAAGGAACCAGTGTAGTTATATTAACAGGAGACAAAATACAGACTTCCAAGTCCAAAGCAATACTAAAGATGAAAAGAACATTAGATAATGATAAATGATTCCATTCACCAGGAAGACAGAAAAATTCTAACTTATGTGTGCCTACTAAACAACTTCACCCTCTATAAAGCAAACAGACAAACTACAGGTAGAAAGTGAACAGCCACACTTACAACAAGAAATTTTAATACATCTCACCCAGCAATTGATGAATAGACAAAGAAAAATAAATACATAAATAAATAAAGAACAACACAGTTATCAAGTTGGTCTAATGAACATATACAGAACTAACTAAACAAATTGGTTGAACCACATGTGAACTATTAACAAAATATTAACACAAAGCAATTCTTAAGAAATTTTAAAGAATAGGTATCTCATAAAGTATTTCTTCTGATTGCAAAACATTCAGTTAAAAGTTAATAACAAAAAGAGAACTAAAGGAAGTTTGAAAATTTAAAAAAATATATATTTTTTGAGACAGCGTCTTGCTCTGTTGCACAGGCTGGAGTGCAGTGGCACAAACATAGCTCACTGCAGCCTCTACTCCTGGGCTCAGGTGATCCTCCTGCCTCAGTCTCTGAGTCACTGGGACCACAGGTACCTGCCACTACACCCAGCTAATTTTCTTTTCTTTTTTTTTTTGAGACAGAGTCTCGCTCTGTCATCCAGGCTGGAGTGCAGTGGTGCAATCTCGGCTCACTGCAAACTCCTCCTCCTGGGTTCAAAGAATTCTCCTGCCTCAGCCTCCCAAGTAGCTGGGATTACAGGCACCTATCACCACACCTGGCTAATTTTTATATTTTAGTAGAGATGGGGTTTTACCATGTTGCCCAGGCTGGTCTCAAACTCCTGACCTCAGGTGATCCATCTGCCTTGGCCTCCCAAAGTGCTGGTATTACAGGTGCTGGGATGAGCCACCACTCCTGGCCCAGCTAATTTTAAAAAAATATTCTGTAGAGAGGGGGTCTCACTTTGTTGCCTAGGCCGGTCTCAAACTTCTGGCCTCAAGCAATCCTCCCACCTCAGCCTCCCTAAGTGCTGTGATTACAGATGTGAGTCACCACACCTGGCCTTAAAAATATTTTTTAAAACAACCCATAGATGAAAGAATTATAATGGAAATTAATAAATAGCTGAAAGTGAATGATCACCAAATAACACAAATGAAAACGTATAAGACAGCTAAGTAATACTTAGAGGAAAACATATAGCTTTAAATACTTATAATAGAAAATAAGAAAGAATAGAAATTAATAAGCTAAGCAATAAATGATAAGAAGCCAGAAGAAACATGTCACAAAAACATATCCATGAACAGATCAAAACTGGAACCTGATACTTCAAAATGGGCAAAAGACAGTAAAAAGTGATGCAGGACAAGAAAAAACCACATAAAACCTAATTAGAAAAACTCAGACACAGAAAAGAATTATATATATTTTTAAAAAGCAAAATTCATTTCAGAAGTGAAGAATAAATCAGAAGGAATACAAGAACAAATTAACACAATAGATGATGCCTTAAAAGAAACAGAAGGCAAGAAGAAGGAAAGTTAAAAAAATATGTAAAAGCTAAAATTATAGAACTTCCAGAAGAAAGCATAGAAGAAAAATCTTCATGACCCTGGGTCAGGCGAATATTGCTTAGGACACCAAAAGCGTTAACTGTTGAAGGAAAAAAATCTGATATATTAGTCTGTGAGGGCTGCCATGGTAAGACACCACAGGCAGGGTGGCTTCAGCAACAGAAATCTGGAGGCTGGAAGTCCAAGATCAAGGCATCAGCAGGTTTGGTTTCTACTGAGGCCTCTCTCCTTGGCTTGCAGATGGCCGTCATCTTGCTGTGTCCTCACAAGGCCGTTCTTCTGTGTGCATGCGCTCTTGGTGTCTTCCTCTTCTTATAAAGACACCAGTCCTATTAGATTAGGGCCCACCCTTATGATCTCATTTTACTTTAATTACCTCCTTAAAGGCTCATCTCCAAATAGTCACTTAGAGGTTAGGGCTTCAACATATGAATTTGTGGGGTAGAGTATAATTCAGTCTATAACACCTGATATACTGGATTTTATCAAATTAAAATATTTTTCTCTTCCAAAAAAAAAAAAAAAACCCACCAAAAAAGCCTAACGAAAATGAAAAGGCCAGCCACTGGGGAAAAAAATCACAATACATACACTGATAAAGGATTTGTATTCATAGATAACTCAATAATAAGAAAATAAATGACCTAATAAAAAGTGGAAAAATATTTGAATAGTCACTTCACAAAAGATATATGAATGGCCAATAAGCACATGAAAAGATGTTCAACATCATTCATCATTAGGGAGTTGTAAATTAAAGCCATAATAAAATACTACTACATACTCACTAGAATGGTTAAAATGAAAAAGACTGATAATACTAAGTGTAACAAGCACATGGAGTAACTAGAACTCTCATGTATTGTTGGTGGCAATGAACAATGGTACAGTCACTTTGGAAACAGCTCGACAGTTCCCTGTAATAGTACACATTCATTACCTAATCTCCTAAATCTTAACCCTAGATCCATTTTTCTTCTCCCTCCCTCCCTCCCTCCTTCCCTCCCTCTCTTTCTTCTTTCCTTCCTCCCCTCTCTCTCTTTTTTTTAGAGACAGAGTCTCACTCTGTCACCCAGGCTGGGGTGCAGTGGTGCAATCATAGTTCACTGCAGTCTAAAACCCCTGGGCTCAAGGGATCCTCCCACCTCAGCCTCCTGAGATGGCAGGGCTACAGGTGTACGCCACCATGCCTGGCTAATTTTGAAAATTTTTTGTAAAGATGGGGTCTCACTATGTTGCCCAGGCTGATACTCCTAGATCTTTATCTAAGAGAAATGAAAACATATCCACACAAAGACTTGTACATGAATGTTCACAGCAGCTTAATTCATAATAGCCCTATTATGGACGAATTGAGTTCCCCCAAAATTCATATGTTGAAGACCTCATCCCCAGTGGTATTGTGTTTTGAGATAAGAGCTTTAAAGAGGTAATTATGGTTAAATGAAGTAATAAGGCTGGGGCCCTAATCCAGTAGGACTGGTGTACTTGTAAGAAGAGGAAGAGATACCAGAGTGAACACACACAGAGAAAAAGCCACGTGAGGACACAGCAAGAAGGCAGCCATCTGCTAGCCAAGGAGAGAGGCTTCAGGAGAAACTAAACCTAGCAACGCCTTGACCTTGGACTTCCAACCTCCAGAATTTTGAGAAAATAAAATTCTGTTGTTTACCCAGACTGTCGTACTTTGTTATGGCAGCCCTAGCAAACCAGTGCAGATTTGGGCACCAGAAATGAGGTGCTGAGGTAATCAATACCTAAAAATGTGGAAGTGGCTTTGGAATTGCATAATGGGTAGAATCTTGAAGTTTGAAGTGCATGTTAGAGAAAGCCTATATTGCCTTAAAAAGACTATTGGTAGGAATATAGACATTAAAGGTGATTCTGGTGAGGTCTCAGGTGGAAAAGAGGAATGTGTTATTGGAAACTGGAGGAAAGGTGATCCTTGTTATAAAGTGGCAAAGAACTGGTTGAATTGTCTTCTAGTGTTTTGCAGAAATTAGAAGTTAAAAGTTCATTGGCTAGCCATCTCAAAAATGATAATATAAAATAAATAACAAAAAGATAATTTAAAAGACATAAACTTGGATGCTTAGCAGAAGAGATTTCTAAGCAAAGTGCTGAAGGTACAACCTGGTTTCTTCTTACTGCTTATAGTAAAATGTGAGAGAAGAGATATATGAAAAGAATTGGTAAGCCAAAAGGAACTAGAACTTGAAGCTTTGGAAAATTTTCAGCCTATCCACATTGCAAAAAAAAAAATGAGAAAGCATGTTCTGGGGAGGACACTAAGGTTGTGGCTAGAACAACCTTTTGATAAAGAGATCAGAGGTGCAACTCATAGACTTAATCAGCCATTTAAGCAGAAATTAGACATACTGATGGGATTATACCAGCAGAGGCACTTCCAGCTTTGACTAAAGGGGACAGAGATGGGACAGAATGAAGGAAGGCTGTTGGACTTCTGGGATTCTAAAGAAAGGGACAAGAGCTGGAGCTATTTGGCTGTGAACACGCAATATCCTTCAAGTATAGGGAAAAATTTCCTGGAAGATGATTCAGAGATCAGCAGGGTTGTCACTGCCACCAAAGACCTGGAGGCAACACTGTCCCCTCCTTAGTTTCAGCAGGCTAGGCTGCTGCTAACCAGTGACTCGAGGGTAGGGTCACCACCCAGGGCAAAGGGGATAGGGCTGCCGCCCCAGTGGGCCCAAAGGGCAGAGCACTGAGCCAAAGAGGGCTATTCTTGAAACTTAAAATCTAATGGAATTTGCCCTGCGAGGTTTTAGACTTGCTTGGGACCTGTCACTCTTTCCTTCTTTCCTATTTTTCTCTTTTGGAATGGGAAAGTCTATCCCATGCATGTCCCATCACTTTATTTTCAAAGCACATAACCTGTCTGGTTTCACAGGTTCATAAGTGGAGAGGAATTTGGCCTCAGGATGAGTAACACCTCCAGTCACACCCATACCTGATTTAGATGAGACTTTGGACTTAGAGTAGATGCTGAAATGGGTTAAGAGTTTTGGGGCTAGCCAGGTGCAGTAGCTCATGCCTGTAATCCCAGCCCTTTGGGAGGCCAAGGCAGGCGGATCACCTGAGGTCAGGAGTTCAAGACCAGCCTGGCTAACACGGTGAAACCCCATTTCTACTAAAAATATAAAAAATTAGCCAGGCGTGGTGGCGCATGCCTGTAATCCCAGCTACTCAGGAGGCTGAGGCAGGAGAATCTCTTGAACCCGGGAGGCAGAGGTTGCAGTGAGCCGAGATCACACCATTGCACTCCAGCTTGGGCAACAAGAGCAAAACTCTGTTTCAAAAAAAAAAAAAAAAGAGAGTTTTGGGGCTGTTGGGAGGGGGTGAATGTATTTTGCATATGAAAAGGACACAAATTTTGGGAGGCCAGAGGGCAAGCATATGGCAGCCCTAGCAAATGAATACCTGCCCAGAACTGGAAGCAACCCAAATATCCACTGACGGGAAAATGGATTAACAAATGTCATACATAGTCATACAATGGCATTACTACTCAGCAATAAAAAGGAATTAACTACTGATACATGTAACAATGTGGGTGAATTTCAGAAACATTATGCTGAGGGAAAGGAGCCAGACACGAAAGGGTACATACTATACACATCCATTTATATGAAATTCTGGAACAGGCAAAGTTTAATCCACAGTGTCAGAAAGCAGATCTGTGGTTGCCTAGATCTGGAGGCCTGAATGCAAAGTGGATGAGGGAACTTTCTGGGGTGATAGAGAACGTCTTACATCTTGATTGTGGTGGTGGGTACGTGGGTGCCCACTTTTGTCAAAACTCATCAAATTGTATACTTTAAAATGGGAACAGTTTATTCTATATACATTTTAACTCAATAATGTTGGTTTTAAAAGAAAATTGGAATTAATTCAGCACGGCAAGCTATGATAAGAAATGTGCGCTCTTAGCTACAAACATGTCAGCTAAAAGCAGACTAGAGTTTCAGGAAAAATAAATGTAACCAAGAGAAAGATTACAAATAAGATGTTGAATAATCTCACACATGGAAGCATACAGTTTTTTAAAAACTCAAGAGTGAAACCTATTTCATTTAGAGAGCAGAATAGTAGATAGATAGACAGATAAAAGGCATTTGAAAGAAAAAGACAAGTATTCTCTCCTTTTTCTTTAATTTGAGACAGGGCCTCACCATGTTGCCCAGGCTGGTCTCAAACTCTTGGGCTCAAGCGATCCTCCTACCTATGCCTCACAAAGTCTTGGAATTATAGGTGTGAGTCTCTGTGCCCAAAAGACAAATACTGAACACAGAAAAAGAAGATCCAACATACAAGTGATATGAGTCCCTAAAGAAGAAAATCAAAACAAGAGAATAGAACAAATACTAAAACTATAATTTAAGAAAACCTTCCTAAAATAAAAATGCCTTGGAACCATGTATTAAGTGAGAATATTGAGTGCCTAAAAATATCAACTCAGAATGAATGAGCAATACCAACACACAGTCAAATAAAATTACTAGATTTTAAAGAAAAAGCAACAACCCTTTATTAGTCAGGGTTCTCCAGAGGAACAGAACTAATAGGTTATACGTATATATGAAAGGGAGTTTATTAAGGAGAATTGGCTCACACGATCACAAGGCGAAGTCCCACGATAGGCCGTCAGCAAGGTGGGAAAGAAAGAAGCCATAGTGACTCAGTCCGAATCTGAAACCCTCAAAACCAGGGAAGCTGAAAGTGCAGCCTTCAGTCTGTGACCAAAGATCCGAGAGCCCCCAGCAAACCACTAACTTAAGTCCAAGAGTCTAAAGGCCAAAAAACCCGGAGTGTGATGTTCAAGGGCAGGAGGAGCAGAAGGAAGCATCCCGCACGGGAGAAAGAAGGAAGCTGGAAGACCCAGCAAGTGAAGCTATCCCACCATCTGCCACCTGCTTTCCAGCCAGCCTGGCAGCCAGTTGGGTTGTGCCCACCCACACTGAGTGAGGACGAGTCTTCCATTCCCAGTCCACTGACTCAAATGTCAGTCTCCTCTGGCAACACCCTCACAGACACCCCCAGAAACAAAACTTTAACAGCCATCTAGGCATCCTTCAACCCAATTAAGTTGACACCTAATATTGACCATCACAAACCCTTTGGGCGAAAAGAGCAAGAAACTATTAAGAGGCAAGTATGTATGTTTTGGGATAAAGAAAATGAGTAATTATGGGTCATTCTAGTTCTATCATGTCCCCTGTCCTTGAGAAACAGGATTCTCAGTGTGAAAGAAAGAAAATATAGATGTACCATAGAAGTCAGGTAAAAATCCTAAGGAACTAAATTTAGATGGGAAGCACCCGTATAACTCATTAGGCATTTTATCTTAAAAATTATGTACATGTAGGCTGGGTGCGATGGCTCATGCCTGTAATCCCAGCATTTTGGGAGGCCGAGGGGGGCAGATCACTTGAGGTCAGGAGTTCGACACCAGCCTGGCCAACATGGTGAAACCCCGTCTCTACTAAAAATACAAAAATTAGCCGGGTATGGTGGTGGGCGCCTGTAATCCCAACTACTTAGTAGGCTGAGGCAGGATAATCTCTTGAACCCAGGAGGTGGAGGTTGCAGTGAGCCGAGATCATGCCACTGCACTCTGGCCTGGGTGACAGAGTGAAGCTCTGTCTAAAAAAAAAAAGTATGTACATGTGTGTGTCTATGTGGTATACACACATCACTCTGTTCACTGAAAACACCAAAAGCAATAGCTAAGTAGTGATCAGCATAGCTAGCATGCAGATTATAGTCTTTATAACCATTTCTTACTAAATGGAGAAATGGCTGACTGCAGGTTTTAGGTCAGGAATTGTACCAGAGGGACCTGGAACATCTTGTCGTAATGGACAGCTGGAAAGGTATCTGTTAAATCTGGAAAGATTTAACTTGACCACTAGGGTCAAGTTAAAAGGACTCAGGAGCAAACTTGATGAGACTCCCACTGGACAGAGATGAGGCAATTCAAGCTTCAATGAGCAGAGTACGTCGCAATAGACTGAAACCACCAAATGTGTTTAAATGCCTGAGTTCATAATGATAATAATAAACTAGCAATCACCTTTGGGAGATGATAAGGAACCAATTCATTATCTTGAAAATTGATAAAGGAAAAAAATTAAGCATTTATCCTCTCTTGCCTATTTGAATAGTATGACTGGATATCAAATACCAGATGAGAGGATACATCTCTTTATAAAATAATTCCAACTAACAAATGAAAAAAATTATATAATTAGAATATCACCATTCTAATGTATAAAAGACATGAAAAATATCATAGAAGTTCAGAGGATAGACTTTCTTTCTTTTTAGGATCTTGCTCTGTTGTTCAGGTTGGAGTGCAGTGGTGTGATCTCAGCTCACTGCAACCTCCATCTCCTGGGCTCAAGTGATCCTCCCCACCTCAGCCTCCCAAGTAGCTGGGAACACAGGCACATGCTACTACACTTCACTAATTTTTTGTATTTTTTTTTTTTGTAGAGACAGGGTTTCACCATGTTACCCAGGCTGGTCTCGAACTCTTGGACTCAAGCAATCTCCCCACCCACCTCGGCCTCCCAAAGTGCTGGGATTACAGATGTAAGCCACCATGCTTGGTCCTAGAGGATAGACTTTCAACTCCTTAATAAATTTATTCCAGCCATACTACGCCCAGCTGTGTGACTTTGAGCAACATGCACCCTTGGTGCTTCAGTCTCCTCCTCTGTAAAGAGGCGTACTGAACTTGTCCTCAGAGAGCTGCTGTGAGATTAAGTTCATTACATGTGTTGACACAGTGCCAGCCACACAGTAAATATTAGGTGTTTTCTGGCACCTGATAACGCTCTTGCTTTTGAAAGCTCTCTTGCAGTCTGTCCCTGCTCAAGCCAGGCTCCCATCACTCACATGTGGATTCCACACATGGAAGGATGACGTGATGCAACAGGAAGGGCACAAATGTTGGAGTCGGACCCGAGTTCCCCTTCTGGCTCCATGACGTCCTTCCTCAGACAAGACACAGCACCCTCTGAGCTCAATCCCCTCACCTCTAGAATGGGGAAAACACAGAGCCTGCCTGGTCACATTGGGAGAAGGAAGTGAAATATTCACGTAGGGCCCTTAGCACTTGGCCTGGCACAGGACGGGTCCTGAGGACACGGTGGTCCCCTCCTCTTCCTGCTTTCCCCTCCTCACCAACTCCAGGTGAATCCTCCCGAGCTTCTGCTTCTATCATCTCACTGTCCTGCTAAAGAACTCTGAACGATTCCCATCTATGTTCGAAGATGGTGGATCTGCTTCCATTGTCAGATTTCTCTGGATTCGCTGTGGCTGCCTGGGCTTCCAAATTGAGAATGATCCCATCGGGAAAAGTGTGACCATTTGGCCAAGCGCGGTGGCTTACGCCTGTAATCCCAACACTTTGGGAGGCTGAGGTGGGTGGATCACCTGAGCTCAGGAGTTCGAGACCAGCGTGGGCAACATGGAGAAACCTCGTCTGTATTAAAAATACAAAAATTAGCCAGATGTGGTGGCATATGCCTGTAATCCCAGCTACTCTGGAGGCTGAGGCAGGAGAATCACTTGAACCCAGGAGGTGGAGGTTGCAGTGAGCCGAGATCAAGCCACTGCACTCCAGCTTGGGTGACAGACCAAGACTCTGTCTCAAAAAAAAAAAAAAAAGAGAAAAAAAGTGTGATCATTGAGGGATGCCTAATTGCCCAGGTAACAGCTCCTCTGCTGTGTACCTAGTTGCCTCACTGATCAGCTGGGACAGCTCCAAGCACCTCATCCAGCCACTTGAGAATTTCATCCTCTGGCCCCCACAGCTACATCCATGCCCCACACCAACTTTCCTCAAAGACTTACCCCCGCCCCGGCAGACTGGTCACCTGTACACTGCTCTTCATTCAACATCTTCCCCACCTCCAGACCTTTATCAAAAGCCCCTCTCCAAATGCCGGCCACATGCCATCTCCCGTAGGGCCCAGAGAGCTAGCCAGTGCTGCCCACACTGGGTGCAGCTGTCCCAGAGAAGCCCCTCCAGCCCCCACCCACCCCCTCAGTCTTCCCATCCACCAGCCGAGAGAGTCCCCTCTACCTCTGATAGGCCACAAAATAGGTCACATCCTGGGGGTTGCCAAGCCCTGGGAGCCATGTCAGGTACACGCTGAAGTTCTGGGAGAGCAGCGTCACATTCTGGGGAGGGGCCAGACGGGGCCTCCCTGGGGGAAAGAAAGGGGTCATGAAGCCTGGAGCTCCTGGCTGGTCTTGACTCAGGCCATCCCAAGCTGAGGGGCAGCACGAAGGGCAAGCAGGTGCTCACTGAGTTTGAGGAACCAGGAGCCACTGACTGGCTGTACTGCAGCCCTTGTGCCATGAGAGAAGACCCTTTGCCAGGAGGGGAGGCTCCTGCACACTCTGGGACCGGAGGGTTCCAGCAGAACACCATGGAACAGGAACCTAATGGCCTCCAGGAGGGAGCATCCTTGAGGATATCAAGGACCAGGGGCTCTGTCCTGTTCTCAGCCACATCCCCAGAGCCTGCCTGCCATGGCCTCAGCACATAGTAGGTGCACAATAAACATCTGTTGAGTAAATGAATGAATATTACAATAACATGGGTTACACCAAAGGCTTCCTGACCGGTCTCCTTGCTTCCAACCTTGTGTAAGGGAGATGACACAGCAAAGGTTGCTGCCTAGGCATTAGAAGTAGATGCCACACTCAGATGGTCCAAGCCAGTGGCCAGAGATAAGAACTTCGAGGCATCTCTCCCTCCCGGCAAACTGGGCTCCCCACTTCCCACCCATTCCTTTAAAGGGATCATTCAAGCATTTGCCCTCAAACTTAACCTGACCCACACCCTAGTCCCTTACATAATATACTTCTCATTGCCACAAGCTCTCACTTTCTTTTTGCCTGACTCTTCATTCCCGCTTCATGTAGCCCAGGATGGAGGATGACCCTCCCTACTCATTGCACCTTCCCTGCTCAGGATCTGTAAGTAATAAGCCTTTGAACTTGTTTTGCATTGAGGTGGTGTACTGAATTTGCACCTTCCATCTCAGGAACCCAGGCCCAGCCCAGGCCTGGTTTTCCCTGGGTTGCTGGGAACACAGTCTGGCTCCCAGCGCCAGAGCAATGGTCAGACAGGCATAAACTTGGACATGGATCAGACAAGAGTCACAGGGACGTCTGCCAGTATAAACAAGTGTGAAGGACCCCCAGCCATGGGTTAGACAGCTAGGCTATTAGGCTGTCCGCCAGGTAAGAAGTATTTCATGGGCCGGGCGCAGTGGCTCAAGCCTGTAATCCCAGCACTTTGGGAGGTCAAGGTGGGCAGATCACCTGAGGTCAGGAATTCAAGACCAGTCTTGGCCAACTTGGTGAAACCTCGTCTCTACTAAAAATGCAAAAATTAGCAGAACATGATGGCACAGGGCTGTAATCTCAGCTACCTGGGAGGCTGAGGCACGAGAATTGCTTGAACCCAGGAGGACGAGGTTGCAGTGAGCTGAGATTGTGCCACTGCATTCCAGCCTGGGCAACAGGGCGAGACTCCATTCCAAAAAAAAAAAAAAAAAAGTGTTCCATGAAGGGCACACTGTAAGTACCCACGCCCAGTTCGCTGGCATTATTCATTAGGGCAGGCTTGCCAGCCACTCTGCTACTGGAACCCTAATTTAGCTGGAGGCGATCAAAAGCCCTTGTCCCAAGGTGGATGATCACTAAATCCACATTTGGAGGCATGTTACTATGGAAGTTTAGGTGACACCTATATTCATTATTTATTTCACAATTTCATTTTTGTATTCACATTTCAGATTTGTGAATGCAGTTTTTTTCCTGAAAATTCATTTTAACTTGAAAGTATGTTTTTAATTCCCCTGATGTAATTAATGGACTATGTGCATATTTATACCTAGGTGTGCTTACATGTTAATAATGTATTTGCATAGTTGTGAGAATTTCATATTGGACTCCATAGTGGTAAAAAAATAAATACAGGCCGGGCGTGGTGGCTCATGCCTGTAATCCCAGTACTTTGGGAGGCTGATGTGGGCAGATCCCGAGGTCAGGAGTTCGAGACCAGCCTGACCAACATGGTGAAACCCTGTCTCTACTAAAAACACAAAAATTAGCCAGGCGTGGTGGTGCACGCCTGTAATCCCAGCTACTCAGGAGGCTGAGGCAGGAGAATCGCTTGAATCCGGGAGGTGGAGGTTGCAGTGAGCAGAGATCACACCACTGTACTCCAGCCTGGTGACACAGTGAGACTCCATCTCAAATAAATAAATAAATAAATAAATAAATAAGTAAACACAACATCTGTCATATACATTTCTTTTCTGTTGGTTTAAGAAAATATCTGACAGCTTTACCTACTTCTGCAGGTTCATCCAAGCCCAGATATTACTGAACGAATATATTGATGTAGAGTATGTGTTATTTTGTTTTCAGTTCTGCTCTAGATCATAACTATGTAAAAAACACTGTCATAATCAGTTATACTAAAATTCATGAGCCCAAATGTAAGATGAAAAGTCTGCACTGTAGTCTAAGGTCATTGCTCTATCAATAATTACATTCTCATTTTGATTTACAGAAGAGCTTTATGGTAGAAACACCAGAAAACACCTCATACTATTAAAAGGCTTTTTCCCCATTAAAAAAAAAAATACAGGTCGGGCATGGCAGCTGACACCTGTAATCCCAGCACTTTGGGACATCGAGGCAGGAGAATCATTTGAGACCAGGAATTTAAGACTTGCCTAGGCAACATAGTGAGACCACATCTCTACAAAATAAATTTTTTAAAAAATTAGCAGGGCACAATGGTGAGAGTAAGGAGGCTGAGGTGGGAGTTTCGCCTGAGCCCAGGAGTTCAAGGCTGCCGTGATTGTGCCACTGCACTTCAGTCTGGCCAACAGAGCAAGACCCTGTCTCTACGAAACAGACAAATATACAAAACACCTTGCCTTCAGTCCATTCTCCACATAGCAGGAAGGATTAAAAATGAAAATCAGATCATGTTCATCTTCTGCTTAAGCCCTCTAAAGGCTTCCATCTCACTCCAGGTAAACTCAAAAGTCTTTATTATTTTTATTTTATTTTGAGGCAGAGTCTTATGCTGCCACCCAGGCTGGAGTACAGTGGCACAATCTCAGCTCACTGCAACCTCCACCTCCCGGGTTCAAGCGATTCTCCTGCCTCAGCCTCCAGAGTAGCTGGGATTACAGGCATGTGCCACCACACCTGGCTAATTTTTGTATTTTTAGTTGAGACGAGGTTTCACCATGTTGGCTAGGCTGGTCTCGAACTCCTGACCTCAGGTGATCCGCCCACCTTGGCCTCTCAAAGTGCTGGGATTACAGGCCTGAGCCACTGTGCCTGGTCTAAACTCCAGAGTCTTTACAATCACCACCAAGGCCCTACCCAATCTGACCCACCACTCCTCCCTTGCTCCCATATCTCCATCCACACAGGACTTTTTGCCCTTCCTGGAGCACCCCAGCCACACTCCCAACTCCAGGCCTTTGCACACGCTGTTCCCTCATGCTGTTCCCTCTGCCTTAACAGTTCTGCCCCTGGATATCCACCTGGCTCACTCCTTTGCTGTTTTCACATTCCTTTGATGTCACTGTCTCGAGGACACTTTCCCTGACTCCCTTTAACTGACCTCTATTCCCCTCTGTGGCACATTTTCCTTCTCACTGTTAATCTTCATCTTCTGAAATACGCATCTGATTACACCACTCCCCAGTTTCATGCCCTTTCCTTGGCCTCAGAATAAAGTCCACATTTGTTATTGAGGTTTGTGAGGCCCTGCCTGACGTGGCCTGGCCTGGCCTGGCCAGGCCGTCTTGCTGCTCTCTCCCCAACAGCTACCCTACAGGCTCATCAGGCAATCTTCCTGCTCGATGTTGCCAAGCCACTGCATTCTTCTGGATGTTTTTAAACCCAGGTGTCTTTGACTGCCTGGTATTCACCATCTAGTCTTTGAAATACTTGATTCAAATGTCACTTCCTCCAGGGAATCTTCCTTGACATATCTACGAGGTGATGATGATGATGATAACGATGATGATAATAATAGCAGCTAAGGCCGGGCATGGTAACTCACCCCTGTGATCCCAGCATTTTGGGAGGCAGAGGTAGGCAAATCACCTGAGGTCAGGAGTTTGAGACCAGCCTGGCCAACATGGTGAAACCACGTCTCTTCTAAAAATACAAAAATTAGTTGGGCATGGTGGCACACGCCTGTCATCTCAGCTACTTGGGAGGCTGAGACACGAGAATTGCTTGAACCCGATAGGTGGAGGTTGCAGTGAGCCGAGATTGCGCCACTGCACTCCAGCCTGGGTGACAGAGTGAGACTCTGTCTCAAAATAAATAAATAAAATAATAATAATAATAATAGCAGCTAATGTGTATTGTGTTCTGTGAGCCAGGTTCTGTGCTAAACAGTTTACCTGCACTTTCTCTTTTAATCCTCATTACATCCCTAGGAGGTAGGTATTCATTATAATAATTATAATCGTTACAGATGGGAAAACCAAGGCCCTCTCAGCTATTAAGTTGTAGAATCAGATTCAGTCCAGGCCTAGCCAACTCCAAAGTCCGAGCTCTTGACTGTACTTTGTCTTCTAGGTTCTCATGGGGTCTATTGAGCTTTATGATTCCAACTATTCCATCTATTGACCACTACGAGTCAAACAAGATCTGTTGACCACGGTGTGCCAGGGGTTTCAAAGAAGAACACAACTTCATTCCTGCCCTATAGGAGCTCATGGTCCCATGGAGAATTCAGGGTCCTGAAGTGTCCCATGTGCCATGATGGAAATCCATACGGGTTGCAAAATGGCATCAGGGAGGGAGGGTCCAGTTCTGTGGATGGCTGTCCCCAGCCTCGGCTGCCTACCCATCACCTTCTAGACCCAAAAGTGGGTGCCTGCTTCCACCTCATCCTGTGTCCTCTAGCTGGGACTGTATCACCACGAGGCTAGTGCTATTACTACTCCCAGCTTCTGGACTTCCTAACGGGTGACCAGCAGGAGACCAGGCTGTCTGCAAGCCACTTGTAAGGTATCCTATGGGCAGGACAGTCCCCAGATTCGAGCTAGGTCACATGAGAAAAACAGCAGTTAGAGCAACTTTCCTCTATGAAGCCTTCAAAGGATGCCAGGCACTAGTTTGGCTCTTTACATGTAAAACCTCAATCACCCTTGGGACAGACCACCCTATGGGGTAGGTGTCATTCATTCTGCTTCCATGGAAAGGGCGCTAGGCTCAGAGACAGATGCTAACTAACTTGCCTGAGGCTACACAGTCAGTTTGTGTGGGAGCCAGTATTTGAACTTAGATCTGGCTGTACTTACTCCTAAATCATCACACCATAGTTAGTGTTGTGTATATTAAATACTTATCAGGTGAAAGTACAAGAAGGTCTGGGTTTGACAGTGAAAGGGGAACAGAAGACCCCACCCTCCCTCCACACACAGGTACACGGTCCCTCATCAGCCACAGAGAACGCTGCTGTGGGCACTGGGGGCTGGAGCATCCCTGGCTGGCCTAGTGACCCAGTGGATGGACAGCCTGTCCCACGTGCCTACCCTGGAGGCAAAAGCTAGCCAGGCTTGCTTTAGCCCCTCTTCTCTCTTCTGTGTGCCTCACCTCTGCCATCCTTCTTGAGGAATTCCCTGAATTGCTCTGAGCCTCAGTTTTCCCATCGGAAAAGTAAAAATAATATCTACCTCCGAGGATGGCTGGGTCGTGAGGCTTCCAGAATAATGCGGTGCCTGGCACAAAGAAGTTGCTGAATAAATATAGGCTTTTATGATGATTGGATTATGCCCAGGGACCTTTACAGCTCTTTAAACTGTGAGTCCAAGACTAGGAAAATATCCTGGGGGCGATTTCTGGACCTTCTCTTCCCTGCTTCGGTTGGAGTCGTGGGCGGTGAGGTTTGGTGGTTGGGTCCTACGGCGAGGAATTTTGTACCTGACACCTTACTCATCAGTAGAGGTGGGAAAACAACAACAACAACAACAACAACAAAACAACAACAAAACAACAACCACCACCAAAAGAAAGCCGTCTTGTTAGAAAGCAGGGCACAGGCGACCAGAGCTCCGTCCCACCAGAGGCCTGGCAGGAACGGGAAGGGACATCAATCGGTCCCACTTTCCCTGCTGTCCACACTTTAGGGTCAAGTGTGGTTTTCACGCAGGGATCAGTGCTTTCTTTAGGAAACATTAAAAAGCACTTTATTAAAAAATATGCAGTATCAAACTGCCGCTGTCTTTTTTCTCCAGTTCTCCTGAAGCTGGAAGCATTAGGAAACTGGATTCGTTTCCTGCGGGAGAGGAATATCAAAGACCCGGTTCTGTTCAGTCCTGGGAAGAAGCAAACTGGGGGCGCGTAGGCAGGGCCGATTCGCACCCGGCTCGGGTGGCTGCGGACCCCGTGCCTGTCCCAGGAGCTCCGGGTCCGAGGGTAGGCGCGGCCCGGCCCGGGGAGCCCTCTTCCCCCTCCCTCCCGCGGCCCCGCGCCCTTACCTGGAGCGGCCTGCAGCAGGCACAGGAGCAGGGGGCCCCAGCGCTCGGGCCCCGCCATGGCCTTCCTGCCGCGGCGTCCCCGCCCGGGCCCAGGTCCCCGCCTCCCGCCTCCCGCCTCCCGTCTCCTAGCCCACCGCGGGCAGGTGACGCAGTCGGCAGCCAATGGCCCGCAGAGCCGCGGGCCCGTCCCTGCCGCCTAGGATTCACTGAGAAGGTCCCTGGGGACAGCCCCGCCGCGGGGGGAGGGGGGGGGGGGAGCGCGCCGGTCCCCGCGCTCGAAACTCGCCCGTACCTCTGCTTCATCTGCACTTAGTTTTGTTTTACTCAATTCCCGGAAAAAAAAATCAGTAAATCCGTGCACGGGGGAAGGGCAGGGGAGGGGAAGAAACCGGCTGATGATCAATAACCCACGGCCAGTCCAGTGCTCCAGGACGGGCCATTTTGGCAGGATTAGGGAGAGTTCAAGGCCGGTTTGGCTACGCGGCCTCAATGCCATTGGCGGGATCCGAGCGCGTTTCTGAGCCGGATGCTGAGCTCCGCGCCTTACACACGCGATTCCCTTTAATGCCCCCGGGGATCCCGGCGGATCCGTGCTGCCCTTCTCCACGTACTTCTCTCCCGGGGAGCGGCAGGCCCCAGAGCTTCAGGTGCTTGTTCTGGGGAAAGCTGTCTTTCTGACCCCGAAGGCTGTGGTGTTCACCTGGACAGCAGTAGCTTCCCAGTAAGGCACACGCCACGACGCGCAATATTATGCGGCCCTTTAGGAGGACGTTGCCGAATGGTGTGTATCGACACCGAGGTGTTTGCAACACACTGAGAAACAGAAAAGCGAGTGCTAAAACATAGGCCCATTAAAAAAGTGTGTGTGTAGCCGGGCGCGGTGGCTCACGCCTGTAATCCCAGCACTTTGGGAGGGTGAGGCGGGTGGATCGCCTGAGGTCAGGAGTTGGAGACAAGCCTGGCCAACATGGTGAAACCCCGTCTCTACTAAAAATACAGAAAATCAGCCGGGCGTGGTGGCATTCACCTGTAATCCCAGCTATCAGGGAGGCTGAGGCAGGAGAATCGCTTGAACCCAGGAGGCGGAGGTTGCAGTGAGCCGAGATCGCGCCACTGCACTCCAGCCTGGGCGACAGAGTGAAACTCAGTTTCAAAAAAAAAAAAAAAAGTGTGTGTGTGTGTGTGTGTGTGTGTGTGTGAGTCTGTCTGTATGCATAGAAAGATATTTGGAATAATAATTACCAAAATATTAATGGTTGTTGTCTTTGGGTGATGAGGATTTTCTTTTTCAACTTTCTTCTTTTCTGATCATATTTCGTTTCCAATTTTTTGATAATTATTTGAAACTGGGATCAGCTTTGGTCCCATCAGTTTTTGGAAGAGAAAATGATTTTCACAGAGCTTGGTGGGTCCAAAAGTTGCTCTGAGTTTAACCGCGGGGGAAATTTCTTTTGGAAATTTCAGGATGCTTCTGGGACTAGCATCAAGGCTTCTGCTTAATCAGGATTTTTTTTCTTTTTTTTTTTTTAGACAAAAGCTCTGTCGCCCAGGCTGGAATGCAATAGTGTGATCTTGGCTCACTGCAACCCCGCCTCCTGGGTTCAAGCTATTTTCTCACTTCAGCCTCCCAAGTAGTTGGGATTACAGGCACCTGCCATCATGCTCAGCTAATTTTTGTAGAGATGGGGTTTCACCATGTTGGGCAGGCTGGTCTTGAACTCCTGACCTCAGGTGACCTCAGCCTCCCAAAGTGCTGGGATTACAGGCATGAGCCACTGTGCCTGGCCTTAATTAGGATCTCTTAACAAAGCCCTGCTCACAGAGGACGCAATTCCACCTCAAAGGCGCAGGGTGGAGGAGGATGGAAGAGCAGCAGGCACGGTCAGTGTTGGTATCTTGGGATCTCTGAAATGTTGACTGTTGACTTTCTTTTCTCCTTCCTTCCTTCCTTTCTCTCTCTTTCTTTCTTTCTTTCTTTCTTTCTTTCTTTCTTTCTTTCTTTCTTTCCTTCCTTCCTTCCTTCCTTCCTTCCTTCCTTCCTTCTTTTTTCTCTCTCTTTCCTTCTTTCTTGCTTTCTTATTTTCTTGCTTTCTTTTTTTTTGACAAGAGTCTCACTCTGTCACCCAGGCTGGAGTGCAGTAGCGTGATCATGGTTCACTGCAACCTCTACCTACTGGTTCAAGCGATTCTCATGCCGCAGCCTGCCAAGTAGCTGGGACTACAGGCGTAAGCCACCATGCCCAGCTAATTTGTGTATTTTTAGTAAAGACGGGGTTTCGCCATGTTGGCCAGGCTAATCTCGAACTCCTGGCCTCAAGTGATCTGCCCACCTCGGCCTTCCAAAGTGCTGGGATTATAGGCATGAGCCATGCACCCGGCCCTGAAATGTTGACTTTCATTTCCACCCAGCAACTGCAACTCTTTTAGACCCGGAATCCCACTGTGCTTGGAGCGGTTCAACAGCAGGTACAGAAATATCTTCATTTGCCACCTGCTCCACCCATGGGCTCCTGTGCTATGCATCTGAAACTGGCACTTGCTCTTTTTTGACAATTTGTTTGTCACATGTTTGTTCTCTTGTTCCTCTTCCCCCACCTCCCCGCCCACGCATAGCTTCGAGTTAGAAAATTGTGTGTTCAGATGCCTTGATCCTTCAAGAGACATTTTGTGACTATGAGCTTGGCCAAGTTGGATCTTTCAAAACCTTAAAAAAAATGTCATCTATAGATGCCGGTCAGAAAATCTCAGCCAGTTACCACGACCTTGCTTCTACTTAGGTCCTAAATACACTGCTTCAATTTCTTTCAGGTATCTCAAATACAATCCATCCATTCTGGAATAAAATGAATATATCTCTATTGATATCTCTTTATCCCAAACAGCTGACTGCACGAATCTTTATTGAGTCTTTGTTATATAGTGGCACTGCAGTTTACATACAGTATTTAATCTTCACAACAACCCTATGAGGTGGATATTATTAATATCCCCTTTCAACAGATGAAACTCGGAGAGGTTACATCCTTGCTTAGGTCACACAGCTAATTATAGTGATAGGGCTGCAATTTGGAACTCAGTCTGTCTGTCCTCAAAGCTTGTGGTTTTAAAACTTCTGCTACCCAGCCTCTTGCTTGCTTAAGGGCAAACAAGAACAAACCTCCCCAGTCTTAATCACTTCCTGATTTGCAAAGATCATGGCGCTAACCTCTCAACTCTCATGAGTGGAACGGTGGGCACTGAAGAGCCAGCTTCCTCTTTGGGTTGGAATATTAGGTATGAAGCAGTGGTGCTGATAAATGTTTCACAACTGGTTGGGGGTTTAGGGGACAGGGGTAAAAGTCCTGCTTTCTTGTGTTTCCCAACCTTCGTGGTGTGAATATCCCCACTGTGGCTGACTTTAAGCTAGCAAATGTGAGGTCACTGAACACAGAGATAAGAAGAAATGTGGCCGGGCACAGTGGCTCATGCCTGTAATCCCAGCACTTTGGGAGGCTGAGGGGGGCGGATCACGAGGTCAGGAGATCAAGACCATCCTAGCTAACATGGTGAAACCCCATCTTTACTAAAAATACAAAAAAATTAGCCGGGTGCGGTGGCGGGTGCCTGTAGTCCCAGCTACTCGGGAGGCTGAGGCAGGAGAATGGCGTGAACCCAGGAGGAGGAGCTTGCAGTGAGCCAAGATCACGCTACTGCACTCCAGCCTGGGCGGCAGAGAAAGACTCCATCTCAAAACAAAAACAAAAACAAAAAAAAAACAAAACAGAAGAAATGTGCACAATTGGCTCCTGAGCCTGTAGGAGCCAGCTCCAGCACACCACTGGGTGGACGAAGCCAATTTCCCTCACTGTTGGAGGACCCAACATCTGTGGCACCACAGCTGAGCTTTTCTATGTTTAGAACAAACCACATCCCAACCCCTAAGGGCCTATGGGGCTCATGTTAAAAGTCTCTGGTCCATGACTTGAGGCTCAAAATCTCTTATGCAGCTGTTGAAGGTTTTCACAATGTGGCCTCCATCCACCTTTTGAAGTTCCCCACTAGTTCTCTGTGTTCCGGCCACAGAGGCTTCCAGTTCCCTTCTTTCTCTTGCCCCCTGGCCTTTTCAAACACTGGTCCCTGTGGTGGGAATTTCCTTCCCAGGCTTATCTTCCGCTAGTCTTCCAACAGGCCCCTATTCTTGATTCAGTCTCAGCTCACATGCCACTTCCTCAGGGAGGCTTTCTTAACCACTGTCTTTGATTTGCTCCCAATCCCCATGTATGTCTCTGACTTAGCCCATTTTGCGCTGCTGTAACAAAATACCACAGAGTGAGTTATTTACAAAGAACAGAAATTTATTTCTCACAGCTCTGGAGGCTGGGAAGTTCAAGTTCAAGATGCCTTCAGGTTATGACCCAGTCTCTCTGCTTCCAAGATGGCACCCTGAATGTTTTGTCGTCTGAAGGGGAGGACACCGTGTCCTCACATGACAGAAGAGGAGAGAGAGAGAGAGAGAGAGAGAACCCATTCTCACAAGCCCTTTTTATGGACTCATTAATCCATTGATGATGGCAGAGCCCTCACGACCTACACACCTTCCATCAGGCCCTACTTCCCAACACTGTCGCATTGGGGATTGAGTTTCCAGCACATGAATTTTGAAGGCCACATTCAAACCATAGCAGTCTCTTTGATATGAATTAATCACAATATCATCATTTTTGTGCACTGAATATCTTACTTCTTGGATACAACTCTAATGACTCGCTCAGGGCCTGGCACATAGTAGGTGCTCAATGAACTGTGAGTAAGCAAACCTTTGCTGAATGGGGCTCAGTCAAACACAATTTCATATGCCCTAAACAACTCAGCCCCTCTCCTGGTTCTTATCTGCCACGCCTTAGCCACTCACTAAGTGTTTACTGACTTGAACTTGGCATATGACTCATAGTTAGAAGACCTCAGTGTTTCTTTCGAAAGTATAACTCCACTGTCATGCTCCCCTCCATAGCTGGGATTTTACAGTCTTCTGTTGTCCCCAAGAATAATGTTTAAAAAATAATGTGGCTGGGCACGGTGGCTTACGCCTGTAATCCCAACAGTTTGGGAGGCTGAGGTGGGTGGATCTCCTAAGGTCAGAAGTTCAAGACCAGACTGGCCAACGTGGTGAAACCCCATCTTTACTAAAAATACAAAAATTAGCTGGGCGTGGTGGCATGTGCCTGTAATCCCAGCTACTCGGGAGGCTGAGGCAGGAGAATCGCTTGAACCTGGGAGGTGGAGGTTGCAGTGAGCCAAGATCATGCCACTGGACTGCAGCCTGGGCAATGACAGCAAAACTCTGTCTCAAAATAATAAAATAAAATAAAATAATAATAATAATGTGCAACAGGGGAAACAAAACCACATTACTCTGTGTGTGTGTGTGTGTGTGTGAGAGAGAGAGAGAGAGAAAGAGGGAGAGAGAGAGAGAGAGGGAGTTCACAGCCTCTCCCTCTCCTGTCTACTAAGATAATTATGCGCAGGCTGGCAAAGTGTCCCATAGGACTGGGAAAAGGCAGGAGAGGAGGCAAAATGTAAAAGCCAATTGGGGCTGGGTTTTAAAAGTCAGTTTTGGGGGACATGTGGAGAGAAAAGGAGCAAGTGCAGGGACCAGCTGCTCTAAGAGCTGAATGTGAGTGTGAATATGAGATGTATGGAAAGAGAGGTGGAGAAAATGGATTTCCAAATTTTTGGCTCTGTGTCAGGACTGAAATTTCTTTTGGCATTTTCCCCCCCCAAGAAACTAAAGATTTTAAACCATTGTTGTTTTGACTATTATTCTTCTTGCTGTTGTTTTAATGTAATGCTGGAGGCAGGCAGGGCCCAGTACAAGAACAAGGAGATCATTTGTATGTGGGAGTGGAATTTAAGACTTTACCAGCTGCAAGAACACAAACTCTAAACTGACATAAGTGCAAAAGGAATTCTGCAAGTTCCCCAGATTGAGAAGTTCAAGGATGGATGTGGCTCTGGGACGGCTCTAGTGGAAACAGATTCTGATTGGCCTGGCTTGGGTCACATGCCATTTCCTGAGCCAATCGATGTGGTCAGAAGAATGGGCTACTGTCATTGGCCTCTCTGGGTAGAATGCCCATCCCGGGGGAGAGGGGTAAGGGAGTATTCTGATTGACAGCTCCTCCAACTATAGGAACTGGAGGAAGATTGGTTCCTCAGAGGAATGGAGGCTGCAGAGGCAAACGGCATACACCCACTGCTGGGTTGCAGAGGAGGAGTCCTTAGAGATCATCCCCACCAACTTCCTACCCTGAAAGTCTACCCTCTTCAACATCCTGGAGAGACCAGCTGGATGCTGCTGCTTGGACTCATTGGGGGACGAGATCCTGCTATCTTTTGGGGCTGCCAATTCTGTTTGTGAACAGTTCTAGTTAGGAACATCGCCCTTACTTTGACCTACCTCCTTGTAATTTACCCTAGTCATCTAATTCTTCCTTTTGGGGCCTCACAGAAGAAAACAAAGCCCTTCTCCCCATGCCAGCCTTTACAGATGTTAAGTCTCAAGATCCTTCTTGTAGATGGTGCACAGATGACAGCCAGTTTCCTGGTGTAAGAGCACCAGCCTGGGAACCAGGAGACCTCAGTTCCAGCCCTCACGCCGGCTTTAATGCAGCGAAGTGGCCTTGCTTGGAGGGAGGTATACACAGTTCCCATTTCACAGATAAGGATACTAAAGTAAAGGGAGGTTAAGAGACATGCCCAAGGTCACACAGGTGGAAATGGGGAAGCTGGAACTCACATCCAGGACCACACAATTCCAAAGCTTCTTTCTTTATCACTCTGTGGTCTTGAGAAAGTTACATCCTTTCTCTGGGCCTCAGTTTTCTCATCTGTAATTTGGGAACTTTCATGTGTATTAGAATCACCTGGCTGGAGTGCAGTGGCATGATCACGGCTCACTGCAGCCTCAATCTCCTGGGCTCAACGATCCTCCTGCCTCAGCCTCCTGAATAGCTGGGACTATAGGTACATGCAGCCACACCCGGCTAATTTCGTTTATTTTTTGTAGAGACTTGGTTTTGCTGTGTTGCCCAGGCTGGTCTTGAACTCCTGGGTTCAAGTGATCCACCCGTTTGGGCCTCCCGAAGTGCTGGGATTACAGGCGTGAGCCATAGCTGGAGAGCTGGTTAAGACACAGGTTGCTGGGGTTCATCTCCAGAGTCCCCGGTTCCATTTTTTTTCTGAGGTGCGGCTTAAGGATTTGCATTTTAACCAGTTCCCAGGTGATGCTGGTGATGATGGTGCTGCTAGTCTGGGTTCCACACTTTCAGAAACACTGTAGTATTTGATCCCAGCTCTAACATACTATGATGTGGGGTGGTGGATATATTTTACCTTTCCATTTAGTTTGGGCTTGGACCCCTATTTTTATTATTTATTTATTTATTGAGACAGAGTCTTGCTCTGTTGCCCAGGCTGGAGGAGTGCAGTGGCGTGATCTTAGCTGATTGGGTTCAAGCAATTCTCATGCCTCAGCCTCCCAAGTAGCTGAGACTACAGCTGTGCGCCACCATGCCTGGTTAATTTTTTTGTATTTTTAGTAGAGACGGAGTTTCACCATTTTGGCCAGGCTGGTCTTGAACTCCTGACCTCAGGTGATCCACCTGCCTCGGCCTCCCTAAGTGCTGGGATTACAGGCGTGAGCCACCGCACCCGGCCAGTTTGGGCTTAGACCGGTATTAAATGGTGTGTGTGTGTGCGTGTGTGTGTGTGTGTGTGAGAGAGACAGAGAGAGAGAGAGAGAGAGCGCGCGAGCAGGCAGCCACCATTTTGCTCCACAGTAAACTTAATTCCAACAATTGTTGAATGAAATTCAAATAGGTAAAGAAGTGAAGAGAAGAGTTTGAAAATTTGAGTGTAAGCTTTGACTCCCCCAAAACTTAACTACTAATAGCCTACTGTTGATCGGAAGCCTTATTGATTACATAAACAACATATATTTTGCATGTCATATATATATATATATATACTGCACTCTTACATATATACTGTACTCTAGTAAACAGAGAAATGAAAATGTTATTACGGAAACCATAAGAAAGAGAAAATACATTTACTATTCATTAAGTGGAAGTGAGTCATCATAAAAGTCTTCATCCTCATTTTCTTCATAATGAGTAGGTGGTGGAGGAGGAGGGTTTAGTCTTGCTGTCTCGGTGGAAGAGGCAGAAGAAAATTCACATATAAGTGGACCCTCACAGTTCAAACCCATGTTCAATGGTCAGTTGTATATCAGTGGTTGCCAGGGGCTGGGGAAAGGGAGGGGTATGGGGAATGGTTACTAGTGGGTAGAGTTTATTTTCCAGGTGATGAAAACGTTCTCAGATTAGAGAGTAGAAATGGTTGCATGACTTTGTGAATATATTAAAAAGTGTGCATTTTTAATGGTGGATTTTATAGTATGTGAATTATATCTCAGTTGCGGGGTGGTCTCTAGGGGTGCAAAGTTTTGAGGGTGGTAGAACTGGGATTTGAACCCAAGGCCATGTGGCAGCCTAGGAAAGAGCCTGTGATTTCAGATCTTGGCTCAGCCCTTCATCTCGGGCCAGCCTTTTCTGTCTCAGCGGGCAGTGAGGCGTGGTGGGGGTGGGACATTCCCTCCAGGCCCTGGCGTGGAGGACTCCAAGTGTGGCCCTGCTCAAAGGATCCGAGGGAGCAAAGGCGCAGAAGAAGCGGGAGAGGAGGCGAGGGCCATTCTTATCCAAGAACCCCCTCTCCCTTTCCTGTAAGAACAGCTAGGCTCTTTCCATCCCCGCCTTTATCTGCTCCTTCCAGGCCTGGGAAGGCCGCTGGCGCTTGACAGCGGTTCCCAGGCGCACTGGCCGCCGGGCTTGCAGGGGCAGGCACGGTGCGCGCCCAGACTTTTCTGGGAAAGCGTGCGCGAACCTGCTGCCTGGCAGCTCGGTGGCTGGGAGCCCAGCCCTAGCTCACAAACGGGACTCTTCTACGCCCGGTGGGGACTCTGGTCCTACCCGTTGGACCTTGTGGGCCTACTACTGTGTGCTACATCCTCCTGTGATTCTCCTCCCTTTAGAAAATTCTTTCTGGCTCACGCCTGTAATCCCAGTATTTTGGGAAGCCGAGGCAGGAGGATCGCTTAAGCCGGTGAATTCGAAGCCAGCCTGCGCAACACGGTGAGACCCCCGTCTCTACAACAAAAATAATAAATTAGCCAGGTGTGGTGGCATGCAGCTGTTGTCCCAGCTACTTGGGAGGCTGAGGTGGGAGGATTTGTTGAGCCAGGGAGGTCGAGGCTGCAGTGAGCCAGGATTGCACCACTGCTCTCTAGCCTGGGCCAGACTGTGAGACTCAGCCTCAAAAAAAAAAAAAAAAGTTTATTTTTCTTCTTATCTCTGTCTTTCTAATAATAAATTTTAAATTACACAGGCAATCGATGAATTCATTTTCCTTTCAACACATTAAAATAGCACTGATTCATCATTCCCCTATCCTTTCTCCCCTCCCTCTCAAAAGTAATCATTATTATTATCAGTTTGGGAGCAATATTTTCAAATCTTTTTCTATAGGCCCATAGAAAATACATCATACTGTACATCCCTGTGTGTGTTTTTTTTTTTTTTTTTTTTTTTTTTTTTTTTGATACTGAGTCTCACCCTGTCACCCAGGCTGGAGTGCAGTGCCACGATCTCAGCTCACTGCAACCTCCACCTCCCAGGTTCAAGCGATTCTCCTGCCTCAGCCTCCTGAGTAGCTGGGATGCCCGCCACCACACCCAGCTAATTTTTGCATTTTTAGTAGAGACGCGGTTTCACTGTCTTGGCCAGGCTGGTCTCAAACTCCTGACCTTGTGATCCACCTGCCTTGGCCTCCCAAAGTGTTGGGATTACAGGCGTGAGCCACCTCGCCCCGGCCCTGTGGGTGGTTTTTATATGAATTGTGTCATACTCAGTTATTATGCCTCCTGCTTCCGATATTTTACTCAACAGAACTTCCTGGAGAACTTCCCATAAGAGTACCTGGAGACCGCCTGCCTCACTGCTCAAGGTACATTCCATGGTTCATGTGTGCCTTATTTTATAAACTGTTTCTCAATGGATGTGTGGATATTTAGACTATTTCCAGCTTTTCGCAATAAAACACTCCAATGATTACTTTTGTAATTGGCCCCATGTGCACTTAAGTGTTTGTTTTTCTGAGGGAGATAATAAGGAAACATGAGTCTGCTGGGCCATAGGGTGTGTGCATTTTATTTTATTATTTTATTTATTTATTTTGAGACAGAGTCTTGCTCTGTTGCCCAGGCTGGAGTGCAGTGGTGCGATTTCGGCTCACTGCAACCTCCGCCTCCTGGATTCAAGTGATTCTGCTGCCTCAGCCTCCCGAGTAGCTGGAACTACAGGCGTGTGTGCCACCACACCCAGCTAATTTTTATATTTTTAGTAGAGACGGGGTTTCACCATGTTGGCCAGGCTGGTCTCAAACTCCTGACCTCAGGTGATCTGCCTGCCTTGGCCTCCCAAAGTGCTGGGATTACAGGCCTGAACCACTGCTCCTGGCGGGGTGTGTGCATTTTAAAATTTAACAGATACTACAGATACTGCAAGTCGCTCTCCATGGTGGCTGAACCAACTTCCTACCGGTAGGATATATGAGACTATCCTTTTCCTAACATCCTAGTCAATCCTAGGTCTCAGCCAGCTTATAATGTTTTGCCAAGAGAGGTTTCTCACTGTTGTGTTCATTTGCGTGTTCATGGGCTTTTTCTAGAAGTTCCAGGTTGCTGGTGTGGGGGAAGAACTCAGGAATTCGGGTCAGGCAACCTGACTATCTGCTGTGTGACCAACACTAGACCCAGCCCTGTCTCCATCTGCTGTGTGACCAATGCTAAACCCAACCCTGTCTCCATCTGCCTAAGAATCTTGGTCAAGAGCTTCCTTTTGGTCCTCTGTTTCTTCATTTTTGAGGTCAAAGTTTCTTCCTCTCTAGGAGTCTGTTCTTCTTCCTCCGGCCCCTGCTGGGACTCTGGAATCCCTGAGTAAAGCAAGGCGTTCAGAAGCTCCTCCACTGTAATGCACACGTGTTCTCACTGGTGGACAAATCTTTAACTCTCCTGTTGCTCACTGAATAGTGCTCCAGAGATGTTCTGACCAGCATACAGCAGATGACAGGGACAGGAAACCAGATGGAAAGGGATTTATTATAATTTTTCCTTCACAAAACTATACTTTAGAAAAGTGAAACATGCTGAATGCCGAAAATTGGGAAAGTATAGAAAATTATAAAGAATAAAAATAAAATATAATCTCACTCTGCAGAGAGACTCATTGCTACCATTTGTGAGTTTAGTACATATACAGTATTTTATATATATGTTTAGTAGCTCACATTATATCATGAGTATGTCATTTAAAATATTTTTTAAAGTTTTAACTAAGAAAATTTGTTTTAGAGATGGGTTCTCGCTCTGTCACCCAGGCTGGAGTGCAGCAGAACAATCATGGCTGCCTGAAGCCTTGAACTGGGCTCAGGCGATCCTCCAGCCTCAGCCACCCAAGTAGCTGGGACTGCAGGCATGCACCTTCACACCCGGCTAAGTATTTTAATTTTTTAAGAGATGGAGTCTTGTGATGTTGTCCAGACTAGTCTCAAACTCCAGGTGTCAAGTGATCCTCTCACCTTGGCCTCCCAAGTTAATTTTTTTTTTTTTTTAGACGTGATCTCACTCTGTCATCTGGGCTGCAGTGCAGTGACACAATCTTGGCTTACCGCAGTCTTGACCTCCGAGGCTCAAGAAACCCTCCCCCCTCAGCCTCCTGAGTAGCTGGGACCACAGGCGTGTACCACGACTGGCCAATTTTTTGTATTTTTTGTAGAGATAGGGTTTCACCATGTTTCCCAGGCTGGTCTCAAACTCCTGAGCTCAAGCGATCCATCCACCTCAGCATTCCAAAATGCTGGGATTGCGGCATGAGCCACCATGTCCAGCTATTTTATTTTATTATTATTATTTTAAATGACTTTTCAAAAAGGCTGTACCAATTTGGGTTCCCACTAGAAGTCGTGGATTGGTGAATTTTTAAAGGAGCAGTGTGGCCCTCATCAACCTGGACGCACACGCTGGTCTCTAAGGCATGGAACAGTTGTGCTGGGAGGGAGCTCCTCTGAGAGGGTGGTCAGAAGAGCCCCCAGGCATCACCTCCACCATGAAAGCTCACCCCTCTCCCCTAAAGCTTAGATAACCAGCTGCATTTCCTAAGAGTGAGCACCAGGGGGCACCACATACCAAAGGAAAGTGGTCCAGACTGCGAGACCGCGGATTAGACCAAAGAGATAACGTTTTTTTTTTCTTAGACTGGGGCCCTCCAAGGCAGAGAGAAGACCAACTCTCCTGGCTTCCTTGACATTCTCCTTACCTGACGTTCTGCAGCCTCTTGGGAGACTCTCGGATGTACCCATAGGAGGCTGTGGGAGACAGAGGGTCATGTCCAGAAGGGAAATGGCAGTGTATGGCGTCACAGTAAGAGCTGGGGCAACTCCCCCGCTGTGTCTTTGATGTCTTTGCATCACCTTTCCAAGCCTCAGTTTTTCTCATGTGTCAAATGGGAGTGACAATTTCCTGCCTCGCTTTACTCTGTGTGTGTGTGTGTGTGTGTGCGCGCGTGTGTGTGTGTGTAACTTATGCCAAAGTGCTTTGAAAAACCGAGAAGTGGGAGGGGGGAGGGATAGCATTAGGAGATATACCTAATGTTAAATGACGAGTTAATGGGTGCAGCACACCAACATGGCACATGTATACATATGTAACTAACCTGCACGTTGTGCACATGTACCCTAAAACTTGAAGTATAATTAAAAAAAAAAAAAGAAAGAAAAACCGAGAAGGCCTAAGGATGTCTGCTGAGTTGAGACTAAGGTGTAGTGGGTGATATGTTTGGCTGTGTCGCCACCCAAATCTCATCTTGAATTGTAGCTCCCATAATTCCCACGTGTTGTGGGAGGGACCTGGTGGGAGACAGTTGAATCATGGGAGCAGTTTCCCCCATACGGTTCCCATGGTAGTGAATAAGTCTTATAAGATCTGATGATTTTATAAGGGGTTTCCCCTTTTGCTTAGCTCTCATTCATTCCCTCTTGTCTGCTGCTACGTAAGACGTGCCTTTTGCCTTCTGCCATGATTGTGAGGCCTCCCCAGCCACTTGGAACTGTGAGTCTACTAAACCTCTTTTTCTTTGTAAATTACCCAGTCTCTGGTCTTTATTAGCAGCATGAAAACAGACTAATACAGGGGGTAAGGACACGTGGAGCAAGATTGGTTACTACATTAGTCCAGGGAAGACAATGGTGGTGGCAGCTGTGAAGGTGGTGAGACGTGGCTGGATTCTGGATATATTTCAAGGGGAGAACCAGTGAGATGTATTGAAAGATTTGATGTCAGGGGTGAGAGAAAAAGGAGGTCAAGGGTGATACTAAGGCTTTTTGTCTTGAGCCAACAAAGACTAGCGGTGCCTTTTACTTAGTGGGGAAGATGGTGGAGGGATGGTTTGGAGGTGCAAATCAAGAGTTCCATATTTAGACATGCTACATTTGAGATGCCTTTTAGGTCACCGAGTGATTGAGTAAAGACAGAGGTCAGAAAACTGAGCCTTAGGCTGGGCTCGGTGGCTCACGCCTGTAATCCTAACACTTTAGGAGACTGAGGTGGGAGGATCACCCAGGAGTTTGAGACCAGCCTGGGCAACATAGGGAGACCCCATCTCTACAAAAAACAAAACAAGTTAGTGAGGTGTGGAGGCACACATCTGTGGTCCCAGCTACTTGGGAGGTTGAGGTAGGAGGATCACTTGTGCCTGGGAGGTTGAGGCTGCAGTGAGCTGTGATCACACTACTGCAGTCCACCCTGGGCAACAGGGCAAGACCCAGTCTCAAAAAAAAGATTTAGCCTTGATTCCTTTTCTCAGGGTCCTATAAGGATCACAGTATACAATAGATTGGACTAGATCAGAGATGAAAACATAACTCACACGCATGCGGCCACATCCCTTCCAGTGCCGCTGGCAGATATCACAAATTCATCACAGCACTCAGGAATCCTCTCAACCCAGAGCTCTAGGCAGCCTCTACCAACCAAGTGGAGATGATACAAAAACGAAAACTCTCCATCATCCTGAACTGGTTGAGATACCCAAGAATGCGGTTAAAACCATGGGCTTGGGCCGGGCGCCGTGGCTCACGCCTGTAATCCCAGCATTTTGGGAGGCTGAGGCAGGCAGATCACAAGGTCAGAAGATTAAGACCATCCTGGCTAACATGGTGAAACCCTGTCTCTACTAAAAATACAAAAAATTAGCCGGGCGTGGTGGCGGGTGCCTGTAGTCCCAGCTACTTGGGAGGCTGAGGCAGGAGAATGGCGTGAACCCTGGAGGTGGAGCTTGCAGTGAGCCGAGATCGCGCCACTGCACTCCAGCCTGGGCGACAGAGTGAGACTCCGTCTCAAAAAACAACAACAACAACAAAAAACCATGGGCTTTTGGGCTAGAGAGGCCTGGGCTGCACAGCTAATCTTGCTACCAGCTAACTTGAAACCTCAGAAAAAAACTGTTTCTCAGTTTCTTCATCTGAAAAATTGGATTAGTAATAGTTCCTATTTCATAGGGCTGTTGTGAACATTGAGATCATCCAATAAAATTATTTAGCACAGTGCCTGGGACACAGTCAACCATCAATAAAAGTGGCAGCAGCAGCAGTAATAGTTGTTGGATGGTGTTACTCCAGCTTGAACATTCCAGATACATCCGTCTTACATTCTGTTTCTGACATTGGACAAATAGTGTAATGTTGGGGCTGTCCAGCAGGAGGCACTGCTGACATGTACTTCTCTATTGCCCACAGAGGTCCAGGAAGTGGGAGGCAGTTTTCCCTGGAGCAGTGTTCTCTGATGATTGCCCTGGCAGAGGCCTAGACTTTTCTTCCTGGTACAATAAACCAAGCTCTTGGCTCCTCCCAGACAGCAGTGTCTCAGCTTTCTTCCTGGGACTGGTCCTCTCTTCTCAGATCCAGTTCCTGGCCTCCTCCTGCTTATAGCCTCCAGCCAAGCTGCTGAATCTGGCAACCCAGGCCCTGGCCAACCTTTCCTTCTTGTCCAGGCCCCTAGCGGCCGCCAACTTCCCCAAAGCCAGCAGGCACGTGCAGGACATGCCAGCTTGGAATAGGTTTCCTGCGCCCTCTCTCTTCCCCCTCAACTCTGTAAAATCCCTTTTTTTGATTCCTCCTCTTCAGAGATGGAGCCGGGCAGGACTAACCCTGCTGTGCAGATGGAATAAAAGGCAGGGACCTGTTCCACGATGCTCCCAAGCTCAGATCACAGCGAGCTAAAGGGAACCTGGGAGGTGGGTCTCCTAAGCCTCAGGCACAGGTGAGTCACTCGCCACTCAGACCACACTCATCTTTCAGACTCAGGTGTTCACTGGGGGCTCAGTGGGCATCTTCTGTCTTTCGGCCCTGTGCTGGGCACAGGGCTTGACTAAGATGGAGGGAGACCGTGCTGAGCCTCGGGAGGCTGAGACACGGGCTGGGCCTCGAGACGGGGAGATGGGGGCTGAGCCTCAGGAGGCTGAGATGGGGCTCGGCTGGGGGATGGCTGCTGTGGATCATAACAGATAGACAGTTCTACCTACCCTGTGATAGGGGATGGGCAGCCAGGGTGCTGTCAGAGGACAGATTTCTGGATGCTTGTGGAGACCCATGAAACCACAGGCTCCCTAAAGCACGTGTCTTTTTAAAAGGGTCCATCTTGGATCCATCTTTCCCCACACTCACCGTTGAACATGATTCTCCAGCCCTCTATAGCCTCAATATCCCTCTCTTGGCCAAATAGAATCTCTTTCCTGATTCCCCCATCCCCCGCCAGGGCATACATCCCCACCTCCCACACACCCCTGCTGCCCACACATCCCTGCTGCCCACACACCCCTGCTGCCCACACACCCCTGCTGCCCACACACCCCTGCTGCTTAGCATCAGGTGAACTTCTGGGAAGGCCCTGGAAAGGGCCCAGCAGGTGGGGGAGCAGCCTCTGAACCACCTCCCTTTCTTCCCCGTGCCCTCCTGCCTCAGCCACCATCTCCTTCCATGTACCCCTCCCTTCATTCTTCCTCTTGGCGTGGCATCCACAGCCTACAGAATATCTGTCCCTAGCCCTTATCACTGTCCACTCCCAGCCTGGGTTTTGCATAAGGAAGATGCCAGGACTTATTGCTTGATAAACTCCAGCGTGCCTTTGCCTCCCTCCCTCCCTCCTTCCCTCCCTCCTGCCTACGAAATCTGCAATCTTTGGCATGTGTTTGTTACACGGAATGCCACCAGTGGGTCATCAGCTGTCACTGTGAACAAACAAGAAAAAGAAAATGCAAAGCAGGCCGCTGCTTGGTGTGCCGGTGCCCCAAACCACAATGGCACACCTGGTGGTTTTCGGTGGAAGGCGGCCTGGGTTCAGCCCACGTGTTGGCCTGGGGACATCGCATGAGTCAGCTGAGGTGGATAGTCGTTCTTATTTATGGTGATTAAAAATACCTCTGTTTTTCCTTTACATAAAAACAATACACATTAGCTGTAGAATAATTAGAACTAGAAACTTTGGCTGCAACAAACAAAAACCAAAGACGTACCTGTAACGCGCCCCCCCGCCGCCCCGACCCCCACCCACTCACGCACCTAGAAATGATCACTGTGAGCTGCTTGGGAGGTGCTCGCAGACCACATGCCTTTTTTTTTTTTTTTCACTTATACAAAATGAGCTCATACTGTACATATTGTTTTATAACCTGCCTTTTTTGTTGAACAATATATTGTGAGTAAAAACTGCTAACATTTCATTAGACTTACTGTGGGCCTGCCCTGTGCCAAGCACTTTGTTTGTACATCAAGGATGTCATTTAGTCAACCCTAAGAGGTCAACTATTTACTGCCCCCATTTTACAGAGAGGACATCGAAGGGTCAAGTACTCTGTCGAGACCAAGAGGCAGTAAGAGGTGGGAATCCCTGGCCTGGGAGGCGGAAGGCTCCAGCTTCTCAGTGACTGACAAGTCGCTCTCTGGTTCGGGGCCTCGGGCTTCTCATCTGTAAAGTAAGGGGTGCTGGGGCTGGGCCAGAACAGCCTTCTGCACTGGGGAGGGGGCAGCAGACCCCACTCCCACTTACAGAGGCCACCCCCTCTGAGGCCTGCCTTCCTCCTCATTCTGAGTCTGACTCCCACTAAGCCTCGTGCCGAGCACTGTTCTGAGTACTAATGAGGTATGTATTCTTTCTTTCTTTTTAATTTTTTTAGAGAGTGGGTCTTGCTTTGTTGCCCAGGCTAGAGTACAGTGGTGCAGTCACAGCTCACTGCAGGCTCAGCCTCCTGGGCTCAAGTAATCCTTCCACCTCGGCCTCCTGAGTAGCTCAAAATACATGCATGCTCCACCATGCTCAGCTGATTTTCTTTGAGATGGAACCTTCCTCTGTCACCCAGGCTGGAGGGTGGTGGCATGATCTCTGCTCACTGAAACCTCCACCTCCCAGTTCAAGGGATTCTCCTGCCTCCCGAGTAGCTGGGATTACAGGCCGGCACCACCACACCTGGCTACTTTTTGTATTTTTAGTAGAGGTGGGGTTTCACCATGTTGGCCAGGCTAGTCTTGAACTCCTGACCTCAAATGATCTGCCTGCCTTGGCCTCCCAAAGTGCTGCGATTACAGATGTGAGCCACTGCACCCAGCCCCAGCTAACTTTTTTTTATTTTTGTAGAAACAGGGTCTTGCTATGTTGCCCAGGTTGGTCTTGAACTCCTGGCCTCAAGCAAGTCTCTCACCTTGGCCTCCCAAAACTCTGGGATTACAGGCATGAGCCACTGCACCTGGCCGGTAGGTGTTATTTCTATCCCCTTTGTACACAAGAGGAAACTGAGGCACAGAGAGCTAACGTAACTTGCCCAGCGTCACTCCATTAATAGGGGCAGAGTGAGGACCCAAACTTAAACTTTTCTGACCCCAGAGCTTGTGTTCTTAACCATTACCAGTTGCTTTGCAGCGTTGCTCTCCCCACAGGAAGAAAAACATTTTGATATATGTGTTCCTATGACTTAGGAAACATATGTATCGATATTTAACTGAAATAAAAATTTCCCAAAGTAAAAACATATCCTTACTATGCAAGATGCCCTCTAATCAATTAAAAGAAAATTCTGGCGACAGCCACTACATGTCTTACAAGACTCATAATGGATTGTGACATGTAGTTTGAAAATCGTTGCTAAGCCTGTCCCTCTGTGCCCTAGGGGAACCCTCCTTATTGGGTCCAAAGGCTTTCACTTGATCCTGGGAAGCAGCTGACATAGGGACTGCGACCCCATATCGGAGGAGAGGGAAGTGAGGACCAGAGAAGGGTAGGGCAGGTCCTGCCGAGGTCATGCAGAGAGGACTGGAATTAAGATCTAGAAACAGGCAGAGGGCAAACCTGGGCAAAGCCGGCCTTCTGTGCAGGGAGCTTTATTCAACACAGCCCCTGTCATGTTGGTAACTACCCCTTATTGAGCACCTACCCTTTGCAGGGTGTCACATACTAGGCTTAGCTCAGTTAATCTTCAAAGCAACCCAGGCAACAGAGAGTTAGGAGCCCTGTGGTATAGTTGTGGCAGCTAAAGCTCAGAGAGGTGGAGTGACCAGGCCAAGGCCACACAGGGTGCAGGACGCCATGTCTGGTTTTGGTCCCCACTGTGTTTCTAGAATCAAGCTCAGGGCCTGAAACATGACAGGTGCTCAGGAAACATGTCTGTCTGTCTGACCCCAAAGGCTTCTCTTTCTGCCATTGCTCTGCGGTTCCCACTAGCCCCCTTTCTGGGAGGCATGGCCTTGGGGCAGAGCAGGCGCCAGGGTGGTTGGAGGCTTGCTGGGCGAGGGTCCCTGGAATGACACTCTTTGCTGAGTTTCGGTTCCAGGTCCCTGCATGCTTGCCTGGCCCTGCCCTGTCAGCTGAGAGGGAGGGAGGGAGGGATCTAGACCGCTCCTCTTGGCTGGGGTGGAGGAACCCGCCTGGCGCCTGGGCTCATGCGGCCTCTCCCACCCCCCTGCCACTCCCGGCTCACCTCTCACTCCCAGGCTGGCTCTGGGTCTCCCGTGGGGCCAGAGAAAGGCCGGTCCTACCTCCAGCCTGAGTTCGATTCCCACCCGTTGGGCTCCCTCTCCCTTCCCCAGCCCCAGGCACAGGCAGTTCCTACCCCTTCCCCATAAGAGAAGTGGTTGTGGGTGAGAGGGTTGAGTCTCAGGGTTAACCCAAGGGCTGAGCAAACAGATTTGGCCTTGCACTCTCTGTTCCTTTTGGGCTGTGCACTGTCGGTGAGTTTCCAGTCCCCGTCCCCAAGGTACAGTCCCTCAGGTAGCCCTACCTTCCCTGAGCAGGAAGGGTCTGAGCTCCTAGCAGGAAGCCCAGAGCTGACTCAGGAGATGGTTCTAGACCTGGGAGGGGAGGAGGGGAAGGAAGGAGAGCTAGAGGCCAGGGCAGAAAGCCAACAGCTGGCTTGGACGGGGCATTGTGTGATTTGGAAGGTGCCATGTGTCCCAGGGGAGTGGCATTTTCACCTCCAACCTCCTCTCTGCTCATCTGGACCCCACCCCTCCCCTTTAGCTGGCTCCACACTCCCTCCCTGCAGGAAGCCTTCTCAGGTGGACCCCACCCCACACTGCCTGGCATCACTTTGCATCCCCTGGGAGGGAGGGAGGTGAGGCTGAGACCAAGCCCAGTGATAACTCACAGGTGTGAGCCTCCCCATCGTAGACGCCCTCTTCCAGCCCAGGTTCGAAATGCTGGATCCCTTTTTGGAAATGGTCTCAGTTTGCAGATGAAATACACACACACACACACACACACGCAAGCACGCACACACACATGCACACACGCCCCTATCATTACTTGGGAATCCTGTGTTGGTTTTGGCTAGAAACAGATGTTTCCAAATTAAATTGTAGAGGATGTCTGTAAATTTTTACCCACCCACCTAACTGTCCTACCGGAACGAGGGAGTCCTGCAGTCAGATGGATTTGGGACCAGACGATGTAAGGATTAAATGATACAAATCCAATTTATCTAATGCAGACCTTCTCAGATCCTTTATATCCTTTAATGCACATTGTGAATCTCTGAGCATCTGCAGTTTCCAAAATTTGCTTGACCTCAGAATTTTTTTTATTTTTTTTGGATACGGAGTTTCGCTCTTGTTGTCCAGGCTGGAGTGCAATGACGTGATCCCGGCTCACTGCAACCTCTGCCTCCCAAGGTCAAGCAACTCTCCTGCCTCAGCTTCCTGAGTAGCTGGGATTACAGGCATGTGACACCACGCCCGGCTAATTTTGTATTTTCAGTAGAGACGGGGTTTCTCCATGTTGGTCAGGCTGGTCTCGAACTCCTGATCTCATGGGATCCTCCCACCTTGGACTCCCAAAGTGCTGGGATTACAGGCGTGAGCCACTGCACCCAGACATTTATTTATTTATTTATTTTAATATAGTAGAGCATCTCTTGGGTCTAGAATGCTATTGAGCACCTTTTGTGAAATGCTAGAAAGTGCAGACCCACCTTAGCAATAATTATAATAACACAACATACTTCCATGGACTGGAGACTTACTCTATGTCAGACTTAATGTGCTAGATATCAGCCTATTCTCAAAACAGATGGTGAGACGCGTATTATTCTGGAAGAAGGGAAGAATATCTAGGTCATTTGGGTGAGGTAATTTACCATAAGCTGCCAAGCTATGGATCTTGCATTACCCGAGTGATATTTCAAATATTTATTGACCCATATAGCAGAGGCACCGACCCATGTACTGGAGATGGGAATGTACCGGGATCCCCCGGTGGACTGGGCATTAGCCCTTCAGTCACTGGATCGTGGGGAGGTCTGGAAGGCTTCAGGGTAGGGGATGGTGTCCCTGGAGAATCAAGAAGGCTGAGAGACCCTTGGGGGACTCAGGAGAGCAGCTGCTTACGAACCAGTGTGGAAGCGTTTCAATATTTTGCCAACTTTGTGGATGTACTGGTGCTGAGTGTAGGCCTGGACCGGACCACCATAAACACCCTTCCTGCGCACTGGGAGGAAGCGGAATGCTGGTTTCTGTCCAGCAGCACATTTTGGTTTCATTTGCAAACTGAGAAACAGCCCAGGGTAAAGATCAGGCAGATATGTGTGTGAATCCCAACTCAGATTCTGTCTAGGCACATGGCTTTGCTTTGGACAACTTCTGGCCCTTTCTGAATCTCAGTTTCTTTATCTGTAAAGTGGGGAAACATGTTGCTCTCCTTATTGGGTTGTTGTGAGGATTAAATGAGGTGTTGCCCATGAAGCCCAGCACCTGGCGTATGTTAATTGCCCTGCAAGTGAGAGCTCTCACCAATAAGGACTGTTGACTTTAATTGTCAACAAAATTGTGAGCTGTTTCAGCCTTTTGTTGTTGTTGTTTTGTTTTTTCGAGAAGAGCCTCACTCTGTTGCCTACTCTGTAGTGCAGTGGCGCAATCCCGGCTCACCGCAACTTCTGTCTCCTGGGTTCAAGCAATTCTCCCGCCTCAGCCTCCCGGGTTGCTGGGATTACAGGTGCCCGCCACCATGCCCAACTAATTTTTTTGTATTTTTAGTAGAGATGGGGTTTCACCATGTTGGCCAGGCTGGTCTCGAACTCTTGACCTCAAAGGATCTGCCCCCCTCAGCCTCCCAAAGGGCTGGGATTACGGGCATGAGCCACTGCGCCCAGCTCAGCCTTTCTTTAGGGAAGAGAGCATAGGTTTGGGACTTTTCATCTGCCAAATCCTTCTTTCTAGACACTGTTGGACTGTAGATTGAGCAATGAAACTGGAAGGTAACACGAGAAATATGACCATGAGCAGCTTCAAGTTGCTGTTAGATTGGTTTCTGCAACATACCACCTTGCACAGGTTCCTCATGAACTTGGACAGAAGTACATTTAGCCAATCCGAATTTAGCAATGAAGTGTTCCTGTATAGGTCATCCAATTAAAGTACAGCAATGTCCCTGGCTGTTTATCCAATTAGAACTTGGCCATGTTCTGATCCTGTGCAGGCTGCCCAATGAGGACTTGGATCTGTTGTGTGCTTGTCAGTCACACATACAGAGCTGCTGGTTTGATCTCTGCCAGAGCTGAGTTATCATCATGAGTTAAGAGAGCTCTTTCAGGCCGGGCTCCATGGTTCGCACCTGTAATTCCAGCATTTTGGGAGGGCGATGCGGGAGGATAGCTTGAGGCCAGGAGTTCAAAACCAGCCTGGGCAACATAGTGAGACTCCTGTCTCTACAAAAAAATTTTTAAAAAAATTAGCCAGCCGGGCATGGTGGCTCATGCCTGTAATCTCAGCACTTTGGGAAGCCAAGGCGGGTGGATCACGAGGTCAGGAGTTTGAAACCAGCCTGGCCAATATGGTGAAACCCTGTCTCTACTAATAATACAAAAAATTAGCCAGGCATGGTGGTGCGCACCTGTAGTTCCAGCTACTTGGGCGGCTGAGGCAGGAGAATTGCTTGAACCTGGGAGGTGGAGGTTGCTGTGAGCCGAGATTGTGCCACTGTACTCCAGCCTGGGTGACAGAGTGATACTCCGTATCAAAAAAAAAAAAAAAAAAAATTAGCTGAGGGCGGTGGGACAGACCTGTGGTACCAGCTACTTGGGAGGCTGAGGCGGGAGGATCTCTTGAGCCTAGAGTTCGAGGCTGCAGTGAGCTGTGATTGCATCACTGCACTCAGCCTGGGCAACAGAGTGAGACCCTGTCTTAAAAAAAAAAAGCAAATTAATATTAATACTTAATAATAAAATTACTTGTGTTGTTTATAACAAATATTATTTGTTTTATTATTTCCTTGACAAAAACACTCTTTAAAATGACTTATGCCCATTGTGGGAAGGTCTCTGGAAAGGACACGCACTGGATAGAAAATTGGGAACAGTTTATTTCAAACAACAAAAGCAGCCCACAGTCCTCATGGATGAACTTTGCAGAGGGCCTCACAGCCAGGAACTTCCTTTGACCCCTGGGTGGCCTCGACCAGACCCTTCTCAGTGGGAATGGCCTTGGCTATTTGTGAGTGAGCTGCCTGCCCATTGCCCATGGGTCAGTCCATGGGTGGCTTGGGTCCTCTGTCCAGGGTGGCACCGACCTCAAGGCCAGTCACCTGGAGATGGGGGCCAGGTTGTGCAGACTTGCTACCCGCTTCCTGGAGCAAACAGTTGGGGGTGATCCCCAGAGGAGATGTACACACAGCATACTCCCAGCTAACGGCCTCAGCATTCTTATCGCTGCCCAGATGAGGCCTAGTTAATTACTGACCAGAGAACGGCGGCGACTGAATCCCCGGCATAAGCTGTTGCCTCTAAACGGTCCAGGGGGTCCTTGCAGCCTGGGGGCCAGTTTCTTTGCCCACCCTGCAAAGAGGTACATTCACCATTAACCACAGAAAGAAGGATTTGCGTTCAGTTCAAGGAAGGCTTATAATTCTCCAGGGGTGTCCAGACCCTGGGATGGGGCCTCCGGAGTCACAGAATTTCTTCTTCAAAGCAGAGAAACATGCCTGCCCAGCTCAGCATGATCCAGCTTCAGAGGCAGAGCGCCGATGGATGGGGTGTTTGGTCAGTGAACAAAGGGCAGCATGTGTGGCTGGCTCCCTGGGCAAGTAACTTTCCCTGTCTGGCCTCGGTGTTCCCATGTGTCAGATGGGGATGCTGGAGGACATGATTTCGAGGGTCCCTCAGTCCTTGCCTCATCCCCCTTGTCTGGCCATGCCCAATTCTCCCTCTGCTCCTCAACCTACACCCTCTTTCTTAACCAGACAGGCATCCTCCTGACCCTACTCCCCTCCTCTCCTCCACAAAGCCCTCTCTGCTTTCCTTCTCCTGTGCAAGCTCTGTCCAAGCTGCAAGATCTGACCAAATCACTTCTCCAGGAAGTCTGAAGCCACCTCTGGCTACACCAACGCTCATGAATCTCCCTCTCTCTGGGTGGTTCCACATGCAAAGCCAAAACCTCTGAACTTCTTCCAGGTTTCTGGAAGAATAACAGCCAATACTAGATAGCACTGCCTGTGTGCCAGGCACTGGAGCAAACAACGAGCACATGTTAACACATCTCATCCTCATAGCTCTGCTCTTATTCCCAATTTACAGATGAAGAAAGTGAGTCCGGAGGGGTTAAGCAACTTGCCCACAGACACACAGCCAGTATGTGGTGGCTGCAGTTGGCTTCAGAACTGTGCTACCCAGGAGGGCAGCCTCCAGCCCTGAGTGACCATTGAGCACTAGAGATGTGGCTGGTGTGAATCGAGACAAGCTGTGAGTGTGTAATGGACACCAGGTTTTGAATGGTTGGTGTGACAAAAAGAATGTACTATATCACATTGAAATTTTTATATTGATTTCATGGTGACATATTTTCCATATATTGAGTTAAATAAAATATATTGTTAACACTAATTTCACTCCTATCTTTACTTTTTGATATGGCTACAAGAAAATTTAAAATTATATAGTTAAAAATTATAGTTAGAATTATGTAGTTATAATTACATAGACAGTGCTGTTCTAAAATCTGTGTTCCTAAGCACTGCTGTACTGCATCTCTTGCACAAAGGTGGTGGTAGTGGTGATGGGGGTGGTGACGGTGATAGAGGTAGTGATGGAGGTGGTGATGAAGGTGATGAGGGTGATAGAGGTGATGGAGGTGGTGAGGGTGATGGAGGTGGTGAGGGAGGTGGTGAGGGTGATGGAGGTGGTGATGGAGGTGGTGAGGGTGATGGAGGTGGTGAGGGAGGTGGTGATGGAGGTGGTGAGGGTGATGGAGGTGGTGAGGGAGGTGGTGAGGGTGATGAAGGTGGTGATGGAGGTGGTGAGGGTGATGGAGGTGGTGATAGAGGTGGTGATGGAGGTGGTGAGGGTGATGGAGGTGGTGGTGGAGGTGGTGAGGGTGACAGGTAGTGATAGAGGTGGTGATGGAGGTGGTGAGGGTGATGGAGGTAGTAATAGAGGTGGTGATGGAGATGGTGAGGGTGATGAAGGTGGTGATGGAGGTGGTGTGAGTGATGGAGGCAGTGATAGAGGTGGTGATGGAGGTGGTGAGGGTGATGGAGGTGGTGATGGAGGTGGTGAGGGTGATGGAGGTGGTGATGGAGGTGGTGAGGGTGATGGAGGTGGTGACGGAGGTGGTGAGGGTGATGGAGGTGGTGATGGAGGTGGTGAGGGTGATGGAGGTGGTGATGGAGGTGGTGAGGGTGATGGAGGTGGTGATGGAGGTGGTGATGGTGATGGAGTTGGTGATGATGATGGAGGTGGTGATGGTGATAGAGGTGGTGATGGTGATGGAGGTGATGCTGGAGGAGATGGTAGAGGTGGTGATACTGGTGAGGTTGATGGGATGTTAGTCGTAGTGGGGTGGATGATAGATGAAGCCATCTTGCTATGGTCTAAATGTTTGTGTGCCCCCAAAATTTATATGTTGAAACCTGAACACCAGTGTGAGGATATTAGGATATTAGGAGGAGGGCCTTGGGGGTGATTAGATCATGAAGACACGGCCCTCATGAATGGGATTAGTGCCCTTATAAAAGAGGCCCCAGAGAACTCCCTTGCCCCTTCCATCAGGTGGGGTTGCTGTAAGAAGCCATCATCTACGAACCAGAAAACAGGTCCTCACCAGATGCCGAATCTGCTGGCACCTTGGTCTTGGACTTCTAGCCTCCAGAACTGTCAAGAACAAATTGCTGTTGTTTATAAGCCCCCCAGTTTATTGGCATTTTGTAATAGCATCCTGAACAGACTAAAACATCTGATTATAGCAGCTAATATTTTAAAAGAAATACGTTTTGCTGAAAAATACATGTCCACTGTAAAAAAAAATGCAAACAATACAGAGAAAGTGAAAGTTTCTCTGTATTATTTTATTCTTTTACTTCAGACATTTGCCACTAGTTACAAGGGAGTGCGGTCTTCCAGCCTTTTTTGATTGTTTGTTTGTTTGTTTGTTTGAGACGGAGTCTTGCTCTGTGGCCCAGGCTGGAGTGCAGTGGTGTGATCTCAGCTCACTGCAACCTCCGCCTCCTGGGTTCAAGCAATCCTCCTGCCTCAGCTTCCTGAGTAGCTGGGATTACAGGTGCCCACCACCACACCCAGCTAATTTTTGTGTTTTTAGTAGAGACGGAGTTTCACCATGTTGGCCAGGCTGGTCTTGAACTCCTGACTTCAAGTGATCCACCCGCCTCAGCCTCCCAAAGTGTTGGGATTACAGGTGTGAGCCACTGCGTCCAGCCTTCCAGCCTTTTTATGTATACAGAAACGTGAGGAAGATATATACTTAAAAATCAATGGTTTAATAATATTTATGTAGTTCTGTAACCTGTTTTCTCACCTGGCCATGTGTCGTGTCTATTTTTCTCATTAGTGTACATGGATTTGTTTTATTCTTTTTACCAGCTGCATAGTATTTCCCTGCATAATTCTGGCAAAGTCAATTGATGCCCACTCAGGTTGTTCCTGGTTTTTACTATTATAACCAGTGATATAATGAACATCTTGTACAGAGGTCTTTGAACTTTTGTGCCAGCATTTCTGTAGGATTGAGTTGTAGAAGCAGAATTGCTTGACTAAAGTGTCTGCACATTTGCTATTTTGCCTCAGATTGCAAATTGGTCCCTCAGAAATTACCCTCTTGAACATGCTATGTGCAAGTTCCTACTTCATCCTATTTTAGCTTCATCCACTTTTGCTAGGACAGGTGCAGTAGCCTGTGACCAGCCTTCCCACATTCACCTTGCTCCCCTCCATCTTCTGTCCTTACAACAGCCAGAGTTGCTTTTTTGAAATACAAACCTGACTACATCATTACCTCCCACTTCCCCCCACCCAAACCTTTGGGGGCCACACTGCCTTTATGACAATGGAGCTTTCCTGTGCCCTGTGAGGCCCCATGGGACCTGGCCCCTGCTAACCTGGCCAGCTTCTCTGATGCAGGCTTCCTCTCCACCTCTGCGGCCATGCCAGTTATCGAGTCTCCTGCACTCTGTTCTTTCCCACCTCAAGGGCTTTGCCTGAGCTGTATCTGCTACCTGAAACACCCTTTCCAGCCCTCATCCTACCCTTTGCTATTTGACTTCTGCTTATCCTTCACCTCTTAATCCAAAGGGCACCTCCTCAGGGAAGCCCTCCCTGACCTACAGCTCAGACTAGTCCCTCAGGGGATCCACCCCTCCTTCAACACACCTTTCACTATTGGTGGGCACATGTTTGTCTGTGTGATTATCCTCCTCCTTGAAGGAAAGGGTCACTCCTCACAGTACCCCCAGACCCCAGGGCAGTGTCTGGCTCCCAGACACTCAGTAAAGATTTCTCCAAAACAATTTTTTTATCATTTAATTGTTCATTAAATTTTGACCCATGAAATCAGTTTTTGTTTGACCCTCTCTGCAACCTTGCAAAGGAAGCAGGGCTTGGAGTATCATTGCCATTTTATAGAGGGGGAAACTGAGGCATTGAGAGGCAAACTTCTTCATCTGAAATCATTCAGCAGGTAAATGGCCAGGACGTGGGACTCAAACAGAGTTCTCCCGATTCCAGCTCTTCCACCGACACTTTTCACACCTGAGCTCATGTGGGGCTCCGAATCCCTCCTTTACTATCTTCAGAAAATTCCATCTCTCTCACTTTTTCTTTTGCTTCTATTGCTACATCTTTGATCTGGCCTTTTATGGTTCTGAACAATAAGAGACTCACAGAGGTGTTAGAGGGGGTTGGCCCCTTGCAGGTGAGGCTCAGGGGCTTCATCTTACACACGACAGAACCAGGGTGCAGAGAGTGCCTATCGCCTGCTCATGGGGACCCCCACAAAGCATGTTCATGCACCTAGTGAACAAAATATGCTGAGCACCTACTGTGTGCAGGTCCCTGCTCTCAGTGCTGAGGACACAGCAGCAAACAAGAGACACTCAGTCCTTGATCTCAAGGAGCTGACATTCTACAGGGGAAAGACAATACATAAACTCAGTAATTTCAGAATATAACATGTGTTATGGAGAATTATTTTTTTAAAGGAAAAAGGGATACAGAGTGACTGACCATAGTGGTCAAAGGGGCCTCTCTGAGGAGCTGACATTTGAGATGAGACATGAATGATGGGAAGGAGGGAGCCATGGGAAGTTGTGGAGGAAGAGCATTCTAGGGAGAGGAGAATATTAATGCAGGGGGCACAGCCAGAAGCCCCAGGTGCCTTGCGCAGAGTGAACAAGGCTAACAGTGGGGGCTGAAGCAGAAGGAGAGGAGGGCAGGGGCCAGAGAAGACAAGGTCATAGTGAGAACAGTGGCTTTTCCTCTAGTGTAACATGAAGCCAGTGGACAGTTCTGAGCAGGGGAGTCATACAATCTGATTTGCATTCTTCAAAAACCACTCTGGCTGCTGTGTGCAGAAGGGCTGTAGAGGGGCAAGGGTGGACATGATGGCAAGTTAGAAGTGGTTGGTGGCACGGACCAGGCTGGTGGAGGTGGTAGAAGTGATGAGTTCGATGCGGGACGTATTTTAACAGTGGACCTGGCTGGGCACGGTGGCTCACGGCTGTAATCCCGACACTTTGGGAGGCCAAGGCTGGTGGATCACTTAAGGTCAGGAGTTCTACACAAGCCTGACCAACATGTGAAACCCCATCTCTACTAAAAATACAAAATTAGCCAGGTATGATGGCGCATGCCTGTAATCCCAGCTACTTGGGAGGCTGAGGCAGGAGAATTGCTTGAACCTGGGAGGCGGAGGTTGCAGTGAGCCGAGATCTCGCCACTGCACTCCAGCCTGGGCAACAAGAGCGAAACTCTGTCTTAAAATAAACAAATAAACGGTGGACCCATGAGAATTGCTGATGGACAGGATGTGGGGCGTGAGGGAAAGAAGAGGAATCCAGGGTGTCTGCTGGGGTTTTGATCTGAGCACTTGGAGGGAGGGGACGGCTGAGCGGGGGCGGGGGGTGATGAGCAGGTACGAGGGGGTGGGGCTCAGATTTTGATTGGGGACTTGTTATGGGTGAGCTGTTAATGAGACACTCAAGCGGCCCAGTACAGTGGACAGGCGGATCTGTAAATCTCGGCTGGGGCAGAGGTCCAGAGAGGCACACACTTGAGAGGCATTGATGTAGAAACAGGGCAGGGAGGCCACCCGCCTCCTGACTCCCCGCCAGATGCTCCTTCCCTCTCTCTCACTCCTGCAGCCCTCCAGGCAGATCCTCCCGGGAGCAGGCAGCCAGGTGGGCCCCTGAGGAGATGCAGCGCCCTGCCTTCTGCTTTCCCCTCCTGCCCTGGCTCTGGTTCCTTGGCAAACAGCCCCGAGCCTCCTGGGCTGCTAGATTTCAGAAAAGCGTTCCAGTTTGGCAAAGTAAACACAGTCGAGGAGAAAAGCAACACCTTGCAAAACAGCTCCAGGCCCCCAAAGGAGAATTTTCTTGGTCCTTTCTTTAACTTTCAGCACTGGCCTCAAGCCAAGAATGTGTCCTGTATTTTCTTCCTTGGTCCCTCCCCAGTGCCCACCCCATCCCTGGTGTCTGAGATCCCCAGGGCACTAATCTGCCAGTGTGAGAGTGGAGCGGCTGTGCTGGGAAACCCCGGAATGGCAGGTCCTCCTCTTTCCTCCCACAAAGCCCAGGGTTTACAGCTGCTCAGGAGGGCAAAGAGGGTGGCTCTCGAGTGGGACTGCCTAGCTCTGAGTCCTGGCTTGGCTGCCTCCTACACCTACAAGCCATGTGACCTCAGACAAGTTACTTCCCGCTGTGTGCCTCAGTTTGCTACCCTGTAAAATGGGGATGATAGTGGTTCTACCTGATAGGTTTGCCTGAGGAATGAATGAGCTGCTATGTGCAAAGCTTAAAATACCTGACAAGTAGTGAGGGCTCCATAAATTATAGCAGTTCTTAGGGTTGCCCTGGGCTTGGACAAGATAAAGAACACAATCCCAGAGGGGTGCTGCCTGAGTTCAAGGACCAGCTCCACCCCGTACCACTCAATCCCTGAGTGCCTTGGGGAGATCCTCTCTAGCAGAACCCCCCTCCCAGGATTGTGGGTCCTACAGGGTCTGTGCCTGGAACAGAGGCATGAGTACACAGTGGATGTTGACTGATGGAAAAACAGTGGTTCTTCCTTACCTGGGCTCCCTAAATCCAGTCCAGGCCTCCAACCTCAGTCCAGCCTGAGAGGGACTGTCAGGCTTAGTCCACATTCATCATGATGGTGCCTGAAATTCCACCATTATTGCTTCACTTCTTTGGCTTAAGACTTCATCCTGGTTAAAATACAGAGAGCCCAGAAAAGGGTCACCCATCCAGTCTTCTGTCATTTATCCCTAGTGTAAAGGAGTTTGTTAGCTGTTTTTCTGAGAGCAGGTATGGGAAGGGCAAGCATGCCCTCCCTCCAGGCCCTCCCCTCCTCTGCTTAGACCCTCAGGACTTCTGCTGCCTGCTGAGGGGAGTCCCGGCTCCCCAGCCTGGCCTGCAGCCCATATGGGGTCTGGTCCCCCACGTGCCTCTTGTGCGCATTCTCAACAGGCACACTTGCTCCCATGGCCAGCCTAGATTTCTCCTTCCCACTCATTTGGGCTTTCTGGCCCTGGTGCCTTTGCTCATTTAAGCCCTGCCATCAAAATTCCGTCCTATCCCCCTGCCCCACCTTGCAGTTCTTTGCCTCTCTTGGAAGCTCTGTGTCAAAGATTCTTAATCTCAGTGCACTCCTGACATTTGGGGAGGGATAATTTTTTTTTTTTTTTTGAGACAGAGTCTTGCTCAGTCACCCAGGCTGGAGTGCAGTGGCGCCATCTCAGCTCACTGCAACCTCCGCCTCCCGGGTTCAAGCGATTCTCCTGCCTCAGCTTCTGGAGTAGCTGGGATTACAGGTGCCTGCCACCATGCCCAGCTAGTTTTTGTATTTTTAGTAGAGACGGGGTTTCACCATGTTGGCCAAGCTGGCCTCAAACTCCTGACCTCAGGTGATCCACCCGCCTGGGCCTCCCAAAATGCTGGGATCACAGGCACCACCTTCTCAGGGGCCTCCCCAGCCTCCCCACCTATGACCTTCTCCCCCAGCAAGTTGCTCTGTTTCTTTATCCCACTTTATTTTCTTCGCAGCCTTTATCGTGATCAGAAACTATGCTCTCTGTGTACTCACTTCCTTGCCTCTTCATAGTCTTCCCCAACCAGAATGGGCAGCTTCTCATGCAGGGGACTCTGTCCTGTCTACTGCTGCTCCCTCAGAGCCAAAAACTGTACCTGGCACACAGCAGGTATCCATGCCCAGCCCAGGGCGGGATAGTAGTTGATTGTGGGGACTGTTCTGCTCATTGTAGGATGTTCAGCACGTCTCTGGTTTCTACCCACTAAAAGCCAGCTGCATCTGTCCAGATTGACAAGCAAAAATGTCTCCAGACATTGCCAAATGTCCCCAGAGGATGGCAGTTACAGTGACCCCTGGTTGAGAACCACTCACTGGTGTATAGTATATTGCAAAGGGACTGGGGCACCTGGGGTCGCACCTGGCCCTGCTCCTGCTGGCTGTGGAACTTGTACGGGAGCTATGTGAGCCTTGCCTTCCTCAGTTGCAAAGTGGGCATAAAAAAGCCTGTCTCACAGATGACACTGACGAGTGATCATTGTCGCAAAGTACCGTATCTCACTTTTAATAGTTGCTTGAAAAATTGAAGCTAAAATTCAAATGACAGCAATGCAATCTGACTTGGGCTAAATTCTTCCTCCCCAGTTTTCCTCATTGCAGGAAATGGCACCCACTCCCCAACCCGGTTCAGCCAGGCCCCACACCCTGGAGTCTTCCTTGATTTCTTTTTTCTTTCTTTCTTTCTTTCTTTCTTTCTTTCTTTCTTTCTTTCTTTCTTTCTTTCTTTCTTTCTTTCTTTCTCTCTTTCTTTCTTTCTTTTTCTTTCATCTCTCTCTCTTTCCTTCCTTCCTTCCTTCCTTCCTTCCTTCCTTCCTTCCTTCCTACCTTCCCTTCCCTTCCCCTTCCTTCTTTGTTTCTTTCTTTGTTGCTTGCTTGCTTGCTTTCTTTCTTTCTTTCTTTCTCTCTCTCTCTTTCTTTCTTTCTTTCCTTTTTTATTTTTTTTGACAGAGTCTCACTCTGTTGCCCCGGCTGGAGTGCAGTGGCGCGATCACAACTCACTGCAGCCTCGACATCCTGGGGTTCAGGTCATCCTCTCACTTCAGCCTCCTGAGTAACTGGGACCACAGGTGTGTGCCACCATGGCTGGCTAATTTTTTTATTTTTTGTAGGGATGGGGTCTTGCCATGTTGCCCAGGCTGGTCTTGAACTCCTGAACTCAAGTGACCTGCCTGCCTTGGTCTCCCAAAGTGTTGGGATTACAGGCATGAGCCACCATGCCCGGTTATCTTCCTTAATTTCTATACCCCACATCTGTCATCAGCAAATGCTTTGGTACTGCCTCCAAAACCATCCAAAATCCAGCTGTTCACCCCAAATCTCTCTCTCCCACAGACAGCGTAGCAGCTCCGCATGAGCCTGATTCCACCCCACCCCTCCAATCCACTCTCCACAGGCAACCAGAGGGTCTTCTTCAGATGTGACTCAAATCAAATGCGCAGGCCTTATGGTGGTCTTTACCTGACCCAGCTCTGCCTACCTTTCCTCTGCCGGCCCGTGGGCATCATCCTCACTGGCCTTGTTCCTGAGACAGAATTGCCTGTAATCCAAGCACTTTGGGAGGCTAAGGCGGGAGGATTGCTTGAGCCCAGGAGTTCAAGACCAGCCTAGGCAACATAGTGAGACCCCGTCTCTAAAAAAAATAAAAAAGATGAGGCAGGAGGATCACTTGAGGCCGGGAGGTCAAGGCTGCAGGGAGCCATGATTGTGCCACAGCACTCCCGCACAGGTGATAGAGTGGGATCCTGTGTCACAAAAAAAAAAAAAAAAATTGCAACCACTGCCCCCATGGCCTGGGCACTTGGGTTTGCCTGCCTGGCACACAGGGTCTCAGCATCACCTGGCCAGGGTCTTCATGCCTTTCGTGTCCCTGCTCCCGCACCACCTCCTCAGGGGCCTCCCCGGACTCCCCACCTACAACCTTCTTCCCCAGCAAGTTGCTCTGTTCCTTTATCTCACTTTATTTTCTTCACAGCCTTTATCGTGCTCGGAAACTATGCTCTCTGTTTACTCACTTCCTTGCCTCTTCATAGTCTTCCCCAGCCAGAATGGTCAGCTTCTCATGCAGGGGACTCTGTCCTGTCTGCTGCTGCTTCCTTGGAGCCAAAAACTGTACCTGGCACACAGTAGGCACCTCATTAGTGCTCAGTGGAATGCAAGACTCCAGCCGTAAAGTATTGACCATCTTGGAAATGCAGCTCAGATGCCACCTGCCCCCACCTTCTCCCCAGAGCCACCAAAGCCTCTGTCTCTCTCTGTAGGCTAAGCCCCGTGGCCCTGTTGTCAGTTCCTTACGGAATGTGGCCCATTTTCTCAGACCCACAGTCAGCTCCTGGAGGGCAGGGTCAGGTCCTGCTGATTCCTGTATCCCCACTGAACATGGCACTTACTCACACCCATAGAGAAGGCTTGGAGTAAATACAGATAGGGGCAGTGGGTGCCCAGGAAGAAGTGCAAAGAGCCCCAGCATTTGCTGCTTGTTTTGGGGCAAACACACTTCATCTCTCATGCCGCAGGGATTAAAGATGGCTGCAAATTCTCCGACACGCCTCCCATGGACCTAAGGGGCCTGTAACTGCTTTGACCAACAGAAAACAGCAGAAGTGATGCTGGGCCAGGTCCTGGCTCAGACCCTGAGAGACTGCAGCTTCACTTCCTGTCATTTGGAGCCTTGAGCGGCCAGGTGAGAAGGCTGACCACCTTGCTGCTAGTGAAGAGGGGCCCCGGTGAGCCCAGCCTCACAACAGCCCCCACCGAGCTGTCAGGGGTGTGAGAAAAGCTGGTGGACCCTTCAGATGAGCTCAGTTGAGTATTTCCAAGTAACCTCAGTCAATGCTACATGAAGCCAAAGAATTGCTTGAATTCCTAACCCACAAAATAACAAGATATAATAAAATGCTGTCTTAAACCAACAACTTTGTAATAGGTTATTGGGACACATGTCAACTCTGATCTGTGGGAGATGGCTGCCTGAAACGCTCCCTTGGGCAGGCATCTGGAGCTGAGATGGGTTTGTTTTGGTGAAGAAGGGTTCTGTGATCTGTTAGTGATGTCTGCCATGAGCACAGGAGGGGAGATGGGGAGTTAGCTGTGCTGCACATTTCATATTCCTGGCAAATTGTATGTCAAGTACAGTAGGGCATAATTTAATTTAATTTAATTTTTTTTTCAAGACAGAGTCTTGCTCTGTCATCCAGGCTGGAGTGCAGTGGCACAATCTCAACTGACTGCAAGCCTCCGCCTCCTGGGTTCAAGGTGTTCTTGTGCCTCAGCCTCCCAAGTAGCTGGGATTACAGGTGCACACTACCACACCTGGCTAATTTTTGTATTTTTAGTAGAGACAGGATTTCGCCATGTTGGCCAGATTGGTCTTGAAATTCTGACCTCAAGTGATCCACACACCTTGGCCTCCCAAAGTACTGGGATTACAGGCATGAGCCAATGTGCCTGGCCAATTTTATTTAATTTTCATTGTTCGGACTTATCATCTTCATTTTATAAGTGAAGAGACTGAGGAACAGAGAGATTATGTAGCACATCCCAGCTAGAAGGTCCCTCAGCTAAAGGCGGGCAGAATAGGGTCTGTGGCCCCAAAGTCCACACTTTTCCCACGAAACTGGGTAAGAACACAGGTGTTCCCCAGAGGCAAAACTGTTGTCCACCGCAGGTTCACAGACCCCCTCTGTCCTGATTGATCATGGACCCCTCCCCATGCCTTCCGTCTTCACCAGCCCTCAGTCCTTGTGACTAGGTCTGGCTCTACTCAGGGACTGGGACAGCTGGCACCAGGCCAGCGTCACCAGTGGCCCCAAACTGCTGGGTTTCCCCTCTGTCATGGGAGGCTGGCACTTAGGTATCTCTCAAGGGTGGAACCAGGCAAGTTTATAAAGAGCTTAATGAAATACCCGTTTCACAGCTCTCAGAGCCAGGCAAAGCTAAGTGCTCTGTGCAAGGTTCTTAGAGAGCAATTAAGAAAACCTTTCTTAGGGGAGTCGGAAGCCTTGTGGTGGGGGTGGGGGTGGCAGGGAGTGGGAAGAGGGAGGAGCAGGGTTGACAGCTGAGGCCCAGCTCTACCCCTTCCTGGAGGTGTGATCTTGAATAAGCGATTTCGCCGTTCCTACCCTCAGTCTTTTCATCTAATTCAGGTGGGGATAATTAGACCTACCTTGCTTGGTAATTTTTAAGATAGAGGATTTAATTAAGTGAAGTGCTTTGAACAGTGCTTAGCGCACATTGGTGCTTACTAAACTTTTCTTATGAATGAATGAATGAGTGAATGAATGAATGAACAAGAATAACTGTTGACCGCGCTGAGCTGTATACGCGGGTCTGAATCCCATGCTGGTTTGGCTGGCTCTCTGCACTCACTATGCCTGGAACAGAGTAGTCACCTAATACATATTTGCTGAAAAAAATTCTTCTAAGTCCAACTTAAGGAAGTTTTCAGGCACACACACACAAAAATCATACACTGCATTCCAAAGTAGATAGAATTTATTCAGGTGGTGATAATACCTCAAGTCTTCAGACCCAGTATCAGGAAGCCTCATCTGTGAACCAGGAAGCAAGCAGAAAAGACCTCTGAACACACGAAAGTATAAAGTTCATGTGCCAATACCTATGACTTCTTTCCTAGAAATACCCTCTGACTCTCATTTGTAACCTAGTTACTCTTGGCTTACAAACAACTTTCATTAAGGTTTTCAAGCCCACCTTAGACTAGAAGAAGCAAGTTGGAGAGGAAGAAATCCTGGGAGATGGAGAAGTACTTGTACAGAAACAATTCCAGGTTGGGCACGGTTGCTCACGCCTGAAATCCCAGCACTTTGAGAGGCTGAGGTGGGAGGACTGCTCGAGCTCAGGAGTTCGAGACCAGCCTGAGCAACATGGCAAAACCCTGTCTCCACAAAATATACAAAAATTAGCCAGGTGTGGTAGCATCGCCTGTAGTCGCAGCTACTCGGGAGGCTGAGGTGAGAGGATGGTTTGAGCTCAGGAGGTCAAGGATGCAGTGAGCCATGATTGCACCACTGTACTCCAGTCTGGGCGACAGAGCATGACATTGTCTCAAAACAACAACAAAAACAACCAAAAAGACAAAACAAACAAACAAAAAAACAAACCAATTCCACCAGGAAGTTGGGCTTCATAGCCATAAAATAGGAATAACAAAAATTCAAGAAAACCCCACGATAATGTAAATCTGGTAAACTGCTATTGGCAATTTGGCTCCAGGTCCCTAGAAGTCAAGACCAGCTAGCTACGCAGGTGGCTGTACATAAGCTAATGCAAGATTGCATTTGAAACAATTGGAATTTGTGGGCCCCACTTTTAATGTTCTGGTGGGGTTTCTACTATGGCAATATTTCTCATTTATTGAGGGCTTCATATATTCCAGATGTTTTAGGTACATGTTCTCACTTAATCTTACAATCAACCTATGAGATGGGTACTGTTATCCTCTTAATACAGAGCATGGCTTCTAATCCTTGGCACTGTTGACTTGTTTGAGGGGCTGTCCCTTGTGTTGTAGGAAATTCAGCAGCATCCCTGACCTCTGCCCACCAGATGCCAGTAGGATTCTCCACCTTCCAGTCATGACAACCAAAATTGCCAGATGCCCCTGGCACAGAATTGGCCCCAGCTGAGAAAATGTTATAAATGTGGGAACTGAGGCTCAGAGAGGGTGAGAGTTGTCCAAGGTCACACAGCTTGCAAGTGGCTGAGCTGGGATTTATACCCAGGTCCACAGGTGCCAGACAGAGCACAAGCTCTGAAGCCCTGGAGGTTGTGCATAAGTTACTCCACAGAGATTGCCGGGAGGCTCCAATGGGATCATCTCCCAGAACAGAAGTCATAAGTGGCTGTTCTGAAGCCATCAGTGGCTGACGTAGGCTCATTGGGGATGACCTTTACACTTGGGGACAAATTCCCCTGAACTATATCCTTGGTCTCCCTGACTCTCTCCTCTCCTGCATTTCCATAGAGGTTTCCTTCTCACAATGTGGAAGCAGCAATGAAGGGCCATATCTGGGGCCTTGGTATCCCATTTTTGTTAGGCAACTGGTGTCTTTAAAGGGTGAATTTTGGGAAAAAATAATACCTCTCCTATCTGGGTTTATGGGACTACCATCTGAGCTGGTTGTCCTACTGAGGCCGTAAGTCAAGGAGGACAGTTAGGGTTAATGGAACCCAAGGACCCCAGTGAATTCAGCGGGGCCTGTGTTGAGGATTCCCAGGCTGTAAGTGGGCTCAGTGATGAGCAGGGCCATCTGGCCTGGGTACGAGAGGAGGAGTATGGCAGGCTGTTTCCATCCCCGCCTTGGGGCTAGAGGGAGTTGATCCTCTGGCAGGTCCTGAGTCAGGAAGGCAGGGCTTTGGCAGAGGAAGGGGCCTCTGCATCCTTCTGGGCCTCACTCACTGTGATCTGGGCCTGGCGGAGCTTGGGTGTTCTGGTGGGGGATGTTCTGAGGGATGGAGAGTGGCCTCCTGCACACGGAGGTAGACAGGGAGCTGAGTGCTTGCTGAGGCTGCTGAACCTGAGGCTGCTGAACCAAGGCTGAGGGGTGTGGCAGGTGACACAGGTAACTTTGTCTTGTGCTGCCGTCTGTGTTTATTTCCCTCCTATCTCCCTTCCCCCACCCAGGGACTTAGTGACTTCTTGTTTATTATAATAAAAATTTTTATTTTTTTGAGACAACTCTGTCAGTCAGGCTGGAGTACAGTGGTGTGATTATAGCTCACTGCAACCTCGATCTCCTGGGCTCGAGCGAGCCTCTCACCTCAGCCTCCCAGTAGCCAAGACTACAGATGCGCGCCACCACACCGGCTATATTTTTTGTATTTTTTGTAGAGACAGAGTCTCGCTATGTTGCCCAGGCTGGTCTTAAACTCCTGGGCTCAAGCGATCCTCCCACATTAGCCTCCCAAAGGGTTGGGATTACTGGTGTGAGCCCCCGTTCCTGGCCAACCTCTTGTTTAAAGGAGCTCAGCTGCACTATGGGGAATGAAGGCAAGAGCTCCGAGGCTGTGCTTTAAGCAGACCACCAAAGGGAGCTCTGTGCGCCCCTCCCCAAGACAGCAGGGATCAGTGAGAAGCCCCCAAAAGAGGCGGAATCTCGAAGGACAGGACTTGGAGCTGTCCCCACTCTGTTAACAACTGTGGAGGCGGAGGGCTTTGGCCAGAAGATTCCTACAGAAGCCACCCTCCCCAGGGTGAGCAGCTGGTTCAGATCTTGACCTAGAGGGATCGGGGAAGCACTCGAAACAATTTCACCATTATCTATAAGGATGGCTTCACACACATGTAACAGCCTACTGGGAAAGCTTTTTTTTTTTTAAGACGGGGTCTCACTCTGTCACCCAGGCTGGAGTGCAGTGGCGCCATCTCGGCTCACAGCAACCTCTGCCTCCCAGTTCAAGTGATTCTCATACCTCAGCCTCCTGAGTAGCTGGGATTACAGGTCTGTGCCACCACACCTGGCTAATTTTTGTATTTTTAATAGAGGCCTCAAATGCCTGGCCTCAAGTGTCCACCCACCTCGGCCTCCCAAAATGCTGGGATTACAGGCATGAGCCACATGCCTGGCCACCATACACTATTACCAGTGGTTTTTCCTGGGGAATAGAATTTTGCATAACTCGCCTCTACTTTTTCATTGTTTGTGTGCTTGCCTGTTAACAAACATAAAGTCAGTCTTCTATATCCCTGGGTGCCGTATCTGTGGGTTCAACAGACTATGGGCCGAAAATATTCAGAAAAAAGATGGGTGGTGCATCCGTACTGAACATGTACAGACTTTTTTCCTTGTGATTATTCCCTAAACAATACACGATGGCAACTAATTACACGACATTCATATTGTTAAGGTATTATAAGTAATCTAGAGATGATTTAAAGTACAGGCATACCTCGGAGACACTGCAATGAAGTGAATATCACAATACACTTGAGTCACACCAACTTTTTGGCCTCCCAGTGATGTGCACACTATACTGCAGTCTATTAAGTGTGTAATAGCATTATGTCTAAAAAACAATGTACCCATCTCAATTAAATAATACTTTATGGCTAAAAAATGTTAACAATCATCTGAGTTTTTAGTGAGTCATCATCGTTTTGCTGGTGGAGGGTCTTGCCTTGATGTTGGTGGCTGCTGACAGATCAGGGTGGTGGTTGCTGAAGGCTGGGGTGACTGTGACAATTTCTTAAAAAAAGACAACAGTAAAGTTTGCTACATCAATGGACTCTTCCTATCATAAAATATTTCTCTATAGCATGCGGTGCTGTTTACCATTTTATCCACGGTAGAACTTCTTTCAAAATTGGAGTCGATCTTCTTAAACCCTGCTGCTGCTTTATCAACCAAGTTTATGGAATATTCTAAATCCTGTGCTGTCAATGTCAACCATGTTCACAGTATTCACACCAGGAATAGGTTCCATCTCAAGAAACCACTTTCTTTGCCCATTTTTAAGAAGCAACTTCTCATCGATTCAAGTTTCATTATGAGATGGCGGCAACTCAGTCACATCTTCAGACTCCACTTCTAATTCTAGTTCTCTTGCTGTTTCGACCACACCGGCAGTGACTTCCTCTACTGAAGTCTTGAACTCCTCAAGGTTATCCATAAGGATCGGAATCAATTTCTTCAAAACACCTGTTAATGTTGATATTTTGACCTCCTCCCATGAATCACAAATGCTCTTAATAGCATCTAAAATGATGACTCCTTTCCAATAGGTTTTCAATTTACTTTGCCCAGGTCCATGAGAGGAATCACTATGTATGACAGCTGTAGCCTTACAAAATATATTCCTTAAATAACAAGACTTGAAAGTCAAAATTAAGGCCGGGCACGGTGGCTCAGGCCAGTAATCTCAGCACTCTGGGAGGCTGAGACAGGTGGATCACGAGGTCAGGAGTTCAAGACCAGCCTGGCCAAGATGCTGAAACCCTGTCTTTACTAAAAATACAAAAATTAGCTGGGCATGGTGGTGGGCACCGTAATACCAGCTACGTGGGAGGCTGAGTCGGGAGAATCACTTGAACCTGGGTGGCGGAGGTTGAAGTGAGCCGAGATCACGGCACTGCACTCCAGCCTGGGCAACAGAGCAAGACTCTGTCTGAAAAGAAAAAGAAAAAGAAAGTCAAAATTACTCCTTGACCAATGAGCTATAGAATGGATGTTGTGTTAGCAGGCAGGTAAACAACATTAATCTGGTATCTCTCCATCAGAGCTCTTCGGTGACCAGGTGCACTGTCAATGAGCAGTAATATTTTGAAAGGAATCTTTTTTTTTTTTTCCTGAGCAATAGGTCTCAGCAATGGGCTTAAAATATTTAGTCAAACATGCTATAAACAGATGTGCTGCCATCCAGGCTTTGTTGTACCATTGATAGAGCACAGGCAGAAGAGATGTAGCATAATTCTAAAGAGCCCCATAAATTTTGGAATGATGGGTGAGCACTGGCTTCAACATAAAGTCACCAGATGCATTAGTCCCTAATAAGAAAGTCAGCCTGTTCTTTTAAGCTTGGAAGCCAGGCATTGACTTCTCTCTAGCTATGAAAATCTTAGATGGCATCTTCTTCCAATAGAAGACTTTTGTCTACATTGAAAGTCTGTTGTTGAGTGTAGCCACCTTCATGAATGACCTTAGCTAGATCTGCTGGAGAACTTGCTGCAGCTTCTACATCAGCACTTGCTGCTTCGCCTTGCACTTGTATGTTATGGAGACAGCTTCTTTCCTTAAACCTCATGAACCAACCTGTGCTAGGGTCAAACTTTTCTTCTGCAGCTTCCTCACCTCTCTCAGCCTTCATAGAATTGAAGCAAGTTAGGGTCTTGCTCTGGATTAGGCTTTGGCTTTAGGGAACTGTGGCTGGTTTGATCTTCTATCTAGACCACTCAAACTTTCTCCATATCAGCAATAAGGCTGTTTCACCTTCTTATAATTTGTGTGTTCGCTGGATTAGCACTTTTAATTTCCTTCAAAAACTTTTCGTTTGGGTTCACAACTTGGCTCACTGGTGCAAGACGCCTAGCTTTTGGCTTATCTCAGCCTTCAACACATGCCTTCCTCACTAAGCTGAATGATTTCTAGCTTTCGGTTTAGAGTGAGAGACATGCAACTGTTCCTTTCACTTGAACACTTAGAGGCCACTGTAGAGTTATTAATTGGCCTAATTTCAATATTGCTGTGTCTCAGGGAATAGGGAGGCCTGAGGAGAGGGAGAGAGATGGGGAACAGCCAGTCTCTGGAGCAATCAGAACCCACACAACACTTATGGATTAAGTTTGCCATATTATATGGGCCCGGTTCGTGGCACCCCAAAGCAATTACAATAGTAACATTACCGATCACAGATCACTGTAACAGATATGATAATGAAAAAGTTTGAAATATTGCAAGAATGACCAAAATGTGATACAGAGACATGAAGTAGGATCATGCTGTTGGGAAAATGATGCCAGGAGACTTGACACGGAGTTATCACAAACCTTCCATTTGCGAAAAACAAAATATCTTCAAAATGCAATAAGATGAGGTTTGCCTGAATACAGGAGGAGGTGCCTAGGTTATATGCAAATGAGGAACCTGAGCATCTGTGGATTTTGGTATCTTCAGGGGGTCCTGCAACCAATCCCCCACAGATACTGAGGGATGAATGTATATTGCCTTGAGAATAAGAAAACAACCAAACATCTTAGTTTTAAAAAGTATATATTTTTTCTGAGTTTTGCATTTTTGCCCTATATTTTAAAATAATTTTTTTTTTTTTTTTTGAGACGGAGTTTTGCTGTTGCCCAGGCTGGAGTGCGGTAGTGCAATCTCGGCTCACTGCAACCTCCGCCTCCTGGGTTCACACCATTCTCCTGCCTCAGCCTCCCAAGTAGCTGGGACTACAGGCGCCCACCACCACGCCCGGCTAATTTTTTGTATTTTTAGTAGAGACGGGGTTTCACCATGTTAGCCAGGATGGTCTTGATCTCCTGACCTTGTGATCTGCCTGCCTCGGCCTCCCAAAGTGCTGGGATTACAGGTGTGAACCACCACGCCTGGCCTTATTTTAAAGTAATTCTTAAGCACATCACAACATTTGATTTGATTTGTATTTTGGAAGGTTGTTTTGCATAAGTGAAAACCTCCTGAAGTCTTATGACATGAGGTGAAGGGTGAAAAATGATCTTATTAAAAATACAAGGTAGAGGCCGGGTGCGGTGGCTCATGCCTGTAATCCCAGCACTTTGGGAGGCCGAGGCTGGCAGACACTTGAGGCCAGGTGTTCGAGGCCTGCCTGGCTAACATGGCAAAACCCTGTCTCTATTAGAAATAAAAAAATTGGCTGGATGTGGTGGTGGGCACTTGTAATCCCAGCTACTCGGGAGGCTGAGGCAGGAGAATCGCTTGAACCCAGGAGGCAGAGGTTGCAGTGAGCTGAGATTGCGCGATTGCACTCCAGCCTGGGCAACAAGCGAGACTCCATCTCAAAAAAAAAAAAAGAAAAGAAAAAAAACAAGGTAGAATATGTTTATAAAGTGGGAAATATGTTTTCCTCCCGTCTAATTAATGCAGAAGTTTCCAGAGTGTAAGAGATGCTGAGCCCTGTGCCGGGTGCTTCAGAGAGTGGTGCAGTGGCTGGGGACACGGCTCCAAAGCCTGACAGCCGGGTTCTATGGCCAGTTCCCACTCGATCACCAGTCACCATGGTGAAGTTTCTCAACCACCTAAGGCTCAGTTTTCTCATCTATAAAAAGAGAAGAATCATGCTGGTATCAGTGCAGGACACAGAAGCCATTCAGGGTGTGGTAAGCAAGAAGATTTAACACATGGAATGAGGGACTTTCAAAATGATTCGAAGGGCTGAGGGAGCAAGTTCTAGGTCAGGCCTCCAGAAGCTGTGTTTAGAATTGACCTTCTGGGGAGCTATTACCTCGGGCCCTGCTCAAGACAAACACCCCTAACTGCCAGTCAGGAGGTGGGAAGGCAGATTTAGAAGCCACCACTGCAACTGTTATTTATTTATTTACTCTTTTTTGTAGAGACAAGGTCTCACCATGTTGCTCGGGTTGGTCTCAAACTCCTGGACTCAAGCTATCTGCTCACCTCAGCCTCTCAAAGTGCTGGGATTACAGGCGTGAGCCACCGCACCTAGCGTGCAGCTGCCCGTTGGCACCCATGCATAACAGCCACTGGAATCTGCTGGAGAAAAATCTCGTATTTCCCCAACTTTGTGTGCCAGAAGAAACAACTAAAAAGAGAGGGGAAAGAGGCTTTTCCTCTTTTCCACCTACAAAAATCACACTAGAGCATCTAATTGGCAGAACCTAATTCATATCCAAAATCCTAGGCACAACGGAATCTAGGAAAAGTAGTTTTTAGTTTTCTAATCTTGTCAATAAAAGGTGACCTAAGCTGGGCGCGGTGGCTCACGCCTGTAATTCCAGCACTTTGGGCGGCTGAGGAGGGCGGATCACAAGGTCAGGAGATGGAGACCATCCTAGCTAACACAGTGAAACCCCGTCTCTACTAAAAATACAAAAAATTAGTGGGGCGTGGTGGTGGGCACCTGTAGTCCCAGCTACTCAGGAGGCTGAGGCAGGAGAATGGCATGAACCCAGGAGGTAGAGCTTGCAGTGAGCCGAGATAGCGCCACTGCACTCCAGCCTGGGCAACAGAGCGAGACTCCGTCTCAAAAAAAAAAAAAAAAAAAAAAAAAGGTGACCTAGTCTGGGTCCTGTGAGAACAAGGACAAGAAAGAATTAAACATGCAAGGATTTTACTAGGGGAAATGCCTGGGCAGAAAATAGGGAGAGAGCCAGGCAAGGCTTGGACAGCCCTCAGATTGCAAAGCAAGTTTGACTCTAAGGGAAGAAGAGATGAGAGAGGGTTGGGTAGTAGAGGCATTGTAGACTGTGCAAACTTGGAAAGTTTCTGCAAAGCCAGCTGGGAGTCCTTGAACCACAGCTGGTCGTGAAGCGAGTCCCACATCCCCAAGGAATGGGTCTGGTTAGTTAAGTATCCCTACTATACTCAGTCTTGGATGGGACCATCCCATGGGGATAGATTTCAAAGCACAGCCACTGAGACTCTGGGCGGTTCCACTCCCTGTAATAGGAAGTTTGCAAGGCAGTGCTCATGGCTGCCCCTCTAGGTGCTCAAAGGTGGAATGGAGTAAGTGAATCCACAGCACCCACCCTGATAGCAATGCCTGTTTCCTAGGGTAATTTGAGGGTTAAATGAGATAATATGAGCGTAGCAGTAGAACAGTGCCTGGCATAGAGCAAGTAAGTGCTCAGGAGATGTTAAGAGTTCATGGGAGATTCAAAAACAAGGAGACCCCTTCTTGCTACCCAGGTCCTCCCCACCATCTGTGGGAGGCCATGCTGAACATCCTGGGAAACAAATCCTCATAGGAGGGCGTGCTGCAGGCCTAGAGGGTGTAAACTGGCTGCGCGTCCTCATCAGCAGGGAAGCATGTCACAATATGGATGGGCTCCAAGCCCCACCCTGGACATTCTGATTCAGCTGGTAGGGTGGTTGTACATAGGTTTCACATGAAGCCTGTGGTTCTGAGGCCCAGGTAGGTTTGGGACTACCATGGGGAAAGAAGGCAAGAAAGACTTTGAAGAAGAGATGAAGCAAGATGAATAGGAGTTGAAAGTGAAGGAGCAGACATTCCAGGTAGAGGGAGTACTGCCTACAATGCAGGGTGGTTTCAAGGAGCTCAGGGTGTTTGGGGAACCACAAGGATCTCAGAGTGTTTGGTTGTAGGATTGTTTTTCTCTTACTGAACATTTACTAGTGGCCAGGTTCAGCGCAAAGGCCCTAGCATGCCTGCATCACTGAGTCCTCTCAATGGCCCTATGAAGTCAGTATCATTATCACTCCACTTTACAGATGAGGCAACTGAGGCTCAGAGAGGCTGAGTGACTTCCTCCAGGTTACAGTTTTTGTTTTTTGTTTTTTGTTTTTTTTTTTTGCGGGGGATGGAGTCTTACTCTGTCACCCAGGCTGGAGTGCAGTGGCGTGATCCTGGCTCATTCCAATCTCCACCTCCTGGGTTCAAGTGATTCTCTTGCCTCAGTCTCCTGAGTAGCTGGGACTACAGGTGCATGCCACCATGCCTGGCTAATTTTTGTATTTTTAGTAGAGATGGGGTATTGCCATGTTGTCCAGGCTGGTCTTGAACTCTTGACATCAGGTGATCCACTGCCTCAGCCTCCCAAATTGCTAGGATTACAGGTGTGAGCCACTGCACCTGACCTACAGTTATTTTTAAGATGAAGTTAAGCCAGGCATGATGGCTCACACCTGTAATTCCAGCACTTTGCGAGGCAGAGATGGGAGGATCACTTGGGGCCAGGAGTTCGAGACCAGCCTGGCCAACATGGCAAAACCCCATGTCTACTAAAAAATACAAAAATTAGCCAGGTATGGGGCACACATCTGTAATCCCAGTTACTCAGGAGACTGAAACACGAGAATCGCTTGAACCTGGGAGGCGGAGGTTGCAGTGAACCGAGATCGTACAACTGCACTCCAGCCCAGGAGACAGAGTGGGACTCTCTCTCTCAAAAATAAAAAAAAATAACAAAAATGAAGTCAAGGCTAGAATCCATTGTGTCCAAAGCTCCGTACTGTTGACGTTCCTGGGAGAAGCTGCAGAAGCAAACGGGATCAGTGAGGGACGTGTGTGTGTAAAGTGTGGCATCTAGGAACACAAGCTTCCGTGTCATCAGAAGCGGGTTCAACCTGCCACTCATTGGCTGTGTTGCCTTGGACAAGTCCTTTAGCCTCCCTATGCCTTGTCTTCATCTGAAAAGTGAAGTTGTGATGCCCACCTTATGGTAGGTCATGTGATGACACACATTATAATAGGAAAAGCACTCAGCGGAGGGCTGGGTACACCGGAAACACACTGTGATTGGAAACTGTTACTATTCACTTATGCAAATGCATCAGGACTTCAACTTGCAGGTAATGGGGAACCCAGAAGTGGTTCAAGCAGGGAGATTGTGAATACCCCTAGAAGGCCTACTAGGGAGTAAAGCCTCAAGTTAAAGAAATGCCATGCAAATGGTGAGCTTTCAGGCACCACCCAGTGGCCAAAGAGGCCTTGGGGCAGGTGTGAATTGCAGACACAGCTGGCTTTGTGCAGTTCAGGGAGTCTCACCACGTCCTCAGGCCCCCACCCCCCGACCCCACTTCACCTAGTGCAGCAGAGAGCAGCTTAAGTCACCTCCGAAGATCTAAGGTGCTTCCCCAGCTGAGCTGGGGAGAAAGCCATCTCACAGTGCCCAGTGTGACCATGTTGGTGCCACAATCTGATAGAGATTCAGTGTATGAGACCATTCTTGCATTGCTATAAAGAAATACCTGAGACTGGGTAATTTTTAAAGAAAAGAGATTTCCCTGGCTCACCGTTTCCCAGGCTGTCTGGGAGGCATAATGCTGGCATCTGCTCAGCTTCTGAGGAGGCCTCAGGAAACTTACAGTCATGATGGCAAGTGGAGGGGGAGCACACACATCACATGGCCAGAGCAGGAAAAAGAGAGCAAGGGGGGAGGAGCTACACGCTTTTAAACAACCAGATCTCGTGATAACTCACTATTGTGAGAACGGGACCGGGTGTGTGGGGGATGGTGCTAAGCCATTCATGAGAAATCACCCCCATGATTGATCACCTCCCACCAGGCCCCACCTCCAACACTGGGAATTACAATTTGCATGCAATTTGGGACCAGATCCAAACCATGTCACTCAGTTCCTTAACTATTAAGACAAAACACCAAAATGTGAAGTGTAGTTATTTCTTGGGTGGAATCATTGGAGATTCTTTCTCACCCCCTTGTGTTTTCGTATGTTTGCCACCCTATGTGCTGATTTTGTTTTGTTATTTGAAAAAGCAAAAGAAATGTTATTTAAAAGGACAAAAAGAATCCCCTCTGTGGGAGGCTGACTCACACCTCCCACAGTTATACAGTGAGGAGTGCTCTCCTCTGCAGGAACACGCCAGTGAAAAACGTCGGAGCTGCCAGTCCTTTGTCCTCATCTGCAAACCCATGATGCCTTGTGTGTGGTTTAAGGCAGAGGTTTCTAAAATTCTTAGTCTCTGGACCACTTTACACTCTTAAAAGTCACTGAGTGACCAGGCACAGTGGCTCACACCTGCAATCCCAGCAATTTGGGAGGCTGAGGCGGGAGAATCACTTGAGCCCAGGAGTCTGAGATCAGTCTGGGCAATATAGTGAGACCTCATCTCTATAAAAAATTAAAAAATTAGCCGGGCATGGTGGCAAGTAGCTGGGACTCCAGCTACTCAGGAGGCTGAGGTGGGAGGATTGCTTGAGTCCAGGAAGTTGAGGCTGCTGTGAACTGTGATCAGGCCACTGCACTCCAGCCTGGGTAACAGAGTGAGACCCTATCTCAAAAAAAAAAAAAAAAAAAGAAGATAAAAGTCATTGAAAGTTTTGTTATATTTATTGCTAATTGTCATACTAGAAATTGAAACTGGGAAATTTTAATTAATTAATTAGTTCATTTATTGAAAGTAGTAATTCATTTATTTAAAGTAGTAGTTCTCAACCAGGGATAGTTTTATCTCCCAGGGGACACTTGACGAGGCTGGAAGCCATTTTTGTTTGTTACAGCTGGAGATGGGGCATGCTACCGGCGTCTAGTGTGTAGTGAGGCCAGAGATGCTGCTCAGCATCCGAGATGCATCCTACCATACACAGATGCACCCCCCAATAAACAGAATTATCTGGCCCAAATGTCAATAGTGCCAAGGTTGAGAAACTGATTTAAAGCGAGGATAATAAATTCATCACATGTTAACACAAAACATAGTTTTATAAGAAATGACACAATTTTCCAAATTAAAACCAATTAAAGGAGTGGCATCGTTTTGTATTTTTGCAGGTCTCTTTAATGATTGGCTTCACAGGAGACAGCTGGATTCTTTTTTTTTCTTTTTTCTTTTTTTCTTTTTTTTTAACCAGAGTCTCACTCTGTCACCCAGGCTGGAGTGCAGTGGCACAATCTCGGCTCACTGCAACCTCTGCCTCCCGGGTTCAAGCCATTCTCATGCCTCAGCTTCCTGCATTGCTGGGATTATAGGCATGTGCCACGATCTCTGGCTAATTTTTTTCTATTTTTAGTAGAGATGGGGTTTCGCCATGTTGGCCAGGCTGGTATCGAGCTCCTGGCTTCCAGTGATCTGCCTGCCTCAGCCTCCCAAAGTGCTGGGATTACAGGTGTGAGCCACCACGCAGGATTATTGTATCTACTTCTGCATTCAATCTGTTGCAATGTCACATGTCACAGAGCTCCCGGAAAACTCCATTAAATATTTGTGAGTGAATGAGAGTGATAAAGACATCATCTCAGGATGATTATAATGGTTTTGATCTTGTGGCCCCCCTCCAAGGGTCTTTGGTAAAAGGTGAAAGATTCAAAGGCACTTCGGGATGCCCAAGGGTCCACAGACCACCTTTTGAGAACTGCAGCTGTAGGAAGATCTTCCCAGATGATTTCCAGAAACAATTAGTGTGTTTTGGATGTGAACACATCTGGCTCTGCCATCCTGGGAGGGCAGTCGGGAGAGGGACTGGGGAAAAACCCACTGAGCCAGCCCCGCAGACCCCACTCCTCCCTTCTCCTCAATGCTGTCAGCTGCTAGACAGTCAGTCATGGTAATTTCTAATGACAGATCTCACGTTTCACCTTGGGGGCAGAAAACAAGAGGCTGGACGAGTGGGAAGAAAAGAAAAGAGGAGAAAAAGTCAGGGGAGGTGGGCTTCCCTGGCTGCTTCTGAGAGGGAGGAAGGGGTGCTCGCTGCTGGCCCGGGGTCCCTGTGGGGTGTGGGTGTGTGTGGAGGGCCCACGCCTCGCCTTGCCCATGAGCCCAGCCCTGGGAACAGCAATCGAGGTGGCCCGCCTGTCTCTGAGTCACCCACCTGAGTTTCACAGGATGTGATAGGCTAATTTTGACAAGGAGAGGGGGAGCCCCAGCCTTTGAGGCCCAGGAAGGGTGAGCCAGGCTGAGGCCAGTGTCTCAACCCTTGTCTCTGAAAGGAGCAGTGGATCCAGGTCAGGAAGCCCACCAGCTTTCCCCCGACCCTACACTGCCACCGAGGCGGGCCCTTCACATTCCTAGGGTGGAGGGGATGGAGGCTTCCAGCCGCCACACTTCTAGGAGCTGGGGAGACAGCAGCACAGAGGGCATTTATGGAATACTTGCATTTATGGAACGCATGCAGGCTCTGAGCTCATTCTTTGTTGTGACTGCTGCCTTTAACCCTCACAATAACTGGTGCTTTGGGAACTGTTATTATTTCCACTTTACCCATGAGGACGACACGGCCCAGGGAGGAAAGAACTCGTCCAAGTTCCATGCCAGGGAGATGCGGAGCTGGGATTTGATCAAGGTTTGTTTGGCTCTGAAGCCCAGATTCTTAACCTCTGCCCTACAAGTTGTGCCAAATTACTCATGTACTCATGTGCTCAGGCACTTACTCACATACCTGATTATGGAGGGCCCACTCTGAGCCCTGTGCTAGATGCCAGAGATACAGACAATAAAACACACTCCCTGTCCTCCTCAAAGCTCTCGGTCTACCAGGTGGGAGGCACGGGGAGTGTAGCATTGAGCAAGCGGACACGCTATTGGAATCGATTGTGCCAAGTGCTGTGATGGGGTAAGCAGAGTGTGAGGAAGCCAGAAGAGGCTCTGGTTGTAGGATGGGGAGAGGGAAGCTAGGGTGGCTTCCTGGAGGAGGTGATGTATAAACTACTGACAAGTAGGGACCCCCAAGCCAGGGGGAAGAGGAGCATCTTGGGGTCACATACCACATGCCCTTGCTCCCACTTTTGACTTGTTGCTGGGACACTACTTCCTAGCCCAGGAGGAGTTCCAGGATTTCTGTTGCAAGCCCCCAGCCCCTATTTACCTTCTGTTTCTGGGGCGAGAACCAGATGGGACCCTCGCCAGGAGAATACCAGCAGCCCCTTCCCCTGTAGGAAAGGTGGGGACAGCAGTGTTGGATGGGGTCTCAGGGTGGCTGCCAGGCCCCAGGGGCAGGAAGCCAAGTCATCTTTTTGAGTAGATATTTGCACATGAAGCACTCTTGCCGGGCACTAACCTAGGTGCTGCACATAAAGTATGTCATTGGAATTTTACTATCCTGGGAGGATGAATTTCTTAAAATATGAAAGCCCTTTCACTAAAGACCTTATATCATTTCAACCTCACGTACTTCGAGACTAATATCGACAAAGGTGGTTCGTGTGTTTGTTCACCTGCCAAAGTGGTGCAACCCTATAGCTATGGTGTGAAGAGATTACAATTTTCTTGGTCTGCCTGCTATGAAATTATGCAGGTTTCGATAAATCATTCATTTACTGAGGGAGAGTGTTCATGATTTCACATTTTATGGGATGCTTTACTGATATGTCTTCATATCACACAACCTCCTTCTTGGTACTATCACTACCCCATTTTGCAGATGAGGAAACCGAGGCTCAGAGAGGTTAAGGAACTAGCCTGAAGTCACACAGCTGGTATTGGAACTCCAATACTTCAGGAGAATTGGAATTAGAACTCAGGCAGCCTGACGTCAGAGCCCAGCCTCCCAATTTCTACCCTGCTCCTCTTGTGCTAGAAAAATCCCTGAATCTAGAAAAATCCCTGAATCTGAGAAAGCCTCTTTCCTTCAGCCTGTCTGAGCCTCAGCTACTCCAACTCTTAGATTGCCCTTTCAACCTTTGAACTCTCCCATGAGAATGCAGCGGTGGGAGAGAGAGTGAGATGTCTGGAGTTTGTGCTTAAGGGTTTCTCATGTGACTCAGGGGCTGAGCCCCAAAAGAAACTCATCCCCAGCATGGCTGGGTGAGCCTTCTTTGTCCCCGCTTTCTCCAAACAAGGCTACGAATGTGGAGTGAGAGGCGTTGCAGGAAAGGGTGCCAGTTGTGGGGTGGCGGGGGGCTAGAAAAAAGAGATCTTAAATGATCAACAGGAGGGAACTGATAATTTCTTTTTTTTTTTGAGTTGGAGTTTCGTTCTTGTTACCCAGGCTAGAGTGCAATGGCGCCATCTCGGCTCACTGTAATCTCCGCCTCCTGGGTTCAAGCAATTCTCTTGTCTCAGCCTCCCAAGTAGCTGGGATTCCAGACACCCACCACCACGCCCAGCTAATCTTTTGTATTTTTAGTAGAGACGGGTTTTCACCATGTTGGCCAGGCTGGTCTCCAACGCCTGACCTCAAGTGATCCGCCCACCTTGGCCTCCCAAAGTGCTGGGATTACAGGCATGAGCCACCACACCCAGCTGAGGGGAGTGATTTCGTATTGCTTCAGAATAATTTCTCCCCTATTCCAAAAGCAATAAAGAAAATGTAGGAACTCCTAGTAAACCCAAAGAAGAAAGTTTAAAAACCTACAACCCCATCACTCATGCATAAACATGGTGAGTATCTTGGGTGTGATTTCTTTTAGGCTTTTGTCTATGCATCGTTCAATATACATGTTTATATTTATACTAATAAATGTATTCATAGAATTTTATTATTGCCAAGATAATACGTGTTCACTGTAGTATATTTAGAAAGTAGAAATGGACTGGACACGGTGGCTCACTCCTGTAATGCCAGCACTTTGGGAGGCTGAAGTGGATGGATCCCAAGGTCAAGAGATTGAGACCATCCTGGCCAACATGGTGAAACCCCGTCTCTACTAAAAATACAAAAATCAGCTGGGCATGGTGGTGGATGCGTTGGGAGGCTGAGGCAGGAGAATTACTTGAACGCGGGAGGCGGAGGTTGTAGTGAGCTGAGATCGTGTCACTGCACTCCAGCCTGGTGACAGAGCACGACTCTGTCTCAAAAAAAAGAAAAAAGTAGAAATGAACAAAAACAGAAAATAAAAAATTATAATTGCAGATATTCTGGCTTTATAGGATTTTCTCATTTTTACAGTGAATTTTAGTATAATGAATATAGTATAATGAATAAAAATCATCGTGTTTGTCCTGGCTGTTAAAGTTTTCAGTTTGTAGGCTGACTTACTGAAATCATATCTGCAAATGACAGAATTTAAAGATAAAGCAAAGTTCTGGACTTTAGCCTCTTTTAGGTCACAGACCCTCTGAGAATCGGACAAGAGCCGAAGACGCACAAAAGATGCACAGAGAAACATCTTCCTAAGATGTCAGGAGGCCACAGATTCTCTCTAGCCTCTGCATAGGAGTCATGACCACAGTTTAACACTCTCCATGCTTCATGAATTATCAGATGAAGAGGGGCCTTGGATTCCCCTGGACTGAAGAGGAGGGTCACATCCAAAGCCCAGACCTTCCTTTTTTTAATCTGAATATTTTTGTGTGGGTCATTTCAGCTTAGTTAGCAGTTTCGAAAGGGATCTGTACGGGTTTAGTATTTAATTTCTTGAAAAAGTAAACTATTTTTACTTTGTTTTGTTTTAAAATGTTTAAGTTTTTAAATTTATGTAATTCCAAACTTACAGAAAAGTAACATGAACAATACAAGGAACACCTATATTCCCTGTTTTGTTAATTACAAAATAATATTAACAATGATGATGATGATTAAAATATATGCCCATTGTAACATATCAAATGATGCTGAAGTGTGTGAAGAAAAAGTTAATAGTCTCCCATAATAAAATACAGAAGTATAAGCAATACACTTTGGTAAATCTTCCAACACACTGCCATATACCTTCTCTAAGTCTCTCCAAACATATGTACATGTAAATCATATATATTTATACAAATATGTTCCTTTTGCCATAAAAAATTGTTTTTTTTTTTTTGAGACAGGGTCTTGCTCTGTGGCTCAGGCCAAGTACAGTGGCTCAATCACAGCTCACTGCAGTCTCAAACTCCTGGGCTCAAGCAATCCTCTTGCCTCAGCCTCCCAAGTAGCTGGGACAACAGGTAGGCACCACCACATCTGGCTAATTTTAAAATTTTTTGTAGAGACGGGGTCTCACTTTGTTGCCCAGGCTGGTCTCAAACTCCTGGGCTCAAGCAATCCTCCCATCTTGGCCTCCCAAAGTTTTGGGATTACAGGTGTGAGCCACTGGGACTGCCCCACAATCTTATTTTATATATACAGAATAGTCTCTATGTATAAGATTTATGTCTTCTGTTAATTGAAGGCCTTAATACAGTCATCCAAGGCTGGTTTAATGACCTCCAACCATCAACAAGGAAGACGTTTGGAGAAACATGAGGGAAAAGGAAAACACAGGCAGAGAATCAAGGGGATTATTGGGTGACTTCCAAGGAGTGTGAGTGAACCTTGGGTCCACTCAATGCACAGCACCTCACAATATGCTTCTTTCATTTAACATTCTCCCTGGACCTCTCTCTAGGTCGACTCTTGTGATGCTACCTCATTCTTGTTAATCATTTCATACTTTTTCATTACGTGGCTGGGTGACTTGATTCACCCCTTCTTCCACTGATAGCATTCAGGTCATTTCTGATTTGTTGCAGTGATTATTGCAGACAATGTCGGACTAATCATCCTGAGATATATGTCTTTAAAGACTGGGCTGTGTAGCCCATTGTACTAGTCTATTCTCATGCTGCTAATAAAGACATACCTGAGACTGGGTAATTTATAAGGGGAAGAGGTTTGATTGACTCACAGTTCAGCATGGCTGGGAGGCCTCAGGAAACTTACAATCATGGCAGAAAGGGGAGCAATCATGTCCTTCTTCACATGGCAGCAGCAAGGAGACGTGCCAAACAAAACGGGGAAAAGCCCCTTATAAAATCATCAGATCTCATGAGAACTCACTCACTATCACAGGAAGAGCATGAAGGCAACTGCCCCCGTGATTAAATTACCCCCCACCGGCTCCCTCCAATGACACATGGGGATTATGAGAGCTACAACTCAATATGAGATTTGGGTGGGGACACAGCCAAACCATATCACCCGTTTAGTATCTTTGTGCAAATTAGCAAAAAATACCCCTCCCATAGACACCAGCCTGTAACAAAGTACGCAGCTTGGCAAGTGGCGTGTAGGCCGGATTCCAGCCCTACATGCCCCATCGGTGTGGTGTCCTTCCTTGTGCAGTGAACAACCTGCACATCCTTATATGGTAGTCTCATCTTCCACACTCTGTTTCTTTCTCCCCCTGTAAGACGGCTCCCTAAACGTTAGACTGCCAGGACGAAGGGTCTGTGAGCATTTTTTTTTTTTTTTTTTTGGAGACAGAGACCCTCTGTCGCCCAGGCTGGAGTGCAGTGGCGTGATCTCGGCTCACTGCAACCTCCACCTTCCGGGTTCAAGCAATTCTCCTGCCTCAGCCTCCCAAGTAGCTGGGATTACAGGCATGAACCACCATGCCTGGCTAATTTTTGTATTTTTAGTAGAGACAGGGTTTCACCATGTTGGCAAGGCTGGTCTCAAACTCCCGACCTCAGGTGATCCACCTGCCTTGGCCTCCCAAAGTGCTGGGATTACACGCGTGAGCCACTGCGCCCAGCCCTGTGTGCATTTTTAATAATAAAATATTCTACTACATTTTTGTGCGTATTTATAAAATTATATTTGCTATCTTGGAAGGTGCTTTTTAAGTATATTTCGATCCTAACATATTTGGACTGTCTTTCCTGTTACTACCAATTCAATTTTTGTACAGTGATTTTTCTTAACAGCTTTTGGGGTATAATTGGCATATAATAAACTGTACCTATTTGAAGTGTGCAATTTCATAAATTTTGACGTATGTATACACTGTGAAACCATCACCAGAATCAAGACAATTAACATATTCATTGGCTCCAAAGGCCCCTTGGGAACCTCTCCTTCCCTCACTGTCTGGCTCTCTCCATCCTTAGGCAACTACTCATCTGCTTTCTGTCACTATTGGTTAACTGTTCATATTTCCTAGAATTCTGTAGAAGTGGAATCATACAGTATGTGCTTTTTTTCCATCTGACTTCTTTCACTCAACATAATTATTTTGAGATTCACCCATGTCGTTGCATGTATAAATAGCTCACGGCTGGGCGCAACAGCTCACCCCTGTAATCCCAGCACTTTGGGAGGCCAACATGGGCGGATCACTTGAGGTCAGGAGTTCGAGACCAGCCTGACCAACATGGTGACATCCTGTCTCTACTAAAAATACAAAAAAATTAGCTGGGTGTGGTGGTGCATGCCTATAATCCCAGCTACTAAGGAGGCTGAGGCAGGAGAATCGCTTGAAACTGGGAGGCGGAGGTTGCAGTGAGCCGAGATCACACCATTGCACTCCAGCCTGGGTGACAGAACGAGACTCCGTCTCAAAAAAAAAAAAAAAAAGGCTCATTAATTTTTATTGCTGAATAGTATTCCATTGTCTGAATATACCACAATCTGTTTATCCACTCACCAGTTGATGAACATTTAGATTGTTTCCAGTTTAGGGCTGTGGCAAATAATATCCTCTTATTCAGATTTGCTCTGAATATTCATGTACAAATCTTTGAATGGACATAAGCTTTCATTTCTCTTGGGTAAATCCTAGGAGCGCGATGGCTAGATCACATAGCTGGTGTATATTCAGCTTTTTAAGAAAATCCCTGCGGGGAGCGGGGAGAGATAGCATTAGAAGATATACCTAATGTTAAATGACGAGTTAATGGGTGCAGCACACCAACATGACACATGTATACATATGTAACAAACTTGCACATTGTGCACATGTACCCTAAAACTTAAAATAAAAAGAAAAAAAAAAAGAAAATCCCAAACTGGTTTGCAGAGTGGTTGTACTATTTTACGTTGCTACCAACAGTGTTTGAGAATTCTGGTTGTTCCACATCCTCAGCAACACTTGATACAGTCTTTTTGGCTGGGCGCAGTGCTTCACACCTATAATCCCAGCACTTTGGGAGGCTGAGGTGGGAGGACTGCTTGAGCCCAGGAGTTTAAGACCAGCCTGGGCAACATAGTGGGACCTTGTTTCTACAAAAGAATTTAAAAATTAGCTGGGTGTAGTGATGTATGCCTGTGGTCCCAGCTACTACTCAAGCCAGGCTAAGTGGGGAGGATGGCTTGAGCCCAGGAGGTTGAGGCTGCAGTGAGTCGTGTTCACACCACTGCCCTCCAGCCTGGGTGATGGAGCGAGATCCTGTCTAAAAACAAACAAACAAAAAGCTGTATTCTTTTTAATTTTCGCAACTGTATGTTGAGCATCTTTTATGTGTTTACCATCTTAACATTGTATTTGGTGAAGTGTCTCTTCAAATCTTTTGCCCAGTTTGGCCAGGCGCGGTGGCTCAAGCCTGTAATCCCAGCACTTTGGGAGGCCGAGGCGGGTGGATCACGAGGTCAGGAGATCGAGACCATCCTGGCTAACACAGTGAAACCCCATCTCTACTAAAAATACAAAAATAATTAGCTGGGCGTGGTAGCAGGCGCCTGTAGTCCCAGCTACTCAGGAGGCTGAGGCAGGAGACTTGTTTGAACCCAGGAGGCAGAGCTTGCAGTGAGCCGAGATCGTGCCACTGCGCTACAGACTGAGTGACAAAGCGAGACTCCATCTCAAAAAAAAAAAAAATATTTTGCCCAGTTTTAATTGGGATGTCTGTTTTCTTACCATTGAGTTTTCAGAGTTCCTTATATGTTCTAGATGAAAGTCCCTTATCAGATATATGATTTGCAAACATTTTGTTTGTATTTTACTTTTGCATTTTATCATTTTTATTATATTTTACTTTGTATTTATTTTATTATCTTTATGTTTGTGTATCTTACTATTTTTTTTTTAGACGGAGTCTCGCTGTGTCACCCAGGCTGGAGTGCAGTGGTGACAAAAACTTTGATAAAGTTTTTAATGTTTGTTTGTTTGCAAATGAATATCCACTTGCACATTGCTTTTAGTGGTGAAAAATAACCATTCACCAGCCAAATTTTTCCCTGTTCTTCAAGACAAGTCCTACCTTAAATGCTTTACTTTCTGCAGTGTCTTGTCCACTTGGGCACTTGGTGTTTGTTGAATGACTGAATGTGTCTGTCCTACCTCAAGGAATCCCACAATGCCAGAGCTGGGACTAATCTTAGAAACATCCAGGCTGACCCCTTTCCCCCATTTAAAAGCGGAGACCCTCCAGCTTAGGGCTGAGCAGCACTCTGACCCAAGTGACAGAACTGGAACTCAGTCCCAGGACTCTCAGTTCTTGGTCCAGAGCACTTTCTGTAAGACTATGCTGGCTCCTGTCCCTGAGACTGATTACCAGGAATGGGTCCAGATCTGCAGTGTCATCTTGTGAAAGTCCTGATCCTATTAACTGTGCAATCCTTAGTAAGGGCTACCATTTACCGACTGCCTGCTGTGTGCCAGGCACTTTGTATCTGTCATCTCATTTAATGCCCACAAGAATCTTGGTGGGAAGGGGATATTCATTATGCTCTCCACTCTGCAGTTCAGAAAACTGAGGCCTAGAGGCCCAGAGAGGTTAAGCAACTTGTCAGAGGTGGCACAGGCACAATGGAGGAGCTGGGGCTCAAACTCAGGTCTGTCAAACCCCAAATCTTCCCTTTCTCCAAACATTTCTTTTCCAGCCCCTGCTCTTATCTGTAGGGACCCTACAGAGGCAGGATGGCATGTTGACTCACTGCTCAAACTCTGGAGCAAGACAGCCTGGTTTGAACCTCACTTTGGGCAAGTCACCCATCCTTTATGTGCCTCAGTCTTTTCATCTCTAAAATGGGAACAGTGATATTAATTATCCCTAACATATAGGGCTGTTATGAGAGTGGTTTTTTGTCTGTTTGTTTGTTTGTTTGAGATGGAGTCTCACTCTGCCACCCAGGCTGGAGTGCAGTGGCATGATCCAGCTCACTGCAACCTCTACCTCCCAGATTCAAGCAATTCTCATGCCTCAGCCTCCAGAGTAGCTGAGATTACAGACCTGTGCCACCATGCCCAGCTAATTTTTATTTATTTTTTGTATTTTTGGTAGAGATGGGGTTTCACTATGTCGGTCAGGCTGGTCTCGAACGCCTGACCTCAAATGATCCGCCTGCCTCAGCCTCCCAGTGTTGGAATTATAAGTGCGAGCCCCCGCACCCAGCAAGCCAATGTGTGGAAATTCCCTCAGAACAGTGGCAGAATATAGTAGCCCTCAGTGGGTATTAGTGGTTGCTTCTTGGGAACAGGGACACTGGAACACTCTGGAGGCTGCCCCTGCATACCTGCCTGCAGAAGGGCAGAGAAGCCCAAGCACTGGGCTTAGGTGGGCCTGGGGGAGTGTAACCAAGCCAAGAGGCCAGGAGGCTGTCCACCTGCCTGCAGGCTCCACAGAGAAGGACAAAGCCCTGGCCTGACCCTTTGTCCCTCCCGGGGACCTTTTCTTGTGACTTTTTTTTTTTTGAGACAGAGTGTCACTCTGTTACCCAAGCTGGAATGCAGTGGCACAATCTCGGCTCACTACAACCTCCGCCTCCCGGGTTTAAGTGATTCTCCTGCCTCAGCCTCCCGAGTAGGTGGGATTACAGGCATGCACCACCACACTTGGCTAATTTTTGTAGTTTTAGTTAGAGATGGGGTTTTGCTATGTTGGCCAGGCTGGTCTCGAACTCCTGACCTCAAGTGATCCACCAGCCTCGGCCTCCCAAAGTGTTGGGATTACAGGCGTGAGCCCCCGCACCCGGCCCCTCGTGACCTTTGGAAGGTGAGAAAAAATGATGTATTTAGACACACTCACTGAGCCTGAGCCTGAGCCCAGGCAGGTTTTCTGTGTTAAATATTGATGAACCAATGTGATAGGCCTGGTGGGCTGCTCTCATGCAGGCCAAATCCCCCAAGACTTGGGAGAGTAATCCAAATTAAGCATATGGCCTCATGTGTTCGAAAATGCGCTCACAAAACAGTTACAGCAGGAGGACCAGATTCCCACTTGCCTGTGTTTCCTGAGAATGATGATGAAGGATCCCACACTGATTCTTGCACAGAGCTTGATTCGGGCAATCACAGAACCAGAGCTTCAGGTCTGGAAGGAATCTCAGGGATCATTGCTCCTCTTTCTCACTCCCTTCCCTCTCCTCCTTTCAGGGGAGGCAGCACAACACTGTGGTTGAACACAGGCTTCAGAGCCCACAGACCTGGGTTGGAGTCTGCCTATCCTGCCAGTTGTCCACATAAATCATGCTGTCTCTAACTCACCTCTGGGCCTTTCCATGTGCTGACCTGCCTGCCTGAGCCCTCTCCCCCAACTCCTTGTCAAGTAACACCTTCTCTATTCTTGGGGCTCAGCTTAGACTTCCCTTTCTCTAGGAAGCCTTCTCTGTCCACTGCCCACCCTGTTTCCCCCTGAGCTAAAGACTTCAAAACATTTTTTCTGTTTGGCACAGCACTCACCATGCTGCCTTGGAATTGCCTGTTTCTTGTCTCTCTTCCTCAGTGGACTGTGAGCTACTCAAGTGCAGAGATCCTACGTAATTTCGGATCATCCATTTAACTTTTCTAAGCCTCAGTTTACTCACCTCTAAAGTGGGGATAAAATAGCATTTCCCTCACCGGGTTGTTTTGTAGATTAAATGAGATAATCCAGGAAAATTCATATACAGGCCTTGATTTAGTCCTTGGCACACACTATGTATTCAAGAAATGGCTTAAAAGGATGATGATGATAATAATGGCAATTGTATTTTTCAACACTTGCTGCTATAACAAATAAGCTATAAAAGTCTCAGAGGCTTAAAACAATAGAACTCATTCCACTTCTGGGTATATGCCCCCAAAAATTAAAAGCAGGCACACATATTTGTACACCAATGTTCATAGCAGCATTATTCACAATAGCCAAAAGGTGGAAACAACTCAAATATCCATTGACAGACAGACGGATAAATGAAATGTGGTCTATTCATACAATGCAATATTATTCAGTCTTAAAAAGGAAGGAAATTGGGCAGGCATGGTGGCTCATGCTTGTAATCCCAGCACTTTGGGAGGCAGAGGCTAGTGAATCACCTGAGATCAGAAGTTCAAGACCAGCCTGGCCAACATGGTAAAGCCCCATCTCTACTAAAAATAGAAAAAGTGGCCTGTAGTCCCAGCTACTCAAGAGGCTGAGGCACTAGAATCGCTTGAACCCAGGAGGTTGGCAGTGAGCCAAGATCATGCCACTGCACTCCAGCTTGGACGACAGAGCGAGACTCTGTCTCAAAAAAAGAAAAAAGAAGGGCTGGGTGCGGTGGCTCATGCTTGTAATCCCAGCACTTTGGGAGGCGGAGGCGGGTGGATCACCTGAGGTCTGGAGTTCGAGACCAGCCTGACCAACATGGAGAAATCTTGTCTCTACTAAAAATACAAAATTAGCCGGGCGTGGTGGCACATGCCTGTAATCCCAGCTACTCGGGAGGCTGAGGCAGGAGAATCGCTTGAACCCAGGAGGTGGAGGTTGCTGTGAGCCGAGATGGCGCCATTGCACTCCAACCTGGGCAACAAGAGTGAAATTCTGTCTCAAAAAAAAAAAAAGGAAGGTGACGTGGGCAGATCACCTGCATTCAGGAGTTTGAGACCAGCCTGGCCAACATGGTGAAACCCAGTCTCTGCTAAAAACACACAAAAAATTATCTGGCCGTGGTGGTGGGCCCCTGTAATCCCAGCTACTCAAGAGGCTGAGGCAGGAGAATCGCTTGAACCCGAGAGGTGGAGGTTGCAGTGGGTGAGATTGCGCCACTGCACTCCAGCCTGGGCGACAAGAACAAAACTCCGTCTCAAAAAAAAAAAAAAAAAAATAGGAAGGAAATTCTGACACATGCTACAACATGGATGAATCTTGAAGACTTTATGCTAAGAGAATTAAGCCAATTTTAAGAAGACAAATATTCTATAATTCCATTTACATGAAGTACTTAGAGTAATCAAATTCATAGAGACAGAAAGTAGAATATGGTGATGTCAGGGACTGGGTTGGGAGGAGATGGGGAGTGACTGTTTAATGGGTACAGAGTTTCAGCTTTACAAAAGAAAGAGTTTTGTGGACGGATGGTGGTGATGGTTGAACAGCAATGTGAATACCATGAACTGTACACTTAAAAATGGTTAAAATGATAAATGTTATGTTATGTATTACCACACCAAAAAAGAATGTTAAAAAAAGTTTATTCTTCACAGTAGTTACATCCAAATGAGGGCGCTCTGTCTGGGGACTCTCTTCCATGCAGTAACTTAGAGACCCATGTTTTTTGGCATCTTACGCCTCTGCCATCCATCTTCAACGTGTGGTTCCCAGTGCCAGCCTAGAGCAGGGGCTGCGAACTATCCCTGTGGGCCAAACCCAGCCAGCAGACTGTTTTTGTATAGCCCTAGACCTGAGAATGGTTTTACATTGTTAAAGGGTTGTGACTAAGGCAGAGAAAGAGGAGAGGAGAGGAAGGATGGAGCTAGGAGAAGAGAAGGGAAGAGGAAAGAGAAAGAGAAGAAGATATGATGGAAACTATATGTGGCCTGCAAAGCTGAAAATATTTAGTATCGGATCCTTTACAGAAAATATTTGTTGGCTCCTGCCTTAGAAACATTTCTATTCTAGGCAACTGAGTGGTCCACATCACCTTCATCCATATTCCATTGCCTGGAACTATCATGTGGCCATGCCTGACTGCAAGGGGGTCTGGGAAATGTAGTCCAGCTGTGTGCCCAGGAGAAGAGGAAGTGAGCTTGGTGACCATCTGACAATCATGATGATGATGAACATCATGGTTGTCTCTCAGCTGTTTCATCCAGTGGAGGAGTCTTCCTCAGCTCAGATTAGTCCAGGCCACTCATAGTGATTCCCTCTCTAGTGATTGGTTAAGGAATCCAGGCTGAAGCCAGCAGAGAATGGCATTCCTTGGGCAACAGTTATGGGCTCAGCGGTAGGCAGGGGACCCAAGCTGTCCCAGTCAGACTGAAAAGAACTTTTGTTTGATGGTTGAGGAAGAGGCACTCTCTCTTCCTCCAGTTGTGAAGAAGGAAGCATGTGGCCGGAGTAAACACTAAAACCAGAAGGTGGCCATCCTTCAAAGGTTGCAGAAGGAACCAGCCTTAGGCGGGGCCAGCACTGTGCCCTACAGAGCAGAAAGACAGGAAGAAGCTGGGACCCTGCAGACACTGTGGGGCTGCTACAGGACCAGCCCTGAGGCCTGCCCGCCCTCTGGACTTCCAGTGATGAGGCCCATAAGATCCCTCCTTGTTGAGGCTACTTTGAGTCACAGTTTCTATTACTCCCAGCCAGAGCACCCTCACTGATCTGATGGCTTCTAGGACAACCTTGTCAACGGCCAGGAACCCCTCAGAGCCCAGCCTCTCTCCCTAGTTAACAGGTAGAAACGCTGTCAAGGTTTTTCATGTATGACTCCCAAATTTGCCTCTCCACATCTCCCACCCATTATCCCACAGTATCCGAACTGAAGGAGCCAGGAGCCTCCATTTTGAAAATGACTTTTCATTTCAGCATCTACAAAGCTTCACTTTTGAGATTTCCCTTACAATCTGTGTTTTTATTTACCAAACTTTTTTTTTTTTTTTTTGAGACAAGGTTTCACTCTGTCACTCAGGCTGGAGTGCAGTGGTGTGATGTCGGCTTACTGCAACCTCCATCTCTCAGGCTCAAGCAATCCTCCCACCTCAGCCTCCCAAGTAGCTGGGACTACAGGTGCATACCACCACACCTGGCTAATTTTTGTAGTTTTTGTAGATATGGGTCTCTCCATGTTGTCCAGGCTGGTCTCGAACTCCTGGGTTCAAGCAATCTGCCCACCTTGGCCTCCCAAAGTGCTGGGATTACAGCTGCAAGCCACTGCACCCAGCTACTGAACATTTCTAAGATGGATTTTAAACAATTCAATTTTAAAAAATTATTATTCTTAGCAATAGTGTCCACGCACTCTTGGGTGAATCACTATTATTTTTTCCTGAGGTACCTTAAAAAAACCTCATAAAATAATAGTGAATCACTATTATTTTTTCCTGAGATACCTTAAAATAAATGCATACATATGCAATTATTAACAGAAAACATGAGTCTGAACATGAACTGAAATCGTCTCCTGGATCACACTTCAGGAAAGTCAGCATTCACTGATCTGGGTGGGTTTGTTTCATGTTTCCAACAGGACTGGGACCCCTTGAGGGCAGGGAACACATCTTCTAAAACTCATTTATGCCTCAGAACAATTCTTTGAATAAGAGATTCTTATCCTGTTTTGCAGATGCAGAAACTGAGGTCTCGGAGAGGCCACGCAGGGAGTAGATGAGAGATTAAGGGCTGAGTTCTCATTTTGAAAGTGACTTGTTCTTAGATAAGGCCTTCAGGGACCATCTAGCTCAATGCTCCTTCCTTCCCTTCTTCAGCACACTGACCCAGAGAGAACTGACCTGCCCAAGGTGCCATAGAACCAAGCCTAGAACTTCTAGTCCAAGACTGTGTCTATTGTGCCACATTGCCCATTGCAGTCCCTCTGGCTTGTTCAGAACACAGCTGTGAAGACTTCACCTGATTTGTCATCTGCAGATTTTGAGGCGCTAACTAGTGCCATAACTCAGAGTGACCAAAATGGTCACAAGGCCTTGTGTGTGAGTGGCTGGCAGATCTTGGTGGCTTGCTAAAGACAGCTGGACACTGGGCTGGTGCTACAGCCAGCCCCTATAATAGGAACCCTGTCATCCTTCGAGAAGCACAAGATAATCTTTCTAGTGTAGGCATATGATGTAGATTGGGGTAGTGGTGTGCTGTTCAGGAAAAAAAACCAACTCTGATCTGTTGCATTTGCTGATTTCTATGCTGTAGAGACTCCCACCATGGCTAGTTTTAAGCTATCACTCTGACTTTACTACATGCAGAGTTAGGAAGAGATGGACACAATGGCTCTGGAGAGCTGGTTCAAGCTGGCTTCAGTACACTCCTGGATCAGACCAACCAGAGTCTGTCTTACTAATGAGCCTTACTGTCAATCGCATCACTCCAGGGGTGTCCACTGGACATGCGGTGGGGCGCTGTGGTTGTGGGTAGGCACAGGGGCAGGGCGGCCTCTTGCTCAGCCTCTGCAAGTCTCCTGATCCCCAGCCCAAGAGACCTTAAGTAAGATAGGGATGTCCATTGTTTATTAGCCAGTCTCAACTCCCCCTTTATTGACTGTCAGAATTCATTTAACAAATAATATTCTTTATTTTCAAATAGTTTCACACTCATAATAAGTTGCATACATAGTTTAGAGAGTTCTTGTGTACCCTTCACCCAGCTTCCCACAATGATAACATCTTACACAACCAAAGTACACTGTCAAAACCAGGAAACTGACATAGGTACAATGCCGTTAACTCAAAAACAGATCTTCTTTGGATTTTACAAGTTTCTACATTACATGCACTCTGTGTGTGTGCTTGTGTATGTTTCTCTGAAATTTTATCACATGTACGGGCTTGTATAACCATCACCACAATCAGGATACAGAACTGTTCTATCACCCCAAATAAACTTTCAGAGCTTTTTTCTAACAAAAATGCCCAGTATTAGAATGAAAACAGCATAGATTTTGGAGTCAGTCCTATTATTTTCAAATCCTAGTTTTTTCCACTGTGTGACCTTGGGTACATAGTTTAGCCTCTCTGAGCCTTACTTTCCTCATTTCCAAAATGTAGGATTGACCTACATTAGTAAGAGGCACAGCCAGAATTTGAACTCAGGTGGTCTGGTTCTAGAGTCCACACCCAGAATGACCATCCCACATTATTCATGAGAACAAGCCCTCCTCATGAACTCTGCAGAAACAACAAAAAAAGCATTAGAGAAAGCATTCCAGTACACGAAAACAAGAGTTTTGAGGCTCCTAACACCAGTTTATTTAGCACCTATTATGTGTACATATTGTGCTAGGTCCTGGGAATAGAATGCAGAGGAAAAAATGGATGTGGTTCCTGCCTCCCTGGAGCCCGCAATGCAGTGGTGGTGCCAGACACCAATTAAGGGATCATAAAAGTCAGTGTAAAATTATAAAACTAATTCAGCAGTGTGCTGAAGCAGTTTCCAGTGCTCTAAGGGCCTGTGAAGGAGGGTTTTGGTCTAGTCAGGATGGTCAGGGAAGTCATCCTTGAAGAGATAAGTGTGCAGAGATCTGAAGGAAAAGCAAGAGTTATTCAGGCAAAGAGGGAATGAGGGTGGCACCTCTGAGAAAGCATTCCAGGAAGAGGGAGCAGGAAGTGCAAAGAACCCATGATGGGAGGAAGCAGGGGTCACTCAAGGAAGTAAAAAGAGCTGTGGCTTGAGGGGACAGACAGGAAAGCAAGCTGTGAGAGGGCCTGGAGGGCCATGTGGGCCACAGAAAGACTTCAAGAGCCATAGAAATCCTTCCAGGAAGTTCCAGTGTGCCCTCAGGGGTGTATGTAGGAGACCCAGTACAATTTGAGGAATCTCCAAAAACCACTGAATTCTGACAACAACCCTGTGAGTGCCGTTCTCTCCCCTCTATAAATGAGAGGACTGATGACCCAGGGTCTTCAGAAAGTCTCCGCGTTACAGCCCTCTATCCTCACGGTATTTCTTCACCTCTTCTTGTCACGGCCCCTTTGGAAATCTGAAGAAAGCTAGTGGTAACCCTCGCCACCAGGAAACTGTACCCACACATTTTGAAAATCCTGCCAACACTTTCATGGGACTCATGAACCTCTTAAAACCCCCCAGACACTTAAAACCCTCCAGAACCCCTGACGAACTGATTTTAAAAGAGAATCCAAATTCCAGGAGGCCAAGGCGGTAAATGATGAATTCAAAGAGATGAACTGTCAAATGGGGGAATTTTAGGCAATAACCTAGATCAGGTAAGAGGGTGAGAAATTGGGACAGTTTTCTGTTGTGATGTGAGTTCCCAAGCGTCTAGGCCCAAATGGATGAGCTATGCCATCCATCCATCCACCCCTCAAAATATTCATGGGGCACCCCCCTGTACCAGGCCTTATACTCAATTCTGGGAGCACAGAGATGAATCAGACACAGATCCGGCCCTCGAGGACCCCAGTGGAAGCAGACTCAGCCACAGATAATTACTTTCAGGTTAGTACTAAAATAAAGGCAACTGCAAAACACAGAGCAAGGCCCAACAATTCTTTCCTTGCTGGGGCTTTAAAATATATCTCTTACAGATGAGAATATGGTAACAAACAACTGGAAGGAGAGTGCCAACCAGTGATGAAACTTTATCTTAAAGCTGTGGAGGAGCTAGCTTCACACTAGAAGCCTCCCCTGCTCATAAGATACCTGGGGGAGAGCCGGGGAAGGAAGGAGTTGAGAATCAAGAGTTAAAGGGCTAGAAACCTTTGCATGTCCCTAGGCTGCTGACTGCCCCCTAATGACAGGCTACAGAAGGCAGGGGTAAGTCTCTCTCTTCCTCAACCACTGAAGGGGTCCATTTCATCTGGTGAAAGGTCAGCCCCCGACCAAGGCTTGCGGGAAGGCCAGGACGCCATCACAGACCAGGCAGACATCAGGGCGAGATGGAGTGCTCACCTCAGGGATTCGGGTAAGCCTTCCCTGCCTCACTTAAGGCCACCAGAGAGGAGGTGTGGAGTTGAGTAAAGGCCTCTGTGGGTCTGTCTGCTCCATCCTCTCTTCTCACCATTCAACGTGAATTGCAGATTACCGAAGAACCGGAAGAGGCTAAGGTTCTAGTCCTGTCGTTGTGGATCCCGGAGTTTGTGATGTGTTATCTGAGGGCATGTGATAGTTCATTTGAGAATTGATAATAACCATTCGTTGATATGCCGGGCACCGAGGTACTTTCATCTCATAAGTTCACAGAGCTAGAAAATAGAAGAGGAATTTGAAACCAGTGGGCCAACTCCAAGGCCTGAGCTTCCAACCACTATACTCCTCTGTCTCCCTCTAAGAGAGATCTTGTGAGGACTGTGAGTTCCTCGCTAACACTCAGTGATGGCCACAGTGGCATTGTCCTAAAAAGCCATCTGCTCTCGTCCTTCGTGCTCTAGCTCCAGCAGCCTTCCCAGAGCACTACATCTTCACCTCTTTTGCAAGCTATCTTCACCTCTTTTGAGGCACAGATATTTTCTACTTTGTATTACATTTCTGCAACTACCTTCCTCTTTCCGCAAGGACGCAGATGCTCTTTGTGGACACGGGCACGTGTGCATCATCTTGATGCTCCACCTGGTGCTTAGGTTACGGCAGCCATCAATCGAGTCCTGTCCAGACTTCCAAGTAAGGAGCGGGTAATTTCCACCATCTTGGTCTTGGATAGGCAATGCTGCTAGGCACACAAATTCCGTCCCAGGGCCACAGACGACACCACTCTGGCCAGTGCCTCATAAACGTGCGTGTGAAGGACAGATTCGAGTCCATCTGCAGATCAATGACCGTGAGGAGCTGGCACATAGGGAAGAAAGCCAGGTCAAGCTATGAACTGCAGAGGAGTCTTGGACGCTGTGGGAAACGGCTCCTTCCCAGCTATAGCTGGAGCCAGGCCTGGCCCCTGGGTGACCTCACAGCCCGGCCTCTGCTAATTGGCTCATGGTGATACAGAGAGGCATGCTGGCGCAGAGGCTCTGTCCAATAGGAGAGCTCAATGTTGGACGGTGGCAAGCAGACCCAATCAGGGCCTTCCACTAAGAGCTCAGCTGCGTGGTGCAGCCTGGGACTGGAAATTTACCCTCAGCTTTTAACACCAGAAGTGGTGTTTCTGGGCCTCCATCTTTGCCTGTGGAGGAACAGGTAGTCGCACCCATAGTCGGCTGCATGAGGCCCTTATAGGGTTGCTGCAGGGCTGGTGGCACCCCCTAGACTCGCTCTCTCTTTTTTTAAGTCCAGCCGAATATCATAGGTGCGCTCTTTGGGGGCTTTGCCCCTGGAGTTTTGCTATTCCTGTTCTGTGATGTGTCTCTATCTCCTCCAGGAGATAGCTTGCTATCACTGCATTCTGTTCCTATAAGAAACAGAGAGACCTGGGAAATTGAATAAATTGCACAGTCATGCAGCTATGATGGAGCAGTTAGTATTCTGTCCCCGGTCTGTCTGTTACACAAGTCCTCTCTTAACCACATGAGGCAAAGTAGCAGAGGTAAGGAGCAATGTTTGCTCCCAGCAGAATTTCACAAAGCCCTTGACTCGTGACAGCGCAGCCCTCCTGCTCTTAAGATGATGAGCGGGATAGAGCACAGGTTCCCACATCTCTTGCCCGAATCACAGCATTTTTAGAAAAAAATAAGTTCAATGATCCTGGCCCTTGCCTCTTCCTGTGCATAAGGTACTGACAGGACTAATGATTGTGCCTCTGTAATCTATAAACACATGTACCCTCGCACCCAAACTTTCATAAGATTTTGCTCTAATGTAACTTCTTAGTAGGTTTGATGTAACTTCTGAGCACATGCAGAACCACTTCCACCTTCATATAAACTGGACTTAAATACTGCTTTGAAGCAGCCTAACATAAACTCTCTGAAAGACTACCAGGTTGCGATCCTCTTAATAAAACTAATTCTTAGGCTGGGGACGGTGGCTCACACCTGTAATCCCAGCACTTTGGGAGGCCAAGGTGGGCAGATCACCTGAGGTCAGGAGTTCGAGACCAGCCTGGGCAACATGGTGAAACCCCCGTCTCTACTAAAAATACAAAAATTAGCCGGGTGTAGTGGCGCACGCCTGTAATCCCAGCTACTGAGGAGACTGAGGCAGGAGAATCGCTTGAACCCAGAAGGCAGAGGTTGCAGTGAGCCGAGATGGCGCCATGTCACTCCAGCCTGGGTAACAGAGTGAGACTCTATCTCAAAAAATAAAAAATAAAAACTATTTCAAAGCCTGATTTTTCTTTAGTTGGCAACCACAAGGCTGTAGTGTTCCCCCTAGGTGGTCTTGGAACCCACCCTGTCTTCACAACCCAACACAGTCTTTGTCAGCCAACATTCCTGAGTACATCCTTCTCGTCTCCATTTCACAGGCTCAGAGAGGTGAAGTGACTTGCTCAAAACTGCACAGGCACTGAGTATCAGAACTCAGTTTTGCACCCAGTTCTGTATGACTCCAAGGTCTTCATAATTCAAAGTAAAACTGAGCTTCTGGTTAGAGTCTTGTGTGGTTGGATACTTCCTGGGTGTTTGCCTTGGCTCACCACAAGCCTGGAAGCATAGGGAGGGCATGACACCTGTATGCTGGGGTTTGGCATAGGGCTGAGCACACAGTAGGTCATGAATACATGCAGGCTCCGTGAAAGTATTCTCTCTTGTCTCCTTTCTTCATTGCCTGGTGTCATGATTAGGTCACCCAGGAGACACAATTACCTTAGTACAAATCCATCAGTTCCTCAAAACTAGTGATTGACAATAGAACAATGAATGATTGGTAAGCCTATTGCTGCCTTGGCAGACCCGTGGTGAATTTCTCATCAGACCTTCAAGGCTGGCAGGTCGACATAGCACATGGGAAAGAGCACAGGCTCAGAAGTCAGAAAGGATTTCAGACCTTGCCTCTAATTTACTTTCTGTAGGACTATGTCTGGTTTCAGTTTCTACCACCATATGTAATAATCATCAACTTGGTAAGTGCCCAGCACATTCATTTCCAAATGTCCAAATATATATATGACAGCTAGGAAAATTGATCCAAAAAGATGACTCATTCCTGGGTCTCCTAACTCTAGGTCTGATCCTTTTCTCCAAATTAATGTCTCAATCTTAGTAAGCCATACTTGGGTTCAAATCCTGGCTCTACAAAGTTTTTGTTGCCTGATCTTGGTTGGGCAAGGATTGAATGGAATAACTAAATATAAATATTAAGTGCAGTCATGATTACAGTATAGACTGCGGTTTTCTGACCCTGCTACTGAATGTATAATCCTTGAAGGCAAGCCTTTTTCTTATTCATCTTAGTTACCTATCTAAGTAGCTCTGGCCACACACAGGTACATTTACTGAGCACCTACTACATGCTGAAGCACTTACTACATACCCACTGTGCTGAAGCCTCCACATGCATCATCTCTTCCACTCCTCACAGAAATTCTGTGAATGGATCATATTACCCCATCTTGCAGATGTGGCCACTGAGGATCAGAAAGTTGAAGTGATTTCATTAACACAGTGCCAAGTTTCAACACAGGTCTGTCTGATTCCAGAGCCCACGTGGTTGATCGCTGTGCCACCCAGCTTTGCTGAGAAGTTGTTCAGTAACCATGATAAATGGGTGATGAATTGTACAGTTGAGTCAATCAACAGCCAGTTCAGGCAGCCAGACCTACAAAGCATGTGATTTTGTCATCTATGAGTTCTTACCTCCAGTGACATCTGAAAGAGGGCTTTCTCTAGTCAGCCTCTCTTTCCCCAGAGCCCTGGAGTTAGGCAGCTCTCTTGGGGCAAAAGCCTGCCTCCTGAAGCCTGGCCTGGCCCCCCAGTGAAGGCAGAGGGCTTGGCGCTGTGCTGAATGCATATTAGGCACTCTGGACACCTTGTCAGCTGATGGAAAGATCAATTGGTTGATGGAGAGAGCTCATGGGACACAGCCCTAGTTGTGAAACTACTCTTAGTTCCAGAGCAAGGAGAATTTCTTCCGGTCCATCTTAGGAGGGAGGGCTGCCTGAGGGCCAAACACCCTCATGGGAATTGAGAAGCTTATAGGGACAGATGCAGGTGTGGTAGGTGGTCCTGAGATTTTCCAGTCCCTTCCCCTCTCCCTGTCCTGTGAATGTCTCCACAGCCAGCCTAACAATCATGTGGTGCACTGGAGTTCACAACACGCTTTCACATACGTGACCCCATTTTAGAGCCTTACAGCAATGCTTTTTAGGTAGTTGTGGATGGGAAGCAGCATGGCCTGATGGCAGAGCCCAAGTTGTAAAGTCATCAGAGCTGGTCCAGATCTCAGCTCTACCACTTCATAACCTTATGACTTTGGGAAATTTTCTAAACCTCTCTGAATCTGGGCTTTCTTTCTCTGTAAAATGGGGATAAGAATAGTCCCTCCGTCACAGGGCATTGCGAGAAGTAGGTGCTATTTGTAAAGTTTCCAAGAACTCAAAAAATGAATATTTTAAAATTAGGTATTCCTTACATAGTTATTATATAGTCTGTTGCCCCTTGGATACATGACTTGCCCAAGGTCACTCAGCTCGTAAGCAGCAGAGCTGGGACTCACACTTGGTTTTCCTGGTCCTGAGGGATGGTAGCAGTCGGTGCTTATTGTATTCCAGCTGACCTGAATAGGATGGGAGAAGTGTGTTGCCTATGTTCATATCATGCTTCTTAGGGATAGAAGTAGACATCAAGTTGGGGAGGGGTCTGGCACTCAGAGGTAGCAGCATGGAAGCAGGGCGGGATGGAAGGTAACTGAGATCCCCTTTGCTGGGCCTGGCATCCTTTCCAGCTCCCTGCCTGTGGTCTCCTCCCTGCATGTCCTCTGCCTGAGGTCTCCTCCCTGCCTGTCCTCTGCCTGTTGCTGTAACTTTCCGGTGTCTTGATGATTTCCCAAGATGAATGCACCACACCTCAAATGAGCTGTTTGCCCAAATGATAGGATGCTCTTGGTTCATCCAATGAATGAATATTTATGAAGTCTCTACAAGGTCTACAACCCTGTAATCAGGGCTGGAGGGCGGAGATGCTGGACAACAAAAGATCTGGGCCCGCAAGGATTTTCCAATACAGCAGTGGACCCAAAACACAGTACTGGGTGGATGTATTTCTGCCCCCTCCACCTACTTCCTAATTTATGCCCACCTAGCATCAGTCCTTCCTTTTAAGTCTGCACGTGGCGGGTGGAGCTCGGCTGAAGTCCCCGAGGGCTGCTTGGCTGGGTGGGTTTAGAGACAGCCAAGAGCAGACAGCTATTTGACATTCCCTGGGAGAGGGAGGAATGAATCATAGTTGTCTTGGGTGGTGAATGTCAGCTGGCCCTGTCGCTAATCAATACTGGGCCCAGTGGATCACGAGGCTGGGAGATCGAGACCACGGTGAAGCCCTGTCCCTACTAAAAATACAAAAAATTAGCCGGGCGCGGTGGCGGGCGCCTGTGGTCCCAGCTACTCGGGAGGCTGAGGCAGGAGAATGGCGTGAACCTGGGAAGCGGAGCTTGCAGTGAGCCGAGATCGCGCCATTGCACTCCAGTCTGGGCGACAGAGTGAGACTCCGTCTCAAAAAAAAAAAAAAAAAAAAAAAAAAAAAAAAAAAAAAAAAAAAAATCTGGGCCCAGAAGTGGTAGATTCTCGGAGAAGAGAACCGGGGCAGGGTGTCCTCTACGTCCCTGACTCTCAGGCCTTACCCAGAAGGCAACTGGTCTTCTGGGAAGGCAAGATGGCAAGGGGAAGCTTGGATGCTTTGGGCCTCTTATTGGAGCCTTTTCTTTAGCCTAAGGTCTTCTTTGTGCCAGCCTATCACCTCCATAGCATGTGACAAGTTTAAGAATGTGCTACTTCCTAGGCCTCTGGGACCCACTTTCTCGTCCTTTTTCCTTAAAAAGAAATGAGTCTTATTTTATTATTAAAGGAATACTACACGCCTAAACCATTTGGAAAAAGGGAAATGTAGAAAGAACTCTTAAAACCATATTTAGACCCACCACTCAAAGCCAACCACAAGTTTTGGCATCTTTTATTTGAATCCTTTAGAAAACACTTTGACATTATGCTAAGTGAAGTAAACCAGTTACAAAAAGGCAAATACTGCACGATTCCACTTCTGTGAGGTATCTAAAGTCATTCAAACTCATAGAAACAGAAAGTAGGGTGCTGGTTGCCTGGGACTCAAGAGAGGGGAATGAGGAGTTGTTTGGTGGGTATAGATTTTCGGTCATGCAAGATTAAGAAGTTCTAGAGCTGGCCGGGCGCGGTGGCTCACGCCTGTAATCCCAGCACTTTGGGAGGCCAAGGGGGGGGCGAATCACGAGGTCAGGAGTTCGAGACCAGCCTGGCCAACATGGTGAAACCCCGTCTCTACTAAAAATACAAAAAATTAGCCGGGCATGGTGGCGGGTGGCTATAATCCCAGCTACTCAGGAGGCTGAGGCAGGAGACTCGTTTGAACCCGGGAGGCAGAGGTTGCAGTGAGCCGAGATCGTGCCACTGCACTCCGGCCCCAGCGACAGAGTGAGACTCTGTCTCAAAAAACAAAACAAAACAAAAAAAAGTTCTAGAGCTCTGTTATATGACAACGTGCGTATAGTTAACACTACTGTACACTTAAAAATAGTTAAGGGAGTAAATTTATGTTGTGGAGGTTTTTTTTTTTTTTAACCACAATTACAAAAAACACTTTGTATGTGTCTGCTCTACTAGAGGTGAAAGTCTGTGTCCTGCTGTAGTCACTTAATGTAAAATATTAAAGCAAATCTAGATTTTTGCTGCCATTATTTTGAATGGATACATCATATTTCACTAGGTTGAGATACCGTAATTTACTTCACATTGCCCTCTGGGACGCTGTGGTAGTTATTCCACTGTATAAGTAAGGATGCAGTGAGAATTTCATATACAAGGGTTTTCCCTGTTCACAATAACCTAAGCAAGTCTCCCTGAAGAGAAGGTACAGGATCAAAGGATATCAACATATCAAGGGCTTTTAAGACCCATTGCCAAATTGTTTTCCAAAACAGTTGTACTAATTTCCACTCCCACCAGCCACGAATGAGAGCTCCTCTTTCAACCACGCCCTTGGCAACCTTGGCTATTATCATTTCCTCAAATCTGGGCTGATTTGATAGGCAACCATTTGCATCTCATTTTAATTTTTAATTCCTTCAATAACTAATGAGACGGAACATCTTTCCATGTGTTCGTGAATTGCTTATTCCTGTCTTCTAACCTTTCCTTCATCCATTTAGCTTTCGGCATCTGCAAGGTTTTTCTCGTAGAGTTGTATAAGTTCTCCCAGGACTGAGTTTCTGCTACATCACAGTCTGGGATGGCACAGGCAGCATCCCCTTCTCTAGCCCTTTCCCCCATCAGAGGCGCCTCTCCCCATCTCCCTAATTCCTATTCATTCTTCAAGGACCAGTTAAGGCTCCACCTTCTCTCAAAAGCCCACCCTGCTAGGCCCAATATCTCTTTTTCTTCCCCTCTCCACTTCATTTAAACACAATTAGGCATTTTAGAACGTGGTTATATTTTCAGGATCGTTCAGGTTGGGTCTCTGTGTTCCACCACATCCTGTCTCCCAGGGAGTATGGGGCTCCCCTGCATTAGTGCAATGCTAGGCACAAAATAAGTGAACTTGGCAGCAACCTGCCAGCTCTAAAACTAAAGCCTAGACTTCCTCTGGCCTCTGGCCAAGCCATAGACTTCCACTTCGGGAAAATCATGGTGTTTTGGTGACAGGTGGACTTGGGTTCCAATCCCAGCTCCTCCACTAACTTAACAGGACTAAATTCTTCGCCCTTGCTGGGCCTTTGTTCTCTTGGTTGGCAAATGGGATAACGGCTTTTATCTCACTTGGTGATGTGAGGATTAAATGAAGTAATTTGAAACAAGGGTTTTGAACAGTTCTTGGTATAAAATAAACACTTAAAAAAAACACAGGAGCTATTATTGTTTCTTCACCACCATTCATGTCTCTCCCCTCCTTCAGAAAACTTGGTTTTTCCAAGATGTCATCTCTGTTGGTTTCCTACTGCCACTGCGATGAATTACCCCAAACTTAGTGGTTTAAAACAACACAGATGTATCCTCTTACAGTTCTACGTATTAGAAGTCTGAAATGGGGCTGGGTGCGGTGACTCATGCCTGTAATCCCAGCACTTTAGGAGGCTGTGGCAGGAGGATCATTTGAGGCCAGGAATTTGAGACCAACCTGGACAACATAGTGAGACCCCATCTCTACAAAAAGTAAAAAAATTAACCAAGTGTGGTGGTGCGTGCCTGAAGTCCCAGCTGGTCAGGAGGCTGAGGTAGGAGGATTGCTTAAGCCCAGGAGGTCGAAGCTGCTGTGAGCTATGACTGTGCCACTGCACTCTAGCCTGGGTGACAGAGACCTTGTCTCAAAGAGATAAAAATAAATAAAAATAAAGAAGTCTGAAGTGGGTTTTGCTGGATCAAATCCAGATGTCATCAGGGCCATGCTCCCTCCAAGGCTCCAGGGAAGAATCTATTTTCTTCTTTTTATCAATTTCTAGAGGTTGCCTCCATCCCTTGGCTTGTGACCCCTTCCTCCATCTTCAAAGAACATCACTCTAACCTCTGCCTTCTGTCCTCACTTCTCTTTCTGTATCTCTGAACTTTCTGACCATAAAACCTGGTGATTACATTGGGTCCACCCAGATAATCTCTCGTGTCAAGATCCTTAGCTTAATTACATCTGCAAAGTCCCTTCGAGCAGGTGAGGTAACATATTCACAAGCTCTGGGGATTAAGACTGCACATTTTAGGGGCCATCATCCAGCCTGCTTTCCTATTTGTGCCTGCTTGATTTGGCCTCCACAACCCTGTGCACTTGGCTGTTCGGCATCCTCCAGGAAGGGGCGAGAGGGAAAAAAGAATGGTCCCTGAGCAAGCCCTGTAGTAGGTTTCCTGATTCACCTGGGGGTAGAGATTCTGACATTTCCATAAGGAAATGGAGGCTTAGAGAGGCTTGGTGCTTATCTAAGATCACACAGCACAGCCAGGTTTAGTGCCCTCCCGGGCTGGCTGACTCCAGATCTCTGTTCCTTTCACCACCCAAGGATGGTGTCTCACATTCAGGGTTGTTCTCTATTCATTTAAATTCGGTCCAACACACAGGTCTTGAGCAGGTACCTACCTTGAGGAAGGCAACATACGATAGATAACATAGTTTTCTGTAATTTTATGTAGAATAGCTATCTGATTTTAGGCGAGTCATGTTGACTGTCAACCTTAGTTTCCTCCTGTGCGAAAGGAGGCAGAGGTCATAGAAAAAAAGAAGGCCACGAACAACCACTTCACAGGGGAGGAAACTCAAATGGCCAGGAAGTGTGTGAAAAGATGTTTCACCTCATTCATAATCAAGGAAATGCAAACTCAAACAATAATGAGAACCTCCATGGTTCTCTTTGCCTCATCAAGTGGAATTTGACCTTTGGGATGATGTAAGCTGTGGGCTCTATCTCTTGGTCTGCCCTACTTTTTTTTTCTTTCTTTTTGTTTTTTTTTGTTGTTGTTTGTTTGTTTTTGAGAAAGGATCTCACTCTGTCACTGGACTGTAGTAGCACAATCATGGCTCACTGCAGCCTCCGCCCCCTGGGCTCAAAAGATCCTCCCACCTCAGCCTCTCAAGTAGCTGGGACTACTGGTGCACACCACCAAGGTCAGCTAATTTTTTTTTTTGTATTTTCTTTTGTAGAGACTGGGTCTCCCTGTGTTGCCCATGCTAGTCTTGAACTCCTGAGCTCAAGTGATCTGCCTGCCTCAGTCTCCCAAAGTGTTGGGATTACAGGCATGAGTCACTGTGCCTGGCCTGCCTACATTTCTAGAAGCAGATAGTGTGCTCCACAAATGCTATTGGTGGCTTCAAACTCATCATCCCAGAACTCCAAATGTTCAATCTGGTTTGGGAGAAAATGCCTGAGAGTTGATCCCACATGTTGATTTAAACCAAAACCTTCAAAATATTTGGAGGAGGTAGAGGATGAAGTGTGTGCTAAGGAAAAGAAGAGTCATCTCTGGCCAGCCCATCCTGTTTCCAAGGGAAACCTTGTTCTCAAGACAGGCACCTAACAGAACTGCCTTTTCAATGTATCTGTTTACTCACGTATTGTTTATTCACTCCTAATCCCTCTGAGGACAGGGACCTCGTCTGTCTTGTTCATTATATTTACGATATTGCCTGGTGCATAGTAGGTCAAGGAATACGTGTCAAGTTGAATGAAGGAATTGCTTCTCTCTGGACCTCAGTTTTCTTATCTGGAAATTGATCGGGCTGAACTTAGTTTTGATTCATTGGTTGGTTCATTGATTCATTAAAAAATTTTGATTAAGCCCTTCTATGCCAGGCCCTTGCTAGATGTTAGGTATATGGTGTTGAAAAAAACAGACGACAGCTTTGATCCCACCATGGAGCCAGACAGTCACTACTTTCACACAATTAACTTTAATGATACACTGTGATAAGTGCTCCAAAGGAGAAAATACAGAGTTCTATGAGGGCATTTATTTAACAGGGGAGACCTCTAAATCTAGAAATCAAAACACCTTGTTAGAACTGCCAGTCCTCAAGCAAACCTATTTTTTTGATAAGCAAATGAATGTCCCCATGATGAAGAGCTCCAGACCAGTTGAAGTGGCTCAAATCCCATGAAGCCAGTGATTTGCTGGACCCCACCAAAGATTCCTATCCCGTGGGGCTGTGGTCCCTCCAGTTCCGCCATCAATAGGTTGGAACTCACCTTGTTCAGGTACCTTCAACCGTTCTCTATTTCCAGACTCCTCACACTAGAATCAAGGTCTTCTGTAATCTGACTCCCACTTTTCTGGTGAGCCTTATCTGTCCCACACTCTGCACTCCAACAATGCTGGGCTGACCCCAGCATTGCCACTCACTACCACGGGGCCTGGGCCAGGACCTCGGTTTTGTCACCGGTGACATAATGGGATCGGACTAACATGATGTTCAGGTTTTATAAATGGTATGTGATTCTGGGATTACTCCCTTAAAGCACTGCACACTTTTCGCCTTCATGCTTTTACCCAAGCTGTGCTGTCTGCCTGGAAGACCACAGTTGCCACCTGTGATCTCTGTGAAATGAGACTGATATTCTAGATTTCTCTCCTTCACAATGGAGCTCAAATACCATCTTCTCCAAGAAGTTCTTTCTCCATGTTTTCAGAACAATATGTTTGACACTTTATTAGGATACTTATTACCTTCTACCATGCACAGCTGTGTACAGACACTATAACCTAGTGTTTGACTGTGGACTCGGCAGTAAAATAAACCAGGGTTCAGATCCCAGCTTTGCCACTTATTAGCTGTGCAAACTTGGCAAGTCATTTAACTCTCTGAGCTTCCATTACCTTATCTGTGAAATGGGAATTATAAAGCCTTCACTGTGTTGTACAAACTAAATGTGAAAATAAACAGGAAGTATTTCATGGTACTTGGCAAGCAGCAAGGGCTAAACCCACGGTCACTCTCTCTTACTACATTCTAAGTCCCTTTGTGATAGGAACTAGAGCTTATCCATTTCTGTACCCCCCAGAGAGCTTAAAGAAGAAAAGAGAAATGAACTAACCGATGATTCCACATCTACTACAGGCCAGGCATTGTCCTGTACATACATATTCCTTTTAATTCTCACAACTCAGTGAAGTAGGTATTATAATTACTCCCATTTTACAGATGAGGGAATTGAGGCTCAGAGAAGTGAAGTGCCTTACCCAAGGCCATGCAGATGATAATTGGTGGAGCTGAGATCTGAGCAGGGATGTGTGCCTCCAGAGGCCAAACTGGCTCTGAGTAATTCAAATGAACTTGTTCAGCACAGCTTAATATGTCTCCTAGAAACTACTCCCAAAGTTTACGGCATTGTCAGTTTACTTCTATTTCCCACGTGAGAGTGCAGGCTCCTTGAGAGCAGGGTCTGTGTCTTACTCCTTGTTATTTCCCATAGCCCCAAATATCTACAAGTGTGCCTTAGACATAGTCATTTGCTGGATGGATAAACAGATGGGTGGGTGGATGGATAGATGGAAGGATGGATGGATGGTTGGATGGATGGATGGATGGATGGATGGATGGATGGATAGATAGATGGATGGAAGGATGGATGGATGGATGGATGGATGGATGGATGGATGGATGGATAGATGGATGGATGGATGGATGGATAGAGGGAGGGTGGGAGGGATGGATGGATGGATGGATGGATGGATGGATGGATGGATAGATGGATGGAAGGATGGATGGATGGATGTACAGAGGAACCAATGAGTGCATGAATACAAGAGTCCCCAGAGGAAGTGCTTGCCTACCAAGCATTCTACTCGAATAGCTCTCTGCTCCCTTCCCCAGGGACAGCCCAAGGGCCTGGCTGAGAGTGGAAAAGACTGTGAGAGAAAAGTAGGGAAGAAAACACACCCCATGTGACCACCAAGCGTCTCTCAAGGTGTCATTATGGTGGAAGCCACAGTTGTCAGATTCCAGCTGCAGTAGTCACACTGGCCTCTGGCCTCTGGAATGCCACCACGGTGGGGCAGACTTCTTGGTGACCATTAAGTGTGGAGCCAGGGTCTGATTCATGCTGCAATCTTTCCTCCCCCTTTCTCTCCACCAGCGCCCACTGCCCCACCCTGATTCTTGACCACAAGGAGATAGACCACGGGTCAGGTTTTACACAGAGCCATCAAATCCCCAGAGAGGGTTTTGGCCCAGGAAGTAGGTCAAAAGCCACTACCTTATTATGGAAACAGTAGCAAAGGCCCAAGATGCTTAATCACCAGGCTTGACTGATGGTATCACTGTCTCCCCGCATACCCGGGAGGGAGGGAGGGAGGGAGCTGAGGGCGATGTGAATATCCCCAGCCCACACTCACTTGGGCGGGATGAAGGAGATGATGTGTTCAAAGGGCACACATCACCCGTAGCACAGGGCCTGGCCTGTAGTAAGCGCTCAGTAAATGGGAGCTGCAATTATTAGTGTTACCAATTATCATTAAAGGTAATTAACTGCTACTGAAGTGGTGCTTCACTCTGGCTACATCTAGAAAGGATTTTAAGCCCACGGTTTGGAACCCAAGTCCATGTCACACCCCAAAGTAATGAAAAGAAAAGGTAAAAAGGAAAGATTGTGTTTACTTAGTACGAGGTAATCCATAAAGTAGAATCCGGGGCAGCTGTTAAGTCACTGGGTGGTGCCATATTTATTGCCAGTGTTTGGACTGTAGTGCCTAGGTGCCCAGCTGTGAAGTCAGAGGGACTGTCAACTTAGTGCCATCACTTATGCTTCCAGAGCCTCACTTTCCCACTCTGTAAAACTAATATACAAAGTCCTACCTGTGGACTTGTTGAATGATTAAATGTGCACTGATATCCCCTAGCTTGGCCACAAATGAGATCCCTGGAATAATGATATGAATATAAATCCTGCATTTTCAGGACCACAGCAGGTGGGTCTAATACCTCAGACCACAGACCTACTTGGGGAACTGTGGAGTCAATCTATACATGGGCTTAGCACAGTTCTTGGCGTTAGTAACTTCTCAGTAAATATAGTCATTCCTCGGTGTCTGAGGGGGATTCGTTCCTGAACCCCACAGGGATACCAAAATCTGAGGATGCTCAGGTCCTTGATATAAAATGATGTAGTATTTGCATATAACATATGCACATCCTCCCATATACATTTTTTTGAGGGGACAGGGTCTTGCTCTGTTGCCCAGGCTGGAGTGCAGTGGTGTGATCACAGCTCACTGCACCCTTGACCTCCTAGGCAAATGCAATCCTCCTACCTTGGCCTCCTGAGTAGCTGGGACCATAGGCATGTGCCACCATATCCTAATTTTTTTGTACTTTTTGTAGAGACAGCGTTTCACCATGTTGGCCAAGCTGGTTTTGAACTCCTGAGCTCAAGCCATCCGTCCCCACCTTGGCCTCCCAAAGTGTTGGGATTTCAGGCATGAGCCACTGTGCCCAGTCCCCTCCAGTATACTTTATTTTTTATTTTTTTGAAGCAGAGTCTTACTCTGTCTCCCAGAGAGGTGTGATCTCAGCTAACTGCAACCTCCACCTCCTGGGTTCAAGGGATTCTTGTGCTTCAGCCTCCTGAGTAGCTGGGATTACAGGCATGTGCTAACACACCTGGCTAATTTTTTGTATTTTTAGTAGAGATGGGGTTTTGCCATGTTGGCCAGGCTAGTCTTGAACCCTTGACCTCAAGTGATCTGTCTATCTCTGCCTCCCAAAGTACTAGGATTACACGTGTAAGCTACTGTGCCCAGCCCCCTCCTGTATACTTTAAATCATCTCTAGATTACTTATGATACCTTGTATCATGTACATTGTATTCAATGTAAACTCTATGTAAATAGTTGTTCTACTGTATTGGTTTTTATTTGCATTATTTTTATTGTTGTAATGTTATTTGTTATTGTATTTTTTAAATTATACTCTAAGTTCTGGGATACATGTGCAGAACATGCAGGTTTGTTACGTAGATATACATGTGCCATGGTGGTTTGCTGTACCCACCAACCCGTCATCTACATTAGGTATTTCTCCTAATGCTATTCCTCCACTTGCCCCCCACCCTCTGACAGGCCCTGGTGTGTGATGTTCCCCTCTCTGTGTCCATGTGTTCTCATTGTTCAACTCCCACTTATGAGTGAGAACATGTGGTGTTTGGTTTTCTGTTCCTGTGTTACTTTGCTGAGAATGATGGTTTCCAGCTTCATCCATGTCCCTGCAAATGACATGAACTCATCCTTTTTTATGGCTGCATAGTATTCCATGGTGTATATGTGTCGCATTTTCTTTATCCAGTCTATCATTGATGGGCATTTGGGTTGGTTCCAAGTCTTTGCTGTTGTGAACAGTGCTGCAATAAACATATATGTGCATGTGTCTTTATAGTAGAATGATTTATAATCTTTGGGTATATACCCAGTATATACCCAAAGGATTATACTGTGGGATTGTTGGGTCAAATGGTATTTCTGGTTCTAGACCCTTGAGGAATCACCACACTGTCTTCCACAATGGTTGAACTAATTTACACTCCCACCAACAGTGTAAAAGCATTCCTGGCCAGGTGTGATGGCTCAAGCCTGTAATCCTAGCACTTTGGGAGGCTGAGGCAGGCGGATCATGAGGTCAAGAGATCGAGACCATCCTGGCCAACACAGTATAACCCCGTCTCTACTAAAAATACAAAAATTAGCTGGGCATGGTGGAGCACGCCTGTAGTCCCAGCTACTCGGGAGGCTGAGGCAGGAGAATTGCTTGAACCCAGAAGGTGGAGGTCTCAGTGAGCTGAGATCATGCCACTGTACTCCAGCCTGGCAACAGAGTGAGACTCCGTCTCAAAAAAAAAAAAAAGCTTTCCCATTTCTCCACATCCTCTCCAGCATCTATTGTTTCCTGGCTTTTTAATGATTGCTGTTCTAACTGGCATGAGATGGTATCTCATTGTGGTTTTGATTTGCATTTCTCTAATGACCAGCAATGATGAGCTTTTTTTTCATGTTTGTTGACTGCATAAATGTCTTCTTTTGAGAAGTGTCTGTTCATATCCTTTGCCCACCTTTTGATGGGGTTGTTTGTTTTTTTTCTTGTACATTTGTTTAAGTTCCTTGTAAATTCTGGATATTAGCCCTTCGTCAGATGGATGGATTGCAAAAATTTTCTCCCATTCTTTAGGTTGCCTGTTTACTCTGATGATAGTTTCTTTTGCTGTGCAGAAGTTATTTCATTTAATTAGATCCTATTTGTCAATTTTGGCTTCTGTTGCCATTGCTTTTGGTGTTTTAGTCATTAAGTCTTTGCCCATGCCTATGTCCTGAATGGTATTGCCTAGATTTTCTCCCAGGGTTTTTATGGTTTTAAGTCTTACATTTAAGTCTTTAATCCATCTTGAGTTAATTTTTGTATAAAGTGTAAGGAAGGGGTCCAGTTTCAGTTTTCTGCATATGGCTAGCCAGTTTTCCCAATACTATTTATTAAATAGGGAATTCTTTCCCCATTGCTTGTTTTTGTCAGATATGTCAAAGATCAGATGGTTGTAGATGTGTGGCATTATTCCTGAAGCCTCTGCTCTGTTTCATTTGTCTGTGTATCTGTTTTGGTACCAGTACCATGCTGTTTTGGCTACTGTAGCTTTGTAGTATAGTTTGAAGTCAGGTAGCATTATGCCTCCAGCTTTGTTCTTTTGCTTAGGATTGTCTTGGCTATATGGGCTCTTTTTTGGTTCCATATGAAATTTAAAGTAGTTTTTTTTAATTCTGTGAAGAAAGTCAATGGTAGTTTGATAGGGATAGCATTGAATCTACAAATTACTTTGGGCAGTATGGCCATTTTCACAATATTGGTTCTTCCTATCCATGAGCATGGAATCTTTTTCCATTTGTTTGTGTCCTCTCTTATTTCCTTGAGCAGTGGTTTGCAGTTCTCCTTGAAGAGGTCCTTTACATCCCTTGTAAGTTGTATTCCTAGGTATTTTATTCTCTTTGTAGCAATTGTGAATGGGAGTTCACTCAAGATTTGGCTCACTGCTTGTCTATTATTGGTGTATAGGAATGCTTGTGATTTTTGCACATTGATTTTGTATCCTGAGACTTTGCTGAAGTTGCTTGTCAGCTTAAGGAGATTTTGGGCTGAGACGATGGGGTTTTCTAAATATAAAATCATGTCATCTGCAAACAGATGCAATTTGACTTCCTCTCTTCCTATTTGAATACTCGTTACTTCTTTCTCTTGCCTGATTGCCCTGGCTAAAACTTCCAATACTATGTTGAATAGGAGTGGTAAGAGAGGGCATCCTTGTCTTGTGCTGGTTTTCAAAGGGAATGCTTCCAGCTTTTGCTCATTCAGTATGATATTGGCCGTGGGTTTGTCATAAATAGCTCTTATTATTACGTATATGAGATACATTCCATCAATACCTAGTTTATTGAGAGTTTTTAACATGAAGCGGTGTTGAATTTTATCGAAGGCCTTTTCTGCATCTATTGAGATAATCATGTGGTTCTTGTCATTGGTTCTGTTTATGTGATGGATTACCTTTATTGATTTGCATATGATGAACCAGCCTTGCGTCCCAGGGATGAAGCCAACTTAATCGTGTGGCTAAGCTTTTTGATATGCTGCTGGATTCAGTTTGCCAGTATTTTATTGAGGATTTTTGCATCGATGTTCATCAGGGATATTGGCCTAAAATTTTCTTTTTTTGTTGTGTCTCTGCCAGGTTTTGGTATCAGGATGATGCTGGCCTCATAAAATGAGTTAGGGAGGAGTCCCTCTTTTTCTATTGTTTGGCATCGTTTCAGAAGGAATGGTATCAGCTCCTCTTTGTACCTGTGGTAGAATTCGGCTGTGAATGCGTCTTGTCCTGGGAGTTTTTTGGTTGGTAGGCTATTAATTACTGCCTCAATTTCAGAACTTGTTATTGGTCTATTCAGATATTTGACTTCTTCCTTGTTTAGTCTTGGGAGGGTGTATGTGTTCAGGAATTTATCCATTTCTTCTAGATTTTCTAGTTTATTTGCGTAGAGGTGTTTATAGTATTCTCTGATGGTAGTTTGTATTTCTGTGGGATCAGTAGTGATATCCCCTTTATCATTTTTTATTGTGTCTACTTGATTCCTTCTCTTTTTTATTCTTTACTAGTCTGGCTAGCGTTCTATCTATTTTGTTAATCTTTTCAAAAAACCAGCTCCTGGATTCATTGATTTTTTGAAGGGTTTTTCGTGTCTCTATCTCCTTCAGTTGTGCTCTGATCTTAGTTATTTCTTGTCTTCTAGCTTTCGAATTTGTTTGCTCTTGCTTCTCTAGTTCTTTTAATTGTGATGTTAGGGTGTCAATTTTAGATCTTTCCTGCTTTCTCCTGTGGGTATTCAGTGCTATAAATTTCCCTCTAAACACTGCTTTAGTTGTATCCCAGAGATTCTGGTATGCTGTGCCTTTGTTCTCATTGGTTTCAAAGAACTTATGTATTTCTGCCTTAATTTTATTATTTACCCAGTAATCATTCAGAAGCAGATTGTTCAGTTTCCATGTAGTTGTGCAGTTTTGAGTGAGTTTCTTAATCCTGAGTTCTAATTTGATTGCACTGTGGTCTGAGAGACTGTTTGTTATGATTTTTGTTCTTTTGCATTTTCTGAGGAGTGTTTTACTTCCAACTATGTAGTCAATTTTAGAATAAGTGTGATGTGGTGCTGAGAATAATGTATATTCTGTTGATTTGGGGTGCAGAGTTCTGTAGATGTCAGTTAGGTCCACTTGGTCCAGAGCTGAGTTCAAGTCCTGAATATCCTTGTTAATTTTCTGTCGCATTCATCTGTGTAATATTGATAGTGGGGTTAAAGTCTCCCACTATTATTGTGTGGGAGTCTAAGTCTCTTTGTAGGTCCCTAAGAACTTGCTTTATGAACCTGAGTGCTCCTGTATTGGGTGCATGTATATTTAGGATAGTTAGCTCTTCTTGTTGCATTGATCCCTTTACCATTATGTAATGCCCTTCTTTGTCTTTTTTGATCTGTGTTGGTTTAAAGTCTGTTTTATCAGAGACTAGGATTGCAACCCCTGCTTTTTTTTTTTTTTTTGGCTTGGTAAATATTCCTCCATAGCTTTATTTTGAGCCTATGTGTGTCTTTACACATGAGATGGGTCTCCTGAATACAGCACACCAATGGGTCTTGACTCTATCCAATTTGCCAGTCTGTGTCTTTTAACTGGGGCATTTAGCCCATTTACATTTAAGGTTAATATTGTTGTGTGAATTTGATCCTGTCATTATGATGCTATCTGGTTATTTTGCCCGTTAGTTGATGCAGTTTCTTCATAGTGTTGATGGTCTTTACAATTTGGTATGTTTTTGCAGTGGGTGGTACCAGTTTTTCCTTTCCATATTTAGTGCTTCTTTCAGGAGCTCCTGTAAGGCAGGGCTGGTGATGACAAAAATCTCTCAGCATTTGATTGTCTGTAAAGAACTTTATTTCTCCTTCGCTTATGAAGCTTAGTTTGGCTGGATATAAAATTCTGGGTTGAAAATTCTTTTCTTTAAGAGTGTTGAATATTGGCCCCCACTCTCTTCTGGCTTGTAGGGTTTCTGCAGAGAAATCAGCTGTTAGTCTGATGGGCTTCCCTTTGTGGGTAACCCGACCTTTCTCTCTGGCTGCCTTAACATTATTTCCTTCATTTCAAACTTGGTGAATCTGACGATTATGTGTCGTGGGGTTGCTCTTTTCAAGGAGTATCTTTGTGGTGTTCTCTGTATTTCCTAAATTTGAATGTTGGCCTGTCTTCCTAGGTTGGGAAAGTTCTCCTGGATAATATCCTGAAGAATGTTTTCCAGCTTGGCTCCATTCTGCTTGTCACTTTCAGGTACACCAATCAAATGTAGGATTGGTCTTTTCACATAGTCTCATATTTCTTGGAGGTTTTGTTTTTTCCTTTTCATTATTTTTTCTCTAATCTTGTCTTCACACTTTATTTCATTAGGGTGATCTTCAATCTCTGATATCCTTTCTTCTACTTGATCGATTCAGCTATTGATACTTGTGTATACTTCACGAAGTTCTCATCCTGTGTTTTTCAGCTCCATCAGGTCATTTATGTTCTTCTCTAAACTGGTTATTCTAGTTAGCAATTCCTCTAACCTTTTTGCAAGGTTCTTAGCTTCCTTGCATTGCTCCTTTAGCTCAGAGAAGTTTGTTATTCCCCACCTTCTGAAGCCTACTTCTGTCAATTCGACAAACTCATTCTCCCTCCAGTTTTGTTCCCTTGCTGGTGAGGAGTTGTGATCCTTTGGAGGAGAAGAAGTATTCTGGTTTTTGGAATTTTCAGCCTTTTTGCACTGGTTTTTCCTCATCTTCATGGATTTATCTACCTTTGGTGTTTGATGTTGGTGACCTTCGGATGGGGTTTTTGTGTGGACATACTTTTTGTTGATATTGATGCTATTCCTTTCTGTTTGTTAGTTTTCGTTAAAATAGTCAGGCCCTTCTGCTGCAGGTCTGCTGGAGTTTGCTGGAGGTCCACTCTAGACCCTGTTTGCCTGGGTATCACCAGCAGAGGCTGCAGAACAGCAAAGAATGCTGCCTGTTCCTTCCTCTGGAAGCTTTGTCTCAGAGGGGCACCTGCCAGATGCCAGCCAGAGCTCTCCCGTATGAAGTGTCTGTTGATCCCTGCTGGGAGGTGTCTCCCAGTCAGGAGGCATGGGGGTCCGGGACCCACTTGAGGAGGTAGTCTGTTTCTTAGCAGAGCTCGAGCACTGTGCTGGGAGATCCACTGCTCTCTTCAGAGCCAGCAGGCAGGAACGTTTAGGTCTGCTGAAACTGCGCCCAGAGCCACCCCTTCCCCCAGATGCTCTGTCCCAGGGAGTTTTATCTATAAGCGCCTGACTGGGGGTGCTGCCTTTCTTTCAAAGATGTCCTGACCAGAGAGGAGGAATCTAGAGAGGCAGTCTGGCCACAGTGGCTTTGCTGAGCTGTAGTGGGCTCCACCTAGTTCAAACTTCCCAGAGGCGTTGTTTACACTGTGAGGGGAAAACCGCCTACTCAAGCCTCAGTTATGGCGGATGCCTCTCCCCCAACCAAACTCGAGTGTCCCAGGTCGACTTCAGGCTGCTGTGCTGGCAGCGAGAATTTCAAGACAGTGGATCTTAGCTTGCTGGGCTCCATGGGGGTGGGATCCACTGAGCTAGACCACTTGGCTCCCTGGCTTTAGTCCCCTTTCCAGGGGAGTGAATGGTTCTGTCTTGCTGGCATTCCAGGCACCACTGCGGTATGAAAAAAAACTCCTGCAGCTAGCTCAGTGTCTGCCCAAACGGCCATCCAGTTTTTTGCTTGAAAACCAGAGCCCTGGTGATGCAGACACCCGAGGGAATCTCCTGATCCATGGGTTGCGAAGACCATGGGAAAAGCGTAGTATCTGGGCTGGAATGCACCGTTCCTCAAGGCACAGTCCTTCATGGCTTCCCTTAGCTAGGAGAGGGAGTTCCCCCAATCCCTTGTACTTCCTGGGTGAGGCAACGCCCCACCCTGCTTCGGCTCACCTTCCGTGGGCTGCATCAACTGTCTAATCAGTACCAATGAGATGAGCTGGGTACCTCAGTTGGAAATGGAGAAATCACTGCCTTCTGTGTTGATCTTGCTGGGAGCTGCAGACTGGAGCTGTTCCTATTCAGCCATCTTGTCGGCCGCCCACTTGTTATTGTATTTTTAAGAAATATTTTCCATCCACAGTTGGCTGAATCCTTGGAACAGAGGGCTGACTATAATAACTATTGTTGTTATCCAAAGCCTCAGAGCTGTCCTTGAATCCCCTATTCCTTACCTCTGCAAGTACCTCTTTTGACTTACTTCAAAATTAAGTCTAAATCCAGCCAGGGTTTGGCATGTCTATTGCTGCCACTCTAGTGCATGCCACCTGGATTCCTGTAATTGTTCTCCTGGCTTCCACTCTTGGTCCCTGCAGTCCCCACCAAGCAGGCAGTCATCTTGATCTTCAGATGGCTAAATCAGAGCATGACACTGAATGAAAAACCCAAGCCCTTCCCCAGGATCTGCAAGAACTGAGCCCTTCTGGTCTCTCCACCTGTGTGTTGATCAGCTCCAGCCACAGTAGCCTTCTTGCTGTTCCTAGAATGGACCACGCTTGCTCTTACCACAGGGCCTGTGCACTTGCCAATTCCTCCATTTTCCTGCCAGGATGCGGTCAAGGCTGTCCCATTCTCATGACTCACACTTCAGCTCACACATCCCTTCCTCAAAGCAGGCTTTATTTTTAAAAAATGTTTATTTATTTATTATTTTTATTTTTTGAGATGGAGTTTCACTTTGTCACCTAGGCTGGAGTACAGTGGTATGATCTCGGCTCACTGCAACCTCCGCCTCCCGGGTTCAAGTGATCCTCTCACTTCAGCCTCCTGAGTAGCTAGGATTAGAGGTGCCCGCCACCAAGCCTGGCTACTTTTTGTGTTTTAGGAGAGATTGGGTTTCATCATGTTGGCCAGGCTGGTCTTGAACGCCTGACCTCAGGGGGTCCACCCTCCTCTGCCTCCCAAAGTGCTGGGATTACAGGCATGAGCCACTGCGCCTCACCTAAGCAGGCTTTTATGACCCCCTTTTCAATGTTGCCCTCAACATATGGGCATCACTTTCTTCACAGCAGCATTTGAAATGATCATTTTTAGTGGTTTATGGTTTGATAGCTCCTATGAGGGGCATATCTTATCTATTTTGTTCAGCTTTATGTTCTCAGAGCCTAGAGAGCGTGCCTAGAAAATACTTACGGGTATCATACATATTTTGCTAAATGAATGAATAAAGTTATGACTGCTATTATTGTAACTTCTTTTCTTTTTCAACAAGCATACCCTGAGGTATTGTAACTCCTTAAAATGTCTGCAGTAAGCTAAAAGCAAATGGTAGGTTTCAAAACAGTATGGCACCATTTTCCCTTTTCTAAAATTTTGTTTCCAAAAACATATGCACACACATATCCATGTTTACACATACAGATGCATATAATATACATAACACACACGTACATTATACATACCCAAATGTATATACAAACATCTATAAGGGGATACATCAAAATATTAATATTTTTCTTTACAATCAAGATACATATGTTTTAAAATCAGAAATAATCTATAAAACAATTTCCATTTCAAAAACATCAAAGTTAAAACAATGTTTTTGATAAAGAAAACAAACAACAGGAAAAGGAGAATGTCCTAGGACCTCAGCTTAAGCCAATGAACAGCACCTTTCATTTTATTTCCAAATTCCTGACAGCCAAAGGGGTCTTGTGCTGCTCCCAGACATCACACGTGCTGGTCTGGAGAGACATGGTCTTTCCTGATGTTCAGCTCCGGGAGGAACAGAGCGAGCATGGGAATGTTGAGATAAAGGGCGTTGTGCAACATGGTGAACAATGTCCTCAGCTTCGTCAGTGACACTGACACATTCTTCAATAACTATTTGTCACATCCACCCTCTATAAAAACTAGGGTATAACATCAAATCACAACTCAGCAAAGATATTTTTGCATGTGACAAAACTTAAGTGCTTGCATACATTGCCCAACTCGTGGATGGAATCACAGGCTCTTATATAATGCTGACAGCATGCCAGGCTGTGTTCTAAGTGCTTTACATATATTAACTGGTTTAATTATCCTATTAACCGTAGGAGATGGGCACTGTCATATTGCCATCATCATACCCATTTTACAGATGAATAAACTAGGTACAGAAAAGTTAAGCAACATGCCTAAGGTCATACAGCTAGTCAATGGTAAAGCTGAGATTTGAACCCACGCAGGCTGGCTCTGGCACTCTGGGCTCCTTACCACTAAGCAACACTGCCCCCCAAAAACCAGGGGCCTGGGGCAGTTACGCATTCCTTTCGACTCACACTGACTTGTCTTCTTGTCCACCCAGATATTTTGACATTCGATTAATTTAATCAGCCTAGCCAGGCATATTCCATATGGCATCATTCTTCAATTAAGCATGGCTAAAGGCAACTGGCTTGTAGGCTTGGCACAGTAGTTTAGAATGGCAGGAATGTGTGTTTTGGGGGCAGATTGCCTAGGGTTTGAATCACAGCTCTAGCGCTTTTAGCTGTGTAACAGGAAATGTAACTGTTCCAAGCCTCAGTTATATCATCTAGAAAGTGAAAGAACTAACACTGACGTCTTATTGGGGTTGTGGAGATGAAAGGCTATCATCAGTATGAATGTGTCTGTCCTAATACCCAATTCTGTTGAGAAGGTATGTGATAAAAATTAGCTATTGAGAGGCGAAGCCCACCAGCCATTCATTTATTCAGTTTCCTCTTCCATAAAATGGGGAATAATCATATTTACTTCGTAGGGTCGTTCGAGTGATTTAATCCAATAATGAATGTACAGTGCTTAGCACATGTACTATCCGTGCTTAAAAGTCAGTTATCATTGTTGTCATCACTTGCTGCTAGTATAACAAGGTGGGCAAGAGTGGAGGCTTGGCCAGGCATAGTGGCTCACGCTTGTAATCCCAGCACTTTGGGAGGCCGAGGAGGGTGGATCCAGGAGTTCGAGACCAACCTGGGCAACATCATGAGACCTCATCTCTACCAAAAATAAAAAAAAACTAGCTGGGCATGGTGGCACGTGCCTGTAGTCCCAACTATTTGGGAGGCTGAGACAGTGGAATCAATAGAGCCCAGGAGTTCAAGGCAGCAGTGAGCTGTGATCAGGCCACTGCACTTCAGCCTGGGCAATGGGAATAAGACACTGTCTCAAAAAAAAAAAAAAGAAAAAAAGATTGGGGGCCCTTCAAAGTCACCCAAGCTGGGCTAAAACCATGGATTCCGGGGCAGGTTACATCATCTTTCTAAACCTCACTTTCCTCATCTGAGAAATGGGATAATAACAGTCCAAATGTGACAATGGGTGTAATGCTTTGGCATGCTGCCCGGCAATTAAGCCCTTAGCTACTATTCTCTCTAATGTATGTTTACTGGCTGCCCACTTGGTCCTAAGCACCTGTCCCTCTTGGGCAGGAGTGGGCTGATTCTCCAGCTGAGGAGTCCTGGGCTGGGGTCAAGGGTCTCCATTTGAGGATCCTTGGCTTATAGACCATCTGGTCCATGGCTGACACACATACCACACTAGAATGACCAGCTGCCCCCAGGAAAGCGAGCCTGGGTCCTGGCAGAGTGGGTGGGTGGAAGACAAGCTGTCTCAAAGCTCAGAAATGAGCACGTCCTAATGCCTCTGAGCTTGGCAGTCACCTTTGGGAAGCTGATACCCACCTTCAGGGCCAGACACCCAGTCCCAAGTCCTGGCCTGAGGGCCAGGGGAAGCTCTGGTCTTGCCAGCATCCCAAGCAGTCGCTTTGTGCCTGAACAGAGCTTCCTTTGTGTGGTGGCAGCAGCAGATAACTGCTCCTGGGTGGCAGGTTACTCACTGAAGTGCAATCCCTGATTTACTAACTGGAGCAATTGCTAGGCTGTGCCAGCAAGGCTACCGTGTTGGCCTCCAGGGGCAGGTGCCACAAGGGCTGTCACTGTATCCTGGGGAGGACCCCAGAGCCTCTATTCCAAGATGTCCAAGCTACATCCATTGACCCCATAGTGGGGTTTGGAACTTCAAGAAGGGGCTGGGCGCGGTGGCTCATGCCTGTAATCCCAGCACTTTGGGAGGCTGAGGCAGGTGGATCATTTGAGGTCAGGAGTTCAAGACCAGCCTGGCCAACACAGTGAAACCCCGTCTCCACTAAAACATACAAAAATTAGCCGGGCAGTAGTGGCACATGCCTATAATCCCAGGTACTTGGGAGGCTGAAGCAGGAGAATTACTTGAGCCTGGAAGATGGAGGTTGCAGTGAGCTGAGATCGAGCCACTGCACTCCAGTCTGGGCAACAGAGTGAGACCTTGTCTCAAAAAACAAAACAAAAAAAAAAACAAAAAAAACACAAAAAACACAAGAAGGTCCTTAGAAAACCCTGGACATCTTCAAGCTAATGGATCTAAAGTTTTTCTGGTGCTAACGGCAACCCCGCCCAGCAGGAATTATCATCTGTACTTTGTAGATGAGGAAACTGAGGCTCAGAGAAGTTGAAGTTAAGCAAGTGGCCCAAAGGACCTCAGCCAATCCAAAAGCCTTTCTTGCTGCCCAGTCCTGACATCCCTGGTGGTGGTGAAAACAGGGGAAGCCTGAGGGTACTGATTAATCACCACCGTTTAATCTCGTTGAAAGCAGTTATTAAGTTGGTGCAAAAGTAATTGCGGTTCTTGCCATTACTTTTAATGGCAAAAACTCGTCAACTTTTGCACCAACCTAATACCATGTGGCAGGCACAGGGTCAAGCAATGAGTGTGTATGGTCTCCTTCCATCTCAACATCACCTCCCCTGAGAGAGATGTCATTATTCCTCCTAACAGAGGAGAAAACTGAGACCCATGGAGGTTACTTGTGTGATCCCACAGCTGCTAAGTGGCAGAACCAGAATTTGAACCCACATTTCTCTGTGAGTAAGACAGATGGTGAATTATTACCAAATATTGATTGAAGCAGGAGTTGGTAACATGACAAGTCTTTTAAAACCCAGTTTTATTAAGTACAATACACATATGTACAGAAAAGTGTAATATACATTATAGAAAAGTGCACCAATCATGAATTTTCACAATCTGAACACCGCCATCCATACCTAGGTGCAAAAGCAGAACTTTCCCAGTAACACACACCCCCTCACTCCCCTGTCCTGACCATTATCCTGACTTCTAATCTCATCAGTTCATTTTGTCCTTTAGCTAAATGAAATCACACATCGTGTGTCCTTTTGTGCCTGGCTTCTTTCATAATTATGTTTGTGTACAGGAAGCCTGTTTTTCAATGTTTTATTATGAAAGTTTTCAAACATCACAGCAAAAGTTGAAAGCATTTTATAGTGAATATCCTTAAACTCACCATTTAAATTCTATGAATGTTGTACTGTACTTGCTTTTCTTTCACATAAAGCCATCCCTCTAGACATTCATTAATGCTTCGACTTCATTATAAATTTTAAAGTAAATTGCAGACATCAATACAATTTCCTTAACTACTTCAGCATGCACATATATTTGCTCACAACTTTTATCCTTTTGATGTAAAATTTATATATGATGAAATGCACAAGTGCTTTTTATTGAGTTTTCATAAATGCATACACCTGTGATCCCAAACCCTCTCAAAATAAAGAATATTCCCCTCACTCCAGGAAGTTCCCTCATGCCCCTTCCCAGTCAATACTCTCCCCTCCAGCACACTAGGCAACCCACTGTACCAATATTTTTCCACAGTAGATTGGTTTTGCCTGTCCTGAAAATTCATATAAATGGAATGATACCTTATATAATCTCTCATGTAAGGCTTTTTTCATTCAATGTAGTGTTTTGAGATTCATCCATGTTGTTCCTGCATATCATTAATTCATTCCTTTTTATTAATGGGGAGTATTCTTTTGTAGGCCTATACTGCGGTTCGTTTGTCCATTTTCCTATTGATGGACACCCGGGCTGTTGACAATTTGGGGCTATTATGAGAAAGGTGCTATGTGCACTCTTCTACAAGGCTTTTTGTGAATTTGTGTTTTCATTTCTTTTGAGTAAATACTTAGGAGTACAACGACTGGGTCACAGGGTAGGTGTATGTTTTATTTTACAAAAAAATGACAGATCTTTTTCCAAGGTGGTGGTACCATTTTATTGCACCACCAACAATGTATCACTTTGTCACCAACAATGAATGAGAGTTCCAGTTGCTCCACAGCCTCATCAACATTTGGTCTAATTTTATTTTATTTTATTTTATTTTTGAGACAGAGTCTTGCTCTGTCACCCAGGCTGGAGTGCAGTGGCACGATTTCAGCTCACTGCAACCTCCACCTCCCAAGCTCAAGTGATCCTCCCACCTCAGCCTCCCAAGTAGCTGGGTCTACAGGCATGTGTGGCCATGCTGGGCTAAATTTTTGTATTTTTTGCAGAGACGGGGTTTCACTATATTGCCCAGGCTGGTCTCGAACTTCTGAGCTCAAATGATCCACCCCACTTCAGCCTCCCAAAGTGCTGGGACTACAGGCATGAGCTACCACACCTGGCTGGTATTGTCCATCTTTTTAATGTTTCTGGTAGGTATGTAGTAGCAGCTCACTGTGGTTTTAATTCACATTTTTATGAAAAAGCACCTCTTTCTCCAGATGGATACAGTTCCTTGCCAAGACTCACCGCTTAGCAAGCAGAGCACAGCCTGCCCAACGATCCATGGTGGCTGTGCTTCAGGTCTCCATTGTGCCTACTGGGCAAGATGAACAGGAGCCAGCCCTTGAAGTACTATCTTTATTTTAAAGAAAAATAGCATCTATAGTGGTTGAGAGTGGCCTCTGCAGTTAGATTGTCTGGGTTCAGACCCCAGCCTCACCACATACCAGCTGTGTGACAATGGACAAATTACTTCCCATTTCTAAGTCTTCATTCCCTCACATCTACTCATAAGTTTGTGGTGAAGATTAAATAAGATGGAACATGTAACATACCTAGCACAGAAAACACTAGTAAACATTAGTTGTTTTGTTATTGTTCTATCTGAGTAGAAAAGTTACATACAATTATCATAGAAAATGAAGAAAAGTAGAAAGAAGCTTAAAGTTACCATAACCCTGACATCCAAAGATAACTGTTATTAATATTTGGTGCATTTTTCTAGTATTTCTATATAGGATTAAAAATTTTTTTTTAATTTTTTTTTTCCACAGTCTCACTCTGTCACCTGGGCAGGAGTGCAGTGGCATGATTTTGGCTCACTGCAGCCTCAACCCCTTAGGTTCAAGCAATCCTCCTGCCTCAGACTACTGAGTAGCTGGGACCATAGGCACACACCACCATGCCCGGCTAATTTTTTCATTTTTTTGTGGAGATGGGGGGGGTCTCACTTTGTTGCCCAGGCTGGTCTGAAACTCCTGGGCTCAAGCTATTCCCCCACCTTGGCCTCCCAAAGTGTTGGGATTACAGTCGTGAACCACTGTACCCAGCCTGGAATTGTTTAAAAACACCAATGGCATCATACTCTGTATACAATTTCATACCCTCCTTTCTATATTTAACTCTATGTCATTAACATTTTCTCATGTCATTGCATGTTCTTCAAAACTCCACTCCTAAAGGCTGTGGAATGTTCCAGCAACAGGTGCTGCACTGTGTCAGGTGATAAAGCAGTGGGTTGAAGATCAGTGATTCCAGAAACAGTCTTGTATCCTCTTGACTACATGTGATTATTCCCTTAGGATATTTTTAAAGCCTTTGATAAACATTATCAATTTGGAGCACCAGATCAAAACCACATCTTTTCACTTTTTCCTAAATATAAAATTAATGCAGGTTATGAAAAGAAGAAATAATACATGATTGTGAAGAATAGAAAGTGAAAGCCCCCCTCCCTCCCCAATAATCTCACTAGTAAAGAAAAATCACTTTGATGTACATGCTTCCAGACCTTCTATTCCATACATATGCAACAGTAGATATAAGTATACTAACCCAAGAGTAGAAGGGGATGCTGGAGTCTGCCTGTGCCTGGTTCAAGTTCTGACTCTGCTGTGTATTCACTGTGTGACCTGGGGCGAGTTAATTCACCTCACTGTGCCCTGTTTTTAAAAATCGCTTCATTTGTTTCTGGAGTTATTTTTCAAATATCTCCAGGTTCCTCAACATTCTCAACCCTGAATGGATACTGGAGAGTCTGCTGGAGTCTGTACCTGAAACTGGGCCAGGGATGCCTTAGCCGTTTGGACCAGACATTCCTCCCATGCTGCTGCCCTGGAGGTCCCTGGACCACAGGCGAGGTTGAGGTTCCCCAGCTTTGCAGCAAGTAAACATTGATTCACCTGGGCACCCGGGGTAATTGTACAAATTGCCCATGCAGATGGGTGCCTCATGCCTGGTTACCCAATGCTTACTCAGGTAGGTGTGGTTACCCAGAGACAGGTGGGTGCCCACGCCTCACCTACTACTTGGAGGCCCCAGTCATAGTCATCATATCAGGGAGTATGGGGGATGCCATTTGGGGCCTCCTCAAAAAAGATGCCACCTGCTCTAGCCCAGGAAGTCAAGCTATGGTTGCTCACCTTGGGACAGTAGGGACAGCTTGCTGGGCTTGTAAATAAATGTGGAGCAAATCACAGTGAATGACCCGCACCTCACTTAGGCCTTCACCAGGCATTGCCAAATGCTGCCTTCTCTTTACTCGCCCAGGAGCCCAGGCACATTGGTGTCTTCATTATTTCCGAGTGGACCTTATTCAATAACCCAGGGAAAATCAACAATGTGATTAATTAAAATCTTAAGACACACTCTGTTTTGTTATCTGTGGACTCTACTGAGCTACTTCCTCCAGGAAGAAGGAATTGGCCCACTTGTTGGGTTTATTTATTTACTTATCTACATGCATCTGGACAGTTTTGCGTTGTGATTCATTCTGGGAAAGCTATATCAGATGGGACCACATCCAAGGAGGAACCGGGTTGGGAAAGGATGCTGGAATCCCGGAATTGCCTTCCCAGTCACCTCAGAATCAGGATTATGCTCTTTTTTAATGCTTTCTCCTTCACAATGAGTTTCCCCCCCAGAAACCTCATTAACCCTGAAACTTTTTGAACATTTTCCACAGGTAAGGGAGGCTGGTCTTCTGGACTCGGCTGAGTCCTGGGTGACTCAGGCTGAGTCCTCAGGAAAACCCCAGGGGCTCAGGATGCAACCTGCTGAGTCCCAGGCCGGTGGCCGAACCTCCTCAAGCCTCGTCTTCTCATCAGCAAAATTAAAAGTTCCCTCTTAGGGTGTTGCAGGTTTCAATAGAATCACACCGCGGATCAGGCTCGCTTCGGGGCCATTGCACATGCTGTTCCCTTTTTCTGAGACACAATTCCTCTCTTCCCATCACCACTCCAGCCTCTCAACTTGGTTGACACCAACCATCCTTCCAGCCGTAGTTTAAATATCATTTCTGGCTGGGTGCCCTGGCTCATGCTTGTAATCCCGGCACTTTGGGAGGCCAAGGTGGGCAGATTGCTTGAGTCCAGGAGTTCAAGGCCAGCCTGGGCAACACAGACCCTGTCTCTACAGAAGTAAACAAAATTAGCCCAGTGTGGTGGTGTGTGCCTGTGGTCCCAGCTACTCAGGAGGCTGAGGTGGGAGGATTGCTTGAGACCGGGAGGTTAAGGCTACTGTGAGCTGTAACCATGCCATTGTACTCCAGCCTGGGTGACAGAGCACGACCCTGTCTCAAAATTAAATAAATAAATAAATATTATTTCTTCAGAGAGTACCTCAGCCCAGCTCAGGTGCCCAGTTCAAAGCACCCACCTCAGCCCAGTTCAAAGCACACACAGTCCCTTGAATTTTCCTTCTCAGCCTCATCACATCTGTAATTTAAGTAACTCTTTGTTTAACATCTGCCTCCTTGGCCCAGCCCAGGAGCCCCATGGGGGAGGGCTGGGTCTCTGTTGCTCACCCCTCCATCCCGCTCCTCATGCAGGTCTGGCACTTAGTGGGCACTTGGGAAACACGAGTGACCCTTTCAGAACCCAGGAGATGGCCTGTGGATCTGGAACCTCCAGCACCCACGTGAGGCCCTTTGACTTGGCCTCTTGCCAATAAGGTTTGGGCCAAGGCCATGGAGACAGTGGCAGAAGCCTTGGCGTTCAAGCTGTACCCCCCTAGAAATTGGGGTTCAGTCAGTTCCCCAATTCTGTGGTTAGATTAAGGGTGGGCAGGCCCAGACAAGCCTGTTCTGGAGCAGAGGCCACTGGGGCAGGCAAACCCTGAGCCTCACCCACGCTGCTCTGTCTCCGGAGCACACGCAGGCTGCTACATGCCTAAGGAGATGTGGCAGCTGCTCCCCAAACGCAGCTACACCCCGACCTCCATCTTGAGAGAGAGGAGAGCCTGTGGTGTACAGCGTGGCCCCAGCAGGCACCTGTGCTGATGGGAAAACACACAGACAGGCCAACGAATACACGTACGCGCACGCACGTACAGACTCCACTCAGAGGCAACTTCTGGGCAAGGCCCAGCCCTCTGCTGTGGTTTTGTATGGGCCCAAATATTTCTCTTTCTTGATTTATGAGCTGAGGAGGGTGAGAATCCCAATAGGCACAGCCTAGTGGCACAGGGACCTGGTTGTCTGTGTGCCCTGGGGAATTACATTGAGAATAAGGACAATGCCAACAGCGGCAGCTGCCAAAGTTGTCTTTTAAAATCAAAGACTCCTATGTGCCAGGCACCGTGCTAAGCCTTCTGTACATGACCAATATTTATTGAGGGCCCACTGTGCTCCAGGCACCGTGTAAGGCTTTTGGGATACAGCGATGCACAGAGGAGGTATGAAGTTGTGCCCTCGTGCAGCTTATGGTTGGGAAAGGCACGTAGTAAGTGAAACAAATAAGTAACTTATACAGCAGGTTAGAAGGGGCATGTGCTGTGGAGGGAAATAAGGTAGCAAAGGAGGAGAGAGGAGTGGAGTTGGGCAGGGGAATGCTGTGGTTTTGTTTTTTTTTTTATGTTTTTATTTTTGATACTGGGTCTTGCTGTGTTGCCCAGGCTGGGGGGCAGTGGTGCAATCACCGCTCTCACTGCAACCTCGACCTCCCAGGTTCAAGCCATCCTTCCACCTCAGCTTCCCAAGTAGCTGGAACTACAGGTGTGTACCACGACGCCCAGCTAATTTTTCTGTTTTTTTTTTTTTCTTTTTTGTATTTTTTGTGGAGACAGGGTTTCACCATGTTGCCCAGACCCATCTCAAACTCCTGGGCTCAAGAGATCCTCCCACCTTGGCCTCCCAAAATACTGGGGATTACAGGCGTGAGTCACTGTGCCCCACCTAATGTTGTGGTTTTAAACAGCCTGATCAGGCTCCCGGAGAAGGTGACACTGTATCGTCTCAGGTCACCTTCTTAATAAGCTCCTCTGGTCATCACTATTATCATCCCCATGTGATGGCTGAGAGAGCTGAGGCTCAGATGGGGAACAGACGTGCTCAGAGGGTCTCAGTTTGTGATAGCAGAGCTAGGATTTGAACCCAGATCTCCCTGATGTCAAAACGTTAGTTAACCAGCCATGAGATCCTGCCTTCTGGCACAGTGGCCTGCCCCTGCTTGCCACAGCCCTTGGGGTGCAGGCCTTCCAGGACCGGGGGCTGTGTTCAGATTCCATCTGCTGGGTTACCTGCCAGGAGAGGGCAGTTGCTGAGTCTCCCTAGGGCTGGCATTCCTGCTAGGCATGTGTCTCCAAGTCAGACCTGTTTGGGCTGCACAGCCCAGCCCCTGAAAAAGTTCTTTTGTGCTTTCTCAAAGGGCCTCACAAGAGGGTTAAACGCCCTCACATTAGTGCTAATTTGGGGCTGACTTTCCTATTCAGCCAGGGACAAAGCGGTGTTTGCACAAGGACCTGAGGAATGGGACCACACGCACTGCCAGGGAGCGGGGGCTCTGTGCCCACCGCCCTCCGCCCACCCTCCCTGCCCTCGCAGGCCCCTGTTTCTCTCACAGGTAACTGGAGCTCTGCTGGGATTCTGGGTCCTCTGGCTCTAGCTCTGCCCAGAGATCTGAGCAAGTCTTGGCCCCAGTCTCTCCCAGTGAAAACCCTCTATGAAGGAATGGAAGGGCCCATTACAGATCCCTATTGTCATGGACAAGAAATGTTTGTTGTAATGAAAAATAGAAACAACCTAAATGTCAATCAAAGGGGCAAATGGTTAAGCACACGAGAGAACAAACATTCACATCACACAGATATTTAAAAAGAGTGAGGCTGGTCTCTGGGCACAGCAACACAGAAAGCACATACAGCCTGCTGTGAAGCAAAAACAGAAAACTGCAAAAGAATATACACAGTAGGATCCCATTTAGATTCATTTATTTTATTTTATAATTTTTTTGAGACAGGGTCTCACTCTATTGCCCAGACTGGAGTGCAGTGGTGCAATCTCGACTCACTGCAGTCTTGAACTTTCCAGCTCCAGTGATCCTCTCACCTCAGCCTCCCGAGTAGCTGGGACTACAGGTGTGCACCACCACACCTGGCCAATTGTGTGTGTGTGTGTGTGTGTGTGTAGAGACACCTGTAATCCCAGCACTTTGGGAGGCCAGGGCAGGTAGATCGCTGGAGCTCAGGAGTTTGAGACCAGCTTGGGCAACATAGGAACACCTCAACTCTCCAAAAAATGTTTTAAAAACCGGCCAGATGCAATGGTTCATGCCTGTAATCCCAACACTCTGGGAGGCTAAGGCGGGTGGATCACTTGAGGTCAGGAGTTCAAGACCAGCCTAGCCAACATGGTGAAACCCCCGTCTTGACAAAAAAAAAAAAAAAAAAAAAAAAAAAAAATTAGCCAGGCAGGCACTGTGCTGCACACCTGTAGTCCCAGCTACTTGGGAGGCTGAGACATGAGAATCGCTTGAACCCAGGAGGTGGAGGTTGCAGTGAGCCAAGATCACGCCACTGCATTCCAGCCTGGGTGACAGAATGAGACTCCATCTCAAAAAAAAAAAAAAACCTAGCTGGGTGTACTGGTGCATGCCTGTAGTCCCAGCTACTCGGAAGGCTGAGGCAGGAGGATCACTTGAGCCCCAGTGGGTAGACATCGCACCACTGCATTCCAGCCTGGGCAACAGAGTGAGACCCTGTCTCAAAAAAAAAAAAGTATAAATGTGTATGTATGTATGTATGTGTGTGCATGTGTAAGAGACAGAGATAAGTACATTGAATGAAGAACTTCTGTGTTGTTCTATACAGTTGACACTCACTACTTACGGTAGTTCTCCTCCTATAAAGTCACCGCAAACGCTGACTTCCCAAATACAGAACCATTGCTCCTAGATATATCCAAGGTGAAATTCCTGTGAGCCACTGATCACATTTTCATTAACCAAGCAATATGGAACCTTGTTTTATGTGTGATTCTATTAAACACACTTTATTTAGTGTAAGTTGTTGCTTCATTAACATTGACTGCACTGTAATTCATGCATGAAGGAAGCTTATCTAACATGTATTTTCTCTCTGTAAGGCACATCACAGCTTAGGAACACTAGACAGCACTTCATCCCTACACTTAGGGGCTATTTTATTATTTATTTATTTATTTATTTATTTATTTATTTTGAGACAGGGTCTCGCTGTGTTGCCCAAGCTGGAGTGCAGTGGTGTGATCACAGCTCATTGCAGCCTTTAACTCCCAGGCCTAAGCAATCCTCCCACCTCACCCTTCTGAGCAGCTGGAGCCACAGGCATGCACCACTATGTCCAGCTAATTTTTTTTATTTTTGTAAAAACAGGGTCTCACTATATAGCCCGGGCCAGTTTCCAACTCCTGAGCTCAAGCGATCCTCTCACCTCGGCCTCCCGAAGTGTTGAAATTACAGGCATGAGCCACTGCACTCAGCCTTGGGGGCCATTTTAAACAGCAAAATCACCAAAGAAAGCACAAAAAGTGAAAAGTGCAGAATTAAACAGAGCACGATAGGACATTTGTTGATTGTATGACAGCTGAAACAAGAGGGCACGGCCTTGCTTTGTTCAGCCTCAGTTGGGAATGTAGCATCGGGCAGCCCAAAGTTTTTGCTGCTCCACACGTGTGTGAAAGACAGTGAACACCCTGTGAATATTGACTTTGGAGTTGCAAATATATTTTAGCAAGCAAGCAAATTCACAAATATGGAATCTGCAAAGGATGAGGATTGACTGGTGATACTTTTAAGGTTCAACTTGGCATTCTGCGAGCTCCCTGGTGCCACGCCAGGCCTCTGGTCAGCTGTGTGACCTTAGGTGTCCATATCTGAACTAGATTTCATCTCCTTTGCAGAGTTGTTGTGAGAATTAAATGAAATGATGTCTGTAAAACACCTAGCACAGTGCCCGATACACAGTAGGTGCTAAAAAACCGGCCATTATGAGATGGCTCATGCCTGTAATCCCAGTGCTTTGGGAGGCCAAGGTGGGAGGATCACTTGAGGCTGGAAATTCAAGAGCAACCTAAGCAACATAGCAATATCCCCTCTCTAGAAAAAAAAAGTTTTAAACATTAGCTGGGTGTGGTGGTGTATGTCTGTAGTTCCAGCTACTTGGGAAGCTGAGGCAGGAGGATCACTTGAGCTTGGGAGCTGGAGGCTGCAGTGAATCATGATCATACTGGTGACACAGTGAGACCCTGTCTCATAAAAACAAAAAACAAAAAAGTGCATTGTTACTATTATCATCATTGGCCCAGGACCCTGTGTTCTATACACAGGGTGATTTTAACCAAGGTTTAGAGAAGGCCTGTCTGCACCAGAACTCCGGGCTGGCATCATTTTCATAAATTCTTTGTCCCATTCAGCTCCTCTCTGGCTATTCAGAAAATAATCTGAATGTTGAAACTTGTAAGCAATAAAAGGATTTCATGACACAGGCCAAATCAGGACTTTTCCGCTTTGCAATGACAGCCTTCCCCTCTCCTCTGCTGTGGCCCTGGCTCTCCACTCTCTCCTTGGGCTTCCCATGGGACTGCTTAGCATGGATCCCACGGGGTTATGGTTAACAGTCAAGAGTCCCGGGCGCAGGGCCAGGATGGCAACTCGCCCAGGGCAGGAAGCAGCTTACGCATCAGTATTCCCCATACTCAGCACAGGGCCTGGCACAGATCAGTGCCCTGTGAAGGGCTATGAGTTGAAAAAATAGTGACCTAGAGTGTACTGGGTGTCTCACCCAAACTTCCCTGACACGGAATAGAAAGCGATGAACAGAGTTAGCACTCAATATGTATTTGTGGGCCGGGCGTGGTGGTTCACGCTTGTAATCCCAGCACTTTGGGAGGCTGAGGCGGGTGGATTGCTCGAGGTCGGGAGTTTAAGACCAGCAGGGCCAGCATGATGAAACTCTACTGAAAAAAAAAACAAAAATTAGCCAAGCGTGGTGGTAGGTGCCTATAATCCCAGCTACTGGGGAGGCTGAGGCATGAGAATCTCTTGAACACATGAGGTGGAGGTTGCAGTGAGCCAAGATTGTGCACTGCACTCCACCATGGGTGACAGACCGAGACTCCATGTCAAAAAAAAAAAAAGTATTTGTGGAAGCAGGGAGGAAGAGAGGAAAAAGAAGGAAAGAAGAGGCATGCCTGACCCACCAACTGGATGACCAAACTATGAAAGAACCGAGAAACGAATGAAATGGAATTCCTCTCGTAGTTCTCCTTCTCTGGAGAACTCTCCTTCTCATCATTGGAAAAGGAGATAAATTAAATGAGTTGGTCTTTTAAATAATAAGCGCTAGCATAATAGCCGTATTTACCATGTGACCAGCTGTGTTCTGTTCATTTTGAGTGTATTAACTAATTTAATTCTCACACCAATTCTAGGAGATGTGTTACTGTGCCCATTTTACAAATGAGCAGACCAAGGCTCCAAGAAGCCAAGTAACAAGCTCAAGGTCGTGTGGCTGCTTAGTGGAGCAGCTGGCTCCAGAGGCTGCCCTCTGGGCTGCGATTGCTTTGGTCCCTCTGAGGTGTTTCAGGAGGTGGACCCCCCCACAGGTGGTGATGACACAGGGCTGGTATTGTGCCCTGCTCATCCTGTTGCTCAGATCCTCAGGTGTGGACTCCTTTGCTTGCCTCTTGCCCATTTCTCCACAGTCTAGCTCTAACAGACATTTTCAGTTTGATCTCCTTCTACGTCCTTTCCCGTACCCGATGCTGCACCCAAGCCAGCTACTCCCTGTTCCCTGCTCACACCCTGTGCATTCCTGTGTCTAGGCTTTTCCTGCTGCTGTTCCTTCCTTGGCCTGGAATGTGTTCTCCCACCCCCGACTCTCACAATCATCCCCACCTCTCCAAGTCCAATTCAGGTGCCACTTTAGCTGTGAAGCCCTCGCTGGCCATCCCTGTTTAAAATGCATTACGCCTTGCCCTGCTCTGGGCTTCAGTAACTAACTCTTGATCATCTCCAGCCCCCCACATCCCACCCTAAGAAACTCTCATTGACCAGGAGCCGGGCTGAATTTCTTCACCCCTCCCCACCCCAGATGTTGAGATTTGGGAGAGCAAGGAGCTCTGTCTAGCTCATATCCTTGTCCCCGCTGCCCAGCATAGGACCCGGCATAAGTACACTAACCGTAAAAGCATGGTTAAAAGTGACCTACTCCACTTTCAGCCACTAGCTGATGACGATGTGCTGGTGTCCCACACCTTCCATTCCAGGATTCCTTCAGGTTCCCTCAATACACTTCCCACTACACCTCTGTGCCTTGGCCATGCTGTTCCTTCCACCTGGAATGCTCTCTCTACCTCGGCTGCTCAGAGAATCCAGAGTCTTTTCAAGTTCAGTTCAATGTCCCTTCCTCTAGAAAGCCTTCTCCCTCCTTTGCCCCAGAGCTAAATCACTTCTTCTTTTGCGTTGTCTCCGCACTTCACACCTGCCTGGGGGTTTGCTAAGCTGTACTGCAATGAGTTTTCCTGTCTGTCCCAGGTGGCTCTTTGAAGCTGGGACATGACAGACCACCTCTACGTCCCCAGGACCAAATACAGTGATTTTAAAGCATGTTTAGTTGTGGAACTCTCTCTTCAAAAGCAAAATCTATACGTATCTCAAAATAAAACAGATATAAGAAAGCAGTTCTTGGCAGAATGGGGAAGGGGACTGGGGGCAGCCCCACCTGTGTGAGCATCTCAGACCCACCAGGGACGCTGTCTCAGAGCTTCTAGGCCTCAAACACAGTGTGAAAACCCCTGACTCAGCACAACATCTGGAATAAGGTCGCTGCTCAACAAATTCTTTTTAAATGATTTGAAGGCCAAACACTTTCAGGACCCAAATAATGAATTTCTTAGAGTGGAATTTCAGACACCTTGCCTGGAAGAAGAGACACACTGGGGCTTTGGCTCAGGAGTCAGGGGTTCAAGCCTCAGCCCGGTTGCTCCCTGGCAGGACAGGGACCTCACCTCTCTGGACTTAATTTTTTTCATACATAAAATGAGAAGAAAAGTAACACTTACAGGTGTAAGGGCTACTGGCTGTGGTTATTTCTAGGCACTGGGGCTCTCTGCCCCTCTCTTTTCCTTAAATCACATCATTCATGTCCTACTGAAAAAAGACCCACTGGCCGGGCGCGGTGGCTGATGCCTGTAATCCCAGCACTTTGGGAGGCTAAGGCGGGCAGATCATGAGATCAGGAGTTTGAGACTAGCCTGGCCAACATAATGAAACGCTGTCTCTACTGAAAATACAAAAAAATTAGTCCAGCATGGTGGTGCGCACCTGCAGTCCCAGCTACTCGGGAGGCTGAGGCAGGAGAATTGCTTGAACCCGGGAGGCGGAGATTGCAGCGAGCCAAGATTGCGCCACTGCACTCCAGCTTGGGCGACAGAGCGAGACTTCATCTCAAAAAAAAAAAAAAAAAAAAAGAAAAAAAAAGACGCACTGCAGTCAGAGTGTAGGCCAGTCTGGTATAACGATTTGAGCATGGGTCTTGGCGCCAGATCCTGGCTCTGGTCTCTGAGCCTCAGTTTGCTCATCTGCCAAATGGGGATAATAACAGTAGCTCGTGGGGTAGAGAAGGCTTGTAATGTAGAAGTTAAGTGTGTGCACAGGTCCAGTTGCCCTGCTTTGAGACCTGGCTCCCTCATTTTCTAGCCCTGTGACCTTGAGCAGATTACTTCACTCTATGTGCCTTGGTTTCTCCAGCTGTAAAAAGGGAGAAATAATAGTACTCCCCTCATAGGCGTGGATAGTCATAGACGTGAAATGCTTAAAACAGTGCCTGGCACATAGTAACTGCTACATATGTGTACCCAACTGATACCATCCCATGGGGCTGTTGTGAGGATTAAATTAGAATATAAATAAAACGTGTCCAGCCTAGGGCCTGGTATACGGTAAGAACTCAATTCAGAGGAGCTGTTATTTAATATGACTTTGGCTCAAATTCAGCATGTTACATATGTGCTCCTAGGGTGGGAGGAGGGAAAAAAACCTGGGCAGAAATTCTAGGCCTTGCAATCTCACTCTGCGATCTCCTGTGAAAGGGGCCGCAGCAGCTTCTGCATTTGGGTGGGTGCGCCACGGTGCAGTTCTGGGTGTGTCCTGCTGCCTGACTCAGACACAAGTGCCCTCTCCCACCTGTCCCCCACCCATCTCCCACAGCACCCTGTGCCTGCCCATCCATGTGGTGATTAGGCCTGACCCCGAAAGCAGCAAGATTCTATCACTGCCCCAGGGCCAGGGGTGGCAGGAGGGGTTATAATTATGGGTTTCATCGAAATTGTGGAAATGGCAAACGCTGCTTTCTGCGGCTCCTCTAAGGGCCCTGCTGGGGCCCTCCCCAAACCCTCCCACCTGGGTGCCCCCAGAAGCCGGCACTCCCAGTCCATGGCAACCTACAGTTACAGACAACTTATTACAAGTGTGCTAAGCGTTTTATGTGAAGAATCTCATTTAATCCTCACAAACGGTATTATTTCCCCCATCTTACAGGTGAGACTCAGGAAGGCAAAGTGACTCACCCTAAAGTATGCGGCCAAGACAGTCTCCAAGGACTTTCTGGCTCTTTGGCCCGTGATCTTAACCTCTACCTGAGTTTGTATCAAATATGGCACCAAAATGTGGTTGTAGTCCTACAGTTAGGGAACTGGGCCCCGAGTTTGGCCATGGCTCTCACCCTGTGCGATCTGGGCAGTCACGTCACCTCTCTGAGCCTAGGTTTCCTCTTGAGTTTAGCATGAGGGCCGGAGGAGGAAACGTGTGTGTCTATTAATGCCTGGGATGGATAAGGCTCCATAAGGGTCAGCTACCATATTCTTTTGCTGTTGTTGGTACTGTTAGGCTTTATTGGTGGAGTGATGAAATCACCGTCTACACAGACACAAACATCAGGGCATTGGGAAACCTCTTCGTACTGGATGTGCCACAGGCGAGATTTGATCATACATTCTCCAATTTCTTCCAGATCCTGAGTCATGAAAAGGTGGGCTGAGTCATGCCTGGGGCTTCCATTTTGCTTATACTGAGCCATTACGTTGTGAAATCTTTAGTAAGTAGCAGGAGCTTTAATGGAAAGCAAATTAAACTCATCCCCCAGTTTGCTGGGGGTGTGGAAGCCCGTCCGGGAAGCTCATAGTGATCATAGCATGGAGCCTGGAGCTCTTGGAAGGAAAGGGGTTTGAGAAGTCCTAGGTCTTCCTCCCCGCCTTTCCTTTTTCTTTTTAATAATGTGTTTTCTTCAGCCTGTGATAAATGACTGGGAGTGGAAGATGCCCAGTAGGGGGAGGGAAAGGGAGGGATGTTGTTTACTTATCTGGGAGCACATCGCCAAGACAAAGCTTGGAGTTCTAATACTCTCCAGTGCGTGACCCACTTCCCTCTGTGGCCCAGAGCAAGTATCGCCCTGATTTGCTGGTGACTCTGCAATAATCACCTCCCTCAAACTTCCACACCTCTCCCAGCAAGGCAGGAAGGAAACACCACGCCTGGCCTTGGGCAATCCCAGGGACCAGCCAGGATTCCATTAACCCCAGAAGTGAACCCTGGATTCCATTGGTCAGGCCCCACCCCCCAACTTCGTTGGGCTTCCTTGGGTAATTTATGAGCTTCTCCACTTTGGCTGTTATTATTCGCCTCTTGTTAATGAGCAGGCTTAGGGCATTCAGGATTTCCTTAGTCAGTGATTCCTCCTTCTGGAGTAGTCTGTCTTTGGACTTTTATAGGTCGTTAACAGCCTTGCAAAGTCTGACACTGTACCAGGCAACTGGGTTTCTTTACTGGAAAGGAAAAGGGGGAGGCTGAGGGACGGATGGAAGCTACTTCAGGTCAAGGGGGGCTCTTGCTCACCACAGGACATAAGCTCACCATTTTCTGTCCCAAGGGGACAAACACGACACACGCGGCTACAGGGGACTGAGGAGATTTTGTATCTGCATTCATTTTAAAATGGAGAGACCTGGAAATTGGCCTCCAAAGACAGCAAAGTAATGTTTCATTCACTGCTCTTGGGGGCTTCCTATTTTCTGAGGTAAATGTGTGCAGTTGCTTTCCTGGAAGGCACTTTTTCCTCAGCCTCAAGGCCTCTCCAGCTGAGGTGGCTGAGGGAAGGCCTGGAGTGAGGGGATAAAGTCACGGTTGACAACAACACCCTTCTTTTCATTCCTCAGCACTTGACACACTGGCACGCTTAATAAAACAGGTGGCAGGCATGGTGGGACCAAAGTGCTGATTCAGCCATGCCACTTGCCTTTCATCTTGGGCTTGGACTGTCGAACAGACATGCTTAACAAGAAGAGGTGGAGGAGTTTATCCCCTTAATAAGCCACCCTGAAGTCACTGTGCGGAATCATGTTCATCTCTCAGGATGCTGCGGGGGAATCATTTCTAGTTACAGAGTCTTAATAATTTGCCCAGTGGGCTTAAGAACTATTGATACATTCATTAATAACAACAAAATCTATTGATACATTTTTTGGAAAAAAGCAAGCTTAGGCTGGGCGCGGTGGCTCACGCCTGTAATCCCAGCACTTTGGAAGGCCGAGCCGGGTGAATCATGAGGTCAGGAGTTCGAGATCAGCCTGGCCAACATGGTAAAACCCCGTCTCTACTAGAAATAAAAAAAATTAGCTGGCGTGGTGGTGGGTTCCTGTAATCCCAGCTACTCGGGAGGCTGAGGCAGGAGAATCGCTTGAACCCACGAGGCAGAGGTTGCAGTGAGCTGAGATCGCGCCACTGCACTCCAGCCTGGGTGACAGTGCGAGACTCCATCTCAAAAAAAAGAAAAAAGCAAGCTTATAAAACATAATATCTTGTCTGTGATTCCATTTTTGTGAAAAAAAATCTACTATGGAAAGAATAGGTTGGAAGGTTTTAAAATATCAGCATTGAATGGTGGAGTAATGTTTTTAAATTTTTAGTTATTTATTGCCTTTGGTAATTCTGAAAATTTTCTCCCACAAACATATATTACATTTGAAATAAATAATAAAAGTAAACCCCTGGATATTTCTGGTAAATCCAACCCCAGCTTAGCTTAAAATTGTCTCCCAGATTCAGACAAAAATATCTCAAGGTCAGTGGCTAATTTCTGCTTTTATGCCTTCTTCAATTCAGCCCTACCGTCCAGAAAGCCCAGGGAGTTGAAGCTAAAGAGAAATCATTAGGCTGGGTGCCGTGGCTCACACCTGTAATCCCAGCACTTTAGGAGGCCAAGGTGGGTGGATCACCTGAGGTCAGGAGTTCGAGACCAGCGTGGCCAACATGGTGAAACTCCGTCTCTACTAAATATACAAAAATTAGCCGGGGCCTGGTGGTGGGCGCCTGTAATCCCAGCTACTCGGGAGGCTGAGGCAGGAGAGTCGTTTGAACCCCAGAGGCGGAGGTTGCAGTGAATGAGATCGCGCCACTGCACTCCAGCCTGAGTGACAGGGCGAGACTCTGTTTCAAAACAATAAAGAGAAATCATTGTTCACCATATTTGTATTTGACTGTGTGGCCCTTTTTTCCCTCTAGATCTAGCTTCTCCTGTAATGAGAGCTGTCACAGAAGGGCACGGGGCCGGAGTGGCTGTCTTTCCACAGCCATAAAATGTTTGTTTTCCCCTTGCCTTGCTTTACCCTGAGAGGCTGGGTTTAGCAACACTGTACAGTTCTCAGAGCGGGGCTGTTTATCAAAATGTGCTGTTTAAACCCAGGTTAAGGCAACCAGGATTTTGAGTATGGAACCAGCCCTATGTCCCAGCCTGTCTGGTCTATGTCTGCTCCTCAGCAGGAGCCAGGAACAAGCAGGGCCCTGGGGGAAGCCTCTCTTTATGAGGCTTCTGCTACTGAATCTCTTCAGCTTCCTCAGCTGGAAGCCTGAAGCTAAGCCTAGACAGTCTTGGCATCACCTCACCTTGAGCAAGGGGAGGGGTTTATTTAAAAAAAAAAAAGCTCTAGAAGATCAGGAGGATGACAACAGGTCATTTGGGAGTAAAACACTTTTTAGTGATGAAGCCTGAAAAAGGATTTTGAAACCCCAGACAGTAGTTGCTTATGTGATGGGAGAAATAGCCCTCAGGCCACCAGGGTCATTGCTCCTGGGGATGTTTTCTGAGCCTCCCTTCCGCTCCTGGTTGCAAAACACAGTGGTCTGTGCAAGGGCCCTCCAAGCCGCCGCCTGTGCACCTGGTCCTGCAGCCCTGCTGCTGCTTCGGAGGAGGTTATGTCCACCCTAAGGGAAGGCTTGGGTGAGGAGGAGGGCTAGTCAAGTGGGGCATCTTCCTCTCCTTTGGAAAAGGATGACAGAGGGGACATGCCCTTAGCTCACTGTTAACAGACCTCGGGAGAGGCTTCTCAGTTCTCCTGGTGAAAGCTGTCAGGCTTGGCACATGGAGAAGGAAAGCAGGAGGAGGAGGAGGAGGGGAGAGCAGCTGGAGGAGGAGAAGGAGGAGGAATAGGAGAAGGAGGAGGAGGAGGAGGAAGAGGAGGAGGAGGAAGAGGAAGAAAAAGAAGAGAGGGCAGCCATGTGCTTTTGTACCGCTGAACTTGCCCCTGGTGAGGCAGGTGAGAGCCCAGCACCCCAGCAGTCTGGGACCAGGGCAGAAGCTGCATCGTCCAGAAGGGATCATGGCCTGTTTGTTCCTGGAATAGGGCAGCGCATAGCTGGTGCTCAATAAGTATTTCAATGAACACCCAGCCTCTGGTGGGCAGTCAGCAAATGAACGAGTCTTGGATAGCAGCAGTTAAGAACTACTAAGTTAACTCCTAGTTAAGACTAGAGTTGGTGGATCTGAGTTCACATTTCAGCTCTGTCACTAAGAGCTGTGTGGCCTTGAGCAAAGGGGAACCAAATACCCACTACACAGAGTGGTTAAGGGGACTAAGAAAGTTTGCAGTTGGCCAGGTGCGGTGGCCCACGCCTGTAATCCCAGCACTTTGGGAGGCCGAGGCAGGCGGATCATGAGGTCAAGAGATGGAGACCATCCTGGCCAACATGGTGAAACCCCATCTTTACTAAAAATACAAAAATTAGCTGGGCATGGTGGCCTGTGCCTGTAGTCCCAGGCTGAGGCAGGAGAATCGCTTGAACCCGGGAGGCAGAGGTTGTGGTGAGCCGAGGCCACTGCACTCCAGCCTGGTAACAGAGTGGGACTCTGTCAAAAAAAAAGAAAGAAAGAAAAGAAGAAAGGAAAGAAAGAAAGAAAGAAGGAAGGAAGGAAGGAAGGAAGGAAAGAAGGAAAGAAAGAAAGAGAGAGAGAAAGAAAGAAAAAGAGAGAGAGAAAGAGATAAAGAAAGAAAGAAAAAAAGAAAGAGAAAGAAAGAGAAAGAAAGAAAAAGAAAGATCGCAGTGCAGAGCGGGAGCCTAGTAAACAGTGGATAGACAAGAAATGAATGAAAGCTTCAAACAATAACTGAGCAGCGTGAGAGACCTCTGAGGGTGATGGAACGATTGTGTATGTTGATCGTGGTAGAGGGGACACAGATCCATACCTTTGCCAAAATCCATAGAACTGTATGCCATAAAGAGTGAATTGTACTTTTAAACTTTTAAAAGATTGGTTGTCTCAAAGATTCCTTCTGGTTTTGACATTGTATGGCTTTCTTCACCTATAAGATAGAGTTGCTGCTGGAAAGAAATGATGTAATTGATGTGATTCTGCATTATGGTGGAAAGAAAAAGGGTCTGTATGATATAGTTTCATTTGTTCACTCTAGCGTCCTCTTATCAGCCTGCTTTTGGTTCCTTCAGGACTTACCCAGGGAGTGGTAGAGGATGGCCACTCAGGACCTCATTTGGCATCCAGGGGCAGCGAGCTCTCAGAGGTACCACATCCTTTATGGTAGCCTCTGGTCCCACATGGCTATTATGACTTGAAATGTGGCTGCCTTAATGAGGGAAGTGAACTTTTAATTTTATAATCTTAATTAACTTATATTTAGATTTAGAAACCGAATCAGTGTAAAAGATTTTCCTATTAAATATAACTATTGTTTTGGTAGGACTACATCTTAATTTTATTTATTTTATTGTTAATTTTTTTTCCTGAGATGTAATTCACATACCATAAAATTCACCTTTTGGTTATTCATTTTTTAAATTGAGACAGGGTCTGGCTCTGTCACCCAGGCTGCAATGCAGCGGCACCATCACAACTGACTGCAGCTTCAAACTCCCCAGCTCAAGGGATCCTCCCACCTCAGCCTCCTGAGGAGCTGGGACCACAGGTGTGAGCCACCACGCCTGGCTAATTTTTAAAAAAACTTTTAGTAAGACAAGACATCACTGTGTTGCCCAGGCTGGTCTCAAACTCCTGGGCTCAAGCAATCCTCCTGCCTTAGCCTCCCAAAGTGTTGCAATAATAAGTGTGAACCACCACGCCTGGCTTTTTTTTTTTTTTTAAATAATTCACCATTTTAAAGTGTTACAACTCAGCGGTTTTTGTATATTCACAAGGTTATGCAACTATCACCACTGTCTAATTCCAGAACATTTTATCACCCCTCCCCCACAAATAAAACCCGTACCTATACCTATCAACCGTCACTCTGAATTCCTCCCTAACCCTTAGCCTCAGGCAAACACTAGTCCACTGTCTGTCTCTATGGATCTGCCTATTCTGGGCATGTTATATAGATGCAGTCACTCAGTATGTGTCTTTTGTGTTGGTTCTTTTCAGTTAGTATATGTTTTTGAGGTTCAACCATGATGTACTTTACTCCTTTTATCGCTGAATAATATTCCATTGTATGAATGTACCACGTTTTGTTTATTCATTCATCAGCTGATGGACATTTGGATGTTTCCATTTTTTTTGGCTACTAGCCCTTGAAAATATAGCATTCAAATGACGTGTTGGAAAGGTAAATCAGACTTACAGAAAAAAGAATAAAAATACCTCATTAATAATTTATTTATATTCAATACATTTTGAAATAAGTTTTTTTGTTGTTGTTGGTTTTTTTTTGTTGTTTGATTTTTTGAGATGGAGTTTCGCTCTTGTTGCCCAGGTTGGAGTGCAACAGTGCAATCTCGGCTCACCACAACCTCCGCCTCCCGGGTTCAAGCGATTCTCCTGCCTCAGCCTCCCGAGTAGCTGGAATTACAGGCATGTGCCACCATGCCTGGCTAATTTTGCATTTTTAGTAGAGACCGGGTTTCTCTATGTTGGTCAGGCTGGTCTCGAACTCCCGACCTCAGGTGATCCGCCCACCTCAGCCTCCCAAAGTGCTGGGATTACAGGTGTGAGCCACCGCACCCGGCCCAAAATAATTTTTTATATATGGGGTTCAGTAAAATATACCATTGAAAAAAACAAGCCTAGAAACAAAGCAGAGGAGGTGCGACTGTCGGGGAGGGAGGGCAGGGACCTTCCTCCCCGGGTCTCTTTGTTCAACTCCCTGCACCCAGTGGTGGACTTGGAATGAGGGGCGAGGGAGGGCCTGGGAGGAGCAGCCACTTTTGGAGTCGCTGTGCCTTGGCACTTAGGGGAGCTGCAGAAAGCACAGGTCCAGGCAGGAGTTGGTAGATTTCCCCCTGGGAGGGCACTCAGGGCTGGATTAATTGGACAAAAGGAGTAACTGGAGTGGCCAATGACAACACTGCCTTCTCCTGGCACCTGGCCTGCGCCAGGCTGCGGAGTTGCTCAAGGCACTTTTTGCTCAAGTACCTGCAAGCTCCTGTGCTCCTCTCCTTTGCGGGGGAGCAAAGGCAGCAACTTGAGAGGCTACATTGTCTCTGGGAAGCAGGGACTGGAGCCCAGGCCCTGCTCCATCACTGTTTTGTTGTGTCCTTGGGCAAGTTCTTTCTGCTCTCTGGGTCTTGATTTCCTCGTGGGTCAGATGAGAGGACTGGATTAGATAATCTATAGGGTGTTTTCCAGCTTTAACATTTTAGAGTTTTGAAAACAGTCCTGAGTCAGACAGACGTGGGATCAAAGCCTAGCTTTATCCTTACCAGCTGTGTAACTTCTCTGTGCCTTGTTTCTCTATCTTTAAAATGGAGTAAATAATAAATAGTGACTTCACAGGGTTACTGAAAGGTTTAAATAAGGTAACTGTTGCCAACACTTGGTGCTTACTATTACCAAACACTGTCCTAACTGCTTTGCACAGATGAGCTTATTTAATCCTCCCAGCAAATCCAAGTTCCTATAGTGAGAATGTGACAGAGAGGATTTTGGACCCAAGTAGTCCAGCTCCAGAACCTGTTTCCTCGTCCACCATGCTGACCTGCTTTCAGTACAGGTAGGAGGCTGTGTCCTCAATAAATGCTAGAGGGAGAGGAAGGCAGAATTCTATGATTGTTAAAATACTTCTGATGGAAATCCTAGTATGTTCCACATTAAATAGATGCGGAAACCAAACTCAACAGGATGAAGTGATGAGCTCTGGACCACCGCCAAAATGGTGACAGAGCAAAACCCAGATATTCTGGCTCAGAGTTCCCCCAAGTATTTGGAACCGGAGTGGATCTCAAGTTACACATGCAAATCTGTTGGCAGATAAGCAGCCCCAACCCAGGCTAATCTCAGAAAGTATCACTTAGCTGATTAATATCTGAATATCAGGGGTGCGTTTCTGGAAATGTCTTTGCCTTCCTCAGTGCATACTCTCTGAATTTCATCCAGGTACAATTCTTAGTTGTTAAGTGTTGCACTTAATAAGAATTGGCTGTCTAGGGTGCTTTTAAAACCACTCTTGGCTGCTTCTAAGATTCAGCTCAAATATTTCTTGAGTGTCTACTGTGGGCAGAGCATGTACTATGTACTGGAAATACGCAGAGATGAAGGAACTACTTCCCGCCCTGCCCTCTGGGAGTTCTCAGTTGAATCAGGCAGATAGAAGAAATTCCCTTGCTCAAGAATAATTGTTTTAAAATGGACAAAAATGATAAAACTCAGTGTTGGTGACTGTGCAGGGAAACAGTCACTCTTATTCCCTGCTGGTGGGAAAGGAATATGGTCCAATCTTTCTAGAGGGCAGTTCGATAACAGTTATCAAAAGTCATAAAACTGTGCCTACCCTTATAACCCTGCAATTCTACTTCTTGAAATTGGCCCCAAGGAAATAATTATGGCTGGGCACAAAGGTTTAGCCATAATTATGTTTGTGCAGCGTTGTTTATGATAATGAAATACTGGATACACCCTTGTACGTCAATGGGGGACTGGTAAATTAGACATGGGTCTTCCACAGCAAGGTCACCAGAGAATATTTAATGCTACAGGGGTTCACATTGTTACCCAGTGGGGAGAAAAGGCAGGATACAAAAATGCCATCAAATAGTGTGGCAGCATTTTTTCAGTAAGAACAAGTCTTTTCCAAAAATTAGCTGGGTGTGGTGGTGGGCGCCTGTAATCCCAGCTACTTAGGAGGCTGAGGCATGAGAATTGCTTGACCCCAGGAGGCGGAGGTTCCAGCGAGCTGAGATTGCGCCACTGCACTCCAGCCTGGAGACGGAGCGAGACGCCATCTCAAAAAGACAAAAAAGAATATGTATTTTCTACAGTAAGAGCTAACATTTGTAGAGTCATTTTTAGGCATTATTTCAACCCTGTAACAGATACCCTTTTTTAAAAAAAATTGTTTAATAAACTCTTAACTATCATAGGTACTCTTTAAAATAATTTTTTTGGGGGGAGGCCAAGGCAGGCGGATCACCTGAGGTCAGGAGTTCAAGACCAGCCTGGCCAACATGGTGAAACCCCGTCTCTCTACAAATATAAAAATTAGCCGGTGTGGCGGTCGGTGCCTGTAATCCAGCTACTCGGGAGGCTGAGGCAGGATAATTGCTTGAACCTGGGAGGCGGAGGCTGCAGTGAGCCGAGATTGCACCACTGCACTCCAGCCTAAGTGACAGAGTGAGACTCCGTCTCCAAAAAAATAAATAAATAGCCAGGCGCGGTGGCTCACGCCTGTAATCCCAGCACTTTGGAAGGCTGAGGTGGGCTGATCACCTGAGATCAGGAGTTTGAGACCAGCCTGACCAACATGGTGAAACCCCGTCTCTACTAAAATACAAAAATTAGCCGGGCGTAGTGGCGGGCGCTTGTAATCTCAGCTACTTGGGAGGCTGAGGCAGGAGACTCACTTGAAACCAGGAGGCAGAGGTTGCAGTGAGCTGAGATCACGCCACTGCACTGCAGCCTGGGCAACAAGAGGGAGACTCCATCTCAAAAAAATAAATAAAAATAATTATTTTTTTAGAGACAGGTCTCACTGTTGCCCAGGCTGGAGTGCAGTGGCTGTTTGGAGGTGTGACCATAGCGCACTACACCCTTGAACTCCTAGGATCAAGTGTTTCTCCCGCCTCAGCCTCTCAAGTAGCTGAGACCACCGGTGTGGACCCAGCCTTATAGGTGCTCTTTTTATTCTCATTTTACAGTTGAGAAAGTTGAGGCTCTGAGAGTGTAAGGGACTAGCCCACATGTTCTAGCTGGGATTGAAGTTTGGCTCTGAGAGCCTGTACAGTTAACTCGGATGTAATTGCTTTCCTGTAGGCAAAGAAAATCATATGGGAGAATAATGGTGGTTCTCTTGGGATGGTGAATTATAAATATTTAATTTTTTCTTCATTATAATTATCTGCATTTTCATTGCTTTTTTTCCTCTCAATGAGCATTGGTTGCTTTTGTAATTAGAAGAAAAAAAGTTATTTTATTTCAAATAACATTGGCCTGTTGAACTCACAAATCACAAAAATGAAAAGCTTGACATATAAGAGGGTTTATCCTTGGCAAGTCCTCTACCTGCCAGAGGGTTGTTTCAGATGGAGGACAGGAAACCCTAATGTCTGGTCTTCAGAACTCTAATGGAGGACCCTCATCCCCAGCCAGCCCCTCAGGCCAAATCCCAAAGGGCGAGTTTCCAACCGGCAGGTTCCCATCTTCCCATCAGCCCTGAATTCCACAGCCTGGTTTTCGCTAGCAATTCAAAGGTGGGCACCCCGATCTCAGTGGCCCCATTCATCATGTTGGAAGCCTTCCCACCACCTCATTTCAGAATGAGTTAGGCAAGGACAAGCCCAAAGCAGGTGGCAAAGATTATTTAAAAACAAAGATTTTTTTTCCCTCCAAATTAGCTAGGGATCCCTAGAGTCACTACCCACCAAGGAATTAACCCCTTTTTGTACTCACAGGGCTGACTGGCTATTGTGATAGCTGTTCATTATGAAACTGTCCATCACGACTGCTGTTAGAGAACTACCTGCTGGGCTTCTACCATCTGAGGAAAGGAAGGGGTGGGGAGAAGGCCAAATACTGTTGTGGGGGGTGTGGAGGTGTAGGGGAGGACAAGGAGGAGGGATACAGGTGGTTGTAATCATAGTAAAAGCAGCAAAATGTTAATAAACTACAACAAATGTTTCCTGAGTACTTACACATGCTGGGGGGTTTATATGCATTATTTCATTGAATCTTCCCTTGAAACCCCATGAGGTGGGCACTGTCATTACACCGATTTTGCAAGTGGGAGAGCAGTCAGGCTGAGTGAGGCTAAATAACTGTCCAAGGTTATACTGCTGCTAAATGGAGCAGTTAGGATTATAAACCCAAGTCCTCCTCTTGCTAACCACCCACCTGGAGCCCTGCAGAGCCCCCAGAGAGCCTCTTCTCAGGGCGTGCTTCATATACGCACTTCACACACATTTTCAATTTCAGGACTTGCTGTTTTCAAGTCTCTTGGCCAGAAAGATCTCACGAGGTTTCTTTTGTTTTGTTTTGTTTCTCCTAGATTTATGTGATGCCACTTTGGAGGTACTCAAGCTTGATGGCTTTGAGATGTGCCTGTCCTGGGTTTGTATCCTATTTCTAGCACTGTATGTTGTTGTATCTTGGGCCTCAGTATTATCAATGTAAAATAGAGACTGAAAATTCAACATACATGTCCTTAATCACACAGTAACCATAAAGTTTGGAAACACACTTATTTTGCCTGTATTTTAATGTAATCGAGCTATACCATTCACATTTGTTATGCATATTTTCCTCTTTTCAGATACAGAGTAGCTCATGAGATAGATCTGAGCTCATGGGAGATATATATATATATATATATATATGTATATATGTATGTATGTATACATACATTACATATTTTATATTATAAAATTAAATATGTGTGTAAAGAACTTAGCATGCAGCCTGGCACATAGTACGTGCTTAATACATGATAGCTGCCATTGTTTGTTGGTTTTGGGCCTTAACTCAATCTCACAAACGTTTGTTGAGTGTCTGTGTGAAGGCCCTAGAGGCAAGCTCTTATGTGGTAGCGAAGGCAAACAGACATATACGTAAATTATTCTCAAAGAAGGCAGTCTATGTTAAGTGAAATGCTGCCAGTATAGACAAAGTGCATTGAGAGAATAATGGACAAAGCAGTGAATTCTTGCCAGGGAGATCTGGGTGGTAAGATTTTTATTTTTAGATTAAATTGACAATACAGAGAAATGCAGATCTTTAGTGTACAATTCAGTGAATTTTGGCAAATGTATTCACCCATGAAATTACCACTGGAATGAAGATCAAGAACATTTTCATACCCCCAAAACCCCTTCTAATCAATCCTCACTCCCCAAAGGCAACCACAGTTCTGTTTTTTCCCCACAATAGTTTTGCCTGTTCTTAACCTTCATATAAATGGAATCATTCAGAATGTCCCCTTCTTGTGTCTGGCTTCTTTCATTTAACATGGGTGATAAGGTTTGAGCTGAGCCTGAAAGCACTGCTAGGGTTGAATAAGCAACAATGGAGGCAGGGGAGAAAAGGTGAGGTATAGAGAATAGCTTGAGAAAGAAAAGGAGACGGATAAAGTGAATTGGGGACTGGTGTGACTAGAGTAAGGGGTACCCAATGGGGAAGAGAAAGAAGGATGGAAAGCTAGGTTGGAGCTTTGTTTTGCAGAGTTTTCAATGCCAGGACAAAGGCATGTAGACTTTATCCTGAAGGCAACAGGGAGCCAGCCAGGGAACAGAAGAGTGGACTGATGAGATCTGGGTTTTGAGGAGATATATATGTGGCCACAGCAGGTAGATACAATGAAGTTCAGAAAGTCTGGAGGCCTGGAGACCAGTTATTTGATTGTTTATTAATTCATCCATTCATTCACAATGTCTGCCAACTTTGTGATCAATAGCCTGCTCATTCATTCATTCACCCAAAAAGTATTTATCTGGTACTCTCTAGATTTTGGGTTTCTGGCCATTACCTCTCTGGCTTTATCCGTTGACTAGGAAACAAGTTTGATAAATCCTTCTTTAAAAAATTGAGATGGGATCTTACTATGTTGCCCAGGCTGGTCTTGGATTCCTGGGTTCAAGCAATCCTCCCTCCTTGGCCTACCAAAGTGCTAGGCATGGGTCACTACGCCCAGCCTCTGCTGCTTGTATCAAATTCTCTCCTCACCCTGAAAGTCTGGGAAATCCTTGATTTTTTTTCTAGTAATGGGCTCATCAAATCCTGCTAAGAAAATCTTCATTCCCATTGGGTATGTCTTTCCTAAAAACCCAATTGGGCAGACATCACCTTAGATTATTTTGTATGTGAGATAATAAGTAAATAGCCCAGAGAAACAGGAAGGGTTTAAATCAATGAAGGCAAGGTCAACTCTATGCCTTCTTGGAGGGCTGGGGACAGTGTTTCCCAAAGTGTGTTCCACAGTGGATCACTGGTTCTACAGGTTGTTATAGGAGTCAGTGGGGATGGAGGAGATGAAATCATGGCCATCTTAGTTTGAGAAATACTGGGTTAAAAAACAAACAAGGTAGGTTTCCTGACTGCAGGACTTTTCAGATGCTTGATGACTATGCCTTGTTCATTTCTAAGGAGAGATGTGAAGCTTTTCCCAAATGTTTTGATCCTGGAATCTTTTCTGCCGGGAACATCTCAGGCATTCTTGTATTTCTCAGAATGCATTTGTGAGATTCCCCGACATGACTTGAGAGAAATCAGAAGCAGTTCAGATCGAGGAGAGTTATGGAGCAAAATGCCCATAAGGTTGGGCCAGAGTAGGGAAGAGCCTGGAGCTGTGAAGAAGAGGGAGCTCCCTCCACAGGGAGGCACAGGAAAAGGAGAAGGAAGTGGGCTTGAGCCTTGCCTCGCAGTTGCATGGAAGTAGGAAGAGGAAAGAAATTTCCCAGTGGGAAAAGGAACTGGTGCAGGACTGAACTGGGACCGCGGAAGGACATCTGTATTGCAGAATTTCTATGGAGGAAACTTTATCTTCAAAGTGGCTGCAGCTGGAGCCTGTATTTGCTGGGCAAGAGAAAAAGGAGGAAAAAGTACATGGCTACTGGCCATGGGACGTGACAAGGACAGGGAAGTAGGGTGCTCCTTCGCGATCCCCACCCCTAGAACTGGCTCTTTCCCACAGGCACATGAGTGAAGAGCGCTGAGCTCTGTCCTCTCATTGTATGGCACGCTTATCTCCCTCACTGTGCTTCAGTTCCCCCAACTGCCAAAGGATGAGAAGGTAGGCCTTCCAGAAAAAGAGTCTGAGCCTTCCAAGGGAGGCAGGCAGATCTGTGCCTCTTCATAGCTGGGCAGAGCTTCACCAACAGGCTTCAGACAGGTTTGCACCCAAAGTCACAGCGGTAGCTGAGGTTCTGAAGTAACAGGGGATCTGGGTTCAAATACCAACTCCACCACTTACCTTGAGCCAGTCACTTTACCTCTCTGGGCTTTTCATGTTTCAGTTTTTCTCACCTCAAACACTTGGGCACCAGGAGGTTAGTACAAGGTACTTATGTTTGTTAGTAACATCACTAAACTCCTCTAAAGCCCATTGTCTCTGTAAAGGGAAATTTGTTACATTAAGATTGGTTAAGAGACTTTGTACTGTAAGGGGCAAAAACTGGTAGAACGAGTTGAAACTGATTGTTTTTTTATTTTCTGTAAATCCTGCCCATGTCATCCCCCTCAGGGTTCAAGCAGGGCTTAAGAATAACTCGGTGGAGACTCTTGTGGGTAAGGGGGATGCTGAATGCCTCCTCCATTCCCAGCATTGGTCTCCTGCTGGGTGTGACTCAGACTGCACAGTGGGCCAGGAAGAAGGGGGTGGGGGTGTCAGAGGTCACTAGGCCCCAAAAAAGAAAATGTTCTATTTCCCAGGTGGGGCCTGTTTTACAACAGATCAGGACATCCCCAGGCTCTAGAGACAACATCCCTCCCTTACCATAAACTAATCCATTCTGGTCAAGTGGAGGATGATTCTCGCCCAAGGCACCAAAAGGCAGAATCCCCCAGGTCTGATGTTTGGGGTTAGCTGGTTTTCTCAGGCCTGCTCCCTTTGTGATGCAGGCTTCGCTTTTTAGCCTTACACCTTCCCTGAGGCCTCCTTGTGGCTCCAGAAAGTCTTGCAAACAGTTCATTCACCCTATCTGGTCAAGAAGGTTCTGCCTAGAAGCTGCGGGATGGGGTGGCTTTTGAAGATGGTGTCGAGGCCCGGGGGTTTATGAAATGTTATCTTGGCTGATAAAGGCATCTGCTACTAATTATTTTTTCCTGTGTTTTCTTTTTTTGTCACCTTCAAAGTCACAGATCTCAGACAGTTGGAAAGAACCTGAGTGACCTTCAAACTCAAACCATTCATTTCACAGTTGGAGAAACTGGCTCAGGGAAGGAAGATGACTTGCCTGAGGTCACACAGCCAGCAAGCAGCAGAGCTGGAACTCAAACCTTGATCTCTTGCCCCTTGGTCCTGTGCTGTCTCTCCTGCTGCCTAATATTGGTAACAGCTATGGGGCACTTACTTTGTGCCAGGCACTATATTAAGTGCTTTACATGCATTTAATCCTTACGACCATCCTATGAAATAAATACTATTATTAATCCCATTTATAGATAAGGAAACAGACTCAGAGAAACAAGTTATGAAGCTTAGGGTCACAGCTAACAAAAAGCTGAGCCAGGTTTCAAACCCAGATCAGTCTCAAAACCCGGAGCTTGTAATCACTAACACTAATCTAAGGCATAAGTCTTCTCTTTGAGGGGCTTAACTTTCAACATCCCCAAACCACCTCACACGTTTCAGGGAACCCACAAAGACTGGAGAGAGAAAGAGGGTGAAACAAAAGGCTCCCAAACTGGTCCCATTCAGATGGGGCTATCCCAAGTTGTCACTTCAGTCTAAGAGCAGCCAAATGAAATACTGTGACCCTATGTTGGGTCATCAGTCAATTCAGAAGCCCCTGGCAGTTTTGAAATATGGCGAAACAGGCAAAGCCATGGACTAGAGAGTCAAGTCACTGTCACCTGCCTATCAAGACTCATCTTCTTAGCAGTTTCTCCAACACCCATCAGTGGGTAATACTGAGGATGTCTGCACATGACCCAGGAGGTACAAATGACTGAGCTCATTGTGAAAGGAGACAGGGCTGCAGGTGAAGTATGCATATTCATAGAGTACTGGCAAGGCATGAATCAGATTTCTTAGGAGACTGGGCAGAGAGCAGCAGTCATGCTCTCATCCTCTGAGGCAGGGGAACCTGATGACTAACCCCCATCTTCAGGCACATTTGCCTTGGGCTGAGTGCCCCGGGAGGCAGAAGCAAAGAAAGAGACAGGACAAGGAACTGTTTCACTGGGGTGGCAAGAGATGCCCATCCCTAATGATAAAAGACAATGGCTGACACTTATCAGGTCTTAACTATACACCAGAGTGGTGCTGAATGTTTTGCAGTGTGTTACCTTATTTGCAAAAACCTCACAACGGTGAAATTATGCCTATTTTACAGATGAAGAAACTGAGACTCAGAGAGCTCAAAGGACTTGCCCAAGGTCACACAAGTAGTGAATGGTTGAGCCAGGATACAGACTCACGTAGACTGGCTCTAAAATCCAAGCTAGATGTGCTCCACCTTCTGTGTATGTGTGTGTGAGGGCAGGTAGTCGGCAGTAGAGACTTCTGCATCACCTGAAGGGTGAAATTAGAGAAGTCTAACAGACTCCTCCAACACAAGATATTTTGTGAAATTTGACAACAAAACAATGTTTCCAAACATCTAGTTGCAAGCAGAGGAAAGGTTTTCGAGTAGAAGGGTTTCATCAAGGTTTCCCCAGTGGGCTTGTGTACAGGAATATACCTTATTCATTTCTCTCCCCAGACTGTGGCATAGTTACTTGAACTGAGCACGTCCTCACCAAGTTACCTGAATGACTGTTTGCTGAAGCAACGTAATGTAGCAGTTCAGCTTTGGAGCCAAACAGTCTGGGTTGAGATCCCACCTTGGGTCCTCTGGCGCTGCATGACCTGATCAAGTTTCATAGCTTCTTTAAGTCTCAGCTTCCACATCTATAAAATAGAGGTGGGCACTTGTAAGGACTGAGTGAAACAGGACAGGTAAAGTGTACAGACCCGAACAGAGAGTTAAGTGCTCAAAAAATGAGAGCTGCTATTATAATTGGTGATGATTAAATAACTCTCCATACTCACTGAATGAATGGATAAATGAATAACGCATGTGCCTAGTCAATGTGGCAGCCTGTCCGGAGCACTGGCTGAAAGGGTAAGCAGGGGCAAGTGAGGAGTGGGGAGATTGATGGTGACTTCTGAGCGGTTACCTTCCTGAGAGAAGAGCCAGAGGGGCCTGATCGTGGCGTAAGATATGGTTCTTAGGCCCCTGCAGGCCACAGTTTCTAAGTCCTTCCTCTTCTCCACTGCTGGACCATAAGGCCCCAAACTGATGGCCTTGAAAAATTCCCTAGCAGGCCAGCGGTGGATTCAGAAAACCCCTCACCTGAATGTTCAAGGCCCAAGGTTGAGCACTTAACCTCTGACCACATGGCCTCTGCCTTCCTAGTGGGGATACAGGGCCCAGAAAGGCCTCAGCAAAACCCTCCCTCTCCCCACCCTCTCCAGTGAGATCAGATCTAAATAAACACCAATGGCAGCCTTTGAAGGAACACTCCTAAGAAACAGGACGGGTTAGGACCTTATGGGTTAGTTGTGCCTATCTGAACCTCTCTAAGCAGAGCAGGTCCCGCCCTGTCCTGCCCCACCTCACCCCACCCCACCCTAACCTAGGAAGGTAGCACTGACCCTGGCCACCTACTCATTCCATTCAGCACTGGGGCACCAAGACCCTCTGTCCAAGCCAGACCTTGGCCAATTTTCCTCTGTAGCATTTCAAGGAAATCCCTATCTTAACCCTCCAGGCCCCAGTTTGACCCCTGCACAGAGGAGGAAATATGTTTCCAGTGTTTGCCGTGGGGGTAGTGGGGATAAATATGTTTTTCTCTGCGATGCTGTCTTTTATTTGGAAGTGGGCAGTGTCTTGTTTAATGGCCTCTTTTAAGACAGACTCAGCAATAGTGGTTGGGCTGCTGGGGCCTGAGGCACAGGTGAGGGCTCACCTGGGGCCAAGACAGCTGGGTTCTGTTCTTCCCAGCAGGCCCTCTCCTTCCAGGACTGAGGCTGTGTTCTCCCTGGCTCCCCTCTCCCTGGCTGCCTCCTGTTCTGGCTGGTTCCTGGCAACAGAGAAAGAATCTCAAGACAGCACACTGGCTGCTTCTTCCTTCTCTGCCTGAGCAGAGGATAAGCCTTCTCTGATTTGTTACTTTTAAATAAAGTTTCTTTTTCCTATTAACAGAAGAAATAATGTCCACAGAAACAAAAATAAAGCATAAATCACCACTGACCCCAATATCCATAATACTCCCTGGGGTGAATTATTGTTTTCTCTATTCATATAAATGGATTTTTAAAATAGGAATGGACTAATTTACTAAAAGTAGAGTAAATGGAAGACTTAAAAGTAGGGAATCAGACCCAGATTCAAGACTTAGCTCAGAAACTCCCTGAAAATAACCTTAGTAAGTTTCACTTCTGCGCCTCACTTTCCTCATTTGCAAAATAAAGATAATAGTACTCACATCATAAGGTGGTTGTGAGAATAATACGAGGTCAAACACTGAGCCTAATGCCTGGAACAATCATAAAAACACATAATTGCTAACAACTGTACTGAAAGCACAGTAAATAACTTCCATGGTACACAGGAAGCCTCCGTAGCATCCTTTTAAACTGTAGCGGGGCATGCAGCTACATTCAGGTATCTTAATTTACTTCACTGAATCTCTTGTGAAGGGTATTTTTATTAATTCTAATTTTTCAGGATTATAAACAATGCTCTGATGCACATCCTTGTAGGTAACTCTTTGCACACAAAGATTATTTGCTTAGGCAAAATTCCTATGAGTGAAATTGCTAGATCAAAGGATGAGCTAAACTGGAAAGCCAAAGCTTAGACTGGCTCACTCTCCTCCCAGCAAGGAGCATGCTTGTTTTCCCTTGCCAATACTGTGATTAGCATTTTCTTTCATCTTTATCAACTGGATAAATGAAAAAAAACAAAACAAAAACAACTGCTTGTTTGCTTTCGGAGACTTATTTCTAAGAAGAGCTTTCAGGGTGACTTTAGACTCCATGATTCCTCATGTCCAAGGAAGCTCCAGGAAGGAATGTAGGTGGTCTTACTGGAAGAACTGTGATAACCATCTAAAGTACAGAATGTAAAAGGGCCTGAGAGCTGCCCGTTCCATGTCCTGCTGCTCTGCAGGCACAACTTCCAGGTCCATCCATGCCTTCAAAGAAGGGCCATATTCTCATGGCCGGGCGCGGTGGCTCATGCCTGTAATCCCAGCACTTTGGGAGGCCGAGGCGGGCGGATCACCTGAGGTCGGGAGTTTGAGACCAGCCTGACCAACATGGAGAAACCCCATCTCTACTAAAAATACAAAATTAGTTGGACGTGGTGGCACATGCCTGTAATCCCAGCTACTAGGGAGGCTGAGGCAGGAGAATCGCTTGAACCTGGGAGGCGGAGGTTGTGGTGAGCCAAGATCGTGCCATTGCACTCCAGCCTGGGCAACAAGAGCGAAACTCTGTCTCAAAAAAAAAAAAAAAAAAAAAAAGGTGGGGGGGCATATTCTCTATGTAGGGTGTGTGGCCTACCCCTCTGCTTAAGAACATTATAATGAAGCTTTTACTTTAAATGTTAAATGTTCAAATGAAATGCTACAGAATATTTTAATGAGTTTTGAGTGAGTGCCCAGGACAGCACTTCTGTGACCCCTTAGGACCCATAATGGTATCTAGGGTGATGCTTTGTCTGAAAGTCAAGGGTCAATCCAAAGTTCTTCACTTAACCAGGGGCATTCTCTCTGAACCTCAGTCTAACAAATGGGGCCAACCATGCACTCTTGTCCCTTCCTCCTGGGATGGCTGTATGGATCAGGGGAGATGAAGCACAGGAAAACACTTTGAAAAGAGCTCTACATCTAGCAGAGGCTGTATTGAGGGGAGGTTGAGGGCTGAATGCTGTGAACTTAGCTGTGCACTGGGGCTGGAAATGGGAAGTGGCTGAGGCCTTTTTTTTAAGCTGGGTGCTCCCTATAACACCAGCTACCTTTTATTGGGTACCTATTTGCCATAGGTTTTACGTCAATATCTCATTTAATTTAATCCCCAGGCTGACCCCACTGAAGCATGATGGGAAATTACATACAGACCTGAAGTCATGGGTGCAAAGAGAAGGCACTGGTGCATGAAAATAAGAGGGAGGAGAGGAATTCAAACTTCGGAGGTCTTCCCTTGGGTGGTGGTGGGTGGGGTGGGGGGTAGAAGGCAATACCTAATTTGCCCAGAATGTCAGTAATGTGTGAAATTATGTTCATTCATCCGTTTTTCATTTATTCAACAAACATTTATTGAATACCTATTATGTTGAGACACAGGACAAGTGCTATGTGAGATTTATTTTTCCTTGTATGGTTTCTGCCCTCCAGAAATTTACAAATCCTATCTGCCTTGCAGATACTATCAACCAACCTATCTACTTTTCTTCCCTCCCTCCCTCCCATCTCCCTTCTATCTATCCCTCCTAGACCTTGTTCCAGACAGGGACTAGGAAGCTTGAAAGGACTATTTCCACAACTTTGGGATCAGGCCAACTTCAGTTTGATTTCATCTCTGTCACTAAGGGGAGAGCCAGGTGACCTTAGATGTTATATCACCTCTCTGGGACTGTTACCATCTTCTGTATAAAACAGGGATACTTATGGCGGCTACTTCACAGGCCTCTTGAATTACATGATTTTATATATATATATATATTTATTTATTTATTTATTTATATATTATTTATATATATATTTATATATTTATATATTTATATATATATAAAATCAAGCACTAGAACAGTGCCTGACACATACTATGGACACTGTTATCTAATCCTCATAGCAATCATTTCACTGAGGACAAACTGAGGCAGAAGGAAGTGAAGTTGCTTGTCCAAGGCCTCAGGCAGTCACCCTCAAAGCTGACGTTCTTTAGTAACTTGGCCAACCATGTGACCCCATTTTACAGGTAGGAATGGGATAGAGCATCTACAGCTAGCATTATGGCGTTAAGTGCTCAATAAATGATAGTAATTTTAATTGCAAAATCAAAATGAGATCAGATAGCTGAGCTCGCTGCTGAGAGCCTGCAAGCCAGACAGCCCCCCTGCAAGCCAGACAGCCCCCCCGTCTCCATTCCTGTGCCTCCCAGGGGATCACTGGGCAAGGACTCAGTCTTCACTCTCTTCATCCCTGCCCTTGTCCCAGGAAGGATAGGGACACAATGGCCATTTGTCAATGGGAAATTATTTTGGTTTAATGACATTTAAACTGGGGCTTTGTATAGAATTTCTAATTACAAAAGCAGTGCAAGTTCAATGTAGCCCGTTTGGGGGAAGACGGAGAAAAGATTGAAATCCTGGTATTTCAGTGCCCACAGAGAAGCACTGTTGACATGTGGGTATATATTCTTTCAATATTTGAATATAGGTCAACAGATTTGCATTAAGAGTTCTGGATAATTAGAAAGCATTCAAGTGTTAGAAAAGGACGGCTGTCAGCAAGGTCCTCATGTTCAGCAGCGCATGTCCCGTCTGGTAAATGGTGCCGTCATTGTTCAGTACACAACTTTCACAGACACACAGAGGAGCCCTGGCTCTCAGTGCTCACTTACAGTGGCCCTAACTTTTACTCCTCCCCAACATGCCAAGGAGAAGTGTCATACTCTTTGGGAACAGTGGCTTCTGCACAGGCATGATCGTGGAAAGGAGGGGAGGGATGAAGGACTGTGCAGTCCTCCAAGAGGGCAGATCAGAACGTCTGGAGAAAGAACATCAGTAATCTAGAAAAGCAAATCAAGATGATTTTAATAGGGAACTCCCCCCTTATAGTGATTCACTAATCTGTTCTTATAGAGGGAAATTGAGACTCTGAGAGGAGAGAATTTACTCAGTCACACAATAAGTAGCCAGAGGTCAGGCAGAACTTGAGCGCAGGGCACTCCCTAACTTAGTCCAGTCCTGCAAGAATGGAATCAGAAAGATGTGGGTTCAAATCTCAATTCTTTAACTTATTAGCTTTTGTTTTGTTGTTGTTGTTGTTGACATTATCTGTTTGCACAGGCTGAGTGCAGTGGCGCGATCTTGGTTCACTGCAACCTCCGCCTCCCAGGTTCAAGCAATCCTCCTGCCTCAGCCTCCCAAGTAGTTGGGATTACAGGTGTATGCCACCATGCCCAGCTAATTTTTGTTTTTTTAGTAGAGACGGGGTTTCACCGTGTTGGCCAGGCTGGTCTCGAACTCCTGATCTCAAGTGATCTGCCTGCCTTGGCCTCCCAAAGTGCTGGTATTATTGGCATGAGCCACCGCACCCAGCTAACTTTTGACTTCCAACAAATCATTTAACCTCCGAGTCTGTTTCTTCACTTGTGAAATAAGGTTAATATCTTCCTCATTAGATTTAAATGAGAATTAAGGGGGGAAAAAAAGGCTTTTCTAACAAGTATTGAGTGCTAGATGCCAGGTACAGATAATGCACTTCACACGCATTATCTTTTAATCCTCACAATAACCCCATAAGGGAGGAATACAATTTTTATATACACTTTACAGGTGAGGAAACTGAGGCTCAAAGAGCTGTAGCCACTTGCCCGACATCATGTAGCTAGTTGGGCTGAGATTTGAAAGGAGGCCTGTGAGTCTCAGAACAATACTATCCTAACACATAGGTAAGTCTTAGCACAGTGCTTGCAAAATACAAACGCTAACTAAACAGCAGCCCTCATTATTTACTGTCATTATTGTGGATATAATTATTATGTTACAAGTAATTGGCTGGTCTCTGTTTATGTTTTTTTAAACTTTGTTTTTTTTTTTTTTTTTTGGAATAGCTGTTCTGTTTTAAATCTCCTCTGCAGAGGAACCAAGAGCTGTGCTGATCCATGAAGGGGAAGTAGGTGCCAGCCTTGCTCAGCCCCACAGGAGCAGGAAGGGGGCAGCAGCAAAGCACGGGGAGTGTCTCTTTAAAGGCCTGGCATCTCTGGGTTGTTGGGATGAAGGCCTAGAAAGCACTTGTACCTCCTGCCTGGGAGGTATAATTCCTACTGAGGGGCCTGGTGACCTTGCAAACTGGCTCATGGCGTTCCTGCCTACCTAGCCCAGACCACCGGTCCTTCTATCCCATCCGGGACACTTCTGTAGCCTTCCTGTGTGTGGAGACGTAGAAACCCTCTGCCCTGTGATTTGGGTCTCTGCTGATCTCTGAAGATGGGTGCGGGTGATGAAAGAGGCAAAACCTAGAGGCAGAGGGAGAGGACCCATTTTTAAAACCCCAGCGAGCACAGACACGCCACCTGGAATCCCAGCCTCCCCTGAGCCCAGTCAGCATGAGTCACCCCACAGCCCTTCACCTGTGGGTTGCAACACGGTTGACAGAAACTCCACAGCCTTCCATGAGGTGGGCAGACAGGTACATACAGAGGAGTGTGCCATCCTTTGGACTGCAATAAGCTTTGCAGTTACAGTTGGCACCAAATAGCCCTTCAGCCACCAATAAGCTCTGTGAAGTGGTTGGGCACCCAGGCTCTGCTCTCGGATTAAATCCCAGCTCTAGCTCTACCACTGCCTAGCTCTGCAGCTTGAGTAGTTTACTTCAGTATTCTGTACCTCAGTTTCCTCATCTATAAAATGGGGGTATCAAAAATGTCTATCTCCCAGGGTTGCTGTAAGGATTAGGCGACACAATGTATGCAAAGGCGCACAATGCCCGGTGCCTGTGGTATATGAAGCACCTACTAGGTGCCAGACACTGGAGATTCCACAGTGAGCGACACAAAGTCTTTGCTCTTATGGAATTTACATTCCAGAGGAAGGGGAGAAAGACAATAAACGATTAGAAAAATATCATAGGTCATATTACATTGTATCATAAGTCATAAGGGCTCTGCAGAGAACAAAAAGTAGTGTGATCCAGAGTGATTGAATGTCTACTTTATTAACAAGGGTGACTGAAGAGGGCTGCTCTGAGGAGGTGGCTTTATTAGCAATTATTTACTATTATTTATTAGGGTCCCCTGGGCTTCCCCCAACACAGCCTCCAGGGAGAAACCAATCTCTGAGAGTTCTCAAACCCAGTACCCCCTCTCCAGAGCCCTGACCCCACCCCAAGAGGGCTCCTTTGAATTCTGACTTTACCCTGAAAAACCTCCATAAATTGGCAGGGGTAGCTGAAACCTCACTTGCCGTTCCCAGAGAAGAGAGAGAGGAGTGGGCCAAGTTGAGGTTTCCAGGAAGACACAGCAAAGAGATAATTTGCCAAAAGGGGAAGGGTGGGGGAGGGGAGAATAGAAAGAGAGAGAGGGAAAAAAAGATGCCAAGATCTCTGGCTTAGATTTAATTTCAAACTAATCCTGGAAGAAGCTCTTTAAAAAGCTCTTACATTCTCCTGTTTGTGTTTGTGGATATTCTGGGGTTTACCAAGCTTGTTCTTTATAGTAGACAGCTCACAGCAATTACTCCACAATTACTTCATCTGACAGGCATTGAATTTCTCCCAAGTTCCCAATACAGAACGAAGCACTTGGAGCCTGTGAAATGACCAGCTGGCTGAGGCTTCAGAGGAGCCTTCAACTTTTCTATCCCTTCTGTGCTGACCAGAGGTATGTGGCTTGCCCACACCCCCTTCACACCCAATAAAAGCCTGTTCTCCTTTACTCCCCCACCCCCTGCCACCAACACACACCCCCCAGATTGTAAACTCCTTTAGAACAGTAACCCCTGTTTTTTCTGGCCTCAGTTTCTCCAGAACCCAGAGTAGGGTCTGGCACACAACGGGTGCTCAATGAATGTCTACTGAATTGAGGCCACTGACTTCAGCCCAAGGGGCAGCCAGACTTGGAGTGAGATGACTGCAGATTGGATCTGGGCTGGGACCTCGCTAGCTGTGCCCTTGGGCAAGGCACTTTGCCTCTCTGGCCTCCATTTCCTCCCTCATCTGTAAAATATGTGTTGAAGAGGAAGGGGGAAGCGATAATAAATCTACCACGGTAGGTTACTTTAAGAACCAAAAGAAGTCACTTGAGTAACTGCAAAAGATTATTCAAAAATATTACCTTAAAGGGGAAACTGAAAAAAAGGGAACTTATACAAAGATCTACCTGGGAAAAGTTGCTCTCTCCTTTGAGAATTCCCCAGTGGTACAGAAGGAGGGGGCAAAGAAATTTGGGGGTGGGGATGTTTCTGGGTATCTGGGACAATGACTAGAAACAGGAATCAAGTTTTCCTTTAAGCCAAGTTATCTGTTTGTCCCTGTACTTTTCCTCTAGTTATCTTGCTTCTTTCCAACATTTTCTTCTCCATCCCTCCTCCCTCATCTCCACCCCCCACCCCCTCACCAAGGAAGGAATTGGCCAGCTCCACCCAGCCAGTCCCCCATAGCTCCGCCCTCCTCGGCGGGCTAAGAGTTAACAGCTGCACCTGTTGAGGTATACCTCCAGTCGCCGGCACCTGTACCTGTAGCCAATCAGCGCCAGCGCTGCTGGGAACCTACCTGTCAGCAAAATCTCGACACCCAAACCTCAACATAAATCAAACACTTTCCCGGGCAGAGAATGTCTGTGTCAGGCAAGAATTAGAGACAAGCGGTCAGCAGAGCCTCAGTGCTGATCGTCGGAGCTTGGGAGCAGGAAGATGTCGAATGAACTTGAGTGAGTAAACATCGGTGGATACCTGCCGCTCTCAGAGCGTGGAGGCTGGATGGGGTTTCCTGGAGGGGGAAGAGCGGGGAGGCCGGCACCGGGATTCACAGAGCAATTTGTAAGGGTAAATGAATGGGCTGACGATCTTACTTTGGCGTGTCAAGGCAAGCCCCAGTCTCAAGCTAGAGGTGAGTGTTTCCCTGGGAAAATAGTTTTTCTCATTCTCTTTGCTGAGCAGTTTCGAGCCAGGCAGGGAAACACAAGACTGAAACTGTGAAGGTTTCTGGCACCACTTTTTGATCCTCTGAAGGGGCCTTGGAAATCAGACGACCCCAATCCCATCGAGGCTTTCTATCTTCTTGCCAAAAGGAACTTCTTTAAGGTAGTTCTAAGAGCTGTCTTAGGCAGAGAGTTGGGTTTCTCTAAAGGGACTTGTTTGCTGGGTTGGAACAGTCCCAAGTGGGAAGGTTACAGTGTGGTGGTTAAGCATGTGTACTCTTTGTAGTGGGCTTGACCTAAGTTCAAATCCAGGCTCTGTCCCTGGGTGATCTCAGACAAGACATTCAATTTTTCTGGGCTTCATTTTCCTCATCTGGAAAATGGGTACAAGAATGCTTTGTAGAATTCTGGAAAGAGTTAAGTGTGATAAATGCTGTAAAATGCTTAGCATAAAGCTATGGTCTGAAGATGCGTTCAGTAAAATGTGGTTCCTCTCATTCAGAGGCAGTTCTAAGGCTGGGGAAGATGAGAAGTGATTTTTGGTAGGTCACCTCTTTTGGCTGGGAGGATGCATGTGCCTTCCTGCCCACATCTGAGATTTAAGATCCTGACTGACTGATGCTGATCTTCACCATGATGTCCTTCTTGGGGTCCAGACCTTAGAGAAGGTAGGGTGAGGCTGGGATCTGGGCTGCTTTAGATTGGGTTCAGGGAGCTGGCAGGAGAAGCCAGAATCCTTTAAACACAGGCTCTCCTTTTCCTGCCACCCTCAGAGGTGAGTGGGCAGAGGCAAGGATTGTACCATCTTTTTTCTAACTGCTCCTCAACAGACTTTTAAGAACTTGAAGATCTGTGGGCAGACAGCAGTGCTAGGTCCTGACTGCAGACCGGATTCTATGTTCTAGCTAGCCCTTCAGCTCTTCATGTTCACAGCACAATCACTTGGGTTAACAGGCACATTTCTTTTGAATGAATTTCCCGGGGTTGACAATGTATTGACAATTGGACCGCAATGAGAATAAGAGCAGGAGCATTGGTACTGACACCTGGGTTCAAGTCCCAGCTCTAGCACTTATAGCTGTGTGATGTTGAGCAAGTCCCTTAATCCTCATCTGTAAATAGTGGCCAACAGTAGTATCCACCTCATGGGGTTGTTAGAGGATTTGACAATTTTAGAATAGTGATTGCTTTTAAGGCTGGTGGAGAACACACCAGTAACACCATTGTCATTTCATGTAGAACTAACCAATCAATGAGCATTCCCAAACCTCTTGCTATTTTTCCATACTTTGAACGCGCAAAAAAATCTTGACATGTGTCTCCATCCCACTTAAATTTGCTGGCTAAAACTGCGGAGGCTACAGACAGAATCTATTCATTACTGCACGTTAGGGGGTATGTGTTCTGAAGCTGGGTTACTTGAACAGAAAGGTTTCTTGCTTTTCTCCTCCCTAATGGTTTGGATTTGAAGTCAGATCCGCTGACAGTTGAGGCTTCTCAGTTTGGGGTGGGGTGAGGGAAGCCAGTTGCCTGCTGAGTAATTGCAGGCGGACTCCAAGCCACCATTTGAGATTACAGTGGCAGAGCCTGGGGGCTCAGCTGCCCCTACTGGTAAGGGGAGGGCACCCGGCGCTTGGCTTGCAAGTTCTGAGCTGCTGTTGCTTCTGCGGCCTCGACATTCTCCTAAAAAGTGCCAAGTTAAGAGGACTGGCCATAGCTTACAGCTTGGGCCCTCATGGAATGGCCAACTCTGGCCAGGCCTTGATATAGTGGCAAAAGTGGGACTTGCCTGTCACTCTAAATTCTGCCACTTACCAACAGCAGGATCCTGGTGAATTTGTTTGTCCTCCCTGACCCTCAGTCTGCTCATCTGTCTGTAACACCTACCTGGCAGGAACAACTGTGAGCTCCCAAATGTGGACCAGAGCTCCATCCGCGCCCGCCCGGTGGCCAGGCCCCGGGTGTAAGGCGGCACTTCGAAGGCTGGTCTCTGAGAAGCATGGAGGCCCCGGCGGTGTAGTTAGAAACCAGCTGGAGGTGGCTGGCGGGTGCTGAGCGCCGGGCCTTTCATGTGGTCGCAGCGCTCTGGGTGCCTGGAGCCCGCAGCCCTGGGCAGCCCCGGGCTACCGCAGGGCGCAAGGGATCCTGGGCTGCGGCCGAGGGCGCCGGAAGTCGCCGCCGACCGCCTGGGTCTCGCAGGAAAACAGCCGGCGCCCGCGAGCTGCCCAGCGTCGGGTTTTCCTGAAGGTGCGTCGGGGCCCCCGGGGAGCTGGAGCCGCAGGCGACCTCCCCGGTGACCTGTTGTTCCCCTCTGGAGGGCCGGCCGGCGCTCCAGGCAGGCCCCGTTGACAGCCCAGGAAGGGAGAGTTTCGCCGCAAAGGGGCTTGGCACACAGTAGGTCTAAGGCACCGAGGCAGGAGCGTCCCCCGCGGCCTCGCTCCCTGCTCTCTGGGCCCCACCGCTGCCGCCTGGAGTCTCCCCTCAGCCTCGCAGAGACGCGACTCGGTTGGGGGAAGGGGACTAGAACCGTCGCAGTCCTGACCGCGGCCGCCGCCGCCGTTCTATCTGATCTCCAGGAGCGCCGGCTCCAGACTGCCTGGAGCGCTGAAAGAGTTAATCAGGAACGCCTCCCCGCTGTGGTTTTGTGGTCGAAACCATGATTGCCAGGAGCAAATTTTTGTCGTGCACGAGGTGTGTTATTAAAAGTCGGAGCTACGCTGCTGCTGAATGAAAAGTTAAAAGCCCTCTTTGAGTTCGGGCTGTAAAACTGGCGGACTGGGCCGAGAGGCTTGAGCCAACCCTAACGGCGGCGGCCCGGGCGGCGCGGGGGTCCTGCGGCTCCGCCAGCTGCTGGGAGCGGGCAGGCTGCGCAGTCCCAGCAGTGAGTGGCCGCAGCCAGGCGGTCGGCAGAGCTCCCACTGACCCACCGGAGGAGTGAAGAGGGAAAACGGGGCTGAAACCCAGATGGGATCATCCAGCTTTCTCTTACGTTAGAACAAAAATGACAGCCAACATTTATGGAGCGCTGACTCCGCATCTGACATTGTGTCGAGTGCTTGATAAATACACGCTCTTCTTTAAACCCTCCCAACAAACTAATGCGGGATGGGAGTGTAAATGCAGTTTTGCCGAAGAGGGGACCCAGACCTGGTTCAGGCTTGCCCAAGGTCTCACGGAAGCACTGGGATCTTAACCGGGTCTTAGCCGAGCAGCCATAGGCCACCCCGCTTCCTCTGTGCTTAGCCTCTGAAAAGAAGACAGAGGAGATGTGCCAAACTGTTAAGAGTGGTTATTTCTGAGCAGAAGAATGTGGATGAATTCCATTCTTCCTATTTTTCTGTAGGTTCTACATGTTATATATTTGTTGTATTTTACAAACCTATGTTACCTTTGGAGTCGTTAAGGGGAAGAGAGGGAGTCATTATTTTGAAAGAGAACACCTAGAACAGTGTTCTCAAACTGTGGTCCGTGGACCATCATCATCATCATCATCACCTGGGAACTAGTTAAAAATGCAAATTCTCAGCCCCACCCTAGACCTACTGAATCAGAAACTGGGGGTATGGCTCAGCGTTATGTGTTTTCACAGGCCCTCCAGGTGATTCTGATGCGTGTCCAAGTTGTAAAACTGTTGGCCTAGAAGACCAGGCAGAGGACTGGGAAGCAGGAGGTTCCCAAATCCACTACTGACCTGCAGTGTAGTTGCTGAGTCAGCAGGCTGAGAGCTTAGTTCCAAGATCACACCTGTGTTTTAAGCCCAGCTCTGCCACCTATAGATTGGGTGACTTGGATGAGCTCCTTAACCTAAGTGTCAGTTTTTGCCCATGTAAAATGATGATAAAAATACCCACCTCACAAGGCATGTATGAGAATAAAAAGGCACAAGGCCTGACTCTATGAAATAATTGAGTTCCTTTCCCTCTCTTGCCTTCCCTCCCCTCTCTGGAACTCAGCTTTCCTATCTAAAATGCCGCAAATAATCCTGGCTGGCTGCCTCCCCCTCTCTATTCCTTTTGCCTCCTAAAAAGGTTAGAACAACTGACCTAGTGAAAGTCTTGAAGGGAAATTATCTCTCCGTTATTTGATGGTATTTCTCTAGGCTTTTCCAGGAGGTCAGCAAGAATTGGGAACTTTCAAGGGCAGGGACCGAAAGGGGACAGAACAGTGTAGCCACATGAATGGCAGTGGCCTTCACCTTTTTTGTCCTCAGCACCCAGTACGTGGCCATTTACAGAGTAATCCTCAGTGAATGTTTGTTGAGTGAATCAGTGAGTGAATAAATGAAGGGATGTGGCACCCCCGGGTTTACAGGTGGATTTCAACTTCTTTCACACCTCAGTTGAACAATAGATGGGGGGAGAAAAGGAAAATTAGACAAGACACCAAGAGGAGAATATAGCATGAAAGAAAAATTCCCATACAGGGAAGAATTTTTAAAATAGCAGAAACTCACTTTCTTCTCTAATTAGGAAAGGGCACCTAGATAATTTACATGCAACTAAAAGTGTCTGCTGCAGCCTGACCACCGTCAACTTGCCCACCTGGGTCCTGACGATGAAGCTGGTAGTGCGTGTTCCTCTTAAGTGGAAATCTCCAAGCATCAGGATGATTCTGCCAGCTAGGAAGAGATATCCCGATTCATAGGCTGGAAAAGGCTGTGAATTGTGCAGTTTGCTGGGGACTACCCCACAAAGTATTAGTAATAATAATAAAAGTAGTTCACATTGTTATGTGCTGGCACTATGCTGATCGCTTTACCTGCATTACCTCATTGCATCTTCCAACAGTAATACTTCACAAAGTTGTAAAAAACAAAGACAATGACTAGAAGTTGTTAGCCAGCACCCGGTACTTGGTAATCCCTCAATGAACGGTAGCTCTCATAGCAATTCTGTGAGGTTAGCATTCTCATTGCCTCACATTTTGCAGGTAAGAAAACAGGCACAGAGATGTCAGGTTGCTTGCTTAAAGTCACCCAGTAAGTAGCAGAGCTGGACCTGGAACCCAGGTCTGCAAAGCTCTGGGCCCACTCCCATAACGATGAGTTCATACTGCCTCATGCAAACTGGAGTCATTACAGAGCCATGCCCTACACTCTGCCATTTCCCCATTGAGGCCCCCAAATGAGCCCCCAGCCCATGTGACGAGGCACATTTCACAATCTGTACACCCAGAAAACCAGATGGGCCACTGGCAGGCACGAGAACCCTGGGGCGCCCCTGTCGTGCCCAGGGAACATCGTGTGTGGGGCTGACTGGAAAATGATTCCTCTGTGAGCAGTTGTGTCAGGGCCTCCCTGTGGGTGATTAGAGAGTGATTGATCACTGTTAATGAGGTTGGGTGGCTCATGGCAGGATTTAGCAAGTCATTGGGAGTATCTGGGTGTCAACACCCAGCTCAGGCGGCCCCTGGAACTCTTCCTTCTCTGGCTGAAGGGAAGTGGGGTCTAGCCTGCTGGATCTGTCCTGTGCCACACACCTTCTTTGGTGGAGCTTGAGACCACCTCCTTTGGTGTTGGGTTTTCTTCCCACCTTCTGGAAAGTTGAGTGAGTACTTTCTTTTCTGTAGCTTAACTACTGAGTCCCATCCTGCCGTATGCTGCATGTCCTTAGGCAGGTGCCTCTCTGGAACTAGACCTCTGAGGTCTGTCTGCATCCTAAATTGCTAGGATTCTAACAGAAGGAAATGATACCAAAAGTTCTCAACTGATGGCTGAGACAGCATTTCCTTGGTCTTATTGGGGGTTTTAAGTAGCTCAGCCAGAAAGCAGTGGGCATTTTGACTCAGAAGAGACTTGTTGGGATGAAACCCCACTTTACCACTCTAGACTTTCACCATCCTGGTGCCCAGAATGAGGCATGTTGGAGCCATGAAGGCTGAGGCTGACTGGGCATGGAGCAGCTGGCACCACACCCCTGTTGTGCCGAGTGCCAGTGAACTGGGGAAAGGTCCCATCCCCTCCTCCCAGAGCACTGGCCCCGGCAATTTGCACTTCCTCACAGACTGGACGGGAGGCCTCAAGAAGTGAGGCCTATCAGGTAGACCCCTGAGCTCCTCTCTCTTGATCTTGTTGCCTGCTCTCTCCTAAATGGAGGAGAAGCCAGACGGGGAGACTCTGAGGAGGCGGCTCTGTGAAGGTTCTGGATGCTGGGAGCCAGAGACCTCAGTTCTAGGCCTGATGCCTTGAGGTACAAGCTCAGTGGCCTTAGGCAAGCCAGTGGCCCTCTCCATGGCTCAGTTTTTCCTCAAATGAGGACAGTCATAACTTCCCTCCCTACCTGACAGGGGCGTTGTAAGATCAGAGGTGATGACAGATGTATGAGAAGCACATTGAAAAATATAACACTATGCAAATGTGAGGGATTATCAAATCTTGGATTTCCTCCTTAGTGGGCTGGCTTTCCTTAAAACAAGGTGGCATATGCAAAGTACCTGGCTCACACCTGGCACACAGTAGGCGGACAAGCTCTGGGAGCTGTGCCAGGCTGATGCCTTTGATCTTGCCTTTCCTTTGATCTGGAAGGTCCAAGGTCCTCCCAACTCATCTCCATTCTCCCTCTTCCCCTCCACCCCTCTTCTCCTCCACCCCTCTTCTCCTCCACCCCTCTTCTCCTCCACCCCTATTCCCCTCCACCCCTCTTCCCCTCCACCCCTCTTCTTAACCAACATCCGTCACTCCCTTGGGTTCAGGCAGGTCAGAAGTCCTCTTGTTTCTTTTTCTTCATAGCTCTCTTCACCCATCTAATGTTAACTGTTTGTTTTTGTGGTCATGTAGGTCTTACTGCCACTAAAATGCAACCTCCGTGTCGGCAGGGATGACCTCGTTATCTTATTCTCCCAGGACAGGTTCTGGCACATAGTAGTTACTTGATAAATATTTGTTAAAAATGAGGGATGGATGGTTACGTGGATGGATGCCACCCAGGTTTATTGCTTTTTAAATCTCTCCTACATCCCTTCTTGGAAAGTAGTAGTTTTTTCCCTCTTGAGAAAGTGCTAGCCATAGAGTTCCCAGGCCAGACCCTAGGAGTCCTGGCTTCACTCATTCAGTACCCTGCAACAGGTCACCTAACATCTCTATTGTATATTTCCTGGTCTGTAAAGTAGGGATAATAACACATCATGTATGTTGGGAGGCTCTATGAGATAATGGAAGTTGGGCAAGGTGTTATTACACTATCTCTTTTGTTTCTTTTGAACAGAACCCCATTCACAGACAGGAGGCTTGTGGGAGGATGAAAATTTAAGAACCTCAGGCAGAGTATCCCCTTTACTCCCATTTGGAGGTTCTGGGATGATGATGGTGATGATGGTTATTATTAACTGAGCAATTATTCTCTGGCAGGCTCTAGGTTAAACACATTTCCTACCTTAATGTACTTAATTCTCCTAACAACCCATGAGATGAACCCTACTGTAAAGTAGCCACCCCTATTGACTCTCCATTATCTTACTATGTTAATTTTCTTCATAGCACTTATTACTAACTAAAAATAACTAATTTACCTACTTGTTTATGGTCTATCTTCCCCAATTAGATTGTAAGTTCCATGGAAGCAGAGTCTTATCTGTCTCATTTTAGTTGATTCCCAGTGCTCAGAAGAGTCCCTGACTGGCACACTGGCACATAGAAGACACTCAATAGACCCATTTAACAGATGAGGAAATAGAAGGGCTAAGTGCCTTACCCAAGGACATGTAGTTAACAAACCCATACACTGTGACCCTGGTGCTGCCTCCTTCTATGTGCTGCAGGTTCAGGTGTGCTGTGTCTGGTAGAGATCTGATGGCAGGCTATCCATGGCAGGTCTTCCCTCCTCCCTCATTTTCCTTTTCACTTTCTGATAGTTTAGTTCAGTCTTGGACAAGGACACCAACAGAGAGTTTGTGGAGGCCCCAGGGAAGCTGACCTCATAGGTTGGGAGTCCCCTGGTTTCCCTTCTTTCTTCTGGCCCTATCACCCATGAGTAGGACTCACTCCTTCTTAGAACTCTTTTCACATTGATCCAGTATCAGCTCCTGGGACAACTTATTTTTTTCCCCCTCTCTCACCTACTGGCTCCTCAATCCTTATTTGTAATCTTTAAGAGACCAGAGAGCCAAAAGTTCTTGGATTTTAGGATTCAACACACAAGTCAATACTAACCTTATTCATTAAGACTTTCTAGAAGCCAAATTCTTAGTTCTAGAACATGAGGTTATTGGTGGCAGGAGCAGGCATGGGAACCAGGGCATTGGGACTCCCAGCCCCTGACCAGAAACTCTTCCAGTCATCATCTTGCCGCCTTCCTCCTGCCTTGTGTGGGTGGGAAATTCCTTTCTGCCTTGCAACAGAGAATTAGTTCAATGTATTTTGAGAAGGGAAATTTCCAGAATAGGAAAGGCATCTAGAAAAGAGACTAGCACAGGGCTTGAATGCTTTACTGTGTAGTCCGACAGCTCCAAGTTCAAGCTGAGCCTCCATCACTTATTGGCTGAGTGACCTTGAGCAGGTGATGTCACCTATTTGAGTCTCAATTTCCCCTTCTATAAAAGGAGATGATAATTCCTATCTCTCAGGGCTGTTGTGTGGAGTAGATGAGATGACACACAAAAACAGATGGCACTATGTTTGCCAGTGGTAAGTGTTTAAAGTACAGAAGCTGCTGTTTATCAAGGAATCAGACTTTGGGATACCAACAAGATAGATTGGAGACCTTATAGGCCAAGAGACCCACCCAGGTGAATAGCAGACATTGTCTGTTCTTTTGTTTCGGTGTCACTTTATCGTTGTCTTCTAAAATTTATCTTTTTTAAAGGGTAAGGTAACTCACAGCATCAAAGCTGATAATGGTCAACCCCTAGAGTCAGCAGATTGGGGCTCCAGGCCCAGACCTGCCACTGACTTGCAGAGTAACCATGTCTTCTACCACTTTGCAACCCCTTGATGTCTTGCCCCAAGCTGACCTGGAACACAGTGATGGCTTGCATGAATTACACACTTGTTTTGTGCCAGTCAGAGTTTTAAGCATTTTCTTGTGCTGATGCGTTATCCTCATGATATTATTTGGTGGGTGCTTTTATTAGACTCGTTTACAAATGAGGAACAGTGCTAAGCACTGGTGGTCCCTGTTGATCCAGGGGGTGGGATCAGTCAGGCATTTCCCTGCTTTTCCCATGCCTCGTTGGTTGGGAGTTTCCATTAGCTCCGGGCTGGGCAGACAGTGAGGGTGGCCACCCTGGACTTGCTCAGTAAATTCTTCTAAACCCCAGGCCCAGGAAGCAATGAGGAGGGGCCTCTTCTCACCTCTCCTTGAGGCCCCTTGATTTATAGCAACAGAAACTCAGGGTGTGCCTCCCGCTCTCCGCACCCCTAGAACAGGAAAGTTTCTGTCATTTCTCTTTCCTGCGTGACAGCTCCACCTCCCTTCCTCTCAGAGCCCAGCTCCTCACACCTTGGGGCCTGGTGGGATGGGAGACACTGTCCTGGATGAAGCCGCTGGGAGAGCTGCCGCCTCCTGTATGCTGAGGTATGGCCTGGCCTGCTGTTCCCACTGCAGTCTGAGGATATGGGCCCTAGTGGCCTGGCAGCAGGAGGGTACTTCATGCACCTGATTACAGGGGTCTCTGCCCACCCACTAGTCTGCCACTGTGCCACAGTTTTACCACAAACACATTTTTCTGCTGTGATAAAGACTGCACCCCTGCATCAACGGAAAAGCAGTGTGGCTGCGTGGCAAGTGTGTGCCTTTGTGCTCGATAAGGCTGAGTTGAAATCCTGGTTGTCTCACGGACCAGCTGGATGATCTTGGACATTTTCTCGTTCTCTGCAAGACTCAGGTTCCTTTATCTTAACAGACGAAGCAAATGATCCTTACCTTGTAGTGTCCTTGTAAGAAGCACGGCCTAACGAACAGAGAACATTCATATGCATTATCGTAAATGGCAGCTGGCATTGTTCTTAGGTCCCTAACATGGGAGATTCTGCCTGGCCCATGTAGAAAGGGAGGCACTGGGAAACCAGGAGACCAGCCAGTGCCCACTTCATCTCTGGGGCTCTCTCTTCATAGCCTGGACCACCCCATCTTCATACACTCTTTGCTCTAAATTGAACACAACTAGAACTTTTCTGCTTCTATGCCTTTGTTTGTGGTTAAGAGCATGTGCAATAACCAGTGATTCTTCAAAATGTGGTCCCCAGACTACCAGAATCAGCAGCACCAGGGAAATCGCTAGAAATGTACATTCTCAGCCACCCAGAGCCAGTGAATCAGACACTCCAGGGGTGGGGCCCAACAATCTGTGTGTTTTTAAATTAATTTTAAAATAATGGACATATAATAATTGTACATATTTATAGAGTACAGTGTGAGATTTCAGTGCACCTTTACATTGTATAATGACCAAATCAGGATAATTGCCATATTTATCACTTTAAATATTTATCATTTCTTTGGGATGATAACATTAAAAATCTACTCTTCTAGATATCCTGAAGTATACACTACATTGTTCTTTGCTGTAGTCACCCTGCTGTGAAAGCGATCTATGTTTTAACAAGCCTTCCAAGTCATTCTCATGCAGCTAAAGTTTGAGGACATTATTCTGTACCATTGCATCACCCTGAAGGAGCTTGAATCCCCTCTGGGCCACTCACTTACTGGGACCTTGGACAACTCTCAACTTATCTGAGCTTCAGTTTCCTCCACTGTATAATAGGAATAATAATAGTATCTGCCTTGCAGGGTTGTTTCAAGTAACATGGTAATTTATGAAATGTGCTTAGCTAGTGCCTAACGCATGGCCAGTGTTCAATAAAGAGTAGCTATTATTTTTCCATTCTTATTTTTCTGTTAGGTCCCTGCTCCTTCCCCACATTGCTGAGTGAAATAATCCCCAGTGCTGAGTTTCCCCAACTAAAATGTCTGCCTGCTCCAGAAAGCCTTTCCTGATCTCTTTCCTTTGAGCCCTTGTGGCTTGTCTCTTGAGCGAGATAATGCCTTGTATTTGTCCAAGCTTCTCAGCACCAGTACCCGGGTCCTTCCTGCCTCTGTGTGCCCTGCAGCCTTCAACTCCAGTTCCTGGCTTCTGAGCAACTGCTCAAAACTCTACAATAAAATTGGCCTGAAATGCCATTTCCCAGACCAGGTTCTGCCTAAGGGCTTCCTCGCCCTGGCTCTCTCTGTCATAGACCACGCTTTCTCCCAGACTTGAAATGATCTACGCCTTCTGTGCCTTTCACAGTCTTGAGGACAACTTCTTCAGTAGAACTCATGATGGGTTATCTGGAAATTTTATTCGTATCACATTGCAGCTTATCATTGGCATTTCCCATTCATTACACGAATTCTCTTTGAATAAGTACGCACTATGAAAGTATTTTATTGAATCCACTCTGTAGTCTTGAAGATCAGGATGATGGCCTTCATGCTGTGGAAGAGGGAACTAAGGCCCAGGTCAACAGCTTCTACATGGCAACATTTGGAATCGATCCAGCTCCAGAGTTTGTGTCCATTCTGCTGCCCCACACTGCCTAATGGTGGCAGAAGAGGCAGTTTCATGTTTTCAAAGCTAATAACTCTGAATTCCTGGGCGTTGGCCTGCGGCTGCCCATTCACGGACCTTCCTCTGGGATAGCCTAAATTTGACTCTCCTTACTTGCATTCAGTTTCAGGTCTGTGCGGCTGCTAAAGAACGACCCAGTCAACTTGCAGAAATTCTCTTACACTAGTGAGGATGAGGCCTGGAAGACGTACCTAGAAAACCCGTTGACAGCTGCCACAAAGGCCATGATGAGAGTCAATGGAGATGATGACAGTGTTGCGGCCTTGAGCTTCCTCTATGATTACTACATGGTACGTCTACCCCCTCTGGACATGCCCCGTTTTGACTGAATGGGTGTCTTCACTTCAGGCCTCATGGCTCAGCAGCCCACCATGACCACCCCAGCCCCTCATCTCTGGGCCTTTGCACAATGCTGTTCCCTCTGCCTGGCACCCTCCCTTTCCCATGGCTAACCCCTACTCTCAACTTGGGGTCTCAGCTTAAATGTCACTTCATTCATTCACTGGAGAGGAGGCTTTCTTGTCTGGGTGCCCTCAGCAACCACCATCGTCGTCCTTGATGCCATCAAGAATGCTTAGAGGCTTGCTGTTTACACATTTATTTCTTCCATCTTCTGCACGAGACTAAGCTCCTAGAGGATCATTACTGAGTCTTCAGCACACCATACAGCCTGCCACACAGTCTGTGACACGTGTTGACCAAGTGGACAGTGCCTGACCCACTCGTTGCCTGGTCCAAGCACATTCTGTGACAGCAACACTCTCATACCCCACCATCTTCTTTTTGCCCCTGTCCTCGGATCTTACGTTTCCCTGTCATCCCAACCTACCTGGTACAGCCCCACCACCTGGAGTATACCTCCTACTCTTTAACCCATTCCCTTCCTTCGGGGCCTTCCCAAGGCCCACCTTCTCTTAGAAGCCATCTGCCACCTCATCTCCCTCTCCTGAGGGTCTTACTGTCTTTCCTACTCCAGCTGCCATTATGTCTTTTACTGTTCTCTAACTACTTCTAGGGTCTTGGCCTTGTCTCTGAGAGGCTGTCAGCTCCTGAGAATAGGAATTAGGTCCTCCCATATCTGATAAGTAGGGGTTGGACCAGTCAGGAATCACGAGGGTATAACACATGACACAACCCCCCTCCCACCTCCAGTGCGTGTGCTAGACATTGCTAATGGATTGCAGCCTGCATTCTCATGAAGGGCACAGGAGGCTGCAGAATCTTTGTCAATGTAGTAATCCAGGTAGGCCCTACTTATCTGTCTGAATTGTCACAAGACAGCAAACTGACTTGCTGTCCCTGGGCTGGGTAACTGCTCCAAGAAACTTTCCTAGATTGGGGGATGGGGGCACACAGCTAGCCAATTATTGAGAAACTTGAAGATTTAAAGCCACCTTGTACAGAAGACCTCAAACTTACTAGCCCAAGAAGTGTTTTATCCACTCTACCTCAAGAATAAAGGCAAATTCTTTGTTTGAACTGAGAGGCCAAGTGGGTTCCAGATAGGAGAAAGCCCAAAACTATCCTCTGGCTTTGGTTCTCCTTCTGGAGTGGTCTGGTTACCCTACCTCCCTCCTCCCCGGCAGACTGGTGGCATCCAGAGAGTGTTCAGCCCAGGTCGATGGAAGAGGAGTTTGAATGGCTGCCTTGGCTTGGGGCCATGGTAGGAGCCAGAATTCTAGATCTAGGTTCAAACTGCAGCCTGGGATTTATAGGTTGAGGATCGACCATCAGATACAATCCAACTCCTTGTCCCCTTGGCAAGAAGCCATTCCAGGGCCAGTATGGTAGAAGAGAGGCTCTGAAGGTGACATTGATAATACTGGTTTTAGCGAAGTACAGTGTCTCAGTGAGATACACCTGCCCTGGCCTCCCCATTCCAGAGCACTCTGGATTCAGAGCAGCCCCCTGGACAGTGATGACATGGTCTGATGGTGTGGAAGGAGCACCAAGTCGGGAATTTGAGACCTAGTCCTGCCACAAATCTGGCTTCGGGTAATATAGTGCTAAAGGCAACTGCTTACCATTTCTTATTGAATGTCCACCACTGTGTCAGGCACTTTCCTTCATACTCTCTTGGGGTGATTAAGAGTACAGGCTTTGGAGGCTATGCTGGGTTGGGGTCCTGGTTCTAGCTGTATCAGCCTTAGAGACAAATGCATTAGAATGTTCTAAGATATAACAATATTATAATTATACTCATGAAAGGTCACATTTATATAGTGCTCTCCATGTGCTAGGTGCTATTCTGAGTGTTCAAAGTGACCCCCTGAGTTTGGTATTATATGATGATCTCTGTACAGATGAGGATATGAGGAATGGAGAGGTTAAGGGACTTGTGTAAGGTCACACAGCTAGTATGTGGTAGGTCTAGGAACTGACCCCAAGAAAGCTGGATTCAGAGTCTATGCTTGTAAGTACTAAGACAATAGAGTCTCTCTGAGCCCCCATTTCCTCATCCATAGAATGGTGATGATACTAGTAGACATCTCAGAGTGACTGTGAGGATTAAGAGATGAGAAGGCACTTAGTACAATGCCTAGCCCATATGAAGTACTCTATTAAAAAAGGGAGTATTTTTTATTAACAAATATTCATAATCCCCTTTAAGTAGGTATTATAACCACTCACTTGACATATGAAGAAACTGAGTCTCAGAGAGGTGTAGTCATTTATCCAAAGTCACAGTGCACTTTCAAGTGGCATTTCTAGGACTTACGCCAGGCCTGCCTGACTCCAAATTTCATGCTCCTTAACTATCAAGCTTGAGGTTCTTCTTCCCACTCCCTGACTTGGGGCTCAGACTAATCATAGCTAGAGCTCCAGCCAGTGGGAAGGACTGGAGGGTTTTCTAGTGAGCAAGTGTATTAGTCTGTTCTCACGCTGCTAATAAAGACATACCCAGGACTGGGTAATTTTTAAAGGAAAGAGGTTTAATTGACTCACAGTTCAGCATGGCCAGGGAGGCGTCAGGAAACTTAAATCATGGAGGAAGGGGAAGCAAACACATCCTTCTTCACATGGCGGCAGCAAGGAAAAGTCCCGAGCGAAAGGGAGAAAGCCCTCTTATAAAATAATCAGATACGATGAGAACTCACTGTCACGAGAACAGCAGCATGGGAGTAACCACCCCCATCATGCAATTACCTCCCACTCCCATGTGATTATGGGAACTACGATTCAAGATGAGATTTGGGTGGGGACACAGCCGAACCATATCACCAAAGTTACTCCCCTGCCTGGCCAAAGCTGCAGGAGGGGATTGAGGCTCCTACCAGCAGAAGCTTAGCCATGCATAAATCCTTCCTTTCTCTCTTCTCAGGGTCCCAAGGAGAAGCGGATATTGTCCTCCAGCACTGGGGGCAGGAATGACCAAGGAAAGAGGTGAGGCTTGCCAACACCCTCTGCCTCTTTGCCCTTCCCCACCTCCACCTGGAGCCTCTTCCACACAGGTTTGACTTATCCATTAGGCACAGGAGGCACAGTGCTGAGGGCCCACAACACATTTTGGGATTCATGATAATGTTTTCATTTATTTTAAAATTAAAAGAAAAAAATCAATATAATCCAACTTGGATTATATTCATCTTTATACCATTGTACTTACTAAAGATATTTTTAAATGTTTTGGAAGAGGCCAGTGAAGGCAGAGCCTAGGGCTCTTGAAAGTCCTAATGAAACTCAGCTTGAAAACACACACACACACACACACACACACACACACACACACACACACACACAGACACACACCCCAGATGCCTATAGGCCATGTGGGCTGGAGTTTACTGAAAACAAACTTCAAAGCCTTAGTAATAGAAAAGCCCTGGGGACAGCTTTTCTTTCTCAGCTTCAAAACCCTCTCCCCTGAAGACCCACAGCCTCTGGGAGAGGGAGACCTGTGTTGGGGGAGGGAGACCTGTGTTGGGGGAGGGACATCTGGGTTCCCATACTTCTTCCCCTGGCATTAGTGCCCCAGGGCATTGATGTTCCTTTCCTTTAGAAAGCGGCCCAGGCCATGCTTAAGACTAGATGGGCACTGGAAAGACCTTGTCCCTCTTTCTCCACTTTCTCCTTCCTGGCCAATCAGGTGACTTCTCACAAATGACCCTGTAGGGCCTCTGCTGGGAAGCCTTTTGAAAAATTCAAACAGGCATTGCAGCTCATCTCATAACCCAGCCTGGGCCTGCAGCTGGCTCAGGGCCAGTCCCCTCCACTGCCAGGAACAGTGGGTTTGGGTACATGGGGACCTTTCTCAAAACTAATTTTTTTTTTTTTTTTGAGACGGAGTCTCGCTCTGTTGCCCAGGCTGGAGTGCAGTGGCGCGGTCTTGGCTCACTGCAAGCTCCGTCTCCCGGGTTCAAGCCATTCTTCTGCCTCAGCCTCCCGAGCAGCTGGGACTACAGGCTCCCGCCACCTCGCCCGGCTAATATTTTGTATTTTTAGTAGAGATGGGGTTTCACCATATTAGCCAGGATGGTCTCGATCTCCTGACCTCGTGATCCGCCCGCCTCGGCCTCCCTAAGAGCTGGGATTACAGGCGTGAGCCACCGCGCCCTGCCACTCAAAACTAATTTTTAAAAATATCATTAGCTCTTCTGATTACAAAAGCAACACCAGTCTCTTGCAAAAGATTCAAACTCTTCAGAAATGTATAAAGTAAAAAAAAAATTCCTATAATCCTGTACCCCTCTCCCGCTTAACAGTTTGGGGTACATCCTTCCAGATCTTTTCCTAAACATGTGTTAATTGTACTCAGAGATACACGTTTCTTCCACCCTCCCCACTTTGTACACACCCCGCTAGGGTTGACTCAATACAGTTGTTTTGAAGTAGGGACGTTTTGACACAGAGACATTTGACTTTGGCTAAAAATAAACGATTAAACTTTCAGGGTTTTTTTTTTTTTTAATAAGTACTGTAATGGATAAAACAGATGTTGCTCCCTTAACCCTGAGCCTGTGCTTGGTTCCATTCTCAGCACCTCCCTGCTCATCCCTGTGGCCAATTGGGCTGCTACAGTGTCTTATTTCGTGCATGCTGGATGGACCTAAACATTACACTGGATCAAAGGCCAGTGTGTCAGTTGCCTTGCACTCTAGCCAAAGACCCCCCTTTACCCCCAGAGAGAAGTACACTCAGCCCCTTTTCTTTCTCCCCAGGTACTACCATGGCATGGAATATGAGACGGACCTCACTCCCCTTGAAAGCCCCACACACCTCATGAAATTCCTGACAGAGAACGTGTCTGGAACCCCAGAGTACCCAGATTTGCTCAAGAAGAATAACCTGATGAGCTTGGAGGGGGCCTTGCCCACCCCTGGCAAGGCAGCTCCCCTCCCTGCAGGCCCCAGCAAGCTGGAGGCCGGCTCTGTGGACAGCTACCTGTTACCCACCACTGATATGTATGATAATGGCTCCCTCAACTCCTTGTTTGAGAGCATTCATGGGGTGCCGCCCACACAGCGCTGGCAGCCAGACAGCACCTTCAAAGATGACCCACAGGAGGTGAGGGCGCATCCCCGCTCCCCTATAGCATAGATATGTGTGTGCATATACAGAATGAGAGAAGATAGTGAACAGATCAGAGCTTTGGAATCCATGGGGGAAAGCATCCTAGAGCTGAGACGGGATTGCCATGTACTATTGTCCAAGTTGTACACTGTACAACCTGCATAGCTGTAATGCACAGCCCTGGGCTGAGGCTTCCCAGAGTGAATGTGAGCATTTATTCTCTTGGGGCTGTGTTTCTCTGCAGTCGATGCTCTTCCCAGATATCCTGAAAACCTCCCCGGAACCCCCATGTCCAGAGGACTACCCCAGCCTCAAAAGGTAACTTGGTCTCCCTGGACCCTCAGACACCTGGGCAGTGGGCAGGAGGCTGCAGACAGAGCCCCACACTGTCCCCAGAGCATAGCAGGCACAATCAATTAATGAGAAGTGGGGGATGAAGGCAGATAGATAGAGGGAGACAGAATGATTCCCACATCCTGTCCCCGGGCTGTGATAGGGAGCTCAGAACTTGTACCTTATCAGAAAACTGAGGTTCTTTTATCCTTAGTTTTCCCTGGTTTTGTCACCCCTCAAGGTTCTCTCTAATTTTCATTGGGCCCTCATTATTCAGCAGGACTGTGGCTCAACAAAGCCATTAAATAGAACCCCCAAATTGAGGAAACTGGGGCCCAAGGAAGTAAGGTTATTTTCCAAGGTCAAACAGCAAGTCTGTAACATAGCCTCAGGCTTCCTGCCCCACTGCCCTCTAGGAGACTTCCTGCCTGGGAGCCCAGCCTCACTGTCCTCTCCCTCCTCCCTGCAGTGACTTTGAATACACCCTGGGCTCCCCCAAAGCCATCCACATCAAGTCAGGCGAGTCACCCATGGCCTACCTCAACAAAGGCCAGTTCTACCCCGTCACCCTGCGGACCCCAGCAGGTGGCAAAGGCCTTGCCTTGTCCTCCAACAAAGTCAAGGTGCGTTGGCCTGGAGCAGCTTCAGAAGGGGTGGAATGGGGCAAGATATACCTCCTCCTTGGGCTAGCCACGGACCCTGGGGAAAGGCTGTTTGATAATAGCCCATTGCCACAGGGTTGGGGAAACTGAGGCAAAAGGGCAGGCCATTGGAACCAGGCTCTAGGAAGAGGCCGGGAGTGACTGTGACCAACTGTGCTTGCAGAGTGTGGTGATGGTTGTCTTCGACAATGAGAAGGTCCCAGTAGAGCAGCTGCGCTTCTGGAAGCACTGGCATTCCCGGCAACCCACTGCCAAGCAGCGGGTCATTGACGTGGGTGAGAGCCTTCTCAAGCCTCCATTCCAGCTCCCCTCTCTCTCCCCACCCCCGCATCAATCAGGCCTTTTTCTTACTCACCCCTGTTTCCCTACCTGGCTCTGACCTCTGTCTCCAGGTCAAACACCGTGGGGTTTGCAAGGATTTGCATCTGTTGACTAGAAGTTGTGGCGTCTTTTCTGTATTGCTTTGGGATAAACAGGGCCCTGGGGACCCTAGCAGTGTGAGATAAATAGGCTCCTGCGATGCTGGCCTGTTTGTCTCCATCAGGAGGCTGATGAAGACACAAATGCACAAGATAAGGTGCAGGCAGCAGGTTCGGAAGGCCTGAGGCACAGCACAGGACGTTCAGCTTTTGGGAGCTGGGCGGGGGAAAGGCTCCCTGTGGGGGCCACCTGGTCCCCATCCCTAGCCCTGAAACAAGTGGGAGGCACAGCCCGCCCTCAAGTCTTCAGCTTCTGGCTCCCTTACTCCCTTCCTGGCTGTGTGATCTATGTCACCTCACCTTCCTGAGCCTCAGTTTGTTCAACTCTCAAATGGGCTGAGGCCAGCTGCCTTGCCTGCTTACAATGCTGATTTCAGCTTAGCAGCTATGTGCCCTGGGGAACATGATACACACGGGACTGTTTAATGACTTGTCCGAGAGGCTGGATAGCATAGCAGTGAGGAGCATGGGTTCAGGAGCCAGACAGATCTGAGCTTCAGCCCCTATTCTGCCTTTTATTAGCTGAGTGACCTTAGCCAAGTAACCAAACCTCTCTGAGCTTCGTTTTCCTCATATGTAAACTGAATACTCAAAGCATAGTTGTGAAGGATGAACTGAGGGCTTAGCATATTGTAAGTGTTGAAGAAATGGCACTTGCTAGTCCTACTACTTTTGCTACTGCTCTTACTCCCCCTATTACTGTTGTTATTACCATACTGCTGCTGCTGCTTCATCTGGGAGAAGTCCCAAATCACAGCCCTGGTGAAAAGTATAACCTCTACCCCCAACATGATGAGACTATTTGGCAAAGCTTGGGATTCCCTCTGGGGCTTTGGGCAGATCTGCTTCTCAGGCTGGACCTGTTTTCCCATCTGTAATCCAGGGCACAGGAATCCCTTTTCCTCCCTGGATTGAAGTGTGGTTCTTGGGGGAGAGAATGTATGCCCCTGCCAAGAGTGAGGCCCAGTTTTGTCTTTTTTTTTTTTGAGACAGAGTCTCGCTCTCTCACCCAGGCTAGAGTGCAGTGGCGCGATCTCGGCTCACTGCAACCTCCGCCTTCCAGGTTTACTTAGGCCATTCTCCTGCCTCAGCCTCCCGAGTAGCTGAGACTACAGGCGCCTGCCACCATGCCCAGCTAATTTTTTGTATTTTTAGTAGAAACAGGGTTTCACCATGTTAGCCAGGATGGTCTCCATCTCCTGACCTTGTGATCCCCCTGCCTCGGCCTCCCAAAGTGCTGGGATTACAGGCGTGAGAAACCACGCCCGGCCGAGTGAGGCCCAGTTTTTAATGCCTCCCTCCTCAAGTGGTCCCAGATCCCTTCCTTCCTGATTCTCCTTCTGGTCTCCTGTGGTTTCAGCTGACTGCAAAGAAAACTTCAACACTGTGGAGCACATTGAGGAGGTGGCCTATAATGCACTGTCCTTTGTGTGGAACGTGAATGAAGAGGCCAAGGTCAGTGCTGAGGGCAGTGGCTGGGATGGGACTGGGCTGCCTGGAAGTCCCTATTCTGGGGTAGAGGCTTTCTTGCACCTAGGATAGTGTCATTTGCTCCGACGAGGGCACTCATGGAGGAGGCAGGATGCAGTGTAGTATGGAAGCTTGGGCTTTGGAGCCAGGCAGGCTGGGTCCGCATCCCACCCTTCCACCTATTGGTCCAAAGTGTGACTTTGGACCAGTGCCTTAGTCCCTCTGAGCCTAAGTTGTTTTGACTATAAAATAGGAGTGGCATCATAGTACCAACTGGTAGGTTGTAGTGAGGAGCAGGTGAGATAAGTAAAAGGTGGAGCACACGCCTGGCCCAAAAGTGGCAACTGTTGATATTACTCCAGTCCACCCATTTACTAGATGGGAAAACTGAGCCTTTTGCATGGTCACACAGCAAGCCACTGGGGGCACCCACGTTTCCTGACTTCTTGGCCAGCGCAGAATGTCGCATGCAGGAGAAATGCGAAGGAGTCCGGTGAATGAGGGCTCGAATCCCAGTTATCTCACTTCTCTGAGCCTGTAAAAATGAGAACAGTAACCTGCCTGCTAGGATTGGAGTGCAGAGCCCACAAGATCATGCATGTCTACAAACCGGAGAGGCCTGAGAGATGGAGCCTCTGGTGATGTTTTCATGCCAGTAGTTAAGCCATTAAGATTCTTCCAGCCTTAGTGCTTGAGCCCAGCCGCGGGCTTGCCATGTGCGCATGGGCCTCGCTGTGTCTTGGTTTGCTGTTTAGAGAGCCAGCATGGTGGAGAGGCACTAGTGTGGGAGTCAGGAGCTGAGCACCTTCGGCCTGTCCCTTCCCCTCCCTGGACCAGGCTTACCTCACTCAGCAGGGTCAGGTCCAGCTCATCTCAGGGGCATTTCTGGCCTGGAGAGGCTGGGGAGCTAACCCCTGCCTCCCTGCCTGCCTCCAGGGATGGCCAGGCTGCCTGGAGAAGATGGAGGTGCAGGAGCTCAGAAAACACAAAGGGAGCACAAAGGCAGGGATTATTATTATTCAGACTGGCACCGGGCTGGAGGAGGAGCTGGGGCCTTGGGTTCAGGGAGTGGGGAGTTTCGTGGGAAGGGAGAGATGGGTTTCGGTGGGGATTTTCTCACAGCCTTTTAAGCCCCCAGGCTTGGGTCTTTCTCAGGTGCGAGCTGGGCGGGGGCTGCATGAGGGCAGAGCTGGCTGAGGGGGAGGTATGTCTGGCATGTGCCTGGGGGCCTGGTCTGCACAGCCAGGGAAAGAAGGGGGTCTGCTCAGACACACCCCCCCACATCCTGTTTGCATCAGGGTCATTTCCAAAGGAAATGTTCCAAAGACCAGGGGCCAGCCTGCGTCGGGGGGACCGGGGTTCCCATGGAGCCCCAGAGGAGGACAATCACCAGGTGACCTTGCCAGGGTTTGCCCCGCTGAGACTGACCCCAGGCGACCATCAGTTGGGCATAGGCTTTGGGATGAGACTTCCAGCTGTCCCTCTCATGGCAACGGTTATAACATATCAAGCCTACACACCCCACAGCCACACAAGATAGGTTTCATTATCCTCATTCTGCAGACAAGGAAACCGAGGCTCAGTGAGGTGAAAGGATTTGTCTGAAGCCGTATATGGCTAGTGAGCGGCAGAGCCCAGCTTCCTGCAGCAGATGTGGGCGGCCCCTCCTCCAGGCTCACTTTGTTATGCCCCACGCCTGACTCCCTAGGGGAACGGCAGCAATTATAGCCCTGCTCAGAGCATCTGTTTCCCCGGCTGTAAGATGGGGTGACTAGGATGCTCCCTTGCTGTATGTGGGGTGGGATCAAATCAGCTGAAAGAACCTCTCACTAGAGGGTCCTGCTATGGCTGGAGTGGGTGGTTGGGGTGGAGAGGGGCTGTGTCTCTGGGCCAGCAGGAAAGTGGTCTCCTTGTGCTGGGGACAGGGGACTCAGCCCTTTTCCACCTCCTTGTCCTGAGTTGCAGAAAAACGAGGCTCTGGATCTTAAGCTCCTATAGGACTCTTGACATCCCCCCCAGTCTCCACCCCTTGGGCTGCCCTTGGCAGTCTAGCGGAAACTGTACCAACAGCGGTGAAAAGCCTGGGCTGTGAGTCTGGGTTCAAACCCCTGCTGCACCACACACTGCCCGTGTCACCTCGGGAAAGTTGCCCCACCTCTCTGAGCATTGGCTTCCCCATCTGTGAAAGAGGAGTGCTGATGTTTGCCTTCTAGGGGCCTAGTGAGGCTTAAGGGTGAGCAGCAGGCACACAGAAAGCTAGAAATACAGGATCACTGTGGGACGGTGGGGCTGGCCACCTGGGCAGGCCACTTACCCAGCGGCCCCCTCTGTCTCCAGGTGTTCATCGGCGTAAACTGTCTGAGCACAGACTTTTCCTCACAAAAGGGGGTGAAGGGTGTCCCCCTGAACCTGCAGATTGACACCTATGACTGTGGCTTGGGCACTGAGCGCCTGGTACACCGTGCTGTCTGCCAGATCAAGATCTTCTGTGACAAGGTGGCTGGACTGGGCAGACCCTATACTGGGTCCCGGGGAGGTAGAAGGGCCAAACCCTGACCCGTGCGTCCTCCTAGCTTCTCTGGGTTGTCTGTCTCTCTCTGTTTTTCTATCCCTTCTCCTCCTTCCCCTCTCCTCCTCCACCCCCACTCCTCCATCTCTCTGTCTCTCTGAGTTTCTTCTTTTCTGTCTTCTGTCTGTCCGCCTCTCTCATGGCCTGTAGTGACCTCAGGCAAGCAGGGCCAGGCCCCACTGGCCAGGCTGGGCCAGGTAAGTGCTGGTACCTTCCCATTTCCTGGTCTTGTTCTGGAAAAAAGAAGGACCAGAAGCTTGGCCCATATTTAAGATGCAAAGCAGCAGCTGTGAAAGTAGCTAGCCCCTCCCAGGCCCTTGGTGACCCTCTCTCCTTCTCCCCTGCAGGGAGCTGAGAGGAAGATGCGCGATGACGAGCGGAAGCAGTTCCGGAGGAAGGTCAAGTGCCCTGACTCCAGCAACAGTGGTCAGTGGGGATCCAGGGCCTGGGTGGGCTCGGCTGGCGTGAAGGGGAGAAGGAGACCAGAGGTGGGAGGGACTTGAGTGGAGGGACCTCGGGGCACATTGGCTTCCTTCTCCCATCAGGCGTCAAGGGCTGCCTGCTGTCGGGCTTCAGGGGCAATGAGACGACCTACCTTCGGCCAGAGACTGACCTGGAGACGCCACCCGTGCTGTTCATCCCCAATGTGCACTTCTCCAGCCTGCAGCGCTCTGGAGGGGTGAGGCCAGGGCTGGGGTCTCGGGAAGGAGCCGAGAGAGGGTCCTGGCTCCTAGGTGGGGCCTGCCTTAGCACAGACCAGTGGGGAGCAGCCTGCCCCTCAGCCAGTTTCAAGACCTTTATTGAATCATAGGGGTTTAAACATGTATATATGGTCCTATAGCTTCAGTGACCTATTGTATTGAAGAGAAGAATGTTATGAAGAAACAGATTTCGTAACCATTAAAACGTTCATGCTTAGGGCACACAAAGAGGAGGCTTCTGATATCTGACCCCAAATTTGATTGCAGCCCCATGGAATTCTCACGGCAGCACTTGTGGTGCTCACTGTGTGCCAGGTGCGGCTCTGAGCGCTTCCCAGGCATCACCGTCCTTACCCTTCTCTACAGCCCTGGGAAGTCAATAATAATGTCTCCCTGGATCTGTGGGGTAGAAATGGAGGCACAGAGAAGTTAAGAAACCTCCTGAGATTGCACAGCTAGTAAGTGGCAGAGCCAGGATCTGGACTGAGGCACCTGTTCAGAATCCACACCTTTCCCCACTAGCTGCTCCGCCTCTCAAGCAGCCGGGACTGAGCGCCTGGCAGCCAGGAGTGGGCTGGGTTCCCTGTTACAGCTGTCCTCCGAGAGACTGCACCTACCCCCTTTTCCAGGCACGGTCCCACAACAATTCAATGGCAGGGTCAAGACCCCAGAGCCTGTCTCCTAGTGCGCTTCCATACTGGAGAGTCTGAGCATTTCCTTCCTTTAAGGGTACAGCTCCGCACTGTTTCTTCAGGAATATTTATACAAATGGACCTTGGTGTACAAGGCATGTTTAGTGTATTGACTTAGGACAATGAGGTGTAGACAGTGGCGCTGAGAAGAGCGGCCAGTGCTGACAGAGCTTGGCACAGGCGCAGAGCACTGTCTGTGTCCCTCCTCTCTTTGCCATCTTGGGAGCTGCGCTGTGGCCCCGCAGCACAGGCGGCTGTGTGAACCTGTTCTCTCTTGGCTCTCCTCACTCTCTCACCAACTAGAGGCCCTCAGTAAGGAGATGACCACTCAGGGTGAAGGCCCCTGTGGCTAGGTTGACAGTCAACCTGTGGGGGTTGAGGGTGGGCCAGTCTCCACACCTGTGAGCCTGGGAGAGGGGAAGCCCAGGGCAATAGCCAACAGAGAGCCTGAGTTTGAACCCTGACTCTGCCTCCTGCCGGGCGTGTCATCTCTAGAGCTCTCTGCTCTCTCTAGGCCTCAGCTTCTTACCTCACAAGACTGACTGATGCCTGCCCCACACCGCACAGTGCCAGGCACACTGTAGGGTCCAAGAAGAGGGCCTCTGGCCAGGCTTAGTGGCACACACCTGTAATCCCAGCTACTTGGGAAGCTGAGGCCGCAGGATTGCTTCAGCCCAGGAGGTCGAGGCTGCAGTGAGCTGTGATGGTGGGACTGCACTCCAGCCTGGGAGACTCTTTCCCCCCAGAAAAAAAAAAAAAAAAAAAAAAAAAAAAAGCCCTGTTGCCCTTGCTCCCTTGGCCCTCAGCTCCAACTGCCTAGTTACCGGCCGCAGGACCATCTGCAATTCCCAGCCCTTCTGGGCATGCTGGGGCCCAGGTGGGGCTCAGTGTGACTCTGCTCTGACAACATGGCTTTAGCACCTCCTGTGTGTTCATTGAGTCCTTGACCCATCCAGCTCGGGCTGGGTGATTCCTTTCCACTCAACATCTCAGGTCACTTAAGGGCACTTGTCTGAGCAGAATGGGCTAGAAAGGCATTGTAACAGTATTCTCCCCACCTCCCACCAAAAATATTCCTCCCAGAGAGCCTCCAGCAGCCAGGGGCTCCTCTCATTTTCCTGCGTGTGATGGAAAATGTCTTTTTCACTTCATTGCAGGCAGCCCCCTCGGCAGGACCCAGCAGCTCCAACAGGTATGGAGAGAAACAACCACACGCCTCCCTCCACACCTGTGCACCCTCCACACCTGTGCCCCCTCCACACCTGTGCCTCCGCCACACCTGTGCCCCCTCTACACCTGTGCCCCCTCCACACCTGTGCCCCTCCACACCTGTGCCCCCTCTACACCTGTGCCCCTCCACACCTGTGCCCCCTTTACACCTGTGCCCCTCCACACCTGTGCCCCCTCTACACCTGTGCCCCCTCCACACCTGTGCCCCCTCTACACCTGTGCCCCCTCTACACCTGTGCCCCCTCCACACCTGTGCGCCTCCACACCTGTGCCCCCTCCACACCTGTGCCCCCTCCACACCTGTGCCCCTCCACACCTGTGCCTCCGCCACACCTGTACCCCCTCTACACCTGTGCCCTCTGTACCATGCCCACTGTACCATGCCCATTGCCCCCAGCCTGCTTTTCTCCCTGTTCCTTGCAAGCTAGGGTGTGGGGCCAGAGGAGGAAGCCACCAGCTTCTGCCCCCAGCCCCCAAGCTAGATCCATGCTTCTTTCTCACTGAAACTGCCTGGGTTTTTATGGGTTTGTTTTATGTGAAAAGTCGGCGAATCTCTGGCGAGACACCCGCTTGTAAAAAGGGAAAGGAAAAGAGTCTGTGGTGGTGCAGATTCAGAGAGAAGAGGGAAGCTGTGCTGGAGGCTTAGGGGATGAAAACCCTCCATCTCCTTCCCCAACACACCCCCACTGGGGGGCCTAGCTGGGGCCGGCACCCCTTGACACTTTGGCCTAGGAAGGGCCTTTGTGTCCTTCCCTCTGTCAGTCACAGCCTTAGTGCCCTGAGCAGTCCCTTCACCTCTCTGAGCCTCAGCCTACACATTTGTCAGATGAGGAAAACAGCCTCGAGAGGGTGAGGAGGGCGGTGTGGATATGGAATCTTCGTAAGTGGGAAAGCACTTTATGAAGATCATTTGCTGTTATGATCAGTTTCTTCCCTATGAACAAAATGTACTTTTCACTTGGTGCTTTCACCCCAAATTATGTCACTTGTCACCTCACAACAGCCTCAGAGTTAGGCAAGCAGGGTTATTGCCTTGCTTTATGGATGCGGAAACTGAGGCTCAGAGAAGTGAAGTGCCTTCTAGCTGTGAAAGTCACCGCAGCAGGACTGGACCCCAAGCCTGTCTTACTCCAAAGCCCCCAGTCCTTCCACCCCCCCACCCCGCCTCACATCTGACCTGACTTCTTTTAAAAAGGAACGATGATGATGACGATGAGTCCACATTTATTGAGGCCCTCCTGTGCGTCACAGTGTTCTAAGCGCAGTGAGCATGGTCTCCTGTGGCCTCACATCCCTCTATGAAGTATTGCTATCATTGCTTTCTCATCATCCCATTTTATACATGGGGTCACTGATGGGCTAAGGGACTCACCCAGGTCACACACCTAGTGCGTGGCAGGGCTGGGATTCAAACCCAGGCAGTCCAACTCCAGACCTGCTGCTTTACCCCCACTGTCCCTCTGCTTTGCATCCACCCTTGTGTTTTCTTCCCCATTTCTAGGGCCCCTGGAGGCCCAGCAGGGTCCTTGAGCCTCTAGGGGTCCCCAAGTTTCTCACAAGCTCCCCCACTGCCATCCCCACAGGCTGCCTCTGAAGCGTACCTGCTCGCCCTTCACTGAGGAGTTTGAGCCTCTGCCCTCCAAGCAGGCCAAGGAAGGCGACCTTCAGAGAGGTGACCTCCCGCCCTCCTCATTTACTCACCAGGCCCACCCCAGCTCCCACCTCCCTCATGGGCTTTCCCAAAGCCTCCTTGGGGTGGGGCACGAGGCGCTGCCTTACCCCTTGGAGCTAGGTTTAGGTTAAGACTTGGGGGTGGGGGTAAGGAGGGAACCTCAGGCTGCTTGGAGAGACCACCACAGGACTGGCGGCTTCTGTCTCCTGACCTCGTGTGGACGTGGGAGTCCTGGGCAGCTGGCATAGTCAGCAGGCTGATTATGCTGGGCGAGTCCCCCCTCTCCCACTTTTTCTGATGGGGAGTGGGAGAAGGGTGGGGTTTTGATGTCTGGCTTTCTTGCTTTGACCCTCTAAATCTGTTACTTCCTTGGGGTGGGGAACAAGCCCAAACCTCTGGGGGCTGTAGCTGGCCATCAGGAAGAAACCAACTAGCAGCTAAGCTCAAAAGCTTCCAGCAGCCATGAATCGAGCTTTGCGTGGCACCTCGTGTTTCCAGACACTGCCATCAATTCCCACAATGACTCTACGAAACAGCGGACAGAGCCTCCATTTTACATGCAAATAAAATCAGGCTCCGTGATGTTAAAATCACGTTTGCAAGGTCACCTGGCTGGCAGGTAGTAGAGCAGGGGTTCAGACACCCCCACATAAGCACAGCTTAAGAGGGTGCATGGGAATCTGCAGAGCCGGCCAAAGGGCCTCCCAGCTGGGCAAAGACCCGCAGCAGAAGTCAATCTTCAAGTAACGTTTTCAGATTCCCCAGCCCCTGAGATGATCCTGTTCACATTATCTTCCTTGCACTCAAGCTGGCCCTTGCTTTTCAGTTCTGCTGTATGTGCGGAGGGAGACTGAGGAGGTGTTTGACGCGCTCATGTTGAAGACCCCAGACCTGAAGGGGCTGAGGAATGCGGTAAGCTGCCTGTGGACCCCGCCCCCCATGGCAGACCCCCTCTAGGCTCCTGTCCCCACTCCTCACCACGCAGTTCTGATTTCCCACAGGAGGGAACCTTGGCATGCCGGTGGCCTACCCGTCCCACCCTGTCCAGGGGGCCTGAGGGGCCCTGCCGGTGGGGGTGTGCCTCTGCGATGTTATCTCCCAGCCAGAACCCTGACTCCACCCTGGGAGTCGCACACACCATAAATCCTCCTTGATCTGATGGCTGCTGTCTGACAGGCCAGGGTTTTTTGTTGGCTTTGCAAACCTGTTTCTGTTTTAATGGGAATGGAACCCAAAAAGGCCAGGCCCCAGAGACGCTCTCTTTTTCTTTCCCAGGGGGCCTCATTCTGCCTGCTTGTGGTTGGCTGGGGGCCGCTGGCTGGGGTAGCTGAAGGCAATGTCTGTGCAAGGAGACCTTCCCCAGCCCCCCACACCACCAGAGAGTGGGCAAAACAGCCCAGTCCTGAATAAAACCCATAGCCAGCTTTGTGGCTCCACCAAAAACTAAGCAAACACAGCGTCCACCAGGGTCAGCTGTGGCTGAAGGTGGAACCACTCGGAAAAGCCAGATGGTGTCAAGATTTCAGGCTGGCGGAGTGAAAATGGCATCAAATAGTAACGCTAGCTGACCTTTGTTGAAGGCCCACTATGTGCCAGGCAGTTGGTCAGACATGCCGCCTGCACTGGCTCATCATGTGCCCTTAACAACCCTGAAAAGTGGGTACTATTCGTATCTCCTCATTTCCCGCAAGGACACAGCCTCCGAGAGGTCAGGTGACTTGCCAGGGTTACTCAGCTCCAGGTGACAGAGCCGGGATGCCAGCCCAGGCTCTCCTCATGCTACTCGGCTGCTTGTTCTCTTTACGCACCGTCAGCCCTGCTCGGCATCAGCCCCAGGAAGCTGGGCTCACAAAAGACCATTAATGTCACCTAAATATAGACTCAGAGGCTTTGGGTTGGACAATACCTTAAAGGGTCAGCTCCCCATCTAGTGCCTGCACTCCCTCTCTCCAGCAGCGCTTCCAAGCTGGTGCCCACTTTTGACCCGTGTACCTCCAGGAATGGAGAGTTTACTACCTGTGGGGCAGCCCATGGTGTCTTTGTCCAATTTGTCCAATTGATGGTGAGAGAGTTCCTGAGTTCTTCCTTAGATTGACTTGAGATCTTCTTCCTGGTAGCTTTCAGTCACATCATCATTAAAAGAAATAGTCGTCTAAGAACTCTCTTGCCAGGAGGAATCTCTGTTAGGGTAGAGAATAACTGAGAAGCTGAACCTGATCCTTTTTCTAAAATGCCCAGAGAGGATGACCTCCACCTGAAACCCAGGACCTGAGGTTTGCTGCAGCTTCTAGGCAGCTAGTACTAATCAACACCGACGTCTTACAGAGCTGTTTCCCTGGGACAGGCACTGGGCTGAGCCCTTTACACAATCGTCTCAGTTCGTGTGCAGAACCACAGTGTGTGTACATCCTATTACTATGCCCATTTTACAAGTGAGGAAACCGAGGCTCAGAGAAGTAAGAGTGGCCTGTTCGAAGTTCTGCACGTCCAGGTGGTGCAGCTGGGACCAGACTGGATGTGCC